>NC_000004.12:73921381-75171381 GCF_000001405.40 Homo sapiens
GATGCAATAATATATAAAAATTATTTAGCAGAGTATCTAGTGTATATGTATATTGGTATGCATGGTATGTATGTGTGTATGTACGTATATAACTAATCACTTTTGGCACTCTTTTTTCAATCTTTAGTCTTTAAAAGTATAATGTAGCTTTTGGCAAGTTTCAAAAGGTCAGGTATAAATACTGCATTTGGATCCACCTTGAAATGTTTCAGTTATAAACAACATTCTTGATGAATGTTTCCATGTCTTAATAACACATTTATCTTGGAAAATAAGCATTAAACATTTTTCTTTAAAATGCATGGAGACCTGCATTCTACATTTAGTGTTACAAATGTTGTCTAAGACCTTGGTCTTGATGGCTAGTTGTAAAAATCCTTGCCATAAATGAATAGGCAATAGAATCTTAATAATTTGTGCTAAATAATGTGCTGGAAATTCTGAGCATAATGAGTCAGAATTGATTATGAATTGTGATTTATCTACACTACAATTAGATTGTCTAATTTTACCTTCTTTTTTTTTTTTTTTTTTTTTTTTTTTTGAGACGGAGTCTCGCTCTGTCGCCCAGGCCGGACTGCGGACTGCAGTGGCGCAATCTCGGCTCACTGCAAGCTCCGCGTCCCGGGTTCACGCCATTCTCCTGCCTCAGCCTCCCGAGTAGCTGGGACTACAGGCGCCCGCCACCGCGCCCGGCTAATTTTTTGTATTTTTAGTAGAGACGGGGTTTCACCTTGTTAGCCAGGATGGTCTCGATCTCCTGATCTCATGATCCACCCGCCTCGGCCTCCCAAAGTGCTGGGATTACAGGCGTGAGCCACCGCGCCCGGCCCTTTACCTTCTTATTTACCAGGCAGAAGCAGAAGAGACTTTTTTGAAGATTACTAAGTTCAACAATTGTGCCATTTCTGCTTCCTTTCCCTGAGACAAATATAAAATTCATAGTAGACAGTGCACAATCAAATCAAGCCTCTCTCATTTACTTTTAAAAATCTATGAACTCACTCAAAAATCATAGTTTTCTATATTTTTTGCTAAGGTATACTCAGAACACCCTACTAAATTCCAGGCTGTGCTGTTTCAAGATAAGTCAGGCTGTCTATCACTTCTGACTACCCTTTCCTTCACAAAAACAAACAGATTTGGAAGATACCATTTAGAGCTGGTATATGAAGCCCAATTCAGAATCAGTTGAGAATATAAGCAGGGATATGTTTAGCTCTTTCCATTGACAAGTAATTATTTTCATTATTCCATTGTATTCTGAATGAAAGCATTGACAATGGCCAAAAGTAGCATTAAGTTTCTTCCATGTGCCAGGAACAGTATTCAGAACCGTACCTGCTATCTCACTTAATTCTCAAAAAACCACAAGAATAAAATATTATTATCTTGAAGTGACTTGTCCAAGCTATACCACAATTAAGTTAAACTAAAATATCAATCTTCTGTACTAATTGTTTTACTATTTATTCAAATATTGTCTATCAGTTGCAGTCAATAGCCAGGCATTTTTTCTAGCATTGTGTTACCCAGCCTTGAAAGAATTTCTCACTGTCTGAAAAGAAATTTTTGTGGTGCCATCTTAAGACTTCAAGGATTCTGAGATAAGAGGAAGGAAGAAGAAATGAATTAATTAGTCATGATTTTGTATAAGACTTTTAATCAGAGGCTTTCCTGACAGGATCTTACATGATTTATAATCTACAGTTTTTCTTTGTATGGCAAGTAGAACAGAAAAAAGAAGACAGTTCTGAAACTGTTTTACAAGTACTCAGGCAAGGTCAAAAACTAAATAATTGTTAATAGAAAAGAGGGAAAAGGTAAAGATCACAGATTTTTCTCAGCCAAGCCTGCATATTACTAGCCTGTGTGCTCATCGAAATACTGAATGTCAAAAGGATTATTTATTACTTTTGTTGAGACTAATCTTGAAGAAAAATGCCTTGATGCATTTATCAGCTTCCTTCCTCATTTCAAATGTAATAAGATTGCTTTTCTCTCTTCTTTTAGCCAAGTGGACAATTGATTATTAAGTGGGCTATGTATACACTGGATTATTATTACCTTAGATTTTTGCTGTATTACCTTCTTTTTGCTGTTTGATTCATTTTCCACAAATGCAGAGCCATGAAGAATATGGATTTGGGGCCACCTTGTGACAGACTTAGAAAAGTCCTATTTATCAAATCCTAGAATTAGAATTTTGGCTTCCATTCCTAGATCATATTACTTTTCAATAAACATATTTTTGCAAAATGGCATCATATTGTAATAGCTGATTTTTACCATTGAGAAGTATTATATATACTATGTAGTAAAATAAACCCTGATAATTATATTGAATATTTAACGAGTTCTTATATTTTTTCATTGACATTTCAACTTAGTGAATTATATTGATTGACTTTCCTATATTGAGTCAATCTTGTATCCCTTGATGTATTTTTTAAACTTCTAATTTTCAGTTTTCTAATCCTTTATTTTTAAAGAACTTTTACATTTATAGTCATATTGTGATTCACCTGAAAAATTCCTTTCAGAAATAGCTCTTGTCAGGTTTTATTATCAGGAATATGTCAGCCTTATGTAGTAAGTCAGAAAGGGATCTAAATTTTGACACTGTGAAATAATTTCTGTAAGTTTGAATTTTTTTTCCTGAATATTTGGTAGACTTCCCTATTAAAAATGGCTGGTTTTGTGCATTTCTTGGGTAGGAAATATTGTAAGTATTAATTCAACTTTATTAAAGGTTACAGGTTTATTTAAATATAATATTTCCTCTTTAATTTACTGTTATATGTTTCTACAAATTTGTCCATTTTACCTATTTTCACATTAATCGCCACCAAATGATAACATCTTCTTGTTAACTTTGTAATGTCTGCAGTCTTGACCAATCACACCAAAATCTATTCAACAACCAACTCTTGGTTTTGGTGATCCTTTCTATTGAATGTGTGTTTCCAATTTCATAAATTTCTACTCTTATATCTAGTTCCTTCTCTTTGTCTTTTTATTTAATTTAGATATTTTAAGTTCATTTTCTAGCATAGCATTTTAAAGCTGTAAATGTCCCTACATTACCTAGGTCTCATGTGTTCAACATACGGCAAAATTATCAGTTGATTCTATATATTTTCTAATAAGTTTTTATGTATTTTCTGATTTTCTGATTTTTGAGTTATTTAGAAGTGATTTTATTAATTTCCAAATATATGTTGCTTTCAGTATTGTTGAGTTTTTTTCTAAAGTACAGTTTTGTGGTTGATACCTAACTTATTCACACAATAATCACAGATCATTGTGTGTATCACAACAAACATCGAAAAGTATTTTTGAGTCTTGCCTTCTATCTAAATATGTGGTCAGCTTTCATAAATGGTCCATGTCTTCTTGAAAATACTATGTTCTCTGAAACTATCACCATAATCTTTGCCATGAACCTATCCATTACTTCCAAAAATTTCCTCCTTAACTGTTTGTTATTTTTCTTTTTGTATATCAGTTACACCTCAATAAAGTGGGCTTTTTTAAGAAAAGAATATACTCTGTAGCTATTGAAAATTGAGTATGTGGAGATATATATTAATATACATACATATACATAAAAAGCACAATTAATACATTTCATGCAATGGATATGTATATATTGATATATATATCATGTATATATGTTTTTACATATATTGATATATATATCATGTATATATGTTTTTACATATATATGTATATGTGTATATATATCGATATATATGTGTATATGTATCGATACATGTATATACATATATACATATATATCGATATATATGTAAAAACATATATACAGATATATCCATTGCATGGAATGTATTAATTGTGCTTTTTAATAGTCTGTATCTTAATGTCTTTTCTGCATAAATTATCAATTATTTAAAAATATATGTTAAAATTTTCTAATGAAATATTTATATATTTCTTCTTGGACTTATTTATGATATTTTATATATTACATATTTTGAATCTATCATATACAAATAAATTTGATTTCAATATACTCCAGACTAAGTGACTTTTTATAACCATGTATATACTCTCTTAATGTCTAGAAATGTTTGGGAAAAAAAAACTCAGCTGACACCTTGATCTTTGACTTCTAGCCTCCAGAATTGTATGAAAATAAATTTATGTTTTTAAGTCACTCAGTGTGTGGTACTTTGTTATCAAGCAAACTAATACGTTACTCATGCCCAGTGGTATTTGCTGTAGATGATACAGAACCATTGAAGACTCCCAAGGCAGAAAGGTAACCTAATTAGGTTTGTGTTTTAATGGAATCACTTTGCAGTGAATAAGATTGGGGGGCAATAATCAACACTTTTAAAGAAAAGAAATTCTAACCCAGAAATTCATATCCAGCCAAACTAAGCTTCATAAGCAAAAGAGAAATAATGTCTTTTTCAGACAAGCAAATGCTGAGGCATTTTCTATAAAGCAACCACATAAATAAGTCTGCAAAATAACCAGCTAACATCATGATGACAGGATCAAATCCAAACATATCAATACTAACCTTAAATATAAATTGTCTAAATGTCCCAATTAAAAGACACAGAGTGGCAAACTGGATAAAGAACCAAGACCTTTTGGTATGCTATCTTCAAGAGACTGATCTCACATCTGATAACACACATAGGCTCAAAATAAAGGCATAGAGGAAAAATCTGCCAAGCAAATGGAAAACAGAAAAAAGCAGGGGTTGCAATCCTAGTTTCTGATAAAACAGACTTTAAACCAACAAAGGTCAAAAAAGACAAGGGCATTACAAAATAGTAAAGGGTTCAATTTAACAAGTAGATATAACTATTCTAAAGATAGATGCACTGAACACAAGAGCACCCAGACTCATAAAGCAAGTTGTTAGAGACCTTCAAAGAGACTTAGACTTCCACACAATAATAGTGGGAGACGTTAATACTCCACTGACAATATTAGACAGATCATTGAGAAAAAATTAGCAAAGCTATTCAGGACCTAAACCCAGCACTGAATCAAATGGACCTGATAGATACCTACAGAACTGTCCACCCCAAAGCAACAGAATATACATTTTTCTCATTGCCACGTGGCACATACTGTAAAACTGATCAGATAATTGGAAGTAAGAACTGAAGTCATAACAAAGAGTCACTCAGAACACAACACAATTAAATTAGAAATCAAGACTAAGAAATTCACTCATAACGATTACAAGGAAAATGAAAAACGTGCCCCTGAATGACTTTTGAGTAAATTGTAAAATTAAGACAGAAATCAAGAAATTCATTGAAACTACTGCGAACAAAGATTCAACAAATCAGAATGTCTGGGACACAGCTAAGGCAGTGTTAAGAGGGAAAGTAACAGCACCAAATGCCCACATCAAAAAGTTAGAAAGATCTCAAGTTAGCAACCTAAAATCACAACTAAAAAACCTAGAGAACCAAATGTAAATCAGTCCCAAAGCTAGCAGAAGACAAAAAATAACCAAAATCAGAGCTGAACTGAAGGAGATTGAGGCATGAAAAACCATTCAGAAGATCAACAAATCCAGAAGCTGTATTTTTTGACAAAATTAATAAAGTATATAGACTGCTAGCTAGACTAATAAAGAAGAAAAGAGGGAAGATTCAAATACCCACAGTCAGAAATGACAAAGGGGATATTACCACTGACCTCCCAGAAATACAAACAACTATCAGAGAATATTATGAACATCTTTATGCACATAAACTAGAAAATCTAAAAGAAATAGATAAATTATTGGACACATACACCAAGACTGAACCAGGAAGAAACTGAATCCCTGAACAGACCAATACTGGGCTCTGAAATTGAGACAGTAATAAATAGAATACCAACTAAAAAAACCCCAGGACCAAATGGATTTACAACTAATTTGACCACATGTAAAGAAGAGCTGGTACCATTCCTACTGAAACGATTCCTAACAATTGAGGAGAAGGGACTTCTCTCTAACTCATTCTATGAGGCCAGCATCATCCTGACACCAAAGCCTGACAGAGATACAAGAAAAAAAAAAAAGAAAACTTTATGCCAATATCCTTGATGAACATTGATGCAAATGTTCTCAACAAAATACCGGCAAATTGAATCTAGCAGCACAACAAAGAGCTTATCCACCACGACCAATTAGGCTCTATCCTTGGTATGCAAGGTTGGTTCAACATATGCAAATCAATAAATGTGATTTATAATATAAACAGAACTAAAGACAAAAACCACATGATTATCTCAATAGAAGCAGAGAAGGCTTCCGATAAAATTCAACATCCATTCTTGTTAAAAACTCTCAATAAACTAGGTATTGAAGGAACATATCTCAAAATAATCAGAGCCATATATGACAAACCCACAGTCAATATCACACTGAATGGACAAAAGCTGGAAGCATTCCCCTTGAACACTGGCACAGGCACAGGAGAAGGGTGCTGTCCCTCACCACTCCTATTCAACATAGTATTGAACGTCCTGGCCAGGGCAACTGGGCAAGAGAAAAAAATAAAGGGCATCCAAATGGGAAGGGAGGAAGTCAAATTATGCCCACTTGCAGATAACATGATCTTATATCTAGAAAAACCCATAGTCTCTTCCCAAAAGTTTCTTAAGCTGATAAACAACTCCTGCAACATCTCAGGATACAAAATCAATGTGAAAAAGTCACTAGCGCTCTTATACACCAACAACAATCAAGCCAATAGCCAAATCAGAAAGAAACTCCCATTCACAGTTGCCACAAAAAGAATAAAATACCTAAGAATGCAGCTAATTAGAAAAGTGAAAACTCTCTACAAGAAGAGCTACTAGCCACTGCTCAAGGAAATCAGAGATGGCACAAATGGAAAAACATTGCATGCTAATGATAGGAAAAAGGAATACCGTTAAAATGGCCATATTGCCCAAAACAATTTATAGATTCAATGCTATTCCTATTAAACTATCATTGACATTCTCACAGAGCTAGAAAAAATTATTTTAAAATAGATATGAAACCAAAAGAGAGCTGAAATTGCCAAAGCAATTGTAAGCAAAGAGAATGAAATGGAAGGCATCATGGTACTTGACTTCAAACTATGTTACAAGGCTGCAGAAACCAAAACAGCAGAGTACTGGTACAAAAACAGACACATAGACCAATTGAACAGAATAGAGAACCCAGAAATAAGATTATACACTTATAACCACCTGATCTTTGACAAACTTGACAAGAGCAATCAATGTGAAAAGGATTCCCTATTTAATAAATGGCGCTGGGATAACTGACTAGCCATATGCAGCACATTGAAACTGGACTACTTCCTTATACCATATACAAAAATTAACTCAAGATAGATTGAAGACTTAAATGTAAAACCCCAAACTATAAAACCTTGGAAGACAACCTAGGCAATACCATTCAGGACATAGACATGAGCAAAGATTTCATGATAAAAATGCCAAAAGCAATTGCACCCAAAGCAAAAATCAACAAATAGCATCTAACTAAAATAAAGAGCTTCTGCACAGCAAAAGAAACTATGAACAGAATAAACAAACAACATACAGAATGAGAGAATGTTTCTGCAAACTATGCATTGGATAAAGGTCTAATATCCAGTATCTATAAGGAACTTAAACATATTTACAAAAAAGTAACAACTCCCTTAAAAAATGGGCAAAGGACGTGAACACTTTTCAAAACAAGGCATACATGTGGCCAACAATCACATGAAAAAAAAGCTGAACATCACTGACCATTAGAGAAATGCAAATCAAAACCACAATGAGATACTTTCTCACACCATCAGAATGATTATTCTTGAAAAGTCAAAAAATAACAGATGCTGGTGATGTTGTGGAGAAAAGGGAATGCTTATACGCTGTTGGTGGGGGTGTAAATTATACTTTCATGTATAAATGCTTATACACTGCTAGCAAGGAGCAGCAGTCAGGATGTCTTAGATGGCCTGATTAATTAGTGTGCCATGGGAAAGAAATGTGCTTCACCCAGGCACACAAAGGGGATGTCTTTCTGGAGGCTTTATGTCTCAGCATTCCATAGAGGCTGAGTGTAACCAGGGTGGAACTAGGTACTACTGAGACAGAAATAATGGAAGAAAATGGATACCAGTCCTGGCATGTGAAAGACACTGTGGCAATTCATCAAAGTCCTAAAGACAGAAATACCATTCAACCCAGCAATCCCGTTATTGAATATACACCCAAAGAAATATAAATCGTTCGGTTATAAAGACACAGGAATGCATATGTTCATTGCAGTGCTATTCACAATAACAAAGACATGGAATCAACCTAAACTGCCATCAATAATAGACTGGATAAAAAAAGTGTGGTACATACACACTATGGAATACTATGCAGCCATAACAAAGAATGAGATCGTGTCCTTTGAAGGGATGTGGAAGGAACTGGAGGCCATTTTTGTTATCAAACTAACACAGGAACAGAAAACCAAATACCACATGTTCTCACTTGTAAGTGGGAGCTAAACGATGAGAACACATGAACACATGAAGAGGAACAACACACACTGGGTCCTCAAGGAGGGTGGAGGGTGGGAGGGGGAAGAGGATCAGGAAAAATAACTGACAGGTACTAGGCTTTATACCTGGGTGATGAAATAATCTGTACAACAACCCCCCATGAAATAAGTTGACCTACTTAACAAACCCGTACATACACCCCTGAATTTAAAATAAAAGTTAAAAAAGTATTGATCGAAGGATACAGATGACTGGAACTAGGGAGACTTGTTAAGAAGTTATATCAATAGTCAGGTGAATGCCAGATTTAAGGCAATTGCATGGGGAAGGGAGAGGAAGAGTCATGAGAGTTGTTAAAAGGACAAAATGGCAGGATCTAAAGCCCAGGTGGAGTTCTAGCTGGAGCAGAAAAGAGAGACAGGCTCAATCTATGATGAAACTTAGGTTCCTCCCTGGCTTAGGCAGCTGAGTGAATTGTTTATAAAGCAAAATGGAAATACAGAGGAAGAGTAGGCTCCCCATGTGAACTTTAGGGAGAGCTAACTAAATTACAGTGGTTGCATGTTAACATTGGCAGCAAGAAGAAAGTGGAGCAGACAGGCATTGGTCCAGATTAACATTATAGTAGCTGATGTTCCAGTAAAGGGAAGCTGTCAGAGCTGCTGGCAAGGATCAGCATCAGGATGTCTTAGATGGCCTGATGAATTTCTTCACGTTAGTTTCATGGGGAAGAAATGTGCTTCACCCAGGCATACACAGAGGGTCTCTTTCTGGGGGCTTTATGTCTCAACATTCCATAGAGGCTGAGTGTAGCCAGGGTGGAGCTAAGTACTGATAACTGAGATAGAAATAATGGAAGAGAACGGAGATAACAATCCTGGCATCATGGCTTGGTTCTGCCATTAACAGGTTTTATAACCTTGAGCAGGCTAGTTGATTTCTCTTTTTTCATTTCCTTTTACTAGCACATCATAGTAAAAATGAGATAATTGTTATTATGATGCTTCATTAGCTAATGAATACTTGAAGGGCTCAGGAAATGTCTCTTGAAGGAAGTGATTTACAAATTAAGAGCTGAAGATTCAGTAAAAATAAGCCAGATGAACGGGCTAAGTGTTGGAGAGGAGGTAAAACATTTTCCAATTACAGGGAATGGCATGTGGAAGGCCCCAAGCCAAAACAGAAAATAGTCATTTCAGGGAACCAAGTAGTGATCTGATCTAACTAGGGCATACAATTTCACAGAGAAGCAATGAGGAAACCTAAATTATAAGCAGTTAAATAACTTGATCAAAGTCACCTAGCTAACAAAGTTCTGATCTGTGAATTGAACATGTCTGCATCTGCATTTTAACTATTAATTATGTACAGGCTTCCTACAATGCCACACAAATAGGAGGAGATCATTGCTAAGGATGATACAGGCATAATATTTCTCAGTGTGTCTAGGATGTTATATGGTGAATATTCTCTTGAGTTTAAGTTTTTGAAATCATGGTGAGATAATGTTAGAACTGATAGTCATTAGGTATATAGAATTAGACCACAAGAAGGAGGGGAAACTCCAAAATAAATCAATGGATAAACTACTAACCCTTGCTCTCACTCTAGTCCTCTGGAAATATAAACATCATCTCAAAATGGGGTTTCTGACTGATGTAGTTTGGTTGTGTCCCCACTCGAATCTCATCTTGAATTGTAATTCACATAATCCCCATGTGTCATGGAAGGGACCTGGTGGGAAGTAATTGAATTATGGTTCCATGCTGCTGTTTTCTTGAGAGTGAGTGAGTTCTCAGGAGAGCTGATGATTTTATAAGGGCTTTCCCCCTTTTGCTTGGCATTTCTTCTTGACACCACCATGTGAAGGACATGTTTGCTTCCCCTTCCACCAAGATTGTAAGTTCCTGAGGCCACCCCAGCTATGCTGAACTGTGGGTCAATTAAACCTCTTTCCTTTACAAATTATCCAGTCTCAGGTATGTCTTTAATTAGCGGTGTGAGACTAGACTAAATAAGCTCTGAAAAGACATGTTATTTGCATTTATTTTATTAAAAAATCCAAATCAATTCAGTTTTGTAAAGCACAAATAATGTTATTAAATATACTATCCAAAGACTGGATGAACTGGCTTTGTCCACACCTCTTCCCTAGAGCACTCACCCATAGCAGATTACATTAATTTAAGATCTTCTCCTTGTCCTCTGTATTCTGATGTTTTACTATGAGGAGACAAGGTGTTGAATTGTTTTTATTTGTTCTGTATGTAGTTTGTTGAGATTCCCAAATATGAGACTTGTTGTCTCTGGCAGCCATGAAGGCACTTCACTCAGATTTTCCTCCGACAAGACCTGCTGCAGGAGCTCAGCTGATGGCCCACAGTGGCAGGGCAGCTAGCTTACTAGTGCACTTTTATTAGTGGCATTCCCATCTTTATATTATTCCCATCTACTTCCCTGCTGGCCTTCCTTGCACCTCCCAAGTACTTACTTACACTTCAATCTTTGTTCCAGAGTTTTCTCTTGTTATCTCATTTCTACCCAATGATTTGTTGACTCTGCCTGGAGGTGAGCTTCTGGCAACACTATATTGGAGATACAGAATTTCCACCAAAGATTTTGGAAAAAATTTCTTTAAGTTAATAGGCCTATGTTTGATCTGTATAAGACAACATACAACCATTGTTGTCATATATATGTATAGTAAGGATAATTATAGCATAGGTCACTTTGAATATCCTACCTCGTTATGTAATAAGTATGGATTCAATTCATTTAAATCTACAACAGAGCTTTTGTTTAAATGTCAATCTAGTTAAAAGAAAAAAATTATTATCAAGACATTTTGACATGTACTGTACTTATCATTAATCTTTTTGGTAATGATCATCACTCATACATCCTTAAGAGCCTCAGGAAAACTAATTTTTCATCTTTCAATGTGATTCTGGAAAGGAGACTATTTTGATAATTAAAACTGGGGATACCACCTGTTAATAAATGGTTCTTATAAAATTCTAAGGTGATTTAATATTATTTATTGTTTTTAACAACTGTAAAATACATGTATTTCAAAATAAACTTGTGTCAAATATTACTCTAACTATATATTTAGAATACAATGTTCTGTGTGCACTACCACACTTTCTACCATTGACTATGAATAATGTCTGTTTTAAAGTATGATAAAACTTTTTCCAGCAATAAACAAATCAGAAAACATTTGTTACTATGTACAAGGTTCTGTGTTAGGTTTAGTAATCTACATGTGCATCTCCCAAGCTGTCCCCATAGAATGTTTATTATATATTATTTAGCATTCTATCTCTAACACTCTTTTTAGGCAGTTTTTGCTTGTTTGGCCTTCAGAGTCTCATTAAGATATCATTTATAATTAGGTGGGGAAAGCATACATTGTCCAAATCAAAAGGAAAGTATTCTGTGTTCCTGTTTAAGTGCCCATTTAAATTGATGCTGAAGTTTTCAACTGCTATTCACAGACTACAGGGCTCTACCTGAATTTTCAGGATTCTTTAGACGCTCATTAAGTGCAGACATGGCCACCTCAACTTTCTTTAGGAGTGGAAACTCCAAGATTTAAAAATAATAAAATTCTATGTTGATTTATGATATAAAAAGAAAGCTCAAGAAATTATTAATAGCAGGTAATTTTCTCAACCTCAAATAAATATTAACCTAAAATAATATAAATATTATATAAAATATATAAAATAATATAAATATTAACCTAAAATAAATATTATACTTAGTGGTAAATGTTTGGACAGTTTCTTAAGAACAAAACAAGAGTGTCTGCTATCAACACTTCCCTTCAAACATGTACTAAAAATTTTAATCAGTACAGTGAGGCTAGAAAAATATATAAAAATTGATAATAGGTGAAAACAAAAAACTGCCATTAGTAGTAGATTGCATAATTGTCTATGTAGAAAATGCAAAATAATTTACACTACTAGAATACTGATGAGTATAAAAATTAGATACAAAAACCAGAAAACACAGTCTTCAAGACACTATTTACAATAGTGGCCAAATACAAAAGTCTCTAGAAACAAGATAAACAATGTACAAGGAGAAACATTTTTTAATATTAAAGACCTTAATTTATGGGCTATACCATAAAATGTTAATATCTTAAACTTGCATCAACTGTCTCTCCCAAAACTGATCTATAAAGTCAATAAAGTTGAATTCAAAAGTTACATATTGACAAAGTAATTCTAAGGTGTATATCAAAGAACTGAGAAGAGATCAGTGACTCCTAAAGAAGAAAAACAATTTTGGGAGACTTGCCTTTTCAGTTATCAAGAAATTTTATAATAATATAGTGATTAGGATAGTATAGCACTCATGTAGATATGACATACTGACCAATGAGAAAAAAACAAAGTCTAGAAACAAACTACACATATAAGAAATCTTGATTTATGACAGAGATTGAAAAATGATTAACATTTCAACACATGATACTGCACCAATTTGTAATCATATAAAAAATAAAATTAAACTTCTACCTCACATTATAGAGAAAAATCAATTCTGAGTAGATTAAAGTTCTAAGTAAGAAAGACAAATCTACTTAATTTTTAGAAGACAATGTAGAATATTTTATGATTCTGAGAAAAGATCAGCCGTAAGAGAAAAAATTATATTATAGAAAATTCACTTTAAAACACACTGCAGAGATAACTTTGTGCCACATATGTAAGTGACAAATGATTACCATCCAAAATTTTTTAAAGCTTTTATGAAAAGGCTAATAGCACAACAGAACAAGTGGACAAAAGAAACAGAAGTTTCACAGAGGACCAACTACAAATGGTTCATAAATGTGAAAAGATATTCACCTTCATTTATAATAAGGAAAAAAGCAAATTAAAATCACTATATGATACCATTATAGAGTCATTTAGCAACAATTTCAGAAGTCTGAAAATTTCAAGGGATGGCCAGTGAGTGGAGGAAAGAAACTTTCATGAATTGCTAGTGGGTGTGGTAAATGAGTACAATCATTTTAAAAATAATTTTTTATGATTTGGTAAAGTTGAATATATGCATGCCATATGAGCCAGTAATTCCACTCCTACATATATATCCTAAAGTATCTCTAGGACTTATATACCCAGGGCTCAGCACAAAAAATGTTGAGAGCTATGTTACTAGTATTAGCAAAACTGTAAGCAACTCAAATTTCCACACAGCAGTGGACCAGATAAGTATTTGTGTTGCCACAAAATGTAATAGCAGTCATTGACTGAAATAAATCATCCTATATGAAATTCACAAACAAGTTCCTAAATGACAAAATTAGGTCATATCTGTGTAGCATCAGCTCATTTTTCCAAAGTTCAAAACAAATAAAATTAATAATCAATTGTTTAGGATTTTACTTATAGATGTTAAGCACTACAATAAGTGGGAATGACTGACACTGAGTTCAAGTTAAGGGTTAAGGTGCAAGGAGTGTGACAGGAAAGGAGAAAGATGAGATTTGGAATGGGTACAGAGAGTACTTCCAGTATCCTGCTAATGTTCATATCTTAAACATGGAAATGGGCATAGTGGTTTATTTTGTTACTCTTCCTAAACCTTTGTCTGTGTGTATATATGTATATAGGCACACATGCAAATAGTATACATATGCATATACATGTTTTATACAATCTTTAATATTAAATATTATTTATATAAAACATCTATTCATGTTTTTATATAGTATATGTTTCTATACAATCTTATACATCTATGACATATTGTGCAACTTAAAAAACTTTTTAAACCTGCTACATTATATTGCAACTTTTGAATGTTCTTTGTCCAAGTATATAAAAGACTTCCCAATAATCTAGCATTATCAAAGTATTTTTAATGCTAGTATGTGTCATTGCTTATTATAGATGTTCATTGACTTCAAAAATCAATCTACACATTTCAGTTTATGCCTTACTCATGCTCCAATGTCAGATACTTTTTTTTGAAGAAGAAGAAGTTACTAGAATAGAATCTTGAAGATAGTGATTTTTTTCCTTCACCATGTAAGAATAATGCCCAAACCCTTGTCTCCTATATTGTTAGTCTGGTAAATTTTGCAAGAACTTCATCTCTGAAAACTACTACTAGAGACTATTACTTTCCCCTCATAATTCCTACTTACATTATTTCTTTTCAGCTACAGCAAGAAGCTTCAAGTATCAACTGGACATTTTTAATGAGTATAGAAAAAAATTTAAAAAATCATATTCCAAATATATTGATATTGCAACTCTTAGCTCTCAGAAGCATCAGCTATGTGAGGTAAGTACAGAAAAATCTGAATGAAGATAAAGACAGCCATATTGCCTAACCCTTAATTTACTATTTCAAATCAATGTAGCTGGCCACAATATTGGATTAAGAATTCAACATTAATAGAAATAGTCATGGAGAAATCACAGAATACCAATTATTTGCCAATATCATAATCAATATGAATTTATTGAGCTGCTACTATGAAATAGTGTTAGGCATAAAAGAGCAAATATCCACTCCTTAAGGTTGTAATTGTAATCAAAACCATAACTACATAAGTATAAAAGAACTGCTTGAGTCCAGCGAAAATTTATCGGTATAATTTGATGTAAGATTTCAGTTGAATGTAATAATTCCATCTGCTAACTAATATTAAAATAAACACCCTAGATTGACTTGAAATAATATTACTACCATCATCTCCCCTTTACCCTTCAGAAAGAGAAGTACAGACCCTTTAATCAGAATTTCAAGTTAAATAAATTTGTTCTGCCTCTATCTGGGCTTCTTTGACACTTGACAAACTGCATGCATGTCCTAGTTTAATTTTAGATATTTCACAGCTTTTGTTTTGCTTAAAGCCAAAAAACATCTCTTTAGACCTGGTTTCTCTTTTATGTAATGTTAAATGGATGAAAGAAAAGGACAAACTTTGTAAGGGCAGATAGCCAAAGAATGTGAGATCTCAGTAGACATTTCTGATTTCAGACCTTGGTAGACTCAGGACTATAGTGTTTCTCAGCCACCACAATCTCAAGAGCAATTTTGTTGTCTTCTCCCTTTTTGTTGAAGAATGAAAGGAGAAACTTATCAAAGTGATGTTTGTCAGTTACAAGCCAATAAGAAAGTAGAATTTAGTTTTCCAGTTTGTTTTATTTGGGAGGAATGGGAAGTGTAGAATGTAATAAATCTGTTGATAAAGATATGAACTGTTTGCCTTTTTATTTCCTGGAGGTGGAACTATGCAATTTTGAAGGATCCAATGACATCTGCAGTTAATAATTATTTAAAATGTGCTGTCATAAAAAAGTCTGTATCTTTTTAAAATCCAAGTTAGTACTAAGCAGGAAATTAATATGCTTTAACTTATGTTTTCATTTTATGTCAATTTGAATGATCATATTTAAGGTATTAATGGAATCTTCCATCTATTGATAGGCTATTAAGGAAATAGAATTCAGAATAAATTAACTTATTGCAGTCAGGAGCAGTATATTCAGCTTCACAGCTCTTAAAACTGAATTACTAAAAATGGAGTATGAACTCAAATTCTGTTTATTATTCTGTTAAATGACCTTGGTTACATTATACTGAATGCATTTTTTCCTTTATCAACATATCAAACCCTTTAAAGCAATAATTAATAGAATTGTAGATACAGTGCCACTTTATACATAGCTTCAAAAATCAGAGTATCTCATTTGCTTTCACGTGGAAGATATCACTGAGTTGTATCAAAAAAAATGCATAAAAGCTCAGCATACAGAGAAAAACCTGAAGGACATTGCAAACAGAAGCATACTCCAAGAGGTAAAGTTTTGAGACAGAAAATGGCATATGAAAGAAAAGTCTCAACATACAATATGATTGAATGACTTTTTAACATTCCACTGATTGCTGACTTCTTGGTCTTTATGTCAAGCAAAAACTCAATGAATCAGAAACACTATTCAGACACTATCTTTTGTTTTGTTTTGTTTTTGAGACAGAGTCACTCTGTCGCCCAGGCTGGGGTGCAATGGAGCAATCTCAGCTCACTGCAAGCTCCGTCTCCCGGTTTCAAGCCATCCTCCTGCCTCAGTCTCCCAAGGGACTACAGGCACCTGCCACCACGCCTGGCTAATTTCTTGTATTTTTAATAGAGGCAGAGTTTCACCATGTTAGCCAGGATCAGACACTATCTTAATCTCTTTGAGTCATTATTCTCTATGCACAAGGTAGAAATGATCAAATTGTGTGTTATCAGTGCTATCATGATGATAATAGAAAATAAGTATACAAACATGAGATAAAAGTGTCTTAAAAAATATTATCTAACTTCACATTAATTTAGGATTTTTTTTAAAAAAAAGACATTTATTCAGCGTCATGATCAGACTATTACATTTAGCAATCAACAGCATGGGTGCAAAAAAAAATCTACATTAAAACCCTTTGTTGGAATGCTTTACACTTTGCACAGAACAGAAACTAAAATAACCTGTTATACAGTTAGTCACAAATACAGTCCTATTTTTGCCCATACACATGAGTATTTGTCTAAAACATGTCTTCTTTGTAGCAGCTAGACCTTGCCACCACTGTGCTTGACTGAGTTCACAAATCTGTTATAACCTGAAGCTTCCCTGTCACTTCTCTGGCTCTCCTCTCCAGCTAAGCTTTGTTCCCTAATTAAAATCTTCTGCCATTGCCATAGCTACTGCTGCTACTGGAACCGCCATAGCCACCTTGGTTTTGTGGTTTGGCCAAGTATTGGCCTCCACCCCCATAGGGGTCAGAGCTTCCACCTCCAAAGTTTCCTCCCTTCATGGGTCCAAAATTTGAAGACTGATTGCTGTAATTGCCAAAATCATTGTAGCTTCCACCACCTCCAAAATTGCTTCCATCATTACCAAATCCACTATAGTCATCCCCACTGCCACCATATCCACTACCACCGTGGCTGCCACCAAAGCTACTATGACCCCTGAAGTTTTCTCCATGACCAAAGTTGTCATTTCCACCGAAACCACCTCCATGACCACCACCAAAGTTTCCAGAACCACTTCGCCTCTTTGGCTAGAGGAAGCACTAGCCACCTCTTGCTTTGACAGGGCTTTCCTAGCTTCACAGCTGTGGCCATTCACAGTGTGGTATTTCTGAATGACAGTCTTATCCACGGAGTCATGGTCGTCAAAGGTTACAAAGGCAAAGCCTCTTTTCTTGCCACTGCCTCAGTCAGTCATGATTTCAATCACTTCAATTTTCTCATACTGTTCAAAATAATCTCTTAGGTGATGTTCTTCAGTGTCTTCTTTAATGCCACCAACAAATATCTTTTTCACAGATAAGTGGGCACCTGGTCTTTGAGAATCTTCCCTTAGACAGCTCTCTTTGGTTTTATAACTCTTCCATCCTCCTTGCATGGCCTTGCATTCATGGCTGCATCCACCTCCTCCATAGTGGCATATGTGACGAACCCAAAGCCCTTGGAGCACTTTGTGTTTGGATCTCTCATTACCGCACAGTCCGTGAGCGTTCTCCTTTGCTCAAAATGGCTCCTTAGGCTCTCATCAGTTGTTTCAAAGCTCAACCCTCCAATGAAGAGCTTCCTCAGCTGTTCGGGTTCTTTAGGAGACTCTGACTTAGATGTAACAGCAGGGAGAAGAGAGACTTTAATGCTGCTTCTTTGGTGGCATCCACAGGCTGATTTAGGAGTTAATGGCAGTTATTGTTGAATTTGTCAAAAAGATTGTGATTAGGTTTTCAAATACAGGTATCTATTTTAAGAATGTTGACCCAATACCAGATTGATAATAGATTTAATAGATTTAATTTGTAATGAATTCTAGACTCTTTAAATTCCAAGATTATCAGATTCTCAGGTTTGTTTCAAATAACTTACTGCATAACCATAATCTTCCAGCTGCTCTAAGGACAATACAAATTTTTAAATCACATTAAATACTCCGTTAGAACTACCTTGTATCTCCCTTCTCAAAAATAATTACTTATTCTGACAGGTACTGATAACCAAAATGAGTGACTGAGGCAAATATCTCAATCAATCAAGATTTATGAAGCCAGCTTTAGGACACTGATATGTTAATAGTTTGGATACTTGTCCCCCCAGATCTCATGTTGAAATGCAATCCCCAGTGTTGGAGGTGGGGCCTGGTGGGAGTAGTAGTTTGGGTCATTGGGGTAGATTCTTCATGGCTTGGTGCTTTTCTCACAAAAGTGAGTGAGTTGTCCTGAGATTTTGCTGTTTAAAAGTGTGTGGTATCTTCTCACTTGCTCTCTTTCTTGCTCCCACTCTCACCATGAGGTATGTTGGGTCCCCCTTTGCCTTCTACCATGATTGTAAGCTTCCTGAGGCTCATGATTGTAAGCTTCCTGAGGCTTCCTCACCAAAAGTAGATGCCAGCATCACACTTCTTGTGTAATCATCATCGTGAGCTAATTTAATGTCTTTTCTTTATAAATTACCCAGTCTCTGATATTTCTTTATAACAATGCAAGAATGGTGCACAAGGTGTGGTCAGGAAAAACACACATGACAAACATCTGAAGACGTTTTTAGGAGGTTTAGTATTTATACATTTCCTTAAACGGGGGAAGGCATGTAGGAAGAAGGGCAGGTAGGCAGTATGGCAAATTGTTACATTATTGTGAGACTTTAGTTAGTGCCCAGTAAATCTACATTTTACTTAAGATAAGGGGAATGTTTGAAGAAAAAAAATAGAGTAAAGGAAGAATCAATTATGCAAACATCTCTGGGGAGGTGGGGGAAAGATCAATCTCCTCTTGTCTTTGTTCTTCATCTGGGAACATAATCTTGTAATCTGCTCAGTGTGGAATCTGTGGACTTGAAACAGACTTTAGTTTCAGACCTGAGACCTTTTACCTTTCTGTGGAGATCTGGCTAATGCATTATGTTAGCAACAGTTATTCACTTGGAAGAAGGTGTTGCATGACTCAGCTTCCAGGCTTAACTTTCATTTTGGCATAAGGAGTTTGGGGGTCTTGAGATTTTTAAAAAATTTTCCTTCATGACACTATAAACTGTGCTAATAATAACCATTTGCAGAGTATTGCTTTGTATCAGTACTATTCTATATACTTTTTGTGAATTAACTTGAAACCTTACAACAACCCAACAAGGGTTATTTTTATTTTACAGATGAGGAAATTCAAACTCAGAGGAGGTAAGTCATTTGGCAAGGTCACAAGATGTGGTAGAGATTTTTATTCCACACTTATTCCATGCTTATTCCGAGCATGTTTGGCTATGATGTCCATAACTTTCCTCTGGTCCACACAGCAGTGGTTATAGTGAAGGGTCAGAGAAGAATCCTGAGAAGCAGAAGGAAACTGTGGTTCTAGAATATGCACAAAGACAACTATGCCTGGTGGTTCATGTCATCATTTTTTGCAAAACTCCTGGACTAATGTTCAAAATCTTGATTCTCTTTCTTGTTTTGTATTTGAATAGTTCTGTCAGGGAGTAGATTAGGTGGACTTGTATTTGTTTCTTGCCCACAGAGCAGACTTCTATGTGCTCTGACTTGCTGCTATGAGACCAGGTCCATTTAATCTGTTTATCACTCCCCAGATCATCATATGTTTCCCCATCAGACTATTGAAAGCAAAAGGCACAACCCAGTCACCTGTCACTATCAATCTTAAGGCAGAGGATAAAATATTTCCACAGGGATACCATACACTCAGCTAAAGATAAGGCCCCTGATGTGGGCTTGCGGACTTAGAATTGGTATAGCCACATAAGCCTTTGTCTCGGTCTTCATGGGAAATCTAGTACAAATGAACTCCTGTCTTATAACTTTGATATTCCAGCAGAGGAAACATTGCCCAAACTGGCTATTGCAGAAGCTCCATCTCTGTATCTCTCACATCCCACCAGTTTCTGGAAATCTCTAACAGGAGATTTCAGGATAATTCTCAAATAAGGAATCGTAATAACAGAGTGGGGTCATCCATCATTCCTCTTTTTCTCTTGTAGTTTATTTGCCCCAAAAGTCTCAGGTACTGTTGACATTGTTGTCTGCCTCTCAAAGTCACAGGTCATGCTGTGTCACACTGTTCTAAGACTGATCTTTGAATACAGAGAACATCTGTTTTCTGCCCTCATCATCTGGTGACCATTCCCTCAAATAACCCTATCTGCCACCCGCTACCTTGATGACCTAAATGGAGGTCTGCTTGCACTCCAAATTTTCACAGAGAATTTAATGTGGTACTCACTTTTGCTATTACGACTTGCTCCAATAATACATTGATATAAATGACAGTGGGCTAGAGTACCAAAGATAAACATTGATCCAGGGACCCTCTCAAAGTTTTCCACCCAGACCTTCCTCTTGTTCTTCTGGTCATTCATGCCTTCCCTCCAGTTATGTAATGAATCTTTTTTGGTTTGGTTTGAAGCTCTCCAGTGTGGAGAAAATACCTAAGTCTTCTTTTCTTTAATTCAGAAACATTAACAATAGTTGCATTTATTGAAAACTAGCCAGAGGTGGTACCATTTTAGTTCCTCCCACAATTTCAGATTTCTTTTCTATAATATGTACATGTCTTTTTAGCCTACAAAATGTGCTTCGAAGACTGACTTTCAAAACCTTGTGGTAGGTTGAATAATGGCCCACTAAAGATGTCATTGTCCTAATCCCAAGAACCAGTAAATTCATCGCCTTATATTGTAAAAAGGACTTTGCAGAAATGATGAAATTAAGAATCTTGAGATGAGAATTTTATCCCCAATTATCCTGAGTGGGCCAGATATCATCACAATGTTGTTATAGAAAAGATGCAGGAGGAGTCAGAGTTAGACAGAAGGCAATGTGACAGAACAAAGGGACAGAAAGAAAGATGTGAAGAACCTAAGCAATGGAGATGTAGGGAGATGCAGAAAGGGAGCTATAAGGCAAGGAATGCAGATAGCCTTCGGAAGCTGGAAAGGTAAAAGAAACACATTCTCCCCTAGGGTCTCCAGAACAAACCAGCCTGTGGACACTGACTTTAGCTCAGTGAAACTGATTTTTGTCTCCTGGTCTCCCAAACAGTAAGATAATAAATTTATATTGTTTTTAGGTACTAAATTTGTGGTAATTTGTTCCAGCAGCATTAGGAAACTAATACACTGCCCCCATCTTCAATCAAACTGCTCCCTCTTTGTTCCAGAAATTCCAAAGCCACTACCAACTCTCAGGCACTGCTTAGCTCTTTGCATAAATGATTATAATGCATAAGTTTAGTAACAACTACAAAAAGGTGTAGCATTTTTAATACAATGAGAAAATAAAGTTTAATCAAGAAACTTAACCTCAAGATCACACAAGAGATGTTACAGCTGGACTCTATTCCCTGATCCATCTAATTATTCACAGCCTATGTTCTTAATCACCATATGAACTGAGTGCATCTTCTTTCTTCTTTCCATACATCATTAATGAAGTCCATGTTTGGTTTTTAACCACATTTTAAAATTTAAAATTTACACAGAGGGGATTCTGGATCCCAGGCAGATTTCCTACTAAATACCTCTCATTAAGTGTGTTCAGCTTCCTGCTTGCCTTGGGCCTCCCCCCTGAGTTGATGCAGTGAAAGTCACATCTATTGTCTCACACACTGGGACACACACTCCATAGGGTAAGGACAGGAAAAGATGATTCCTTCTGCTTGTAAAGGAGAAGGAAGAATTTGTCCCACTACCCTCCTGAAAGGGTCTTCATGGAAACACAATGAGCTAGAGCCCTAACTCCAACTCTTTGGGATGTAAATACCTTTCCCCTGGAACCTAAGAGCCCTCTGGTCTTCAATTTATGTGTCCTACTGATGTCTTTAGGTTCTGTGGGCTTCATCTCTTTTGATATGTAAATAATTAGGAAGATAGCATTCCACTCTCCCCAGCACCTTAGGGCTTAACCTAGGGACCAAGTCCTGGATGTAACCTTTGGGCTTTCTTGGGGGAGATTAGATATATTTTATTATTCTTTTGGATCCAGCCACTAATTAGAAAAATGACTACAGATTTAATTCTCATGGTCTGAGAAAAGAAAAAGTCACGGGGAGGGACTTATATGACTTCGGTTTGGGTGCAGTGGGGTCCAGGGGACTTCACGTTCACACTTCGGATATTCTTGGGGTGAATTCCCTGCAGGGTCTGCAAGCACTGGCAAGGCAGTTCATGGGCCACCCATACTCCTAGGGAAGAAGAGACTCGCTGGGTGAGCGGGACTGTTGGCGCGGGGTGCTACCCCAGCCGTGTCCCGCTCCGGAGACCCCAGGGCGCCGGGACCCATCTGCCGCTCGCCGGCCGGAGGCTACCAGGAGCAGGAGCAGCAGCGCCGCCCGCAGTAGCCGGGGAGCGCGGGGGACAGCGGGGGGCGCGGCGCAGTTCACCGGGCTCAGAAGGCAGGTCGGGCGGCGGTGCGAGGAGCGGGAGAGCTGGCAGGGAGGTGCCTGCAGCCCAGGCTCTGTGGCTCCCCAAGATCGGTGAACCCTTTTTATGCATGATTGGGGCTGAAAAGTCTGGAACCCCCGGGCCAGGGAAATTCTCGGAGCTCCAGGTCTATCCCGAGTACTGAAGAAAAGGGCTGGCCCCACCCCCGGGGTGGGTGGGTGGTGGGCGGTGGCTGGTTACCCACTGGTGCAGCCTCCCCGGCTCGCCTTCCAGAGTAACTCCCGTCGACTGTGGGATATTCGCTTTCTACCCCAAATCCCTGGAAGGTCATTGAGTCCACCTCGCTGGAAATACCGCCTGCGGGGAAGGACTTTGGGCATGGGGCCATCCCAGTGCGTGGGACGGGGAGGAGAGTTAAGAGCTGGGGCGGATCCCTGAGAACCACAACAGGGGAGGCGCGAACTCTTTAAAAGAGTGATAACTACTTAGTTAATAGAGTTGGGATGGGGGATTTAAGAGGAATTAAGGAGGGCTTAGAAGGCTAGATTTTGCTTAGCTGGCTATCTTCTAGATATCATATTCTCTATCTAACCTCTCTCTGTCTCTTCTGTCTCTGCTTTTCGGTTTAGCATATTTCACATATATCTGAAATCAATGCTCCCTGTAAAAATACAGCAGCCATCATGTCAGATTCCAGAGAAGAATGTTCTGCTTGCTCCTTGTGTTGCGTATTCTCTAATCACACATAGAATATCTTGTTTACGTTTTCCATTTGGTGGCAACAGATTATCAGTGTCAAAAGCTGAATCCAGTGTTAGTTTCAGTGGAAGCCCAGGCTGTAACATGACCTCTTTTTTTCCTATCCTGCATAACTTCCTTCCCTCTGAAATACTGGGACTTCCGAAATTCCCTAGAGATCTCCTTCTCCCCGTACGAGAGGTTCAGATTTGATATGACATAATGAGATTGGCTATCACTCTGAAGCTGGGCACTGGCTGTCACTCCCATATGTCACAGATTTGATCTATGACATGAGGGACTTGCTGGGTCCAGCAGCCTCATGGCCTATTTCTGGTTCTCTGTCTTTCAACGGCACAGCACATGACACTGGGGAGTGGGTACCTGGTGTGCAAGCACTCTTCCCACTGAAACAGCAGATATCCATTCAGATGAAATAGGAACACCAGGTCCCACATAGAGTCACATTCCATTTACTATCAGACTTTCTGGTATTTGATGTTGGACCTGCTTTCTCTGGAAACATAGGCATTGTGGCTTTCTGATCGTGAATTTCAGCCTTTTAACCCGACGCCTCTATCACTTTTTCTACAGCTTTAGAGAATTTATTTTGATTCATCATTAGGTTTTAGAGGGTTTTAGTGTGAATCTCCAAGTCAGTTTCAGACCTCTCTGAGACATGGAGTAAAACAGAGAGAAGAGAGGAGAAAGGAATGGCCTCTGCCTAGAGTGCAGAGCTCTAGGCAGCCCAGTTCAAGGCATAAGAGCCCTTACCCCTAGCCAAACACAGGGCAATACAACTTGGCTGCCTGCATTTAGTTGCACAGCATCACCTGCAGATTGTTTAACCTCTTTGTGCTAAGCCCAAGGTAGTTATGAGAAGTGAGTCAACATTTGTAAGAGCCATCATGGATTAAGTGCCTTATCAACGTTTTTTAAATAAATAAAATGGAAATAGCTTTTCCCAATGTTGCCTAAACAGAAAATCAACCTGCTATGAATTCTTCTATAAAGAAAAAAAAGGATCTAATAAAAAGGTTCACTCCCTAATTTTTTTTTACATTTAAAATTTTCTGTATCCCTACTGCCACCCAACTGTACTTAACTATACACAACACCATATAGAGCAGTGTGAGCCCTTAAGAAATCAAAGCAGGTCCTAGAATGAAGACTGTTCATATAAACGCAATCTCAGTGTCCAAAATGTCCTCATAGCTACTGGTGCTCACAGGTACCTGTGCTGTCATTACAGTAATCCTGGTCAAGGGGTGGAAAGGTGTGCTAGAATGTTGTGTTGCTTTAAAACAGATCCTATCGTTAGTATTTCTGCTCCAATCTTTTTCATTTATTTCCTTTCTCACATTTTCCTGATTACTTAAATTCCATGGCAGAAAGGATACAAGAAAAGCCTTGGCCCAATGGAGGACAAAATACAAAGTGCCCCAAATGTCTTCATCCATTTCAAGCTATAATAAATGCTGCAAACTTCTAAATTAAAAAAAAAGCAAAACACACACATACACACACACACACACAAACCTGAGGCTGCTCTGCCTATGGAACAGCCGTTCTTTCGTTTCTTTATTTCTCTAATACACTTGCTTTCACTTAAAAGATAAATTACAAAATAAACTCAGGAATTTACAAAAAATTAACATGAAATTAAATTTTCCATATCTGACTTTCAGAAAGGAAAATACATCTGTACTTTACTAGGGGATGCACTTAGATGGGAGGGGGGTCATTTTTTACTATTGAGACAGATCCTTAATTTATTTTTCAGCCCCAGTTTTAAACACTTCATCTGTAAAAAGAAGTTTAAATATAAAGTCTCCATCTTATTTATTGTGAAAGATGTACAAAATCCATGACTGTATTAAAAAATACTTGAGCATGAGCCTAAGAGAAAAACCAAGAGAATTAAAGGGAAATTCAAATTTGTATTGGGGGTAGGAAATGACATATAACCTAAAGGTTATAAAGTATGTGACTAGCTCATGAATGATTGAAAGGCTGTGTGATTACCCCTTTTATTGTTACTCTTTTTGGGGGATTTGATGATAAACTGGCCTAGAAATATGAAAGTGATTCTTTAAAATTTGAAAAATGTAAATGTATTGTTTTGTTTTCTAATGGTAGTTGTAATACATGTTCATTTTATAAAGTTTACCATAGTCAGCAAGGCATGAAGAGGTTTTTTTTTTCTCTCTAATCTCTCTTCACGTTTCTCTATGAAACCTACTTTAATGGGTCACTGAAAATTTGCTTGTTTTTCTTCAATAAACATAGGAGTTAATAGCACATCATAGGTTTACATACTCCCATTCTGGATTATGTACTCTGCAGGAAAGCTGTAAAATCTCATCCCTGTTTGTCTCCAATGAGTCTGGTTCATACTAAGCACTCTACAAATATTTGTTGAAATAATGGATAAATAAATGGCTTTGGGCCACTGTTTTAGAATCAAAGTGTCCTGAGGTGAGTACATATGGAAATTGCCCTTGAAGGACAGCAGCATTTCCTTAGTATTTTTTTGCCTATTTCAACTCTCAGTACTGAATAAAACCTCTCAGTAGACCTAAGATGATACAGCTGGACCAGAGCCAGAGTTTAAATTTTAGAGTAAGAGCTAAGGAAAAGTATCTTACCTGGGACAGCTCATTTCAGAATATGAACCTTGGCTTAGATATCTTTGAAGCTAATTTCTGCCAAGTCCAAAGAACACACATGGGACCTGCAAAGGCATTCAGAGCCAGATTACCTGAGCTGCTTAAGTCTGGAACAGAAAAGGAGAAATGTCAGAAATAAAGCAAGAGAGTTTGTCACAGATGGAGCTGGAGTATCGGTGCTTGGCCTTTATGGATCATCTGTCTCATGGCGGATGGTAGGAGCCAGCTAATTCAAGGTTCATCATCTAGACAGAAAGTGAGTAAATAATAGCTACACTTCCGACACATTTTTAAATTAATCTATGTGTATAAGGCACAGTGATAAGTTTAGTAGAGAAGGTAAAGTTGGATAGAGTCCAGCTTCTAATGCAAAATTCTTATTTAGCCTGTCTACTTTCTTTGGCCGTGCTAGATTATTTATTTTTCGGTTTCTGGCATGATAATCTGATGATATGATCAGTCTACAAATACTTAAAATCATTCAGATATTATTGAGAATCATTCAATATATTAGATTTTGTCAGTTTTTTGGGGGGGTAAGGGGTGGTTATTGGCTTTTAAAAGCATTTTTGTATGTTGTTTTGCCTCTCCATTTTCCTAAGATCCTTTTCCGAACTATTTGGAGCTGATTATTAATTAAATAAATGATACTATGATCACATAATGTAAAAAAAAAAAATCTGAAATACAGGATTGCCAAAATTGCAAAAGAGTAAGGAAATGAGGAAACTTCTCTTGGAAATAATTACATAAGAAATTTGTTTTGGAGATTAAAACATTATTATGACTTTGGCATTCTGGAAACAACATTTAGGAAGTTGAGAGATGAATATATAAACCACAAATGAAAAAATAGCATACATAGCATAAAAACACAGACTTCAGCTAAGAAAAGTTTGAATAATCACAAAAACTTGATTTAAATATCATGCCATAGTATTTTCAATGTTCCGTATCCTCTACTTTTTCAGTCAGAAATATTTTTGGTTTAATTTTTTTTTCTTTCTGGGCTGTGTCCATATATTCAGAAGAGACATCTGAACAATACTGATTTCAGAGGGATGGTTCTGCTGGTGTGTGACTGAGCTAGTTCATTGACTGACATTTTTGAAGTAGTTAAGGATACTAAAGAAATATGAGATTTAATTACATATTGTGGAAATTATGGTGAAAGTGGAGAAACAAGAACTTGGTTGTGTGTAATATATCATCTGTATGACGCACATTAGAGTAAATATCTATTATCATATAAGATTGAGTGAGCATATATTGTAGCATCTGTGTATGATTGGACTATGTGGATGGACAGATGAGGGGAACTCTTAACAGAGTCCGTAATAGTTACAAATGTGACTGTAATGAAACGCCAAACAAATCACCTATGAGACAAATGGCATGAGCATGTCATAATGTCTATAAATAACTTGGCAAGATCTGTGAGCCTAGC
Organism: Homo sapiens; assembly: GCF_000001405.40. NCBI lineage: Eukaryota > Metazoa > Chordata > Mammalia > Primates > Hominidae > Homo > Homo sapiens. The sequence continues at coordinate 73,949,189 of NC_000004.12, forward strand.
ATGGTCAGGAGTTGGGAAAACAGTATTTTTAATGTTCAACCAACTTTGTGTTGGCTGAATGCCTTATCCTCAACACTAAACTGCCATTATTACATTGTATTGCTAACTACAGTATTATTCCTCTTCATGTAGTTAATATTTGACCAATATTTTTTAACGTCTATTCTATTAGGCATTTTTCTGAAATATAGAATTATGAGATGGAGTAGGCTTGGCCCTTATTTTAAAGGAGAAAGGGAGAGGCCAGAGATCAAATATCCCGGTTCCTCTGTAGCTGATATCTCCGGAAGATAAGCAGCCCAGACTTGAGTTTCTAGATGGATACAACCAGGTGCATGTCCAAGGCACAGAGGAGGGTATTTATAACCCATGGTAACATTAAATGCAGTGCCTTCTCCTGGTTGAGCAGGGCAACAGTCATCTGTGGCTCCAGGCATCCACACACTATCGTTAGTGTAGATTTCTGCAGGAGCATCTATCCAGGTGAGAGGTCGAATAAGTGGAGGAAAAGGCACATAAGCCCAGTAAGAATAATTTTGTGTAGCAGGTAAATCAGTGTGGGAGGAAACTGGAGAGACAGAAAGTATAAGGAGGAGAATCATTAAATAAAACCCATAGTAAGCGAGATTGAGTGCTGAAGGAGGAAGAGAAGAACAGAGGGATGTTACTTTCAGGCTAATAGAAATGGTGAGATTTTCAGGTTTGTAAAGAGAAAAAGAAAGGTAATCAGGAGAAGTGGGATTAGTTAGATGGGTCTCCATTGCCACCAGGGAGGATTGAATCAGACCCATTGTGATTTGGTGTGCCTGCTTCTGAGGAGTTGGCACAGATCTCACCACGTCTGAGGGCAGTTTCTGACACGGACATCTTTTCCCTGTGGTTTTTGACAATCTCCTGGTGAAACACAAGCATATCCTCTTTCCCACATTAAGTAGAATCAGAGACAATATTTAAAGGTTTGGGGAAATCCTCTAAGGCAGTAATTACAGCAATTAACTCTGCCTTTTGAGCAGAGGTATAAGAGGTAGAAATAAGCTTGTCTGTAGGACCTACATAACCAGCATTGCCATTACTGGAGCCATCAGTGAACACTGTAACAGCCTCAGGAATAGGCTGATCTATGGTTAATCGAGGGACCACCCAATACGTCATTTTTATAAAATCAAACAATTTGTTCTTTGGATAATGATTGTCAATAACACCAATGAAATCAGCCAAGTGAATTTGCCACAGTACGGAATGTTGAAAGGCGGCTTGAACTTCGAGCCAATTTAAAGGAACTACAATTAAATTCCATTCAAATCTGGAAATTTTAAGTATTATACACCATGCCTGTCCAATTAGAGTAGCCTTTTGGTCCAGATAAACAGACAAAGTTTTTGACACAGAATGAGGAAGAAAACACCACTCCACTAAGTCATTATGTTGAACTATTCGTCCTGTAGGGGAGTGTAATGAAGCGAAAACCAGAAGCTGAAAAGGCTGAAACGGCTGTACTCTAGATAACTGGGTGGTCTGGATTCTTTCCTCTACGAATTTCAGTTCTAGTGAAGCCTCAGGGGTCAATGTCCTGAGACGGCAGAGATTGGAATCTCCCCACAGTATAGAAAACAAGTTAGACAGCTCACAGGTTGGAATGCCTGAAGTAGGTCTTAAATAATTAATGTTACCCAAAATTTTTTGGGAGTCATTTAAAGTTTTTAAAGATTCTCTCCTACTTTGAACTTTATGAGGTTTAGTACATTGTTTATTGACCACCATTCCTAAATATTGAACAGGAGTGATCTGTTGAATTTTATCCTGAGGGATGTGTAATCCAGCTTCTGTAACATGGCAGCTCAAAATTTGATAACAGTCAATTAATTTTTTATCAGTGGGGGCAGCAATTAAAATATTATCAATATAATGAAGAATATAGGCCTGGGGAAATTGGGCTCGAACTGGTGAGAGCACTTGTCCAACATAAAGCTGGTAGATTGTAGGGCTATTCAGCATTCCCTGAGGAAGTATTTTACATTGATAATTAACTGCAGGCTCCTGATTATTGATAGATGGTACAGTAAAAGCAAATTTTTCACAATCTGATTTACATAAAGCAATATGAAAAGCAATCTTTAAGATCAATAACTGTGAGAGACCAATTTTTAGGTATTAAAGCGGGGGCAGGCATGCTGGGTTGGATGGCCCCCATAGGTTTAATTACAGCATTAATGGCCCTTAAATCGGTTACCATCTGCCACTTGCCTGATTTCTTTTTTACTAGAAACACAGGAGAATTTCAAGGGGGAAGAGAAGGGTCCACATTTTAAAGTTGTAACTGTTCAGAAACCAAGTGAGTTAAATCTTCCAGTTTTTCTTTAGAAAGCGGCAACTGCTGAATCCAAACAGGTGTGTCAGATTTCCATTGTAAAGGGATAGGATCAGGAGGCATGGCAGCGGCTGCCACTAAAAAGGATAACCTAAACCTGCCCTGTTTTCTTTTACAGTAACTGGAAGGGATTTAGTAATCCCTTCATGCTTTGGACTGAGACCAAGCCCAGGAACAAACCCCATGTTTTCCATCGTATGCTGACTGGGAGCACTATAAGAGTTATGTGGAATATTAATTTCAGCCCCAGTATCAACTAGGCCCTCAAACTTTTTTACTTGAATGTGTATGGTGTAGGTGGGCCATTGTTTAGAAATTACATTAATCCAATAAGCGGCTTTTTCACCATCAGAGCCCATCCTAGGGCCACGTGTCTTACCTCCTTTGTTTAAAATGATATTAGGTAATAAAAGCAATTGAGCTTGTTTAACAGTAGTAAAAGAAGCAGAAGGTTGGCCTGGGGCACGTAATTTATTGTAAGCTCTCATACACAACTTTGTTGCTTGTTTTGTGGTAAGAGCATCAAAGCCTAATTGGGCATAAGTATTAGAGAAACTATCGGAGCCTGTGAGTTGAGCCTGAGTAATTAGAATGCCATTAGTCCGATTTAGCTGAGCCTGCAAATGGGCCTCTTCTGACCACCAGGCTGAGATGGGGTTAGAATAGCTTTTGCCAAAAGGTCTGAGTCTAAAGGAAGTAAAACGACCTCAGTACAAAAAGTTTGTACCATTTTAACATAAGAAGAAGTAGGGCCATACTGAGTACCAGCATCCTTAAATTATTTTAAAAAGGTAAGATTGAGAGGTACATAATGATGCAGACTGGTTGAGGAACCGAAACAACAGTAGGTTGAGGGGCTGCAGTGGATGGGGAGGGCCTGGAGAATTATAGGTAAATTGTAGTTTGGTTCTGGAGCCATTAGCTGATGTGGGAGGTTTGAAGAGAGAAGAATTAGCATATCTATGGTTCCAGGCTGTGTGAGTCGCAGCCGCAGGAGCTTCAAGTACCAGCTCTTCCTGAAAAGAAAATAAGTAAGGGGTAATGTTAAGCCAAAGTCACCAGAGTTAGACATTGAATTGTCAGCATCATTAGGTAGGGGAGGAGTAGTTGAAGGGAGAGGCTGATCAGATGATGAAGGCTGTGCAGGAGAGGAAGGTTGAGAAGGTATTAGGATGGCACTTACCAAGGCCCTATCACCCCAAACAGTGACAGGAACATAATTCCCTGTCGAGACCAGTTCTCAGAATGTTGAACCAACATGATCCCATAGTTTTACATATACAGTTCCTTTTTCAGGAAACCAAGGACAGTATTTTCCCACTGCCCTGAATAGAGTGACCATATTTTCCATGGGCACTCAAACCCTTTTCTGTTTTAACTGGAGTGTAATATAGAAGAGATAAGTATAATTTTTATACTCTGTGTGACCCATAGTTAAACTGGACCATACACAGACTACTCACCAGTCGTCAGGGAGTCAAACAAGCATCTCTGTGGACCAAACCAATGACATTTCTCCACACCTGCCAAAGGGAATCGGGTTCCCACATGCATTTAGGAAAAAAGAAAGACCATGTTGGGTGTCAGATATCAGGGGAACCTGCCCCTGATAATTCAATGTGAGTCCTTTTCTATTTTCCTTAGGTGTTGGCCAGTCTGAGAAATGAAGGGAAAGAATACAAAAGAGAGAAATTTTAAAGCTGGGTGTCTGGGGGAGACACCACATGTCTGCAGGTTCCATGATGCCCCCCAAGCCGCATAACCAGCAAGTTTTTATTAGTGATTTTCAAAAGGGGAGGGAGTGTATGAATAGGGTGTGGGTCACAGAGATCACATGCTTCACAAGGTAATAAAATATCACAAGGCAAATGGAGGCAGGGCGAGATCGCAGGACCAGGGCAAAATTAAAATTGCTAATGAAGTTTTGGGCATGCATTGTCATTGATAACATCTTATCAGGAGACAGGGTTAGAGAGCAGACAACCGGTCTGACCAAAATTTATTAGGTGTGAATTTCCTAGTCTTAATAAGCCTAGGAGTGCTATGGGAGATTGGGACTTATTTCATCCCTTATTTACAACTGTAAAAGACAAACGTCCCTGCAGTGACCATTTTAGAGGCCTACCCCTAGGAACGCATTCTCTTTCTCAGTGCTGTTCCTTGCTGAGAAAAAGAATTCAGTGATATTTCTCCTATTTGCTTTTGAAAGAAAAGAAATATGTCTCTGTTCCACCTGGCTCTCAGGCAGCCAGACCTAACGGTTATCTCCCTTGTTCCCTGAACATCACTGTTACCCTGTTCTTAAGGTGCCCAGATTTCATATTGTTCAAACACACATGCTCTGCAAACAATTTGTGCAGTTAACGCAATCATCACAGGGTCCTGAGGTGACATACATCCTCAGCTTATGAAGATGATGGGATTAAGAGATTAAAGTAAAAACAGGCATAGGAAATTATAAGAGTATTGATTGGAGAAGTAATAAATGTCCATGAAGTCTTCACAATTTATGTTCAGAGATTGCAGTAAAGACAGGTGTAAGAAATTATAAAAGTATTAATTTGGGGAACTAATAAATGTCCATGAAATCTTCACAATTTATTTTCTGCCATGGGTTCAGCCAGTCCCTCTGTTTGGGGTCCCTGACTTCCCACAAGAGTTACACTGGTATTTTGATAGGGGCTGCATTGAATCTTTAGATTTATTTAAGCAGTATGGTCATTTTAACAATATTAAGTTCTCTGATTCATGTGCATGTCTTTCCATTTGTTTGTGTCATCTTCAATATCTTTCATCAGCATTTTGCAGTTTTCCTTGTAGAGATCTTTCACTTCCTTGTTAAATTTATTAGAGGGTAGTTTAATTTTTTGTAGGTATTGTAAATGGGATTGCCTTCTTGATTTCATTCTTGGTTAGATAAATATTGGTGTATAGAAAGGCTACTGATTTTTGTATTTGATCTTGTATCTTGAAAGTTTACTGAGTTCATTTATCAAATCTAAGGTTTTGTTGATAGAGTCATTAGGTTTTTCTCCATATAACATATCATTAGCAAAGTGGGACAATTTGCCTTCCTCTTTTCCAATTTTTTTGGCTTTTGTTTCTCTTACCTGATTGCCTCTGGCTAGGACTTGTATTACTATGTTGCAAAGAAGTGGTGAAAGTGGGCATCTTTGTCTTGCTTTAAATCATAGAGAAAAGGCTTTCCATTTTTTCCCATTCAGTATGATGTTAGCTGTAGGTTTACTATATATGGCCTTTATTATTTTGATGTATGTTTCCTTTATTCCTGTTTGTTGAGAGTTTTTATTATGACGAGATAGTGCATTTTATCAAATGATTTTTTTCTACATTTATTGAGGCAATCATATGGTTTTTGTACTTCAGACTGTTGATGTAATATATCACATTTATTGATTTGCATATATTGAACCATCCTTGCATCCATGATACCAATCGAACCTGATTATGATGTATTATCTTTTTGATATAATGTTTTATTTGGTTTGCTAGTATTTTGTTGAGGATTTGATGTCTACATTCTTTAGGGATATTGGCCTGTAGTTTTCTTTTGTTGTTGTATCCTTGTCTAGTTTTTTTTTTTTTTTTTTTGAGACGGAGTCTCGCTCTGTCCCCCAGGCTGGAGTGCAGTGGCGCAATCTCGGCTCACTGCAACTCCACCTCCCGGGTTCACGCCATTCTTCTGCCTCAGCCTCCCGAGTAGCTGGGACTACAGGCGCCTGCCACCATGCCCGGCTAATTTTTTGTATTTTTAGTAGAGACGGGGTTTCACCATGTTAGCCAGGATGGTCTCGATCTCCTGACCTCGTGATCCACCCGTCTCGGCCTCCCAAAGTGCTGGGATTACAGGCATGAGCCACCGCGCCCGGCCCCTTGTCTAGTTTTGACCTTAGGGTAATGCTGGCAGCTTAGAATGAGTTGGGGAGAATGCCCTCCCCTTCAAATTTTTGGAATAGTTTCAGGAGAACTGGTGTTAGTTCTTTGTACATTTGGTAGAATTTTTTTTTTTTTTTAGATGGAGTCTCGCTTTGTCACCCAGGCTGGAGTGCAGTGGCATGATCTTGGCTCACTGCAAGCTCTGCCTCCTGGGTTCATGCCATTCTCCTGCCTCAGCCTCCTGAGTAGCTGGGACTACAGTCACCCGCCACCACGCCTGGCTAATTTTTTTGTATTTTTAGTGGAGACAAGGTTTCACCATGTTAGCCAGGATGGTCTCAATCTCCTGACCTTGTGATCTGCCCGCCTCAGCCTCCCAAAGTGCTGGGATTACAGGCATGAGCCACCATGCCCGGCTGGTAGAATGTTTTTATGATTTTATCTGGTTCTGGGCTTTTCTTTGTTGGAAGACTTTTTGTTACAGATTCAATCTAGCTACTCATTATTGGTCTGTTCATATTTTCTATTTCTCCCTAATTCAATCTTTGTACATTGTATATTTTCAGTAATTTTGCCATTTCCTATAGGTTTTCCAGTTTGTTAATGTATAGTGGTTCATAATGATCTTTTGTATTTCTGTGGTATCACCTGTAATGTCTCTTTATTTGCTTATTATTTTGTTTATTCTGATTTTGTCTTCTCTCTTCTTGGATAATCAAGCTAGTGGTTCATAAATTTTGTTTATCTTTTTGAATAACCAACATTTTTGTTGATCCTTTGCACTTTTGTCTCTATTTCATTTAGTTCTTTTCTGATATTTATTATTTACTTTCCTATGTTAATTTTGGGGTTGGTTTATTCTTGCTTCTCTAGTTCCTTGAGGCAAGTTGTTAAATTGTTAGTTTGTAATCTTTCTCCTTTTTTATTTTTTTTATTTTAACTTTTATTTTAAGTTCAGGGGTACATGTGCAGGTTTGTTATATAGGTAAACTTGTGTCATGGGAGTTTGTTGTAGAGATTACTCCATCAACCAGATATTAAGCCTAGTAACCATTAGTTACTTTTTCTGATCTTTTTCTCCTCCCACCCTAACTCCATCTTCCAATAGGCCATAGTGTGTCTTAGTTCCTTATATGTGTCCATGCGTTCTTATCATTTAGCTCCCACTTGTAAGTGAGAACATGCGGTTTTTGATTTTCTTTTATGTATATATATATATACTTTTTAGTATACTTTAAGTTCTAGGGTACATGTGCACAACTTGCAGGTTTGTTACATATGTATACCTGTGCCATGTTGGTGTGCTGCACCCATTAACTCATCATTTACATTACGTATATCTCCTAATGCTATCCCTCCCCCCTCCCCCCACCCCACAACGGGCCCCAGAGTGTGATGTTCCCCTTCCTGTGTCCAACTGTTCTCATTGTTCAATTCCCACCTATGAGTGAGAACATGCAGTGTTTGGTTTTTTTGTCCTTGCAATAGTTTGCTGAGAATGATGGTTTCCAGCTTCATCCATGTCCCTACAAAGGACATGAACTCATCATTTTTTATGGCTGCATAGTATTCCATGGTGTATATTTGCCACATTTTCTTAATCCAGTCTATCATTGTTGCACATTTGGGTTGGTTCCAACTCTTTGCTATTGTGAATAGTGCCGCAATAAACATAGGTGTGCATGTGTCTTTATAGCAGCATGATTTAAAATCCTTTGGGTATATACCCAGTAATGGGATGGTTGGGTCAAATGGTATTTCTAGTTCTAGATCCCTGAGGAATTGCCACACTGACTTCCACAATGGTTGAACTAGTTTACATTCCCACCAACAGTGTAAAAGTGTTCCTATTTCTCCACATCCTCTCCAGCACCTGTTGTTTCCTGACTTTTTAATGATTGCCATACTAACTGGTGTGAGATGCTATCTTATTGTGGTTTTGATTTGCATTTCTCTGACGGCCAGTGATGATGAGAATTTTTTCATGTGTCTTTTGGCTGCATAAATGTCTTCTTTTGAGAAGTGTCTGTTCGTATCCTTCGCCCACTTTTTGATGGGGTTGTTTTTTTCTTGTAAATTTGTTTGAGTTCATTGTAGATTCTGGATATTAGCCCTTTGTCAGATGAATAGACTGTAAACATTTTCTCCCATTCTGTATGTTGCCTGTTCACTCTGATGGTAGTTTCTTTTACTATGCAGGAACTCTTTAGTTTAGTTAGATCCCATTTGTCTACTTTGGCTTTTGTTGCCATTGCTTTTGGTGTTTTAGACATGAAGTCCTTGGCCATGCCTATGTCCTGAATGGTACTGCCTAGGTTTTCTTCTAGGGTTTTTATGGTTTTAGGTCTGGCAGAGACACAACAAAAAAGAGAATTTTAGACCAATATCCCTGATGAACATCGATGCAAAAATCCTCAATAAAATACTGGCAAACCAAACCCAGCAGCACATCAAAAAGCTTATCCACCATGATCAAGTGGGCTTCATCCCTGGGATGCAAGGCTGGTTCAACATATGCAAATCAGTATACATAATCCATCACATAAACAGAACCAAAGACAAAAACCGCATGATTATCTCAATAGATGCAGAAAAGGCCTTTGACGAAATTCAACAGCCCTTCATGCTAAAAACTCTCAATACATTAGGTATTGATCGAAGTATCTCAAAATAATAAGAGGTATTTTTGACAAACCCACGGCCTATATCATACTGAATGGGCAAAAACTGGAAGCATTCCCTTTGAAAACTGGCACAAGACAGGGATGCCCTCTCTCACCACTCCTATTCAACATAATGTTGGAAGTTCTGGCCAGGGCAATCAGGCAGGAGAAAGAAATAAAGGGTATTCAATTAGGAAAAGAGGAAGTCAAATTGTCCCTGTTGGCAGATGACATGATTGTATATCTAGAAAACCCCATTGTCTCAGCCCAAAATCTCCTTAAGCCGATAAGCAACTTCAGCAAAGTCTCAGGATACAAAATCAATGTGCAAAAATCACAAGCATTCTTATATACCAATAACAGACAGACAGCCAAATCATGAGTGGACTCCCATTCACAATTGCTTCAAAGAGAATAAAATACCCAGGAATCCAACTTACAAGGGATGTGAAGGACCTCTTCAAGGAGAACCACAAACCGGTGCTCAACAAAATAAAAAGGACACAAACAAATGGAAGAACATTCCATGCTCATGGATAGGAAGAATCAATATCGTGAAAATGGTCATACTGCCCAAGGTCATTTATAGATTCAATGCCATCCCCATGAAACTACCAATGACTTTCTTCACAGAATTGGAAAAAACTACTTTAAAGTTCATATGGAACCAAAAAAGAGCCCACTTTGCCAAGTCAATCCTAAGCCAAAAGAACAAAGCTGGAGGCATCATGCTACCTGACTTCAAACTATACTACAAGGCTACAGTAACCAAAACAGCATGGTACTGGTACCAAAACAGAGATACAGACCAATGGAACAGAACAGAGCCCTTAGAAATAATACCACACATCTACAACTATCTGATCTTTGACAAACCTAACAAAAACAAGAAATGGGGAAAGGATTCCCTATTTAACAAATGGTGCTGGGAAAACTGGCTAGCCTTATGTAGGAAGCTGAAACTGGATCCCTTCTTTACACCTTATACAAAAATTAATTCAAGATGGATTAAAGACTTAAATGTTAGACCTAAAACCATAAAAACCCTAGAAGCGGTTTTTGATTTTCTGTTCCTGCATTGGTTTGCCAAGGATAATGGCCTTCAGTTCCATCCATACTTCTGCAAAGTACATAAGCTTGTTCTTTATTATGGCTGCATAGTATTCCATAGTGTATATGTACAATATTTTCTTTATCCAGTCTACCATTGATGGTCATTTAGGTTGATTCCATGTCTTTGCTATTGTGAATAGCACTGCAATGAACATATGTGTGCATGTGTCTTTTTAATAGAATGATTTACCTTCCCTTGAGTATATACCCAGTAATGTGATTGCTGGGTTACATGGCATTTTTTCTAATACTCTGTTGAACAGGTGTAGTGAGAGAGGGCATCCTCATCTTGTGCCGATTTAGAAGGGGAATGCTTCCAGCTTTTGCCCATTCAATGTGACATTGGCTGTGGGTTTGTCATATATGGCTCTTATTATTTTGAGGTATGCTCCTTCAGTACCTAGTTTATTAAGGGTTTTTAATATGAATGGGTATTGAATTTTATCAAATGCCTTTTCTGCATCTATTGAGAAAATCACGTGGTGTTTGTCTTTAGTTCAGTTTATGTGATGAATCATTTTTATTGATTTGCATATGTTGAACCAACCTTGCATCCCAGGGATAAAGCCTACTTAATTGTGGTGGATAAACTTTTTGATGTGCTGCTGGATTTGGTTTGCCAGTATTTTGTTGAGAATTTTTGCATTGATATTCATCAAGGATATTGACCTGAAATTTTCTTTTTTTGTTGTATGTCTGCCAGGTTTTGGTATCAGAATGATGCTGGTCTCATAAAATGGATTAAAGAGAAGTCTCTCCTCCTCAGTTTTTTGGAATTGTTTCAGTAGGAATGGTACCAGCTCTTGTTTGTACATCTGATATAATCAGTTGTGAATATGTCTGGCTCTGGGCTTTTTTTGGTTGATAGGCTATTTATTACTGCCTCGATTTCAGAGCCTATTAATTGATCTATTCAGGGATTCAATTTCTTTCTGGTTCATACCAGGGAGGGTGTATGTGTCCAGTGATTTATCTATTTTTTCTAGATTTTCTAGTTTACCTACATAAAGGTGTTCATAATATTATCTGATGGTTGTTTGTCTTTCTGGGGGTCAGCGGTAAAATCCCCCTTGTTGTTTCTAGATGTGTTTATTTTAATCTTCTCTTCTTTCTTCTTGATTGGTTTAGCTAGTCTTCTATCTATATGATTAATTTTTTCAAAAACCAGTTCCTGAATTTGTTGATACTCTGAATGGTTTTTCATGTCTCAACCCCCTTCAGTTCAGCTCTGATTTTGGTTAATTTCTTATCTTTTGCCAACTTTGGGATTGATTTGCTTTTGATTCTCTAGTTCTTTTAGTTGTGATGTTACATTTTTAAATGGATATTTTTCTAACTTTTTGATGTAGACATTTAGTACTATAAATTTCCCTCTTAGCACTGCTTTGGCTGTGTCTCAGAAATTTTGGTATGTTGTATCTTTGTTCTTATTAGCTTCAATAAATGTTTCCTTTCTGCTTTAATTTTATAACTTACCTGAGAGTCATTCAGGAGCAGATTATTGCATTTTCATGTAAAAGTATAATTTTGAGTGAATTTCTTAGTCTTCAGTTCTAATTGGATTGCATTGTTTATATGGTTTGGCTATGTTGTCACCCAATTCTCATCTTGAACTGTAGTCCTTGTAATCCCCACGTGTCATGGAGGGACTCAATGGGAGATAATTGAATCATGGGGGTGGGCTTTTCCTATACTGTTCTCGTAATAGTGAATAAACCTCATGACATCTGATGGTTTTATAAAGGGCAGTTCCCCTGCACACAAGCTCTTGCCTGCTGCCATGTAAGATGTGCCTGTGCTCCTCCTTTGCATTCTGCTATGATTGTGAGGCCTCTCCAGCCATGTGGAACTGTGAGTCCATTAAACCTCTTTTTCTTTATAGCCAGTCTTGGGTACATCTTTTTTTTTTTTTTTTTTTTTTTTTTTTTTTTTTTTTTTTTTTTTTGAGACGGAGTCTTGCTCTGTCACCCAGGCTTTAGTGCAGTGGCATGATCTTGGCTCAATATAACCTCCACCTCCTGGGTTCAAGCAATTCTCCTGCCTCAGCCTCCTGAGTAGCTGGGATTACAAGCATGCACCACCACACCTGGCAAATTTTTTTATTTTTAGAAGAGATGGGGTTTTCTCATGTTGGCCAGGCTGGTCTTGAACTCCTGACCTCAAGTGATATGCCCACCTTGGCCTCCCAAAGTGCTGGGATTACAAGTGTAAGCCACTGCGCCTGGCCTGGTATGTCTTTATTAGCAGAGTGAGAATAGACTAATACTGTAAATTATAACTGTGAGTGGGGCACTGCTGTAAAGATACCTGAAAATGTGGAAGCAACTTTGGAACTGGGTAACAGGCAGAGGTTGGAACAGTTTTGAGGACTCAGAAGAAGACAGGAAAATGTGGGAAAGTTTGGAAATTCCTACAGACTTGGCTCAGAATACAGGAAGATGTGGGAAAGTTTGGAACTTCCAAGAGACTTGTTGAATGGCTTTGACCAAAATGCTGGTAGTGATATGGACAATAAAGTCCAGGCTGAGGTGGTCTCAGATGGAGATAAGGAACTAGGGAAGTATGACAAAGGAGACTATTGTTGTACAAAGAGACTGGCGACATTTTGCTCCTATCCTAGAGATTTGTGGAATTTTGAATTTGAGAGAGATGATTTAAGATATCTAGTAGAAGAAATTTCTAAGTGGCAAAGTGTTCAAGAGGAAGCAGAGCATAAAAGTTTGAAAAATTTGCAGCCTGACAATGCAATAGAAATGAAAGACCCGTTTTCTGAGGAGAAATTCAAGCCAGCTGCAGAAATTTGCATAAGTAACGATAAGCCAAATGCTAATCACCAAAACAATGGGGAAAGTGTCTCCAGGGCGTGGCAGAGACCTTCACAGCAGCCCCTTCCATCACAGGCCTGGAGATCTAGGAGGGGAAAATGGTTTCTTGAGCCACGTCTGGGTGCCCCCCACCCTGTGCTGTGTGAAGCCTAGGGATTTGGTTCCCTGTGACAGCCAATCTAGCTGTGGCTAAAAGGGGCCAAGGTATAGTTTGGGCCATGGCTTCAGAGGGTGCAAGCCCCAAGCCTTGGCAACTTTCATGTGGTGTTAGGCCTCTGGTGTACAGAAGTCAAGAATTGAGGTTCGGGAACCTCTACCTAGATTTCAGAGGATGTATGGAAATGTCTGGATGTTCAGGCAGAAATTTGCTGCAGGGGCAGGGCCTGCATGAAGAACCTGTGCTATGGCAGTATGGAAGGGAAGTGTGGGGTTGGAGCAACCACACAGAATCCCCACTGGGGCACTACCTATGGGAGCTGTCAGAAGAAGGCCACTGTCCTCTAGACCCCAGAATGGTAGATCCACTGACAGCATGTGCTGTGTGCCTGGAAAAGCCACAGAAACTCAACACCAGCCCATGAAATCAGTGGGAGGGGAGCTGTACCCTGCAAAGCCACAGGGTCAGAGCTGTCCAAGACCATGGGAAGCCACCTCTTGCATCAGTATGACCTAGATGTGAGACTTGGAGTCAAGGAGATTATTTTGGAACTTCAAGGTGTAATGACTGCCCTATTGGATTTCAAACTTGTGTGGAGCCTGCAGCTCCTTTATTATGGCCAATTTATCTCATTTCTTGTGATAGTAAATAAGTCTCATGAGATCTGATAGTTTCATAAAGGGAAGTTCACCTGCATACACACTCTTACCTGCTGCCATGTAAGACGTGCCTTTGCTCCTCCTTTGCACTCAATCATGATTGTGTGGCCTCTCCAGCCACGTGGAACTGTGAATCCATTAAACCTCTTTTTCTTTATAAATTACCCAGTCTTGGGTATGTCTTTATTAGCAGCATGAGAACAGACTAATACAGCAGTGGTCCAAGAGATAGTTTGTTTTGATTCCAGTTCTTTTGCATTTGCTAGGGAGTGATTTACTTCCAATTATGTGACTGATTTTAGAGTATGTGCCATGTGGCAATAAGAAGAATGCATATTCTGTTATTTTGAGGTGGAGAATTCTGTAGATGTCTACTAGGTCCGTTTGATCCAGTACTGAGTTTAGGTCCTGAATATCTTTGTTAATTTTCTGTCTCTAATACTGTCAGTGGAGTGTTGAAGTCTCACACTATTATTTTGTGGGAGTCTATGTTTCTTTGTAGATCTCTAAGAATTGCTTTATGAGTCTGGGTCCTCTTGTGTTGGGTGCATATTTATTTAGGACAGTTATATCTTCTTGTTGAATTTAACCCTTTACTATTATGTAATGCACTTCTTTGTCTTTTTTGATCTTTGTTGGTCTGTTTTGTCAGAAATTAGGATTTCTATCCCTGCTTTTTTCTGTTTTCTGTTTGCTTGGTAGATTTTTCTCCATTTCTTGATTTTGTGACTCTCTGTGTCACTGCATGTGAGATGGTTTTCTTGAAGACAGTATACCAACGGGTCTTGGTTCTTTATCCAGCTCACCACTGTGCACCTTTTAGTTGGGGAATTTAACTCATTTACATTCAAGTTTAGTGTTGATATGTGTGGATTTGATCATGTCATCATGTTTTCAGCTTGTTATTTTTCAGACTTGTTTATGCTCAGCACAGTTCTTGATGTGGCTGCTTTATAGTGTCACCGGTTTGTGTACTCCAGTGTGTTTTTGTAATGGCTAGTAATGGTCTTTTCTTTCCACATTTAGTGCTTCCTTCACATGCTCTTGTAAGGGGGGTCTGGTGGTAATGAATTCCCTCAGAATTTGCTTGTCTGAAAAGAATTTTATTTCTCCTTCACTTACGAAGCTCAGTTTAGCCAGGTATAAAATTCTGGGTTAAAATTTCTTTTCTTTGAAAATGTTGAATATTGACCCTCAGTCTCTTTTGGCTTGTATGGTTTCTGCTGACATGTCCACTGTTAGTCTGATGGACTTCCCTTTGTAGGTGATCTGACCTTTCTCTCTAGCTGCTTTGAACATTTTTTGTTTCATTTTGACTTTGAAGAATCTGATGACTATGTGTCTTGGGGATCATCTTTTTGTGAAGTATCTTACTGAGGTTCTTTGCACTTCATGAATTTGACTGTTGTCTTCTCTAGCTATGTTGGGGATGTTCTTATGGATTATATCCAGAAATATATTTTTCAAGTTGGTTCTATTCTCTCCATCTCTTTAAGGGACACCAATGAGTTCACAGATTGGGTCTCTTTACATAATCCCATATTTCTCAGAGATTTTGTTTGTTCCTTTTCATTATTTTTTCTCTATTCTTTTCTGACTATCTTATTTCAGAAAGTGAGCCTTCAAGCCATGAGATTCTTTCCTCTCCTTGGTCTATTATGCTATTAATACTTATGCTTGCATTATGAAATTCTTGTAGTGAGTTTTCAGCTCTATCAGATTGGTTACATTCTTTTCTGTACTGGCCATTTGGTTTGTCAGCTTCTCCATTGCTTTATCATGATTTGTAGCTTTCTTGAATTGTGTTTCAGCATATTCCTATAACTCAGTGATCTTTCTTCTTAACCATATTCTGAGTTCTATTTCTGTTGTTTAAGCCATTTCAGCCCTGTTCAGAACCCTTGCTGGAGAGGTGATATGGTTGCTTAGAGGAAGGAAGGCACTCTGGCTTTTTGAATTTTCAGAGTTCTTGCACTGATTCTTTCTCATATTTGTGGGCTTATCTTCCGGTGATGTTGGCTTAAGTGCAGGGCACTGGCGAGCACAGTTCTGTGTGCCTTCTCTATGCCCTGCAAGCAGGAGTGATTTCTCAGGGCAGAGAAGGATCTATTGTTCTCTGCGTGGTGTTAGTGCAAGAACAGGCAACTGGTGGGGCTGGGACTGGCTGTCTCTGTCCCCGGCAAGACTCAGTCTGTGATGGTGGTTACCATTGGGAGGGGTGAGGACCGCATGTATTCCTGTGCGCTGGCAGGACAAGGAAAGCAAAATCTGCCACCTGCAGGCAGACACCAGCAAAGCAATGTGGGGAGTAGCAATGGATGTGGGGGAAGCTTCAGTATGGGGAGGGAGAATGCAGGCTGGTGTGTGGCTGTAGGGGCTGCTCTGCTGGATCTCTTCACCAGTCAGGCATGAGTCTGCCAGTGCAGAAGCTATGGGGTGGGCCTCCAGGGTATGCAAGGTTTCCCTGCAAGCAGCTATGGTCAGTCAGGGCCCTGGGAGAGGTCAGCAGACCAAGAGGTGCTCAGATTGGACCAGCCCTATCTGATGGGCAAGACTGCCCCATAGAGTTCAGGACTTGACAGTTCCACTAGGGCTAAAGTCTCCTATAGGAGCAAGTCAAGCCTAGGGATGGTCATCACTGGCTGTACTCTGCTACAGATGCTCCCGCACCAAACCTTCTGGGCTCCACATCAGCTGGCTTGCTGCCCCTACCACTTCCCTAAGCAGCTCTCCCTGCCAACTCAAGTGTCTGTGATGGTAAAGAGGTCTCCTCCTACTGGTTTCCAGACACCTGTGGGGAAAGCAGGTTGCTCCTTACCAGTTCAACTCACCCATTCTCCTGGAGCCATTGGGAGCTAGGAAGGAGTCTGGGTGTGCTGTAGCCCCATGTAGGGTTCCCCGCTTTCTCCCCCTTCAGCTCAGCTTCTGTGTCTTCTATCCACCCATACTCTGTGCCTTCTCTCTGCAGATTTGTTAGGAGCATGCTAGTCATCTCAGTTCCTCAGTTGGAGCTGCTTGACCCAGCTGCATCTAGTCAGCCCTCTTGCCCTCCCAAATTCTCCTTTTTAATATAGGCATTTATTGCTATAATCTTGCTTCTTAGCACTGCTTTTTCTATATACCACAGGTTTTGGTATGTTGTGTTTCCATCTTCACTTTTTTCATGGAATTTTTAAATTTTCAAATTTTCATTTTAACTCTTTTCTTTACCCTGTGGTCATTTAGGAGCATGTTGTTTAATTTCCATGTGTTTGTATTATTTCCAGTGTTCTTCTTGGTATTGATTTTTAATTCTATTCCATTTCCATCTATGAAGATATTTGATATGATTTTGACTTTTAACAATTTGCTGAGACGTATTTTGTGACCTAATGTATGCTCTATTCTGGAGAATGTTCCATTGCTGATAAAAAGAATGTATTTTGCTGCTATTGTAAAGGTCTCTTAGGGTCAGTTGACCTAAATACAGTTTAAGTCCAACATTTATTTTTTGATTCTCCATCTAGATGATCCATCTAATGCCGATATGAGGTGGTAAAGACCCCACTATTATGTTTCCGTCCTCTCTTTAGGCCTAGTAGTATTTGAATCTGGGTGCTCTAGTGTTGGGTGTATATATATTTAGAATTGTTATATTCTTTCACTGGATTAATTCCTTTGTCATATAATGATTTTCTTCATCTTTTTTTTCTGTTCTCGACTAAAACTCCATGTTACATAAACATAGCTACTTCTGCTCACTTTTTGTTTCCACTTGTGTGGAATATGCTTTTTCATCTCTTCATTTTAGTCTGTATGTGTCTTTACCAGTAAGGACAGTTTCTTGTAAGTAGCATATAGTTGGATCATGCTTTTAATTTCATTCAGCCATTCTATATCTTTTAAGAGAAAAATTTAATCCACTTATGTTCAAGGTTATTATTGATATGTGAGGACCTGTCATATTGTTAATTGTTTTCTCATTGTTTATACATTCTTTGATCCTTTATTTATCTCTTATACATTGTTGTTGATGATTTGTTTGGGAAGCATAGGAGACCCAGGGTCACACCATTTTAAAATCAACTCCACCTTAAAATTAGCAAGGCAAATTCTTTGTCGGACATGACCAATGGTCATAAGATGTTTATGACTGATGAAGGAGGTTAATAATGCTGTAAGGACAAACTTCTACAACAAGAAAATGTCCAGGTGCCCTGATACTAGCAAGGCACATTCTTTGCCAGTCATGACCCATGGTCATAAGATGTTTATAACTGATGAAATAGCTTAATAATTTATGTGAGGACAAACCCCTACACCAACAAAATGTCCACATGCCCTGACACATAAAAATATAATGCTTTTAACTTGCTGTTGTAAATGTTTTGTGACTGAATATTGTCCTGCAACCATATTCATATTCCATCATATCTTTCTTTTATTGTTCGTAAATGAAGATTGAGTCATCATTTCAACACTCAGAATGAAGAATAAGTATAATACATAGAGTTTAGAAGTGCAGTAATTGAAATAATCCACAGTATTACTGTGAGATGTCAGGTCTCCATGAGTCTTGTTTACTTTCTTTTTTCTCTCTAATTTTAAAGGGATCTAAAAAACCACAGATGTACTTAGGTGAATGGATATAGAATTCACATCTATGACAGTATTGCCTGTCAAGGAGATCAAATCCATTCAGTTAATCTGCCATTTCTCAATGTTAAGAGGGAGCGAAAATATTTTTAAAAAGTTTTAGTTTACATGATGGCCAAAATGGCTGACTGGAAGCAGTTAGTGTGCACTACTTTCACAAAGAGAAGAAAAAGTGGTGAATAAATACTACATCTTCAATTGAAACACCCAGGTGGGCACAAACCCAGGGATTCATCAAACAAACAACTCAACCCAAGGAGAACACAGAGGAGCAAGAATAGATTAATGCCTACCTGACAGTGGCATGGAGCCAGAGGAGGCTCCCCGACCACTGGGAAATGGTGAGAGAATGAGAAACCCTGGGACACACACTTGGTCCATAGATCTTTGCAAGCCCTGGTCTCAGGAGATGCCCTTGTGAGCTCATCCCACAAAAACCTTCAGACTGATATGCAAAGCTATGGGAGTCTCAGCAGAGCCACTGCTGAGGCATAGCCAAAGTCCCAAAAGCCTTTGATCCCCAGGCATTCCAGCATTAGTGGCTTCAGCTCTGGCAAAGGGGGAAGTTAGTCTCCTTTACACACATCCAGGAAAGGAGCCAAATCCAGGGGGTTGAGCAGCAACTGTCTACAGGCTTCACTTACACTGCACCTCACAGGATGAGACCCATTGGTCTAGGACTCCAGCCTCCCACCACTGGGGTTATGAGGCTAGTAGCAGCTCTGCACTTCCCCAGGACAGATCTCCAGGGCAAGGGGGCAGCAACTTTCCTGCCTTGCAGCCCTCACTGTTGTTGCCTTCAGGCTCTGGAGAGCCTACAGTGACTAGGGACTGGCACAAACCCCCAGCACAGCACAGCTGTCCCACAGAAAAATGGCCAGACTCTTTTTTTTATGTGGATCCCACATTTCTCCTCAGTGGATGGGAGCTCCCAACCTGGGACTCCAACCACTTCCCATCAGGGCTCTCAGGTTGGTAGCAGCTCTGCATTTCCATGACACAGAGCCCCTAAAGGGAGTGGTAGGCTGCCATCTTTGCTTTCTCACAGCCCTCACTATTGTTGCCTTCAGGCTCTGGAGAGTATGTGGTGACGAGGGACTAACATGTAACCCTAGCACAGTGCAGCTGCTTCATCAAAAAGTGGCCAGACTGTTTTACATGCAGGTTCTCATCCCAACTTCTCCTTAGTTGGTGAGGCCTCCTAACCTTGGACTCCAGCACAACCACCCTGCCCCCACTTGAACACTTCAGTTGGGGGCAGCTCAGCATTTCTCTGAGGAGGAAATCTCAGAGTCAACCCACAACCTCTTGGCCATTGCAGCTGCAGTAGTACTGCCCTAACCACCTTTCGGCTGAGGAAGGAACAAAGGGCCTAGTCACTTCACTGGCACCCAAGCACTCCACAGCCACCATACAGAGAGGAGTTCAGTCTACCTTCCCTGTGAGCCCCCAGCACCCACTCTTCAGCAGGCAGGGCCCCTGCTCAGGTCCACAGTTTAGATGCCCCACAAACAGCTGAGAATACCCACTGGTAGTGGCTCTGAATTTCCTGGGAAGGGGCTCCAAGAGGCAATCAATGTTCCTTTCTGCCACTGTCACAACAATGTTCTGTCTCTTCTGTTCACAGGCTGGGGAAGAAACTGAGCCTGAGGGCTTCACCCAAGCTTACAGCACACCATAGTCACTATACAGAGAGGAAGCCAGTCTCTCCTCCCTGTAAACCCTCAACCCCCAAGTCCCCAACTAGGAGGGGTCCTCAGCTCAGGCTACCAGTGCAGCCACCTCAACCCCTGGCTGAACATTCCCAGGAACTGTGGCTATATGGTTCTCAGAGGTAGAGTTCCCAGAGGCTACTGAAAACCCCTCTACCACTGCCACTGCAGTGGTACTGCCCTTTCTGCCCTTGCCCTGGGGAATGAGCAAAGACCCTTAGTGCTTCAACTGCACCTTGAGCAAGCATTAATTGCCCTATGGAGAGGTTACTGGTCTGTCTGCCCTCTTTCCCCGCCACTCACTTGTCACAAGGTATGCCTCCCTGGCTTGGGCTCACAGGACAGCTGCCGCAACCCAAGTTGATCACACTGACTGATAGCAGCTCCACACCTCTCAAGATGGAGCCCCAAAAGATAAGTGAAAGACTCTCTATCACAACCACTGCAAAGTTCCTTTCCCCTGTTACCTCTAAGCTTGGGAGGGAACATAAAGCCTGACATTGCCCCAGAGCTGAGATACACAGCCCAGCAGTGTTAAATTGACATCTTCAGCCAGCACTGAAGTGAGAGAGGAACTCTTACTTTCAGAGTGCTGAGAAGGAGCATGGCTATAGTCATGAAGAAATACAGAGAAGCCATGTGACTGAGCAAAAGCTTGCCTACTGGCCATTACACTTAAGTACCACCTACTGGATTGCAGCCCAAAATTTCAACACCAAAAATAATTTGTTAATATACCCTTCTGTGATATCAATGACAAGAATTCAGCTAAAAATAAGGACCCTGCAAAAAGCTTTGGCCCTCTGAAAGCATCTAAAAAAGAAGTCTACTGGTGGTCTTCAATTTATACCACAGTTAAAGGTAAACCCATCCACACAGATGAGAAAGAACAAATAAAAGAACTCTAGCAAATCACAAAGCCAGAGTGTCTTATTCCCTGAAAATGGCTATACTAGTTTCTGAGCAAGGATTCTTAACTGGGCTGAAATAGCTGAAATGACAAAAATAGAATTCAGATTATGGATAGGAATGAAGATCATCGAGATTTGGGAGACCATTAAATAATTCAATACAAAAAATCTAACAATCACAATAAAATAATACAGGAGCTAATAGATTAAATCATATTTTTAAAAAACATCTGATAGAGCTGAAAAATACACTACAAGAATTTTGTAATACAGTCACAAGTATTAGCAGCAGAATAGATCAAGTGGAGGAAAAAAATCTCAGAGCTTGCAGGTTGACTCTGAAATAACTCAGTCAGCCAGAAATAAAGCAAAAACAATAAAAAAGAATGAACAAAATATCAGAGCAACATAGAATAATATGAAGAGACCAAATCTATGACTTATTGGTGTCCCTGAAAGAGCCAGAGAGAAAGCAAGCAACTTGGAAAACACATAATCTTGAGATTCTCTAGTATCAAAATAAAAGAAAAAAATGTCAAAGGCAGATAGAGAGAAAGGTACGGTCACCTACAAAGAGAACTCCATCAGGCTAACAGTGGACCTTTCAGCAGAAACTCTACAAGCCAGAAGAGATTGGGAACCTATATTCAACATTCTTAAAGAAAAAATTTCCAACCAAGAATTTCATATCCAACTAAAATAATCTTCATAAGTGAAGGAGAAATAGAATCCTTTTCAGAGAAGCAATGTTGAGGAAATTCATTACCACCAGGCCTGCCTTAGAAGAGGTCCTGAAAGATGCTCTAAATATGGAAAGAAAATACTCTTACTAGCCACTACAAAAACACACTTAAGTACACAGACCAGTGACACTATAAAGCAAGCACACAAGTCTGCAAAATAACCAGCTGAAAACATGGTGACAGGATCAAATCCATACATATTAACACTAACTTTGAATGTAAATGAGCTAAATGCCCCAATTAAAAGGCCCAGAATGGCAAACTGGTTAAAAAACCAAGATGTATTGGTATGCTGTCTTCAAGAGACACATCTCACATGCAGTGACACACATAGGTGCAAAATAAAGGCATGAAGAAAAATCTACCAAGCAAATTGAAAACAGAAAAAAGCAGGGATAGTAATCCTAATTTCAGACAAAATAGAATTTCAACCAACAAGAATTAAAAAGACAAAGAAGGGTATACATAATGGTAAAAGATTCAATTCAACAAGAACATGTAACTGTCCTAAATACGTATGCACCCAACACAAGACCACCCAGATTGATAAAGTTCTTGGAGACCCAAAAGGTGACCTATATTGTCACACAATAATAGTGGGAGACTTCAACAATCCACTTACAGTTTTAGAACATTGAGGAAGAAAATCGACAAACATATTTAGGAGCTGAACTCAATTCTTGACCAAAGAGACTAAATAGACATCTATAAAACTCTTCACCCAAAACAACAGAATATATATTCTTTTCATTGCCACATGGCACATACTCTAAAATCAACTACACAATCAGACATAAAACAATCCTCAAATATTTTAAAAAATTGAAATAATACCAACCACATTTCTCAGCCAATGGCACAGTAAAAATAGAAATCAATACAAAGAAAGTCACTCTAAATCAGAAAATTACATGGAAATTAAACAATCTGCTCCTGAATGACTTTGGAGTAAATAATGAAACTGAAGCAGAAATCAAGAAGTTCTTTAATAGTAATGAAAACAAAAATAAAACATACCAGAATATCTGGGGCACAGCTAAGGCAGTATTAAGAGGGAAATTTATAGCAGTAAATGCCTACATCAAAAAGTTAGAAAGATCTCAAATTAGCAACCTAACATTGCAGCTAGAAGAAATACAGAGGCGAGAGCAAATCAACCCCAGAGCTAGCAGAAGACAAGAAATAACCAAAATTAAAGCTGACCTGAAAGAAACTGAGACACAGAAAACCATACAATAGATCAAGAAATCTAGAAGTTGTTTTTTTGAAAACTAATAAAATAGATACACCACTAGGTAGAGTAATAAAGAAGAAAAGATAGGAGACCCAAATAAACACAATTAGAGTTAACAAAGGGTACATTACCACTGACCCTGCAGAAATACAGAAAGAAAAATCAAACACTGCTATGAACACCTCTATGCATACAAACTAGAAAATCTAGAAGAAATGGATAAATTCCTGGACACATACACCCTCCCAAGACTAAACCAGGAAAGATTTTAATCCCTAAACAGGCCAATAATAAGTTTCAAAATCAAATCAGTAATAAAAAGTCAACCAATCAAAAAAAGTCAGGACCCAACAGACTCACAGCAGAATTCTACCATGTGTATAAAGAAGAGCTGTTACCATTTCTACCAAAATTATTCGAAAAATACTGAGGGAGGAGCTCCTCTCTAGCTCATTCTATGAGGCCAGCATCATTTGGATACCAAAACCTGACAGAGACACAACAAAAAAAGAAACTTCAGGCCAATATCCTTGATGAACATTGATACAGAAATCCTCAACAAAATACTGGCAAACCAAATCCAGCACACATCAAAAAGCTTATACACCATGATCAAGTAGGCTTTATCCTTGGGATAAAGGATGGGTCAACATATGAAAATCAATAAATGTGATTCATCACATGAACAGAACTAAAGATAAAACCCACATGATTATTCCAATAGATGCAAAAACAGCTTTTGATAAAATTCAATATCTTTTCATGCTAAAAACCCTCAATAAAATAGACATTGAAGGAATATACTTTAAAATAATAATAGCCATCTGTGACAAACCCACAGTCAGCATCACACTGAATGAGCAAAAGCTGGAAGCATTCTCCTTTAAAACAAACACAAGGATGCCCTGTCTTACCACATGTAGTTAACATAGTATTGACCAGAGCAATCAGGCAACAGAAAGAATAAAAGGCATCCAAATAGGAAGAAAGAAAGTTAAACTATCCCTGTTTGTAGATGCCATGAGTCTATATCTAAAAAACTTCATCATCTCGGCACAAAAGCTCCTTCAGCTGATAAACAACTTCAGTAAAATCTCAGGATACAAAATCAATTGCACAAATTATTAACATTCCTGTACATCAACAACAGTCAAACTGAGAGCCAAATCAGGAGTGCAATCCCATTCACAATTGCCACAAAAGAATAAAATACCTAGGAATACTATTAGATCTCTACACTTAGAATTATAAAACTCTGCTCAAAGAAATCAGAGATGGCACAAATGGAAAAAGTTTCCATGCTTATTGTTAGAAAGAATCAATATTGTTAAAATGGCTGAACTGCTCAAAGCAATGTGCAGATTCAATGTTATTTCTATCAAACTACAGATGACTTACTTCATAGAACTAGGAAAAAATATTTTAAAATTTATATGAAAGCTACAAAGAGTCTGGATAGCCAAGGTAGCCCTAAGCAAAAATAATAAAGCTGGAGGTATCTTGTTGCCTGACTTTAAATTATACTACAAGTCTATGTTAACCAAGACAGTCTGGTACTGGTTTAAAAAACAAAACAAAACATATAGACCAATGGAGCAGAATAGAGAGCCAGAAATAGTGCTGCACATCTAAAATCATTGGATCATTGACAAACCTGATAAAACCAAGCAATGGTGAAATGACTTCCTATTCAATAAGTTGTACTGCAATAATTGGCAAACCATATGCAGAAGATCAAAACTGAACTCCTTCCTTACACCAGATACAAAAATCAACTCAAGATGGGTTAAAGACTTAAATATAAAACCTAAAACTATATAAACCCTGGAAGATAAAAGTCAATACCATTCAGGAAATAGGAATGGGCAAAGATTTTGTGACAAAGACACCAAAAACAATTGCAATAAAAGCAAAAATTCACAAATGGGATCTAATTAAAGAGCTTCCACACAGCGAGAAACTATCAACAGAGTAAACAGACATCATACAGAGTAGGAGAAAATATTTGCAAACTCTGCATCTGGCAAAGGTCTAATATCCAGAATCTATAAGGAACTTAAAGAAATTTACTAGCAAAAACCAAACAACTCCCTTTAAAAGTGGGTAAATGACATAAACAGACACTTTTCAAAAGAAGACATGTATTTGGCTAAAAAGCATATGAAAAAATGCTCAACATCACTAAACATTAGAGAAATGAAAATCAAACCAACAATATGACACCATCTCACACCAGTTTGAATGGCTGTAATTAAAAAGTAAAAAAAAACAAAAAACAAAACAACAAAAAAAACTTTGACTTTAGACAGCCATAGGGAATACCTTTTTGCATTGTATTACCTGGCTTCTTTCAGCCACCTACATCTAAATGTTGAAATCTCTTGCTACACTTTGGAAATTTTCATCTATTATTTCATTAAATAGGTTTTCTAATCTTTGTTTCTTCACCCTTAGTAATACTGACAATTTGTTTATCTTGTCATGTTATGTTGTCCCAAATGTCACAAAGGCTTTGCTCTTTCTTTTTTATTATTTTTTGTTTACTTTTGTCTGACTGGATTATTTCAAAAGACCTATCTTCAAGTTCTAAGATTCTTTCTTCTGCTTGGTCTAGTCTACTGTTGACCCTTTCAAATGTATTTTATATTTCCTTTAATGGATTCTTCAATTCTAAACTTTTATTTGGTTCTTATTGAAAATATCTGTTGCTTTGGTAAATTTCTCATTCATATTCTGAATTTTTTAAGTATTTTTGTGTTATTTTTCAGAATTCTCTTGAATATCACTGAGATCCCTTAAAATCAATGTTTTTGGCCAGGCATTGTGGCTCACACCTCAGTACTTTGGGAGGCTGAGGTGAGTGGATCTCTCAAACTCAGGAATTTGAGACCAGCATAGGAGACATGGTGAAACCCTACCTCTAAAAAAAAAATTAGCCAAGCATGATGGCACATGCATGTAGTCCCAGATACTTGGGAGGCTGAGGTGAGAGGATTACTTGAATCCAGGAGGTGGAGGTTGCAGTGAGCTGAGATCACACTTCTGTACTCCAGCCCTGGGCAACACAGTGAGATCCTGTCTCAAAAAAAAAATCAATATTTTGAAAAAAACAATATTTTGAATTCTTTATTGGGAAATTAAATTTTCTTTTTGATTAACATCTATTGGCCAGGCATGGTGGCTCACGCCTGTAATCCCAACACTTTGGGAGGCCTAGGCTTGCAGATCACCTGACGTCAGGAGTTCAAGACCAGCCTGGCCAACATGGTGAAACCCCATCTCTACTAAAAATAAAAAAATTAGCTAGGCACAGTGGCACATGCCTGTAGTCCCAGCTGCTGGGGAGGCTGAGGCAGGAGAATTGCTTGAACTCAAGAGGCAGAGCTGCAGTGAGCTGAGATTGTGCCACTGCATTCCAGCCTGGGCAACAGAGCCAGACTCCATCTCAGGAAAAAAAAGAAAAGATCTATTGCTGGATAATTAATGTGTTCCTCTGGAGGTGTCATATTTTCTTGCTTTTTGTGTTTCCAGCGTGCCTACATTGATGTCCACACATGTAGTATAACAGTTGCTTCTTCCATTTTGACATTTACTTTTAGTAGAGGAGGACTGTTTTCTGGAGATGTATCTATGGTATTCAGTGGGTAGGGCACTTTGGCTGTGATTCTGGGTACACAGTAGCATAGTCTCTGGGTGATTTATTTGGCTGTAAACAACATTAGTAGTATTTGTGATTTCCTTGGTGAGTTAGGGTGCAGTCATTAATGGAGATTGGTGAAATTTTGCTGTGGACTAGTATGTTTTGTGGGCCAGTCTTTAGGCCACAGCGGTGGTAGCAGTTGGCTGAGTATGCCTATCTTTATGCCCTAGGGAAGTGCACACTGCTACATGTCTTGGTTTTTACCAGTGTGTTAATTCTTGGGCCTCTAGGCAGCATGCTTGGAGGCCAGTAGTGGCAATGGTAGATCAATAGGTGGGCAGGTTCTCAGGCCTCTAGACAGTTGACATGACATGGGCATTCATAGTAGCACTGGAGAGAAAATTCTCTGGGTCCCTAGCAGTGTGTGTTGATGTTGGCAGTGGCTACAGTGGGCTGGGTGCACTGGTATCCAGGCCCACAGCATATCCATTTGAGAGGTAGGTGCCACCTGAAGGGGTAGCAGCTAGGAGTTTAGACCACACCCCAGGCCCCTGAAAGAGTTACTTAAGTTCCCAGGGTGGTGGATTGGGTTGGACAGTCTCCAGGACCCCAGGCTATGTGCTTTGTTGAAGAGGTGGTGGTGCGGCTAGGTTGGATAGCTTGTGCTCAGGCACCCTGGTGGTGAGAGTAGGCACTAGCCATGGGGGGCAACAGGAGAGCAATTCTCAGGTCCCAGGCAGAGTGTATGGGGCACGGGTAGAAGCAGCTTTGTTGAGGGCTTGCCACTGAAGAGGGTGAGGCATCCCTCTGGTCACATCCTTGTGCTGGCAGATGGGGAACATGCAAGCCCTTCAAACCCTAGTCCTTATGGGATTTGCCTCCCCTACCCTGGCTTCAAGAGCCCTCACTCAGCTTGCAACCAAGTCCCAGCAGCAACTTTCCCTCACCTCGTGACCCCACCTCAGATCACTCACTTCCTGGCACTAGTTGCTGCCTCTCAGGCCTAGCTCATTTCCTAGCCCTGGCAATGAGAGTGATCCCTACTTGCTCTCCTGTCCCAGCAGTGACAACCCAAGTTTTCATAACGCCCCAGTCCCAGCACTGCTGGGCCCCAGGATAGCATGAAGTTGGCAGAAGCTAGTTGCTGTAGCCACTTATCTCTCAGAAAGAATGTGGAACCTAGTGTGAGCTCCCTCGCTGGAGCAGTTCCATCCCACAGTCTCCTGGCTGGTCGTCATGTTAGTTTCAGGGTTTGGGAGGGTCAGAGGGCTCTTTCATGGCGAGGATTATACTATTTCACAGTGGGGATATGAACTGCTAGAAGTCTATTACTTGCCCCTTCTTTGCATTAGGAAGTCACTCCCAGCTCCTAGCCTAACCTGGGAAAGGAGGCTGCCTCTTCTCCTCCTTCCTCTCAGATTTTAGTTTCTCCTGTTACTTCTCTGTTGAATTCCAACATCATCTCTTGGATAATGTACTCATACTGTCACTGTCTATATACTGCTCTGGTTTTTCTAAGTGGAGGAGGCAGGCATAAAGTGGTTTTAGTTAGCCACGATAAACTCCCCATCAACATTGTGGTTTTGGTATTTGATTTTCTTTTATTTGTTACTGTAAGTGGAAAACACCACCTTGGTCTATCATGTTAAAATCTTCTTAACTTGTTGTCTTCTTTTGATTGTGGTTCTGTGCAGGAGAAGTTCTTGTTGGTTGTGTTCTCAACAGGTTGCTTGCTAGCTCACAGATTGTGGCTGTCACTACTGGAAATGTTATACGCTCTGGTGGTGAAACTCCAAGGAAAGAGAATAAAAGTCCTATTTACTTATTAGGTTCCAATTCTGAGTCAGAATCCATGCTGTGTCCTATTATAAGTGTGATGTATTCCTTTCAAGAGCCCTATGAAGTGGACATTATTGTCCTTATTTTGCAGATAAGGAAACTGAGGAGACTTGGGGTCACACAGAATCAAAGTTGAGATATAACCCAAACTTACACAAAAGCTCACTAGGCTAGTGCCAGCATCTATAGGACTAAGAGGGAAAAGAGCCGTATGAGAAGAGGAAATAGGTATAAAACAGCTACTTAAGTCCATTAATTGTGAACATGCTTGCTTTTTATCTAAGTCTTCCTAGAAATCAATGTATTTTTAGTCCTCTATTAAGTTGTGCATTAGGAACCAACTAGAATGTACATGACTGAAGTAGATGGGTAATGAATATAAATTGTAGCCCCAGCTAAAAAGGACTTAGAATCCCAGCAGTCCAGACAATATCCTGTTTGGAGTGACATCTTTACCACAGAAGCTATTTTTCATGGGTTTCCCAGACTCCAACCCTAGATCAGGGATGGAGATTGAAATTGAAGGAAGACTACAGACCAGGAGATTTAACTATCCAGTTGGTCCTCAGCATCCTGTTCTTACTGACTCCCCCATGCATCTTGCTTGAAGTGTGGACTCCAATATGGACCATCAGAACCTAACCTTTTAATCAATGAACTAGATTAGTGCTTTTAAACTACACATCATGACACATCAGTGGATTATAAAATAATTTTATAGAGTTGTGGCCAACATCTTCTAAAAAGTGGAATATGGTAGGATAGGATAGGATAGAAAATAAAATATCAGGATGCATAGTACAAAACAGGTATAAGTATTGTATTGTAAACTCATTTTATGTGTGTGTGAGTTTATATGTATGTAAAGGTGTAGAAAAACATGCATACATTCATACACACATAGATACAGTGAATATAAATATACACAGGACTATATATGTATAAGTGAATGCAATATCACATGAGTTAGCTATTTGTTCTCCAGCCAAGGAAAACATTTTATATTACCCTGTAACATGCTTTCATACTCTGAAAATTTGGACAGGAATGCTCCCAAACTAATAGCAATATAATTAAGTAAATTACTAAGTGTTTTCTTTATGGTGTGTACAAATAAATACTTTATTAGAAGTTAGCAGTTCAACTTGTAAGGATATCAAATGACTAATATTTTCAAAAATAAAAAAATTGAGTGGAGAAAATACAGTTTATGAAAAATATTTTTATTTCTTCTATATTTTCTGCTCTTTGTAATAAATAAGAATTGTCTTTTATAAAGAGAAAATAGGGATACATATTTAAAACCAACTAAACCTTCAATGTTCTATACATTACAGAAGAAGCTATTTTTACCACAGTCCTTAGAAGAAAAAAATGAAAAATTACAAAAATGCAGAACAGCTTCCAAGAACAAAATATCCTTTGGTGGTTTGGTTTTATTGATAGAGCCCATGACTAAGCAGTAAGTGTCTAGTTTGTGAACATTTTCTGATGACTGCTTACAACTCACAGGGAGTTTAAGTAAATTTAAACTTTATCACTCCATGACTGTTGAAACAACAACAGGGAGTTTCTGTGTGACTTGAGCTTTTCCCAGGAGGAAAGGCTTCTTCCCATGCCCTTGCTGATAAAGGTGGCAACTTGAAAGTGTTCTCAGTATAGTTAGATCAAGGTAATTCTTAAGCAGTAACTTATGAGGCACCAGCATTCCAGCACTGATTGACTTTGGTCCTCATGATCATCTATAAAGTAGCCACTCATAATATCCCTGTTTCACAGATGAGGAAACTAAGGCACAGAGGGAAAGTGAGTGTGACACAGTGTAGAGTGTCATGCTAAGGACTTTGGATCTGGAATGATTTATGCAGGGGAGTGAAATATTTCTATCTGTGTTTGGAAAAATAATATGGGTAGCAGTGCATAAGTTGTATTATAGGTGAAAAATACCAAGGGGGTGAAAACTAGTTGAGAGACCATGCTTCACTCTCTCTCTCCATTCCAGCCCTGCAGAACTATGAACTGTTGTCCAAACATGCAAATGACTGAATTATCTAGTGTCTTTTTACATATTATTCTTCTGGTGACAGTTCCTGTCTTCCCTTTGTCCCCCTGGCAAATTCCTCCGCCCCCTTCAAGAGCTAGTTCATGGAACAATTCCTGTCTGCAGAATCAGCTAACATGCCACTTGCCTGTGTGAAAGGCAGCACAATGTGAAAGCAAGAGGAGGGAGTTGAGAGTCAGACTTATCCGCTCAGCCTCTCCCAAGCTGTGTCCTCCCCGAGACTGTCAGCTCACCTCTATATTGGGAATAATACTCTCTAACTTGCAATGTGGGTGTGGGAATTTTAGATGATATTCTGGCATTTCCTAAGCATCTATAAGTTATGTTTTTCTTAATTAGTTTGTCATCCTAAAAACCCACCCTTTCCACCACCACCAAAGAGATTGAATGGCACCATGTTCTATTTTCTCTTAGGATTTTTATCCTATGTCTACACAAACATTGTCACCTTGGGTAAAAATTACATTAGCTCATGAAAAATGACTGCAGCTTTCTCATTCCACAGCTAGATTCTGCCTTCTGACCCATTGTGGTAGGGTGAATAATGCCCCCCACCCTTGAGATCCCCATGCCCTACTCTCTGCAACCTATGAATATGTCATTTAGTATGGCAAAAAAGTCTCCACAGATGTTTTAATGTCCAGAGATGGAAATGGTTTCTGGATTATCCAAGCAGGTCCAACGTATTCACAAGGCTCCTTATGAGAGGTAGGTAGAGTTAGAGGCAGAAAGGTCAGAGGAGAGAGGGGAGATGTGACAATGGAAGCAGAGGTTGGAGTGATGCAGTTTGAAAATCAATGGAGGGCCCATAAGCTAAAGAACGTAGATGCCTCTATAAGCTGAGGAAGGAAAGGAAATAGATTCTCTTTTAGAGCCTTCAGAAGAAACACAGCTATGATCATACTTTGAGTTCAGCATGTTCAACCCACTTGGGACTTGTGACCCCCCAAATTGCAAGATAATACATTTGTATTGTTTAAGCCACTGAGTTTGTGTTGATTTGTTACAGAAGCCATAGGTAACTAATATACCAACACTGCAACAACTTCCTTTCTCCCCAGAGTAGAGCAGTGCCTTCCTGAGGGATGAATAAAAACATCATCTAGTACGTCTCCTTGTTTCCAGAATTTGTGGGCATAAAAACAGTCTTATTTATTTACTTAATTTTTTAAAAGCCATCTGTGTTACTGATATTTATTGGCAAAGGTAATAATAATGGTCAAGGTAAATATGTAGCTATAAAGTACTGCAATCATGTAAATGCATGAATATGTATCAGCCAACATGTAACACCAAGCATAACCAGTATTCACACCTTCCTTCAAAATACTTTTTGCTTAAAATACCGGAATTTTTTTCTTCCATGAAATTGTTATGTGTCAACACAATTTTTGCACTATTATTAAGAAGTATTTTGACTATACTACAACTTGATTTATTTTGTTTATTTAAAATCATAAGGATAACACAAATATCAGAAGTTCTTTCACAGTTAGATTGAAACTGGAAAAAAGAAGTATGCTATATAGCAAATGCACACACGTAGGCAGCTAGTAGCTAACTCTCCAAAAGTTTCTTAATTATTTTCTTGTACAGCGGGGCTTGCAGGTCCAAGCAAATTTTCCTTCCATTCTTCAGCGTGGCTCTGGCAGGGAAAAGAGAAGAGATGTGACTTTCAGTCCTTGGGTTTGCAAATGGCATTAGAAGGGGGAGGGTTGGGCAGAGGAGGCACGGAGCGGGAGCACTGACAGATGCAGTGCAAGGACTCACATCAGTTGGGCAGTGGGGCAGTGGGGTCCGGCCTTGATCACCTCCAGGCTGGTGATGTGCCTGGGACGGACCTGGGAGGTGGTCTTCACACACAGGCACTGCAGGTCCCCATCTTCTTCAGCTTCAGCTGAGGGGGAAATGGAGAGGGTAAGAGAGGAGGAGGGGAGGGAGTGGTGACTCCATGAGTAGCCAGAGGTACTTTAGGGACTTTTTCCACTACCTTCAGCCTTCTTTTCCTTACCATAAATCACACCTCCCCCAGACAGAAGTTGTTCTAACCAGGTGGGAGGTGCAGGTGCAGCGCCTGGCACTGTGGCCAGACACTCAGCAGGCTCTCCGTTAAGTGTGGCTGTGATCATGATCCTAGAGGATTCCTCCCCAGCCCCAGGGCTTCCCGGACTCCCCCTCGCCGCTGCCAGCCCTCACAGCCTGGCTTCTGCTCTCACCGCTGGCGAAGGCGACCACAAGTGGCAGGAGCAGCAACCCCAGGAACAGCAGCCCGGGGCGTGAGGCGCAGAACCCGGCTGCGGAGCTCATGCTGCGGCAGAGCTTCCAGCAGGATCTCAGTGCTCAGTGCGATGGGAAACTCGGGCTGGGTCTCTGTGGCCAATGACTCCTGAGCCTCGCCGGCACGTTTTATTCCCGGCTGTCCTTCCAGTCCGGAAGCCTGAAGTGGACACCGAGGAACTGCGGTGCGGAAACTAAGATAGTACTGGGAAGACTTGGGTTCTGGCCAGCCAAGATTACCAAAAAAAAAAAAAAAAAAAAAAAAAAAAAAAAAAAAAAAAAAAAAGAAAAGAAAAGAAAGAAAGAAAGAAAGAAAGAAAAGGCTCTGGGCAGCTGCCTTGGCTGGGACCTCCAACCTCAACTTACATACAAGCACGTTTGTAGAGTTAGAAACAGAACTTGAGTCAGAAAAGGAATGTTTTTTGTGTTGTATTAACAGTAGAGTTCTCTGCTGTCATCATGCAACTTACACAGTAGGTGCTTTCAGGACCCTGACAGTTCCTGTTTCCTTTCCAACCTCCCAGCTGCAACTACCAATTATTACTACTGAGTTTGGTGGCTTTGTGTGTGAAGCATGTGTTATTCGCAATTATTTTCTGCTACTAATAAGTTTAATTTGGTCTCTAGGCGATGACTCTTTTGAATTTCACCTGAATGTGGAAAACTTCCCTAGTCTCTGGATGGTATTTACCAGGCTCCACCAACAATCACCCAGTATGCTGTAGGACGCAAGGTCTATTTTCCCATTACTCGTACTCTTGGAAAAATTGCAGAAGTAATATTTGAATGCATTCTTTTTGTAAAAGCTTAGTGCCTGGCTGTTTCTTCATTGTTTCCATCCTGAATAACAGTCCAGAAGAGAGGACAAGAAGAGTTTGCCAGGCCATGTCTCCCAGTGCCTGCTGTGTCTTCAGCCAGTGCTAGTGACAGGGTGAGATGAGCTGCACTGTTGGTGGGGAGCAGTGATGCTCTCTGCAGGAGGATTCAAGGCATCTGGGAGTTGAATGTGAGAATGATGGGAGGTGACGGTGGAGGGGATGCAATAGAATCCCACATAGGAAAGGGGAAGAGATCCATATGGACAGTCTTCCCTTCTCTGAGAAAGAATGACTTTGGCTCTTGATTAGGGCAAGGTACACCCTTAACCCAAAGCCAGAGGTTCTCTATCACACTTATTAACAGTGGTAAAGGGTGTCAGGAGCCCACTGCATGGAAAGCTGATATTCTAATATGTGGTAGGACTGGACTTCTATAGAAATATGCAATTTAATTGTTGAGCTGAGTAATTTCTTCCTCCTACTCTCCCACTACCTGCCTTTTCACCTGACTAAGACTTATTTATACTTCCGGAGTCAGCTTAAGTGTCAGTTCCTCAGAGGGCCCTTCCCTGACAACTATATGTAATTGTGTTCTCTTGCCTTTCTATCTTGCAGAACTCTGTCTTTCCTGTTTCTCACAGGTAACACACACACACACACACACACACACATATATATATATTACACAGAGATACGTATGTGTGTGTGTGTATGTGTGTATTTCATAGTGTTAAAAATGGTTTTGTTTCCTAAACTGGAAAACACTATGAAATCAGAGATTATAACATTTATCACTGTTTCAGTGTACTGGTAGAGACTCAATTCAAAGTGCCACATTAGCGAAGATGATGTGTTGAAAATGATGATGATGAAGTTTTAACATATCCATGTATTTGCTCCTTCAAGCAATTGAAGTATACCTCTATATTAACATGTGTAATATATAGTTGCAATTATTTGCCTACTTATCTGCCTCTCCCACCACATAGTGATCTTTTCAAGTGCAATTCTCTGTGACTTACATACAGTAGTGCAGCACATAACATTTAGGTCAACAATAGACTGCATATATGACAATGGTCCCATAAGATTATAATGGAGCTGATAAATTCCTGTTGCCTAGTGATGTGATTCGCATTGCCTCATGGTTGTAAAGTCATAGGAAGCAGTGTATTACTGACATGTTTGTGGGGATGCTGGTGTAAACAAACCCATTCACTGCCAGTTCTATAAAAGTATAGCACATAAAATTATGTATAGTACACAATACTTGATAAGAATAACAAACAACTATGTTACTGGTTTATGTATTTACTATACTATACTTTTTATTATTATTTTAGAATATACTCTTTCTACTAGTTATAGAAAAAACATTAACCGTGAAACAGTCTCAGATAGATCCTTCAGGAAGTATGAGTTGTTATCATCTGTCTGTTGTCATAGGAGATGGCAGCTCCATGCATATTATTGCCCATGAAGAGCTTCTAGTGGGACAAAACAAGGAGCTGGAAGATAGTGATACTGATGATCCTGACTCCGTGTAGGCCTAGGCTGATATGTGTTTTTGCATCTTAATTTTTAACAGAAAAGTGTGAAAAATAAAAAATACAAAACAAAACAAAAAACAATTAGCCAGGCTCTATGGCTCATGAGTGTAATCCCAGCCTGAGAGGCTGGGGCAGGAGGATCGCTTGAGACCAGGAGTTCGAGAGCATCCTGGGTACCTAATCAGTTCCCTTCTCAATAACAATTTTCAAAAATTAGCTGGGCATGATGGTGCACATCTTTAGTGAAGATCAAGGAAGATCACTTGATCCCAAGAGTTTGAAGCTGCAGAGAGCTATGATCATGTCACTGCACTACAGTGTGGGTGACAGAGAAAGACCTCTTCTCTAAAATAAATAAATAACTAGATAAAAAAGAAAACGAGCTTATAAAATGACGATATAAAGAAAAAACGTTTTTGTACAGTTGTACAATGCGTTTAAAGTGTTATTACGAAAGTCAAAAAGTTTAAAAATTAAGAAGTTTATAAATAAAAAACACAGTAATCTAAGGTTAATTTATTGTTGAGGAAAAAATATTTTTTATAAATTTAGTGTAGCCTAAGTGTGTACAGTGTTTACAAAGCCTAAAGAAGTGTACAGTCATGTCCTAGGCCTTCACATTCACTCACCACTCACACTCCGACTCATCCAGAGCCACTTCCAGTCCTACAAGCTCCATTTGTGGTAACTGCCCTACAGAGGTGTACCATTTTACTCTTTTATACCATAATTTTACTATATCTTTCTACATTTACAGATGTTTAGATACTCAGATATTCACCATTGTGTTACAACTTCCTATGGTATTCAGCACTGTAACATGCTGTACAGGCTTATAGCCTAGGAGCAATAGGCTGTACTATATAGCCTAGGTTTGTAGTAGGCTATACCATTTAGGTTTGTGTAAGCACACCCTGTGATGTTCACACAATGACAAAATCACCTAATGATGCATTTCTCGGAATGTATCCCAATTGTTAAGCAAAACATGACTGTATTTTTGAATATCCTGTATCCAACACAATGGCTGTTGCAGAATGTTTTGTAATTCATATGTGTTTATGAACCTGAAACTTGAAGCCCCTTCTGAGTTAACAGCAGAGAGAATGAAGGGGAGGGATGATTTTGCATATGGATGGGCAACACGCTGGGTTTTTACAGTCTTACACCCAGATTTTAATGTTTGCAGTGTAAAGGAA
Source organism: Homo sapiens (assembly GCF_000001405.40). NCBI lineage: Eukaryota > Metazoa > Chordata > Mammalia > Primates > Hominidae > Homo > Homo sapiens. The sequence goes on from NC_000004.12 coordinate 73,985,491, forward strand.
TCCAGGTGGTCCTGAGTGGCAACTGAATCATTCTTTCTCTGCATGTAAACAGAGTAACTCAATACATGCACTCAAAAACAGAAGACATCTGCATCTCGGGAGGTATAAGCATGGTGTCAACACTGTGCCATGTCTCAGGAGCTGGTCTTGTCAAGTTTCAGTGGGAAACCACTAAACATAATGAGTGAGATGCCTGATACCCTATAATTATTATAGTATATACAGTATGCTATTTATGTATCAAGTTGTATTACATGTGTGAATAATACTATGTTATATGTAATGTAATCTCTTCATTAGAGAAAGAAGAGTTGAGGAAAGCACTGTGGTGTGGTGGTTAAGAGCACAATTTGAAATTCCCACTCTGTTACCTACTTAGTTATCTGAAAGTGGGCAAGTATTTTAAACTCTATAAACTTGATTTTTCTCTTCTGTAACACTGGGGAGGATAATAATAATCATAAGAAATAATTACTAACATTTATGTGTGGCTTATTTATGACACACATTATTTTAAATACCTTAAATTTATTAACTTTTTTAATCCTTCCATAAACTCTATGAGGGAGGCAATATTATCCCCATTTTAGGGATGAAGAACCTAAGGTACAGAGAAATTAAGCAACATGACCTGATATACACAGCTAACAAGTGGCAGAGCCAGGTTACCTCATTATTCAAACTCCAGAGGATGTTCTTTTAACCAGATCATATCTATCTTTTAAAAAATTGTTTAGTTCATGCATGGAAAACACTTAGTATTCCTGGCATATTAAAATGATTAATAAATTGGAACTGTTATCATACTACATTAAGAATGACACCGATCATCAATTTAGTAACTTTTGTTGTTCAAACTGTGAAATACCAAGTATACAAAAAAGAGAGGAAAATTAAAGCTTTTTTTCCCCAACAATCCTGTTAAAATTAATAATAGATGACAACAAGTCAATAGCAAATTTTTATTTCATGTGAATATTTTTGTAAGAATAGTGTGGGTATAAGTTTTAGGGTTTAAAAAATGAATGAAAGTTCTGTTGATGAAAAAAGTAGAATTTAGAATTAGGAGTCTAGTAAGGTTGAAGTCCTATATTGTACTTATTTATAAGGCTCATTCTAATGATAGAATTATAACTATGTAGATATGTTAATTCATTTTCATCATCTATTTTTGTTCTACTAGTGGCAAATATATTCACTTTAAACCAGCTAACCACAGTTTATAAGATTCATATTCACCAATTTATTATTTTAGTGTTTGATGGCTAAAATAAACATCAGAATAAACTTTCAGGGAGTATTTTAAATAAGACATCCTAGGACTAAGACACTGAGAGACTCCATTAAGTTCCTAAATATATTAACAAAAATGTATTGAGCAAATATTCTCTGTTGGGCTCCATGTAATTCCTATTATCATTGACCATTATGAAATCTAATAATACCCATGAGTATGTCTAATAACCATAAAGTAGACCAGGAAAAATCAACCAAGTTGTGTTAGAATAGAAATTTTTAAAGAAAAAAATGCAAAGTACAGTCCAATGTTTAGGCAAGAATTAGAGGGTTGAAACCAGGCTTATTTATTTTCATCTTCTTTCTGCCATCTTTTAACCAACCTTCTCAGAATAAAATGTGATTTTTGAGACAGAATGAAACACATATCCAAATTTTAATACAGTAAGAATAGGTATCCTGAATAAATGAGAACTCTAGAAAATCAAGGTTTCAAAATTCTACCCTTCCTGGGAGTTAAAGAAGTTTGGCAGAAACAGAACAAATTAATCAGCAGATTCATCACCTGCCAATTTTTTCTGTACAATTTTCTTGATTCTGGGAGCATCTGGGTCCAGGCAGATTTTCCTCCCATCCTTCAGTGTGGCTCTGCAAAAGAGAACAGGGTTATCTGTGGGTGTCCTGATCTGAATATCAGAACTAATCCATGAGACTGGAGGAAACGAGTGCATATGTGGATGGAGGTAGAGGGTTTCTCTGATAAGGCAATAGCACAGAAACAGCAACTTACATCACTTCGACTTGGTTGCAATGGGTTCCTTTCCCGATCACTTCCAAACTTTGGATGTTTTTGGGATGAATTCCAGAGGTTGTCTTTATACACATGCAGCGGAGTTCAGCATACAAGTCACTGTCTAGACTTTCCTCTAGGGTAGAAAATGTGACCTATTGGTGGTCATGAATATTTTCCTCAGGTCTCTTATTTGCAGATTGAGGGCAATTGTACCTCTCTCATAAAGCCATTGTGAATATGATCTGTAACGCTTTAGTAAAGTGCCCAGAAGATTGCCCAGCACACAAGAAGTGAGAAGTGACCCCCCTGTGTGTCTCCTCCAATTGGAGTTATTGGTATAATGGCCCTCTCCAGCCCCAAAGGCACCAAGCTAGTCTTTACCCCAGAGACAGGTGTAGCAGAAGCAGCAACAAGTGCAGAGAAGCAGGGCCTCTACCTTTGCCTTTCGCCAAGTTTCTCTTAGTTTGTCCTTTGGTGGAGGAAGCCAGAGCAGTCAGCAGCAATGACAGAAGCAGCAGCACCTGCAAGGCATGAAGTGGTCTCGCACTGTTACAGGAAGGGGTGGTATCAAGTCTGAGGCTCATGGTGGAGAAGGCTGAGCTAGAGTTGTTTCCAGAACCAGAAGACCTCTGAGTGAGGGTGAGTTGCTGCCTACAAGTCTGCAGATAAGTGGCTTCTCATGCCCTGAAGATGTCATTTATATGCTCTTTCTCAAAGCCAGTAAGAAGGAAGAGGTAGGAAAGGAGGAAGTGAGGGTATGTGGTGATACACACATAAGCATTTGAAGCTGTGCCCAACCCAGAGAAAGACCAGACAGGTCAAATTCCTACTAACTTGCTTAATGTGCATCACTTCACATTCCCACTCTCCCTTTCTCAATACTTATCTTCCTTACACCTGTGTAAGAACTCCGTTCAGGAAGGTAAGAACTAGACTGAAATACTACATGCATTTTCTTTGTATGATTTATAACAATACGCCCTGCCTTTTCTATACTGCAGTTTTTAGGCTTAATAGAAACTTTAGGAGCACCTGAAGGCACAAACATGTGGCCCTTGAAAGAGAAAGTTATCTTTGCTTGCCAAAGAAAGCAAATGTTCTTTTCATGAATGTTGATAAATATTGGGATTGGTTTGGAGCATGTAAGTAAAATAAGAGCCAATTACCGTCAAAGGTTGTCTTTGGATTTTAGCTTATTGGATTCTTTCTGCCTTCAATCTATATTATCTTTTGTAATTTCATCTAGAAACTACAAATGAAACTCATCCTCCTTTATATTACAAAAGAAGCTACTTGTTTCTACCACCTAAGAATACCTAAAAAGTAGGACCCAGCATATTTATTTTTCTTTTTATTTTTAATTTAACAGAAAAATTATATAATTTATTGCAAAAGATTCGTATGCTGCAGATGTCTTTGAAATAAAACACAAATTTCTCTTCATCATTTCTCCACATTCCTACTATTCAGTGGTAAACACTGGTAACAATTTTGCATTAGTTTTCAATTCTGTCTGCACTTATATGCACACATGTATATGTATACAATGAGACACGTTTAAGACATAGAGGTACACATATACATAGAAGTATTGTATATGGATCACTATACAGCTGACTTTTATCCTTCAAAAAATATGTGTTCCTTATCTTTTCAGGTCATCTTAATGTAGTTTTCCCCCATTCTTCTTAATGACCATGTGACGTCCTGTGATAAGAACAATAGTTACTCAACCTTGCCTTGTTGGTGCCCTTCACGGTGTTTCCAATTTTGCACTATTAGAAATTGTGCAAGAAATGTCCTTACCAAGGAAAATATTTGTTCCTGAATTCTCAGACCCAAATTAAAGGTTTTGGTCTGAAATGCTATATCCCTACAAAGATAGAGAGGTGGACCTACACATTACATGTTGGCTTTATGTTATTTTCTGGTTCTCTGTCCCATCTGTAAGACTTCCTTCCTCAATTGAACCATGCACTTTTGTAGGGAGTGGCATGTCCTGTGTTTGTTTGAATGTCTCATGTATCCTATAACATGTAGGATACTTCAATATAAAGTAGGTCTTAAATAATTAATAAATCAATGAATACGTATCACATGAAAGCTTCCCTATCCTTTCTAATCACCTACAATTCCAGGCCAAACTCGACAGGACCCAAAGCAACTATGCTATTTAAATTTATTTGGAAGATTGTCAATAAAGAAGAGGCAGATGTAAGTGGCACTGGCAACAAGTTTTCTTCCTTTTACAACTATGTATAAGTCTCACAGAATATTATTTAAATTTTCCATATTCTTTTCTTACTTTTCATATCCTTAAATTTTAGAAGAAATGCTTAAAATACTAAATGTTCAAAATTACTCTCTATCAAAAAGATGAATATAGTAATTTTTTAAATCATGTTTTTGTTTTCAAGCCAATTTTCCCTATTGTTTAATAGTTATCTACTATGTCTACTCAAGTTCTCAGGTCCTGTTTTTAAATGCGATAACCTACAGACCACATTTGACAGTTTACTTTAGAAGTAAGCAGACTTCCAAATTAACTCGCCCTGGAAAGGTTTCGTGACTTGATGGTGACATTCTATCTCTGAGTAAAGTATTTTATTACGAGTTCCTCAAATGATTGATGTACTAATTACTGTAGAACCTACTGACACTAAATAGGACAATGATTTATTTCTAAGTTTAGCTGAAACAAAAAGTTTTATTGATTGTTTTGTATGTAGACATTTAGCCTGTATGCTGTAATCTGTAGCTAATGATTTTAACTTCGGTATTGTACCCTCCAATGAAAAAGAAGACAACTCTGGTATGAGGAGTTTTTCTGCCTTATTTTAAGCTTTTCTATTATATAAAGCCCTTGTAACTTGTGAAAGACTCTAGAACACCCCCAACTTTGTGGATGTGTCTTCCCAGGTCTGTCTTCCCAGTTGGCTTTCAATAAACATGTATAAAATTATTTCTGCCTCACTAGCCTTAGTTTCAGTTGATGAATGTATTTCTTATTTTTCTCCACCTCATTTATTGTTTTCTTTAAATTAGAGTTTAGCAGTAGAGCATATTTAATTGGAATGATTTTTCTCCCTGTCACAACATAGAAATTTCTAGTCTTAAGCAAGCTTAAAGGAAGGGTGTAAGCTGAGAGTTCGGAGTCTTCTGAGAGTTGAGATGTGGAGTTAATTGCAGAGATAAGCTCAGCAGGACACAAAATGAGGGGAGCAGACTTCTTTCTCTTTCCTCCTGTGGGGTGACTTTATAGCTTTTCTTCATTATTGAGATTGAGATATTGTGAATTCGCAAGTCATATACATTTTCAAACATAAGATCAAAGCCATTTCCAGAACAAGATATAAAGGTTTTTTTTTTAACACTATTCATAGTATATTTCATTTTCTGTTCAACACCAAAATACATTGCTGAAAATGTTTATTGGCTTCACTGGACACCTTTTTTCCCCCTACTTAACGTTATCCAGATTTCTTTCCTCGTTCATTAGTAAGATTTCCTAAAAGTTCCTAATCGTTTTAAGAAAACTGTATGAAAAGTTTTCTGAAGTAATGATGCTTTTGAGTGAGTTGATACCAGGAAAAAGGTAGGCTCTTTCCTACCAGGAAACCAACTGGTGGGTTAATACCAGGAAAGAGGTGACTCCAGTATCATGGAGTCATTGTCTTAATCAACAAATGTGGCTTGTCACGAAAGACACATCGTCGGCAAAATTCGTGAGGAAGTAGTAACAGATTTCTTGAGTCATCAAAATTTCTTAAGGATATCAGTCAGCATTTGATATAAAACAATATTTTGCTAGTTTTTATTAACTCAAAAAATATTGATTAAGCATCAGTTGATTAAGCCTGAACTTCCTAACAGGTTTTACGAAGTTCTCTTTGCATGACTTGGTCATTTAATTATTTATTTTTTAAAAGTCAGGCCTAAAATATTTGTGGAAAGCAATGGGATATGAAAAATACTCTACTCTTGCTGCTATGATGACAACTGCTGCTGTTAATTGCTGTTACTGTCATTTGCATCATTCCCTTCCATTTCCACGTTGAGAAACACAGTAAAGATGATGATAAACTGAGTGTACAAAACTGGTTAAAAGATGTTTTTAAAAACTTATTCAGTTAAAAGCATACTGTTATGCAAAATTATTGTTTAAATAAATGCTAGAATTAGAGAAGAGTTATTTTGTTCCTTGTTTTTAAAATAACTTGACAGCCTTTTTATTAATCTTACATTGTCATTGTGGGTTTGTATATGTGTGTGTTGGGGGGTGCTAAGTTATTTTAGCTCTTTTTTCTTTAAGTCATCTTATAAATAGCAGAGTCATGAAGGAAGCAAGCAAATTATCTAAGACTCAAAGCACATTTTATGTTAGCTATTTTAAAAGAAAATATCTAGAGACATTGGAGGACCACTATCTATAAAATTAAGGCATAAATGACTTCTCTGCCTCACACAGAACATTTTTAACGCACATTTCCCAAATCCTTCTTTCAAGTATGAAGGAAATAGACTAGCACAAGCAAATCAATCATAAAAGCAATTAGTACCAAAAATGCTAAGGATAGTACAATGTTGAGTCTGTTCATTAAAGTATCTTAATCAATAAATTTAAAATACTAGCCATCAAAAGTTTTTCTGTAAGGGCTGAAACCAAATGTGCTTACTGTATAACTATGAGTTGACAAGAATTGTTCAGATGTGAATTGAGGTTTTACTGTCTACTGCCCAGAGGTGAAGCATGGGGTGAAAATGGGAGGACAGTGGGGAGGGTGAAGAAGTTGAGGGGAAGTATCTTTCTGGGCGCTATTATATACAATACTTCAAAGTTTTGCCAGACTCAGAATTTGTGTTTTAAATTATGTTGATTAATATCATTTGTTAAATCTCAAATATATGAAAGTTACCTAGTTTCCTTACATGCTCATTCATTAAGGAAATTCTAACATAATGTTCTAGAGCATTGTTAACAAGTACCATTAATCCTCTTTTGTTGTGTAATAAGTCGACCTCATTGTTAGTGGCTTAAAATATTAATTTATTGTTTCTGATAATTCTGTATGTTAGCGTGAGTTTCTTCTGCTAAGCTCACTTGAGTGCAGTCAAGAGCAGCTGAAATGGCTGAAATAAAGAGTGGGACAATAGGGTGACAATAGTCAATAATAACTTAATTGTACATTTTAAAATAACTCATAAAGAATGTAACTGGATTGTTCGTAACCCAAAGGATAAATGCTTGAGGGGATGGATACCTAATTCTCAATATGCTTATTTCACATTGCATGCCTGTATCAAAACAGCTCATGTACCCCATACATATATACAGCTACTATGTACCCACAACATTTTCTTAAGAATAAGAAAAATAATAAAATAATTTAAAACAACATTTTAATGGCTTAATTCACATGAGAGGTTGTTGGTGTTGGCTGCTGGTTGTGATTTCTACTGGGGCACCTGCGTTCTTCTCCTACTCTTTTAAATATAATTATTTAACTTCTCACTAATAAGCAGAAATGAGGAATGGCGGGAGAGAAGGAGAGTAGGCAAGGGAAGGGGAGGGAAGAGAAGAAGAAGGAAAAGGAGAGAAGGAAGAAAATAGAAAGGAAAAAACAGGCAAGTCATAGTCCCTTCCAACACCCTCCTCCTCTCATCCTTGTCTCCTCTAGTCTTCTCTTTTCTAGTTCTTCCCCTCACCTCTTCTCCCCTTTCTTCCACTCTTCTTACTGGAAAATATTTGTTCTGTGGGAAAACTGAGTATATTTGCAGCAGAAAACCTTAACTTAGACTGAAAGTTCCTCATCTTTATAATTTCCAGATCATAAGGATCCTACAAAGATAATAGGCATGTAACAGGATTATCGATTAATATCAATAAATTAATATTTGATTGATGAATACTTATACAAAGGAAAATACATCATATATTTTGATAGGTACTATGTAATTGACAGAAAATATACAGAGAGTATATTGTTTCCAGAGCTTCTTTAAAAGACTCTGGTGGCTTATGCCTGTAATCCCAGCACTTTGGGAGGATGAGGCGGGCAGATCATGAGGTCAAGAGATCAAGACCATCCTGGCCAACATGGTGAAACCCCATCTCTGCTAAAACTACAAAAATATTAGCTGGGCAGGGTGGCACGCACCTGTAGTCCCTGCTACTCTGGAGGCCGAGGCAAGAGAATCACTTGATCCTGGGAGGCAGAGGTTGCAGTGAGCCAAGATCATGCCACTGCACTCCAGCCTGGGCGACAGTGAGACTTGGTCTCAAAAAAAAAAAAAAAAAAAAAAAAAGACTCATAGCCTATTCTAATATATACAAGTACATGCCAATATAAACATGTATAATGTAATCCAACTGGAGTGTGAATGTATGTACATACATACTAATATGATTAATCTTCTTTCTTTCCTTTTCTTGTGTTTCATAAAAGAGCAATTTCATATAAATACCTATTCTTAGGTATTTATATAGTAAATTTGAGGGACAAGGGAAGTTGAAGTACTGATCAAGATTGGGATGAGACAGAACCTCATTTGTCATTTAGATAGGGAAATGTTAAGTATAACCTAAGAATATGTATTTAAATGAAATTGCTCTTTTAATTTTAGAGTGACAAGGGGACTTGTTTAGCCAAAATCACTTGCTTTTTGAATACCTAGTATGTGCTAGGCACTGTCCTAGGAACTGAGATGAAGTTGATAAGCATTGTCCCCGCCCTCATGAGGCTTACATGAAGCTAGAACAGAGAGACCTTAAACGGATGACAATAAACACACAGGCTCAATAAACTCTACAGTAACTTCGGTGAGAAAACTTCATGAAGGAAAAGTACAGAATGCTATGAGAGGGTATAAAAGGGTCCTCCTCAAAGGTAGGAGTAAGGGTTGGAGAGGTTTCCTCAAGAAAGTAAAAGGCAAGCTATTCCAGAAGGAAGGATGGTAGCTACCCTGGTAAAAGTGAGGGGAGGTATTATAGATTGAGAGGATTGTGCATGCCAAACTCCTTGTTGGACTACTGCTAGACAAGGAGAAAAGAGGGTAAACAAGTTATAATTTAATTAAAACCGAGCAGGGTGGCTCATGCCTGTAATCCCAACACTTTGGAGGCTGAGGCGGGCTGATGACCTGAGATCAGGATTTCAAGACCACCCTGGCCAACATGGTGAAATCCCATCTCTACAAAAATACAAAAACTAGCTGGGCATGCTGGTAGGTGCCTGTACTCCCAGGTACTCGGGAGGCTGAGGCGGGAGAGTCGCTTGAAACTGGGAGGCAGAGGTTGCAGTGAGCTGAGGTCATGTCATTGGAGTCCAGCCTGGGCAACAGAGCAAGACTCGGTCTCAAAAAAAAAAAAAATGACATCTACCATGAACCAGGTTATTGAATTTAGAACAGTATCTGACAGCCTGAAGATCAGGATAACTTGTTAATTCATTAATTCATGCATTAATGCTACATTGGGGATGCAGCGGTAGATATAATATGGTTAATGTTCTGGGAGAGCTAGAGTGGATGAAGAAACCTATAAACAAATAAGAGCAATGCAGTTTTTTTGTTGTAATTCAGATAATGAGATGTCATGAGAATATCAAATCGGAAGCCATGAGCTCTGCCAAGGAGCTGGTATTACTTGAGCTGAGTTCTTAAGGATGAATAAGCCTCTTCTTATATGCAGGTAGTGGCCCTAGCAAATCCAAAGTCATGGGCCTAGGAAAGAACATGCCCAGTTAGGGAACTGAACACCTGACTATAGTGAATTTGAGGGACAAGGGAAGTTAAAGTGCTGATCAGGAATGGGATGAGACAGAAAGAAGGTCATCTGTCATGCTTAGAAACCTTTATTTTATGTTTAGGAAACAATTTAGATAGGGAAGAATTTAGATAGGGAAATATTTGTGTTTTCTAAAGACCCCAGAAGCCATTGGTGCTGTGAAGGGATAACTAGAAGGGAACTGAACTTGGAGAAAGGTTGAGCCAAGGAAATGGTATTGGGGAATGAGGGCCTTCTCTGCCAGTCAGAGAGGAGCAGAGTTAGTGTTTTAAATTACATAGAATTAAAGATAAGTAAAATGTATTGTAACAGTATAGGAAGGAGAAACAATATGAGTGAAGTTTAGAAATCTTTTAATGTTTATTCAAAGGACAAAATAAAGACTATGAACCAATGAGACACATAGTAAAAAAGTACAATTTTAATATAGTGAATGTAATATATATGTAATTACTCATAACAAAATGGTCAAAACCTTTAAAAGATACACAATAGGCATCTAAAAAGCTCAGCAATGCTAAATATATAATATATATTATATATAAATATATAATATATAAATACATACGTTTTTACCAAGAAATGTTTTATTTTTCTTGCAGTAGCTTTGTTAATTGCACAAAATTATGTTTTGTTTTTGCCATTTAAATATTATCACAGAATCCTATTCTGAAAGACAAATGTTCATTAAAAACAAAGCAAAAATAGAAATTCACAACCATTAATTACCTAGGTTTGTCATTTAAAGGTTTAAAGAAAAAAAGGGAGGAGCTTTCCTACAAGCCTTTTCACAAGTGTCACATTTTCTCTTTAAAAGGGAAGGATTTCCAAACAAAGGTGAAATAGCTTAAACAGAAATATTTGTAAAAATAAACTTTACAGCATTATCAAGGATATTAAGACAACACTGACTAACCGGTTTCATTACCGCATCTTCCCCCACCCCCAACCCCAGTGTGTCCCACCAGGACTAGAACAGGCTTTACATTCAGACAGAAATGCTTCAAAATCCCAGTGAAATGAACTGTGCTAAAAACCCGACAGGCATCTTCCCTGCCCTCCCCGCTCCCGCTCGTCTTCTGCAATCCTCTAACCCAGGTTCTACTCTGTGAAAGGGGCCAAAGCTGTGAGTGGGGAGGGAACTTGCCCCAGCGTGGCCACCTTATATATAATTATATATTCTACCATAAATGCTGGCCTTCTTCAAATTATGATTTTGGAAAATCTAACCCATACAGAGGGATAAAAAATTGACATCCCTTGGACAACTTCTCCTTGTTTTTTTTTGTTTTGTTTTGTTTTTAACATTCCAAGCTCTCTCTGGTCCCCTATCCAAGGAGAAATGCTAGGGCCTCGAGGATGTCGCTATATATTTTTATAACTAAATGATAAATTTATATTCAAATTGTTTGAATACGTTTCCAAAACTTTCAGAGTACAAGTCATTGTTAAGTTTGCCTTTACTTTAAAAACTAAAAGAATACATTTCTATATAAACTAGCAGTCAGGAATTTGCCTGTTTTCTAGCTTCTTCATCTATCTAAAATATATATTTAGCTACCAGAATTATGGTACTCCTAATAAAATACTTAATAAATAGCATATAAAATCAAAGTTTAAAAGTAAATGATGGCAGTTTGCCATACTAAAAAGATAAAGAATGTCTAAAATTATAGGAAGATAAGATATTAGCCCTCATAGAACTTAAACTTTTAGAAATTCTGAATAAGGAAATATATTCTACATAGATAAGGTGTGAAACACTCAGCTTTCTAAAGTGAAATAATTAAATAGTATCCCACAATCAAGAGTAAGGAAATTCTCTAACATATTCCCCAAGAAACATTAAAATATTTCCTATTTCTTATAAAAGTGAAGATAACAGTGTATTTCCATCAACAGAATTCTTATGAAACATCATTTCCACATTAAATCCACAGCCTTCTCAGTTAATATCTTAAGGAATATTTCTTGGAAATATAATAGTCACCTACAATTCAAGACACTTTGAAAGATTAACAGCCAGTGATTCCTGGCTCACACTATAGTCAATTGCCAAAACTTCAATAGCATAGCAGATAAAATAACAGCAAATAGCAGAGGTACTATGCTAAACACTTCATTAGCTGAGCTGAAAGCTTAAGCGGCAAACATAGGTTTTCCTCACACTCTTCAAAGTGAGGAATCCAGGAAGAAAGCTAACTACTGGAAAAACAAATAAACAAACAACAACAAAATCTTTCCTTCTTGTCTTCCCTGGGTTCAGAGACCTCCAGAAAACTTCTCTGCTGAAGACTGGGAAACTTTTCCATGCGTGCTCATTTCTCTTAATCAGTTTTCCTTGTTTCCACTGTTGAGAAAAATGTTATATTAGTTTAACCATTTTTCACACTCCTTTCTACTCCACCCTTGTCAAAACTCAGCGTTTATGATGTTTGGTAAAAAAGGAGAATACAAAAATCAATAAAAGCAATGGGTAAACAAAAAACATAACTTAGTGACAAGCTGTGTGTAATTGCTCAAGTAATTACATGTAAGATTGGTATATTTTCCCAGGACAATCCAGAAAAACTTTCCCAATTCAACAACCTTTTAATTCTAAACATGAAAAGTGTTACTTAAATCGTACAGAGAATAAAGACCTTGTGAAGTCTATGGTCTCCCTAGATCAGATTTAGAAACCACAAAGATCAAAGTGACAAGTACCCGTCCAAAATTTTCTGGATGACTTTCTTTAGAAAAGGGGCTTCTGGATCAAGACAAATTTCCTTCCCGTTCTTCAGGGAGGCTCTGAAGGAAAGAAAAAGAAGATACACTCATGAGATACCAAGGTTGAAGACCCAGGCTGCGGGATTTCTCTCTTGCCAAGGTCACAGCGGACACAGCAGCACAGAACTTACACCACTTCCACCTTGGAGCACTGTGGGCCTATGGCGAACACTTGCAGATTACTGATCATTTTGGGATGAACTCCTTGCGTGGTCTGTAAACAAACGCAACGCAGCTCTCTCAACACAGCAGCGGCAGGACCAGCTGGGGAAGAAAGAGAGACACCCTTTATAGGGCAGGTTGCTGGGAGAGTTCCCTGGAACGCAGCGACCCCGCAGAGGCTGGGATGCACCTCTGTGCCCGAGTGCGAGTGCGTCCCGCGCGCCATGCGCTCTCACCGCTGGCGATGGGCCCTGGCTGCGTCAGCAGCAGCAGCAGCACCAACAGCGCGCACAAGGAGCTCGAAGGACCGGGGACACGGGCCGCGCGGCTGGACAGGAGGCTCATAGTGGTCAAGAGAGCGCTGCGAGCGGTCGCGGGTTCCTGAACTGGGTGGAGGAGCGGAGATTGGAGGAGCGAAGATTGGAGGATCCGGAGCACTGTGGCTTCCTCGTGCCTTCTGCACTCCTTTTATCTACACTCATCTCTCCCCACTGACAGGAAACTCAAGCTTTGGGATGCTGGGGAAATTCCCTGAACTCATGGGGCAGTGTGGAAAGAAGAGGTTGGGGGAGGGGGGCCAGACAATGGGAACTGGTGGGGAGGGTGGCCAGGAGGAGCTGCGTGCACCTCTACCGAGAGGGACGTTGTAACCCTGCTCCGCGGTGGAGGGAGCTGTGGCTCCAGCTAGAAGGGAGTAGCTATTCAGCAGGATTCAGCAGGGCCTCATGGCCTGTGCCAGAGCGGGCTAGGGATGCCGGCTTTTCTGAGGCACGCAGCCCTCTGGGAGATGCTCCTCCTCTCCTTCTAGAGAGAAAAGGTGGAACCAAAGTAACAGGAGCCTTGATTTGAGAAAAATTTCTGAAAGTCAATCCTTTCTAATTATTATTACTATTAATCAGGAAATGTTATTCATGTTTGAATTGCTATAAACTGAAAGTCCTTCCTGTCTTCCTTGCAGGCAGGTCATTCTAGGTTTCTTGAATGACTTTATGAATCTCTGGACTTCAACCAGCTTTGGAAGCCAAGATAACATGATAACAAGAGACCCTTGTCTCTTGCCACTTGAAGTCAGTGGCCTGAAAGGACCACTGAATTTTGTTAACTCCCCTACAGATCACCTACTTTGGTAAGTCCGCTTACTGAGAATTCTGTACTTGTAGTATATAGCAAGTATACGTGTGTCCAGGTAGTTAAACAAAAATCTTCCAAAATCACCCAGCAAATTGCCATGGAAGATACCTTGCTATTGGCAGTTGCTATGCTATTGAATTGGAAGAGGTTTTGGTCTTGTTGGGGGTGAGGTGTAGTATGGTGAGCGCAGGCTAAAGCTTGCCAGGGATCCCAGGCCTGCCCCAGCTCTGTTCCCAGCCCCAGATATGTATTTGACACCATTTGGAGATGCTGTGGGAGGCTGATGAGTTTGAAGGGCTCATGTGAAAGCTTCTTGTAGGGGTTTGTATCAATTTGGCAGCACAACAGCACCCAGTCTGTTTTCCCTCAAACAACTTCACGGAGGGAGGAATGCTCCCCACAGGTTTCTGGAACCATCGAGTTTCATGATTACTGGTGACCAACGCTGTTTCCACAGGCCTACTCTAGTCCCCAGTGAGCCCTGCACTGCTGCCTGAAATTGAAGGGTGAAGTAGTTTCCAGCTTCCTCTCCCTCTCTCCTTCTGTTATCTGTGGAGGAGTTAAAGCACTGAAGGTTTAAGGGTTTTCCACTGTCTTGCTCCATGGCAGGAATGGGTTATTGTATTGGAATGACACATAGGCTTTCTTTCATGGAAATCTAACTAGATCCTCTTCTGGCTGGTTCTGAAGACCCTTGCCCTCACAGCAGACCAGCAAAGGTAATCAGTAAACATGATGGCAATGAGAAACCAGTCATGAAACACAACTCTTTTCCTTGTCTCCTATGATACTGGGAATTTTATTAACTCCCCCATCCATCACCTCCATTGGTGAGCAAGAAAGAGATGTCATAGACCTTAACAACTTTTATTTTGGAAGGAAACTTCAGAAATTCACTGGCTGAGTAAGGTTTGGTGGTATGGGCCTTACTCTGTGGGAAACTAAATGAGAAGTCTTCACAGCTTCTTGACATCACCAGCATCATACCTGACTCAGAAAATGTAATTCTTCATCTTTCTGGGGAGTGGTAATCTGTAGAAAACAGCCTGCAGATTTAGTATGTTGACGTTTTAGAGATTAGAGTGTATCGAAAGACAAAAGTTAAGCCTAGGTGAAGTGATAACACTTCAAAAAATCTTGGGCAATTAAATTCAACGTAACCACAGGGAGTAAACCATAGGATAAGACTTTGTTCTTTTAAAAGAAGTTTAATTACATAGGTTATTGACTTTTAAACTGTGTGTGTGTGTGTGTGTTTACGTTAGTTCTAAATAAGCTATTTTAAACATAAGTGAACACACGAATTTGTTTTTGGCGCCAAATGGTGAAATCTGAGATGGATCATGAGAAAAGATTGCCAGTTCCTCCTGACGGTCTTATAAATGTATATATCTCACCTGGTTTGCACTCTGAATCAATTCACTGTAGCTTGTTTATGGAATGCAAGAAGAAAAAAAACACTTCTTTAGCTGACAAGCACATGATAGAAAGTCCCCACTAGAAATGGGCTGTTGGGTTGCCCAACCTAATCAGGAAGCAATATGTCACTTAAACTGGCTTCCCATGGAAATCACTCTGGCCCACTGCCCATGTCTGGTTCCTATATAGGCATCTTGGATGTTGGCTTTGTACAAACGTGGATGGTCCAAAAGTCCTCTAAGGTTGAGTATGACAGCACCAAGAACCACTGAAGACACAGCACTTTAACAGTAGTTGCTTCTTTATCATCAGTTTAAACAAAAGCCATTTGTCTTACCTGCACTGTATCCAGGTGGTAGAGAAAAACTCTGTTATTTTTGTTCCCAACTAAAATAGAATAATTCATCCAATGGTATCAGCATCCTGACAGCCTGAAGGCTTAACTGTCTGTCTAAAGCAATCCTATTTTAGTCATTATACCACAGTATAATGTAATATAAACTAATACAGTATAAATGATTTTTGCCTTCCAAAACACTTAATGTTCATTATTTCTTGAGCCTCACATTGATTCTTGGATAAGAGAAATTTTCTCCCCCATTTTGCAGCTAGGCAAAGTAAGTAGAGCATGAGTTAAGTAGTAGAAAATCCAGCACTGGCAGTCAAGCACCAGAGAATCTGCCCCAGTAATTTTTAATGGTTTCCAGATTACAAACCACTTTCTTCACAATTGCTGGCAAACACCCCCTAGCAGCTCTCCCCAATCTGGCTAACCACTTTATTGTGTTTCCCAACAACCATATTTTAAGCTATTGATATCCTCAGTCCTTCCACTCTTGCCTTTGAGATTGCAGTAATATCAAGGGTCCTAGAGGCTTCCAAGGTATTCCACCTGAAACTGTCCTCTGCTTTCTATTTATTTTTTTATTTTATTTATTTATTTATTATATTTTTTATTATACTTTAAGTTCTAGGGTACATGTGCAAAACATGCAGGTATGTTACATATGTATACATGTGCCATGTTGGTGTGCTGCACCCATTAACTCGTCTTTTACATTAGGTATATCTCCTAATGCTATCCCCCCACCCTTCCCCCACCCCACAACAGGCCCTGGTGTCTGATGTTCCCCTTCTTGTGTCCAAGTGCTCTCATTGTTCATTTCCCACCTATGAGTGAGAACATGTGGTGTTTGGTTTTTTGTCCTTGTGATAGTTTGCTGAGAATGATGGTTTCCAGCTTCATCCATGTCCCTAAAAAGGACATGAACTCATCATTTTTTATGGCTGCATAGTATTGCATGGTGTATTTGTGCCACATTTTCTTAATCCAGTCTATCATTGTTGGACATTTGGCTTGGTTCCAAGTCTTTGCTATTGTGAGTAGTGCCACAATAAACATACGTGTGCATGTGTCTTTATAGCAGCATGATTGATATTCCTTTGGGTATATACCCAGTAATGGGATGGCTGGGTCAAATGGTATTTCTAGTTCTAGATCCCTGAGGAATTGCCACACTGTCTTCCACAATGGTTGAACTAGTTTACAGTTCCACCAACAGTGTAAAAGTGTTCCCATTTCTCCACATCCTCTCCAGCACCTGTTGTTTCCTGACTTTTTAATGATTGCCATTCTATCTGGTGTGAGATGATATCTCATTGTGGTTTTGATTTGCATTTCTCTGATGGCCAGTGATGATGAGCATTTTTTCATGTGTCTGTTGGCTGCATAAATGTCTTCTTTTGAGAAGTGTCTGTTCATATCCTTTGCCCACTTTTTGATGGGGTTGTTTGTTTTTTTCTTGTAAATTTGTTTGAGTTCTTTGTAGATTCTGGATATTAGCCTTTTGTCAGATGAGTAGATTGCAAAAATTTTCTCCCATTCTGTAGTTGCCTGTTCACTCTGATGGTAGTTTCTTTTGCTGTGCAGAAGCTCTTGAGTTTAATTAGAGCCCATTTGTCAATTTTGGCTTTTGTTGCCATTGCTTTTGGTGTTTTAGACATGAAGTCCTTGCCCATGCCTATGTCCTGAATGGTATTGCCCTAGGTTTTCTTCTAGGGTTTTTATGGTTTTAGGTCTAACATTTAAGTCTTTAATCCATCTTGAATTAATTTTTGTATAAGGTGTAAGGAAGGGATCCAGTTTCAGCTTTCTACATATGGCTAGCCAGTTTTCCCAGCACCATTTGTTAAATAGGGAATCCTTTCCCCATTTCTTGTTTTTGTCAGGTTTGTCAAAGATCAGATAGTTGTAGATGTGTGGTATTATTTCTGACAGACAAACAGAGAACCAAATCATGAGTGAACTCCCATTCACAATTGCTTAAAAGAGAATAAAATACCTAGGAATCCAACTTACAAGGGATGTGAAGGACCTCTTCAAGGAGAACTACAAACCAGTGATCAATAAAATAAAAAGGACACAAACAAATGGAAGAACATTCCATGCTCATGGATAGGAAGAATCAATATCGTGAAAATGGCCATACTGCATAAGATAATTTATAGATTCGATGCCATCCCCATCAAGCTACCATGACTTTCTTCACTGAATTGGAAAAACCTACTTTAAAGTTCATATGGAACCAAAAAAGAGCCCGCATTGCCAAGTCAATCCTAAGCTAAAAGAACATAGCTGGAGACATCACGCTACCTGACTTCAAACTATACTACAAGGCTACAGTAACCAAAACATCATGGTACTGGTACCAAAACAGAGATATAGACCAATGGAACATAACAGAGCCCTCAGAAATAATACCATACGTCATCCTCTGCATTCTAAATCCCTCACTTTCTTCCAGACAGATTCAAAGTCCTTTCTTCTTTGAAAAGGCTTATTCTGACAAAGTCATTTGTAGGGTATTCCGTCCACCTTTGCTCTTTGAACATCTAGTATACTTGTAATAACTACCTCATGAGGCAGAGTTTAATTATTCCTTAATTTTGCCTTTGTCTTCCTCAAGTCAACTATAAACTCCTTAAAATCAGTGATGATGTCCTGCATTTCTCACATAACCTCCCATAATTTCTTAGTGTAGCAGTGAGCAGTCTGTGAATACTTGCTGATTAATAATGATAATTTTTTTTTAATTTTACAGTGTTATTTACCTTACAAGTAGATCTTAAAGAGAAAAGGATGGGGCTGTTTACTGTTATTAACTCCTCTATTTTTCTAACCTTTACAATTTTGAATTGGCTGCCTCCTATATGGGAAATTATTTCTTGGTTATTCTTAGAGAAAGTTAGAATGATATTAATATTTTCATTCTTTGGAATCCAAACTGTTCAGAAGAATGTTCAGAACACAGAAAGACATTTTATATTAAATGAAATAAAATTATACAACTAAAGTATTGACCAAATAACACAGACCAAATAGTTTCTGTGACATTGAGATTGTAGGATGTAAATGACAAGGGGAAATTCTGATTATGTTATACTGTGTTGAATGTTAACAGTGTGGGTATGTCATTCTAAATTGATCTTTTCCAACAAACCATAGAAGCCTTTAACTCTGTGATTTAGTATTTGGCATAGGCCTTTTCAAATGTTTTTTTAAGGTTCTTTTTTTTTAATATCCAATATTCTTTGTATTACCTTTAAGAAATGCTATACAATTGCAATAACTAAGGATGTGAGCACATTGTTATCAGGTTAAGCATATCGAGGTTATCAGTATAAGGAAGGCAATAAGAGTTTAAGTGGAGGATAGAGTTGCTTGTATGCAAAAGAAAAGAAAAAAGGTAGTAACTCTTGGGTTTATGTTGCAATGTAAATGCAGTTTGTCTGTTTCCTTCTAAATTGGTCTGGCAGTCCAATGAAGAAGCAGCATCATCCAGGGAATAACTTTGCTTCAAAGTCATTTCACTTTTTCTATAAAATGTCAGGAATATTTTCTTTCCTTTGGCCAGTTATCTAATTTTCCTTGCTGCCCGTTTCAGGTAATATCTGTTGGAGGAGCAAATCAGTGAGCCCTGATTGGGTCTATACCGAGCTAAACTCCAAATAATCATAGCTGGGCTTTTCTTTCCCACCTTCTGTGTGGATGGGGCAGCTAGTTATCTACTGTATGACTGTGCAAACCTCAGAAAAGTTTTTGTTGACAGAAAGAGTTGATACATGGAGAAAATAAGATCAGAATGTACGTTTTAAATATTTCTGAAAGCCTTGAGCATCTCAGAAACAGGAAGTCTTCGTTGCTTTCTTCAGAAATTTGTTCTGGGCTAAGTGAGCAAAGCACTTTTTAATGTCAGATATTTTAAATAACTTGGAGAAGGCATTTCTATGATACTACAAAAGTCCTTTATGTAAACTAGATTTCTAATACTGTGCTTAATAATGCTCGTTTGAAATATTATTTCTGATCACTATTACCTTCACAACTTGTATTTGTTTTAGCAGAATATTATCTTTTGCATAACTTCACAATATATTCAATTCTTATTTACTATATAGTAGAACCTCATCATTGCTGTTTGAATAGTAATAATTGTAATATATTTGTATATGTGTGATTTATGTAGTTCCTAGACAGTCAAAACCATCTGTTTTCCTTCCTTGTCGCTGCTTGGAAAACCTTTGAAGAGTTTCTGATGCACATTTAAAAGTATTATCTCAGATGAAAGAGAATTCATTATGTCAGACCTACCTCAAAAGTTTTAAGTTTGTTCTTAAGTCACTTTCAGAGAAATGAACAATCCAGGAATAAATCTTTTAATTTACTCTACCTATTGTGGTTACTAGAACAAGGCACCTTTTTGATAACGAAACAGGAATCCTTTCATTCCTGGAATTTCCTGTTGGGAGTGTAGAGTTTTCTGAGCAATATGTAACGTTGGTTAGTTAAGCAATATGTTGTATTTTACTGCCCGCTTTGTTTAAAAAGGGTGTGAGAGGCTTTGATCAACAGGAATGTGAAGTCAAAGTTAAGTATGGCATCATCTTACCACCTGTCACATGAATAAACCTGGATTCATAAGCAAAAAAAGAAAAAAAAAGAAAAACTAGCAAAGACCTAACATCTGATAAGTATGCAAAACAATGGTCATGAACTTAAAGGACAAACACACAGGCACACCACCACCACCACAAGCCTCATCACCACATCACCAAAACAAAGATTTTAAAAAACTGAGAATAGAACATGTCTTATAGTTTATATTTTCCCATCAAATTTTCATTAAGTCTGATTATGAATTCCCAGTGAATAACTGCTTTCATGCACATTTAAATATTCTTTTTACAAGAATTGGGAATTAGAAAATTGCTCACACTGGCAAAAAAAGATGTCGCAATGCCAAGCCAAAAGTCACAAAATCCTAGAAATTCTGGCTAATGTTCGACCATGAGTTTCTTACTAGCCACTTGGGATTTTAAAGCATGACTTCCTCTGGAGGGTAAATTGACCAAATTGCTTTAACAAAATATTTTATTTTGAATCATTTCAGTTTCCAAAGCATTCAGTATTAGTAAATCAGACTGGGAGTAATTTCATTTGGAACATAATGTCCCTTGGAAAGAGTTCTGTGGTTTTTCTCTAATTTAAATTTGAGGCCAGACTGATGAATGCTATGACCAGGGATTATGTCATAGAACAGAGAAATACAGTAATGGCTCACATATTAGAAATAGACCACAAGCTAGTATCTGTCACAGTGTTGCTAGGTACTAGATAGTTCTTTGTAATAAATGAAAGTTGTGGAAGTTTCATATCGAACTATATCTAGTCAGCTTTCTGCGATGGTTTGAAATTAAAATAATTACTTTAATTGAGGCAATACTCAGAAAAAAATGGTTCCTTCAGCCACCCATGAATACTTCTCTTATCCGAATTTAAGTCATTCTTCTGCCACAAACTTTCTGTATGATCTCAAACAATTTACTATTTATTTAAATGAAAATACTAATATCAGCTTTCTTCTCCATAAAACTATTCAGAAGAACAAAAAGGATAGCTGTGAAAACTTTTAAAAATATTTTTTCTTCTTTTATGTTTTACATTGATGTAAAATTTTCACAGTGAGATGTACATATCTTAAGTGTACAGTTCAATGAGTTTTGAAAATGTAAATAGCTAATCAAGAGAACATTTTCATTTTTTTTCAGAAAATCCATGCTTTTTCCATTCATTCTCTTCTCCAGAGGAAATTGCTGTTCTGATTTTTAGTTTTGCCTACTCTTGAACTTTTTAAAAACGGAATCATCCAATGTGTACTCTTTTATGCCTGGCTTTTTTTTGCTCAACTTAATGTCTGTGAGATTCACACATGTTATTGTGAATATTAGTAGTATACTTTGTATTCAATTAAATATTCATTGAATAATTCAAATTAAGCATTCAATTGTAGAAATATATGCAGGTTTATTTATTCATTCATCTGTTGTTGGACAGTTGGGTCATTTTCAATAGTTTGACTATTATGAAGTGGCTGTAAACATTATTATATAAGTCTTTTTGCACATCATAGGAAAAGATTGCCATAAAATTATTGTCACTCTTCCTATTGAGATGTGGCACCTATGTTTCATACCCGTGAATCTGAACTGGCCCTGTGGCTGGTTTTGATCAATATAATTTGGCAGAACTGATGCTGTGTAACTTGTGCAAGGATATCTACAGCTTCCACCTTGGTCTTTTGGAATGATTCTTCTTGGAACCCAACCCCTGTGCTTTGAGAAGCCTGAGCTATGTGTAGAGGCCGTATGGAAGAGAACCAAGGCACTCCAGCTGATGGGCCTCACTGGGCTCCCAGCTGAGAGCCAGCACCAACCTGCAACCGTGTAAGCAATCGTCTTGTACTTTCCAACCTAGTCAAATTTCAGATGTCTGCAACTCCAGCCACATGGAGCAAAAGATTCACAGAGATGAGTCCAGTCCCCTATCAACCCAGATAATCCTGAGACAATAAATAGCTATTGTTTTAACCCACTAAGTTTTGAGATAATTTTTTACACAGAAACAATCAAATTATTTATTTTCACTTCTTCAGGATAAGTATTAGGAATAGAACTGCTGGACCATATAATACGTGTGTATTAATCTTTATAGAAAATTACCAAATTATTACCAGAGGTAGTTTTACCTTTTCATACTCCTACTAGCAAAGTAAGAGTGCCCTGGTTTCTCCATATCCTCGTCATAACTGTTTTTAAATTTTTAGCTACTGGCAGTTATTCATGCTATCCCATTGGGTTTTTAATTTTTATTTCATGATTACTAATAATGTTGAAAACTTTTCCTTGTGTTTAATTATCATTTGTAAATTTTCCTTTGTGAAATCTATTTACAAATCTTTTGTCTATTTTGTTGTAAATTGAGTTTTTGCCATTTTATATTTGTCGGAGTTAATTGTATATTGTAGATACAAGTTCTTTGATTGATAGATAAATGTATTGTGCTTTTTTTTTTTTTTTTTTTTTTTTTTTGAGACGGAGTCTAGCTCTGTCGCCCAGGCTGGAGTGCAGTGGCGCAGTCTCGGCTCACTTCAAGCTCCGCCTCCCGGGTTCACACCATTCTCCTGCCTCAGCCTCCTGATTAGCTGGGACTACAGGCCTCCGCCACCACGCCCAGCTAATTGTTTGTATTTTTAGTAGAGACAGGGTTTCACCGTGTTAGCCAGGATGGTCTCCATCTCCTGACCTCGTGATCCGCCCGCCTCAGCCGCCCAAAGTGCTGGGATTACAGGCGTGAGCCACTGCCCCCAGCCCTTGTGATTTTTTAGTCTATAGCTTGACTTTTTATTTTCTTAAGAATGTCTTTGAGGAGGAGAAAGTTTGAATTCTGATAAAGTCAAACTTACCAATTTTTAAATGATTAATCCTATTTTATGTTTGTCCTCTCTGAGAAATTATTGTCTACCTCCATGGTTGAAAGATATTCTTTTGTAAGTTTTCAAAAGTTTTTGTTTACCTTTTATATTCATATATATAAGCCATATTGAATTAATTTTTATAAATGATCCAAAATAGTAATTGAGATACATTGTTTCACTTTTTAATATAACTGTCAAATTATTATAACAAGATTTTTGAAAACTTTTCTCATTAAATTTACTCAGAACCATTACCAGAATTCAATGATGGCATACATGTGCATCTATTTCTAGACTTTATTTGATTTCATGGTCTATGTGTCTCTTCTTACACCAAATGTCCTTATAAATCTAGCTTTATAGTAAGCCTTGAAATCAGATAGTGCATCAGCTAAAGGCTGTAGCATTGGTCAATTTGAATGCTTCCTTTCTATCTTTAGCTTTTAAAATGGCTTCCTTCCTTTAGCATCATATCATATTGAATGGAGCATCTGGGATCTCCATTTTGAAGCATATGTCTGTAGGCAGCCATAGCCCCTCCAACAAATCTTAAAGAAAAAAGCAAGCATCAAAGCCAAGCCAATCACAGCATTATAGCATTATTACAGGCATTGCAAGTATAACAGGTTAGCATATATGTGCTTGTAGAAATGAAGTGTTACCATTCTTGTAGTTTAAAATGGTCAGGGAGAACTCCAGTTAGTTTCTATTTAGTACCACCAAGTACATGTTCGGCATTTCTTTTTATAATTACTATTGTCCCCATAAGACTATACTTTTTATTTTGAGGAAATTGTACAGGCAAACCTTCTTTATTGTGCTTAGCTTTATTGCACTTCACAGGCGTTGCATTTTGTACATGTTGAAGGTCTGTGGCAACCCTGCATTGAGCAAGTTTATTGAGAACATTTTTCCAACAGCATTTGCTCACTTTGTCTCTGTGTCACATTTTGGTAAATCTTGCAGTATTTCAAAATTTTTTATTGCAATTATTTCTGTTGTGGTTCTCTGTGACCAGTGGTCATTGTTGTTACATTGTAAATGTTTTGAGATGCCACAAACTGTGTTCATAAACAAGGGTGAACTTAATCGATGAATGTGTGTGTGTGTTTTGAATGCTCCACTGACTGGTCATTCTTTTATCTGCCTCCTTCTCTTTGGGCCTCCCTATTCTCTGAGATATAATAATATTGAAATTAGGCCAATTAATAACCCTACAATGGCCTCAAAGTGTTCAAATGAGAGGAAGGGTCACATGTCTCTTATGCTAAATCTAAAGTTTGAGGGTGAGAGAGGTCAGAAGCTATGTCTCTTGCACCAAACAGTTAACCAAGTTGTGAATGCAAAAATAAAATAAAATTTAAAAAGTTCTGGAAGCAACCAGAAGCGCTATTCTAGTGAATACACAAGTGATAAGAAGGTAAAACAGGCTTATGGCTGGTACCGAGAAAGTTTTAGTGGTCTGGATAGATCAACTCAGTCACAGTATTGTCTTACCAAAGCCTAATCCAGAACCAAACTCTAATTCTCTTTGAAGAGTTGATTCAGTGAATGCTGAGACGAAGCTAAAGAAGAAAAGTTGGAAGATAGTAGAGGGTGGTTTATGAGGTTTAGGGAAAGAAGCCTTCTCCATAACATAAAAGTCCAAGATGAAACAGCAAGTGCTGATGTAGAAGCTGCAATAAGTTATCAAGAAAATCTAAAATAATTGATAAACATGGTTACACTAAACAACACATTTCAATATAGACAAAAAAGCCTTCTGTTGAAAGAAGATGTCATCTAGGACTTTCGTAGCTAAAGAGAATCTATGCCTGGCTTCAAAGGTTCAAAACTAGGCTAATTCTTTTATTAGGGCTAATGCAGCTGGTGACTTTAAGCTAAAGCCAATGCTCACCATTTAAGAAAATCCTAAGGACCTTAAAAAGAATGCTAAATCTACTCTGCTTGTGTTTTATAAATGGAATAATGAAGTCTGGGCAACAGCATATCTGTTTATAGCATAGATTACTGAATATTTTAAGCCCACTATTGAGATCTACTGCCAGAAAAAGCATGTTTTCTTTCAAAATATTATTGCTAAGTGGCAATGCAAATAGTCACTGAAGAGTTTTGATGGAGATATACAAGAAGATTAATATTGTTTTCATGCCTGCTAACACCATATTCATTCTGAAGTCCATGGTTTAAGTAGTAATTTCAACTTTCAAGTCTTACATAAAAAATACATATTGCAAGGCTATAGCTGCCATGGTGATCCTCTGATAGATGTGAATAAAGTAAGTTAAAATCCTTCTGGAGAAGATTCACAATCTAGATGCCACAGAGCATTTGTGATTCATGGGAAGAGGTCAAAATCAACATTAACAGGAATAGTATGAAGGAAGTTGATTCCATCCCTCATGGATGACTTTGAAAGGTTCAAGATTTCACCAGAGGAAGTAACTGCAGATGTGGTAGAAACAGCAAGAGAACTAGAATTAGAAGTGGAACCTGAATATGTGACTTAATCCTGAAATCTCATGATAAAAGTTGAATGAATTAGGAGTTGCTTCTCACAGGCGAGTAAAGAAAGTGGTTTCTTGAGTGGAATCTACCCCTAGTGGAGATGCTGTGAAAGTTGATAAAATGACAACAAATGATTTAGAATATTACATAACTGAGTTGATAAAGCAGTGGCAGGGTTTGAGAGGGTTGACTCCAATTTTGAAAGAAGCTCCACCGTAAGTAAAATGCTATCAAACAGTATGACATGCTAAAGAAAAAATTTTTATGTAAAGAAGTCAATAAATGTGGCACTTCATCATCTTATTTCAAGAAACTGCCACAGCCACCTTAACCACCTCCCTGCTCAATCAGCAACCATCAACATCCAGGTAAGACTCCCTACCAGCAAAAAGATTGTGATTCTGGAATCTCAGATGATCCTTTACATTTTTTTTTTTTAGCAATAAAGTATTTTTAAATTAAGATATGTGTTTGGCATGGTAGCACGTTCCTATAGTCCCAGCTACTCAGTAGGCTGAGGAAGGAAGATCACTTGAGTCCAGGAGTTCTGGGCTGTAGTGCACTATGCCAGTTGGGCATCCACACTAAGTTTGGCATCAATATGGTCACCTCCTGGGAGTGGGGGACCACCAGGTTGCCTAAGGAGGGGTGAACTGACCCAGGTCAGAAACAGAGCAGGTTGAAACTCCCATGCTGATTAGTAGTGAGATCATGCCTGTGAATAGCCACTGCACTCCATCTTGGAAAACATAGTGAGACCTGGTCTTTCTTAAAAAAATAAATAAAGGTATGTACATTGTTTTCCATAGAATGCTACTACACACTTATGAGACTACAGCATAGTGTAAATATAACATTTATATGCACTCAGAAACCCAAACATTTGGATGACAGCCTTTATTGCAATAATCATTTTACTGCAGTTGTCTGGAACTGAACCTGCAATGTCTTTGTGGTATGCCTGCATATACATGGGGCTTTGAAAAAGATGTTGCCCACAGGTTATACTTTGGAAGGAAGCTGACAAAATTTAGATGAATATGCAGTCACAATTACTTCTCAATACTCAATGGGTAAAATGCTGAATGCTGCTCAGCATTATTGGTGGCAATAAGAAGAAAGCATATAATTTCTCAGCAAAGGTGACACATAGTGCTCATTTAAGTCAATAGAGATGATTAATAGGTTTTAGGTTAGGCACCATGTGGCACTGTAGGAGTGACGAGTTGAGTAGAATATGCTGACTCTGCTGCTGTGGATGCCGAGGAGGAAAACACATTAGTTAGTATTTCAAAATATTATCCTGTTACATTCCTGTTACATAAGTCTGCCCCCAAATTACAATAGCTGATTCTAATCATCCGTCAACTTTGATTCCGGTGTTGACAACACATTTTACAAGATGTGATTATTTTCCTTTTGTATTCAATGGGCAATCTAACATCCGCATTTGCTGTCTTCTGCTCTTTTGGGTCTATCAATGAATCAACCAGTCAATCAAACTTGGGCCCATACTAGTTTTAAATTCCCTTCCTGGATTATAAATTTGTTACATCAATATTAACTAATGTATTATTCATTGTGCTTAGGCAAATACAAATCAAAATTACAATGAAATATATACCTACAAGGATGGCTATAATCAAAAGGCCAGATGATATGAAGTGTTTCAAGGATGTGGAGAAATTGGAACCCTCATACATTGCCGGTGAAAATATAAATAATGCAACAGTTTTGGAAAACAGTTAACAGTCCTTTAAAATGTTAAAGATAGAGTTTCTATATGATCCCACAATCTCACTCTTTGATATATAACCAAGAGAATTGCAAATATATGTCCACACAAAAACTTGTTTACAAATGCTCTTAGTAGCATTATTTGTAATAACCCCAAAGTAGAAACAGCCTAAATGTTCATCAACTGATGAATGGGTAAACAAGCTGGGTTATATTCATGTAATGGAATATTATCTAGCATAAAAAGTACTGATTTGTGCTACAATATGGATGAACCTATACTAATTTTATTATGCATAGGGAAAAAATTATGCTAAGTAAAAGAAACTAGACATTATGCTAAGTAAAAAAAATTATGTCTTGAATGATTTCCTTTATGTGAAGTGTTCAGAATAGGCAAGCAATGGGACTGAAAAATTAGTTGTTTCCAGGACCTTGGCAAGGGGAGAATAGGGAGTGACTGCTAATAGGTGTGAGTTTGGGGAATGATTAAAATGGCTTTCTATTGAAAATAAATAAGACATAAATGCTTCATGTTGGCCCAGAAATTTCTGTATGACCTGGTCCCTACCAACCTCTCTGACCTCACTCATGCCATGTTCCCCTTTTCTAAGATCCAGCCATCAGCAGCTACTCTTAGTTATGAAAACACAGCACACTCTTTCCTGCTTCTGACTTTTACCCTCCTGTGCGTTCTGCCTGGAACCCACCTCTCTAGGCTCTTTCAGGCTTGTGTCGTTTTTATCCTTCCAGTGTCAGCTTACAATGTCACCTTCTCAGTGACCATTGTTCTAAGGTAAGCATTCCCAGCCAAGTTCCGTTTTGATCAAGTCATGAAGTTACTCTGCCTCTTTCTTAGAATCTACCACAGTCTCCACCAAAGTGGCAGGGGAGAAAGATACATTATATCTTTGCTTGTTTTATTTTTACCTCTCTCACTAAAATATGAGGAGACTTCCAGGAGAAGTTCTTGTACTGCCCTGTTCGTCATGTATCTTGATCAGTTAGCACAATGAAGGTTTTCAGTAAATAGAAATTGAGTATTTGAATGAATAAAATGAAAATAGAGAAAGCCAGGTGCAAATGAAGAGTCTGAAGACAGCAAAACATGAATTGAGAAAGTTTCTACCAGAGAGTGAGAAAGAGAGAGGAAAAAGGAGATAGAGAAGGAGAGGGAGAGGGATGGGAAGAGGCAATACCTGAAGAGATCAGACTAGGAAAGGTTCAAGTTATTGCTGGAGGGAACAAAAGAAAGAGCTAACCAAGACCAAATAAAAAGCTTTACACAGCAGTGAATGACCTAGTAAGATCTTGTCAACAGATTTTCATCAATCTCCTTTTCTTTCAACCTTTCTGCTCCACTTCTCCAGGATGATTTATCCTCCTCCCAGAAGGGTGTAGTCCTTCAATGACAGCTTAGTTTTTGATACATCAAGGATTTTATCATGAACATTGAGACCTATCCAATCACCAGTTCCACAGCTACAGGCCAACCTTCAGAGAAGTCTTCCTGGAATGCTAAGAAAAGGCTAGAGTTTTTTAGATAAAAGTTCCTCTTTTTGGTTTGTTTTTAAAATTGGTGACAATAGGTGCTGTCTTACAGATTAATTCCAAGGTATTGTCCTCCTTTGCCACCTTGGACAGTTCCCACAAAACGTTCTAGGCCTTACTCTCTTTCAAAAATTATGCATTCATCTGAGTGCTCTGTGCAGGAAGAAAGGTGATGTAACAGTTGTCCCATATCTGTAAGAGGTATTGTCAAGGCCAGCTGATACAGGAGGGACCAATATGGACCCTTTAGTCTTCTTAGTTTGTAAAACACCTTAGTTCACATTTGACAGTCATGGGAAGGATTGCCACCACTGATTCTATCTGGGAATAGTGATGTCTGAGATGGAGATATGTTTGGCTCTTCTCTCCTCCTCTGTGCCTAAAATATCATTATGAGCCCAAAATACACAAAATCTTAAACCTAGCACATTTTAGAGACTGTAAGAAGCTAGGTGGACATTTGGTATGTGACATGTTATTAAGTTAAAAAGTCAGTTATTTCCTAGAAATGACACATGAATTTATATTCTCATTGTTTTCTAATGCCTTAGTTTCCAGGTGGTTGAAACCAAGTTCCCCCAGTTATGTCTGATTCATCGGAACCCAGGAATGCACCACCTGGAGATCACCTGCTGCGGTAGTGTGTTTCGTCCTTGCCTCCATCCTGCCCTTTCATCACCATTCCTTGCCTCAGTGTCTAGGTCAACACTCCCTTGTGTTTAGGATTGAACAGCCCCAGAGGCTTGTCCTCCTCATTTATTCTCAAAGAAACCTCATTCATTTCATTCTTTCTCCTCTTTTTATCACCAAAAGGCCTATCCGGGGAGTGAATCCTCTCAGCTGCAAGTCTGGGACGGGACTTCATCCTACTAGAGCCCTAGCTGATTGCTTGATAGTTCTTTGGTTTACACCACAGTTGACATCCATAACAGGAAGTGAGGTTAGGCCTTTTTCTCTGTGGATGTACATACTTAGAGGGAGCCTTTCCAAGGTGTTCACTCCACCCTTCTTTTCTCTTTCTGAGCAAAATCTTTCCCTAGAGTCCCATATCAGATATGATGTAAACCTTGAATTTTACAGTGAAATGTTTGCTTCAAATTTAACCATGATACTGATCTGCTTCAGTGTCTGACTTAAAGATTCATTTGTTACTGGTCAATGCATCTAACATTGAGTTTTACGGAAAACCCCTGATACTTAATGACAGAGGTAAGAATGAGCTGCCTGTTGATTTGCAGTATGAGGTGTTAGAGTGCCAAATATGAGATCTCCAGTAAAAACAATATTAATGCCCAATTATGCATTTCCATGACTGAGATCAGCCATTTCTCAGAGAAGTTTTACTAATCTGGCTACTTTAGCTCTGTTGATACCTGTGATACAAATCATAGTATTTAACATTTTGGTAAATACTGAAATTGTGAATTCGCTCCAAATCCATTCAGGCATGTTTATGAATCATAGAAGCTCTCTAAACAGTATGATTGGATGTGAGCTAATATTTAGGAGATTTACCGACCTATTAAAAGTATGTAAGTATATTGGAGAAGTGGGGAAAAATAGAAACAAGAGAGAAAATGCATTACAATTTGTTCTAACAGAATTTTTGATCTCTTCACTCCAAGTATTGTGAGTGAATGTAAAAATATAATTCAATATCTACAAAATGCTATAATTCATCTGTTGTGTCTCCAAATGCCAGGGTTGTAAACAGATTTCTCACTTGTGCCTTTCTTTGTCATTTGATAGCCATGTTGACTAAAGTGAGTTGCTTCCCTCTGGCAATCATTGCTGATGTTGAATAAACTTGTTCTTAACCTTTGTTATGCTGCTGGGACACACAACACTGGATAATGGCATAAAAGACTAACAGGATGTGGTATAACTTGACGCACTAAATCCTCTGCTAAATCACACTTTTTGTTTTACTCAACTGTCTTCCTCTTTTCATTTGGCATTTCATCTGATTAATCTTACCTCTGTTCATGAAATATAAAGGTCTAGCTAGGTCAACACTAGAAAGATTATAGTTGTTGGTATTGTACTTGCCCTTTACTCTAAATAAGTATTTTAACAGACAAGAAAGCTCTTCCTTATCTAAACATTTGTGGCAGAATAAGCTCAATGTCTTGAGTTTTCTAAATCTCTTTTTTTCTTTTTCTCTCATAATTCCACACTAGCCCACTGCACCTTATCATATATAATAACAACTAATATTTCATGACAACTACTTTGTTCCAAGTGTGTTTTATGAATTATATTTACCTAATCCTCCCAACAGCTATTTTTGCCCATTTTTCTGGATAAGATTATAGAGTTTAAGAGAGGTTGAGTGACTTGGCTGAAGTCACGCAGGAAATTGATGGAGCTGGAATTCAAAACCAGGCCATCTGACAGCAGAGCCCATACAGGTAACCACTGCCTGCTATTCTTCATTGCTTCTCCTAAGGTTGGCTTTGCATGTCCACAGCTTCACCTACCAAGAAGAGGGATGGGAATTTGATCTTTTTCCAATGACAAGCAGACATGTCAGAGAAGCCACTGTGCACTTTCCAGCATCCTGCCACCCATCTGGTTCTCTGTGCCAAGCTCGTCCACCATCTCCTTTCTCTGTATACCATTCAATCATTCCTCAAAACTTTTTTTGAGTTTCTACTAATACCCAGCAATGCTAAAGACACTGAAGATATAGCTATAAGCCAAAGATTTTCTCTTGATGAGTAATTATTTTATTAGAGCTGACAATTGACAAATAAGAAAAAAAAGATTGTGTGTGTGGATGTATATAGGTTTACATATGTATTTTATATAGAGTGATCTGAGAAAGACTCTAACACAATGATATTTGAGCAAAACCCTTAAAGAAGTAAAGGAAAAATTATGCAGCTCTGGAAAAAAAATATTCCAGGCATAGAGAAAAACAGGTTCAAATATTCCAAGGCAGGAGTTTGCTTGGTATATTTAAGTAGCAATGTGGCTGAGCGGTATTAACAAGTAGTCAGGGACTGTAATATTGGAGGGTTGTGCCTTACAGGGTGTGATGAGAACTTTCGGTTTTCTTTAAGTGACATAAAATGCCATTTGGGGGATTTTTAACAAAAGAGTAAAATGATTTTTCTTTCTCTTTGAAAGTTTTTCATATGCTGTGTGAAAAAATAGAAAAAAGGAAAGCAGAGAAAGATAAAGAGAGGACAGAGTAGCCCGAGTGTAGTGGTGCACACCTGTAATTCCATCACTTTTGGAGACTGAGGCGGGCTGATCGCCTGAGGTCAGGAGTTCGAGACCAGCCTAGCAACATGGTGAAACCCCACATCTACTAAAAATACAAAAATTAGCTGGATGTGGTGGTGCATGCCTGTAGTCCCAGCTACTCAGGAGGCTGAGGCATGAGAATCACTTGAACCTGGGTGGCGAAGGTTGCAGTGGGCTGAGATCGCATCACTGCATTCCAGCCTGGGTGACAGAGAGAGACTCTGTCTCAAAAAGAAAAAAAAAGAGAGAGAGAGAGAGCAGAGAACTGTTAAAACAATTCAATTGCAAGATGATGTTGCCTCAGTCTAGAATGAAACCATAGGGCTGGTGAGAAGTTTTACAGTTGGGGGTGTCTTTGAACGGTATAGCTGACAGGACTTACTGGTGAATTGGGTGTGAAGCACAACATACATGCTTTGGTAAGGATGACTCTGAGATTAGCCTCAGTGGAAGCATGAATTTGCCATCACTGAGATAGGGAAACTCAAGGGAAAGAAGCTTAGATGAGAAATGGCTGGGAATTTAAATTTTATTTTGGACATGTTAATGTTAGACATTTCTATTAGATTACCCAATTAAAGATATAAACAGTTGGATATAGGAATGTGTAATTCAGCAGAGAAGTTTGGGCTTACATTATATAAACATGAGAGTCACTATCACATGGATAGTATTTAGAAAGAATTGGGTTAGGTCACTAGGGGAAATGAATATAGTAAAAAGGAAGGAGATCAGCCTCCTAATAGTTTCCTATTCCTTTTGCATATCAGAATCCCCATGGAGCTTTAAAATACATACATATACCAGAGCTCCACCACAGACCCATTGTATCAAACTCTTCAAGATCAGGGCCCAGGAATCAATTTCAATCAGCTTCCTTAGTTGATTGATTATGCAGAGACTGACATGTATTAGGTAATTGGTATTATAAGTCATTCTATTGGGTTATAATAGGAATTAATTTTTAATGTTGAGAATACAGTTCTTTTCATAACCACAGCCATATACTGAAACCCAGGGTATAGTTTTCCCTTTCCTGGATTAATTCAGTAACCTTCTAACTTTTCTGGCTGCAACTATTTTTACACCTATTTTTTGGCACAATTAACACACATAATCTTCAATGTTATCTCATTGTTCTCAGACAACTATTCTTAACATGTCTTGCCAGACCCTGCCTGGCTTTGGCCATCCTGTCTCTCATTCTCATCAGGTACCAGGCTCCTCCTAGCTGTCGGCACTGCTGCCACAAACTGGCCTTTCTTCAGTCTCAAGTACACATCTACTTCCTTCCGTGCCCAAGTTTTGCACTTGCTGTATCCTCTGTTTAGCTGTTCCTTCTTTCATCTAATTAACTCTTAGTCATTTTTTACCTCAACTCAATCATCGCTTCCTTAGAGAAGTATTCTCTGACTTTTCTGAGTGAGTCAAATACCACTATGGAAGTAGGTTATGAAATAGATTTAGAGAGTTATGAGCAGAACTTTTTTAAAAGGGAAATAGAATGGAATAGAAAATGTGAGTGGGTTACAGCTAACAAGGATAAGTATTATCTCGTAAACTTTTGTTTCTCTGTGTGCTAGTAGTACAACATACCCAACTTGTAACACTTTTACAGTGTTATATATATATATTTATATATATATTATATATATTTATATATATATTTATATATATTTATATATATATTATATATATTTATATATATATTTATATATATTTATATATATATTTTTATATATATTTATATATATATTTATATATATATTTATATATATATTTATATATATATTTATATATATATTTATATATATATTTTATATATATATTTTTATATATATATATTTTTATATATATATATATAGAGAGAGAGAGAGAGAGAGAGAGGGATTATTAGTTATTGTCTGACTCTCTCATTAGACTGGAAGCCCCATGAGGGCAGAGGAGTATGTCTGCTTGCTTTTCGTTTTATTCATAGTTTCTGATTAAATTGCTGGCTGTCATTTAAGCACTCAAAGCATTTTTTTGAGGGAAGGAGGAAAGAAAGAAGAAAGGTACGGGAATTGACATTTGGAGCAAGGTAATTTTATAATGTCACATTTTGTAGCATGACCACACCTAACTTTGCCCATGAAAATTCTGTAGGGTTGCTAACATTATATTTGAACACAGTGATGTTTTCCATGATGCTTATTCACTTTTAATAATTCTGTTAAATAAACAAATGCTTTTATTTATAAGTTTTAAGTGAAGTGCTAAGCTCAGGAAATCTGATATTATTCTAAATTCGATTATTTCTTGAAAAGAGCTTTAGAAGTCCAAGCCTTCCTGAGAACCATGGTAGAAAGAGCCTTATTTTTTTTTCTTCTGAAAATGTATGGGAAATTTAGAAATTATGTCAGAACTAACAAATTGGCATCTTATCTCTGATTGAGGATACTTTTTTCCCCTATGAAGCTCTTTTAATCACAGTTTCCAGGCTTTTTTACTCCATCAGTGATTAGTTTTCTGTTTCAAGTGTCAGAACCCTAACATAATACTAGTCTCATGAGAAAAGGTAATTAATTAGCTATTTAATTGACTAGTGCAGCTTTACAGTTTGTCTCATATGAAGCTGAACAAATTATAAAACCATAATAGTCAGTTAAATAGCTAATTAGCTTATTAGCTATTTAACTAGGAACCAAGCATTGTCAGTCACCAAACCCTGTTTTCTTGGCTTTACCTCTAGTGCTGGCTCCATTCTCAGGTTCCATGTAGCTGCAGGATGTGACTTCAGTCCCCATATTGTCTTGAATTCACTCTAGTGAATTTACCGGTAAAATGCTTCTTTTTTCCAATAAGCTCCCAATATATCCCTGAGTCAATCACTGTGATCAGGGGAATGTGATAGTCTGATTGGCTAGACCCAAGTCATGTGCCTGGAGCAAATTCAACTTTTCAGAAAGCACGTAGACTGAGAGCGGAAGAAAATGTTTTTCCTTAGAGGGAAAACAAGGTATGGCCACCAGAAGGAAAGTGCATCAAAGACAATAGTAACAGTACCTTCTCATATGCTATGCCTTTCTTAAATTATGTTTCTGCATCCATTTAGGATATTGGTATAGCTGTGTAAATCCTGCTTCCCACACTATGTTTTTATTATCTGATTTTACTAAAAGTTTTATGCATAGCCTCCCACTCCAAGTATACTGTAATTTCTTTGTAAGTGAGCATTAGGCTATATATTGGGTGATACTTTTAACTGTGATGAGACCTTGATTTCTTCAGTGTTAAAGTAGGATCTCCCGTTCAGTCCCTAACTTATACCTGTTTTCTTGGGAATTGTATACTATTTTAGATTTTATTATAAATAAAATGTAGTTGCCTTGAACATGGAATCAAATGATATTTCTGGGAACAGGGATGGAATTTAGCCTCAGAGAGTAGAGAGAAAGTCCTAAAGAATAGTAAGAGTAGAGAGATGTTAAATCCTCAGAAAGGATAAGTAACTCAAGTTATAGATTCTTGTTATTATCAAATATGCTGTTTTTTTACAAAAAAAGTTAAAATCATGATTCTGATATGTAGTGAGAAAGTGTCAAAGATTTAATCAACCCACTAATGAGGAGACTAGAGGGATGATGAAAGCTAGTTCAAAGGAAGAGAGGAGATGTGTCTGTGTGTACGTGTGAGCATGTAGATATAAGATATATAGAGATAATAATCAGTGGATAAAAGAATACTGGAACAAAATTGCAAAGCTAGATAAAAACTGATTCACATCCTACAGGATAATAAAATTGTAACATTTGAAGTTATCTTTTCTATGGCACAGAAGTAATTTGAATCACTAGTGGATGAAAACAATTTATAATGATCAGTCCTCTGTAACTTAACATCTAACTTTACAGAGGCTGAACATGATCAGTAATAAATAGAAAATCAAACAGAGTTATACCCCCTAGAGAGAGATTTAATTTATGTGGGCCTGTTAGATAATACTTTAATATGGCTCTATAAAGTTATGCAGTACCTTATTTCCAAATTTAAGAATTTTTTTCTTAACACTATAAATTAAATAACATCTAAACGCCTTGTTGAAATGAGGAAGATAATGAAGGACTATTTCAGCACAGCAGAAATATTCCAGGAATGAAGACACTTGTGTGTCACAGGGCAGGGTAAGTTGAGGAGGAAGTAATCAGTTCTCCATGACCATGTATTTGGCCTAACCAAATTGAAAATACAACTTAGCAATGGGCCAGCTGCTGGAAGACTGGGAGCAGAGTCCTCTTAGGAAATTGACTCTAAACGTGTTTGCCTAGCCAATTGAGATGGCCCATTACTGGGGGCCAGGGTGGGGGGTGGGGGGGCTTGCAAAGGCTTTAAGCTTACATTCATGACATATACCCCTTAATTTGTCATCTTTGTCATCTATTTCCCAGGGGCTTCCAAAATAAAAGTGTGATTAACTAATAATAGGTGAATGGAAGAAAATATTCAAGGCCAGGGAGAGAGATGAAGTCCCAGTAATTTTTAAGTTCCATGACCAGGACACCTATTATTGCATCCACAGATAACATCAATCTATTCTTTGTATGTCATAATTTAATAGCTTAGAAACTGGCACCTGTTTCTTTCTAGTTGAAAAAGGAGTTATGTTCTCACTCTATGCGTGGCGGTATCCATATCCTGTCTTGGTACTTTCTACGCTTTCCATTCCTGTTGAAGCTTTCGCTAACTTCCTTGTGAGGCTGGGAATTTTCCCCAGGACTTCTATGGATTCAACAGCAGATACATAACTCTTTGTTGTTGTGGTGGCAGTTATGATAACCATCACCACACTTCCGTTGCAAAATTTACTTTCATACCTCCATCCTTACAATACATTTTTTTTTTTTTTTTTGAGACGGAGTCTCGCTCTGTCACCAGGCTGGAGTGCAGTGGCATGATCTCAGCTCACTGCAACCTCCGACTCCCTGGTTCAAGCGATTTTCCTGCCTCAGCCTCCCAAGTAGCTGGGATTACAGGCATGCGCCACCATGCTCAGCTAATTTTGGTTTTTTTTTTTTTCGTATTTTTTTAATAGAGGCGGGGCTTCACCACGTTGACCAGGATAGTCTCGATCTCTTGACTTCGTGGTCCACCCATCTCGGCCTCCCAAAGTGCTGTAATTACAGGTGTGAGCCACCGTGCCCGGCCACAATACATTCTTAAAGGCTTAAAAGATCTATGAGGGCCACAGCCATATTTGATGTTAGATTAAATGGACTTTGGGTAGGGAAATTCTAAGAAAGATATTTACTGCCTCTTTGAAAATATGGTAAATGCAAAGCTGGCTCTTCTGTTTATCATATTGATAGTCCTCACAGAAATAAATTTGGCTCTCAAATTGTGGAAACGTGATTTTTGTTAATTTTGTTTAAAACTTCTGTGTTTTGGGAGGGGAACAACACACAGTGGGGCCTGTCGGGGGGTGGGAGGCAAGGGGAGGAAGAGCATTAGGACAAATACCTAATGCATGAGGGCTTAAAACCTAGATGACGAGTTGATAGGTGCAGCAAACCACCATGGCACACGTATACCTATGTAACAAGCCTGCACATTCTGCATATCTATCCTGGAACTTAAAATTAAAAAAAATTAAATCCTGTGTTTTTAAGCAATAGAATATTGTAAAGTGAAAAATAAGTAAGGGAACACACAAAAACGGGAATTTCTATAGCAAGTCTGACATCCTGGAACATGAAGATCTTTTCCTATTATCTGTCTCACGCCTTATTTACCTTGGTTTCTCATGGTCATTTTGCCATCTTAATCATGTAACAAGACAGTATTAACTTGAAAGAAAATATACTGTTTGGTGTTCCCTTTAAAAGCACAGATTAATAAACAGTACCTAAAATTTTCTAGGGATTACCCCAGATCTCTTCTTCTTTTGATGTTCCTATAAAAACAAAATTATCTGTTTTAATGGCAGTTGAATGTGTGGAAGAGGTGAAATAGGCAAAAGCACCAGAGATGAACTCTTAGAAATACTAATTGTATGCTCCTTTTGAGCTCATAAAGAGAAAATGAAATAACTTCTCCAAGAGTAATATTTTCCAGAACGCTATTCTGGGAATTACTATAAAGAAAGGCATTATTCCTTAAGGAACTTATTTCCTGTAGGTTCAGTTAATATAAAACACAATGCAAAGCCACACCTGTTTATTCTATCTCCCTAATTTCTTGCTCCACCCAGGCCAAGAAATGTGTGAAGTCTGTTTGCCTTTGAAATGCTTATCATTTTTATTCCAATACTAGATAGGTCATAGCTAACTGGCCATGTGCTTTTAGGGGTGAAACCCTGGGTATTATAGTGAAACCAAGAGCAGTGGCCACAGAAGTCAATAGGCAGGGCTGGTCCATGATTAATCTGTGAGCGAGGGGAATTTTCCTCTTCACCTACCTACCTTTTCCAAATGTCTCCATTTTCCTTCTAGCATTTCCTCATACCAAATTTTATTTTTTCTCAGAAAAAGACCCAACCTCAGTCATGAATACCTTACTGCAAAATTTTATGTCTGTCTGGGTGATACAGCCACTCTATTTGGCGTTTTAATGAAAGTGTGTAATAGAGAATCAAGGACAGTTATTGCCACAGAAGAATTTTAGGCACAATGTGATTCCTCATTCCTTAAATTAGGAAGCTGAGGGGGAAAAGAGCTGAATTTGCAACAATCTGCTAACAGAAAATTCACATTGCCTATGCCATGAGGGTCCCTAGGCTGCTTGTGTAGAGTGTTTTGAAACTTCAATTGCACTGCCTTGTGTCTTAACCATTTTTCAGCCTTATTCTCAGATATATCAGTATCATTGTTATTAATAAAATTATATTGCATCACTTTTGTGACCATTTTTTGTTTATTTAAACCACTTTATTGAGATATTATTGACATGTGAACAGCTATACATATTTAA
This sequence comes from Homo sapiens, assembly GCF_000001405.40. Classification (NCBI taxonomy): domain Eukaryota; kingdom Metazoa; phylum Chordata; class Mammalia; order Primates; family Hominidae; genus Homo; species Homo sapiens. Next base: position 74,024,594 of record NC_000004.12, read on the forward strand.
GTATACAACTCAGTGAGTTTGGGGATAAGTATAGACATGTAAAACCAACATACCACCAGGGCCAAAAACATCACTATCATCTCCCAAAGTTTCCTCCAGCCCCCTTTTTATTGTTATCATTTTGAGGGAGTTGGGGGTGGGAGTAACAACACTTAACATAGATCTATGCTCTTAGGAAACTTTAAGTATACAATACAGTATTATTAGCAACAGGCACTAGGTTATATAGTAGATCTCGAGAACTTAAAACTTTGTATGCTTTTATTGTTTCCTCCTTTACCTCTCCTCCAAGGACCTGGCAACCAAAATTCTACTCTCTGCTTCTACGATTTTGACTATTTTAGGTTCCACATGTTAAGTGTGACCATACAATATTTGTCTTTCTGTGTCTGACTTACTTCATTTCCTATAATATCCTGTATGTCTATCTGCATTGTTACAAATAGCAGGATTTCCTCTCTTTAAAGGCTGAATAATATTTCACTTTATATATATATATCTGTGTGTGTGTGTGTGTGTGTGTGTGGAGGGTGTGGGGTGTGGGTGTGTGTATACATATTACATGTTTTCTTTCTCTATTGATCTGTTGATGAACATTTAGGTTGTTTCAATATCTTAGCTATTGTGAATAATGCTGCAGTGAACATAAGAGTGCAAATATTTCTTCAAGATGCAATTTTAAATTTCTTAGAATAAGTCCCAGAGTGCAACTATTGGGTCATATGGTAGTTCAATTTTTAGCATTTTGAGGAAATTCCATACTGTTTTCCATAATGGTTGTACCAATTTTCATTCATTTCAAAAATTTGCCAGGGTTCCCTTTCCTCCAAATCCTCACCAACACTTACTTTCTTTCATATTTTAAATTATAGCCATCCTAACAGGCGTGAGGTGATATCTCATTGTGGTTTTGATTTTCATTTCCCTGATGATTTGTGATGTTGAACAACTTTCCATATACCTTTTGGTCATTTGTATGTCTTTTGATATATCCAAAAATTTGTTGCCAAGGCCAATGAAAATAGCTTTGTCCCTGGTTTCTTTTAGGGGTTTTGTGGTTTTATGGCCTTACATTTAAGCATTTAATCTATTTTGATGGATTTTCGTATATCGTGTAAGATAAGTGTCTTATTTCCTTCTTTTGCATGTGGATATCCAGTTTTTCCAACACAATCTATTGAAGAGGTTATTCATTCCCTATTTTGTGTTCATGGCACCCTTGTCAAAAATTAGTTAACTTTATATGTTTAAGTTTATTTCTGGGTTCTTTATTCTGTTTCATTAATCTCTGTGTCTATTTTAATGTCAGTACCATATTGCTTTAGTTACTATAACTTTGTAGTATAATTTCAAATCAGGAAGTGTGGTGCCTCCAGTGTTGTTCCTGTTCAAGACTGTTTGGGGTCTTTTGTGGTTTCATATTGCTATATGTTGAATATTTGTATCTCCCTAAATATTGGACCCTAATTACCAGTGCCATAGTTTTGGGAAATAGGGCCTTCATAATGTGATTAGGTTGTGAGTGTTGGAGCCCCCATGAGCTGGATTAATGTCCTCATGAAAGAGGCCCTAGAAAGCTGCCTTGCCCCATCCACCATGTGAGAACTCAGTGAAAAGACACCATCTAAGCCAGAGAGCAGGCCCTTAGAAAGACATTGAATCTATCAGTGCATTGATCGTGGACTTCCCAGTCTCCAGAACTGTGAGAAATACACTTCTATTGTTTATGAGCCATCCATCTTACAGTTTGTTAAAACAGCTCAAATCGAGTAAGATACACAAATTTTAGGATTGTTTTTCCCACTTCTTTGACAAATGCCATTGGAATTTTGGTAGAGATTTTATTGAGTCTGTAGATCATTTTAAGTGGTACAGATATTTTAACGTTAATTCTTCTAATCTATGGGGATAGATTTTCATTTATTAATGTCTTCTTCAATTTATTTTATCACTGTTTTATAATATTTATGGCACAGATCTTTCACCTCCCTGGTTTTATTCCTAAGTATATTATTATTTTTGACACTATTCTTTCCATATTTTGTTGTTAGTGTATTAAAATGCAACTGCTTTTGTATGTTGATTTTGTAACTTGCAACTACATTAAATTCATTTATTAGTTCTAACAGTTTTTTGGTGGAGTATTTAGGGGTGTCTTTATATAAGATCACAGCATCTCCAAACAGAGATAAATAACATCTTTTCCGCTTTAGATGCATTTTATTTCCTTTTCTTGCCTACTTGCTCTGATCAGGGTTTTAAGTAACTATGTTGAACAGTAGTTGCAAGAGTGGGCATTCTTGTTTTCATCCTCATCTTGGAGCAAAAGCTTTCAGCTTTTTACTACTGGGAATATGTTGCCTGTGGGCTTGTCATACCTGGCTTTTATGTTGTGGAACATTTCTTCTATACCTAATTTGAGAGTGTTTGTTTGTTTTTTAGACAGAGTCTCACTCTGTCACCCAGGATGGAGTGCAATGGTGTGATCTCGGCTCACTGCAATCTCCACCTCCCGGGTTCAAGTGATTCTCCTGCCTCAGCCTCCTGAGTAGCTGGGATTACAGGTGTGTGCCACCTTGCCAAGCTAATTTTTGTTTAGTAGAGACAGGGTTTCACCATGTTGGTCAGGCTGGTCTCGAACTCCTGACCTTGTGATCAGCCCGCCTTGGCCTCCCAAAGTGCTGGGATTATAGGTGTGAGCCATCGTGCCTGGCCAATTTGAGAGTTTTTGTAATGAAAGAATATTGAATTTTCTGAAATTCTTTTTCTGCATCCATTAAGATGATCATACAATTTTTATCTTTCATTCTATTAATTTGGAGAATCACGCTTATTGATTTTCATGTGTAGAACTATCCTTGCATTTTAGGGAAAAATCCAGTTTGATCATAATGTAGGATTATTTTACTGTGTTGATGAGTTCAGTTTGCTAATATTTTATTGAGATTTTTTGCATTTATGTTTATTAGAAATATTGGCCTGAATTTTTTTTCTTATAGTGTTCTTTTTTGCTTTGGTATCCAAGTAATGCTGGCCTCATAAAACAATTTGAGAATTATTTTATCCTCTTCAATTTTTTGTAGAGTTTTGAGAAGGATTAGGATTACTCTTTTTTAAAGGTTGGTAGAATTTACCAGTGAAGGCATCTGGTTCTGTGCTTCTCTTTGTTGAGAGATTTATGATTAGTGATTCAAACTTTTTAGTTGTTATTGGCCTATTCAGATGATCTATTTCTTTATAATTTAGTCTTTGTATGTTTCTTGGAATTCATCCATTTTTTTTCTAGGTTATTCAATTTTTGGTGTATAATTGTTCATAGCAGTCCATTATGATTCTGTATATTTTTGTGATATCAGTTGCAATGTCTCTATTTATAATTTTATTTATTTGAGTACTCTCTCATTTTTCTTAGCTAGCTAAAAATTTGTCAATTTAATTTACCTTCTCAAAACACCAACTCTTAGTTTTATTGGCCTTGTCTATTAATAAAACTACAAGACTATTTTCTAGTCTTCGTTTCATTTATTTCTGCTCTAATCTTTGCTACTTCATTTGTCTAATTTTAGCTTTGTTTTCTTTTACTAATTTCTAGAAGTGTAACTTTAGATTGTTTTTTGAGATCTTTGTTTTTTCTTAATGCAGGTGTTTGCATTAAGAATTTTCATCTTCGATTTGCTTTTGCTGCATATTATAAGTTTTGGCATGTTCTGTTTCCATTTTTATTTACTTCAAGATATTTTTATTTTCCTTCTTTTCATTCTTTTACCCATTTATTATTCAAGGCTTTGTTGCTTAATTTTTACATACTTGTGAATTTTTAAAATCTTCTTCACGTTACTGATTTCTAGTTTCATTCCACTATGGTCAGAAAATAGACTTAATAGTATTTCAATATTTTTAAACTTGTTAAAACTTTGTGTGTGTGTGTGTTTTATAATGCTCTGGTCTGCTGGATAGTGCCCATAAGTCCCATAGTCTTTCTTATTATTTATTTATTTGTTTGTTTGTTTGTTTATTGTTCTTTTGGCTGGGTAATTTCAAATGATCTGTTTTTGAGTTAACCGATTCTTTCTTCTGCTTTATACAGTCTGCTATTGAAACTCTCTATGATACTTTTCACTTTAGTCATACTTCAGCTCCAGAGTTTCTGTTTGGCTCTTTGTGGGGGGTTCTTTCTCCTTGTTGAGCTTCTAATTTTGTTCAAATATTGCTTTCCTGATTATTTTTAGTTGTCTGTCTGTGTTTTATTGGAACTCATTGAGCTAGTATAAGATGGTTATTTTGAATTCTTTGTTAGACAATTTATAGATCTCCATATTTTAGAACCAGTTACTTGTTTTTCTATTTTGTTCCTTTGATGCTGTTGTGTTTCCCTGATTCTAGCACAAGGGGCCTAGCTTTTGGCCTATCCTGGTTTTTGATATGCCTTCATCGTTAAGTTTAAACATTTCTAGCTTTTGGTTTAAGGTGAGAGATATGCAACACTGTCTTTTCCTTGAACAATTTGGAAGCCTTTATAGGGTTATTAATTGGCCCAATTTTAATATTGCTGTGTCTCAGGGAATAGAGAGGCCAAAGGAGATGTAGAGATGGTGAAGGGCCAGTCATTGCAGCAGTTTGAATAGCCATGACATTTATCAATTAACTGTCTTATTTGGGTGCAGTTAGTGAAGCCCAAAAGTAATTACAATAGTAACATCAAGGATTACCAATCACAGATTATCATAACAGATATAATAATAATGACAAAGTTTTAAATGTTGCAAGTTACCAAAATGTGACACAGAGACACAAAATGAACACACGTTGTGGTAAAAATGGTGCCCATGGACTTGTTCAATACTGGGTTGCCACAAATCCTCAATTTGTAAACAATACTATATCTACAAACCAATTAAGTAAAGTGCAACAAAAAAAAGCCTGCCTGTATTCTGCTCCAGGGTGGGAATTTCCATCTCACTAGTTACTGGTAGATGACATATAATCTGTTATTGCCTTTAATTTTTATCTGTACCAAAGAGGTAAAACACCAATACATATTAAATACTACACACAATTTTTATAAATATGATAGAATTTACTTTTCCATATTACCTCAGCTGACTGATCTGGGGAAAAAATTATTGTACATGGAAATGAACTTTGGCTAACCAAACCCTGTAATACAAAATTTTTGTTTTAGCTTTTTTTTTCTTAAAAGGAAACAATTAATTTTTTCATGTCTAGTATAATTACTGGATTATTTTCTGATTCCAGTTTTAGCAATTTTAACTGCAAAATGTGAATAAAAGTAAAGATGCCTCATCTTGGTTATGATAAAAGATTTATAAATGACCAAATTTCTGAATTTACTTTTTGTTTTTCACCTATTGATCATCAGTAAAAAAAAAAACCACAGAAATTTGTGGCAAAAAAAAAACACAGAAATTTGAAGGAAAATTAATTTGTTTTAAAAAGGAAGTAAGAAATGAAAGATAATCTCAAGTTTATAAAATATATTACTAACTCATTGGTAATTGAGAACTTGTTATTTGTTTTTTCTGAGATTCTCAGTTGGAAATACTTTGTTTTCTTGAAATAATCAGTGGCTCAGAAATACAACAGCAATTCCTTTAACATAAAAAATATGGCTTCAATTTTCTAATTATGGATGTACACCTGCATACCTACTTAATGGAGAAAAATTACTAAGTGCAGAAAAGATTAAGAGATTATTTAAGTTCTTTTAAGGTGAGTCCAAGAAAAAAACTTTAGCAGATATTTTCTTCTTTCTTCAACATTCTGTTCAATGTATAACTGACACATTTTATGTATTTACAAGATGATGAGTGAACATAGTTATGATAAATAACTCTGATGTAACAGGCAATGTTCAAAGTCCTTTATGTATATATAAAATGCACTTAATCCTTTCAAACACCCAAGGAAGTGGTTACCAGGTTTTCCCCCATAATACAGTTACAAGGAAATGAATGGGCAGGGAATTTATGCAATTTGTCTGTTTCACAGCTAATATTTCAGAATTTGAGCTCCAAGCAGTATGGCTTTAACCACTACACAATTAAAAAATTTTTCTGAGATAGGTGATTGAGAGCTTTAGGAGAGCATTTTTTTAAGGTTTGTTATTCTTATGGTTAAATAGCTCAACTTTATCTTTCCTAAAAAATAGGAAATTGCTCAAGTTTCCAGTGTTTTATTTCACTAATGGCAAGAATTGTTGTGCCACTAACATGATATACTTAAAGTTAATGAAATCTACATCTATTTATCTATCTGTTCACTATTCCAAGTCAATGTATTTCACCTCCAAAATCATGTCAGTGGAAATTAATACTGTACCTTAGGAGCTTGCAAGAAGTGGAAATAGGCATCTTAGTTGGCTCTTAGTTGCTGAGATAAGGATTATAGTTTTCTGCTGACCCAGTTTGGACACTTTATCATGTTTTAATAAATAAAATACTTTTCCTTCAGCATTAATAGGAAGCTGTCCAGGCTTTTACTCTCCTTATAACTTAAGAAAAAATAAGATATTTGCTATAATGACTTCCAGATCAAACCAAAATAACGGCTTATGCAAATACTTAGGATAAATAGACCTTCCAAAAATTTACAGTAGTAGCCAAAGGGATAAAATATTTCAAGAATCCGCTTTGTAGAATGACCTATAGCTATGCCCAAGACTTTCATAATAAACATTAGTTGCTTATGTAATGAAGTGTAAAAACAGATTTTTCCCACCTTTAATATATCTGTTCTTATAATTCAATTTATAATAGCCCTATATTTATTTTTCAGAACATTAAGAAAGCAATGATGTTCTACCAACATAATCCAGTCCTTTCTTGTTTTAATGAGTGCCTCCCCCAGCCAAATACTCATCTTATGAGCTGAATGGCAGCTCTATATGCCCAAACATTAAACTTATGGAAACTCCAGTTTTAAATGAATAGAGTCATTGCTAAAATAAAAGTATTGGTTTCTAAATTCCATTTTGAACTAACATATTTACTGTATCCTGCAGCTTTGATTGGCAGTATCTAATATGCCTTTAAAATCCAGAGTTGCTTCTGTATCCTAAGTACAAATGAAACAGCAGGAATGGGCAGGCAGTGTAGTGTTGCTCTAACCATGCTTGCCTTGGGGAACTGTGCCTTACAACTGTGCCTTGGGGAATTGTGCCTTGGGGAACTTGCTTTGGGGAACTGTGCCTTGAGGAGCTGGGCTCAACTCTATTTTGTTGCCATTACTACTACTATAATGCAGATGTCTGAAGGTGGCATTAAATCTCTGGATGCATCCACTTAGTCATTTCAGAACATTTCATCAAGTGAAAATGTCATCCACTTGGCCCAGTCTTTAGTACATTTGTCCTCTCTGCCTGGTTTGAGTCCCTTCTACCTTCTGATAACAGAATCCTGGCTTTCCTTCGGAAACCATCTCCCCATCCTTCCAGTCTGGGTGGTTCAGATAGGTTGACTCTACCCTAAAGCTCCAGAAGTGAGCTGACATCCCAAAGTAGTATTGGCCATTCCTTTCAACCCTGAGCCACCCTGATAACTCAGAGGTGGACAAGTGATCTAATAAGCCTGGCCAAGTCAGAAAAATCCCCTGAGACCACTTTGGCAGGAAATGGCTGGAAAAATCATCCCTTGCTTCCTGCTGGATTATAGCTTGGAGCTTTGCCAGTGCTTTGCATAAAGTAAAGCCAGCACAGAGAAAGGCAGTTAGACCTGCAGTGAGACTGGTTATTAAAGAGAATTTTTGGACTCTAGGATCCAGGTTTATCTCATCTACACAGCAGTCAAATAAAGTAATGCTACTCTCTATTTCAAAGGGTTGTTATGATGAATGTGTCAATATTTATAAAACACCAATATATTTCATAAGGAAATGAAATAATTCCCATTTTCAGTAAGCCAATTTGAGTTGGTTTTTTTAACTGTCTGTACTGACTGCTTGAGTTATCTTTCTAACCAGAAGGGCATTTCAACTTGAATTTAATTCCTCTCTTCATTTGATTCAGCATTTGTATTGATCATTTTCCCAGCATTGTAACATAGGAATGAAATTAGGTGCCATAGATACAAAGACAATTAATATAGAATCTGCTACCTTCTAACTCTCAACACAATACAGGAGATGAATGTACAAATAGAAGATTTTAGAAGGGCCTGGTAAATACCATGACAAACTATGCACAAAGTATTAGGAGTAAGGATGAATATCTCATACAACTCTTATGGGTTAATGAGTGGGTTTCTGAGAGGTGTTACAGAGGTTTTCCTACAAGAAATCGTTACTTATGTGAGTTTTAAAGGATGGAGAGTTTTCCAAGTAGATGGGACAACACTGAGGAATGGAAAACGCTCCAGTAGGAGACAACCAAGTAATCAAAGGCATGAAGATTGGAAAGTCCATGGAAGTCCTAGAAGCAGCAAGTGACTCAGGTAGATGGAGTTCATCCTGTGGGCAGGGAGAGGAGAGCAAGTGAGGCAGGAGGGGCGATCAGGATTCCACATGGGAGGCCATGTGCCTGTAGGATCCTGCTTCTCTGTCAGTTTGGATGTTACCATAGCTGTGCAGCTTTTACGTGTGTCTCATGGTGCTTCCATGTCCCTTGTGGACAGATTCCTTTATTGACTATCTACCACAGGGAGAGTGGGAAGGCAAGAGTAACCTATAGGTTCAATGTATGTGTAGAAAATGAGGAATGGTGGATATTAAATTCAAAAGACATTTACTAGATGCATACAACACAAAAGGGATTGTGGTGAGTTTTGTAAAAGATAGTGGATAAAGCCAAAACTTAAACATGAAATTCTTCTTTGATTCTTAACTTGCACACTTCCTTCTGCAACATTGCTAGTCTTCTAATTCTGCAGTAAAGACATACTGATGATTTCAACAAACTATAATTATTTAACTTTATTGGAAATAACACCAAACACCATCTAATATATAGATGTGAACATCATTCCAAAACTTTTAAAAATTAGCTTTTAGTATAAGCTTTATATTTGCCTTTTCTTGAGATTGTTGTTTAAACTTTTGTGGAAGGTATTGAGTAATTAAATTACATTATGCTCATATCATGTAATCCAAGAAATATAGGAATGCCAAAATTACAAAAGAATATGTCAGAAAAAATACAGGAAATAAGCAAACATCTCTATGGAAACATTTTTATCATACTAGATGATTATATTGGTCATCATGATGACTCTGGTATTATGGAAGCACAATGTAGGAAGTTGAGATGAGTTATAAACCACAGCAAACATATCACACACAGTGTATGAATACATAGTTCAACTAAGACAGTTACAAATCATCCTAAAAAACTTTGATGATCAGAAAAGGTCTTCTGTAATGTTTTAACATTTTGAAATGTATTGATACATTTTTTATGACTCATCTATGTTCTCTTTGGAAAGACAAATGTGATTTATGCAATTGCTGGGTAAATTGCCAATATATGTCAGTCAAACCAAGTTGGTTGCTTATGTTGCTTAACACTTCTATACTGCTACTAAATTTGTGCTGCTTTACATATTAAGTGTTGAAAGAGTTTGTTAGAATCTGTAACTATGATTATATATCTGTCTATTGCTCTTTTTTGATCTCTTCATTTTGCTTTATGTGTGTGTGTGAATTTTTTTTTTCTTTAGAGACAAGGCCTTGCTCTGTCACCCAGGCTGCAGTGCGGTGGCATGATCATAGCTCACTGCAGCTTCAGACTCATGGGCTCAGTTGATTCTCCCACCTCAGCCTCACAAATAGTTTATATAATTTGATAATGTGTTTCTAAGTTCATAAAAGCTTAGGAATGTTTTGTCTCTTGTTTAGTTAACCCCTTTTTATTTTTAACAGTCTTTTTTATCTCCAAGACTATTTCTTTCCTTAAGGCATAATATATTAATTAGGCCTTCATTAGTATATCAATTTTTAATAAATATAATTTATATGAATAGCATATTAATAGTTAAGTAATAAATATATTAATATATCCAGGTCAGGTTTCAATATAGTAATATATCCATGTCAGCCCATTTGTATGTGATATAACACTATTAATTCTTTTAATTTCAAGCAACCTGGTGCCCAATTTGTTTTTACTTTTATTGTATTTTTATAATTGACACATAATTACTGTGCATATTGATGGGGTACATAGTAATGTTTCTATATATAATGTATAGTGAAGAGATCAGGGTAATTAGCATATCCGTCATTTCAAATATTTATCATTTATTTGTGTGGGAACATTTGATATCCTTCTAGCTGTTTGAAACTATTACTTTTAACTATAGGCATCCTACAGTGGTATAAAACACTAGAATTTGTTCCTCCTATCTAGATATAATTTAAAGTGTGTCTCTTTTAAGAAGCATAAACATGTCATATTTATGTAGTCTGATAATCTTTGACTTTTAATTGGAGTGTTTATTCTGCTTAAATTTACTATAATTCTTAATATAGTTGTATCTAAGTCTACTATCTGCTATTATATTTGTCCTATCTTTTGAAAAATAAACTTTTAAATTTGGAATAATTTTAGACTCACAAAAAATTTGTGTGGGCACAGAGAGTTTCTATATCTGACCTTTAGCTCAGTGTCCCGTAATGTTGACATCTTACATACTTGTAGTATATTTGACAAAACTAAGAAATTAACATTGGTACATTGCTGTTAACTAAACTCTTGTCTTTATTCAGATTTCATCAATTTTCCAATAATGTCCTTTTTTCTATTCCAGGATCCAATTCAACATACCACATTGTATTTAGTCCCCATATCACTTTTGTCTCCTTTAATCTGTGACAATTTATTGATTTTGTCTTGTTTTTCATGACCTTGACAGGTTGAAGAGTACTTATGAGGAGTTTTGTAAAACGTCCATCAGTTTTACCACCATAAAAATCAGTTCAGATTTTTATGATGTCCTTGTTGTGATTATACAAAGGTTATGCATTTTCTGGAAGAATATAAATGGAGTGGAAGTGTCCTTCCATCACATTATATGAGGGGGTGCGTAATATTCACATGCCATAATTGGTGACAGTAACCTTGATCACTTGGTTAAGATTGTCTGCCAAATTTCTCCACTGTAATTTTTTTTTCCTTTTTCTTAGTCTTTTCTTTGGAAGCCAGTCACTAAGTCTAGCTACACGCACCTGGAGAGGGGAATTAAGCTTCACCTTCGGGAAGGAGGAGACTATACTCATATTATCAGCAATTCTTCTGTAAAGATGTGTCTCTTCTGCCTTTGATCCATGTGTTGGTTTATTCCTCCATTTCTGTCTTCTTTTGTATTAGTCGGGTATTTTCTATTACACTATTTTATGTCCTTTTTAGATTAAGTCCAAAATTTTGCATTTTCCTTTTAGTTGTTGCCCTACAAATTACAACATTTGTTCTTGCTACAATTTTTTTCTTAATACTTTCTCTAACAATTGAAGAGATATGTTATAGTCTAAACCCACTTATCTCCCAACCTGTCTTTTGTGCTATTTTTGTCATATATTTTACATTACAGTATCTCAATAGGTCATTTTTTTTAATATCACAATTCTTTTTAGTTCTAAGGCAGAATCAACTTTTCTACCTTTTGCTCCCAACCTTGTTAAACGGGAAAGAATTGCATAAGTATTTGAGAAACCGTTTACCAAAAGCATCTAGCAGATCTAGCAGACGCCCATGTTAAAATATCAATAACATTCAAAAATTTGTAAAGAACTAGTTTTGAATAACAAATTGGTCAATGTGAAAAACAGCTAAATGTTATACAAAATTAGAATTATCAAAGTGGTTGGGGGGTAGTATGTACTTTCTAAAAGCATCGGATAGTCCGTTTTGAATAAGAGAAATATAAGGGAAGTGACAGCTAGAAGCAGGCACAGATTTAGATAGAACCTGCAGCCTAACTGTATAACACCTTGGGTGCCTGGGAAGAACTAAAAGTCAAGAAGAATTTTTTGAAAAACCACATAAGCCTTTTTTTTCATAAAACTTTTATTATCATGTCATTTGTACAAATGTAACAGTAATGATAAATTCTCTTTTCCAAGGGAAAGAGAAACGCTGCAGAATGGACATTAAACAAGGCATTATGCCCTACAAGCAAGACATAAAATGTCTAAGGGAAACTTCAGCATAAAAATGTTGAACACATAATGTGAGATAATTTGAATAAATAACAACTGACATTCTTTTTTTAAAAAAAAAGTATAAAAAATAGATGTGTACATACATTCCCTTACCCTAACAGTGATCCACTAATTGCTTGCATTTCAATCCCCCCACCCTCCAGTTCCCCACCCTGTCATTTATCAAGGTGGCTGACACATTATGGTCTCCCACTAAATATTAGTTTAATGACACATTTAAAACCCATCATATTCCAATTAAATAATCAGGACTGAGCTATGTTTGATGAAACACACTCACATCTTTAAATAACAGCATGTAAAATATTAAAATACAAGCTTTCAAAAATAAATACATAAATAAGTAGAACCCTCGTAAGAAATAGTCAAACACATTAAGTCCTTTCCAGCTGTCCCTAGAAAGCTGCTGTTCTCTTTTTCATTTTCAGCTCTGGTAAGGGCAGGGACCACCCTGCAGGAAGTGTCAATGATACGCTGATAAGCTTCTTACTTCTCTCCTGTCAGTTGGTGCTCCCCCTGTGATGAGAAAAGGGTTACTGTTGCAGGTGCTAAGGAAGGCTGCTCTTCTGTCACTCTGAAGTTGCTTGGAGGGATGTCCCCATGCAGACTCTCTCCCAGCCCTCCACTCAGGGAAGGTCTGTCTGTACCCACTGCCTTCTATAGCAGAAAACTTGCACTCCTGAATGCTTTTTTTTTTTTTTTCAAGAAAGAAGTGGCTGTGGACTCAACTAGATTCTTGGTTTGAAAAAGCCAAAACATATTGGTCACTGATTGTCACATTGGGTTAGAAATGTCCATTCATGATCTCCCTTAAGCTGCACACAACCCTATGAAATAACTACCATTATCTACCCTATTTTGCTAAAGCTCAAAGAGATTAAATAACGTTGACAGGGATCCTAGCCTTGAACTCACTGAAGGTGTTACTGCAAAGTTTCTGCTCTTCACCAAGAAGGCTTACAGGCCCAAAGTGCCCAAACCAGACATTGCATTTTTCAGGTCTGAAGCCCATTAGGGACTGAGGTAAACGTCCCAAAACAGGCAGGGGGCATTTTGGCATTGTTAGTCAAATTTACTTAGTATTCTAGAAACCCACATTTACCCTCCCAGGGGTTAGGCCTGGAAATGGAAGACACTGAAATACTGAAATATCCTCTGGCACCAGAGCAGATTAATAACCTTAATGGCAACTTTAATTGTGAAAATAATAATCACAATTTCTAGTCCTTCAGCTAACTCTTGGGGTTCCCTGATTTTATTTTTAGGGGGCAGATGCCAGTATTTCTGACCAACGGCTCCAGTCGCCTGTGTATATGGAAATTACAACTCACTTGTTCAGTATCTTTTCGATGATTTTCTGAACCATGGGGGATGCGGGGTTGAGACAAGCTTTCTTCCCATTCTTGAGTGTGGCTCTGCAGAGAGAAGGGAATTCCGTGAGACAGGAGGTCGGGCTGGGGACAGGGTTGGGGCAGCGGGAGAGTCGGGGACCCCAGCGGTGGCAGCGGAAGCGCGGGGCGGGACTTACATGACTTCGGTTTGGGCGCAGTGGGGTCCGGGGGACCTTACATTCACACTTTGGATGTTCTTGAGGTGAATTCCCTGCAGTGTCTGCAAGCACTGGCAGCGCAGTTCAGTGACCACGGACGCTCCTAGGGAAGAATAGACTCGCTGATTGAGCGGGGCTGTCGGCGCGGGGCGCCCACCCCAGCCGCGTCCGGCCCGGGGACCCCAGGGCGCCGGGACCCACCTGCTGCGCGCCGGCTGGCGGCCACCAGGAGCAGGAGCAGCAGCGCCACCCGCAGGAGCCGGGGATTGCTGGGGGCGGCGGAGAGCGTGGCGTGGGCCATGGGGCTCAGCAGACGCGTCGGGAAGCTGTGCGAGAAGCGGGAGAGCTGGCGGGGAGGTGCCTGCGACCCGGGCTGTGTGGCTCCCCAAGATCGGCGAACCCTTTTTATGCATGGTTGAGACTGGAAAGCCCGGAGCGGCCGGGCCAGGGAAATTCCCGGAGCTCCAGATCGATCCGGAGTCCCGAAGGAAGGCGACGGCCCCGCCCCCGGGGTGGAGTCGGATACGGGTAGGGGGAGCCCACTGGTGACGCCTACGCCTCGCCCTCCAGAGTAACCCCCGTGCACTCTGGGACTTTGGGATATTCATTTTCTGCCCCAAATTCCTGGAGAGGCAGTGAGTCCACCTCGCTGAAGATACAGCCTGTGAGGGGGGACCTTAGGTCCCCGATGACCCCCCGCGTACGGGGTAGGGTTGGAGGAAAGAGCTGGGGGGACCCGTGAGAACCAGGACAGGAAAGGCACGACTTCTTTAGAGGAAGAGAGCTTTGTCTCCTTAGTTATCAGATTTGCTGGGGACCCGGAGACAGGCGAGTTTTCCCTCAGCTATCCTCTCTCTATATAGTCTATCCTCTATGTTAACCTCCCGGTCTCTGCCTCTCTCATTTTCGGTTTAGCGTTATTTCATGTACATCTAACATCATGCTCTCTGTGAAAGTACAGCCATCGTCTCGGATTCCAGAGAAGAATGTTCTACTTGTTCCTTGTTTTGCATATTCTCTAATCACACTTAGAATACCTTGTTTACGTTTTCCATTTGGTGGCAACAGATTATCAGTGTCAAAATTTGAATTCAGTGTTAGTGTCCGTGGAAGCCAGGGCTGTATAACATGACCTCTTCTTTTGTATCCTGCATAACGTCCTTCCTCCCTCTGAAATGTTGGAACTTCCTAAATCCCCTGGAGACCTTCTCCCAGTGGGAGGGATTCAGATTTGATCTAGAAATATGACACTGGCTGTCACTCTGAAGCTGTGGAGGGGCTGGGTCCAGCAGGATCATGGGCTCAATGTTTCTGGTTCTGTCTTTGCGAATGACACTAGAGAGTAGGTACCTGGTGTGCAAACACCATTCCCACTGAAGGAGCAAACAGCTGCCTGCTGATGACATTTAAACACCAGATCACACATAAAATCACATTTCATTTACTATAGAATTTTCTGGTATTCAGCACTGGGGGATCTTTCTCTGGAAACATTAACAGGGCACTTTTTTTTCTCGTCTGGATTTTCAGTCTTTTAACCTGACACCTTTGTCCCTTTTTCTAGTTTTAGATAATGTATTTTGATTTGTCATTAGGTTTTAGAGGGTTTAAGTGTGATTCTACAAGTTGGTCTCAGACCTCTTTGAGACGTGGAGTAGGATGGAGGAGAGGAGAAAGGAATGGCATCTGCCTGAAGCACAGGGCTCTACACAACCCAGCTCAAGGGATAAGAGTCCTTGCCCCTAACCAAACACAGAGCGTGCAACTGTGCTGCCTGTATTTAGTTGCAGAGTATCACTTGCAAGTTGTTAAGCCTCTCTGTGCCTAGCCCAAGGTGGTTATGAGAAATGAGTTAACATTTGTAAGAGACAACATGGATTAAGTGCCTTATTAATGGTTGTTAAATAAATAAAATGGACTATTTCCATTTTTAAAAGGCTATTTCTTTCCCGACATTGCCTGAACAAAAACTCAGCCTGCTATGAATTCTGTAAAGGAAAAAAGAAGAATCTAATGGAAAGTTTTACTCCCCAGTGTTTTTCACATTTAAAATTTTCTGTATCCCTTACTGCCACCCAACTCTCCCTGTCTCTAACTGATATAAAGCAGTGTGAGTCCTTAAGAAATCAAAGCACATCCTAGAAAGAAGAATGTTCATATAAACACCACAATCCCAGTTTCCAAAATGGTCTTGTAGTTACTGGTGCTCACGGGTATCTGTGATGTCATTACAATAATCTTGGACAAGGGATAGAAAGGTGTGCTAGAATGTCCTGTTACTTTAAAATAGACACTATAGGTAATATATATGCTCCATTCTTTTTCAATAATTTCCTCTCTCACATCTCCCTGACTACTTAAATTCCTTGAAAGAAAGGATAGATACAGAAAAAACATTGACCCAATGGAGGCCAAAATAGTGTCCCAAATGTCTTCTGCAGTTTCAAGCTGTAATAAATGCTGCAAACTTATAAATGAAAAATAAAGTTCAATTGGGAATTTATAAAAAACAAAAAAGTTAAATGTTTTTAATTTAGGAAGGCTTTCAGAAAGGAAGACACATCTGTACTTTACCAGGAGATGCACATAGATGGGAGGTCATTAAAAATTTGCTTGTTTTTCTTCAGCAAACATAAGGTAAATGATAAGAGCTTACAAGATTCTGGGTAAATGTGGAACATGCTGCTTTTTTATTTAATAACTTCATGCTATGGGCAAGTTAAACCTCTGCACCAGAGACAAGGGGCAGAGAATTTATTTAATGCTCTTCTAAGCATTTTACAAATATTGACTCATTCAATCTTCCAAACAATACTGTGAAGTAGATATTAATTGTTATCTTTATGGGACTTAATGGTTACAAACAAAGGAACTGAGGTACAGAGAGATTAAGTCACTTGCTTAACTTCATACATCCTTGAGGCTGGAAATCAAACCCAGAGAAAATGGCTCTTAACCATTAAACTATGGTAAAAATGCACTGTGATATATAATTAGTACTTTAAGGGGAGGAAGGATTTTTAAAAATGTATTTGTTCTTGACCTAGTTGAATAGCTTAAATTTACATATTTTAAAATGAAAATACATCAAAACGATAATATATCTTTGTAGTTTTGTTTCACTAACAGCATAACTCTCTCCTGTGGCATTGATGTAGCTCATTATCTTTCCTTAAGGTGCCCAATTCTGAAGAATAAAATAGGCACTTTTCCATGGAGAAAGCTGACAAACTACTTCTTTAAAAAAATGGTGAAGATAAACGTCTTCAGTGTGATGTCATATGGATATCATGTACCCACTTGATATGATGTCATAAGAATGGCATAAGCAGGATGCCTCTTTGGTACCACTTCCAAAAATTCATCACCCAAATCTAGTTATGATAAAAAACATTCTTCAAACTCATACTGAAGACTCCTAAAGCTAATCAGTACTCTTCAAAACTGTCAAGGTCATGAAAACAATAAAAGACTGAAAAACCATCACAGTCCAGAGGAAACTGGAGAAGTGACAACTCATTGCAGTGTGGTAGTTTGGATAGGATCCTGGGACAGAAAGATGATATTAATGGAAAAGCTGGTGAAACACAACTTAGTCTGGAGTTTAGTTAAAAGTAACGTGTCATTGGTGGTTTATTAGCTTTAACAGACGTTCCGTGCTGTTGTAAAATGTTCACTGTCAGGGAAAAAGGATGAAGGGCACACAGACACTGTATTATCTTTGCAATGTTTGTAAATTGAAAATTGTCCCAATTAAGTTCATTTTTTTCTAAGTTTATTTTTCTAAATCCATTTAGAATACCACCAAAATGAAATCAGGGCATGTGCATGTTTTACCTGCTAGCTTTCTAGACAGGAAATTGAATTTTGATTTAGTACATATTTGCTCAAATATGAAAATTCAAAATATCTGTTGCCGCAGTTTGGGCAGTTCATCATGCTTCATAGTGTTAAATACTTTGCCTTCAGCATTATGTTTTCCAGATCTCTCATTTAGTTCTTATAACTGAAGAAAATCAGAAAGTGTTTGCTATCATGCTCTCCAGACCCAACACAAGGAGAGTGCCAAGAGAATAATGCAAATGAAACATGTCAAGAGGCCGTGGACATTTGCAGGTTATGCAGAACTTGACTCCTGAGGAAAATGTCATCAGAATCACTTGTTTTTGTAAATGAAGTATAAAGGAGAGGATTCGTTGTTGTTGGTGGTGGTGGTGTTTTTCCCTAACATGCCGCTTGTATCAATGAGATCTTCATAAGCCAAAGCTTATAATGCTGTTGACTACAAAAATAAATTGTCTTGTTAGAGCAAGTGTTTCTCCAAGCCTATTTTCTTTTCAACAGTTGAATGCCAGAATTTTATGCAGTCTTTAAACTTATTCAAGCAAAAATTCTTAAAGAAATGGAAGAATCTTTAAAAATGGAAGCTTTGGTGGCCAAATTCCATTTGCCCTGTAATCATTATGGAACCTTACAAAACTGGCAGACGGTCAAATCTCGGTGCTCACATCTCCTAGGCCACCTGTTCTCCAGTCACTGCTACAACACTAGCTGCCTGCAGATGTCACCTGGAAACTCCTGGCCTCAGCTGAATCAGGTATCTTTCACTTTGTGGCCCAGTGTTTCTCTGTTGCTGCCAGGAAACATCCCTTTCACAAGAGGAACTGGGGTCAATGGATAAATGTTTCCCTCTTTTGCATGTTTTGGGCAGAAATTCTACACCATTTCTCAGAGGGTCCCCAGTAGAATTGAACTCCAGTTGCCCATGTCCTCTTTTCCTAGTTTGTTCTTCCCAGCTTTCAAGTCCTCTGCATTGGTAATATGTCCCCAAATAAATTACCTGCATGGCAGGCTCATGACTCAAATTCTGCATTTTGGAGGAGCCTAAACTTAGGCACTGCTCCATCCTGAGAAATAACCATGCTCAAATAAGGAGGGCAACCCTGCTCTGCCCCAGACTGATTTAGGAACTTCTTCCTCACAATTGCTATCCCTATTTCCCTATACTCATCTCTTCCAATGTAATGACTCTGGCTCAGAGCAGAGAAGAATGAAGATGTGTGAACATGACATTAGATTCCTGAATCAGTCCACCTCCACAGTCCAAGGCCATGGTGCGTGCTGAATTCATGGTCCTCTCTATTTAGCCTCCTGGAGACTGCTTGTCTGGCAGCTTCTCTTTCTTCCGGTACACTTAAAATTAATCTATGCATATAAGGCACAGTGATAGGTTTAGTAGAAGAGACAAAGTTGGATCAAATCCGACTTCTAACACAAAATTCTTCATTTAATCTGTCTACTTTCTTTTGTAATGCCAGATCATTTATTTTTCTGTTCCTGGTATAATAATCTCGTGATATGATCAATATGCAAGTACTTAAAATCATTCATGTAACACTGAGAATCATTCAATATTTTAGCTTTGGTCGGTTTTCTTGGGTGGGGGGTGGAAGAATGGGCAATTATTTGTATTTAAAAGTGTTTTTATAAATTGTTTTGCCTCTTCATTTTGTTAAGATTGTTTCCTAAACTTTCTGGAAGTGGGATTCATTAAATAAATAACATCATGATCATATATTATGAAAACAACAAAACATAGGATTGCCAAAATTGCAAAAGAATAAGGAAATGAGAAAATGTCCCTTGGAAATAATTACATAAGAAGTTTGTTTTGAAGATTAAAACATCCTTATGACTTTAGTATTCTGGAAACAAAATTTAGGAAGTTAGAAGATGAATGTATAAACCACAAATGAAAATAGCATGCATAGCATAAAAACACAGATTTCATCTAAGAAAAGTTTGAGTCATCATAAAAACTTGATCTTAAGTGTCCTAACCATAACTTTTTTTTTTTTTTTTTATGCAGAGTCTTGCTCTTGCTCTGTTGCCCAGGCTGGAGTGCAGTGGTGCAATCTTGGCTCACTGTAAACTCCGCCTCCCAGATTCAAGGGATTCTCCTGCCTCAGCCTCCTGAGTAGCTGGGATTAGAGGTGCACGCCACCACGCCCAGCTAATTTTTGTATTTTTAGTAGAGACAGGGTTTCACCATGCTGGTCAGGCTGGTCTCGAACTCCTGACCTCGTGATCCACCCACCCCAGCCTCTCAAAGTGCTGGGATTACAGGCATGAGCCATTGCGCTTGGCCAATCCATAGTATTTGTCAAGGTTATTTATTGTCCAATTTTTTGGTCAGAAATATTTTTGTTTTGATTTTTTCCTTCTGGGTTCTGTCCTTATATTCAGTAAAGACTTCTATACAATGCTGGTTTCAGAGTTGCTCTACTGGTGTGTTACTGAGCTAGTTCATTGATTGACATTTTTGAAGTAGTTAAAGACAAAAAATACGGGATCCAATTAGACATGGTGGAAATTATAGTGAAAATGGGGAAACAAGAGCTTGGTTGTGTGTCATTACTACTGTATGTTATACATAGAAGTAAATGTCTTCAATCAAATAATGTTTAATGTGCTCATATTAGTATCTGTGTATGACTGGAGCATGTGGGTGGACAGGTTCTTAACAGAATCCCTAATAGTTTCAAATGTGAGTCTAATTAAAATATCAAACAAGTCACTGACAGGAAAAATAGCATAAGGCCGTTGGAATGTCTATGACTAACTTGGTGAGACCTGTGAGCCTAACAAGATCAGGAGTTGGGAAAATGGTGTCTTTAATGTTCAATCAACTTTCTGTTAGCTGGGTGCCTTATCCTCAGTACCCACCTGCGCTGTTACATTACAGCACTAACTGCGGTATTATTCCTCTTCATGTAATAAATATTTGACAAACATTTATTTAGCACCTACTCTACCTGGCATTTTTCTGAGATCCGGAATGAAGAGATGAAAAAAGCTTGACACTTACTCCCTGTTTTAAAGTAGAAAAACAGTCAGATAAATGAATAATCACAGTGCAACTTAATAGGTATTCTGATGGACATAAGTACAAATTTCTTTATGCCTTGTTTCCTAGTAGTTTCTATAGTCATCCTTAGATTGAAAAAAAGACTGATTTTCCAACACAGCTGATAGGTAAAACGGATTTTTTCCAACTCTGCTTGTTGTCCGCTCTACTTTCAGTTTTTATTGCCTCTAATTACGGCCTCTGGATAATGATATAATCCCCATGTTGTGTCTGACTCAGTGAAGAAATAAATATTTGGAACATTTACATCCAAGATGTATTTACTTTTCTTCTTTCCTTTACTAGGAAGACAATTAAAACAGGCTGTCCATCACCACATGTCCTGTATGTTTTATAATCTTATAGACACACTGGTTGACAAACTGTGGGATTTTTAATTTCTGTAAACTTATGGGGTGCATGAGAAATTTTGTTACATGTATGTAATGCATAGTGATCACATCAGGATATTCAGAATGTCCATCACCAGAGTACAATACATTTTTATTAAGTACAGTCATCCTATGCTGCTATCAAACATTAAATTTATTCCATTTATCCTACTGTACATTTATACCCTTTAACTCACTTTTCTTCATCCTTTCCCTTCCCTCCCTTTTACCCTTCTCAGTCTCTTATCTATTTTTCCTCTCTCTGCCTCCATGTGTTCAAATTGTTAGCTTCCACATATAAGTTAGAACATGTGATGTTTGTTTTTTAGTGTCTAGCTCATTTCACTTAAGACAATGACCTCACATTCCACCCATGTTGTTGTAAATGACATAATTTCATTCTTTTTACGGCTGAATAGTATTCCAGTTGTATATATACATACTTGCTTTATCCATTCTTCCATTGATGGACAATTAGGTTGATTCCACATCTTTGCTATTGTGAATAGTCCTGTAATAAATACGTAAGTGCTGGTATTCATTTGATATATTATTTTCCTTTTGGTAGATACACAGAAGTGGGGTTGCTGGATCAAATGGTAATCCTATTTTTAGTGTTGTGAGACATTTCCATAGTGGCTGTACTAGTTTACATTCCCAAGAACAGTGTATAAAAGTTCTCGGCCAGGTATGGTGGCTGACGCCTGTAGTCCCAGCACTTTGGGAGGCTGAGGCAGGCGGATCATGAGGTCAGGAGATGGAGACCATCCCGGCTAACATGGTGAAACCCCGTCTCTACTAAAAATACAAAAAATCAGCCGGGCGTGGTGGCAGGCGCCTGCAGTCCCAGCTACTTGGGAGGCTGAGGCAGGAGAACGGCGGAAACCTGAGAGGCGGAGCTTGCAGTAAGCCGAGATCGCGCCAGTGCACTCCAGCCTGGGTGACAGAGCAAGGCTCCATCTCAAAAAAAAAAAAAGTTCTCTTTTCTCTGCATCCTCACCAACATTGTCATTTTTTTGTCTTTTTTAATAATAGCCATTCTGACTGGGGTAAGATTATACCTCATCGTGAGCTTTATTTGCATTTCTCTGATGATTAGTGATGTTGAACATATTCTCACATACCTGTTGGCCATTTATGTCTTCTTTTGAGAAATTTCTGTCATCTCTTTTGCCCACTTTTTAATGGGATTATTTGTGGAGTTTTTTTCATTTTTGTCCTGTTGAGTTGTTTTAGTTGCTTGAATATTCTGGTTATTGGTACCTTTTGGAAGAATAATTCACAAATATTTTCTTCCATTTGGCAGGTTGCTTCTTCTCTCTGTTGAGTATTTCTTTTGCTGTGCAGAAGCATTTATTTCAAGTAAGTGCAGTGTGTTTATTTTATTTTTGTTGCCTGTGCTTTTGAATCTTAGTCATAAATTATTTGCCTAAACCAATGTACAGGAGAGTTTTGCCTAGATTTTCTTCTAGTATTTTTATAGTTTCAGCTCTTATATTTAAGTCTTTAATTAATTTTGTGTAGTTTTTTTGTATATGGTGAGAGATAGGGGTCCAGTTTCATTTTTCTGCATGTGGCCATCCAGTTTTCCTAACACTATTTATTGAACAGTGTATCCTCCCCTAAATGTATATTTTTGTCAGCTTTGTCAATGATCAATAGGCTGTAAATATGTGGCTTCATTTCTGGCTTCTCTATTCTATTCCATTGCTCAATGTGTCTATTTTTATGCCAATGCCATGCTGTTTTGGTTATTATAACCTGGTAATATATTTTGAAGTCAGATAATGTGATGCCTCCTACTTTGTTCTTTTTGTTCAGGATTTCTTAGGGTATTGAGGGTCTTTTTTCATTCCATATACGTTTTAGTAATTTTTTAAGTTCTGTGAAGAATGGCATCAGTATTGCTTTGAATCTGTAGATTTTTTGGGGCAACATGGTCATTTAAATAATATTAATACTTCTGATCCATAAGCATATAAAGTGTCTTTCCATTTGTTTCTGTCATCTTCAATTTATTTCATCAGTGTTCTATAGATTTCCTTGTCAAGAACTTTCACCTCCTTGGTTAAATTTATTCCTAGGTACTTTAATTTTGTTGCTGTTGTTGATAACTATCGTAAATGGGATTGCCATCTTTATTTCATTCTTAGCTAGATCAGTATTTGTGTATAGAAGGCTACTAATTTTTGTACATTGATTTTGAATCCTATAATTTTACTGAGTTCATTTATCACATCTAAGGCTTTTTTTGTTGTAGTCATTAGGTTTTTCTACATATAAGACCATATCATCTGTAAAGAGGGACAATTTGACTTCCTCTTTTCCAATCTGGATGGCTTTTATTTATTTCTCTTGCCTGATTCCCCTGGGTGGGGCTTACATTACTATGTTGAAGAGGAGTAACGAAAATGGTCATCTTTGTCTTGTTTTAGATCTTAGAGAAAAGGCATTCTCTTTTTCTCCATTCAGCATTATGTTGGCTCTGAGTTTGTCATATATGGCTTTTGTTATTTTAAGGTATGTTTCTTCTATGCATATTTGTAAACAGTATTTATCATGATAGGACACTTCATTTTATCAAATGATTTTTCTGCACTCATTGAGATTATCATATCGTTTTTATACTTCATTCTGTTGAAGTAATATATCACATTTATTGATTTGTGTATATCAAACCATTTTGGCATCCCTGGTATGAATCTCACCTGATTATAGTGTATTATCTTTTTGATGTACTGTTTTATTCAGTTTGCTAGTGTTTTGTTGAGGATTTGACATCTCTGTTCATCGGGTATATTGGCTTGTAGTTTTCTTTTTATGTTGTATCCTTGTCTGGTTTTATTGTCAGAGTAATGCCGGCTTCATAGAATATGGGTAATTTCCTCCTCTTTAAGTATTTGGAATAGTTTCAAGTGGATTGGTATTAGTTCTCCTTTGTACATTTGGTAGAATTTGGCTGTTTATCCATCTGGTTCTGGGTTTTCCTTTTTGGGGATACTTTTTATTACTGATTCAATCTAGCTACTCATTTTTGGTCTGTTTGTATTTTCTATTCCTTCCCGATTCAGTCTTGGTAGGTTGTGTGTTTCCAAGAATTTATTCATTTCCTATAGGTTTCCCTGATGGTCGGTCTATAGTTATTCATAATACTCTGTGATTATCTTTTGTATTTCTATGGTATCAGTTGCAATATCTCCTTTTTCATTTCTAATTTTGTTTATTCAGATTTTCTCTTCTCTCTTCTTGGTTAATCAGTTAGGGATTTTCAATTTTGTTTATCTTTTTTAATAACCAACTCTTTTGTTGATCCTTTGTATTTTTTTGTCCCTATTACCTTTAGTTCTGCTCTGATCTTTATTTGTTTTCTTCTATTATATTTGGCTTTGGTTTGTTCTTGATTTTCTGGTTCCTACAGGTGCATTGCTAGATTGTTAGTTTGTGATTATTCTCCTATTAATGTAGGCTTTTATTCCTGTAATCTTCCCTCTTAGCACTGTGTATCCCACAGGTTTTAGTATGTTGTATTTCCATTTTCTTCTTTTTAAGGAATTTTTAAATTTCCATTTTAATTCCTTTCTTCTCCCAATCATCATTCAAGAGCATGTTCTTTAATTTCCATGATTTTCTATTATTTCCAGTGTTCCTGTTGGTATTGATTTTTCATTTTATTTCATTTTGATTTGAGAACATTCTTAATATAATTTTGATTTTTAAAAATTTGTTGAGACTTGTTTTGTGGCCTTACATATGTTCTATTCTGGATAATAGTCCATGATTTTATAGAAAGAAGATATATTCTGCTGTTACTGGATAAAATGTTCCATTAATGTCTCTTAGGTCTATTTGGTCTAAAGTCCAGTTTAAACCCAATGTTTCCTTGTTTATTTTCATCAAGATGATCTGTTTAATGCTGGGAAAGGGTGTTGACGTCCCCTACTTTATTGTATTGCAGTCTTTCTTTGTTTTGATCTAGTAATATTTGCTTTGTGTAGCTGAGTGCTCCAGTACCGGATGCATATATAGTAAGAATTGTTACATTCTCTTGCTGGATTGATCCCTTTGTCATTGTATAGTAATCTTCTTTGTTGAAACTGCCATCAGAGTGAATAGGAAACCTACAGAATCGGAGAAAATTTTTGCAATCTACCCATCTGACAAAGGGCTAATATCCAGAATCCACAGTGAACTTAAACAAATTTACAAGAAAAAAATCAAACAACCCCATCAAAAAGTGGACAAAGCATATGAACAGACACTTCTCAAAAGAAGACATTTATGCAGCCAACAGACACATGAAAAAATGCTCATCATCACTGGCCATCAGAGAAATGCAAATCAAAACCACAATGAGATACCATCTCACACCAGTTAGAACGGCGATCATTAAAAAGTCAGGAAACAACAGGTGCTGGAGAGGATGTGGAGAAATAGGAATGCTTTTACACTGTTGGTGGGAGTGTAAACTAGTTCAACCATTGTGGAAGACAGTGTGGCAATTCCTCAAGAATCTAGAACTAGAAATACCATTTGACCCAGCCATCCCATTACTAGGTATATACCCAAAAGATTATAAATCATGCTACTATACAGACACATGCACACGTATGTTTATTGCAGGACTATTCACACAATAGCAAAGACTTGGAACCAACCTAAATGTCCATCAATGATAGACTGGATTAAGAAAATGTGGCACATATAAACCATGGAGTACTACTATGCAGTCATAAAAAAGGATGAGTTCATGTCCTTTGCAGCGACATGGATGAAGCTGGAAACCATCATTCTCAGCAAACTATTGCAAGGACAGAAAACCAAACACTGCATGTTCTCACTCATAGGTGGGAATTGAACAATGAGAACACTTGGACACAGGGAGCGGAACATCACACACCAGGGCCTGTCGTGGGGTAGGGGGAGGGGGGAGGGATAGCATTAGGAGAAATACCTAATGTAAATGATGAGTTAATGAGTGCAGCAAACCAACACGGCACATGTATACCTATGCAACAAACCTGCACGTTGTGCACATGTACCCTAGAACTTAAAGTATAATAATAATAAAAAAAAAACCACAGACCAATGAAAGTTCAGAATTGCCAGTGGATACACAATTAACTAAGTATTGAGTTATTCATTACCAATCAAAATTAAGTGCTATTTAAGCACCCAAACAAATGGCAATTATTTACATTTGAGTTGAGTGACTATAGATAACAAACTGTCCAAACATTTTTTAAGTGTTTGTTCTTTAGGACCCTCAGAGACTATAATAAAATGGAACACGTTTATATAGATAAATACTACATTATGTTTGTACAAATAAACAGAATTCAAAAATAATAATAATAATCTTCTCTGTCTTTTTTACTGTTCTTCACTTAAAGTCTCTGTTATATAAGTATAGCTACTTCTGCTTGATTTTGGTTTTCACTTGCGTGTAATATGCTTTTCTATCTCTTTACTTTCAGTCTGTATGTGGCTTTACTGGCAAGGTGAGTTTCACGTAAGCAGTATATAGCTGAATCATGTTTTTTAAATTTATTCTGCCATTCTATATATTTTAAGAGCAGAATTTAATCCATTTATGTTCAAGGTTGTTATTGATATATGAGGCTATGTTCCTGTCATATTGTTAACTATTTTTTGCTTGTTTTATATATTCTTTGTTCCTTTCTTTTTGTCTTATAGTTTTCTCTTGTGGATTGGTGGATTTCTGTAGTGTTATCATTTGCATCCTTTCCCTTCCTCTTGTGTATGATTGCTTCACCAGTGAGTTTTATAGTTTAGTGTGTTTTCATGATGGTAAATGTCACCCTTTCACTTCTAGCTTTAGAATTCCTTTGAGTATTTCTTTCAGAGCTAGTCTAGTGGTAATGAAATCCTTCAGCATTTGTTTCTCTGTGAATGACTTTATCTCACCTTCATTTATAAAGGAAAATTTTGCTAGATGTAGTATTCTTGGGTGGAAGATTTTTTCCTCCAACATTTTGAGTATATCTTCCCATTCTCTTCTGATGTGGAAGTATTATGTTGAGAAATCCACTGTTAGTCTGATGGGGTTTTCTTTATAGGTAGCTGAACACTTTTCTCTTGCTGTTTCTAGAATTTGTTTTTAACTTTGACTTTAGACACCCATAGGGAAAACCTGTTTGCATTTTATCTGTCTGGGCACATTGAACCACCTGAATCTGAATGTCTAAATCTCTTGCTAGATTTGGAAATTTTCATCTATTTTTGCATTGAATAGATTTTCTAATCTTTTCTTTGTTTCTTCACCCTCAGGTATACTGATAATTTGTTTATTTTTTCATTTTATATTGTCTCAAATATCACAAAGCCTTTGCTCTTTCTTTATTATGTTTTCTTTATTTTTATCTAACTGAATTATTTCAAAAGGCCTGTCTTCAAATTTTAACATTTTTTCTTCTGCTTGAGCTAGCCTATTATTGACACTTTTAAACGTATTTTATATTTCCTTTAATGAATTCTTAAGTTCTAAGCTTTTTATTTGGTTTGTATTAAAAATATCTACCTTTTCAGTAAATTTATCATTTGCATTCTGATTTTTAAAAATTTATTTCTATTGTCTTTCAGAATTCTCGAAAATATCACTGAGTATCCTTAAAAAATCAATATTTTGAATTCCTTATTTGGAACTTTGAAAATTTCTTTTTGATCAAGATATATGCTAGAGAATTAATGTTTTCCTTTTGAGGTGTTATATTTTCTTGCTTTTTTATGTTTCCTGTATCCTTATATTGATTTCTGGGTATGTGGTATAAAAGGAAATTTTCCTATTTTGGAATTTTCTTTAGTAGGGGATAACTTTTTTCTGAAGATGTATTTATGGTGTTTGGTGGGTCAAGTACTTTGGCTTTGATTCTGGGTGCATGGAGTACCATAGTCTGTGTGATTACTTTGGCTGTAAACATCATTAGTTGTATCTGTAATGTCCCCTATACTACACTAGGTGTACAATAGGTTATACCATCTAGATTTATGTAAGTGCATACTACGGTGTTCGAACAATGACAAAATCACCTAATGAGGCATTTCTCAGAATGTAGTCCTATTATTAAGTACTGCATTTTTGAGCATCTGCATCCAACCCAATAGCTGTTGCGGAACTTGCAAGTGGTGGAGCCAGGTTAGCCCATTATTCTGACTGGAGAGGATGTGCTTTTAGCTGGGTCATAACTATCTCATAAAATTGTTTATTCCTGCATGCAAAACACTTTATATGCTTGGCATATTAAAAGTGATTAATAAATTTGAACTATTATCATGCTATATAAAGAATGATACAGATCATAACTTGTGAATTTTGTTGGCCATATTGTGAAATACCAAAGTGTGAAACAAAACGAGAAGGGAAGAAGTAAAGCTTTTATCCACAGCAATTATGTTCAAATTAATAATATATAACAACAAATAAATAGAAATTGTTATTCTTATGTTAATACTTTTGTAGTAACAAAATTAATTTTGTTAATGAAAATTTTGTAGGTATAAATTTTAGGGGTTAAGAAATGAATGGAAATTTTGTTGATTAAAAAAAGAATTAGTAGTCTAGTAAAGGTTAAGTTCTACATTGTACTTACTTACAAGGTCAATACTAATGCTAGAATTGTAACCATGTAGATGTTAACTAAATGCTAATATATACAAACATGTCAGGGTAAAACATTTAACCTCAAGAATTTTTTTTCCTTTCTTTCTTTCTTGTTTCAAAAAATATCACAGGTTTTTTAATGGGATACATTAATTCATTTCCATCATCTATTTTTTATTCTACCAGGGGTAAATATATACACTTTAAAGTAAAAAAGCAGAGTTCACAAGACTTACATTCTACAACTTTATTATTTTTAGGGTTTGAAGGCTAAAACAAACATCAGAAGAAACTTTCAGAAGATGTTTTAAGCAAGACATAATAGCACTAAGACACTAAAAGACCCTATTAAGTTCCTGAACATACTAACAAAAATTTATTGAGCAAGTATTTTGCGCTGGGCTCTGTGTGATTCCTAATATCATTAACCATTATTAAATCTGTTTATTATCATCAGCATGTCTAGTCTTACAGTAGAGTGGGGTTGGAAAAATCAACAAAGATGTGTTTCAATAGAAATTTTCAAATAAATAAAGGGAAAGTGCACTACAATGTTTAGCCAAGGATTGGGGGTAAAACATATATTATATATTGAAGCATGGCTTGCTTATTTTCACCTTCTTTCTGTTATCTTTTATCCAGCATTCTCAGAATAAAATGAGATTTTTGAAACAGAATAGAACTTAGATCAAAATTTTAATACAGTAAGAATAAGTATCCTGGATAAATAAGAATCTGAGAAAGTCAAGACTTCAAAATCCTCCCCTTCCAGTGAAAAGCGTTAGCAGAAAGTTAACAAATTAACCAGATGAATTCATCAACTTTCAACATTTTCTGTACAATTTTATTGATTCTGGGAGCATCTGGGTCCAGGCAGATTTTTTCTCCCATCTTACAGAGTGGCTCTGCAAGAGAGAATAGAATTATCTGTGGGTGTCCTGGCCTGAATATCAGAAAGGATCTGTGAGACTGGAGGAAATGAATGCAGATGGGGATGGAGGTAGAGGGCTTCCCTGATGAGGCGATAGCACAGAAGCAGTGGCTTACATTACTTCGTCTTTGCTGCAATGGGGTCCTGCTGAGACCAACTCCAAATTGTGGATGTTTCTGGGATGAAGTACAAAGGTTGACTTCACATACACGCAGCGCAGTTCAGTGTACAAGTCACTGTCTACACTTACAGCTGGGGTAAAAAGTGATCTATTAGTGGTCGTGAATATTTTTCTCAGTTCTCTCAATTGTAAATTGAAGGTAATTGTACCTCTCTCATAAAGCCATTGTGAATATGATCTGTAAAGCTTTAGTAAAGTGCCCAGCAGAATGCCCAGCAAATGTGAAGTGCCCCCTCTCTGTGACCCCTCCACTTGGATTTGTTGTTATAATGGCACTCTCCAGCCCCAGGAGCACCAAGCCAGTCTTTCTCCCAGATACAGGTATAGCAGAAGCAGCAACAGGTGCAAGGAACAGATCTCTACATTTCCTTTTCCCTATGTTTCTCTTAGTTTGTCCATTGGTGGAGGAACCCAGAACAGTCAACAGCAGCACCTGCAGGGCACAAAGTGATCTGGCACAGCTGCAGGGTGGCATTGAGTCTGAGGCTTATGGTGCAGAAGCCGAAGTTAAAGATGTTTCTAGAGCCTGAAGACTTCCTCTTGAGGGTGAGTTGCTGCCTACAAGTCTGCAGTTAAGTGGCTTTTCATACCCCTTGATGTCATTTATATGCTCTCCCTTGAAGTCAGTAAGGAGAAAGAGGTAGGGAAGGGGGAAGTGAGGGTATGTGGTGATACACACACACAAGCTTGTCAAGCTGTGCCCAACACAGGTCAAAATTCCTACTAAGTTGCATGTTATGCATCACTTCACATTCCCACTCTCCCTTTCTCAATACCTATCTCCCTTACACATGTGTAAGGACTCTACTTAGGAAGGTAAGAACTAGACTGAAACACTACATATATTTTCTTTGTATGAGCCTGTAACAATATGTGCTGTCTTTCCTACAACACAGTTTATAGGCTTTGTTTATAGGCTCCTATAGACACTTTAGGGGCACCTGAAACCACAAATATATGGCCCTGCGCCAAAGACAGCAGATGTTCTTTGGGACCGTATGGATAAAATAAGAGCCAATTATCATCAGAGGCTTACTTTGGATTTTAGCTTACTGAATTCTTTCTGCCTTAGAAATAAATTTTATAATTTTATCAAGAAACTACAAACAAAACTCATTCTCTCTTTTGTTTTTTTTTTTTTTTTTAGTTTTCAAGCCAATTTTTCTTATTGTTGAACAATTATTCACTATGCCTACTGAAGTTATTTGGAACTGTTTTTAAGTGTGATAACCTACAGGTCACATTTTACAGTTTACATTATAAGTAAGCAGACTTCCAAATTAACCCACCTTGGAAAGGTTTGGTGACTTGATGTTGACATTCTATCTCTGAGTAAAGCATTTTATTATGAGTTCCTCAGATTGTTGACGTACTGATTAATGTAGAACCTGATGACACTGAATAGGACCATGATTTATTTCTAAGTTACACTGAAACAAGAAGTTTTCTGATTGTTTTGCACGTAGACATTTAGCCTGTATGTAGTAATCTAATGATTGTAACTCCTTTATTTTATCCTCCGATGAAAAAGAGGACAACTCTGGTATGAGGAGCCTTCCTCTCTTCTTCTAAACTTTCCCATAAAGCCCTTTTAGCTTATGAAAGACTCTAGAACACCCCCAACTTTGTTGATGTGTCTTTCCAGGTCTGTCTTCCCATTTGGCTTTCAATAAACTTTTCTAAAATTATTTATGCCTCCACAGAAATAATTTCAGTAGATAAATGTATTTCTTATTTTTTCCACCCTACTTAATTTTTTCTTATAAATTAGAGTTTAGCAGTAGAAAATATTGAACTAAAATAATTTTTCTTCCCATCTCAACACAGAACTGTCTAGTCTTAAGCAAGCTTAAAAGAAGGGCACAAGCTGAGAGTTTGGCTTCTTCTGAGAGCTGAGATATGGAGTCAATAGCAAAGAGAAGCTCAGCAGGACACAGAATGAGGAGAACAGGCTTCTTTCTAGCTCCTCCTGCAGGATGACTTTACAACCTTTTCTTGTTATTGAGATTGAGATATTGTGAATTCTCAAGTCAGATACATTTTCATTCAATCATAAAATCAAAGCTATCTCCAGAGCAAGATATAAAGGTCTTTAGCACTATTCATAGTATCTTTCATTTTCTGTTCAACCCCTTAAACACATTGTTGAGAATATTTATTAGCTTCACTGGACACTTTTTTTCTTTCCATACTAACCCTATGCAGATTTCTTTCCTCGTTCATTAGTAAGATTTCCAAAAAGTTCCTAATCCTTTTGAGGAAACTACAGGAAAAGTCTCCTGAAGTAATGATGTTTTTGAGTGAGTTGACAGTAGGAAAGAGGTAGGCATGGATCACAGTATCTTTGAGTAATTGCCTTAATCAGCAAATGTGGCTTGTCACAAAAGACACATCATCAGCAAGGGTCATGAGGAAGTAGTAACAAATTTCATGAGTCATCAAAATTGTATAAGCCTATTAGTCAGCTTTTAATATAAAACAACTTTTTGCTAATTTTCATTAACTCAAAAAATATTGATTAAGCATCAATTATGTGCCAGGCTTTATGAAGTTCGCTTCTTTGCATGACTTAGTCATTTTAACTATTTCTTTTTTAAAAGCGAGGCCTAAAAACTTTGTGCAAAGTAATGGGCTATGAGTCATACTCTACTATTACGACAATGATGACAACTGCTACTGTTAACTGCTATTACTATCATTTGCATCATTCCCTTCAATTTCCAAGATCAGAAACACTATACACACAGTGATAAACTGTACAAAAATGGTTAAAAGATATTTTTTAAATGAGTAATTCAGTTGAAAGCAATTAGCTTATACAAAATTATGATTTAAATAAATGCTAGAAGTAGAAAAAAAGTCAGGTTTTTTGGTTTTAAAATAACTTCACAGCCTTTTTATAAATCTTGCATTGTCACTGTGGCTTTGTGTATGTGTGTATATTGCAGGAGGTAAGTTATTTTATCTCTTTTCGCTTTAAGTCATATAAATGCAGAGTCATTCAGGAAACAAGCAAGTTATCTAAGACCTAAAGCACATCTTATGTTAGCTATTTTAAAACAAAATTATCTAGAGACACTGCAGGACCACTATTCATAAAATTCAGACATAGACTAGCTCTTTTCTGCCTCACACAGCACATTCTTAACACACTTTTCCCAAATCCTTTCAAGTATGAAGGAAATAGACTGCCACCTGCAAATGCAAATTAATCACAAAAACAATTGCTTCAGAAAATGCTTAGGGATAGTACAATTTTCTATAAGTTTGTTAAAGTATCTTAATCAATAAATTAAAATATTAACCAGCAAAAGATTTTCTATAAGTGCTGAAACCAAACGTGCTTTCTGTGTAACTGTTAGTTGATAAGAATTGTTCAGATGTCAATTACTCTGGCACTCAAGTTAATTGAGGTTTTACTGTCTACTGCCCACAGGTGAAGCATGGGCTGAAAGTGGGAGGAGAGTGGGGAGGGTGAAGGAGTTGAGGGGGAAGTATCTTTCTGGGTACTATTACATACAAGTACTTCAAAGTTTTGCAGGCTTCAGAATTTATACTTTAAATTATGTTGATAAATGCCATTTATTGAATCTCAAATGTATGAAAGGTACACAGTTTCTCTACATACTCATTCATTTGAGGAAATTCTAGCATAATGTTGTTCTAGAGCCTGCAAACACATTCAATTGTTACCAAGTACCATTAATCCTCTTTTATTTGTAATAAGTCAACCTTACTTTCTGTGGCTTAAAATAAATATATTATTTCTGATATATCTGCATGTTAATGTGAGGTTCTTCGGTTAAGCTCACTTCAGTGAGCGCAGTCGGAAGCAACTGAAATGGTTAAAAATAAAAAATGGCCTCATTCACATGGGAGGTGGTTGGTGTTGGCTGTTGGCTGAGATTTCCCCTGGGGTACTTGGGTCCTTCTCCGCCTCTTTTTTAAGTACAATTATTTTACTTCCATGAATAAACAGAAATAAGGCATGGTGGGAAGGAAGGAGAAAAGATAAGAGAAGGAGAGAGAAAAGAAGGAAAAGGAAAGCAGTAACAAATTAGAAAGAAAAAAAAGACAACATAAGCCCCTCCAACTCCCTCCTCCTCTCTTCCTTCTCTCCTCTCTTCTGTCTTCTAGCCCTTCTCACTTCTCCTCCCCTTTTTTGATCCCTTTCCCTTACTGAAAAATCTTTAGTTTCTGTGTGAAAATGGAGTATATTTTCTGCAAAAAGATCTTAACTTAGACCTAAAGCTCTTATCTTTGTAATTTCTAGATGATAAGGATTCTGCACAGGGTCAGATATATAACAAGATTATTAATTAATATCAATAAATATTTGATTGATGAATGTTTATATGAAGGAAAATACATCATACATTTTGGTAGTACCTATGTAACTGACAGAAAACATATACAAAGTATACATTTAACAGTGCTTTGTTGTAAAGACTCATAGCTTATACTAACTTTTGCAAATCCATACTAATATAAATATATATAACATTAATCCAACTGCAGTTTGAGTGTATGTATATACATACTAATAGGGTTAGTCTTTCTTTCCTTTTCTTACTTTTCCTAAGATGAGATATTTTATATGAAACTTATTTTTAGTAATGTTCTTTCTATCATCTCTAATAAGAAAAGTATAGACTCTTAGAGCCAGATATTTCTAGGAAGTTAAACAGATATTTTCATTTGATTCAACAAAAAGTTATTTGACACTCCACAATCTAAATACTATATAGGTCTACTTACATTTTAATTTCACAGTTTATACACTTTGATTAATTCTAAATACAATCTCTTTACATCTGGAAACTTTTCTGAGTTTTTCCAGTGCCTAGAAGGAAAAGATAAGAGCCATAGCTGGCTTACCAAATGTGCCAAACACAATGACAGCCATCAGGAGGAGTGCTGGTGAGTTCTGAATACCCATGTCTGTACTTGATCTTGATCCTGGTCTAAATGGTGGAATCAATACTGCAGCCCACCTGCATGTGCTCTCTACAACCCTGAGAATGGTTTATTGCTCTCCTCCTACTCTCTCCCCACTAAAGAACAAAAGTTACAGTTTATCAAGTAGCTTGCTTGTCACTTATAAGCCAATAAAGACACTGAGTTTGTTTTTCAATCATTGTTTTAATTGGGGTTTTAGGGACATGATGAGATGAGTTTGTTGAATAGAGAAACGAGTCTATTACGTCCTGGGGGTGAAACTGCATAATTGAGAAGGAGTCAATGCCAGTTGTGGTTAATGGTGACTTACAAAATGGAGTCTTGAGAATATCTATGCAACTTTACCAATGACATGTTTGTACAAAGCAGGGAATTAAGACACACTTCCTCAGAGAGTACTTGCTTTTGTATTTTGTACCTATTTGCATAATCCCATTTAAACTATTAATAGAATTTGTCAAACTAAAAGTATATGTACAGCTTAGATATGCTGCAGAGAATTCAAGTTCAGACTATGACTTTTTTCCTGTCAAAAACTGCAAACTACCATTTACTTGTTGTTTCAAGACAGCTGTTTCCATGGGCTTGAAGTTTAATTAATTAAGAGTGACCTATGAGCTGTGATTTTGTTTCTTAAGCAGTTTCATAAGTGACCTTACTTATCCCATAGTGACCACATTTTAATTTTTGCATTAAAAAAATCAAACAACAAAACATTTTAATTGGTTTTCTAGGGCTACCATAACAAAGTATCATAGACTAGATGGTTTAAACAACAGAATTTTTTTTTATCTTAAGGTTCTGGAGCTTGGAAGTCCAAAATCAAGGTTTGACAGGTTGTTTCTTTCTGAGGACTATGAGAGAAGAAGTTGTTCCAGGTATGTCTACCTGCTTAGTAGATGGTCATCTTTATGTTTACATGGTGTTTTCCTTGTATGCATATCTGTCTCCAAATTTTCTCTTTTGATAAAGTTACAGGCCATATTGAATTAGGGGCTCACCATAATAACCTCATTTAACTGGATTACCTCTTTAAGGATCCTGTGTCCAAACAAGATCACATTCTGGAGTATTGGGAGTTAGGATTTCAATGTATAAATTTGAGGTATAATTCAACTCAAAACAGCATTTAACTGAAGAACTGGTGATTACTGGAGAGTTGATACACTCTGAAAGCAAAACTTGCCCAAATAATAACATCTTTCTTTTGCTAATTCTCATTGAGCATCTATTACCTGCCAGGGCCCTTGCTTGACACTAAGTATTTGAAGATAATAACAATTGAGTTTCTGCTTTTGAGATGTTCACAGTCTATTTTAAGAGACAGACATGTAAACACGTTAAACTAGAAGGTGATCTGTGTTATAATAGTTGTATACCAGAGACATTATGGAGGCTATGAGGAAGGAAGACTTTCCCCATGGCAGTCAGGGGAGACCTTATAGGGCACATAACATTGAACTGGTGAAAAGGTAAAAGAAAACTCATCACTTTAAAAAAAAAAAAGGCTGATATGCATTTGAGACAGAGAAATGCATAAAGTGGCACAAAGAAGATCTAAGTATGTTAAGGAAGGGGAGAAAAGCTATTTCAATTTTAAAATGAGATGTATTAATAACCTGAAAACATTTAATTGACTGATCACAACTTCGCCTTTGTGCAAATCAAAAAGCTGCAAATAAGCTATAAGTATTATTCAGAGACAACCTTGATTTCCTTGAATCTCATTTTCCCTCCGTACCAAATAAAGGTAATAAAATGTTGTGCTATCAATGCATACGGCATTATGATGATAAAAAGAAAGTACATAAATATGTTTTATTATATAAAATATTTACTTACACTGAGATCCAATGTGCTATAATCATAACAATTGTTTATTGTACTGTGCTTTGTGTCAACATTGCTCTATGAATTTTTGTTTGTTATCCAGAAACTTTACAAAGGGTATTTCTAACTTATAAACAAGATATAGAACTATCAGAATATCAGAATGGTGAATAATTTAAAATAGTCAAACATTCCTAGCAGCTCCTCATTTTAAAAGGTAGAATCTATTTTCCAGGCCCCTTGATTCTATGTTGACCGTATGACTTGCTTTGGCCAATAGGATGTGATAAAAGTGATGTTGTAGATGTTCCAGGTCAAAAAGGCAAGGAGCCTAGGAGCTTCTACTCCTGCCCTCTTGGAATGCTTCTGCCACCATATGAAGACAGCCAAGCTCACCTGCTAAAGGCACTAGGCCCAGCCACCAACCAGACACATGAATGAGAAAGGCCCACTCAGTCACCAGGAGACTAACTATACCCCATGAGTGACCCAAAGAGACACCATCAGAAGAACCAACCAACTGAGCCCAGCCCAAGTTGTAGTACCACATAGCCCAAATTAATGACCCTTAGAGACATGAACCAGAATAAAATGGTGGTTTATTTTAACTCACTGCATTTTGGGGAGACAACAGGTAACTGACAGAGTAACTCAGCAGGCTACATAAAGTGGCTGAACACATTTTATACTTTAGTTATTTGGCTAAATATGCACAATATTATCTTTAAAGTTATCTAAATAATTTTAGTTAGTTGGCTAAATATGCACAATATTATCTAAAAATGCACAATATTATCTTTAGACTATCATAAAGTGGCTCATAACATGAATGGTTGCTAGTTATTAATTAGTACCCTGAGATTGGTTATACAAATTTTACAAAGCTAATCTTATGACCAAGATACAAGCCAACACTCCTCAGCAGTCTGAAAATAATCTACTTTAATGAAAATCACCCTATATTAAATATCAGAAAACTGAATTCTAACCCATTTTCATAATAAAATAGTTTTGTGATATTTGACAACTCTGCGATGGTCTCTGAGCCTTCACAGTCCCATCTATAAAATGAGAAGACTGTTTTTTTTGTGTGTGAGCTCTCAAGTTTTGAACCAAATTCCTGTCTGGCTGCCAAGGGGTTAGTCCCCAGTCTCAACATTTGATTTGTTATTTCCTCTCCATGTGATCTGGCTTCATTTTTTAGGGAATTTTTTAAAGCAACAGCAACAATTCCAACTAACTTACACTAAAAAAGGAAAGATTTATCACTTTTAATGTGAAGGACAAAAATGTCAGTAGTAGTACTAACCTCTTCACAGGTGAACATGAGGTCCTGGATGTGGTATAGTAGACTCTTCAGCTTTAGAGCCGATGGATCCAGATTCCAGGTTTTAATTTTAAGCATAGCAGAGGAAGAGAAGTCAGAGGCTGATGCCCTGCTGTTGGGGTGATTTATTTCTCTACTTTAAACACAACAACTCCAATTTCTTGGTTTGAGTTGGTTTCACAATTTCTGCAGAAGAAGAAAGCAAACACTCAAAACAGCCCCTTTGTGAGGTCAAGAACTGATTTGTGCACAGCAATTGGCCAGTGTGGTTAGGCATTCTCCTATTATGAGCTTTCATTTATTTCTGCCTCCTTTCCCATTTTTCTTCCTCTGGTATTATAGTCCTTAATACTTTCTTTGATGTGACAATTTTGTTTCTGTCCTAAGAACCTGGGGTGCTACTGTCTTCCTGGGACAGCATTGAATACAGAGTTCCCCAGAGGGCTTTCTCAAGATAAACACTCTTATCAGGTCCCATGAAAATTCCAATAGGAAGAATGCTAACTAATGCAGCCAAATTTTAAAACCATTATATTTTGTATATTGGTAAAAAGGATTGAAACAACATGAAACTTAGTAGTAGTTATCTAGCCACTCACTTTTTCTGCCTCTATTGATATGAGTTTTGAAAAAGAAAACATTTTACTCACCATTTCACTGCCAACTTTTTGATGTTAGGGCCCCTGAAGTCCAAAGTCCAAAGGAGATATATTTAGCTTATTTGGTGTAATAAAATCATGCAGGGAGCATTGTCACATATAAAATGGTGCTTAACATCCTCTGATTTCTATTTCTATAAATGTGTTATTGTATGTTTTTCAAAATTGAGATTCCTGTGATTCTCATATGTCTTTAGTATATGTTATAAGTAGTAATTACAATTATTATGCAAATTTGTTTTATGTCACAGAAATAATCAAATTTTCTTGTAAATTGTGTCTTCAGTCATGATTGTTCTAAGACTTTGGTCATCCACTATTGTTGTTTCACTTTGATACTTTTATGTGGCAGTTTATAATCAGCTATAGAGCTCTGAGAAGTACCTTAAATATAGGTTTCTAATGAATTTAGAGATTGTGCCGTTGGAATAGAGAAAAAAAACACTTTCAGGACTTCATAGAAAGCTAATACATTCATAAGGACTGGTGGTCAAATATCAGGCCAAACAAAAGTTAGTAACATGGACTAAAGTGATTAAAACAACCTAAATAATCATTTTGTGATTTTTTTTGTTTTTGCCTAAAATGTTGCTGATCCTTTATGCTTTCTTTTTCAGAGTCAGTAAAACTTTTTTTCTTTTGAGGTATACATAGATTTCAGCAATTGAGTAAGATATATTCCTATGAGCAAAATTTGGAGCACGTTTCTTTCTCTCTACATGATTGCTCCAGAATTTGGAAACTATTAGAGTATTCTTAAGGCAATATAGCTATCAGCATAAATACAACAAGAATCTGTTTTAGGACAAAATTGGAGACACTAGTAATTTTTACAAATGCATTGACTGGAATGAGAGGCTTTCAACTATGAATACACTCCTTTAAGGAATCAAAGTTTATTTACAGAACCAGTAATAGCCCCTTGGCAAACTGGCCTCATACATTGTCTGTGCAATCCCTGTACAGGATTCCTGACCTGTAGTAAGTAAACAACGTCACTTTATGAAAGGTCCTGGAGCCCCAAATTATCTTGGGTCCTTGAAAGAAGAGGAATTTCATCCAATTCATACAGATGTTTGCAGGGACAGATAAATCCATAGCTGGACTCCAGGCTTAAAAAATCTAGTCTAAGATTCCTTATGGAACGAAGATTCATAAAAGCCTATCTTAAAAGAGCCTATGTGGCAAATAATTATTCTTCCTGCATTTTATGCAAATAATCAGGCCAAGTATAATAAGACTAAACCTTATTTTGCAATACATTGTTCCTACTATGATTTTATCTTTAGTAAAATTGGGGAATTAGAGTAAAACCATGTTTCAGAGTAATATACAGTGCACCTGTTATTTGGACATAATTCTAAAATATTTCCTGTCTGTGAATCTCCAAAATAATGTTTTCAATTTTTTCCTTCTTTTCCTTTTTTTCTGATTTTTCCTGATTTGAAATCACTGTGCTTCTCTTAAAGCCCTGTGAACTGAAACTAGACAACTTAAACCTCAGAAGAAAATATCAACAACCTATTTGTATACATAAATTGCTTTCATACCTGTCTACTGATGTATGGGTTTCAAAGTAGTATGGCCTATATCAGTTTTCCAAGATTGTTTTCTTTTTTATGTTTGTTTGTTGTTTCTTTTTTCCTCCCTCCTCCTATTTTTTATTTGTAGGACGTGAGACTTCAAAAACTGCTGAAAATGAGCTTTTCTAACAATGTTGGGCCTATTTGTCTAGGAATAAATCATCCTAGCAACGAGAGATCAGACAAAACCCAAGATTAGATACTAATTTTCTTCCAAAATGCTTTCTCAGAAAAATTGTAAAAAGAGGGGAAAATGTGAATGGAAAATGAAATCTTGGGACCCCAATTTACTCTGCCAAAAGAAAAGAAAATTAAGCTGAAAGGTGAGTCATGCAAGAAGCTGCCTTTCCTTTTGTTCCTAAGCAGAAAGGTACAAATAAAAAGTTAAATACCACCATGGGTAGCTACTCTATGTTTACTTTATCTTATAAAGAGCATCAGACCAATACAAAGTTGACTATTTCCGTAACTGCTACTTTTCTCTTGCAATATGTGGGGTCAGTAATGTGACCGTGCCTTCTCTCTGACCCCTCCAGGCTCTCTCGCCTTTAAACATTAAAGCCCTCAAAATCATCTTTGGAAAAATGCACGGACCTGTCCCACAGATGAGTGACATTAACCTTGGCAAAATAAACTTCTAAATTGATGAAGACCTGTCTCAGATACTTTCATGTTTACATCTTCAGTGGGGATATTTTAAACACAGTTCAACCTGGATATCATGTTAAGTGGAAGGTGTGGACTGATAATGGTTTTAAACTTGAGAGTGCACTAGAGTCATCTTGAGGGCTTCTTAGAACACTGACTTTTTGGCTCAACCCCACGATCTATGATTGAATAGCTCTGAGGTGAGACCTGAGAATTTGCATTTCTATGAAGTTCCCAGTTGACGCTGTTCTTGGGACTACTCTTTGGATTCTCTGGAAGGGACTTATTCTAATCTTATTTTAATTTTATTCTAACCTAAAACAGAGTCTGTATATATTATAAATATATCCTTAATTAAAAGAAAAGAAAGAGAAAAAGAAAGTGAATATGATAATTTTTGGCATTAATTATACCTGTCCATAATCTCTTTGATAATAGTTAGTCATCACCCATGTAGCCTCAGGATCCAAACAAATTAATTTCCCATCTTTCAGTCTGACTCTGAAAAGAAGAAAGTATCCTGGCTAAATAACAACTATACTTAATTTAACAATGCTTTACATTTATTCATTCAAATTTTTGAAACATGAAATGCATATGCTGAAAATGAATACTTCGATTTCTCAAACTGTGTTTATAATATGTTTAGAGTATGACTTTTAGGCACATGAGTGTGCACAGCTATATTTTTAATCAATTAAATAATAATGTCTTTTTTAGAATCTTTTCAGATATCAACCAGTCAGCACACGTTATTGGACTTATGTACAAGAGATAGTGCTAAGACTTTAGAAAATCTGGGTCACAGGGAGAACCCCAAAATTGGGGTTCAGCCTGGGAGACCTCATGAGTTCTTGGCTTCATGCAGGAAGGAATTTGAGAGCAACCTGACAGAGTAAAATGGACGCAAGTTTATTAAGAAAAGGAAGGAATAAAAGGGTGACTACCTACAGGCAGAGCAGCCCCGAGTGCTCCTAGTTGCCTACTTTTATGGTTATTTATTGATCATATGCTAAACAAGGGATGGATTATTCATGAGTTTTCCAGGACAGGGCCCAGGAATTTAGAACTCAGGGTTCCACCCCTATTCAGACTATACAGGGTAACTTCCAGGCATTTCCATGGCAGTTGTAAACTGTCATGGTG
This sequence comes from Homo sapiens, assembly GCF_000001405.40. Lineage (NCBI taxonomy): Eukaryota > Metazoa > Chordata > Mammalia > Primates > Hominidae > Homo > Homo sapiens. The sequence continues at coordinate 74,066,492 of NC_000004.12, forward strand.
CTGGTGGTAGTGTATAATGAGCAGTGAGGACAACCAAAGGTTGCTTTCTTTGCCTTCTTGGTTTTGGGGAATTTTGACCAGCTTCTTTACCACAACCTCTTTTACCAGTAGGATCTTTGTGACCTGTACCTTGTGAAAGCAGTCCTGCCAAACTCTTATCTCATCCCCACCTCAGAGATTAAATACACCCCCTTAATCTTAAGGGATTGGAAAAGGACAGAGGTTTCACCATCTATAACGATTTCATTCTGAACAGGGACTGTCACGCCTATCTGCTCTGGAGATACAGAAATCTCTCACTACCTGATGTAATAATTTATAGAGACTTGGTCTTTCCCACAGTGGCACAGGCTAGAACCCTTGGGAAAATACCCTTGGGCATATTTTTCTGGAAGAGTTTTAGTCAGGAAAACATAAACTTTAACTATTTGAACCCCCTTGAACATAACAAATAATTATTTAACAGGAAAATCCAATAACACCTAGTGATAATTAAATGTTTAAGTCCAGTTGAACAATGCTTATAAGAAGTGTAGATGCCATTTGGAATCTAGTAAATAGACTGGAAAACCAGTCTTCTGATATATGAAATACAAAGCAAAACAGATTTTCAATAAAAGACATTTTTATGAGAACAGAAGAAAAACAAAGATTCATGGTGACACAATCTATCCATATGTTAGTCTCAAAACATCTTTAGTTATAGAGGCGGAAGGTGGTGGCAGTCTGACACATTTTTCTCACCTGTCTCACAAGGAATAAGCTTTAGCTTACAGAGCCTCAAGAAAAGATAGTAATAATTTTATTTAGTTTAGTTGGAAAAAGAGAAGATAAATTTGAAGACATTAGTTTGGGGACTTGTCAGTTTAAATTGCATAAAAAATGATAAAATCTCACAAACAACAAACAAGACTAGAATCTAACAACAGGTGTATTCTAGTTTTTTGGAAATATAATTGTTCTCTCTTTAGACTCCCATTTTTACCAAACACAAATCATGGCAGGACTGATTTGTTTGCAAAATAAGTTTTAGTTTTATTGTTATACTTGGCCTGATTATTTGTATAAAGTGCAAGAAGAATAATTATTTGCCATGTAGGCTTTGTTTGATTTGGCTTTGATGAAACTTTGTTCTATAAGGAATCCCATATTAGACATTTTAAAGCCCTGAGTCCAGCCACAGATTTACCTGTGCCTTCAAATAATTGTATTTGTAAGAGTTGGGTGAATTCCTCTCTTCTTGAGGTCACAGAATGACTTGAGGTTTCTGGGCCTGTCAGAATGAGATATTTTTTATTTACCACAAATCAGGAACCCATACAGTAACTGCATAGACAAGGTATGAGGCCAGCTTCCCAAGGGGCTTTTATAGTTTATGTAAGTCAACTTTGATTCCTTAAAGCAGTGTATTCATATTTGAAAGCATGCCATTCCAGTCAACACCTTAAGTAAAATAACCAGTGTCTCCAACTGTGTCCTGCTACAAAAGAAACAGATTCTTATTGCACTTATACAGATAAATATATTGCCGTAAGTTAAGAATACTCACAAATCGTTTCCAAATTCTGGAGAAATCAGGTAGGGAAAAAGAAATGTGCTCCAAAGTTTGCTCAGAGGAGTATACACCTTACTTAATTGCTAAAAGCTATGAATAGGTCAAAAGAAAAATGTTCTTGACTCTGAAAAATAAAGCAGAAAGGCTCATCAATGTTTAAAGCAATAAAATTATTAAAAGATTATTTTGGTCTTTTATCAGTTTTGTCCATGCTATTAACTCTTGTTTTGCCTGATATTGGACCAACAGTCCTTATGGATATATTAGCTTTCTGTGAGAGTCCTGGAAGGTTTTATTCCTCTCTACTTTAATGGAACACTGTCCAAAGTTATCACTGACCTTCACTTAAGAGTACTCATCAGAATCCTATAGCTGATTACCAACCACCTTTTGAAGAGGATCAAAACAAGACAAAAATTGTCTGTGGATGAAAAAAGTCTTAGGACATCCACAGTTAAAGACACAATTGACAAGGAAATATGATTTACTCTGTGGCACACAATAATTGTATATAGTATTTATAATTATTACTGATAATGTACACTAAGTTATATCGGAATTATTGGAGTTTTGCATAATTTTAGAACACATACCAGTAACACATTTAGACAAATACAGCCTAAAGGAAGCCAAATATCATTCTATATCTGGCAATGCTTCCTGTATGATGTTAATATACCAAATAAGCCAAATATGCCATTTTTGGACTTTAGGGGACCTGATATCTAAAATGATTAATCAGGTCAGAAAAAGATTTAATGTAGTATTTGATTTTGCAAAGCTTGTCAAACATCAATGGCTTAAGATACTTGATATTATAAAATAGGACTCCAGGACATCGTAAGTCATTTATTTAGCCATAATGATAACTCAGATATTTGAAAAAGGCAAAAAGCTTTACTCCTTGATAAAGAGGATACTTACTTTCCAAAGTCTGTGTCTCTTTTCTCTCCCTTATTTTTTATATAATTATTCAAAAGGCAAACAAAAATATTTCATTGTCTCTCATTATTCAAAAATCTTGTTCAAAAAGGAAAATTGAATTTCACTTTTGCATTAGTTCATCATTAATGCTAAAGCTAAGTTTTAATAAAACCCTTATCAACTTATCTATTACCCAATTTTCATTTGTTTGACCATAAGGTAAGATTTCCATAAACCTTTTGTAATCTTTTATAATTTTGTATGAAACAGCAGATCAACGTTTCAAAAAACCCTGTTATTCTGACACAGGGGCCAATATTCTTATCCTGCATCAGGGTGCTTTTATTTTAATATTCAGTTTATGGAAAAAATAAATAATACTCATAATTTTGGTCAACTTACTTACACACAGAATTCTTTACAAGGTTAATGTTTCACAAACCTTCTACAACTTGCTTAAACCTTCAGTTTTATCCTATTTCTTAAATCCTCTAAATTAGACTAAATGACTTTCTTTTTTAAAAAAACACATTCTCATGCCTTTCTACCAAGAACATATAATTTTTATTTTTTAATGTTGCCGAGACCAGCTCACCTGGAGAGACCCTAACCCAGTGGTGCTAGAGGAATGAAAGACACATATACAGAAATATAGAGGTATGGAGTGGGAAATCAGGGATCTCACAGCCTTCAGAGCTGAGAGCCTCAAACAGAGATTAACCCACGTATTTATTGACAGCAAGCCAGTGATAAACATTGTTTCTATAGATTATAGATTAACTAAAAGTATTCCTTATGGGAAACAAAGGGATGGGCTGAAATAAAGGGATGGTTTTGGCTAGTTATCTGCAGCAGGAGCATGTCCTTAAGGCACAGATCGCTCATGCTATTGTTTGTGGTTTAAGAATGACTTTAAGTGGTTGTCTGCCCTGGGTGGGCCAGGTGTTCCTTGCCCTCATTCCAGTAAACCCACAACCTTCCAGCATGGGCGTCATGGCCATCACGGACATGTCACAGTGCTGCAGAGATTTTGTTTATGGCCAGTTTTGGGGCCAGTTTATGGCCAGATTTTGAGGGCCTATTCCCAACATAATGTAATCAATTTTAATTGTGGACCAGGTGCAGAGCCTAGGATACAGGACAGAGCTGCAAAGTCATGCTCTTTCCAGCATAGCTAGGTGTCATGGGAAATTCTGTATGTCCCCAGGCCTTATCTACAATCTAATGGCTCCAAAGCAGGTAAGTTGAACAATTATCAAAAGTCATCAAAGAAAATTTATGACTTTAAAGCATTTAGCAAGCCTAGTGTCTGACCCATATAATTTAGATCAAATGTCCAAATCTTGAAGACATTTTTATTTTATTTTACTGGTAATCTTTAAATTGTCTTTATTTTAAAAAGATTATTTGAGGCATGTGAACTAAAAGGCATGAAAGGTTTTTTCTTACAAACTATTTAAGTGCTTATTTTCTTTAAGCCAAGGATTAAAGCTCTTTTACATAAACATCACACACAAAACATATATAAATACACAGACTGAAGAAGAACCAGTAGTTACAAGATTCTTCGTTTGCCAGTATTTAAGTTTCTCTTTAAAGCATGCAGTTTCTAGGGCCAAAGAAGCAAGCACAGCTGGAAGGCAAAATAGACTCCCAAAAATTAAGATCCCATTTTTGTACTCAATCCTGGATTCCCAAAAAGAGGGGAACACTGTGCGACCAGACAGTGCAATGCTTTTACCATGGATTTCACTGCAGTGGCATTCCTCCAAGGCTGGTGGTCAGCCCAAAGCCAATTAGCCCATTCTGCAATCAGCCCATCCCCCATTCCATACCTTTTAGATGTCCAATAGCGTGCTTTTTTATTTCAATGTGAGAAGAAAGAAGTATTGGCCTGTAGTATTAACCACTCACTGTAAGCAACTGCCATTAGCCATCCCTAAAAGCACATCCTAGCTGTTACACACCAAGGCTAAAAGTTTTCCAAAAATGCAAAGTAATCTCTGACACCCCTAAAAGTCAAAAGGTCGGGTAACAATGTAAAATAGAGCAAAGCTTTAGATTTTTGAGAGAAACCTATCTGCTTACAATTCCTAGAGTTCCATGAGGATAAAACAGAGGGTTTTCCCAAAACTGGGTCTGTGGCTCCTCCTCGGTTTTTCCCAAGAAGTCCCAGGCTGTCGGAAATTACCTTAGATCCTCTCTTGTGGGCATCAGCAGTGGAAAGAAGAAAGACTGGAGAAACGATTCTGATGATTGAGAGGAAACAAAAATGATTGTTCTCAAAAGAACAAGATGTAAGAAAAGAATAAGCATAAAGGCTGTTAAAACATACGTATAGCTTGGATATAGATTTTTAATGAAGCTGACTTTGAACCATAGGAACCTTTGTTTTTTTCCAAATCTTTAAAAAAAAAAATTTCACCAGCATCTCCAGGATTGTATCATCTTAGCACACTCTGAGCCAGGGGTGAACATTCCAGGGTTTAAGAAAACAACAAGATTCAATTATAAAAATTAATAATAATACAATGATAAATCCTTAGCAAATAACCAATACAAGGATAGCCACAAAATATCATACATGATGAAATCTTGAAAGTAATCCCTTTAAAGGCCAAAACAAGAAAAGAGTGTATATTATTATTGCAGACATCTCAGCAAAGCTAAAGAGATAAATAAAAGGCATAAGTTTTCCAAAAAAGGAAACTAAACTGTCATTATCCTCAGGTGATATGACTACTCTAGTTAAATGTTGGTTACAAAACTACTACAAAATTTTATGTTTAAACACTAATAGATGGAAAGTTATATTTTATAAAGATACCCTTTACAATAACATCAAACAATATAGAGTGGCAAGAAATCTTTTTTTATAATAAAAAATATGGAATGACTTTATGGAGAAAATCATGAAACTTTAAAGACATTAAATAAGGCCTCAACAAATTGGCAGTTAGTTTGTATTCTTAAAATGGAAAACTCAGCAGGATAAAGATGTCAATAATTTAAAAATTAATTTATAACTTCAAAGAAATTCCATTCAAAATTATAATTTAATTCAGTGCAAATTTGCAAGCTATTTCTTAGATTTATATGAAAGAGCAGAAGTCTAAGAAAAGACAGGCTACTCTTGAACAACATGAAAGAATTTTCCATCCCAGATATTAAAAATTATTATAAAATATTAATAATGAAGACTGTGTATATGTATAGACAAATTGATCAATGGGACAGAAAAGAGACATTAGAAACATTCCTTCACTTGCAGGACTTCAGTTGCAAAACTCAATTTATGGCAGAAATAGCATTGTCGATCAGTAGGGAAATGATGTTTTATTAAATAGGGCTGTAACAATTAATGAGTCATGTGGAAAAATAAAATAAAATTGGATAATTCCATCACATAATACAAAAATAGATTCCATAAACAGTCATGTCTTAAACACAAAGAAAAAATTATGAAAACTTTAGAAGATAATATAGAAGAATATTTTTATGAACTGTAAAGGGAAGTTTTTTTTTCTTTTTGAAAGAAGACACCAAAGTTGCTAATCAGAAAAGAGCATATTGCTAAATTCAAGTAGAATAATAATACAAACTTACGTTCACTGGAGACACTATAAAAAGAAAGACTATATGAGTTGTAAATTGGAAAACTAGTTTTTTACTTATAAAATTGACAAGGTTCTAACATCCAGAATATATAAAGAACACCTGTGTGCCAATGGGAACAAGATAATATACAAATAAGAAAAGTAAAAAAAAGAATACAAATTTTACAAAATAGAGAACACAAATGCTCCTAAGCATATAAAAATATTCAATCTAATTAATAATAAAGAGATGAAAATTAAAAGAATAGCATGGTACCATTACATACTCATCAGATTGACAATACTAGGTAGTGACCAGTATGTGCAACAACAGATAATTTTATGCAGGAAGTAGTGTCAATTGGTACAGCTTCTTTGTGATACCACATGGCATTAACTGGTAAGATTTATGACATGCAAAGCCTAAACACAGCAAGTAATTCCTAGAGAAACTCTTACATAACATGAACCAGGAAACACATAAAGAATGTCAGCAATAGTCAAAATCTGAAAAGAACTCAAGTGCGCTCCAACAAAGGATTGGATAAATGAATTTTGCATTTACTTACTTCATATTCCTACAGTGGAATTACTAAAATTAAATGAACAGCTAAACATATCGAAATCATGGGTTGCAAAACATAATGTTAAATAATAGAATCAAGTCACAGAACAATACATTCAGCATTATTCCATTGATCTGAAGTTTAAGAGCAGGCAAAATACATAATTGTTTAAGGATTCATACCTAGATGGTAAAACTACAAAGAAAAGCAAGAAACAACACAATTCAAAATAGTGATTAATTCTTGGAAAGGGATGGGTCTATGATTTGAGAGATGTATTTGTTTGTTATGTCTGCCATAATAGTATACCACATACTGGGTGGCTTAAACAACAGAAGTATATTTTCTCACAGTTCTGAAGGCTGAACATCCAAGGTTAAGGTCCTGGAAGGTTTGGTTTCTCCTAAGACCTCCCTTCCTGGCTTGCAGATGGCTATCTTCTCACTGTCTTCACATGGTTACCCCACAGTCTGTGTGTTGTCTGTGCTCTAATTTCTTTTTAGGAAGACACCAGTCAAATTGAATTCAGGACCATGCTAATGAACTCCACTTAACCTGGTTACCTCTGTAAAGACTTCATTTCCACATACAGTCTTATTCTGAGGTACTAGGGATTAGGGATTCAACATATGAATTTAGGAAATGCACAGTTCAGCCTATAACAAGAGGTTCATACACAGAGGCTTCTGGTGTATTAGTTAGTTCTAAAATTTAGCCTGCATAACAAGAGAGTGGGTGTTTACTATATTACTGCTCTCCAAACTATATATATGTAATCGTCTTCTCTTTTGTATTTGTGGCAGGCAGAATCCTAAAACAAGCCCATCAAGCTTCCCACCCACTTCCCTAGGAGTGTGAATATGATGAGATATTACAAACATCATTACGTTATCTTACACAGCAAAAAGATTTTGCAGATGTAATTAAGGTTATTAATGAGTAGACTAAATAAATCAAGAGTGATTATTCAAGTGAGCCTAATGTAATAACTTGAACCCTAAAAGCAGAGAGTTTTCTCTGGCAGGTAGCAGAAGAGGAAGTAAGAGAGATTTGAAGGGTGAGCTCAGCTCAATGCAAGGCAGGTTGTTCATTGCTTATATGGAAGGAGCCACATGGAAGGAAGTGAGAGCAGCCTCTGGGAGTGCTGAGTGACCCCAAGCCAACAGCCAGGAAGAATATCAGGACCCCAGTCCTATGCTGTAAAGAACTGAATTCTACCAACAATCTGAATTGGGAGTGGATTCATCCCTAGAGCCTTCAAATGAGAGCTTGGCCCTACTGACACCTCGATTTTAGCTTTATGAAATGCCAAGCAGAGAACCTGGTCAAGTCACCTAGACAGCTAATCTACAAAACTGTGAAATATTACATGGGTTAATTTTAAACCACTACGTTGTGGTAATTTGTTACCTAGCAATGAACAATTGAAACAGTCTGTATTACATAGTTTACAGTAAAAATAGTTTAATGAAATGCAGAATTGTTTCCTGTAGTCTCTAAGCTCTATACTTGTAGGCTTATGCCTCAGTAAATTTGTCTCCAGGGCCATCAGGCCATATTGAATTTATTGAATTATCCATGTATTCTTACTGATGAATGTGTATCTTTTCTTATTGTACATGTTCACTTACTACAAGGTTAACTCCATTCAGAAGAATTCACCCCCTATGTTTCCATTTGAAAGCCCCCCTCCACCTTTTTTTTTTTTTTTTTTTTTTTTTTTTTTTTTTTTTGGAGAGAGTGCAGGATGTTTTCAGGAATGGAAGCAAAAATACTGGGCAATTATTTTCCCACATTGTGCAGGAATCATATCTAGAGGCTAGGTTTCCTACACTCTCAGCTTGGCATTCTTTGTAAAGAAATGCCAGCTTTGAAAATCACAGTCCTAGAGGCTTCCACACTCCCCGACATCTTCGCTACTTACAGGATTTATTTTCTGCTGTACAAAGCACCTTCAGGTATCAACTGAACATTTTTAATAAATTGGGAAGAAATAAAGTCAGAATATATCTGAATACACTCACATCACAATTCTTGACTCTCAGAGGAATCAGTTGTGTGAGAAAGGAATAGAAAAGCCCTGAGTGAGAACAAAGGTAGCCATAACACTTACTTGAAATTTGAAATCAATGTAGCAGGACACTCAACTGGATTTACAAATTCAGAAATATTGAGGGAGAAGGTTACACAAACCTAATTATATGCTATTATCCTGATCAACAAATACTTACTGAGCATCTGTTATATTTGAAAAACTGGTAGATATACTAAACCAATAATTAATTGCTTAAAAGTATTAATATGCACGGTCAATAACTTTCTTAATGGCAAAAATTAACTTGATCCTTTCTATGAAAAGTTGTAAAAATAAAGATTATATGTAAATTTTATCAATTGAATGTAGCAATTTCTATCTGCCTACCATCATTAAAGCAAACACCCTAAACCTACTTTCAGTAATCTTCCTACTATCGCCTATAACAAGAAAAGCACAACTCTTGCAGCCAGATATTTATTTTCTTTTTCTTTTATTTATTTATTTATTTTTTTTGAGACAGAGTTTCCCTCTTGTTGCCCAGTCTGGAGTGCAATGACGAGATGTAGGCTCACTGCATCCTCCGCCTCCTAGGTTCAAGCGATTCTCCTGCCTCAGCCTCCGGAGTAGCTGGGATTACAGGCATGCGCAACCATGCCTGACTAATTTTTGTATTTTTAGTAGAGATGGGGTTTCACCATGTTGGTCAGGCTGCTCTCAAACTCCTAACCTCAGGTGATCCACCCGCCTCGGCCTCCCAAATTGCTGGGATTACAAGCGTGAGCCACCGCGCCCGGCCGCGCAGCCAGATATTTCTAGGAAGGTAAACATCTTTTTTTTTTTTTTTTTAGACGGAGTTTTTCTCTTGTTGCCCAAGCTGGAGTGCAATGGCACGATCTCAGCTCACCGTAACTTGCGCCTCCCGCGTTCAAGCGATTCTCCTGCCTCAGCCACCCCAGTAGCTGGGATTACAGGCGTGCGCCACAACGCCCAACTAATTTTGTGTATTTTTAGTAGAAACGGGGTTTCACCATGTTAGCCAGGTTGGTCTCGAAATCCTGACCTCAGGTGATCCACCCACCTCGGCTTCCCAAAGTGCTGGGATTGCAGGCGTGAGCCACCGCGCCTGGCCGTAAACATGTTTTTATTTGACTCAACAATAAATTTTTGACACTCCACAATCTAAATACCATACAGATCTGCTTACCTTTTAATTTCACAGTTTCTATATTTTGCTTAATGTTAAATATAATCTCATTACATCTGGAACCCTTTCTGAGTTTTTCCAGTCCCTAGAAGGAAAAGATAAAAGCCATAGTTGGCTTACCAAACATGCAGAGGACAAGGACAGTCAGAAGGAGGAGTGCTGGTGAGTTCTGAGTACCCATGTCTGTCCTTAATCTTGATCCTGTTCTGGATGGTGGAATCAATACTGCAGCCCACTTGCATGTGCTCTCTGTAACCCAGAGAATGTTTTATTGCTCTCCTTGTATTCTCTGTCCCCTCTAAAGAATAAAAGGTGAAGTTTATCAAGTGGTATACTTTTTGCTCACAAGCCAATAAAGAAGCTGAGTTTGTTTTTCAAACTTTGTTTTAATTGGGGCTTTTGGGGCACAATGAGATGAACTTGTTAAATAGAGAAATGAATCTATTATTTCCTGCCATGAAACTGCGAAACTGTGAAAGAGTCAATCTTAGTTGCAGTTAATGGTGACTTACAGAATGGAGTCTTGAGAATGTCTATGCATCTTTACCAAGGACATGTTCATACAAAATAGGGAATTAAGATGCTTTTCCTCAGCAATTATTTGCTTTTGAATTTTGTACCTATTTGCGTAATTCCATTTAAAGTCTTAATAGAATTTTTCAAACTAAGTCTACATGCACAGCCTAGATATACTGCAGAAAAAATTGAGTTCAGAGTATAACTTTTTTCCTGTCAAGACTTGCAAACTACAATTTACTTATTGTTTGAAGATAGCAGTTTCCATGGGCTTCAAGCTTAATTAACTAACAGTGAACTATGAGCTTTGATTTTATTTTTTAAACAGTTTCATAAATGAACTTAATTATTCCATAGTGAGTACAATTTTTTTGGCATTAACAAATCAAACAGTCAAATATTTGAACTAGTTTTCTAGTGCTACCATAACAAAGTACCACAGAGTGAGTGGCTTAAATAACAGAACTTTTTTATCTTACAGGTCTGGAAGCTGGAATTTCAAAATCAAGGTTTGACAGTTGTTTCTTTCTTAGGACTGTGAGAGAAGGAGTTGATCCAGGCATCTCTACTTGCTTAGTAGGTGGTCATCTTTATGTTTACATAATGTTCTTCTTGTATGCGTGTCTGTCTCCAAATTTCCTCTTTTAATAGGAGCACCCATCATATTGAATTAGCAGTTTACCCTAATAACCTCAATTTAACTGGATTCCCTCTTTAAGGACCTCCTTCCATATAAGGTCACATTCTGATGTACTGGGGGTTAGGATCTCAGCGTATAAATTTGAGTGGGACATAATTCAGCCCATAACAGCATTTAACTGAAGAATTGGTGATAACTAGAGGGTTGATACAGTCTAAAGGTAAAACTAGCCTAAATGGTAACTTTTTTTTTTTTTTGGCTAATTCTCATTGTGCATTTATTTCTTGCCAGAGCTTTTGCTTGATGCTAGGTATTTGAAGATAAAAAAAAGTTGAATTTCTGCTGTTGACTGTATTGAGAGACCGACAGGTCAACAGATTAATCTAGAGGTAATCTGTATTATAATAGGTGTATATCTGAGACACTGTGGAGGGAAGGAGGAGGAAGAACTTCCCCAGGGGAGTCAGGGAAGACTTTACTGGAGAGGTAACACTGAACTTGTGAAAAGACAACAAGAAACTCATTATTATTTTTATTAAAAAGGTTGATATGAATTTGAGATAAAGAAATGCACAAAGTGGCACAAAGAAGATCCAGACATGTTAAGAAGGGAAAACAATCTATTTCAGTCTGAAAAGGAGATGTTGTAATAACCTGACAACATTCAATTGACTGATCAGATCTTGGCCTTTGTACAAATCGAGAAGTAGAAAATAAGCTAGAAATATTACTCAGAGACAGCCCTGATTCCATTGAATCTCATTTTCCTTCTGTACAAAGTAAAGGTAATAGAATTTTGTGCTAACACTGTGTACATGTACTACCATGATAATAAAAAGTAAATAAAGATGTTTTATTCTTTAAAATATTTATCTATACTGAGACCCAATCATAATAACAATTTTTTTATTGTACTTTCCTTTGTGCTAACATTGCTCTATGACTTTTTGTAAGTTATCTGGAAATTTTGCAAGGGGTGTTTCTAACTTACAAACAAGACAATAAAATATGAGAAAGATGAAAGATTAAAAATAGCTATGCATTCTTAGCAGCTCCTCACTTTAAGAGGGAGAATCTATTTTCCAACCCCCTTGATTCTGTGCTGACTTTATGACTTGCTTTGGCACTAGGATACTTTAAAAGTGATGTTGTAGATGTTCCAGGTGAACAAGGCAAGAAGCCTAGGAGCTTCTCTCCTACCCTGTTAGAATGCTGCTGCCAAGCTGATCCGCTAGAGACACTAGGACCAGGAAATGGGTAATACCAACAACCAGACATGTGAGTGAGGCAGCTCCAAGCAAGTCACCAAGAAACTGACTACAGCCCCATGAGTGACCCCAGGAGACACCATCAGAAGAACCACTCAGGTGATCCCAAGGTTGTTTCGTCACCTAGCCCAAACTGATGACCTTCAGAGTCATGAGTCAGAATAAAATGGTGGTTGTTTTAACAGACTGCATTTTGGAGAGACAATAGATAACTAATAAAGTAGCAAGTCAAATAAAGTGGTGTATTAGTCTGTTCTCACACTGCTGTAAAGAACTACCTGAGACTAGATAATTTATGAAGAAAAGAGGTTTAATTGACTCACAGTTCCACAGGCTGTACAGGAGGCATGGTGGGGGAGGCCTCAGGAAAGCTACAATCATGGCAAAAGGCAAAGGGGAAGCAAGCATGTCTTACGTGGTAAGAGCAGGAGGAAGTGGGAGAGTGAAGGGAGAAGGGACACACCCTTTTAAACCACCAGATCTCATGAGAACTCACTCACTATCATGAGGACAGCAAGGGGGAACTCTGCCTCCATGATCCAAACACCTCCCATTAGGAGCCTCTTCCAACACTGAGGATCACAACTCGACATGAGATTTAGGAGAGAAAACAGAGCCAAACCATATCAAGTGGCCTAACGCATTTTATCCTTGAGTTGTTTGACTACAATGTGCATTATTTTCTTTAGACCGTCCTAAAGGAGCTCATGGTATGAATGGCTGTTAGCTATTAATTAGTACCCTGACACTGGTTCTACAAATTTTAGAAAGCCAATCCTACAACCAAAATTCAAGCTAACAATCTTTAGCAGTCACGAAAATAATCTACTTTTAATGAAAATCTCCCTGTATTAAACATCAGAAAACTGAGTTCTAGCCCAATTTTGTAATAAAATAGTTCTGTGACATTTGGTAACTCCTTAATGGTCTCTGAGCCTTCACAGTTCCATTTATAAAAGGAGAAGGCTGTTTTTTCATGTGTGATCTCAAGTTTTGGACCAAATTCCTGTCTGGCTATCAAGGGATCAGTGTCTGGCCTTAACCTTTGATTGGTTTGTTCCTCTCCATACAATCTGGCTTCCTTTTTAGGGGCTTGTTGAAAGCAGCAGTAACAATTATAACTAACTTACACCTATAAAAGAAAAAAATTGCCACTTCTAATGTGGAGGACAAAAATGATGGTAGGAGTACTAACCTCTTCACAGGTCAACATGAGGTCCAGCATGTAGTTTGGTAGACTTTCTTCCCCTCACTTGAGGGCCTTATGAATTTAGATTCCAGGTTTTAATATTAAGTATAGCCAAGGAATACAAATCAGAGGCTGATGCCCTGCTATTTGGGTGATTTATGGCTCTCCTGTAAACACAGCAACTATAATTCCTTGGTTTGAGTTGGTTATACAGTTTCTGCAGAAGAATTCACACTCACAACAGCCCCTTTGTGAGGTCAAGAACTCAGTTGTGTGCAGCAATGGCCAGTGTGGTTATGCTCTCTCCTATTATGGGCTTTCACTTTTTTCTGCCTCATTTCCCATTTTCTTTCCTCCTGGTTCTCCTTAGTAAAATAGTAGTCGCATTTGGCCCAGCAACCCCATTACTGGGTATATACCCAAAGGATTATAAATCATTCTACTATAAAGACACATGCATAAGTATGTTTATTGCTGTTCACAATAGCAAAGACTTGGAACCAACCCAAATGCCCATCAATGATAGACTGGATAAAGAAAATGTGGCACATATACAGCATAGAATACTATGCAGCCATAAAAAAGGATGAGTTCATGTCCTTTGCAGGGACATGGATGAAGCTGGAGACCATCATTCTCAGCAAACTGACACAAGAACAGAAAACCAAACACCGCATGTTCTCACTCATAAGTGGTAGTTGAAAAATGAGAACACATGGACATGGGGGAGGGGGGACATCACACACTGGGGCCTGTTGGGGGTTGGGGCTGGGGGAGGGATAGCATTAGGAGAAATACCTAATGTAGATGATGGGTTGATGGGTGCAGCAAACCACCATGGCACACGTATACCTATGTAACAAACCTGCACGTTCTGCACATGTACTGCAGAACTTAAAGTGTAATAAAAATATAAATAAATAAATAATAAAATAGTAGTCATAAGCCTTTGCTGTGAGGTATAATTTCTGGGGGGCCCAATTGTCTATTTCAGGCTCCCCTAAAAGTGAGTCTGACACAAAGACTTAAGTGCAGTTTGTCTTGGAGATGATTATAGAAAGGAGTGAGGAAGTGGGGGAATGTGGAATAGGAAAGAGAAAAAAATCTAATAAAGGGTATGTAATGAATGAGATATCACTGTGGGCAATCAGAGCTCAACCTTGCCTGGAGTCTTACACAAACCTTGTAAAATGTTCCTCAGAATTGTCCCTAAGACTTCAATTTCGAGTCATATTGAAGTAAAACAGAAGTTTTAACTTCCTGTCTTAAAGAACTAGAAAACCCAAAGAATATATGAAGCAACTCCTTTTACACATTAGACAACAAACAGGGAAAGATTACAATCCCTGAGTAAAGGAAATAAACGAGATGAGATCGATGAACACCCTGGATTTTTTGCTGGTGCAATTCTGGACCACTGTGCAGGAGGAGAGATCCAAAGTAGACCATGGTAGTCTTGCTGAGTTGAGGGAGCTCAGATTTGAGTAGAGGATAACTAGGGTGTCTAGAAGTTTAGGAAAAGAGTTTGAGGAAGGAGAGATCTGTGAAGGAAACCTGAGCTCCAGAAATCTGCACTGAGGTCCCATTGGATCTGTTTGATCAATATTAAGTCACTCATGCATAGGATGAAACTCCGTAAGTTAAGCAAAGAGTAACCAGAAAATTGTCAGCTGAGCAAATCTCAGACCTAACATGGAGTGGGGAAATATTTGAGGTCTGGCCTATCAGAAAGAAGAGAACTCATGAGCACTCAGGGCATCACTAAAGGCACGGGAAGGACATGACTTAGTAGTACAGCTAAACAAACCCTAGAGTGAAGAACGTTTCCAGACCACCCTAACAAAGCTCAACAAGCCTCAAATAGATAAAGCTGATGCCCTAGTTACTTAACCACTTGACAGAACAAAACCCGAGACTCCAAAGAAGGAAAACAAATATTGACACTCAGCAACTTAAGATTCAAAATTTCCTGCAGAAATCAGCATAAGCCATAATAAGTAAAACAAAATCAAGTCAATATAGAACAATATAGAACAACAATAAAATAGTTATTACAAATATGCTCAGGGGATTAAAAGAAGGTATAATCATAATGAAGAGAGAAGTGGAATATTTTATATATTTATATATTTATTTTATTCTATTTTTATTCTATTTTATTCTAATATAAAATATTTAAAATTTATGTAGAAATGTATGAAGAGAGAAAAAGAGAAAGAAACTTCTAGAATTATCTAACCGAGAGACTGGGAAAATTGAATATTCATCCATTAACTTCTGTCCATCCTCTAAGGGTATGAAATCACAGGCCATCCTGCCTGTGAGCTGTCTGCCAAGCCTGCTTTCCCAACACCAGTTGGAGAAAGCCCTCAGGTAGAGAGGCATTATAACAGGCAGCTAAAATTGCAAAGCCGTTGTCCATTGCAACTATTGAACTCATTGGTGAGTGGAGGAGATATGCAGTGGAGCATCACTGGCGAAGACAGGATAGGCCTTTTTCTTTATTATTTATATAGGTAGCCAGGAAAGACAAACAATGTGATGTTTTTCTGGATTGCCCCCACTGTGCTATTGTGGGTCTGACATCTCAACCATCCCTCAACGTCTCTCCAGTTACTTCTGGAACACCTGACATGGTGACTCAGGAGGACTCACAAAGAAGGACTCACGATGACAGAATTAGTGTTAGACATGTCTCCTCCTCTCCTTCTCTAGCTCCCACAGTAACATTGTCAGAGGCGTTGGAACGAAGTGACTCTGTCTTAACTGAGGGCTAGGAAAAATAAGGCTGGACTGCATTTCCAGAAAGTTAGGGATTCCTAGCCTCTAGATGTTCACAGTTAAGAGAACAGATTGATAATATTTACTAAACAGATTAGAGTTAGGAGTTTCCTGATATCCCATTATCTTGAGAACAGAAGCATTCCTAATTTTGCTTTAAAGATGCCAATATCAATTCTTGCAAAATATAGTAATTAAGAATATTAATTCTTTATCACAAACTCTTGTAGCAGAGCACATTTACCCATGATCTCTTTTTCTCCTATACATAAACAAGCATTGTACCTAGGGTGAACACGTTCCTCCTCTTTCTTTTGGGAACACCCTACTCTGCCTGTGGAGTAGCTGTTCTTATACCACTTTCTTACAAAACTTGCTTTCACTTTGCTCTGTGGACTCACCCTGAATTCTCTCTGCCCAAGATCCAGGAACCCTCTCTTGGGGTCTGGGTTGAGACCCCTTTCTGGTAACATCTTTCTGGTGACCATGAAGGGACAATACTGAGGAGAACCTTGACCCAAAGGAAATAGACTGCAGTACCAATTAGCTGACTTTGGGTAAGCAGTGGAGTGCCCAGCTAAAGGATGGGATTAGATTAGAGGCCCAATTTAGGGGAGTTAGAGTCTCTCTTGACAGAGAGGATTAAAGTTTCCTCTTAATAAAAGGCAAGGACACTTGACTGAACCTGGGTTTCAGGCCCAACTTTGGAGGCTAGAGTCCTTCCTAAGATTTATGGGGTTAGAGGGCCCTCAGTAAAGTTCCTCTTGGCTAAGAATAGGTTTGGCATCAGGGGATGTTAACTGCTATGCTGTTTGTATTTATCTGCCTTGTCCTCTTTGCTGCATGAATCCATTTTTTGGGCACTGTCTCTGTTTCACTGTCATTTTCAGGAGACTTCATTTAACTGATCTTAGAGATTTTAACTTTCTCTAAAATTGCTGATGAAGATTTGGTATTTAAGCAATAAGATTACATAAATGTGGTTATGTTTTGTTGCAATCACTAGGCGTGATCGAGAAGCACTAGGATGGAAATCAGGGGACCTTTCTCCTTGCTGTTTTGTTTCATTTGCACACTAAAAACACTTCTTATCTTTTCAAAATTTGGACAAATCAGTTTTGCTTGTCCAATCCACACTACAACTATTGCCCAGAGCCTACTTGCTCTGGTCATTTCCATCTAAATCCCCTTCATTTCCTTTGCCTTATTTGACATTTCTTTCATTGGGTACTATGTGGTGGTTTATCTAAGATTCATGGCTCAGCTCATTTACATTATTTGGCTAGTGTGGATAAGATAATTCAATTTTCAGCAGCGATCTCATTAATGCAGCTGGCCTCAAAAACCTCTCCTATCCTTTTTAGTGGAACTTGGCCAGTGGCAATACAATCTCACTGGTTTGGAACTTTTCTTTCAACATCACCTGCCTCCTTCATGGGAACCATGACATTGATCCCAAAGGACTTATCACTAGGATGTATCCTTGAACACTGAGATCTGTTTAAAATAAATGGGATTAAGGAGAAAATTGGTGAATTACTGTTTCTATGTAATACTGTTTGGCCTCAGTATTATTTGGAAAAACAAAAGAAATGGTCTCCTATTGGAAGTACAGCCTTTAATAATATAGTATATAATTAAATATGTAATATTTAATATTATAGTATATAATATACTATAATAATATAAGTATAATATTATAGTATAATTCAACCTGATTTGCTTTGTAAGTGGGATGAAACATGGGATGAAATACCATGCGTTCAAGCATTTTTGCTGCTCAGTCAGGATAAAACCCTGCAACAGGCATGTGCATGTTTGATGAAAGGAAAGGAAGAAAAAGAACTAGACATACTAGACAATCTCTTGATGCAAGCCCCCACAGGCCAGCAGACACTTTTTGGTGGAGCAGAACCTCCTTCTCTCAGCTATGAAGGTTCAGGTGTGTCAGCCCATTCTCCCCTCTGTCCACCTGAAAGTTCTGCTGAGACCCCTTAGTCCCTTCCTCCTTACCTGTCTAGTCCCACTCTATACCCACCAATCCCTGAGTAACCTAGCCCTGTGGGTACTACTTGTAGTGGAGCCTCTTATCAACCTCCAAAGGGAAATGTTTGTCCACTTAGAGAGGTGACAAATGGGGAAGAAGGCATTGTAAGAGTACATGTCCCCTTTTCTATGTCTGATTTGACTCTGTGTAAAAAAAAGTTTGGTCATTTCTCTGAAGATCCAGGAAAATTCATAAATGAGTTTGAGAAATTAACTCTGACCTATAGTTTGACTTGGCAGAATCTGCATGTTGGTTGTCTCTGTGTTGTACAGTGGGAGAGAAACATTGCATTTTGGGGACAGCTAGGACCCACACAGATGAGATATTGACTCATAGCCCTAACCATAATATATATCAGGCGGGAGATGCAGCAGTTCCGGATCAAGATCTGGAATGGAACTATCATCAAAGGGGCAGTGAGGACTTGGGGAGGAGCACTCATATGGTTCCTTGTTTGTTGGAAGGGATGAAGAAGTGTATGAAAAAGCGTATTAACTATGAAAAGATTGAGGAAGTTTCTCAGGGAAAAGATAAGTATCCAGCTTTGCTTCACGGGTGTTTAGTTGAGGCAATTCGGAAGTGTACTAACACTAATTCTGACTCAAAAAAAAAGGACAAACCCTTTTGGGAGTACATTTTATAACCCAGTCTGACACTGATATCTGTATGAAACTACAAAAAGCAGCTATGGGTCCCTAGACCCCTATGGATCAGCTATTGTTGTTGTTTTGTAATAATTTTTTATTTTATAGAAAAATGTAATTATGCAATGGTTATCAGGGAAGTTAATTCAGTAATAAGTATGTAGGCTAGAGAATAGTTTTCAAATATTCAGTCAATACCAACAAAATCCTGTATGATTTACAGAACTGATCAAGCAAACACAAGAAAACTCTGGTTTAATTTCTATGAACTATCAAACGAAGAAAATGCTCTTCTATCTCAAATAAACCAGGTTTGAATGATAGCTTTTCAATATAAAAAAGACACGCACACACACTCACACACACACAATAAAGACAAAATATCTCTTCTCATTCTAAAACACTTCCTCTTTTAGTCCATATATACTTTGAATAATCTCGTGTAGTAAATCTTTGCTACAACAATGTTCAAAGTCAATCTCTCCTGGTTTGGTGTTCTAAGAAGCCAATAGACATAACAGTAAGAGCATTAATACTACTTCCAGAATCTATAAAATCCCAATGCTATTGCCAGGCAAATAAACACCAAGGCTGCAAGATAACGAATTGTCTCAAGTTTGTTAGACTCCATCAGTGTTTTTAAGGAAGCAATTTCTGCGTCAATTTTATTACTGGTCTCTGAAGTAATACTTTTGGTTTGGGTATCCTTTTTTGTAAATTCTGTAGTTGCTTCCATAAGTTGCTTTTCTTGATCTGTAAACATATCTGTTACTCTGCTCCTTTCTAGGTTGATATCCAGTTTATTATTTGCTCTGATTCAACTGGTTTCATGTATTAGTTGTTGCTTAACTTGGTCTAATTCAATTTTCATTTTCTCATTCTCTGCTCTGAGATTTGCGAATTCACTTTTCTCTAGGCTGACCATGTTTTTCCTGATAGAGTCCAAATGAGCCATTAGCTGTTGTACTGTTATTTTCTGTTGAGCTTGAGTGACCGTCTCTTTATAGGTAGTATCCGGGCTGACATTTGATAAAGTAGTTAATGCTGATACTGTTGTTTCTGCTTGTGTTTTGTCAAATCCAAGAGTTTCCAAGTCCTGAACCAACGCATGGGTATCAAAAGTTAATTTCCTTTCTTCTAAAGGAGTTATATCCACTGGCAGCCTATCATATCCCTCCTTGGTTGTGGTGCTGAAGAAGTCTCTCTGCAGGCTTTTGAATATGGCATTTTTAGTTTTTAATAACAGGGGCAGAACAAAGGAAGCAGAAAGAGCAAAAAGGACCTCCCAAAAGGTGCAGCTATTAGCTGCAGCCTTAAGCTCACCTCCCACGTGGGATTGCCCTCCTGGTTCTTAGCCTGAACAAGGGAAGCGAAAAGGTGGAAAACATAAAACTGGGCATCCACGTCACGATGGCTTTGGCATAAATCAGTGTGTGCATTGTAAAAAAAAACTGGACATTGGAAGAGGAAATGCCCAGTACTCGAAAGGGAGCCATTGGCACCTGAATCAATGGTGGCTGAAATAGCCAAGCAAGCCCAAGAGGCATTCTGCCACATCTCCTATTGGACAATGGAATATATCTCCAGAAGAGCCACAGGTAACCCTTGAAGTGGCAGGTAAGAATATTAACTTTTGGGTTGGGTGCAGTGGCTCATGCCTGTAATTCCAGCACATTGGGAGGCCAAGGTGGGTGAATCACCTGAGGTCAGGAGTTCAAGACCAGCCTGGCCAACATGGTGAAACTCTCTCTACTAAAAATACAAAAACTAGCTGGGTATGGTGGCAGGTGCCTGTAATTCCAGCTATTCAGGAGGCTGAGGCAGGAGAATCACTTGAACCTGGGAGTCGGAGGTTGCAGTGAGCCAAGATTGCATCACTGCACTCCAGCCTGGGGGACAGAGTGAGACTCAGTCTCAAAAAAAAAAAAAAAAAAAGAAAGAAAGAAAGAAAGAAAAAGAATATTAACTTCCTT
This sequence comes from Homo sapiens, assembly GCF_000001405.40. NCBI lineage: Eukaryota > Metazoa > Chordata > Mammalia > Primates > Hominidae > Homo > Homo sapiens. The sequence continues at coordinate 74,087,433 of NC_000004.12, forward strand.
TTGGACATGGAATTGCTTACTCTGTTTTGACCCATTATAGTGGGCTTCCATCACCCCAAAACTGTATGGTCACAGGGATAGATGAACAAGCCCATACATGCCATTTTACCTATCCTTTAAGCTGCTCTTCAGAGACTTTAGTTTCCTCACATGCCTTTCTTTTCATGCCTGAATGCTCCTTGTTGGAAATGCCCCTTGTTGGGAATGCCCCTTGTTGGGAATGCCCCTTGTTGGGAAGGGATTTGATGGCTCAGCTGCAAACAGTGGTATCTCTTGGAAATCACAAGGCAGATGAGGGTTTGTTCCTTCTGCTTTCCTGTGATAAGGGAGGAAAGACAATGGGAGACATCTACTTCCCAAGTAAATCCTATAGTATGGGACACTGAGGTTTCAGGCAAAGTGTTAAATGTTCTCCTGATTTGTATCCAACTTAAACCTGATGTCCTGTACCCCTGGAAGAGACAATACCCCTTAAAGCTAGAGGCACAAAGAGGGATCCAACCATTAATAGCTAAGTTTTTGCAATTCGGGTTGTTAAACCTCTGTGAGTCTCGTTGTAATACACCAATCGTACCAGTTAAAAAACCAAATGGACACCATAGATTTGGTCAAGAACTTCAAGCTTTCAATGAGGCTGTCATTCCCATACATCCTATAGTGCCCAATCCCTACGTGCTGTTAGCCTGGGTCCCATCCCTGGGGATGCCAATTTGTTTACAGAGTTAGATCTTAAAGATGTCTTTTTGTTTTTTTTTTTTTTGTTTTTTGTTTTTTTTGGCATTGCAGTACTCCCTGATTCACAATTCATCTTGGCTTTTGAATGGATTGATCCTGACAGTCATTTGGTTTATCAATGAACTTGGACAGTTCTTCCCCAGGTATTTAGGGGCAGCCCTTATCTGTTTGGAAATGCATTGGCTAGAGAATTAAGGATGTTACACTTAAATAGGGGCATTATTATCCAATATGTGGATGATGTGTTGGTTGCTAGCCCAACCAAAAGAAACTTGGACGAAAATACCTTTAAGTTGCTAAATTTTCTGGGAGCTAATGTGTATAGGGTCTCACAGCAGAGGGCCCAGATTTCAACTCAAGAGGCTAAATACTTAGGATATGTCCTAACCCCTGGCACCCAGGCAATAGTACCAGAACAAAAGGAAGCTATCTTGGGCATTCCAAAACCCCAAACTAGAAAGCAGCTGCGAGCTTTTCTAGCAGTGTCAGGATTGGGGCATATGGTCAAGCCTTTATATGATGCCCTGAAAGGAGCGAATGTAGATTCTTTAGAATGGAATAGCAATTGTAAACAAGCTTTTAATGCTTTCAAGGAAAAATTGGGATCAGCTCCAGTCCTACGGATCCCTAATTTTGATAAGCCATTTTTCTCTTATGTGGCTAAGAAACAAGGAACCACGCTGGGTGTCCTTATCCAGAAACTAGGAGATATCCCCGAACCAGTGATATATTTTTTTTAAACAATTAGACCATGTCACTTCAGGATGACCTGAATGCCTCAGGGCAGTTGCAGCAACTGCTCTTTTAGGAGATGAAGTCAATAAAATGGCTTTAGGACAACATCTGGAAGTTTTAACCCCACATCAAGTACAAGGAGTCCTAGAAGCTAAAGGACACCAGTAGATGACAGGAGGTACTTATTGAAATATCAGGCTTTGTTGCTAAACATTCCTCATGCAACCCTTAAGATACGCCAGACTTTAAATCCAGCTACCTATCTGCCTGAACCCACTGGCACCCTGTATCATTCTCGTATACAAGTAATGCACCAAGTTTATTCCAGCTGGCTGGATTTAAATGATGAGCCTCTAGATAATCCTGAAGTAGAATGTTTTATAGATAGAAGTAGCTTTGTGCGCCAGGGACACAGAAAAGCTGGGTATGCTGTTGTCAGTCAACACAAGGTAATTAAGTCTCAGGCCTCACCAACTTCTACCTCAGCTCAAAAGGCAGAATGAATAGCTCTTGCTAATAGCCCTGCAATTATTAATAGCTCATATTAATAGCCCTGCAATTGGGAAATGACTTAGTAATTAACATTTGTACTGATTCTATGTATGCCATTCTGGTGCTTCATGCTCATGGAAGGAATGGGGAGAATGAGGACTCCTAATTGCTGAGGGTTCCCCTGTGAAACATCACTTAAACATTTTAAATCTATTAGATGCTGTTTTGCTGACCAAGGAAGTAGCTATAATCCATTGCAGAGGGCATCCAAAAGGAGACTCTAGTGTGGCTAAGGGAAACTCCTTTGCAGATGCAGGAGCTAAGGCAGCTGCATTAAAGCAGCCAGTTGGACTTGTAGGCATGTTAGTGCCCTCTGCCCTGGTAATGACAGAACCAAGATATACTAAAGAGGAATAAGAATGGGCTAAAGGTCAGGGTTTAATTCAAGATCCTTCTGGCTGACTTATCAATGACAACAAATTATTGATACCAGGTGCTAATCAGTGGAAAATAGTTAAGCATTTGCATGACTCTACTCATTTGGGAAGAGATTCCTTCTTTCAATTAATGTCTCTCTCTCTCTTTTTTTTTATTTTTGAGACAGAGTTTCACTCTTGTTGCCCAGGCTGTAGTGCAATGGCACAATCTCAGCTCACCACAACCTCCACCTCCTGTGTTCAAGTGATTCTCCTGCCTCAGCCTCCTGAGTAGCTGGGATTACAGGCATGCGCCACCACGTCTGGCTAATTTTGTATTTTTAGTAGAGACAGGGTTTCTCTGTGTTGGTCAGGCTGGTCTCAAACTCCTCACCTCAGGTGATCCATGCGCCTCAGCCTCCCAAAGTGCTAGGATTACAGGCATGAACCACCGCTCCCAGCCAATGTCTCGTCTTTTTATAGGAAAAGGCTTACTTACTTAGAACAGTAAAGCAGGTAACTCAGTCCTGTGAACTCTGTGCCCAGAATAACCCAAATAACCAACCTTTTCCTTCTCCTTTAGTAAGGTCTGTTCAGCATAGTGGAATGTATGCCAGTGAAGATTGACTAGTAGATTATGCTCAGATGTCCCCATGTAAAGGATTTAAATATTTATTAGTATTCATCAATCCTTTACTGGTTGGACTGAGGCTTTTCCTACCTGGTCTGAAAAGACAAGGTTTCTAACCTCCTATGAAAGGCAATAATTCCTAGATTTAGGCTGTCTAATAGCTTGCAAAACAATAATGGCCCATCTTTCACAGTGACAATTAGCCAAAACATAACTTCGGCCCTAGGAATTAAGTACCTCCTTCATTTAGTATGGATGCCACCATCTTCAGAAAAAGTGGAAAGAGCTAATCAAACTAAAAAGTACTATGCCAGGAAACACCAGAAACCGGACTATCTATATTGCCTGTAGCCTTGTTATGGGTTTAAGCTGTTCCCAAGAGAAATCTATAGTGCAACACTTTAGAAATGATGTATGGAAGGCCTTTCTTAACTACAGACTTCCTGATTGACATAGATACTTTCAAGTACAAAATTATGTAATCAACTTAGGACAAATGCAAAAGGTGCTCCTTGAATATGGAAATCAAAGACTCCCTTCCCCTACTAAGGAAGAGAATATTGTTACAACCCAGCCAGGAGACCGGGTCCTATTAAAAATTGGAAGGAAGGATCCCCAGCAGATCAACTTTCACCCAAAATGAAAGGGATCCTATCAAGTTCTCCTTAGTACCCCAACTGCAGTTAAATTTCTAGGAATAAACAGCTGGGTTCACTTATCTCGAATGAAACCTGTCTCTTATAAAGTCCCACAGGCCAACAAAACACAAAAGACTGATCCCACTTATTCCTGTGGGCCAACCCATGACCTCCAGCTCCTGTTCAAAAGAAACAAAAGGAATGGGTAACATAAAGATATGGATTGGCATTCTATTTTTGGGTATAAGCTGGAATCACACAAAGAGTAACTTATTTGCTAAGTGGGCAGACTGTAGCCTCTCTACATAATCCAACAGTTTGTTGGACTATGTAGAGAATTGCCATTTTCCTTCACTTCCAGGTTGCCCTGGCATATTCAACCAGCAAACCTAAGTTTATGGGGATTTTATTATGATTGGGAAACTGAGCATTATAAATATAGTCCCTCTTTTCTCATGTACCATAGCCACACAGGCCTTAGGCCCTTCCTCACTTATGGAGAGACAAGAAGGCACCTTTTTCATCTAATTAGGAAACAGCTAAATGGCACCTCGACTTTAGGTTACACTGTACACAATAGACTTGGGTGGATGACAGTTGTTCAAGCACAGGTATCAGGCAAAACACCTCTATGTTTTGAAAGATGCATTAATAGTCACCACCAGACTGAAACCCGCAATATGGGATGGTTGCCACCTCAACAATGTAATCAGACCCTTCTTTTAACAGACCAAATGTGGGTAGGATGGCAACACAATTTGCAAAAAATAGATGCCCACCCTTCCCCTTGGGGATGGTTATGGGCTTGTGGAACTCATGGCTGGTTGTATTTACTTTATAGTTGGACTTGAAAGTTGTCCTTATCTCCTGGGACTTACCCTCAACAAATTGGACTCTCTCCTGTCTAACTGGGATACTGTAAAGGCTCGCCATAGGGCAACAAAAACAGGCTTCTTGGTGGTTCTATCTGATGCTGTATTTTCCCCACAGGCAGCCATAATCAATATCAAGTTACAAGTTAAAGCCTTAGCCAAGCACATGGCTGCAGCTTTCAATAATACACGCCATGCCCTTACCCTCCTAACTGAGGAAACTTCTCAGATTAGGCAGGTGGCCTTACAAAACCATGTGACTTTGAACATTTTAATAGCAGTCCAAGGGGGAACCTGTGCTTTGATCAAAACTGAATGTTGGGCTAGGCGCAGTGGCTCAGGCCTGTAATCCCAGCACTTTGGGAGGCCATGGTAGGCGGATCACCTGAGGTTGGACTTTGAGGCCAGCCTGACCAACATAGAGAAACCCCATCTCTACTAAAAACACAAAATTAGCCAGGCGTGATGGTGCATGCTTGTAATCCCAGCTACTCGGGAGGCTGAGGCAGGAGAATCGCTTGAACCCAGGAGGCGGAGTTTGTGGTGAGCCGAGATCACACCATTGCATTACAGCCTGGGCAATAAGAGTGAAACTCCGTCTCAAACAAACAAATGAACAAACAAAACACAAGTGTTGTGTGTATGCTCCAGACTATTCCCATAATATTACCCGGGCTATGAAAGCTCTAGATACTCATATCTTTGCCACTGATGCACTGCCAGTTGACCCTATATCAACTTGGTTCCAACCACTACCCAGTTCTTGGAAAGCCTTCCTTTTTAGTTTACTTAGGATGATTTTACTTATTTTGCTTTGCTGTTGTGGAATATATACAATTGTACTCTTTATGTGGGAACGCAAGACAAGCTTACTCAATACTTTCTTAAGTTGGATACATTAATTTTCCAGATTTCGCCTTTTGCTGGGACTAATTTATGAACAACCCTCACCATACCGAGGCTTTCTGACTGAGTTCCTCTCTACCTTGAATAAAAGAGACTCTAATAATTAGGCAGGAATATCATCGCCCCTGTTCAGCCTAAGGAAGTTACAAAAGACTGATCTTTGTCTATCTGCCACCCTTAGGATTAAGGGTCCTCTTATAAAGGAAGTGGGGAAATATGTCAGAGGTATTCAAACTAGAGTAACTCCACCTTAAGTGAAGGGTTAAGAAAACATAAGGCTGGGACTTGCTGGGCTGCATTCCCAGAAAGTTAGGTATTCCTAGCCTCTAGAAGTTTACAGTTAAGGGAACAGATTGATAACATGTACTAAACAGACCCAGACTTAGGAGTTTCCTGGTATCCCAATATCTAGAGAACAGAAGCATTCCTAATTTTGCTTTAAAGATACTAATATCAATTCTTGCAAAATATAGTAATTAAGAAAATTAAACCTTCCTCGCAAACTCTTGTAGCAGAGCATATCTCCCCTTGATCTATTTTTGTCTTATACATAAACAAGCATTGTACCTAGGGTGAACACGTTCCTCCTCTTACTTTCAGGAACGTCCTACTCTGTCTATGGAGTAGCTGTTCTTTCACCACTTTACTCTCTTAACAAACTTACTTTCGCTTTGCATTGTTGACCCACCCTGAATTCTTTCTGTTGAGATCCAAGAACCCTCATTTAGGGTCTAAATTGGGGCACCCTTCTGGTAACATTTTTCTGGTGACCATGAAGGGAAAATACTGAGGAGACCCCCAACCCAAAGGAAATAGACTGCAGTACCAACTAGCTGATTGGGTAAGTGGTTGGGTACCTGGGTAAAGGATGGGATTGGGTTAGAGGCCCAACTTAGGGGAGTTAGAGTCCCCCCAACAGAGAGAGTTAAAGACCCCTCTTGTAAAAGGCAAGGACACTTGACTGAACCTGGGTTCCAGGCCCAACTTTGGAAGGTTAGAGTCCTTCCTAAGATTTATGGGATTAGAGGACCCTTTCAGTAAAGTTCCTCTTGGCTAAGAATAGGTTTGGCACCAGGGGATGTTAACTGCTATGCTGTTTGCATTTATCTGCCTTGTCCTCTTTGCTGCATGCATCAATTTTTTGGTCGCTATCTCTGCTTCACTGTCATTTTCAGGAGATTTCATTTAATTGGTCTTAGAGATTTTAACTTTCTGTTCCCCTGTGTGTCTCCTGATTTACATCCATTTGCTTGTGAAACATCGGGAAGAAAAACATTGAAGGTTCCATCTCTAAAATTGCTGATGGAGATTTAGCATTTAAGCAATAAGATTACGTGGATGTGACTATGTTTTGTTTCTTAATAAACTTGCTTTTGCTTTGCATTGTGGACGTGCTCTGAACTCTTTCTTGTGTGAGATCCAAAAACCCTCTCTTGGGTCTGGATCCAGACTTTTTTCCGGTAACATTGGTCAGGAAACTGCAGTCACTGTGGTCATTGCTGTTTCCTGCTGATGGCCTCTCAAAACTGTGATGTATCATGTAGCATTCTTCCCCTACTTCCTTCACCCTGTGACCACCACCTCAAATAGGCTTGTGTCCCACTTCCTGCCATAACACGTTCTATAGGAGACTGCGTGGTACTTGCAACTTCTTGGCAATTTGGTGTGAAAAGCACAATTTTCACATCTACTTGATCTAAGATGGAGACCCAGACAATGTCCATGGAGTTGGCCTGAGGACCAATGACAAGGACCATGTTTCCAAAGCCTCCATAACATTTAATCCCTGCAACACTTCAGAAGGCTCCTTCTGTTATTATCTTCATCTATAGAAGGGGAAATGAGGTTGAGTGAAGTAAAGAAACTTGCCCAAGATCACAGTGACAGAGCTGGAATTTACTCCAATGTCAGTGTGATCCTTTGAAACCTGTCTTTAACCACCATGTGAATAAAATCATCTCTTTTATTCTTTTTACATTCCCTGTTCCATATTAGCAAGAGTTAAGTAGCCAGTACAGCAAGCTCCAATGTTATAGGATGAGGACTTTGTCTTAGGTTTATGGCTTGGTTTTATTGAACCCTTGGGTGCCACTTGTAAACATTTTCCAGTGTCCTCTAACTTGGGGTTAGGGAGTGAAGACTACCATTTATGGAGCTTCTCGAATAGGTTGCATTTTTTTTTTCTTTTTTTGAGACGGAGTCTCACTCTGTCACCCAGGCTGGAGTGCAGTGGCACGATCTCGGCTCACTGCAAGCTCTGTCTCCCAGGTTCACACCATTCTCCTGCCTCAGCCTCGCTAGTAGCTGGGACTACAGGGGCCCACCACCACGCCAGCTAATTTTTTTTGTATTTTTAGTAGAGACGGGGTTTCACCATGTTAGCCAGGATGGTCTTGATCTCCTGACCTCGTGATCCACCCACCTCGGCCTCCCAAAGTGCTGAGATTACAGGTGTGAGCCACCACACCCGGCTGCATTTATTTACTTATGTATAGTTTACAAATATTCTTCTTTCTCATCTCATTTATAATTAACTAATAACCTTGGAATTATTAAGAGATTGTTGTTTTTAACCTATTTAGCTGTGAGAAAGGCTCACAGAGGTTGTTTCTTGCTACTTAAAGGTTGTTCCCTTATTTACCCAGCTACTTGGGACAATCCAGAACTTGATCTCAAGTACTGGGGCTGCCAGCCTCACCTTCTTGCCTGTGCTAGAGGCAGTTACCCAAGGTTCAGAATTCCTGAATGAGTCCTGAATCAGAGACAAGTAGATACCTCATGCATGCACCATTGTCCTTCCTTTTCAGGTTTGGAGTGTGGTTTCTTTTAGATTATTGAGGTCTTTCTTCCTTTGACATGACAATTGTGTTTCTGTCCTGAAAACCTGGTGTGCTGCTGTCATCCTGGGGCAGCACTGAATACAAAGTTCCCCAGAGGGCAAACGCTATATGAGGTCCCATCAAAATTCCACTAGGAAGGATGCAAACTAATGCAGTCAAATCTTAGAAGCATTGTGTTTGGTATATTGCTATAAAGGATTGAAACAACATTAAACTTAGTGCTAGTTACTTATATTTGAAGGTTAGAACATTGGGTCCAAATTTCAATCAGAAGTTTCCACAAGTGAAGTATTCAGCCACTCACTTTTTATGGTTCTGTTATGACACAAACTACTTGAGTTTTGAAAAACAAAATATTTTAGCCACCATTTTATTGACAGCTTCATTAAATTGTCAACAATTATATGAAAAATTATTTAGCAAAAGCAAACAAATGCGATCCCTTGTTAAGATAACTACAAGAATTTAATTTTTTTTAAATGAAAACAAGTTTATTAAGAAAGTAAAGCAATAAAGAGTGGCTATTCCATAGGCAAAGCAGCAGCCTGAGCTGCTGGTTGGCCATTTTTATGGTTATTTCTTGATTATATGCTAAACAAGGGGTGGACTATTCATGAGTTTTCTAGGAAAGGGGTGGGCAATTTCCTAGAACTGAGGGTTCCTCTCTTTTTTAGACCATACAGGGTAACTTCCTGATGTTGCCATGACACTTGTAAACTGTCATGGGGCTGGTAAGAGTGTCTTTTAGCATGCTAATATATTATAATTAGTGTATAATGACGAGTGAGAACGACAGAGGTCACTCTCGTCTCCATCTTGGCTTTGGTGGGTTTTAGCTGGCTTCTTTACTGTAACCTGTTTTATCAGCAAGGTCTTTATGACCTGTATCTTGTGCCAATCTCCTATCTCATCCTGTGACTTCGAATGCCTAACCTACTGGGAATGCAGCCCAGCCCAGTAAACCTCAGCCCCATTTTGCCTAGCCCCTATTCAAGATGGAGTTGCTCTGGTTAAAACGTCTCTGCCATATTTCCCCCCTCCATATTTTTAAGGAGGTAAATTTGAGTAGCAAGGTAGTAAGGAACTTCTTGTAAAAATGGCAATATGTATCAGTGATTCTCCCATCAGGGGCAAGACCATAGTTTGGTAAGGCACATTCTTTACTAGGTGAGAGCCAAGGGGAGTGACAGCAATCACCACATGAAATTAGGCATAATTCATAGTTTATCTGTATAGCAGATTGAAAACCCAGAAAAAAATTGAGAAATAAATATTGATGTAAATCATCAGATTTTTCAGCAAATATAGTCCTTGTTTCCCCCAAAATAAAACAAACATTTTATATTTTTAAATATTTTATTTTCCTGTTCTTTGTGAAAACATCAATAAATATCGAAACCTCTCTGCTCTAACACAGAGGGAAACACTGCATAATTAACATTAAACAAGGCAGTATGCCTTACAAGAAAGACATAAAATGTCCAAGGGATATTTAGAACATTTTAGTTCTTAAAGCTTCAACATGAGAAATGTTGACCACACACTGTGAAATCATTTCAATAAATAACAACTGACATTCATCTTTACAGTTACAAAATAGACACACATACATTTCCCTGCCGTCACATTGATCTCACTGGCCATTTTCTTGGATTCCTCAGCCTCTATCACAGTGGCTGACATGTGATATGTCATCACGAAGAAATATTAACAAATGACTAGAGAATATCTGCAAACCTTCTATCTTCAAATTAAATATGAATCAGGATTGAACTAACTTGGGTTTGACCTAAAATAAACAATAAATATAATGGGAGAGTGTGCAAGTAGATTCAATCATAACCTTATTTTACACATAAAATATTAACATAGAATCTTCTAAAACAAACAAATAAATAAATAAATAAATAAATAGAAGACTTCTCCTAAGTGATGCTCAAACACATTAGGCGCAATCCAGGTGGCCTCTGCAGCTGTGTCTCTCTTTCCTCTTCTGTTCCTGTAAGGGCAGGGCCTCCTTCAGGAACAGCCACCAATAAGCTTCCTCCTTCCTTCTGGTCAGTTGGATTTGCCACTGTAATGAGAAAATGGGTGCCCTGAGTAGGTGCTCAGGAAAGCTGACTGCACAACAGTCTTCTCCTGTCCTGTTTCCCCAGGCTCTAGAGTTTTCTGAATGCAGTTTCCCCAGCCTGGCACCCAAGTGGGTACTGCCTGTGACAGCTGTGCTGTGTGGCAAGGACCTCTAGGCTTGGGATGCTCTTTTAGGAATGGGGGTGACGTGGGGTGGAGGAGTGGCAGTCTACACTGTTTTACTGGCTAAAACAGCCAGAGCCTATTGCTCTTTGTCATACTGGGCCTCACTTGAGCCTCAAAGCAACCTCATGATGTAGCTACCATTATTTTCCCTGTTTTGCTGAGTCTCAGATAAACTAAATAATATTGTCTCTGAGTGACATGGCTAATAGGTGGTGGCAACCAGTTATATACCCAGTGCAATATTATTGTGAAATCTCTGCACTTCAACCCTAAACTTTTACAAAAAACCAGGGGGTCTGCTTTTCAGGTCTGAAAGTCAGTAGGAACTAGGGGAAATGAAGCTTGTGTTTTTTAACAGGTGGAAAACACTTCAGCACAACTGGCAAACTCCAATGAGACCTTACATGAAAGCAGTTTTACCTACATTCACTGGCAGGAGGGAAGAACCTGGGTGGTGACCCTGGGCACTGGGAATATCCTCTGGCACCAGAACAGATTAATAACCTTAATGGCAACTTTGTGAAAATAATAATTTTTTCAGTCCTGCAGCTAACCCTGGGTTTTCCTGATTTACTTTTTAGGGGGCAGACGCCAGTATTTCTGACCAACAGCTCCAGTCGCCTGTGTACATGGAAATTATAACTTACTTTTTCAGCATCTTTTCGATGATTTTCTTAACCATGGGCGATGCGGGGTTGAGACAAGCTTTCTGCCCATTCTTGAGTGTGGCTCTGCAGAGAGAAGGGAATCTCGTGAGACAGGAGGTCGGGCTGAGGACAGGGTTTGGGGCAGCGGGAGAGTCGGGGACCCCAGCAGTGGCAGCGGCAGCGATGGGCGAGACTTACATGACTTCGGTTTGGGCGCAGTGGGGTCCGGGGGACTTCACCTTCACACTTTGGATGTTCTTGAGGTGAATTCCCTGCAGGGTCTGCAAGCACTGGCAGCGCAGTTCAGTGGCCAGGGGCGCTCCTAGGGAAGAAGAGACTCGCTGATTGAGCGGGGCTGTCGGCGCGGGGCGCCCACCCCAGCCGCGTCCGGCCCGGGGACCCCAGGGCGCCGGGACCCACCTGCTGCGCGCCGGCTGGCGGCCACCAGGAGCAGGAGCAGCAGCGCCACCCGCAGGAGCCGGGGATTGCTGGGGGCGGCGGAGAGCGTGGCGCGGGCCATGGGGCTCAGCAGGCGGTTCGAGCGGCTGTGCGAGGAGGAGAGCTGGCAAGGAGCTGCCTGTGGCCCGGGCTCTGTGGCTCTCCGAGAACGGCGAACCCCTTTTATGCATGGTTGGGGCTGGAAAGCCCGGAGTCCCGGGCCAGGGAAATTCCCGGAGCTCCAGATCGATCCCGAGTTCGGAAGGAAGGCGATGGCCCCGCCTCTGGGGTGGAGGGGGGTCGGGGCACTCACGAGTGACGTCCGGGTCTGACTGTCTTGCGTAACTCCCGCCAACTGTGGGATGTTCTCTTTCTGCCCCGAATCCCTGGAGCGGGAGCGAGAGCCCGCCGCTCTCAGAGATACCGAGATAACCGCCTGCGAGGAGGCGCTTCGTGAACCCAGTGCAGTGCGTCGTGGGTCAGATCCCTTAGACCCACGTAGGGACCGCGCTACATCCTTACCGGGGGGAGTTACTTCTCTGGAAGACATTTCAGTTGTTGGGATTGAAAGTTAGGGCAAGAACTGCAGCATGTCTTATCTATCCTCTCTCTTTAGTTTGGGTTCTGCAAATTTCATTAATGTTTGAAATAAACGCACGCTTTAACAGTACATGTGTCATCTCAGATGACGCATAAGAGCTTTTGTCTCCTTCCTGGTGTTTTATGATCTTAAAAGCAAATATCACGTGTGTGTGTGTGTGTGTGTGTGTGTGTGTGTGTGTGTGTGTGTGTTTCAACGTAGTGGAGCCAGGTGTTGGGTGCGGGAACAGACCATTGCCAAGGGTCAATTCAGTGTTTATTTTAGTTAACAGTGTTGCAATCCCCCATCCTTTCTCTCTTTGAAATCTTGGAACATCTCGAACTCTAGTAATTCCAGTAGCATCAATTTTTTGTTGTATGGAAGTCTGTGTTTTGATCCATGGAAGTCACTGGGAGCTGCGAGGGGCCTGTTGGGCTCAGGAGGTCTGCCTTTTCTAGTGCTGTCCCTGGGCAGAAAAGGCCATAGACACCACCAGAAAAGGAGCAGGGAATGAGACTCCGCTTGTTTACTACTCTAAGCACAAGCAGACATGTCTGATATATACATACTAGATTGCTAACATAATTGCATTTCCATGCCATATGTATTTACCAGCATCCTGGGATTGGTTCCCTCTAGAGAAACAGCTATCGAGGAAATTTTAGTTCTAGAGGAATGTCAATAAAGCATTTCCAAGCCTGTTTAGCTGATGCCTTCTCACTGGATTACTGACTTTTCATCATCAATTTCAATGACCCCCTCTCTTTAAAAATTAAGCTGTAGGCCTACAATACTCTGTCTTAATTCTTCCTGGTGGATGCAGACTTCAGGGATATGGAGATATTCTGCCACTGCTATGAGAAGGGCTGGGAGTGGCACGAGGATGAAGAAGTGGGACTACCTTAGGAATAGAGTGTTCCCTGGATGCTGCAGCTGTAGAGATCACTTGATAAGGATGTCAGGGCTGAAGTTTCAGCCATACCACTAACTTGCTTCATGACCCTTGGTAATTTATGCTTTATTTGCTCATGTTTCTCCCCTGTAGAAGAGCTTATAATAGTGCCTGCCTCACGGGGTTGTTAGAAGTATTGATTGTTAATATGTGTAAACCATCAGTGCATGTAAAGTGTTATGTAAATATTTGTTAAATAACAAAATAGAAGTGGTGTTTCACAACCTTACTGATATAGGCTGGATGTTTGTGTCTCTTTCAAATTCAGATGATGAAGCCCTGACTCCCTTATGTGCTAATATTAGAAGACAGGACCATGGGAAGTAATTAGGTTTAGGTGAGGTTATGAAGGTATGGCCCCCATGATGGGATAAGTGCCATTACAGCAAGAGATCAGTGAGCTTTCGATCTCTGGCTCTCTCTCCCTTTCTGCATTGTGAGGACACAGCAAGAAGGCCACCATCTGCAAACTGAGAAGAGGGCCCTCACCAAGCATGAAATCTGCCAGGATCTTAATCTTGGACTCCCCAGCCTCCAGAACTGTGAAATAATTGTTGTTTAAGCCCCCTAGCCTATGGCATTCTGTTATAGCAGCTCAAACTGACTAAGACACTTAACTAAACAGAAGCACTCTGATAAAGCCTTATGAACACACACACGCACAAAGAAAGAAATATTTTCAAAGAAACATCTTCTAATTTACCTTTAAAATTTTTCAGCATCAGAAATTTTAAAGGAGGGTGCATTTCTATCCTTATGGGATCTTACAATAATTTTTTGATCCATTGTTTGTTTGAAATTTTAGTTTCAATCACTTTCCACATAAAATGAGAATAAGAGTAAAATTCTACCCTATCCATTTATTAGAAAAGATTTATGAAATGACTCTGCCTTGGGCATTAACAGCTAGCTGCCCAAACTTCTTTATTTTGTGCTAAAGAACTAAAGAACAATAGAAAACATCAGCTTATAATGATTGCCAGACTCATCCCAAAGTATTGATGTGAGTAAATAGAAAGAGTAAAATTTCTATTATCTACAGTAACAGTCCCTCAAAAAGATGAGAAATTTCAAGAATCAGCCCATCATTTGTAAAATTATGTACGTTATTCCTAGAATTTGTTTACTAAAAATTATTTGCTTTAGGAAGGGAAGTAGAATTCCTTTTTCTTTTCTTAATATACCACTTTCCATGATTTAACTTATGACAGCCCCAGACCAAGCTTCTGAAGTTTTTAAGGGTACCAGTGTTATGAAACTTACCATAATAAATTCCTTCTTGTCTTAATATGAGTTGAGTGCCACTGTTACAGGCACAAGTTGTAAACCCATGCAATTACTAACTCAAAGATGCTATCTCTAAAATGGAAGTACAGTTTCCTAAATTCCATTCTCCCCTTTAATTTTTATTGTATTTTTCAGATTTGACTAGTACAATCTAATATACCTGCAAAATGTAGGCTTGCTGCTCCATGCCGACCACTGACATTCTTGTTACTTGGGCAGCAAAATGAGTGGTGTGGCTCTGCTTTACCGTGAATTGCCTTGAAGACTTTGCTGATATAACCTCCAACATATAGCTTGCTCCTCTAGAGGAACAGACTAGAAAATAAATAAAGAAGTACAACTGATTTTAGAGATAGATCTGATGGAGGTTGAGATATGGGGCTCTGGAATTACAGAATAGAAGACAGATAACATGGTTCATGATAAGACTTGTTAGTCCTCACACTGTTTATGCTTAGTGACTCCTTTGCTTTCAGGTTTTGCTGCCACGCATACAAAGTGGACAGTGGTACAACCCCTTTGTTGTGTCTGACTGCATGAAGAAATACATAATTGACTTAGTTACATACTATGTGTATTTCTTGTTATTTTTTTCACTAAAGAATTAAGGCAGTCTCTCAATGACCAGAGCCTAGGAATACTTCCTAGTATTATAAACATTGCAATTGACATGTTCTGTGGGGCTTTTGTGATTTTTTGAAAACTGTGGTTTATATTCATTGTGCTAAAGTTTTCCTTACTGGCTCTGGCACCCCGGCTTTGGGTTGTGGTCCTGCGGAAGAAACATTCTTCCTTGTCTGTGGTTCTTTAGTGGATTGCTTGTTAGCTCAGGGATTGTGGCCACCACTCATCGAAACATGTGCTCTGGAGATAAAGCGCCAAAGGAAAAGAAGGGAAGTAATATTTATTTATTAGATTCCAATTCTTGATTAGATGCAGTGCCTGAGTTTTTCAGTGTACTGTCATTTTAATAATTTCAAGAATGCTGGGAGGCTGGTATCATGAGTCTTATTTTATAGGTAAGGAAACTGGAGTACAAGGTCTTAGAAGTGGAATTAAATTCAAACCCAAGACTGTCTGACTCAGAAGCTCATAGCCAGTCTTTCTCTAGACAAGAAAGGAAGTGACAGGAGAAGAAGAGGACATGTAAAAGAATCTTAATTAAGTCTATGGAGGATATTTTATTATTTTTCAACCCTACCAGAAAACAATGCATTTATTAAAATATTTAATACAGTTTTGATTAGGAACCAAACAGACATGTAGAAGTGATGACAACTAGTAGCCTCCAGAGTCCCAGCAGCCCAGAGAATCTCCTGCTTATTGTGCCGTCAGCCCCCAAATTCATTCCATGAAGTTCCCAGCAACTCCCAACACCATATCAGAATCTGATATTATGATTGAAGGCAGGCTGGGAGTGGTGTCTCACACCTGTAATTCCAGCACTCTGGGAAGCCAAGACAGTAGGATCACTTGAGGCCAGGAGTTCAAAACCAGCCTGAGCAAGATAGTGAGACCCTGTCTTTATGGAAAAAAAAAAATTGAAGGCAGATGGTAGCGTAGGTAAAGGATCTAGCTAAGCATCTTACCTCTAGCAGCTCTTAAAGTATCTTAGAAGGCACTAATAAGAAGGTAGATACCACTATAAACTGTTAAAGGTTGGTCTGTCATCAAGAGACTAGAGCAATATTTCAATATGTATAAACTACAAGTCATGATCCACTGGAGGGTCATAAAGTCAGTTTTGTGGGTTGTAACCAGTATTTAAAAATATAAAGGGGCAGTGGCTCATGCCTGTAATCCCAGAACTTTGGGAGGCCAAGGCGGGCAGATCAGGAGGCCAAGAGATTGAGACCATCCTGGCCAACATGGTAAAACCCTGTCTCTACTAAAAATACAAAAAAAAAAATTAGCCGGGCATAGTGGCAGGTGCCTGTAGTCCCAGCTACTTGGGAGGCTGAGGCAGGAGAATAGCTTGAACCTGGGAGGAAGAGGTTGCAGTGAGCTGAGATTGCACCTCTGCACTCCAGCCTGGCAACAGAGCGAGACTCCACCTAAAAAAAATATAATTGTATATATACATACACATATATATATGAATAAAATAGGATAGAATTTTAAAATGCATGTGCCATAATGCATCACATATTGTTAGTTTAACTGTTATTTTATGACACTTTTGTGTCTTATATAGATAGGTAACTGTGTAAAACTAAACATTTGATGCACAAGATGCAAAAACAGAACTCCCAGGAGTGAAAATATCCCTTCAGAGACGTTATTATATTGATCAAGGCTGTGACTATATAATAAGTTCCCAGTTTGTAGACATTATCTCCTGAGAATTTCCAATCAGGAAAAAAAAGTTGAAGCATATTCCATTTTAATGTCATCACTCCCTAAAAGTTTGCACAACAGGGAGTTCCAGTAAATTGCTGAGCTTTTCCCAGCAGGAATGCCAGGTTCGGATGTTCCTGCTGATAAGGGTGGCCACTTGGCAGTGTTCTCAGCAGAGTTGAAAGATTAACATAGTACCAGTATTGGTTCGCTTAGCAGAATTTGTTTCAGTCCCTTGGTCATTTGGGCCACACCGACGAATTATTATATCCAGCTATGAATGTTGCTTGTGGCAGGTACAAAAGGGAAATAAAGAAAATATTAAACCTTAATACTTTACCATTGTCACCCTACTTCCTGGTGTGTTAATTTTTCAAAAAAAATCAGTGGAAGTACCTGTTCAATTTTAACATTCTTTGTTTATTTTTGCCAAAATCTTTGTCTTTTCTAAGTGTCTAACTCAACCTACCAAATTATCTATGACAGTACACAAATAACAATATACTAATATGAAAATTATAATTATGAATAATAACTAATAATAACAAAAATGCTCTTTTGTACTTTTTATATCTGGAAGAGGGCTGAGATTTTGCATGCATGTGCATATGTGTGTGCATGTGTGTGTGTGTGTATGTGTATAATATCTCCTTACATGTAGACACAAACTCAAGAGATAGATACTCAAAATATGCCCATTTTTCACATTATGAAACCAAGGTATCTGCCATACTAACAAAATTGGAACTCAAAATATGGGTGAAAGAGAAACTTTGAATGTTTATACGTATGTGAGTGACATGGTTGTATTTGTATTTTAGCAAAATAACTTTTGTGGCATTGAAGGTAAAATGCAGGGGAAATATTTAGGTTACCTGGGATCATTTTGATATTTTCCAAAATTGTTTCTAAGATTTATTATTGTGGGTCCACAATACCCCTTAGTTTTGGATTAATTTGACCCACAGAAGGTATTGAGGCAATACCTTTCTGAAAACTCCATATTTGAGCCTGAAGCATGCTTTGACTTTTTCAAGACCAATATGAATTTTATATGCTAACAATGTAACCACATTCTTTGTTTCTATTATAGAATTTTATTGAATTTAATACATATATTATTAATTTATAATACATAAATTATTTGTTGGATACAAATTGAAAGTCTTTGGACTACAGAGGAGTTTCTGTAATAATATATTTATCTGGGATGTAATCCTTTTCTGTTACATCTTTACTGTCATTTTTTTCTCTACTTTGCGTGCATATCCATGATAAAAATAGGTAGAAAATACAGTTTTGTGAGATAAAACATTGTTAGCTCTCTTGTATACCTGCAACAATTACACTTGGAACAAAACAATAACGGTGGCTATATTTTAAATTTTAAGGTCCCAACAGTCCCGTATAAAAGTCTAATCTCTACGGTCCTTAAACTCATTTCCTTTAAATCAGATTAAATTTGACTATATGCCTTCATTCCACCAAGGAGAAAACTATTCAATCTCAGTCATTATTGTAGCTCCCAGACCACACTGAAAGTACAAAAGGTCCCAAGGGATTTATCCAAGCAAAATATTCAGGGCTGTCCATCTGTACTTTGACTTATACTTGTTTTCCATAAAAGGACAAACATTGATATGGTCATTTTAAGTGCAGCACTGTCCAGCTCTTATCCATTCTGTAGCACAGAAATCTTTGCTAAGGTTGGTAATAACAGTGCTTGGTAATCTCTTAAGTACAAAGTACAGTCTTTCTTCCAGAGTCCTGCCACCTCCCTGGAAGGAGAGAGCAGCAAGGAGAAACAAAACCGTTAATTTTGGCAGTGTGTGAAACACTGTGATGGCCCCTTTTCCCTTCCCACTCCTCCCTCCCTGTGGCACACAGCCAGGAAGCAGATGAAGGATAGTTCGTGAGTTCAAAAAGAAGGGGAGATTTGAGAGTGGTAAGAAAAATAAAATAATGAATGATTCTCAAGAGAGGGAAAAGAGAGGCACATCCAAGGGATTTGAGGTTACTTAGCTAACTTTGAAAGTTTTGCCAACTGGTAGTCCAAGATTCAGGAATGAGGATTTTGAAATGAGAAATAAAGTTAAAGTAGCTGAAAAGGTGGAATGGAGACTAGGAGCTACTTCTGTGCTCCAGTGCCCTTCTGGTTCTATATTTTCTTCTTGCCTTATTCAGATGTTTGCCAAACTAACATTCAGGCCATGTAGGACATTGACTACACTGTCTCTCCTCTTCCTCAGTGCAGTTCTAAGGCTACACATATACTCAACCACTGGACTTATTTATTAAACAGCAACCATATTTCCAGGATTGAGGGAGCCACTGAGATCCAGAAATCAAAGTGTCTATTCCTTCCCTCACAAGAGCCACACTCTGGTTGAGCAGACAGGGATGTCAACAGGTGGTAATAACCCAGTGTTTATGCTAGGCATTGTGTATGATTACATATGTAAGGAACTGGGGATAAAAAGAAGGGCAAAATACTGAATTTGTCCTTAAAGTGCTTAAATTCTAAAATGTAGAATAAACAATTTTTTTAAAAAAATGTATTATGTTATGGTCAGTTCCATATGGGGTCCATTACTGCTCTTAGACTCAGGAAAGAAGGTCCCCCTGTCCTGAGCCTAAGCTTCAGAAGATCTCACTAGCACAACCTTGCAAAAAAACCACAAATGTATTAGAGAACCCCGGGGGGCACTTCTGCCACCTGAGGAACCAGAGCCTAGAGTGGGCGCCAAATGACCCTTAACCTCCTAAACTTCCTTAACACTAGATACTTACTTTCTTGATTAACGAAGTTCAAGCCCAAGGCTGAGATCCCAGAGGGACACAGTGGGGAGCCTAAAGAATAATGATCATGGTGGTTGAGCTCCCTTCTGTTCTCTTTGGCTCTGGAATGACTATGAGGAGCTCAAAGCATATTTACAAACCAAAATTTTCACAGGGAACTTGGCCGAAGAAGCTTGGAAAAAGTCAAGAGGACCATGTATCCTTACTGCCGACTATTTCCACATTTTCCACATCTTTTTCTGAGATCAGTTAATAAGCATAACCCTAAGGAATCAGTCCACCAGATGCTTTTTAATTTATTCTGAAAGCTCAGTGTCTAGGTAACTTACCACAGCTGACATATTACAATGTGTGAATATAGCATCAAATGTATGCTTTGTTTCTGCATCCAAGTAGTGCTTTAGGAATCTTATTGTCACTGCATTAGAAGAGTAAAATGTCTCCAAATTTAAATTAATTATAAATAAATGTAAGAAATGATTGAAGCATCATCTAAAATGGCACTATTGTCTATAGAACAAAAATTATGTGACCATTTCAATTATAAAAATGTAATTACTAATTTTGCTGAAGTGAAGAAAAATAAATTTTATATAATAAATATAGAATAATAGAATAAATCTTAAATTATGCATGATTTTATTTTGTATGCATCCAGACATTGCCTACACAATAACAGAATACCCAGATATGGAATTACAAATTCACTTTTCTCTGATATTTTGCTGATTCTCATCATACAAATTCCATAACTTTATATATTTTTAAAATGTTATTAATATATGGTCATGTGTCACATGAAGATCAGAACGCATTCTGCAAAATCTGGCATTAGGCTGTTTCCTCCTTGTGTGAACATCTTAGAGTCCACTTATGCAAACCCAGATGGTGTAGCCTACTCCACACCTATGCTATATGCTCTATTCTATTCTCCCAGGCTACAAGGCTGTACATCATGTTGCTGTACTGAATACTTAGGCAATTGTAACACAACAGTATTTGTGTATCTAAACACACAAAGGATACAGTAAATATATATATTAATAGTACTGTAATCCTATGTCCTCACCATTGTGTATTCCAACTGTAGTTGTCCAAAATGTCATTATGTAGTGCATGACTGTATATCTGTGAAGACAGGAAGATCCTCAGACTCATTTTATTTAACATTTTGTTAGCTAGTTAAGAAAACCGTAAATATTTAGACAGAGAATCATGGGCTTCTCTGAACTCTCTCTCAAGACCCCACAATTGTTAGATATGGCCTCATGAAGCATTGAAGAGTGCATATGGAGGAAAATTATGAAAAATTATCCTAGAACAGATGACTGAAAAGATGAATTTTGGAAAAAATCTAGGTTATTATAACATATTTTAATTTGTACTAATTTTGACACCCCCTCAGAGGAATTTTTATGTTTTTGAAACAAGAATTATTTCTGTTTTTATCTACACACAGAGTTCATTTTATAAGTGCTTGGAACCCAACAGAGCTTAATGAATTGAATAGGATGTTCTTGGGAAAGAGAGTATAGATAATACGCTTCAATAGTTAAGACATCAGGTGAGAAAGCCATTAATTTTAGTTAAAATTACCATTTTAATTAGTCATTTTATGATAACATAGACAATGGAAGATGATTAAGAAAAATGAAGAATCAGCATTTCTTGATTCTTCAATAGACACTTGAAAAACTACAACACAAGGAAAACCCACTGTTTGATGGTCTAAGATCCTATCCCACTATGCTGACATTTGTCAAAACACTTAAATTGTTTGGTTTAAAGAAACTCCTTTTTATCCCTGCTACTAATACAAAGAATATACTTGTGTTTGTTCATTGAAGAGTTTCTAAGTATTAGAATTTCAGCAACAGGAAATTCATTTCTCAACTTGTATTCTTCACACAAAAGGCATCAAATTGCTCATGAGTTAATAGGTTGACAGCTATTGTCATTTCCTGGTGGGAAACTTTCATAGTTAGAGGAAAAGAAGGCTGAACACCAGATGCTGTTCATCATGTATTTTGGGATATGTTCTTGAAGGTCTGAGATTTACACTGAATTTATAAAGCAATGCCATTGAGTCAAGTAGAGAAGAATCTAGATTATAGAACAAGGCTGTGAAGTCAGATGGTTGTGCCAACAGTGTCTGCTGTGCAGAACCTTTAGCTCCCACTTCTCTCTCACATGCACTGAGTCAGAAAATGCTATTTTGTAGGCTGTAGCTACTTGTCAGGTTTATGACTCAACAAACTGAAATATTAGCCAAATGAAATATTGTTGTGCAATTCAGGGTGCTCACTCATAGCACATACAGTGTTGAATATAATCATCTATAGCTTCAAATGTGCTGGTCATGAGTCCACTAAGAAATGCAGAAAAGAAGCAAGAGGAGAAACAGTCTGACCTTAGCTGCAAAGGGCACCAGGATGCCAGCATGCTAGAGTCATGCTGGTTTCCCCCTTCATGGAAGTGACAGGCCCATGACAAATTTACGCAAATATGACATGGAAAATAATTTCTTGAAGAAAACTTCTTTTGCCATATGTTTCCTGGTTTTCTTCTGGTTTGGCCTGTGAATGGTATCAGTTTATTTTCGAGTCTAGTATCCAATATTCCTGGAAGCTAGGGCTGAGGAATGTTCATTTCACAGGATGGCCAAGGTCTGATATGCAAGGCTGGGATTGAGTGAGGCCCCAGGGCAGGCTGAGAACAGGAAGCGGTTTCACTGACATTCCATTCCTTTCTCTCCCTGACCACTCCCATCTCAGAGTGGCCAAGGATCACTGAAGAAATAGTAATTGTCATCTAAACCTCATAACAGGGGTGTCTGGCACTTGAGAGTTGACCCACTTCAATTTATTCAAGCTCCCACTCAAAAAAACTCTCCTTGACTTACAGGATATGAATACCAATTCCCTAAAGCAAAGCATAGTGAGAATTTCAGTAAAAGAAAAGAAACGAAAACCCCAGAAAAAGTATTCAGTAATTGAAGAGTCACCATCCCGAGGGTCCTATAGGAGCTCACCCTTGGTCGGTGAGAACTACTCAGTCAGCCTCACTTACCTCATTGCTCTGGCCAGCTCATACAGGCTTACAAGAGCAGGTTATTAAATGGTCAGGAATTTTGATAGCCAGTTATTCATTGTTGGAAGCATAAATTTGACCACAGTGGGAGTGTTTATGGAAATCAGCAAATGCTACAAATCTGATTTTTTTTTAAATTTGAAAGCTGTTTTACCAACACACCGCGGCTTATAGCTCTGCATAAACATAATCTGTATCAACTTTATCCTCTTTTTCCTCCCCTTACTATAGCCTCTGTCCTCTGCCCTCATTATCCTCTGCTGGGATCTCTTGAATATTTTTTCCCCTTTAGCTGGTTTTCTCTTTCACTCATTGATTTGTCCTGGGTTTCATCATCTAGGCAACTCTCACGCACAGAAAATTCTTGGGAGTTGTTCTCACTAGACTGATAGCAATACCACTTTTATTTATTATTATTATTATTATTATTATTTTGAAACAAGCAAAGGCTCTAGGAATGAAATACTAGAAGATGAAGGATTTTTTTCTTCTGGATCATAAATCTGGGCATCCCATGCCTACATGTTCTGGGACTCATGAGGCATTCTATTGATCCCCAAATTGCTATTAATAGATACCAAGTGAAAATTTGGTATCTCTTCCCATCAGCCCTAATCTCAGAATGCATTATCTTTTCTAAGCAACAACTGAAGCCTGTGTGCACTAGCAGTTAAATGTGTATCTGCAGGAGGTTTAAATATTCCTAAGTGAATGTGGGAAGTGGTAGTGTATTTTGGAATTCAAGGGATCTTAGAAATAATGTAGTCTAATTTGCTCATTAGTCTGGTGAGTAAACAGAGTTTCAGACAGATTAGCAGTTAGTGGTAGAATCAGTACTAGAATTCAGATCCCTGGCTTCCTCTTCTGGGCATTTTCAAATCTGCAACAATGTCTATCTTAATTAACATTATAATTAGGACCAAGATAATCTTCATTCAACTCAACAAATATTTTTTGACTACCAGATATATTTCTATGTGCACTTATTTTATACTAGGTACTGTTCCAGGAGTTGAGACTACCAAGAAGTTCTCTACTTTTTAGAGCATTCTTTTGAGAACTAACATTATTTGTATTAGTATGACTTAACTCTTTGTTCCAGGAAATTCTTACATAGAAAATAAAACTAAGCTCATGGAGAACTTTGCCATTTGCTTGAGGAAATTCTTCTAAGTCAGTTTATTCAGGACATCAGTTTGCACATCTGAGCCAGCAGATCACTCCTCAGACAAGTTCGCTTTTTCTAGCAAGACCCTCACCTGTTTTGTCCACTAACTCTATTATGTCAACAACTGTGCCCAATTCCAGTCCATTCCCTACCTTGTCAGATCAGTTTTAAACATTTTGAGTCCAATTCTCTGAACATCCTCCTTCTGAGACACTAAAATGCTGTCAGAGCATTGTTCCTCCTGTTGAGTAATTCTAATAAATTTAACGTTTCCTGATTGAAGGGGTTTTTTGTTGTTGTTGTTGGTAGTATTTCTGATGAATTGGCAGTTGATATGTTCTATTGGAGACTAGAACATAAGAATGGGGAAGGTGATACTTATAATAATCTATCTGGGTATAGTTAGGATCTTCACATGCCACACTATGTAGTGACATAATTTGACCTGGAAATAGCTGGTCACATTGGCTATATTGATAGCAACAGGAGATAGACAAATTCTTAGGCAGACAGGGATGCGTCCCTGGTAAAACCTGATCTCCAAGCCAAAGACAGCCTGAAGACTGAAAACTGAGCTGCCAGTTCGGGGTAGAGCCCATGACCAGAGTGAGAATTTCCTCGATGCCTTTTAGCCAATATAATGATGCTTTTTCCAGGCCCACCCATGGACCAATCAGCATACACTCCCCCATTCTGAACCCATAAAAACCCCAAACTCAGCCTTACAGACAGCCACCTGCTTTTGGGCCTCCTCTCACACAGAGGACCATCCACTTCAAGTCCCCTCTTGTGTTGAGAGCTTTTCTGCCACTCAGGAAAATTCTTCTCTGCTTTGCTCACTCTCCGGTGTCTGTGTACGTCATTCTTCTTGGTCACAGGACAAGAACCCGGAACATGCCAAAAGGGTGTAACACATACTCCTGCTCACTGAGTTACAGGAGTGAAAAAAACCACTGGGTGCCGCATGCCCCTATTTAGCAGGTACAAATGAGCTGTAACACAACACACCCCCATCCTCCAAGCTGCAGGCAGCAGGGAGAGCTGTAACATGCCTCCATCCTCCGAGCTGCAGGCTCAAAGAAGTGAAGCAGTTAGGCACTATTCCCTCCTGGCCAGCTTGCTGAACTACAAAAGCTGCAACATTTCTTGGGAGCTTAGACCTCAGGATTCCCCAGGCGAGAGCTGTAACATCACCTGGGGCTCCACAGTTGCTGGCATCTCTGAGTTTTCAGGTGCCACTGCATTCCCCTCATCTAGACTCCGGCTCCCAATGCAAAAGCTGCCTGTGGCATGCCAAGTTTAGCCACAGGCAAAACACAGAGTCCCTGTTCAGATGTGGGATCCAAGCAGGTAGCACAAGCTGAGTACAGCCCATCAGGCTGAGTGGGAAGAGTGAGCCCAGCAGGCCTTGGCAAGACTACAGGCAGAGGTCACAGCAGCCACAGAGATTTCCAGCTGGTGAAGCAGCACTGAAGGAGTCCTGTAACAGTATGTTAGTCTACAAACTTGGTAAATTCTCATTCTCTGTTTTCTGTGACATTTTGATTTTAAAAATTTTATTCTCCAATACATCGCAAGGACTGGATATCTTGCCCTCTATTTTGAAAGTATGGTGTCCAAATTCATAGGAGAAGGCAAGGGTAGGTGACTCAGAAGGCACACACACCAAAAAGAGTCATTGGAGGAACAACCCAGGAAGCCATAGAAGAATGTTATCCCAAACTAGATGGAAAAGTTTTGTTTTTATGTAATTTAGAAAAACATTCTTATTATTTATTTGCTTAAAGTTTGTCACCATTTTTTCAAATTTTTTTTATAGAATGCCATCCTATTTAAACTACTATCCACAACATGAAATATAGTTACCACAAACATAAAAATAGCCAAGTGGTGGAATGGGGAGGAGGGACCCTGAACTGTTGACCAGGAGGTGGCCTCTGGTAAGCCTCACCATACCTTGATGAAAGAGCCCTCAAAACTCTCCATCTCCTTTGACTTTAATTCTGTACAATCTTCTAATTTAGATACTGATATAGTTTGGATGTTTGTCCACTCCAAATCTCATGTGGAAATGTGATTCCCAATGTTGGAGGTGGGGTCTGGTGGGAGGGGAATGGATCTTGGGGACAGATTCCTTATGAATCGCTTAGCACCATTCCCCTTGGTGATAAGTGAGTTCTTGCTCAGTTAGCTCATGTGAGATCTGGTTGTAGAGTCTGGGACCTTCCCTCTTCTCTCTTTTGATCTCTCTCTCACCATGTGACAATCACTGCTCTCCCTTTTTCTTTTGCCGTGATTGTAAGTTTCCTGAGGCCCTCACCAGAAGCAGTTGCTGAAGTCATGCTTGCATAGCCTGCAGAACCATGAGCCAATTAAACCTCTTTCCTTTATAAGTTACCCAGTCATGGTTATTCCTTTATAGTGCTTTATAGTCCTTTATAGTGACTCATAAATGGCCCAATACAGGTACTTAGCCTTTTGGTTAAAAGATACCAACACATAGGTGACTAGATTGCAGATCATTGGCATTTTGAATTGTTTTTTAAGTACCCATATTACTGTGGTTTACGCCAAATTGAATCTATTATGTAGAAATATGCCTATAAAACTACTTTCAAATTTGTACAAATATCAGTTTCTCAAAGCGTATATATATATATATATGCATGCATGTGTATGTGTCTGTTTAAAATACACCTGCTGGGGATTAGCATTGAGCTGAAAGACAAGGTCCTGCCCTTGCCCTAGAAGAGTTTGCAGTGTAGATGGAGACCACCTGACACCTCACCTGATCCCTGATAGCAATTCCAGGCCAACTTTCCTAAGCACTATGGGAATTCAGACTAAGGGCCAGATCACCGTTGCCTGAGATTCCATTGTGATGTTAGAATTCACATTCTCATTCTTATTCAATAGAACTGACTCGTTCACCAGAGCACCTACTATGTTCCAGGTGGTATCATAAGAACTTGGGAGACATCACTAAACAAAATAGAAAAATCCCTGCCCTTATGGAGCTGACATTCTAGTGGGGGCTTGGTTTTTTTCCTTGGGTACTGGGTTTGTTTTTCCATGATGAGCATATCCTATGATGCACTATAGCACTCAAGCAAGATGCCTGAAGCAAAGGAGGTGAGTCACCATCACTGGGATAAAAAAACAGGTCAGAGAAGTAGAAGTTATTTTCTCTTATAATTTTAAATTTTGCCTTAAGCTCTTCTTTTGAAATGTTCTAGGCCAAAGTAATGATTCATGGATTCAGCACACTTTCCTTTGTTGAAAAGCACTGCTTGTTCCCCCTCAAAGCTATGTGAGAGGCTGTGTAGGAGAGAGTGGAGAGCAGGTAGCCTACCGGACCTACAGTTCACCATTTCAGCCCTGTAATTGACCAGCTGTGGGACCTCAGGTAAGCTGGCTAACCTCTCTCTTACCAATGGTAGATGACTATGAAAGCTCCAAACTCTCTCACAAACATAGGAGATTATTAGCATACAAATTAATGTCTAGGTTTGTGGGTCTTGAGGCTTCAGTGGAGGTCATGGGCAAAGCTGCAAAGAGCATGGGAATTAAAATACATGCTCCAGGATAGGCAGTGTGCTGGCTTTTTCTATGGATTAATTCATTTGATTCTCACACCAACCTCAAAAAGAAGGATTATTAGCCCTTGATAGATGAGGTAACTGGGACTCAGAGAAGTTGTGGAGCCAGGATTCTAGATCAAAGCATTAAGTCTTTGCTTCTGTGCTCTTTCACCTTGGCCAGGCAGCTGCCCTTGCCCAGTAAATGGTACATCACAGTAAGTGTTTTATTAAAATGCCATTTCCCTGAAACAAAGAAATGATGGTATTAGGGGGAGGGCAAGGGAGACATTTTGAGAATATTTAAGTATATATGATGACTATTTCTTCTTCAAATATCTATCTGGTATAAAACTACTATTCTGTTACTCTAATTATTTTTTGACCATAGGAGAGACTGCGACAGAAATTCCATTAGTGGATTTGAGATTGAGTTTAGAATATTTATTTAAGTAGAGCTAAGTGTGGCAATATCTGTCATATCTATTAGTTTGGAGAAATGAAGAAGCTTTTTTAGTTATAGATCCAGACACCAATGCTAATACCAAATACTACAGCCAGTGTTCTTCTGTCGCCATAGTTGTTACAAGTATGACAGCCTCCCAAGTCATTTATTGATTCAACTCCCTTTTTGTTTTAATGTTGACACACTAGTTTGTATGAACAATGAGCACACTAGCTCAGAAGAGGACAACAAGAATTAGCGCGGATGGTTCTTCCCCTTGAGGGGGTGCTCTGTCAGTATGAACATGCCTTCATGGGCAGAAATTAGGAGCCCACTAGCTGTTAATGAAGAGTGCTTTGCTTTCCTTTCAGACAGCAGTTTCCAAAGTTCCTCTTCTCCTTTAATGGCATTGCCCTTTAGTGTGTGTTAACCTGTGGTTTGAAAGAAATACTCGTGTATATTAGCAATGTAAATATAAGTGATTAAATTAAATTACATTTATCAATAAAAATAGCTATTATCGATAGCTGAATGCATAAAGTATGCAGCATCACATACGGATGAACTCACCGTTTGTCGTGCTACTACAGGTACATGCTCTACAAACACAGAAATTCTGATATTCTATGAAACATTATTAAATTCCAATTGAACATGATCATTCCAATCAAATAAGGGGAAAAAATATAAAGTATTTGTAATCAAAGACCCTGTATTGTTGAGTATATTCCTGAAGGGGAGGGGTTTGTTTTGTCTAGGATTGATATAAAGTGAATTATCTGCTTATGATTTTTCACTCTGATTATTGGAATAATATTCTCCACACTAGCTCCTGGATCTGTGCATTTCAACCTTGTCTCTTCCATACCTGCATCATTTTGGTATTGTGTATATTAGGACACATTCTGATTTCTGCATCAGAACGCTGAGTGAGTGTGCACAGTAAGCAAAGGAGTATACCTGGGAGCCAGTCTCACACCAGGATGGCTAGTAAAAACAGAACCATTCATAACATAACTGTCAACCAATAAAATACATATCACTAAAGCTAAACTAAATTCGAGTACCCTCAACTCAACTTCCCCCAGCCACATCTCAAAAACATGACTAGCTACTCCAACATCACCCAATATAAGGAGAACTGTAAAGAAATAAAGTCAGAGTGAGAGAAAAAAAAGCAGTCCTAATCAACTTGATTAAATATATGACTTCACAGCAAATTGCATAAAACTATATGACCACATGAGCACATTCCTAGGCCCTCCCAAGGCCCTGAAAAAAGCCTGAACTAGGGAGGGGCTCTAATTAGCTTAATGATACACTTACCTATGATTGTGGTTATGTCTTGATTTATCTGATTGGCATTGTTTTTTAAATTATCTAAAAGTGTTCATCCTTATTTTTAGGTTAGCAACTGTGACCCTAGTGACTAGTAACAGTAACAAATGAAAGAAGATGCTCTTGTATGGCCAAAACGATGAAACAGACCTACATGATTTTATGAAAAGTTTTCCTTGGCTTTGGTTCAAAGAGATTTTTCTTTCCTTGACACTAAAGTGGTAGTTTGCACTAGGCATATAGATACCGTTCTATCTTTCTGGTTCTCCACTTAAATGACACTCATGTCTGCTACATTAAAATTAGCTTGTTAGGTTTTATTTCACCAAGTTTATAAAGTAAACCACATATCGTTTTCTCTTTTGTAGATGCTGAAAGCAAAGTTCATGTGGGAAATGTTTGGCAATAGCTGATTTATCCTCAGGGTAACAATATTCTATAACTCCTTTGATCTTGAGGCCTCTGTGATGGAAATGCTTGGAGAAAGGGATTTTAAAGGGAGATTCTGAAGTCCTTGGGAAAGTCCACAAGTGGACGGGGCTTCATAGCCATGACAACAAATGACATTGTCTAGGAAACAGTGAGTCATGGCATGCTGAGCTTAGAATGGAGCCAACAGAAGGAACCTGGCCTCGGACACAGAATCTTTTGGCTGCTGACCCAGAATGACTGTGAAAGACTAACACTGTTTAGCAGATTTTTCTTGAGTGTTTACTATGTGTGAGGTTCCTGGGATTCAGATTCAGCTACTATTGTTAAGAGGAAATCAACCAGGAAGTCAGTTAAGAAAAGGTACAGTGGGTTTTCAGGCTGCAGGGTACAGAAATGTTCCCAGGCCTGGAGAACAAACCTTCAGATCTTAATCTGTACAGGGAGGTGGAGGGTGAAAGAATGATCTTTCAGGAAGCGTTCAAGTAGGGCTGCTGCTTGGATTGAATTTTAAAGAATGCATAGGTTATATGCAGGATCTATATATAGATCAATAGCTTCCCTGAGCACATGTTCAAAGGTTCAAACATTTGGGGTCATTTCTTTGCAAGAAGAGTCACTCAGTGGCCTGAAAGTCCATGCAGCAACTTCCCTCATGAGAGCTGCTTCCGCAGCAGGCCCAGGGTTTCTAAAGGAGAGAGCACACAGATGTAAACACTCTGTGGTTCTGAGGACTGTCACCTCTTCTTTTCACCCATCACTTTTGTCTTAAGAACTCTATGCTCAACCCTAATTCTCAGTCTCTATATCAATTCCCACCAAACAGATGCAAAGTCCTGTCCATTTGCTTCCATGAACTCTGTACTTATCGATGATATAATACTCTGCTGACTACATTTTACTTGCCACTTCATATCCTCACTAGACTGAAAGACCTATAAGGGAAGAGATATCTTATTTATATATCTTTCTTATATATCTTTCCCATATATCCTATTTACTGTTGTACTTACAACTCCTACAACCGTGCTTGGTACATAGGGTGTTGAAAAAGTATTTATGAAATTATGAATAACACTGATTCTATTAAATAACATTATTAAGTTAATGAACAAATAATTAAGCTTAGTAAAATATCAAAAGTTAAAGATATCAAAAACTAAACACTTATAGAATAAAAGTTTGCTTTTCTTGTCTAGTGAGCACATTAATACAGATTTTAACCCTCTTTTGTCCTCTCCTGATTCACACGAAAAAATACATAGGCCTCAGCTGTTCATTGGTGCCAGATAAAAATAAAGTACTTTTTAATTGTAATTACTGCAAAGGCTCTTCAACAGTGCACAGTATACCAGGAACTGAAACTTTTCTTATAAAACAAAATAAATATCAGTAGAAACAGAGCAAAGGCATTTCATTAAGTATTATGGACTGAATTGCATTCCCTGTAAATGTGTTAAAGTCTGAACTCTCAGTACACCTCAGAATATAACTGTATTTAGAAATAGGGCCTTTAAAGAGGTAGTTAAGATTAAATGAGATCATGTGGATTGGTCTTAATCTAAGATGACTGGTGTCATTATAAGAAGAGGAGAAGACACCAGAGATGCAACCACACAGAGAAAAGGTCATGTGAGCAGGGATCCCCAAACCCTGAGCCAAGAACTGACAGTGGTCCATGGCTTGTTAGGAACCATGCCACACAGCAGGAGGTGAGCCAAAGGCAAGGGAGCAAAGCTTCATCTGTATTTATAGCCGCTCCCCATTGCTCACATTACCTCCTGAGCTCTGCCTCCTGTCGGATCAGTGGTGGCATTAGATTCTCATAGGAGTGCACACCCTATTGTGAACTGCGCATGAGAGGGATCTAGATTGCATGCTCCTTATAAAGTCTAATGCCTGATGATCTGAGGTGGAGCTGAGGTGGTGATGCTAGCTCTGAGGAGTGGTTGCAAACACAGATTAACATTAGCAGAGAGGTTTGACTGCCCAGAGACCATAATAAATCAGTTGCCTGCAGACGCATATCAAAACCCTGTCAGTGAGTGGCAGGTGATAATTCAGCTGCATCTGGTGGCTGGCTTTATAGTGGCAAGTGCGTTGATGTACTTCAACTGTACAGCTGCATCTGGTTGCTGGCTTTATAGTGGCAAGTGAGTTGATGTACTTCAACTGTACAGCTGCATCTGGTGGCAGGCTTTAAGTCAGAATCTGACACTTATTTTAGTCCATGTGTGTCCTGCCCATTATTTTATTTGTCACTTCCATCCGCACCTCTTTCCTGCACTGCACACTTGTCTCAATCAGTTTTGGTAAGCCCACAAGCTAACCCTAGCCAAAATGAATAAAAACAATCATCACTGGAGAGTTTCTTTGAAAAGTGGGAAAGAACCAATGATGAGACAGCAGAAGACTCTAAGACTGCCAACAAAAAGAAAGCTGCATTTAAAAGAAAATACTGGCCGGGCGCGGTGGCTCATGCCTGTAATCCCAGGACTTTGGGAGGCCGAGGCGGGCGGATCACGAGGTCAGGAGATTGAGACCATCCTGGCTAACAAGGTGAAACCCCGTCTCTACTAAAAATACAAAAAATTAGCCGGGCATGGTGGCGGGTGTCTGTAGTCCCAGCTACTCAGGAGGCTGAAGCAGGAGAATGGCGTGAACCTGAGAGGCAGAGCTTCCAGTGAGCCGAGATCGTGCCACTGCACTCCAGCCTGGGTGACAGAGCGAGACTCCATCTCAAAAAAAAACAAAAAAAACAAAATACCATGAGTCCTACTTAAATTACAGGGTCATTGCACCAGATAATTCACATTCTCCAAGCCCTCTTTTTATAATATGTGGTGGTTGGCTATGCAATGAAGCCATGAAACCTTCAGAACTGCTTCACTGCATGGAAACCAAGCACCCTGTGTTAAACAAGACTTTGGAGTTTTTCAAAAGAAAAAAAAAAGATGAACAAGAAGAACAGAAGCAATTATTGAAGGCCACCATTTTATCAAATGTGTCTGTACTGACAGCATCATATCATTCGTAGTGGCTAACCACATTGCTAAAGTTAAGAAGCCCTTTGCTATTGGTGAAGAGTTGATTTTGCCTGCTGCTAAGGGTATATGTCATGAACTTTCAGGAGAGGCTGCAGTTCAAAAGGTGGCATGTGTTTCTCATTTGGCTAGCACATAACTAAATGATTAGATGAAATAGCAGAGAATGTTGAGGTACAATTGTTACAGAGAGTTAATGAGCCACCGCAGTACATGATTCAGGTTGATGAGTCTACCAATGTTGGTAAGGCAACAATGCTTACTTTTGTGCAATATATTTTTCAGAAGATGTGCATGAGGATATGTTATGTGCACTTTTGTTGCCAACTAATACCATAGCTGCAGAACTATTCAAGTCTTTGAATGATTGCATATCAGGAAAACTCAATTGGTCATTTTGTGTCAGTATATGCATGGACGGACCGACTGCCATGACTGGACAGCTTTCTGGTTTCACTACTTGGGTCAATGAGGTCACTTCTGAATGTAACTCTTCACACTGTGTCATCCGTAGAGAAATGTCGGCTAGCCAAAAAATGTCACCTAAATTTAACAATGTTTTGCAAGGTGTGATTAAAATTATTAACCACATTAAAGTGCATGCCCTTAACTCATATCTGTTCACACAGCTCTGCAAGGAGATGGACACAGAGCACACAGTCTTCTCTTATATACATAAGTGAGATGGCTTTCTAAAGGTAGATCACTGGCCAGAGTGTTTGAGTTATGAGAGCCACTCCAGAGACTTCTTTTAGAAAAACAGACACCACTGGCAGCACATTTCAGTGACACAGAATGGGTTAAAAAACTTGCTTACTTGTGTGACATATTCAACCTGTTCAGGGAATTCAATCTTTCACTTCAGAGGAAAATGACAGCTGTGTTCAAGTTGGCAGATAGAGGGGCTGCATTCAAAGCCAAAGTGGAATTATGGGGGCAACAAGTGAACAGTGAGATTTTTGACATGTTCCAAAATTAGCAAAGATTTTGAAAAAGACTGAGCCATGGCCTTCTTTCTCCCAGCTAGTGCATGATCACCTGTCTCAGCTTTCAAAAGAGTTTAAGCATTATTTTCTAACTACAAAAGACCCTAGAACTGGGAAGGAATGAATCTGTGACCCATTTGTGAATAAGCCAAGTGAACTGACTTTGTCCATCCTAGAAGAGGATCAACTGCTTGAGATGGCAAATGACAATGCCCTTAAAAGTATGTTTGAGACAACTTCAAATCTCCATACATTCTGGATTAAAGTCAAGGTGGAATATCCTGAGATTGCCACAAAAGTACTGAAAATCCTGCTTCCATTTCCAATATCCTATCTTTGTGAAGTAGGGTTTTCTGCAGCGACAGCAACCACAATGAGATTATGGAGTAGACTGGACATAAGCAATATACTGCAGGTGTCACTGCCTCCCATCACCTGCACATGGGACTATCTAGTTGCAGGAAAACAAGCTTAGGGCTCTCACTGATTCTACATTATGGTGAGTTGTATAATTATTTAATTATATATAATTAATTATTTAATTATATATAATTAATTATTTAATTATACATATATAATTATATATAATTAAATATATATTTAATTATATAATATATAAAAATATATAATTATTTAATTATATATATGGCGAGTTGTATAATTATATATTATAAATGTAATAATAATAGAAATAAAGTATACAATAAATGTAAATGCACTTGAATTATCCCTAAAGCATCCCCTTATCCCAATCCACAGAAAAATAGTCTTCTATGAAATTGGTCCCTGGTGCCAAAAAGGTTGGGGGCCATTGCATGTGAGGACACAATGAGAAGGCAACTATCTTCAAGCCAAGGAGAGAGTCCTCAGAAAAATATCAAACCTGTTGAAACCTTGATCTTGGACTTCCAGCCTCTAGAACTGTGAGAAAATAAATTCCTGTTGTGTAAGCCACCCAGTCTGTGGCATTTTGTTACAGCAGCCCTAGCAAACTAATATATTCAGCAATTCTTTTTTTTTTCTAGGACATAAACATATTTTAATGTCCTACTTCCTGGGGAGAAATCCTTTTAATTATTTTTGTGTATTTGGAAATAGGGGTTGTATTCCAAATTGTAGTCTACCATAAAGAACTACCTGAGGCTGGGTAATTTATAAGGAAAAGAGGTTTAATTGACTCACAATTCTGCAGGCTGTACAGGAAGCATGGCTGGAAAGCCACAGGAAACTTATAATCATGGTAGAAGGTGAAGGGGAAACAAGCACATCTTCACATGGTGACAGGAGAGAGAGAGAGTGAATGGGGAAGTGCCACACACTTTTACACCACCAGATCTCATGATAATTCACTGTCATGAGAAGAGCAAGGGGGAAATCCATCCCCATGACTTAATCACCTCACACCAGGTACCTCCCCCAACACTGGGAATTACAATTCAACTTGGGATTTGGGTGGGGACACAGAGCCAACCATAACAGGGATATATTATAATAAAACGTACTGAGAGGTACACAACAGCACCCTGGAATATTGCTGCCAAAAATGGACCTAATCATAAGGAAACATCAGATAAATTCAAATTGAGGAATTGTTCCAGAATAAACAAGACTAAAGCAACATGACAACTAAATGCAATACTTGAATCTGCATTGGATCCTGAAACAGTTTTATCTATCTATCCATCCATTTATCCACCCATAACGGTAAAGGATATTATTGGGATAATTGTCATAATTTGAATAAAATCTATAGATTAGGTATTAGCATTACATCACCATTAATTTCCTAGTTTTGATAGTTGTATTCTGCTTTTATAAGAGAATTTTCTTGTTCTTAGGAAATACTGGATAATCTGGGCAAAAAAATTCTGGAATTCTTTAGACTCTTCTTTCAACTTTTCCATATAAGTTTTAAGTTTATTTCAAAGTATGAATGCTATAAAATTAGGAATTCAAACAAAAATAATCAAATTGAGAGGTGTGTACATTTAACAAAACAGTTATATTAAATCAGGTTAAATTTTAAGCATGCTGAAAATTTGCTGAGACCTGGGAGTGTTTGTTTCTGCCAGTGTTAGTTTCAAAGTGCATAGTGGCATATTGAATTTTGTGTAATTTCCAGTAACATAGTGCAAGGATGAGTAGCCACACACATTTAGTGTTGCAATAATATAAAAAGCCTCAGGAGCACTCCAGCCAGCACAACAAGTCCCCAGGGACAGCTAAGCACTCCAGTGTCTAGGGACTGTGGGAAACTGGA
This sequence comes from Homo sapiens, assembly GCF_000001405.40. NCBI lineage: Eukaryota > Metazoa > Chordata > Mammalia > Primates > Hominidae > Homo > Homo sapiens. The sequence continues at coordinate 74,123,332 of NC_000004.12, forward strand.
AAGAAACAATCCAGTGTAAATATGACTTCTAAGCTGGCTGTTGCTCTACTGCTTTCTTGGCAGTTGCATGCTTTCTGTAGCACTGTGTGAAGGTAGGCTCATCTTTCTAATCAATAGAGTTTTCTTTTGTCTAAATATGATTCTCCGAAAGCAAGGCTATCCAAAATGCTTTGAGATTTGCTTATTAAAACAAAAAAAAATCCCCATTTGCATTCATTTGATGTTGTCATGAGTACAAAATAACTTTTGTGGGCCTTAGACATTTTTACCTTTGTGGGACTCTTCAGCCATCATAATATCAATACTTAAAATTTTTTTATGTAACTTAGAATGCTTCAACATTTTTTCTGTTTTAGGTAAAATTTAGGGGATTTTTATGGGCCCTAAAAATTTCTTTATTTCTGTTGTGAGAAAAAAATAACACTTTCTTAGATTCTAAAACTTCATGTTTTTCTTCCGACTTTAAAGGCAATTAAAACAATTTCATGGGCTTCTAAAATTATTGTGGGCCCTAGGCACTATGCCTACTGGCCCTAATGCATAAGTTACCCCTAATTTGCATTAAATTTGGAATTATTTAGGTTCTATCTCTATACCTCTCAGAAAAGTGTAATATTTGCATTGATGTAGACATTTAGTTGCTAAAATTCACAACTTGTCCTATAACACATATATCACTATATATACTTATATTCATTTATAATTTATATTATATTCCATTGGGGGGCACAGTTGGTTAATATTGCCTGTTAAAATTGAACTAGGTAACCACGTATTTTTACTCAGTGTTCTGCTGACAAAGGCTTAGACAGTAATCATTTTCTGCCTGCTTTGAAGAGTTTTGATGGGCCCTAGACCATCTTAAGATCCTGCTATATAACAAATAGTGTGTTTTTAGCATGCGTTTTCTGTATTTGCTTTTTCGTTTTATCAGCATTAAAAGTTTTTTTTTAAAAAAAATACAAGTCATCTCTGTAAAATAGTCATGTTTCTGTTTATTCTTTCTGAAGGTGATATATCTGTTGATAAGATCATTGTTTATCTCCTATAAATAACATTATAGCATCATGAAGAATACTGCAAAATCAAATAGAAGAATGGCCATATGGATATAAAATATTAATTTTAATAAATTTATAGTTTTATGTATTTATATATTTATATATTAGTTTTTATATTGACATTCAAAATAGTCAGTGAGAATCATTTTGAAAGAAAGGAAATTAATTTCAAGGGTTGGTCTAAAACTAGTCTTTCTATTTGTAGCAACCTGTTTCGTTAAGACATTTCTCATGGTCCTAAAAATCATCATATTCAAATTTAAAGGGTATCTAGCAGAGTTGTGCCCTTTGATGAAAGCAGTCCTTACTTCCTTGCTATGTTCACTGCTTCCATTGTGCCAAGTATTAGTACAGTACCACAATGCCAGTGCATGAGGACACATTTTATACCTTTGCATCCCAAATTTATTAAAGAACTCAGAATTATTCAGAGTGGATTATATTATAAAAATTAAGAAATCATGTAAGTACTTTCAAAAGTTCTTAGTTATTTTGCTTCTGTACATGTAGACTGTTTAGGTGCTGAGAGTACAATGGTAAACAGAACAGCAAAAAAAAAAAATTCTGTCTTTACAAATAACATGGTACTGACATCTGGTTAGTTTTAGCTATTGTGTCTCCCTTGCTTCTGAATTCCAGAGCAATACTTTCATTTTTTGATATAAGCAAATTCTAAAACACATTGTGGGGAGGTAGATAATCTGACATTTTGCAGAGTTAAAGTAATTAGAGAAGCACAAGAAAGTTTCGAAAATGATAATTAAATTTGAAATAGGAATTAGCATGAGTGAAGCAACTCCAGGTACATGTTGATTAACCCAAGTAATATGACTCCAGGTATCCTGGGAATTCCTTTCACTGTGAAAGCTGCAATCAGTGGCCTTTGGAAAAGTAAGTGGGGTTCCTGCAGCTCCCAGAAAATTGTGAAAAAATCCTGTTGGGATCATTTCCATTTACCACTGAGCCAAATGACCATGATTTCCAACTGCAAAGGGATATCTAAAACCAGATAAGTAATTTACCTAAGTAGTCTTTTTCACTCTTTAGTGTGAAGCTTATTCATGAAGAGACCTCTGCCTGAACATACAGCAAATTTAAGAAGGTTGTGCAGATAGTCTGAAGGAGGTGAGTTAGTTTTTCCCACTTTCTCAAATTTCTCAAATTTCATTTGTCATGAAACTAATAGGAAAGATTCACAAATGTCAGTTTAAGAGTTTTACCTAATGGAATCTCACTTTTATTTATTTTTTTGCTTCTATTTAAAAGCTTTTTTTTCAATGATAGAAAAAATGCTAGCGATAGTAATTTGCTTTTTTAATAATGGAAAATGTAGAGCAATATAGCAAACCTCAAAGAGTATTGATTTCTCAAAACAAAAGCATAACAAAATTTGTTTATTCTCTTTTAATTTATGGTTTTAAAAATTTTACTTGTATTTAGAAATAAGGAAAAATGAATAAGAAAAAATTAAAGAGCATTCTTCCATGGTTTCCAAGAATTTCTTATTAAATATGTTAACAAAACTCGAAGTGAATAAAAGTTAGAGCTATAGCCTATGCTATTGGATACCCACCCATATCATCTGATCTGCACCACTTCAATGCTCACTGTTTTGTCTTCCAAGGGCTTTCTCTGGTTACCAGCGTCCACTATACTAGCAAGGCCCAGGTTGGAAATATTGGAAAATTAATGGCCTTGGGCGCAGTCTTTAACTAATGACCCACTAAAGCAGTGTACTGTAAGTCCTCACTTAACCTCATCAATAAATTCTTGGAAACTGTGACTTTAAATGAAATGAATAGCAAAACAGATTTTATTATAACTTATTTGATAGAAATAATAGTTAAGTTTCTAAGGCATATTTCTAGTCACAAAACATCATCAAACTGCCAAATAAAGATCAAAATAATTCTAATATTAAACACTGAAATATATGTGAACTATATATACATTTCGGAAAGATTAATAAAAAGAAGATAATTACTCAATTTTTGGTGAATCTGTGAGTGACAAAGGTCATAGTAGTGGTGGGTGATGTGGGGAGGGATGTTTACTCCTTATCCTAGTGAGGAGTAAACATGAGTCTTCCAATATCCACACCTTGCTGTCCATCATCAAATCTCTTAAAATATCTAGTTTTGTTTCTAATGTCACACTTTTTCTCTGGTGTGTGTGTGTGTGGCCATAGACGTAAGAAGAGGTGGATAGTGCAACTTTAAAGTTTATTACAACAAAGTTAAGTCAGGGAATGAATATGTAAGAAGCACCCCCTACCAGTATATAATTCAAAAACAAACATAAAAAATATGGTGCCCTCCCTGAGCTCATACGATATCTTTTATTGTCATGTACTTGTATGATTATTGTATACTTTATATTTTTTTATTTTTTCATTAATACATAATAGATGTACATATTTTGGGGATACTTGTGATAATCTGATACATTCATGATATGGTTTGGCTGTTTCCCCATCCAAATCTCATCTTGAATTTCAGTTCCCATAATCCCCATGTGTCGAGGAAGGGACCCGGTGGGAGGTAATTGAATCATGGGGGCGATTTCCCCCATGTCGTTCTCCTGATAGTGAATGAGTTATCATGAGGTCTGATGGTTTTACAAGAGGCTTCCCCTTTGACTTGGCACTCATTCTCTGTCCTGCCGCTCCGTGAAGAGGTGCATTCTGCCATGATTGTAAGTTTCCTGAGGCCTCCCCGGCCCTGCCGAACTGTGAGTCAATTATGCCTCTTTTCTTTATAAATTGCCCAGTTTGGGGGCAGTTTTTTATAGCAGTGTGAGACTGAATTAATACAATCAAATCAGGGTAATTGGGATGTACATCACCTTAAATACTTTTCTTTGTGCCAGGAACATTTGAATTATTCTCTTCTAGCTATTTTGAAATGTACAATAGATTGACTTACCCTACTGAACTATGGAACACAATGTCTTATTTCTTTCAATTAACTGTATAGTTGTCCTCACTATTCAATCTCTGTTCTTCCTCCTCACTTCCAACAATTCTTGGCCTTGGTAACCATCAATCTACTCTCTATCTTCATGATATCTACTTTTGTGTCTCCCACATATGAGTGAGAATAGGCCATATTTGTCTCTCTGTGCTTGGCTTATTTCACTTAACATAATGACCTCCAGTTCCATCTATGTTGCTGCAAATGACAGGATTGCATTAGTTGTTGTGGCTGAAAAATATTCAATTATGTATATATACCACAGTTTCTTTATACACTCATCCATTGATGGACACTTAGGTTGATTACATATTTTGTCTATTGTGAATAGTGCTGCAATAAATATGGGATTGCAGATACCTCTTTGATATACCGATTTTCTTTCTTTTGGATATATACCCAGTAGTTAATTGCTGGGTCATGTGTAGTTCTATTTTCAGTTTTTGGAGGAACCTCCATACCGTTTTTCATAGTGGTCATTTTAATTTACTTTCCCACCAACATGTATGAGGGTTTCCCTTTCTCTCCATCCTCGCCAGCATCTGTTATTACCTGTCATTTTGATAAAGGCCATTGTAAGTGGGGTTAGATGATATCTCATTGTGGTTTGGATTTGCATTTTTCTGGTGACTAGTGATGTTGAGTATTTTTTTCATATAACTGTTGGCCATTTGTATGCCTTCATTTGAGAAATGTCTGTTCAGATCTGTTGTCCGTTTTAAAATCAGATTATTTTGTTTTGCGCTATTGAATTGTTGGAGCTCCTTATATATTCTTGTTACTAATACTTGTGAAATGGATAGTTTATAAAAATTTTCTCCCATTCTGTCTCTTTACTTTGGTGATTGTTTTTCTTGCTGTGCAGAAGCTTTTTAGCTTTATGTAATCTCAATTGTCAATTTTTGTTCTTATTGCCTGTGCTTTGCCCAGCCCAATGTCCTAGAATGTTTCCCCAATGTTTTCTTCTAGTAGCTTCATAGTTTCAGGTCTTAGATTTAAGTCTTTAATTCATTTTGATTACATTTTTGTATAGCCTGAGACATAGGGGTCTAATTTCACTCTATGCATATGGTTATCCAGTTTTCCCAGCACCATTTATGAAAGAGACTGCCCTTCCCCCATTGTCTATTCTTGGTGTCTTTGTAAAAAATGACTTGGCTATAAATGTGTTTATTGATATCTGGGTTCTCTATTCTATTCCATTAGTGTACATGTCTGTTTTTCTACCAACCATGCTAATTTGGTTACCATACCTTTGTAGTATGTTTTAAAGTTGGATAGTGTGATGCTTCCAGCTTTGTGTTTTTTACTCAGGATTGCTTTGGCTATTCAGGGAATTTTTTAGTGTGTGGTTCTATGTAAATTTGAGAATTTTTTTCTATTTATGGGAAGAAAGTCAGAATTTTGACAGGGATTGCATTGAATCTCTAAATTGCTTGTCATTCTTGAAGGCAGCATGTACTTGGGTCTTGTTTCTTTATCCATTCAGCACCTCTATAACTTTCAATTGGAGAATTGAGACCATTTGTATTCAGTGCTATCATTGACAAGTAAGGACTTACTACTGACAATTTGTTTCTTGTTTTCTGGTTGTTCTGAGACTCTTCTCTTCCTTTATTACCATCTTCCTTAGTGGTTAAGTGATTTTCTCTGACAGTAAGCTTTTAATTCATTGTTTTTTTATTTTTACTGTAATATTATAGGTTTTTGCATTGTGGTTACCTTGAGGCTTACAATAAACATCTTTTAAATATAACAAGTTATTTTAAGGAGATGACAACTTAGATCACAAATGAAATAGAAATAAAAGAGAAAACTAAAAAACAAAACTGTTCACAAGAATATTCAGGACTTGAACTCAGCTCTGGCTCAAGCAGACCTAATAGACATCCACAGAACTCTCCACCCAAAATCAACAGAATACACATTCTTCTCAGCCCCACATCATCCTTATTCTAAAATTGACCACATAATTGGAATAAAACACTCTTCAGCAAATGCAAAAGAACAGTAATCATAATAAACAGACTCTTGGACCACAGTGCAATCAAATTAGAACTCAGGATTAAGAAACTCACTCAAAACCACACAACTACATGGAAACTGAACAATCTGCTCCCGGATAACTAAATGAAACAAAGGCATAAATAAATAAGTTATTTAAAACCAATTAGAAGAAAGACACAACATACCAGAATCTCTGGGACACAGCTAAAGAAGTGTTTAGAGGAAAATTTATAGCACTAAATGCCCACAGGAGAAAGTGGGAAAGATCTAAAATCGACATCCTAACATTACAATTAAGAGAACTGGAGAAGCAACAGTAAACAAATTCAAAAGCTAGCAGAAGACAAGAAATAACTAAGATCAGAATAGAACTGAAGGAGACAGAGACACGAAAAACCCTTCAAAAAAATGAATGAATCCTGGAGCTGTTTTTTTTGAAAAGATTAACAAAATAGATAGACCACTAGCCTGACTAATAAAGAAGAAAAGAAAGAAGAATCAAATAGACACAATAAAAAATGACCAAGGGGATATCACCACTGATCCCACAGAAATACAAACTACCATCAGAGAATACTATAAACACCTCTACACAAATAAAATAGAAAATCTAGAAGAAATGGACAAATTCCTGGACACATACACCCTCCCAAGACTAAACCAGGAAGAAGTCGAATCCCTGAATAGACCAATAACAAGTTCTGAAATTGAGGCAGTAATTAATAGCCTACCAACCAAGAAAAGCCCAGGACCAGACAAATTCACAGCCGAATTCTACCAGAGGTACAAAGAGGAGATGGTACCATTCCTTCTGAAACTATTCCAAACAATAGAAAAAGAGAGACTCCTCCCTAACTCATTTTATGAGGTCATCATCACCCTGATACCAAAACCTGGCAGAGACACAACAAAAAAAAGAAAACTTCAGGCCAATATCCCTGATGAACATTGATGCGAAAATCCTCCATAAAATACTGGCAAACCTAATCCAGCAGCACATGAAAAAGCTTATCCACCATGATCATGTCCGCTTCATTCCTGAGATGCAAGGCTGGTTCAAGATATGCAAAAAAATAAATGTAATTCATCACATAAACAGAACCAATGACAAAAACCACACGATTATCTCAATAGATGCAGAAAAGGCCTTCAATAAAATTCTGCACCCTTCCTGCTAAAAACTCTCAATACACTAGGTCTTGATGGAACAAATTTAAAAACAATAAGAGCTATTTATGACAAACCCACAGCCAATATCATACTGATTGGGCAAAAGCTGGAAGCATTCCCTTTGAAAACCGGCACAAGACAAGGATGCCCTCTCTCACCACTCCTATTCAACATAGTATTGGAAGTTCTGGCCAGGGCAATCAGGCAAGAGAAAGAAATAAAGGGTATTCAAATAGGAATAGAGGGAGTCAAATTGTCTCTATTTGCAAATGACATGATTATATATTCAGAAAACCCCATCATATCAGCCCAAAATCTCCTTAAGCTTTATCAGCAACTTCAGCAAAGTCTCAGGATACAAAATCAATGTGCGAAAATCACAAGCATTCCTATACACCAATAATAGACAAACAGAGAACTAAATCCTGAGTGAACTCCCATTCACAATTGCTACAAAAAGAATAAAATACCTAGGAATACAACTTACAAGGGATGTGAAGGACCCTTCAAGAAGAACTACAAACCGCTGCTCAAGGAAATGAGAGGACACAAACAAATGGAAAAACATTCTATGCTCATTGATAGGAAGAATCAATATTGTGAAAAAGGCCATACTGCCCAAAGTAATTTATAGATTCAATGCTATCCCATCAAGCTACCATTGACTTTCTTCACAGAATTAGAAAAAGCTACTTTAAATTTCATGTGGAAACAAAAAAGAGCCCATATAGCCCAGACAATCCTAAACAAACAGAAAAATGCTGCAAGCATCATGCTACCTGACTTCAAACTATATTACAAGTCCACAGTAATCAAAACAGCATGGTACTGGTAACAAAATAGATATACAGACCAATGGAACAGAACATAGGCCTCAGAAATAACACCACTCATCTACAACCATCTGATCTTTGACAAACGATAAAAATAAGCAATAGGGAAAGGATTCCTTATTTAATAAGTGGTGTTAGGAAAACTGGCTAGCCATATGCAGAAAACTGAAACTGGACCCCTTCCTCACACCTTAAACAAAAATTAACTCAAGATGGATTAAATACTTAAACATAAGGCCTAAAGCTATAAATGCCCAAGAAGAAAACCTAGGCAGTACCATTCAGGACACAGGCATGGGCAAAGTCTTCATGACTAAAACACCAAAAGCAATGGCAGCAAAAGCCAAAATTGACAAATGGGATCTAATTAACCTAAGGAGCTTCTGCACAGCAAAAGAAACTATCATCAGAGTGAACAGGCAACCTATAGAATGAGAGAAAAATTTTGCAATCTATCCATCTGACAAAGGGCTAATATCCAGGATCTACAAAGAACTTAAACAAATTTACAAGAAAAACAAACAAACATGCCCATCAAAAAGTGGGTGAAGGATGTGAACAGACACTTCTTAAAAGAAGACATTTATGCGGCCAAAAAAACATATATAAAAAGAAAGCTCATTATCACTGGTCATTAGAGAAATGCAAATCAAAACCACAATGAGATACCATCTCACACTAGTTAGAATGGCAATCATTAAAAAGTCAGGAAACAACAGATACTGAAGAGGAAGTGGAGAAATAGGGATGCTTTTATATTGTTGGTGGGAGAATAAATTAGTTCAGCCATTATGGAAGACAATGTAGCGATTCCTCAAGGATCTAGAACCAGAAATACCATTTGACCAGCAATCTCATTACTGGATATATACCCAAAGGATTATAAATCATTCTACTATAATCACACATGCACAGGTATGTTTCTTGCAGCACTATAGCAATAGCAAAGATGTCAAACCAACCCAAATACCCATCAATGATAGATTGGATAAAGAAAATGTGGCACATATACACCATGGAATACTATGCAGCCATAAAAAAGGATGAGTTCACATCCTTTGCAGAGACATGGGTGAAGCTAGAAACCATCATTCTCAGCAAACTAACACAAGAACAGAAAACCAAACACCACATGTTCTCACTCATAAGTGGGAGTTGAACAATGAGAACACATGGACACAGGGAGGGGAACATCACACACCAGGGCCTGTCAGAGGGTGGGGCGCTAAGGGAGGGACACCATTAGGAGAAGTACCTAATGTAGATGACGGGTTGATGGGTGCAGCAAACCACCATAGCACATGTATACCTATGTAACAAACCTGCACATTCTGCACATGTATCTCAGAACTTAAAGTATAATAATAATGAAAAAAATGCTCTACACTTTAACTCCACACCTCCCACAAACACTTTGAATTTTTATTATATCAGTTCGCATATTTTAAAAATATCTATTTTGAACAGGTTGTTGTCGCTATTATTGTTTTTGATAGATTTGTCTTTATAAGCTTCTTACTAGAGTTATGATTGGATTGCACACCACAATTAAATTATTAGCATATTCTGGGGTTGTGTTCATACTTAATTTTACCAGTGGGTTTTATACCTTGAAATATTTTCTTTTAGTTAGTACACTAATATGTTAGCATTTTTTAATTTCAGGTTGAAGAATTCCCTTTAGCATTTCTTGCAAGACGGGTCTAGTAGTGGTGAATTCTCTTAGCTTTTGTCTGTGAAAGACAATTTCTCTTTGTTAATGCTGCCCTATTTCCTTCTGGCCTACATGGTTTCCATTGTGAAGTCTGTTGCCAGATGAACTGGAGTTGCTTTGTTATTTTACTCTTTTGCTGCTTTCTGGATCTTCTCTTTGTCTTTGATATTTGAAAGTTCAATTATTATATGCCTTGGTTAGTGTTACTTGGGTTGAATCTGTTTGGTGTTCCCTGACCTTTCTATATCTAGATATTTCTGTCTTTCATGAGTTTTGGAAAGTGCTCTGTTATTATTTCTTAGGATAAGCTTTTCTCCCCTTGCTCTTGCTCAGCTCCCCCTTAAACACCAATAATTTTTAGATTTGGTCTTTTGAGGTAATTTTCTATATTTTAAAGGTGGCCTTCATTTCTTTTTATTGTTTTTTTCTTTTCTTTCTTTGGACTGTATTTTCTTAATAGCCAGTCTTTGAGCTCACTGATTCTTTTCTCTAACCCATTCTGTTATTGAGATCCTCTAAAGAGTGTTTCAATTCAGCAAATGTGGTTCTCCGTTCCAAGATTTCTGTTTCATTTTTAAATTATTATTTCAATTTTCTTGTTAAATTTCTCTGATAAGTATCTGAATTGTTTTTCTATGTTATCTTGTAGGTCACTGAGTTTCCTTAAAATTGCTATTTTGAATTCTTAGTTATAAAGTTCACATATCGGTTTTCTAATCCCAAAATGGCAGCATAGAAGCAAGCTTGCTTCTCTCCCCTCCACCAGAAACCAAAAAGAAATACACAGCAGCAAGATCTTCACCAGCAGCAACCCAGAGATCCTGTATGAGGATGAGACAGTTCCTGTAGGTACAGAGAAGTGGAAACATTCTGAGCAGATGGTAGGAGAACCAGATTCTACATCCATGAGGCCTCTTCCCTGCATTACACCAGGCATCAGCAGTATGAAAAATCTGCCCTCAACTCATGGTTTCTGCACTGAAAAACGTGAAATTGAGATTGTCAACCAGCTTTCCCATCTTCTTCGGTTTCCTGCCAGGAGACCTGCCTTTGCCTTAAACCACAGGTAGCACTGTGACTGCCTGGAGGGAGAAATGTCTGTGAAGGCTGGCAAAGACAAATAGGGAAGCCAGGACTACCATCCTCAGCCGTAAAAACTCCTTGTAACTTGACCAAAGGAGATGCCAAATCAGTAGAAATCATGTAGCAAGTATGTTCCACAAGTCCCCTGGGAACACACCCGTGGCCGGCCTTCCCACAGTGCTAGGGTAATCCCTTTGGTCCTCCTCCTTATGGGACAGGCAGTGCCATGGCCATTTGCAAAAGTCAAGGTAAACATAGGCTTATGGCGCCATCTAGAGCCGAAAACAAGGCAGCAAGCTGGCAGTTAAGATTCATAAGCAACTGTATTCAATAAAAACCAAACCAAACTAGACAGATAAAGCTGGACTAAATAATTATTAATACAAATACATAGATGTATACCCACAAGAAACAACAGCAAACATGGAACCATAACCTTCTAGACAAAGCAAAGTTCCAGCGACTGACCCTCCTGAGATGGCGATTTGTGAACTCTCTGACCAAGAATTCAAAACAGCTGTTTTAAGGAAACTTTGTTATCTCTAAGATAACACAGAAAAGCAACTCAGATATTTATCAGAGAAATTTAACAAGGAAATTGAAATAATGATAAGCAGAAATCTTGTAACTAAGAACTACATTTGCTGAACTAAGAAACTCTTCAGGGGATCTCAACCACAGAATAGGTCAAGCAGAGAAGAGAATCAATGAGCTCAAAGACTGGCTGTTAAAAAATAAACAGAGGAGAGAAAAGAAAAAAAGAATGAAAATGAGAGAAGGCCACTTACAAGATATAGAAAATTACCTCAAAGACAAAATCTAAAAATTATTGATGTTCAAGAGAGAGCAGAGCAGGAGCAAGGGTAGAAAGCTTATTCAAAGAAATAATAAGAGAATACTTTCCAAAACATGAGAAAGATATAAATATTCAGGTACAGGAAGGCCTTAGAGCATCACATTAGTCAAATAAGACTAATGAAGGTATTTACTAATCAAACTGTCAAAGATCAAGCATAAAGATAAAACTGTAATGGCAGCAAGAGAAAAGAAGCAAGCAGCATATAAAGGAGCTCCAAATCATCTTTAGCCAGAATAAGAAAAAAAGAGAGAAGACCCAAATAAATAAAAGTAGGAACAAAAATGGACACATGACAACTGAGACCTCAGAAATACTAAGAATCATTAGAAACAATTAGGAACCATTACATGCCAACAAATTGGAAAATATAGAAGAAATGGATAAATTCCTGGACACATGCAACCTACCAATATTGAACCATCAACAAATAGAAAACCTCAATAAGCCAATAATGAGTTATGAAATCAAAGCCATAATAAAAAGTCTCCCATCAAAGAAAAGCTCACGGCCTGATAACTTCACTGCTAAGTTCTACCAAACATTTAAAGAACTAATACCAATTCTATTCAAATACTTCAAAACGATTAAAGAGGAGAGAGGGAATACTTTCAAACTCATTCTACAAGGCCAGTGTTACTGTGATACCAAAACCAGACAAGGACACATTTTTTTTTTAAAGAAGCTAGAGGCCAATATCACCAGTGAACACAGATGTAAAAATCTTCAGCAAAATACTCATTTACCATTGTCAAGTAGAATTCATTCCAGAGATACAGGATGGTTCAACATATGCAAATCAATACATGTTATACACGACATTAACAGAATCGAGAATGAGAATCATATAATTATTTCAATAGATGCCATAAAGGTAAAGGCATTTGATAAAATTCAACATTCCTTTATGATAAAAATCCTCAACAAACTGGGCATAGAAGAAACATACCTGAAAATAATAAAAGCCATCTATGACAAACCCATAGCTAACAACACACTTAACAAGGAAAAATTGAAGGCCTTTCCTCTAAAGGCTAGACCAAGATAAGAATGCCCACTTTCACTATTATTTTGCTGTTATTCAATATAATACTGGAAGTCCTGGCCAGAGCAATTAGGTAAGAAAAAGAAATGAAGGAAAACCAAATTGGAAAGGTAGAAGTCAAATTAGCTTTGTTCATCTTATATGCAGAAAAACCTAAAGACTCTACCAAAAAAAACTGTTATAACTCATACAGGAATTTAGTAAAGTTGTAGGATACAAAATCAATGTACAAAAATTAGTAGTGTTTCTACACACCAAGACTGATCTAGCCAAAAATGAAGTCAAGAAGGCAATCTCATTTAAAACTACAAAGAATATGCAATACCTGGGAATCAATTGAAACCAAAGATGTGAAAGACCTACACAAGAAAAACTATAAAACTCTGGTGAAAGAAATAGAAGAAAGCACCAAAAAATTGGAAAAATATTCTCCGCTCATGGATTGGAAGACTTAATATTGTTAATATGACAATACTACCCCAAACAATTTCCAGACTCACTGCAATCCCCATCAAAATTCCAATGACATTCTTCACAGAAATGTTTTAAAAATCTGAAATTCATATGGAACTGCAAAAGATCCTAAATAGCCAAAGCAATCCTGAACAAAAAGAACAAAGCTGTATACATCACACTACCTGACTTCAAATCTATTACAAAGCTATAGTAACCAAAACAGTATGGTACTGGCATAAAAACAGACAGATAAATAAAACAGAATAATAATCTGGAAATAAATCCATGCATTTGCAGCCAATTCATCTTCAGCAAAGGCATTAAGAGCCTAAAATGGGGAAAGGTCAGCCTTTTCAATAGGTGGTGCTGAGAAAATTGGATAACTATATGCAGAAGAAAGAAACTAGACCCCTATCTCTCACCATACACAAAAATTAAATCAAAATGAATTAAAGACTTGAATCTAAGACCTAAAACCATGAACTACTAGAATAAAACTCTGAGGAAATACTTCAGGACAATGATCTGGACAAAGATTTCTTGTGTAACCTCTAAAGCACAGGCAACCAAAGCAAAAATAGACAATTGGGATTACATCAAACTATAAAACTTTTGAATAGCAAAGGAAACAATCAACAGAGTGAAGAAACAACCCAGAATGGGAAAAAACAATTGCAAGCTATTTATCTGACAAGGGATTAATAACTAGAGTATATAGAAATCTCAAACAATTCAATAGGAAAAAAATGTAAACCTTAATTTAAAAATGGACAACATGTCTGAATAGACACCTCTCAAAAGGAAATATACAAATGACTAACAGCTATATTAAAGTAATGCTCAACAGTACTATATATCAGAGAAATGCAAATTAAAACCACAATGAGATATCATCCCATCCCAGTTAAAATGGCTTGTATCAAAAAGATAGATAATAACAGATGCCGGCAAGGATGTGGAGAAAGGGGAATTCTCATACACAGTTGGTGGGAATTAGTACAGCCAGTACAGAAGATTGTACAGAGGTTCTTCAAAAAACTGAAAATAGAACTACCATATGATCTAGCTATTTCACTACTGGGTATATACATTTAAAAAATCAATATATCAAGAAGATATCTGCATTCCCATGTTTACTGCTGCATTATTCACAATAGGCAAAATATAGAATCAATTTAAGTGCCCATAAATGGAGGAATGGATAAAGAAAACGTGGTACATATACACAATGGAATATTATTCAATCATAAGACGTATGAAAGCCTGTCATGTTCAGCAACATGGATGGAACTTGAGATCACTATGTTAAGAGAAATAAGCCAAGCACAGACAAACAAATATGGCATGTTCTTGCTCTTGTGTGGGAGCTAAAAAAAGTGGATATCATGAAGATACAGATTGATGGTTACCAGAGACCAAGAATGGCAGTGGGAATGAGGGAAATAAGAGAGGGGGGAAAAATAATATAAATATATTTATTACCAATGAGCTTTACACTTAACAATGGTAAATTTTATACATAAATTTTATATATATATATATACACATACACTTTTTTATTTTAAGAAAAATAAATAAATAAGTAAATTCGGCCTTACCTTTCAAAAAAAAGTTGACATATCTCTGTCTTGTTAGGGTTAGACAATGGTTCCTTGCTTTGTCTGTTTGGGTTGGTCATGGCTCCTCCTTTGCTATTATTTCTTTTCGATGTACATCTATGTCTTTGCATTGAAGTATCAAATATTCCAGTCTTCTCTGTCTGGCTTTGTTACAGGCGGGTCTTTGTTGTTAGAGCTCCCAAGATGTGGCAGGCAGCTCCCAAGATGGGGGCGGGCTGCTCCCAATACGGCAGCAAACCTTTTGTCCTCTGACCTGGGGTTCTTGGCCTCACGGATTCCAAGGAATGGAACCTTGGGCCATGCGGTGAGTGTTACAACTCTATTAGAAGTCATGGGTCATGGTAGAGAACTGTGGAACCCAGCGACTAGTGTTAAGCTCAATTAGGACAAACCTGGGCACTTAACCATGCAGGAACAATGGCGAGCCTTTAGCCCGATCCAGAGCGGCAATGGGAACCTCGCTGGATCAGGAGCGCAGCAGACACCCTGCTGGATCCGGAGGAGTGGAAGTCAATGGAGGGTCTGGGAGGGCAGCAAACAGCAGTGGTGGATGGTGAGCAAAAGCTCAGCTCGAGTGTAAGAAACATGGACCAGAAGAGTGTTCAGTAGCAAGATTTAATGGAGTGAAAACAGAGCTCCCATACAATGGGAGGGGACCCAAAGCGGGTTGCCGCTCCCTGCTCAAATGCCTGGGTTTATATCCCAATCATTGTCCCTCCCTCTGTGCTCTCAGGCGATATAGATTTGACTATTTCTTTACCTCCTACTTTAGCCTAATTTGTATTTTAGTGAGCCGTCTTTACTACCTGATTGGTTGAGTGTGAGCTGAGTTATAAGCCCAGTGTTTAAAGGTAGGTGCAGTCACCTTCCCCAGCCAGGATTAGGAATTCTTAGTTGGCCTAGGAAATCCAGCTAGTCCTGTCTCTCAGCTTGTTTTGGTGTTTATTGGGTATGTTTGCATAGACAGTCTTTGTAATTTACCTGTAGAATTTCTTATTTGTTTTTCCACTAGGTCACTGTCTCTTATTTGGCAGTAGAATGTGTCTGAAGCCCAGGTTTGCCCTAGCTCTAGAAAAAGATTAGGAGGACCTGGGAAGGTCCCAAAGGTGATACCCTAGGGGATGGCTAGTGGGGATTCATAAGGAGGGAACCTATGGATGGTACTTCTTACAGCATGGTGCTGATGAATAGCTACTCTGATTTGGCATCTCCTTTGGCCAAGTTGCACAGCAGAGTATCCAGGGCTAGGGATGGTAGTGCTGCCTTCTCCGTTTGTGTCTGGCTGTCCTCAGGGGTATTTCTCCCTTCAGACACTTGTGATGCTTCCTGTAGGTTGAAGCAGTAACTGATCTCCTGCCAGAGAGCCCAAGATGGTGGAAAAGCTGGTAGTCCACCTCCATCTCACTCTTCCCATGAGTTGGGGGAAATGTTCCACAAACTTGGTTCCAGGCAGACTGGGAGGAAAGCAGTCTTGGAAATGGAAACTTGAGTCTCTTACTGTCTGCTCAAAGTTTTTTTCACTTCTTTGTGGACCTGGGAACTAACTCATTCTCATATTTGAATTCTGGGATATTGTTGGTGATAAAGCACTGCTTCTGCTGCACTCCCCCAATTTTGACATGTTCTCTTTTAATTTTCCTTTGGGTCAAAAATAGTTTCTAATTTCTCTTTTCATGTCTTTTTCATTTCCTAGATTAGTAAATGTTTGTTGTCATTTTTAGGTACAAAATTAAACTGCCTTTCTCAGAATTTTGGCTATACCACTTACTAGATTTGTAACTTGGGTCAAGCTCCTTAATGTCTTTGAAGTTCAGTTTTATCACAGGTAAAATAGTAATAAGGGACTCTATCTTCCAGGGCAATTAAGGAGATTAAATGAAGTAATCAGCCAGATGTGGTGGCTCATGCCCATAATTCTAACACTTTAGGAGGCCCAGGTGGGTGGATGGATTGAGCTCAGGAGTTTGAGACCAGCCTGGGCAACATCTACAAAAAATTAAAAAAAAAAATAGCTGACATGGTGGCACATGCCTGTAGTCCTAGCTACTCAGGAGGCAGAGGTGGGAAAGTCACCTGAGCTCAGGCAAGTCAAGACTGTAGTGAGTCATGATTACGCCACTACACTCCAGCCTGGGCAACAGAGTGAGATCCTGTCTCAAAAGAGAAAAATATAAAAGATAAAAAAATGAAGTAATCTATGTAAAGCACATAGAAGAGTGTCTGGCATAAAGCAAACCTACAGAAACTGCTATTATTATTGGTAATTTTATTAGTTTTAATTTTATGTAATTAATTAACTTAATCCACACAAATACTCCTGTTTTTTTAGTATTTAAATTATTTTAATTTTCTCAATTATATATTTTTCACTTTGTGCACACCTTTTTCATGTTGTGCATTATTCATTTAGGCTATACTACAAAAAAGGCAATATAATTCAAGGACATTTTATTAGTCCATTCTCACACTGCTATAAGGACATACCAGAGACTGGGTAATTTATAAAGGAAAGAGGTTTAATTGACCCACAGTTCCACAGGGCCGGGAGGCCTCAGGAAACTTACAATCATGGCAGAAGGGGAAGCAAAAGTGTCCTTCTTCACATGGCAGCAGGAAGAAGAATGAGTGCCCAGTGAAGGGGGAAGCCCCTTATAAAACCATTAGCTCTCATGAAGCTAACTCACTATCATGAGAACAGGATGGGGTAAACTGCCCCCACGATTCAATTTTCTTTTCCTGGTTCCTCCCACAAAACATGGGGATTATGGGAATTACAAAATGAGATTTGAGTGGGAACGCAGCCAAACCACATCAGGCATGAAGATATTTGTGGGTTTTTAAATTTATATTGTTAGATTACCTTACCAAATATGACAGTACTCATATTCTCAAATTTTTATGCTAGTTTTTATAATATTTTATGAATGTACTTAGTGTAGCTTGTTTTTGCCCTAACTTCAAAGATGAAAACCAAACTTCATTATGTGACAAATTTTCTCATCTTATTAGGGTAGTTTACTGGTGCTCTAAGTAATAACTGAAATATGGCATTTTCAAGAAGGCCAAAGTTGCTCAGCAAGAATCGAGATAATTGGCTTAAGCAGGGTTGATTACTACTGTAGAAAGGATTAGAGCTAAATAATTATCCATAGGATAACATGAGATAACAGATGAAGTAGTAGTCCAAGCAAAATTCACTTTCAAAGGCTGAGGTACGAATGCTAGAGAAAGTCAGGCCTGCTGCCAAATGTGAGTTCTCACATTCAGTGTGTCACTAGATTCTATTGCTCTTACCTCCTTAATGAGTTTAATCTGTCTCCTCCTTGCCATTCACAGTGACATAGCCTTAGTTCTGATGCTTCTTGTTTCTCGCTTTGATTACTAAAACAGTCTTCTAACCCTCCAAGGTCTTCCTTCCTTTAGTCCATTTACTCATTCATTCATTGAGAAACACTGACTTGACACAAAATTTCTGGCTCTACTCTCTTGTCACTCACTTGATCTCAAGTAAATTACCTAACCTTTTAGTGTTTTAGTTTCCTCATCCATAAAATAGGATAATTTTTGAAATAATATTATTCTTGTAACTAAAGGGGACCAAGAAGTTTTAGGACAAGTTCAAGATTTCATGGAGCAGAAGGAAATAAGGCTGCCCCTAAAAAGAACTTGGAGGACAGTGGAAAAAAAGAACAAAGTTGTTTTATGGGATTATCCCATCCATTATAGCTTAATTAGGAAAGCAGTTACACAGTTAAATAAATATGTAATGAAATGATGTGTGTTGGCTTTCATTATGAAAAAAAATCAACTTAGATGTGAAATGAAATATGTAAATGGGAGAGTCTCAGCTTGAGCCTAAGCTGGGCTCACATTAGAATTCAGGTATGTCTAAAATTCATGGAGTCTCTGCATAAAGAACCAACGATTCTCCTATGAAAAACTCACCGTAATATCCCAAAAGGCTGAACTGGGTGAGGAAGTGAGGTCATTGGCTAAGAATGTTTGATTGGAGAGCATAGCTGCACTACAAAATTTCCTTGAAGTCTTATGTTTTACCTTTTAAAATATCCCAAATTTTACACATTTTAAAAAATGCTAGTTAATGTTATGAGCTGAATATTTGTGTTCCCCCAAAATTCATACATTGAAATCTAATCCTTATTGTAACAGTATTTTGAAGTGGGGCCTTTGGGAGGTAATTAGGCTATGAGAGTGGAGCTCTCATAAATGCGATTAGTTTTCCTCTAAGAACAGACCAGTGGGCTAGCTTGCCCTCTTTCCACTATGTGAGAATACAACAAGAAGTCAGAAGTCTGTAACCTAGAAGAGGACTCTCACCAAAGCCTAACTACGCTGGCAACCTGACTTCAGATTTTCAGCCTTTATAACTGTGAGAAATAAATGCTTGTTATTTAAGCCACCCAGTCTGTCATAATTTGTTTTAGCAGCACAAACTAAGACATTTAATATGTTAAAATATTTACTATGAAATAATTGACATGTATTATGGGAAACTGATGTATCAAGATAACAACATACTTATTCCATGGCTCCAAGTACCTCCTTTCACATTTCTGCAACCCCTACGTGCACTCCAGTTTTAGAAGCAATGACATGGTCCTGCAGAATGGGAGAGCCAAGAGGCTTCTTCAAGGTATTATTCAAGGATAATGGGTCAGTCTTGGACAAAAAAATCCCCTGAATCTTAGTAAAGATTCTTAGTAGATTCTTGGTACACTCTGCCACTCGAGTAATCTTTCTGTTCCAACCAATGACATAGGTCTTGAAAATTTAAAAAGTATCAATACCTGAAAAAGGTGTTGTCTGAAATCACCAATGATCATGGAGGATGGATGCATGTGTTACTGATTCTAACAGCTTTTGTATGGTTTCAGGGGTTAAGGTGGTGATAGGAGATGATGTCTTTGGTGTAGATGTCCACACTGTCTATATATTACCAGCATTAAGGACCTCTTCAAATACAAAACAAAAACAAACAAACAAAAAAAACAAGCATCAACAGGGGGTATCACAGTAAGTTGGGAAAGAATGTAGGAAAAATTATAGGAGCTTAATGGTGACCAAGAGGAGCTGGAAAGCATACGTGCACTGATTCCTCACAGCCTTCAGAACGATCTGGCTAGAATTTGAGTGTAGAATGGAGTTTTCATATGGCTGGTGACAGTGAAGGCAAAGAAATATACTCTTTGAGAAAAATATTTGTGACCTTATTCTTTTTGTCTAGGCTGGTGCAGCATGGAAACACGGATTTGAGCTCATTACTCCAATTTTCACGCTGAGTTTGGAAGGGTCCTAGAGGGTATGTGGAACTGTCTCAGGGGCCATGGATGGAAGGGGCAGAAGACTAAACAAGCACGGTTCCCTGGAACCCATGTCAGCCAAAGCAGCTCCATTTTCTATTTTCCTACTTTCCTTTTATACATTTGAAGTAAGATTTTTCATGTCAAATTTGGTTTGAAAAATGAATTTTGCTGCTTAGAAAAGAAAATCATTTAAAAGTTATCATACTAGAACATTGGTAAGAAAATGGATAGAGAAGAAATTTTTTGGGTTGTGGAAAATAAGATAAGCAAGAGGAGAGTCAAAAATTTTGAGCCCTAGAAGAATATCTTAATATTGTTTTGTGCTCAATAATATATAACTTATGAGAAGAAAGAGAAAAGCATTATGTTCAGATAGGATAAGGAGAAACATTTATATGAATATATTTTTAAACTTCTAGTATGTAATTTCAGCACCAAGTTAGAAGCTGTGCCTAGAATTTTGTTTTTGAGTATGAAATGAAATGAGAAGGTAGCAATTGGAAAAGACTAAATCTAAGAATCATTCCTGGAGAGGTATGGCAGAATAAGCTGGCCATATGCCATGAGTACATGGATTTGTGTATACTGCTCTGTATCCTGCCATTATGCTAAACTATCAATAAATCTGCTGTCCTTATCTGTATTCCTCAGTACATAAGATTTTTTATTCTCTCTGGTTGCTTTTAAGAATTGTTAGATGGCTGGGTGCAGTGGCTCACACCTGTAATCCCAGCATTTTGGGAGGCTGAGGCAGGTGGATAACCTGAGGTCAGGAGTTCGAGACCAGCCTGACCAATATGGTGAAACCCTGTCTCTACTAAAAATGCAAAAATTAGCTGGGCATGGTGGCAGGCGCCTGTAGTCCCAGCTGCTCGGGAGGCTGAGACAGGAGAATTGCTTGAACCCAGGAGGCAGAGGTTGCAATGAGCTGAGATTGTGCCACTGCGCTCCAGCCTGAATGACAAGGTGAGACTGTCTCAAAAAACAAAAAAACAAAAAAACAAGCTAACAAACAAAAATAATTGTTCACTCTATTAGTGGTGCTGGGTAATTTGATTATGATATGCTTTGGTATAGTTCTCTTTATGTTTCTTGTGCTTGGCATTCATTGAGATTCTTAGATCTGTAGGTTTGTACTTTTCATCAAATCTGGAAAATACTTTACTATTTTTTCTTCCAAAAATTTTTTGGTTTCCACCTCCCCACTTTTAATAACTTTAGTTACATGATATTTGGTGTCTTGGAGATGTCCCATGGCTCACTGTTGGCTTTGTTTTTTCTCTGTACATTTCATTTTTTATAATTTCTATGTCTACAAGTTCATTAATCTTTATTTCTGTCATGTGAATCTGCAAGCACAGTAGCAGATCAATACCTATATAGAGACTTCCTATAAGAAAGAAGTAGAATTGTAGATAAGAAGAAATGAATGAATTAATAGTAAGTGCTGTAAGTGGTATAATTTTGATTATCCATAGCTAACAGCAAAGATATCTGATCCTCACCTCACACTGTGCATTGGAATCATTAATTAGAGATTTAAATAAGAAAGTCAAAACTTTAAAAGCTCTAGACTAAATTAATAAGAATATATCGATATAATCTTGAAATAGAGAAAGATTGCTTCAACATTGCAGTAGGTTCCAACCATAAAAGACTGATAAACTAGACTACAGTCAACATTCCATATTTGAAAAAAAAAAAACCCAAATCATTCTGTATTTGCAGGTTTGCATCCTCGAATTCAACCAACTAGGGGTTGAAAATATTTTAAAAAGGCAATCAAAATAATACAAATAAAAAATACTGTACAACTATTTACATAGCATATACATTGTATTGATATTATAAGTAATCTAGAGATGATTTAAAATATACAGGAGGATGTGCATAAGTTCTATGCAAATACTTCACCATTTTATATAAAAAGACTTTAGTATCCTTGAGATTTGGTATCTGTCGGGGAGGCAGGGAGGTGATGTCCTGGAGCCAGTCTCCCAGAATACCAAGGGATGGCTACACTTTCCAATTAGGAAACTCTATTTATTAGAGACCTGAAAGGTAAATAAAAATAAACTAAGAAAAAAATACTTGTTACACATGCACCTAACAATATATTGACATTTGGACATAAATAATTCCTATAGCAATAACAAAGTTACAAACTGATATGGTTTGGGTTTCTGTCCCCACCCAAATCTCATGTCAAATTGTTACTCCCAATGTTGAAGATCAGGCCTGGTGGGAGGTAACTGGATCATGGGGGCAGAGTTCTCATGAATGGATTAGCACCATCCCCCACTTAGTACAGTATAGTGAGTTCTCACAAGATCTGGTTGTTTGAAAGTTTGCAGCACCTTTTCCCCTGCTCTCTTGGTCCTGCTTCTCCTCCTGCTTTGCCTTCCACCATAAGTAAATGCTCTCTGAGGCCTCCCGAGAAGTCGAAGCTGCTATGCTCCCTATACAGCCTGCAGAACCTTGAGCCAAGTAAACCTCTTTTCTTCATAAATTACCCAGTCTCAGGTATCGCTTTATAAGAGTGGGAGAATGTACTAATACACAAACCCATTGAAAAAGACACATATTTCATAGAACAAAAAACTAAAATGGTTAATAAACAGAGAGAAAGATGCTTCACACATTAGTAGTCAGGAAAATTTAAATTACGATTTCTGCAAATACTATTTGTTCTTCATTAAATTGGCTAAAATTTAAAAAGATTGACAAATCAAAATATTGCTAAAGATGTGACTCAATAATTTATTTCTTGCCACTAGGAGTAAACATTTCTAAGATATTATCAGACAAGATCTGGTGTGTTCAGGGTGGTCTATGACTCCTAAGTTATTAAAAAATTATTACTAATTTTTAAATTTTTTAAATTGTGATAAGTTGTACATAAAATAAAATTCACCATCATATCCCTTTTAAGAATTTAGTTTAATACTGTTATGCACATTCAAATTAATTTGTAATCAATCTCCAGAACTCTTTTCATCTTGCAAAACTGAAACACTATATACACATTAACAATAAATCCCCATGCCCCTCTTCCCAAGAACCTGGGAGCCACCATTCTACTTTCTTTATGAATTTAACTACCTTGTAAAATTAAATCATACCATATTTGTCTTTTTATACACCTTGGGGTAGTCTTATTTTGGTCAAATTCGTTTGGTGTTCTCTGATATTCCTATATCTGGATATTTAATCTTTCTCATATTTGAAAAGTTTCTGTTATTTCTTTTGATAAGCTTTCTACCCCTTTCTCTTGCGCAACTTTTGCTTGAACAGCTGTAATTCCAGATTCGGTCTTTTGAGGTAATTTTTTATATCTTATAGGCAATCTTCATTGCTTTTCATTCTATTTTCTTTTTCCTCCTCTGACTGTGTTTTTTCCAATAGTCTGTCTTTGAGCTCATTTATTATTTCTTCTGCTTGACCTATTCTGCTGTTGAGAACTTCTAATGAATTCTTCAGTTCAGCAAGTGGATCTCTCAGTTTTAGGATTTTTAAATTTCAATCTCTTTGTTAATTTTCTTTAATACATTTCTGAATTGCTTTTCTGTGCTATCTTGGAGAATACTGAGTTTCCTTAAAAACGGTTCCCTGTTTGCTGTTGTTTCTTGTGGATGTACATCTATGTATTTGCATTGAAGGATTAGTTATTTATTCCAGTCTTCTCTGTCTGATTTCTTTGGGTTTGTGTTGGATATATTTGCTTGGAAGTTCTTTTCTTTTTTTTCTCCCATGCTCACCTGGGTAGAGGTTCTTTACCAGTAAGTCATTGTCTCCTTTTTGGTTCTAGGTCGGCTCTTTAAGCCCAGGTTCCCCTTGGCTCTAACAAACTCAGAGCCCTGCTCCTGTCTAATAGAAGGATTCCAGAAGGTTATATCCTGGCAGTGTGGGAAGGCTGGCTAGGGGTTCTTGTCTAGGGGATGTGTGTGAAGAATCTTCTACAGCTTGGTGGTGCTGAACAGCCACTCTAATTTGGCATCTCCTTTGGGCGAGTTACAGAGCAGAGTTTCTACTTCTCCCCTTTTGTCTTTGGCTGTCCTCAGGGATATTTCTCCATTCAGGCATTCATAATGCTTCCTGCAGGTTAAGTCAGGGACATGTGTCCTGCCAGGGAATCCAAGATGGAGAAAAATCTGGTTGTCTACCTCAATCTCATCTTTCCAATTTCTCCACATCCTCCCAACACTTGTTATTTTGTTTGTTTGTTTGTTTGTTTTTGTAGTAGCCATCCTAACGGACATGAGGTGGTATAACATTGCGCTTTGGATTTGCATTTCCTTAATAATTAGCGATGTTGAGCATCTTTTTTTTATTGGCCATTTGGAAAAATGTCGATGTAAGTCCTTTGCCCAATTTTAATTGAGTTGTTTGGTTTTTGTTGAGCTATAGGAGTTTTCTTTTTAATATATTCTGAATATTAACCTTTTATCAAATATATAATTTGCAAATATTTTTTCCTGTTCTCTTGATTGCTTTTTCACTCTGTTGATTATGTCCTCTGCTGCACAGAAGTTTCTTATAATCCATTTCTTTGATCCATTTTAAGTTGATTTTGGTATGGCATAAGGGTCCAACTTCGTTCTTTTGGTTATGGATATCCAGTTTTCCTAACACCATTTATTGAAAAGACTACCTTTTCCACATCGAATGATATTGGCACCATGTCAAAAATCAATTAATCATATATGCAAAGCTTTATTTTTAAGCTCTTTGGTCTGTAAGTCAGCTTCTACTTTTGTATAGGGTAGCTTTCTGATAAGTTTGAAATCATAAAGTGTGAGACCTCCAACATTGTTCTTTTCATGATGGTTTTGGCTATTTGTGGTCCCCCCCTTTTTTATTGCCTTTTCCCACACATTTTATTTATTTATTTATTTATTTATTTATTTATTTATTTATTTATCTATCTATCTATTTAGACAGAGTTTTGCTCTGTTGCCCAGGCTGGAGTGCAGTGGCGTGGTTTCTGCTTACTGCAACCTCTACCTCCCAGGTTCAAGTGATTCTCCTGTCTCAGTCTCCCCAGTAGCTGAGACTACAGGAACATGCCACCATACCCAGCCAATTTTTGTATTTTTTGTAGAGATAGGGTTTGAAATTCTTGGGCTCAAGCGATTCATCCACCTCAGCCTCCCAAAGTGCTAGCATTATAGTCCCTTAATATTCCATATGAATTTTAGGAGAGTGCTACTAACTTTTAAAATTGAATATGCACGTATCTTATGACCCTACAAATCTACTTACAGAGAAACTCTTGAATAAGTGCATCGAGAGTCATAAACATGAATGCTCACAGCCACATTTTTATTTTTACTATCATAAATAAACGGAGAAATCACTGGGTCTGGCTTGTTTACATTTAGATTTATCCCATTGCCTTTCCCTTACTTAGTCTTTTCTGTATCCCAAAAGGCTATATTTCTTAGGCCCCTTTGCTTTTTGGTTTCCAGGTAGGTTTGACCAATGGGAAACAATAGCCAAATTTTGGAGTGTGAGAGAAGGGGAAACCCAGTGTATTTTTCTTCTTATCTTTCTGCTGTCTCCCTTGTGGACATAGCTTCCTCTGATCAATCATTGCTTAGATAGTTCCAGGTCCTGCAAGGAAGACTTTGCCATGATTCCAGCTCTCATTAGATAGTTTTATCTTCTCAATTCTGATAGTGCCACTTGCTCCATCCAGTTGTCTCTCCAGATTTAGCAGTTTCAGTGGTTTCCTGCTGTTGGGTTATTTTGTATCCTTTTTGGCTTCTAAGTTCTTCCATTATCTACTTAATTAAATCCCTATATTAAATTTCCTTTATTTGAAATACCTACAGTGTTTTCTGTTTCCTCCTAGATTCTGCCTAATACAAACTCAGACATCTGTTAATAGGCTGCTGAAAAACTAAATGCCCCTATTTAATAATATTTAGCAGAAAAAAATGAATGAATTATAGCTACATGCAACAAAATAAATATGTTTTGGAAACACGGAGTAAAAGGGAAAAAGCAAGTGCTTGAAGACTGCATCCAGCTCAATATCATATGTTAAACTCAAATAACAAAACAAAAACCAAGGAAGACTGAGCATTATGTTGTTAAAAGATGTATTTGTGATTAAATTATTTTTAAATCAAAACGATTAAACTACAAAATTCAAGACAATGATTACCTCTGATAAAAAATTTGGGATATGAAAGAAGCACCTAGATTTATTCATTGATATCAGAAAGGTTCTAATTCCCACGTTGTGTGGTAGGTTCAGGAATATTCTTCTTGTTGTTATGCTTCATAATTTGCAAGGGTGTTATGTGTTGTGGTAGGTAGAAGAGTGCTCCCCCCAAAAAATGTTTATATCCTAGGTTTCAAAACTTGTGAATATATCACCTTACATGGCAAATGGTACTATTACAGATGTGATTATGGTTTGTAACTTTGAGATATGGATATTATCTTGAATTAACCTAGTGGGCTCAATCAAATCATGAGGCCTTTAGAATAGAGACCCTCCCCTGGCTGTAGTAAGTAAAAGAGAGAGACAGAGAAAGAGAGAGAAATAATGGAAGAAGAGTAAGAGAGGGATTTCGACATTCTTGGCTTTGAAGATGGGGGAAGGGTGCCAACAAGCCAAAGAAAGTGGGTAGGTTGTCTACAGAACACGCAAAAAGGAAGGAGATGGATTCTCCTTAGAGCCTCCAGAAGGAATACAACCCTAATTGACTATAGCCCTGTGAGACTCACACCAGACTTCTATCTTAAAGAAATGTAACACCATAAGTTTTTGTTGTTGTTGTTTGTTTTTGAGACAGAGTTTTGCTCTTTTTGCCCAGGCTGGAGTGCAATGGTGCGATCTCAGCTCACTGCAACTTCCACTTCCCAGGTTCAAGCGATTCTCCTGCCTTAGCCTCCTGAGTAGCTGGGATTACAGGCATGCGCCACCATGCCCAGCTAATTTTGTATTTTTTAGTAGAGACGGTGTTTCTCTATGTTGGTCAGGCTGGTCTCAAACTGCCGACCTCGGGTGATCCGCCCGCCTAGGCTTCCCAAAGTCCTGGGATTACAGGCGTAAGCCACCGTGCCTGGCCAAGTTTGTATTATTTAAACCACTAAATTTGTGATAATTTATTATAGCAGCAATCAAAAGCCAATGCATATATATTATTTGCATATTATTTTCTGCTCCAAACATTATCCCATAACTTAAAAAAATTAACATATGTTGTTTTAAATGACACACATCAAAACAAAGTGAAACAAAATTTAAATGTAAAAAGATACAGGTATACATGTGTATATGTATACGTGTGTGTGTGTATATATATATAAATATATACATGTGACACTTTTCATATTAAAACTAAACAAGGATAGGAGTAGCAATGTCTAACAATTACCATGGAAAACAAGAAGGCTTAACAAAATAAAGAAGGCCATTATATAATGATAATAGATAAACTATATGGAATCTGTAATAATCATTATCCCATATTCACTGATGAAATAATGCTATAATATGTAGTAAAAAATAAAGAAAAATTGGGTTCTTTACATCATTCTTAGTCTTTAAAAAGTTGAACAGAGGAATTAGAAAAAAGACAATCATTGTAACATTGGTTATATATTGACATGTATATAGATATATACAGTATATATAGTTAACATTATATTCTAAACCAGGTGCACTTTTTATACAGTTAATGGTATTATAAGACCACAAATAAACTATCAATAAGTTATTAAAATATGAAACTGGTAGTCACATTAATTATCATGAAATAAAACTTGGTAATCAATTTTTCAATAGAATCCACCATTCATTGGAAAATTAAAAATTATTTTCTCCTTATTACACAGATTCAAATCAAAAATCAATTTTATAGTTACAGAAGATTGTATAAATGACTAAAATGCAGACATTGGGATGAGTTCTCTGTACCTTAGCGATGTAGCATGCAAACTTTTCCAGGAGAACCTTAGATTTAGAAAAGCACTGCAGTTAGAAGTGTGGGCACTGGTTTCACACTACCTGAGACTTGAACTCCACTTTCATCACTTGATAGCTGTAGGTCTTGGCAAGTTATCTAGCCTATTTTACCTGTTTCCTCATAGCTTCATTGTGGTAAGGGTTAAAAGAATAACTTCTGAAAAGTGTTCAGCACAGCCTTGGCACATAGCAAATTCAGGGAAACATATGCTGTTATTATTATATTAAATCTTCCCCCATTTGACTAAAAAACTGAGATATTTTATTGGGTATTGGATTAATAGATTATTTTAGTGAAAGTCGACATATTTACAATATTAAGCATCTTGGTCTTTCTATTAATTCAAGTCTTTGCATACATTACTCATCACAGTCTTAATGTTTCCTTCATAGGTTTTCCAAATTTTTATTGGAATGTCCCTACAGGTTCATTGTTAGGAATGCTATTAGCTGTTGATCTGAAATATTTTTATATCTAGTTTATTAAATGTTATTAGGAAAGGTTATTGAATTTTATCAAATACTCTTTCTCTTATTTTCCATATTTATGTGATATATGAACTGACACACTTCCAATATTATCCTAATTAACCCATCTTTGTATTATCGTTTAGTTGTGGTAAAGTTTTTCCTTTTATAATACCATCAAATTATATCAACAATGTTTTCTTTCATATCCTAATAATTACATTTATCAGTTATATTGTTCAATAGTTTTCTTTTTTTGTATTCTTTTAAATTGGGTTTGAATATAATAAAAATACCTGGGAAATTCCTTCTCTATGATTTGGAAAGATTTTTAGTATGACTTATCATATTTTGAGGGCATAAAAAAACTCTGCTTTAGGAAGCTTTATAGTTGTATTTGATTAGTAGCTTCTTTTCCATTTCTGTCTGTTTTGGTTTTCTACTTCATGAATCAATTTTAATAATTTATATAAATATCAGGTTTTTAAAACACATATGCTGTAAAGTTGTTTATATTTTTATTGAGAATTCCCTTACAGAAAATATGATTTGGAAGAGCTCATGGAAAATTTTCTTTGACAGACAAGCACAATACTTTTTTTTTTACTTTAAGTTCTGGGATACATGTGCAGAACATGCAGGTTTGTTATATAGGTATACATACACCATGGTAGTTTGCTGCACCTATCAACCCATCATCTAGATTTTAAGTCCTGCATGCATTAGGTATTTATCCTAATGCTCTCCCTTCCCTTGTCTCCACCCCCTGACAGGCCCCAGTGTGTGATGTTCCCCTCCCTGTATCCATGTGTTCTGATCGTTCAACTCGCGCTTATGCATGAGAACATGCAGTGTTTGGTTTTCTGTTCCTGAAGTACAAACTTCTTTAAGAGCAGCTAGTGACAAGCAGGATACATCAATCTCTTAGTTTAATTTAAAACAAAAACAAAAAGAAAACACTCTGGGACAGAAAATATAATGATCTTAAAATATCCTAGGGAACTTGCCTCTTCTAGCTGATGCTGCCAAGCTAAGCTTCTTCAGCTCATTAGCTTCTGCTTCATCTCAGGCAGTAGCTACCCATGTTGTTTATTGCTTTGGCTCCACTCCTGGTTTTCTGGATCCTTGTTTATTCCTTGGCTGTGATTTTCCCTTGACATCTCAGTTTCTTAGTAAGCTTATCTTATGAATGGGCTTCTTTGCTATTCTCTGGAGTAAGCTATGCATCTGTCTGTCATTATGCAGTACCAACTCTGGTTGCCTCACAGCAACCTACTCCAACTTTGGTGGCTTTTGATGCCAGTGCTAACTGTTCACATTCTGATAATCATTTTGAAACATTTTGTTACAACAATGAATGCTATATAGTGAAAAGATAACTGACGATATAAATGGAGCCTATTAAATAAGATGCCCCAAGCAATGTCATGGACACTACAAATAATTACATGGACGCATATATCTCTGTGGCATAAAAATGTATTGTACTCTTTAAAGCAACTTCCAAAATTTTCATTGGAACACTTAAAATAATCATGGGAGAAAGTTTTTATTCCACATTAGCAACTAGCTTTCTTTCTCTGTAATTTTTAATCATCCCTGATTTAACTCAAAGGAATTCAATATTTGTTGAGTAGGTATTAGAAGCACATTGAGGATTAAAACAGGGAAAATATATCAGCTTTACCTTTTTCAGTTCAGGAGGAAATATTAATAAATAAATTAATAACTACAAATAGAGCAATAAATAAAACTTGGATAAAGTCCACCTTTAAAGATTCTCTTCTGGTATTGATTCTAATATATACCTACCCTGGCTAGATAGACATTTTAAAAAATAGACTTTATTTTATAGAACAGTTTTAAATTTACGGAAAAATTCAGAAAATAGTACTGAGTTTCCCATATGTCACACATCTAGTTTTTCCGATTATTAACATCTTACATTATATGATAAAATGAATCTATATTGATACATTACTATTAACAAAAGTTTATACTTTATTTAGATCTTCTTCGTTTTTCTGTAATGCTGTTTCTCTGTTCCAGGATCCAATCCAAGATATCACATTATATTTAGTTGTCATGTTTTTCTAGGTTCTTCTTACTTGTGACAGTTTCTTAGACTTTCCTTGTTTTTGATTGTCTTTACAGTTTTGAGACATACTCTTCGGGTATATTGTAGGATGTCCCTCTGTTGGGATTTAATTGTTTTTCTCACGATCAGACTGGGGTTACAGGTTTTGCAGGAAGATTGCAGAGGTAAAGTACAATTCTCGCCACATTATATCAAGTATCCATCCTATCAGTATGATATATTGGTGTTGATGTTAATCCTGATCACTGTCTGAGGTAGTGTTTGTCAGGTTTCTCCATAGGTAAGTTACTCTCTTTTCCCATTTTCTAAACTGAACTCTGAAAGGAAGTCACTATCATCAGTTCCCATTTAAGAAGTGAAGAATTCTACTCCTCCTTCAGAGTGGAGTATCTACATAAATTTTAGGAATTCTGCATCATGTTTCTTCTCTCCCATATTTATTTATTTATTCAATCACATATTTATTTATATGATTATGGGCTCATGGATATTAATTTTATACTTCGGGTTATAATCCAACACTACTTTATTTTACTACTCAAATTGTTCCATCTTTGGGCATGAGGAACCCTTTCAGTTGGCTCCTGTCCCTGACATATCCCCATCAATGTGGGATTTATTTGAGTTCCTTACTTTCCAGAATTACACGATGCTCTAGGATCATCTAATATATTTCCTGAGCCTAGAATCAGCAATTTTTCCAAGGAGTCCTGGTTCCTGTTATTGTAGAATGACATTAGAAACCAATATCTGGGCTGAAGGTGTGCTTATTGCTTTCGGGTGTTGTTTTAGGCATTCTCAGCTGGCAAAGCAAATAAATATATGTATGTAAACTAACTCCTGAATATTCATACATCTATAAATATTTGTATATGTAACCATCTGTATTTGTATTAAGCTAAAACTGATGTTCCCAACTCTAATCCATTATCATATGGATTATTCTAGCCTCCTCCCATTGCTTATCTGTAAATTGCCACTCCAAAAATGAGGAACCTGGCTCCTATCATCCACTTCCATTTAAATAACTGTTTAATTCTGGTATACATGTATAGTCATATCAGAATTGGTAATGTAAATCAACAACTTTATTAACTAGAGCACAGTGCCTATGTGCAGTTTCTTCTATTGTTAGATTTTTAACCTTGCAATTCCAGTTATTTAGGTCAGCACCTTTTCCGCAGTCTTTCCCGTGAGATTGTTTCATATAAGTGTAATACAGTTAGATTATCTTGTCACAACCTTCATTCCTTCCTGGAAACCACCAACCTGCTAAATAATGTATTTTTTCCATTCCTCACAGCACATTTATTTCAGTAATTTTGTTATGTCGGTTCTTAGCATGAGTACAGTGTTACATGATTTTCATGCATATAATCACATCCAAAACAAGTTCTAAACTTTACACTGTAAACATTCTCATCATATGTAGAAATATTTTAATTGGTGTATTAAGTTTTGCTAACTGATCAAATTTGGAAGATATAAAATAATGTCTATTCTAAATTGTGTAGTGAGAATTGTTTGTTAATTACATTTCTACAATGTTAAATAAAGTAATAGGCAAATCTGTCCTGAAAGCATGTCAAACTTTAGGTAAAACATTAAAAAAGAAACAAATCTGTTAACAAATGAATGTCTGCAATAAAGAACATTAGATTTTTAAAATCTATTATCATACAAAAATATAAAGGGTAAATAGAATCTTTGTTGATAAAATATGAGGTAGCATGGATTCACCCCTTTATTGTCTGAGAAATGCAACAGGAGTAAAGAATATTTCCTTACCACAAATAATTTTCAGGATGATGTACATATTTCTTTTTGAAATACTTGTTTAAACAAATGTCCCTCCACTTTTTAGTACTGAAAAAGCCATTCCATGTGATTTAAAAAAAAAAAAAAACACTTTTACACATCTAGATAAAATGTGTAAAATGTTTGTATGTATTTAGAACATACAAACAAAATTTAATATCTTATTTTTCTATGCAAGTCTTGTGGAGAATAAACAGAGTCTTGATTCTGATAACACTGCAGAAAACATAATTTTCCAATGTGAATAATATTTTTTAATATGGTATACTTTGTTTCCCTCTTCCTGTTGTAAAGTTCTGTAGGTTTTGACAAATGCATAGTGTCACGTGTCTAACATTACAGTATCATACAAAATAGTTTCACTGTCCTAAAAACCCTCTGTGCTACACACTATTCAAACCTCCACCCTATCTTCTTAACCTTTGGCAACCACTGATCTTTTAACTGACTCTATAATTTTGCCTTTTATAGAATGCCATATAATAAAAATCATGCAGTATGTAGCCTTTTCAGACTACCTTCCTTCACTTATCAGTATGTATTTAAGATTCATCTACGTCTTTTTATGGCTTGGTAGCTTGCTCCTTTTCACTGATGAATAATATCCCATTGTATGAATATTTCACCGCTTATTTAAGAACATCTTGGTTTCTGGAGAATATGAATAAAGATGCTATAAACATTCATATGGTGGTTTATTGCAGACATATTTTAAAATCAGTTGGGTAAATACATAGGAACATGGTTGCTGGATTGCATGGTTAAATGATATTTAGCTTTGTAAGAATCTGCCAAACTGTCTTCCAAAGTGACTGAATCATTTTTTTATTCACCAACAATGAATGAGAGTTCCTGTTGCCACACATCCTTGCCAGCATTTCGTATTATCAATTTTTTGGACTTCAGCGGTTCTAATGGGAGTGTAGTGGTATCTCACTGTTGTTTTAATTTGTATTTCCTTAATGATAAATGATATTGAATATTTTTCCATTTTTTTTGACCTCTGTATGCCTTTTTTGGTGGGTGTTTTCAGATCTTTTGCTCACTTTTAACTGAGTTGCTTTTCTTTTTTCTTTAATTGTTGAGTTTCAAGAGTTCTTCGTATATTTTGGGTGTAAGTCTTGTAAAAATGTTTTGCGAATATTTTCTCCCAGTATGTGATTTGTTTCTTTATTAACAGTGTCTTTTGCATGGCAGAAGTTTAAATTGTTTTTTTCTTTTATGAATTGTGATTTAAGTGTTTTATCTAAAGTCTCATTGCCAAACCCAAGGTCACCTAGATTTTTTCCTGTATTTTCTTCTAGGCTGCTTATTTGTGTCAAATGGATTTAGATCAGCCAGGAAAGAGTAGGGTATCCCATTCTTATTGATATGATTTTAAAGAGCATATTTTCTGACAGTCTATGATTTTAAAAAACAAGTTTTCTCAGTAAAAGTGCAGCTATGAAAGACGTTGTTCTGACTCAACAGCAGCAGCCTGACCTTGGGAGAAAAGTTGTTTCCTGTTAACTTCCCAGCTGGTTTTATCTGTGACTGTTTTTTGTGTGTCTGTCTTAATTTGCAAAATGAATGGACAGTCTAATGTTTTACTTTTTCAGAGGGAGCAGATATTTTGCTTCCTCACCACACAAGCTCACCACACAATGCAGGGTTCTTAGCCTGCATCGACTTGATCATAACTCAGGAAAAGACAGATATTGGTCAATATTTCCTTCCAAAAGTGGAGATGATAAAGTAGAAGTATAGAAATCCTAAAGTCCAGACCTTCCTTGTTCAGCCAGGTTTTGCTCCTTCTCCACACACCTTTGTTCTTTTCTCCAACTTCCAAGGAATCTCACAAAGGAAGTGGGAAACAATGAACCTATTACTTCTTTCCTGCTTTAAATCCAATTCCACGTAGTCACGGAGACTGTTGGGCAGGATCTCTGGCTTGGTGGAAAGTGGGGCGTGCTGCCTAAAGTGATAGTTTGGAGGCCTTCTCTGTGCCGTCGCTATGGGAATGCCAGCTATATGTTGGCTGGGTGCGGGGCCCAGTCGCCAGGCCACACTGCACGCTTCCACATCCTCAGAGGGCCCGGGACTTGGGTCCTGGCCCCGCCCCCTGCGGACCCGGCACTCTGTCAGTTCCGTCCCCGGTCCTGGGAACCGCTCTTTACCCCACTCTGCGTGTCTGCCGGAACCTGGCTGGGAAGCGCTACTTGCTGCCCTGCCAGCCCGGGTGAGGGCGGAGCCAGGCCTCCAGCCGCGAGGACTGGAGTCGCGGGAGGTGGAGCCCCAGTCCGGAAGCCGGGGATCCGCGGCCATGACGGTGCCGGTCCGCGGCTTCTCGCTGCTCCGCGGCCGCCTTGGCCGAGCGCCGGCGTTGGGCAGAAGCACAGCACCCTCCGTAAGGGCACCGGGAGAGCCCGGGAGTGCGTTCCGGGGCTTTCGGAGCAGCGGTGTGAGGTACGAGGGCTGCGGGCGCCGGGTGCGGAGCCGCTGGCGGTGGGAGGTCGGCGGGGGCGCGGGCGGCGCTCGCGCGCGTGGGGCCCAAGGCTCGTGGGCGGCCGCGCGGCGGCGGGCTGGGTCGAGGACAGCCTTGTCTGTGAGGTGGCCTTGCCGGTCGCGCGGGCGAGTCGCAGTTGCCTCAGCTTGGGGAACGAAAACGTGCTCTGCTCTGGGCTCTCGCACCAGAATGTTCCATCTTTGCAGCAGGTGCACTTGATTTAGGAAGACATTTGAGGCACTAAGAAAAGGTAGTATAAAAACACGTGGTCGGCTTGGTCAAACATTTGTTTTTACTTTGGTTATTTTAGTGTTTCGTAAATAAAGGAGTAGGCGTTGTGCAGATGACTTACTAATGTTTGCGTTTCTGAATTCCTTTGTTAATAGTGTTGTCTAAGTCTTTTCCAACTCTAAAATTATTTATGGTTTCACAAAACCAAATATCAATCCAGATTTCTCAGTCTTTTCATGTATGGCTCTCCCTCCCTAAACCTCTGTCAGGTGATGAGACTTAGATTCATTACATGTCTTGGTTGCTGGCAAGAACCATGCAAATACAACAGGGTACGCACTCTTCTATCTTATGCTTTACCAGTCTTAGTTGCAAAATCCGTCTTAACAAGATGAAAATATATCTTCTTGACCCAGAGCTTGTGAGTCCAGAAGAGCCTCTGTTTTCAGACTTTCAGGGCTTCCAGAAATGCGCTTTCATTGCCATTTTACGTCCAAAATTGTGTCTCACTCGAGTTTTTGTATCCGCCAGTGCCCAGCACAATCCCTAGAAAAGCAATGACTGGTAACGTGGAAACTTAGATACTGTTTATTTAATTTAAATCAGTTAACTCCCTATTGTGTACATTTAGATCTTAGTCTCGAGTGTCTGAATTTAAAAATTACTTCCTATAGGATTTGCTTTGGACATAATTTCTTGTGACTAGGTCTTCCACAAGGATATGTGAGAAAATAACAGTGAATCAGAGTTGTGTAAGCTGTAGTAGGTTGGGTAAGAATGTTCCACTTAGTTTGGAACTACCAGCTAGATCTACTACCTAGGAAAAGCAGATTCTGTAGAATTCTATTTGTTTTAAAGAATTGAGGAAATTATTTGCCGTCACTCTAAATTACTTGTTTGTATCATTATTTTTTGAATTTCAGTTGTTTTAGGGGTGCTTTTCAGGGTGAGGATAACTTGTTTCAAATAGTACAACTTGATTAATTTCCCTGTCAGCTTGCTGTAAACAACTCCATCTCCCCATCTTCTCCATGACCTGCATACATTGAATGGAAGTCATTACAAACAACAGTTACAACCCCAAAATTTGGTTGTAGCCCCTTGCTTTGTACACACACACCAACTCATGTAGAATTCAAAACTTTTAAGTTACACATAATGACCTCTTTATAATTTAAAATAGTTGAGTGCAAAGGTTTTGGAAAGCTATTATCCCTATGCACTGTAAGAGTTACTAATTTCAGCCCGGCTGCTTTCAGTTCCACTTGATGCAGATTATAGTTATAAAAAAAGTAATATATTTTGATAGTTTTTATTTTTTAAAGAGGGCACTAGGCAAGTTAAGATAAGGCGGGGGTTTTGACGCCCTCTTTGTACTGAATACCATCTCTGAAGGTGAGGTTGGCCCCAAGGTTGAGAAACACCTGTGGACTGGTGGGTCTCGGGTGGGGAGGAATTCGGACAGTGTGTTGATGCTTATTGGTGTCTCTTTTCTCTTCTAGGACCAGCAGAGAGAAGAGATTCCATCTTCCAGAGGTTGCCACTGTCTGCCTCCCCACTTGTCCCCATCCACAGTCATCTTTTTTATATATATAATGACACATTAGTTGTCTAGTTCTTCATAGTTAATGTGGTTTAAGTCTGACATCTTTTCTTTTGCCATGAAATTTACACCTTAGTGTTATTCTCACTGAAAATTGCCTTTGAGTTTGATAAACTCTTATCCCAGTGATATTGACTGTTTTAAATTAACAGATTTATCACCATTTCTGAGCTGTGTAGGGCCTTAATTGAAAAAGTATCTTTGATTATTTTTTCACATTTTGGCCACATGCCTATAATAATGGAATATTTACAGTACTTTTTAGTGGAGAACTTTTTTAAGTAGAATTTCAATAATTAATGTTTGATGGAGTTTGGAAGTTACCGTATTTTGAAGTATCGTTTAACATTCTTCTCTCAATGAGTTTTCCTTTAAAATTTGCAGTGAATTTGTTTTCCTGTTTATGCATGAGAATTTAGGTCTTATTAATTGGGGGAAATTAATGTTAAAGTAATAAATAAGCCCTTGTTGCAGCTTATTGTTTCTTGAAATGAATTAACTATCCAGGCAAAAGGTTAAAAATGAAAAAAAAAGTCTTTGTAACTAAATTTTTCCCATTTTGTTGTGGTATTTGAGGAGTTTACAAATCAAAATGTCCTGGGTTAAAAGGCATCACATGAGTTTGTGCCCATTGCTTTTCAGTGTGAGGAGTCTGATAGCAGCCCATCCCATTTGGGTGGGAAGGTTATAGACCTTGCACATTAATGCCATGCTCAAAGCAGATTTGCAGGTATCCTGCAACACAGGGACTTTCACAAAACCCGCTTTGGCTTATTCTACCTGAACTACTTATTTTAATTAACTAAATGGATATCCCAAGCATTCCATGTTTATCCTGTTGCTCAGTGAATCCTCAAATCGTTAATTTGGTAGATTCTCTTTTTTGTCTTCATACTATTATTTCTTTTAGCTTTTAAAAAAATTGTGTACTGCCTACAGGTCTTTATGGAAGTTTCACCTTTCTTTGTGTCGCACTGGCATCGGCTGTATAATTTTTGCAGCTAGACCACATTTTAAAAAAATCTACATTTTTGGAACTAGTAAAAGATACTTATTTGTGTTATTTAAGTATTCACGTCTTTTACCGTGGGTAGTTAAGTTTAATAATTTAAAAAGACACATTTTATCAGTAACAATGTTCATTTTATTTTTCAGACTCTTCCCTCTACTACTTACTCTGTATTTCTGTCTCTTCTAATGACTAGGAAAGGCAGTTTCTCAAAATCATCTTCTATTTAGTTGGCAAATGTGATAATGTGGGTAGTGTTCCTACCTTCCTGCTGTATGTGTTCTACTGAAATGAGATATAATAGCCATCTGGCTACAATTTTGATTTCTAAGAAGTTCTTATGTCATTTTAAATTCAAAAACTAAGTGTTTCAACATTTGGTCTCTCATATCTTAAGTTTTATTTTCTTTGTTCCAGCTGTTCAGAGATAGTGTGTTCTAATATCTCCACAATCAAGATTTTTGACTAAAATGGATCAGTACATGAAAAAGAGGGACTAGTATTAATTTTAGATCTTGTTAGTTAATCATGGTCTTACTAATAATTTGGCAAGTTCTTTAATGAGCCAAATCTTTGTATTTCAAATGCCTTGAAGTTGTTATTCTTTCCTATTAGTACCCTGATGGGAGGATGAAAACAGCAGAAAGGAGCAGCACCAGATGATCTTTTCATGGGCACGTACTCTTTCAAGGAATCCCATGGAGCTCAGTGAAATTACACTTTGGCTTAGAGATAATTAAGTTGTGGAAGGAGGTTTAAGAGAGGAGCTTAGGTGAAATTTGAGCTGTAAATGAGTATGCTAAATTAAAGAAATGATTAGTAATAAATGAGATTTGCTATTAAGAAATTCACTTTGGATCTGAGACAACATTTTACATACAATGTAGAAAACTTTATGGTCAGAACAGAACACAGTCTGAACCTAAATTAACAGTAGTGTTAAAGAATTCAGGGCGGGATATTATCCAAGAAGGCCTAGCCAGCTGCTCCACTTAATGTTACATCACAAGTGGTTTCTGTGTTGCTATTGTTTTTATTAGCATTTCAATGACTGTGTCATATTACATTAAATCAATTGGCTCTAACTTACCTAACCATCTTGCTGCTTTTTATTGTCTAGTTCTTGGAAAATATGTAATAATTTACTCTCAGATTGAGGTCATGTCCTTGTCAATGTCATACCAACCAGGTTTGTTCACTGCATCATCTGAACGCTATGTAGGTTTCTATAATTAGGCTCATTAGAGTGTTCCTAGATCCAAAGACTATCTAAAGATCTAAAGATTCATAATTCTAAAGTGAGGGTGTGTGTATAGTTTACAACAGATGTTCTCTCCCCACTTTTTTTTTTTTTTTTTTTTGCTGTTTGTGATTAACTGGAACTGCAATGAATGCCATCATGCTTTTAAGGAATTCAGTTGTATTGTTGAAAAATACAATTTTCTTAATATCTAAGGAGCTCTTAGTCAGTGGTAAGCACTTTGCTGAGATTTTGCATATACAGTATGTCCTTCGATCCTCACAACAACTAAAGGAAGTAGATAGACACTATTACTATTCCCAGTTAACAGATTGAGAAATTGAGGCTTAAAGAAATTAAACTTGTCAAGTTGACACAGTAAATACATGGTGAAGACAAGGCTTGAACCCACATCATCTTTCCGGTGTTCTTCTCTACAAGCAGTTTATAATTATTGACTTATCTTACTTTTTCTTCTTTTTGAAACATTTATTAATATTAAATCTCATACAACTTTTGTGAATCTAGAAAGCTAATTTTGCATGTAAATTTTAAAATTATTTTGTTAGATTCCCTCAGTTTGAGATGTTCTTAACCTGGGACCTTATGGATAGAATTCAGAGGATCCATAAACTTGGATTGGAGGTTACTAACTTCTGATAAATTGAGCATTTTTTTTTTTCCATTGTTAGTGTTGGCAACAAATACATAATATCATCAGTACATGTGACTTGCTAATATAATTTACAGATATTTCAGTATCACAAAGTTGAGGCAGATACCACAAAACATCATCTGCACATCACTATTTTGTTATGGTAGTTAGACCTACCACTAGATCCTGTTATTTAATACTTTTAAAAAAAAGCATTTGATAATATTTCAGTAAAACTGGTTTTCCTTGTAATCTGTATTTTATATTGAATGTTTAAAAGGATTGTTCTGAGAAAGAGTCCACAGGTTTCAGCAGATAGGCCAAGAGCTTTTGTGGCACAAAGCTTAGCATCTAAGGTTCTTTCTGACAAAGTTAGTTTGAAAACAATGGATATTGTTTAGTACAGAGTCAGAAAGTTAACTAGTTAAAAAACTGGATACGAAGAAGAGTCATATATAATGAAAAGGTATTTTACTTTTTATTGATTTGCAGATGTAATTTCTAGTAAAATTACTTCAAGATGTGAATAGGGTACTTGGGGTATGAAACAAATTTTTTTAAAGAGGTCATAAACTTAACACTTGCAGGTATTCATTTATTTTAATAACACACTTCAAAAGACTCCCTATACTGGTGATTGGTTTTATTCCCTATGGAATTTTGCCCTGTTTTTGGGGGGTTTCATTTCTATTGTACAAACTCAAGACATCGAAGATATGCCCTAAGATATAAAGCAATTAAACTGTATGTTAGGGCCTGGGTAGAGCTTGGAATTGTTAATCATTCTATTAGGATTTTTCGTCTTTTTTTGTTTGTTTGTTTTGTTTTTTGTTTGAGGCAGAGTCTTGCTCTGTCACCCAGGCTGGAGTGCAATAGCACGATCTTGGCTCACTGCAAACTCTGCCTCCCGGGTTCATGCCATTCTCCTGCCTCAGTCTCCCAAGTAGCTGGGACTACAGGCGCCCGCCACCACGCCCGGCTAATTTTTTGTATTTTTAGTAGGGACGGGGTTTCACCGTGTTAGCCAGGATGCGTCTTGATCTCCTGACTTCGTGATCCGCCCGCCTCAGCCTCCCAAAGTGCTGGGATTACAGGCGTGAGCCACCATGCCTGGCCAGGTTTTTTCAACATTATAGAGATAAAATGGTTCATTGCAGCTCTAGTTGAAGTCGTGAATAAAGATGAGATTGAAACTAAGATATGGATTTGCCAAGTATACGAATTAAATAAACTCTTGATCTTGACTAGGTTTTATTTGTTGGTAAGCTACTTTTTTGTGGAAGAGTATTTTGATACATAGAAATAATCCTCCCCCTTTGTTATTTTGCTCTAGTTTATTAAATAAATCATTTGATTCTAATAAGCGTAGATAAGGTGGTTAGTTTATTTTCTGGAAGTACAAGTAAACAAGCCCATGGAAACAGCACTAAGTGCTGAAGACTTTCTGCTCTCATAATGTTTCTGGTTATCGAAATATGTCTCCATCTGTAATTTAGCAGAAACTAAGAGAAAGAGCCACTTTTGCAAACCAGCCCATGAACTTTTAGCCAAATCCTCTTATGTAATGTAAGGTCAACAAGAGAGTATTCCCATTATATAGATGAAGAAATTGCATGCCGTTGAGAGAAGCTAAGTGACTTGCCTAACTTTATTATTGCTACTAATGGTAACCCAGAGCTCTGATGCTCAGGACTTCTAATTTCAGGTGAGTAGTTTGTACTACATAGTGCTGCCCTGCTACTCACTAGCCACCACCTCCCTTCTTTAATTTTTGCCTCCTGATGAAGCCACATTTCGTGGCTAGCCCAGCAGTAGGCTGGGCTTTTGGAAGGGAGGGCACCTTTTCTTGCCTTTAGGGGAAGGTCATTTCTGCCTTTGTGGGAAACCACCTGAGCAAGTAATGACAGGGCACATCATGTAAACAATATCTAAGGGGTCAAATGGATTTTATTTTTGATATGCATTAATGGCAAGGTCACTATGTAATTTTTTTGGCCAAACTAGCACATTTTTTAGAGTAAAAAGGGGCACGAATGTAATGAAAATTATATATTTGGAATATCTATTGGCTTACAAATATATTAGTGAACTTATAGAATAGTTTCAGACCATTTTCAAAATTAACATTTTAAAAGATAATTTATATCCTTATGTGTTAAAATAAAAATTTATATTACATGAACATTCAGCATGAACAATTATTCCTGGTGCATATTCACATGCTTGAATCAGTTTCTTAGCTGTATCTTTTAACACCTTGATCCTGATAATTTTCTGAAAAAAGTTAATAAGATCTTATGCTTTGTTTATTTTTTTTGAGACAGAGTCTTTCTCTGTCACCCAGGCTGAGTGCAATGGTGTGATCTTGGCTCACTGCAACCTCCGCCTCCTGGGTTCAAGTGATTCTCCTGCCTCAACCTCCCGAGTAGCTGGGACTACAGGTGCATGCCACCACGCCCAGCTAATTTTTCTATTTTTAGTAGAGACGGGGTTTCACCATATTGGTCAGGCTGGTCTTGAACTCCTGACCTCGTGATCCACCCGCCTCGGCCCCTCAAAGTGCTGGAATTACAGGCGTGAGCCACTAGGCCCGGCCCTTGTGCTTAATTTTAAAATTAAATTTTCTGCAATTTTCTTAACAGTTGCAAATAGAATCTTTGCTTTAGACAATGGTTATTTTAGTTTTAAAGGTACTGTCTCTATAGATGCTGAAACACCACATAAACTGCTAAATGGAACAGTCTTAATTCTACATTTTGCACATTGAAATGGGAAGATATTTTAGCCTAAATATTTTCACAGGTGCTATGTTGGTGTATCTTTTCAAAGTACTTTTCTTTGACAAATATTTAGATAAAAGAAATAAGTTGTTTTTGTGTATGATTTTAAAAATAGTTTACCATATTTAGATAGGGGAAAATTAAAGTTTTTCTCAATTGTATTCCAATGTTTTACAAAATGGTAATTTATTCCAGGAAATTTTATTCAACAAAAAATATGAGTTCCATCAGAAGATTATTCTCAGACATTGAACTATTTAAAATTGCTATTATAGATGTATTTATTTACTAATTCTGCTGTATACAAAGTTCCACAAACTAGCTAGCTTGAAACAGCAGAAATCTGTTTTCACACTGGAAACAGTGGAAGGAGGCTGGAAGTCTGAAATCAAAGTATCTGTAGGCCCACACTCTGTCGACTAGCTTCTGGTTATTGCCAGCAGTCCTTGGTGTTCCTAAGGAGTTTGCAGCTGCATAACTCCAGTCTTTGCCTCTGTTGTTAAATGGTTGTCTTCCCTCTCTGTCTTCACTTCCCTTTTTATGTGTCTCTGTGTCTTCTCTTGTAAGGACAGAAATTAAAATTACTTGTGCATTGTTTGAGCTATGATTTTTTAAATTAGTTTACTTCTTCCCTTCCTTTTGAAGAGATAAGGTTTCTGTTTGTAAGCTTTGGTTTCACTGATTACAATTCACTAAAAACTTTAAATCTGAAGGTGTCCCTACTCCCATTTGGTCTGTTTGTTGAATATGTTGATTAATAATGACCAACAACTTTTGAAAAAAATGCAACAAGTGTTGCCCATCCCAGTGCCAGGCCAGCCCCCACAGACACAGCTTGTAGGCCAGTCCTTGCAGACCCAGGCTCTAGGCCTGCACTAATGCCAGGGCAGCATCCAAAGATTCCAGCTGAGCCTCTGCAGACTTAGGCATCAGGTAGAAACTCATGGACCCACACTGTAAGCCTGCCCCAGTACCAGGTCAGCTTCCATTAATTCAGGTCCAAGCCTATCCCCAGGGACCCAAACTCTGCACCCAACCCCATGGTTCTAGGTACCAGGTCTTCCCCTGCAGATCTAGGTACCAGGGCCATTCCAGAGGACCCTGGGCAAGCCTAGTCCCCACAGACTTGGGACCAGACCCATTCCAATGCCAGGCTGGTCCCCATGGACTCAGGCTCAAGACCTACCCCAGTGCCAGGATGGCCCCTATGAACCTAGGCTTCAGGTCTGTATTTGCAGACCAAGGCTCCAGGACTACTCCTATATACCCAGTTGACAGCCCACCCCAGTG
This sequence comes from Homo sapiens, assembly GCF_000001405.40. Taxonomy (NCBI): domain Eukaryota; kingdom Metazoa; phylum Chordata; class Mammalia; order Primates; family Hominidae; genus Homo; species Homo sapiens. The sequence goes on from NC_000004.12 coordinate 74,167,130, forward strand.
GACCCATGCACCGGATTAGCCCCCTGTGAGTTGAAGCATTAGGCCCACCACCTGCTGACCTAGGCATCACCTGCCAACTAATCCAAGGGCTTTAGCAGCAAGCCCACCCATGGGCCATGCCGGATGGCCCATCAAGAATCTCTAGATCCACTGACTGGTGAAGGGCTTTCCCTGCTGAAGCCAGTTTAGAAAGACTGGAATAGGCGCCTACTTCTTCAAGCGATAGACAGCAATGAAAGGCCACAGGCTTGTGAACCATTAGGGAAACCTGGCACCACAAAAAGAACAAAATTAACAATAATTGACATAAAGAAATGGAGAGCTACAGGCTGCCTATCCAGAGAACACAGGTAGACAACTAGACAATATCAGTGATTTAAAATACTACAAAAGGGTAAAAACCAGGTACTGTGGGAGCTCACAGCAGATTCCCAGGGTACAGGGTTGGGAAAACATCACAAGAGTGTTTTATAAGCTGAGACTTGAGCAATGTGTGGGACAGACTTGGCAAAGTGGTTGGAGAGGTGAGAAAGGGAAGGAAGAGTGTTTCAGGCAGAGGGAATATTATATCTGAAGATCTGGAGAGAACATGGTGCAGTTCATGAATTAAAATATGACTGGTGTGTAGTGCGCGACTCACTAAGCACAGTGTTCTTTAACAGTGAGGCTAAAGTAGCTCATGCAGAAGTGTGTAACCCATAGGGGATTGGGATTTTAGTTAACTTTTTCCCCCAATTTCTCAGGTCAGAAATGTTAGAGTCATGTTTGCCTTCTGTTTTTCTTTTTTTCATATCCTACACCCAATCTCAGTAACTCCCAAGGGTTCCACTCTCAAAATAGATTCAGAATCAGACTACTTAGCACCTCCATGGCTACCCCTTTGCCTAACTCCCCATGATCCCTTGTTTGTTATACTACACTAGCTTCTTAGCTGGAGTCTCCACTTCTCCCCTTGATCTCATAGAGTCTATCCTTCATATTTTCACCAGTTATTTTAAAAGTGAAAGTCACGTCAAAATCTCTAAATGGCTTCGTGTCTCACAGTAAAAGCCAACATCCTTTCAAAGGCCTGCAGGGCCTTATATAATCTGATGTCCCATTCCTTCTCTGACTTCATGTCTTACCCTAGTTCACTTGTTCTTTCCACTGCAACCATTGGCCTCTTGCTATTCCTCAAAGATTTCAGGTATGCTCCTTGCTAAAGGCCTCCATACTTGTTCTTCCCTTCCCTTGGCCTAGAATGCTTTTCTTCCAGAAATCTACATGACTCATTTCATTCATTTCTGCCCACGTGTCACCTGATTTATCAGAGAAGTGATATCTTAACCCACCTATGTAAAATAACTCTGGCCCTCAGATAAGTCCTTTCTCTGCCTCATGTTACACATATTAAATACTTGTTGTTTTTCAATTTGCTTATATCTTCTTCAACTAGAATATAGTTTCCATAAAAGTAGGTAATTGTTTTGTGCCCTATTATTTATATTCCCAGTGCCCAAAATAGTTTTCAGCACATAGGAGACTTTCAATATATATTTGTTAAGTGAATAAACAATGAGCATGTGGTGGGGAGTTTTAACCAGGGAGGTGCTGTAATTAAATTAGAAAACAATCACTCTGGCTGCAGTATGGAAAATGGATTAGAGGAGATCAAGACAAGCCGGAGAGAAATTTTAGGAGATGTATTATTCAGGGGCTGAACATTTGAATTGTTGCTGATGTTTAACCTTTTTAGCTTTTCAAGAATTTTCATGTTGAAAAATCTAATTTGTTTATGCACTAAAGTAATGAGAATGTGTGAGTTGACTAGTTCTTCCAGCACATGGACCAATACAGGCACTCTCTCATTGGACCTGCATTAATTTGAGGTTGCTTCATTTTGCCTCTTACAGTGACTCCTACAGAGCTAGGCTTGCTGAGTCTCTACGGTGACTGATGGAGTCAGTTGGAGGGGCCAGTTGCTACTGAAAATGCTCAGAGACCTAACTCCTAATTTACCCATAAACACCAGCTAGCCAGGCTGTATCATGTCTGCTGTAATTAGTTAGCGAGCTGACTTAGCACCTCAGTGCTATAATTTAAAGTAAACCCTGAACAGTCTTAGACTTGAGTATGCACGGTACAGTTAAGTTTAATCTGTATACAGGTTGTCTCTTTGGAGTCTGGGAATCAGTTTATGCTATTGGTCTTCTCTGACAATCTCCAGGTCACGCAGATTTGTACTGTCTAGGACATAATTAGCCTAGATTATACTCAGTGATTGCCAGCTTCACAGTGGCCTGTGAACAAATTATTTTGTTTAATGTGAGTGAATCAATAATGTGTCAGCAGTAGCATCACTACTCACATGCTATAAAATGCAAGACAGAGTTCAGATGTTTTTATATTTTAAAATAGAATGTATATTCCTTACTGTGTTAGGTGATTACTAGTTTTTTTAACAGATGAATCTGCTTCTATAATAGTGTTCTACCCCAAGAAAATATTGCTGACACAAATTGATTTATGGAAAGTTTTATTTGCTACTACCTATAAATGAGTTGTGCTGGAATTTGTTGCTGTATCTGCAGTTCTTAGTATTTGCTAATATAAAAGATCCTTGTTATCTTAGTGCCAAAAGGCTACTTAAATGAATTCATAAAATATCCTTACCAGAAATTCATAGGAAACAGTGAAAAAAGTTTGTTACTTTACTTTGAAAAATAAAAACCTCAAAAGTTTTATTTTATTTTAACTTGATTTGCTTATAATTACATACAAAGTATTGGAAGGTACAAAGCACAAGCTACAAAAATCACTCAAGAAATATTAGATAACCTGAATTGCCCTCTATATTAAGGAATTTAAGTTTGTAGGTTTAAACCTTCCCAGAAAGAAAACCCCAGAATCAGATAGCTTCATGGGTGAATCCTACCAAACATTTAAGCGAGAAAAAAATGCCAATTCTTTACACACTCTTCCGGAAATTTGAAGAGGATAGAATTCTTCCTAACTCATTCTATGAAGCTAGCATCATCCTGGTATCAAAGCTACATGATAACATTATAAGAAAAGAAAACTACAAACACCTCTTATGCATGTAGATGCAACAATTTTAACAAAATTTCAGATGAAATCCATGATAGTCTGGAAAGGATAGATACATAATAACCAACTGGGATGTATCCCAGGAATGCAAGTTTGATTTAACATTTGAAAATTGATCAGTTACCATATTAACAGACTAACACTCGAGAAAAACATATGATCATCTCAATAGACATAAAAAACACTTGGCAGTAGCCTCATACAAATTCTCACCAAACTAAAAATAGACATAAATCATAAACTGAATGTATAACTTAGGCCCATAAAACATCTAGAAGAAAACGCTGGAGAAAACCTTTGTGACCTTGAATTAGGCAAAGATTTCTTTTATACAACACTAAAAGCATGGTCCATAAAAGGAAAAAATAATAAATTGGAGTACATTAAAATTAAGAACTGTTCTAAAAACATGAGAATAAAAAGGCAAAGCACAGACTGGGAGACAATATTTCAAACCCCATATCTGATAAAGGACATGAATCTAGGATACACAAAGAACTTTAAAAAAACCCAAATGTCCAACAACGAAAGACTGGATTAAGAAAATGTAGCACATATACACCATGGGCTACTATGCAGCCATAAAAAATGATGAGTTCATGTCCTTTGTAGGGACATGGATGAAACTGGAAACCATCATTCTCAGCAAACTATCGCAAGGACAAAAAACCAAACACTGCATGTTCTCACTCATAGGTGGGAATTGAACAATAAGAACACATGCACACAGGAAGGGGAACATCACACTTCGGGGACTGTTGTGGGGTGGGGGGAGGGGGGAGGGATAGCATTAGGAGATATACCTAATGCTAAATGACAAGTTAATGGGTGGAGCACACCAACATGGCACATGTATACATATGTAATAAACCTGCACATTGTGCACATGTACCCTAAAACTTAAAGTATAATAATAATAAAATTAAAAAAATTCAAAATAGGAAACAACCTACTAAACAATGGGCAAAAGACTTAATTATTTAATTCACTAAAGAAGATCACAGATGGCAAATAAGCATATGAAAAGATGTTCAACATCAGTATTCGTTAAGGGAATGCAAATTTAAAGCACAGTGACATACCACCATATGTCCACTAAAATGTCAACAGTTTTAAAACCTGACCATCTGAAGTGATGACAAGTATATGGAGCAACCAGAACTCATATAGTGTTTGAAGGAATGCAAAGTTGCAAAGTGGTACAGTGTTTTTGTAACGTAACAGTTTTTAACGTATTTAAACATACACTTACGATGTGACCTAGCCATTCCCCTTTGAGATATTTGCTCAAAAGAAATTAAAGCGGCCAGGAGTGGTGGCTCACACCTGTAGTCCCAGCATTTTGGGAGGCCAAGAGGGGCAGATCACTTGCAGCCAGGAGTTCGAGACCAGCCTGGCCAACATAGCGAAACCCCGTCTCTACTAAATATACAAAAATTAGTCAGGCATGGTGGCATATGTCTGTAATTCCAGCTACTCTGGAGGCTGAGGCATCAGAATCATTTGAACCCAGGAGGCGGAGGTTGTAGTGAGCCGAGATCTTGCCACTGAACTGCAGCCTGGGTGATGGAGACCCTGTCCCCCACAAAAAAAATATTTTAAAGCATATGTGTACAAAATATATTAAAGCATATGTGTTATAAAATGTTTGTAACAGCTGTATTTGTCATGATCAAAAACTGGAAAGAACCCGAATATCCATTAATTACAATCGAATGGATAAACAAATATTGGTATATCCATACAATGTAATACTACTCAGCAATAAAAAAGAAATGAACCATTCAAACATGCAACTATGTGAATCAATTAAAAAATAATTATGCTGAGTGGAAATAGCTGGCCAAAAAAGAGTATGTAGTATTTGATTCAATTTTTATAAAATTATTCATAATACAAACCAATATATACTGAACAAAAGAGGTCAATGGTTGCCTGGAATGGTGAATTGAGGAGTGGAATCTGGCAGAGACAGGTGGAATGGCAAAATTTTAAAGGTGCACCTGGAAAGTTTTGGGAATGATAGACATGTTCATTTTCTTGACTATAGTGATGGTTTCTCAGGTATATACATATATTAAAACTTAAACTTGTACATGTTAAATATGTCCAGTTTATTATATGACAATTATACTGAATAAATCTTTTACAGAAATAAGACAGCAGAACAAGATTATTATATTGAATTCATCATGACATTTCATGTCTTGAAAGCTATTAAAATTTTAATGAAGAGTAGACAAAATTAGAATCAAAAGTAGAGTTTACTTAGAATGTCTAGTTGTGATTGTATTGTCTAACCAATTTGCTCAGTTATTTACTCATAAATTATGATTGTTATTAAAATACACTTTTATGGTAAACTAAAGTGGTTTTCAAACATGGTCATACACAAGAATCACATGTAGGAAATTATTAGACATGCAGATTTCCAGGTTTTTCCCCTGCCCCCAGGAATTCTGAATTGTAGATGTGGATTGTGGGGTCTGGGAATCTGCAATTTCAGGCAGTTTTTGATGTGTGTATCCATAGACCACGCTTGGAATTGCTTCTTAGCAGAACATTGTTTACATCAAAATTGCATGAACTGAGATGAATGCAGTGGAAGACTGGTGCCATGCTATAATGGTGTATTTTCGATCAAGTTCTACCTATACGTCCACAAACCTGCTAGAGAGAGCAGTTGACTTATTTGGAAGGAGCACAAAGTTTGCATTTTGTGTGTTGTCGGATATTTATAGCACCCGCCCTCATTAGAAAATTAAAAGTGTACAGATACCACAAAGAATTAAGGTTTATAAGGGCTTCCTTTCCTCCTCCTCTTTCTCTTCTGCTTCTTACTCTTTCCCTTTTCCTCCTTTTCATAATATTTATTTACCTACATTTGATGTTTTTTGTAGTAATCATGTTTTTACCGGGCCATTCAATAATGAAAGGACAGGGGCAGAAGGAAGAAGGGACCACCTTCTACTTTATCAGATACCTTTAAAAAAATAAACACACAGTAAGAGCAATGTAATTCACCACTTTCAAGTTTGAGGTCATGGAGAGCAGAAAAGCCTTTCTAGAAAGTATTTCTTTGTGCCTTTCCAGAGATAGTTTATATCATCTATCAAATTATGGCACTTCTTACCTTCTGAAATACTTATAAACTGCCAGGAAGTAATCTTCTGTGGAAACTTACTCCATTAGAAATGATGCCATTGCATTGGGAAGGAACTAAACTATCGGTTTACTGACCTGATCCCCACCATAATCAGTGACAAGCATGGCAAGACTCACAGCTGTTGTCCGGGGCCATGCCTGGGGCCATGGAATAACATTTTTCTTTGAGTAAGTTAAAAGAGTTGTGTAGTATGAAGCTCATGACTTCAGAGTCTTGTGCTGGATATGCTAACCAAAAACGAACTGATTTCGCCTTAGGGTCACAAGATTGTGGGGCTACGTGTATACATAGTGGAGTCCAGTCTTCAAGATGGTTGCCAGTTTTAACTAGGCTGTGCTGATTGATCTGCCTCTTTAGAAAAAATAGCAGAACTTTAAATTTAGGCAATATTATAGTCCAGATCTTGAGTATGTGGTTTGATAATTTATATGAATACATAAATGTGTGTATATGTATATACATATGTATGCATATGTGTATATAATATATATGTTTTATATATGTATGTGAAAGTTGTGAAGAAATGTACACTGTCGTTAGCATCTTAGTCTATTTGAGCTGCTATAACAGAATACTGTACACTGGTTGGCTTATACAAAAACAAATGAATTTCTTATAGTTTTGTAGACTGGGAAGTCCAAGGTCAGTACACCAGAAGGTTCAGTGTCTGGTGTGGGCCTGCTTTTTGGTTAATAGATAGCTGTCTTCGTGCTATGTCCTCACATGGCAGAAGGCACAAGGGAGATCTCTGGAATTTCTTAAAAGGACACTAATACCACTTATGAGGGCTCTATCCTCATGGTGTAATCACCACCCAAAGGACCTACCTCCTAATACCATAACATTTGGGGTTAGGATTTCAACATAGGAATTTTGAAGAGACATACACATTCATTTTATAGCAGATAGATTATACTGTAGAACTAAATAACAGAGTTGGAATCCTTCACAAAATTATAAAATATTTATGAACCTGAAGAGTAGGTGTCACTATAATTGAAAAAAAAATCAAATTTTGGGTGCTTGGAGAATCATGGTGGTTTTATTGAGTTTTGTACCTTAAATTTGTGCAGTTGAGTGTTTCTTATTTTCTTTTTAGTATTTATTGTTTTGCTTTCCACAGACATGAAGCCATTATTATATCAGGAACCGAAATGGCCAAGCATATCCAGAAAGAAATACAGCGAGGTGTGGAATCATGGGTTTCCCTTGGAAACAGAAGACCTCACCTCAGTATAATTTTAGTGGGAGATAACCCAGCAAGCCATACATATGTCAGGAATAAGATAAGAGCTGCCTCTGCTGTAGGTGGGTGTGTGTTTTAGTTGTAATTACTACTAAATATGTTTTCTGTTTTTACTTCAAATTGTGATAATTATGAATGATAATTATCAAATAAGTGCCATTTGAATTGCATGTATTATTATTAAAGATTATTCAGTTACCAAAGCTTATGTTAATTTCATATGATTTTTCTTCAAATTTCTTATAGGGTTAATTCAGTGTGTTTTATATTCTATGGCAAGATATGCAAAGGATAGTTTGCATCTAAAAGGCCTGCTTTCATTATATTTGCTTTAATCAAATAATAAACCTGGCTTGTTCACTCTGTTAAACTTGGCCTAATAGTTGCATGGTAGTGATATTTTTATTCTCTTCAAATCTACTAACAGTAGCTTATCTCAAACAAGTACAAATTGTCACCTGGCATTCCAGGCCAAAGAATACATGTGGATCAAGAGGAAACACCTGTACTATTGGAGAAATCCTTCCTGATGATGCATGGAACATCAGAACCTTTCACGGCAGTAGGAACAGTCCCACACTGTGTCAGACACTATTGATGAAAAACCATATTCAGTTAGTCAAGTGACCTTCTCTACCTGTTTTTCTTCTAGGTATTTGTAGTGAGCTCATTCTAAAACCTAAGGATGTTTCTCAGGAAGAACTTTTGGACGTAACTGATCAATTGAATATGGACCCAAGAGTCAGCGGTATATTAGTTCAGTTACCACTACCAGGTACATAATGCTCCTCTTATTTATCTGATTTTGTTAAAAGTGAAACAAAGGGCATCTTTCAACATCATATTATGATACTGCAAGTAATTTATAAAATACATTCAGAAGGAGACTAGCTATTTTACTAGTAATAGGTGTAATAGTGATTTCTGAATGATTTGTGCTTACATGGACAAAATCCTTGAAAGTGAAATATAAGCATTGGCAATACATACACTCCTTGCTTTGCACAGTAGTATGGGTCTCTAAAAATGACGATGTAAGATGAAACCAGGTAATGTGATCTTAATAATCAAAGGTAAAAATAACAATTTTTCTGTGGCCTTTAAAACTTCTTATCCAAGCATTGAAAACTCTCCTACTGTGGTTCATAAATGTATAGGGAAATGAATAATTAGTAAAACTAAGCTAATGTTTTTTAGTACACTCTAATTTAAAACATTAGAAACATTGAGAAAGTGTATGATATCTTTGCAAAAGCTCGTCAAAAGTAGTTGGAGCAGTGTTTGTCTTCTGTCTAATTCTATAACTTATCATATGGAATGGGCATCTTTTCTATGTCTTGGTGAATTGAACTGTTATATTCCTTTCAAAGTTTAGATTAGCTCCCAGTATTTTGTCTATTCTACTTTCAATGTTGTGAAATTTCTCTGAGAGTTCCTTAACATTTAAAGGAATTTCAGTATGAAGTTTCACATTGGCGTCACTTCATCTGAGATGTTGTTGTCTTTTTTATTACGATCACTTTCCTCGTTTGTGTGATGGATTCACCCTCATTAAGTTCCTCTGGCTGCGTAACTACGTCTCTCCAAAGGATTCAGTGTCAGCATTCTATGGTCAGCTATTTCTCCTACAACTCCATTTACATTAAATTAGATTCCTATTGAAATGACTTTGTTTTTTATGTTTATCAGGCTTTTTCAACATAAGACTTACCTTCGCTTCATGCGGGCCTAGGTTTCTCTTGTCTTTGTTTGCTGTTGTTCAGATCTTCTACTTACATCCAGTTTCCATCCCAGCATTATCACATTTTGTTTCTTTGCTATACTTTCACTTTTATAGGCTAATCCCCTCTGTCTGTTATCCACTTTTGTAAAATATCATGTGGGTTTATCTCTGGGAAACATGGAGAAAACAACACTTTGCCATCGATGTTTGATGATTGTAAATGTGCAGTGACCAATCATTTGAAAGAAGTGCTATGACTGGTCACTGATCATCATCTCATCTGTTATTTCTGTAGTGATCTGTGGACTAAAGAGCTAGCAGCTCTTGTATAATTACTATGAAATTTGAAATGTGTTATTGGAGGACTAGTATTATTTAACTGAATTGTTGTTCTGAAATTTGTGCATATTTAAACTGCGCAAAATGAGGACTGCAGGTATAGTATAGGTTACAGTAGCTTTGTAGTTTTGAGTTCTGTAAGCTTTGATTAACAATCGTGATGTGCAAAAAGTAAAGCTATATAATGCTATTATATGGGATCTTTATGTGGTATTAATATTTTTCTTTATCCAGCAATATAATGTAATATCTTACTTAGCATATGTTATAGCTTTTGTGCTGTTTACATTATATCAAAAATTCATACTTCTAATTCTTTTCCTCCAATATAGCTGCACTGACAAAAATCATCAAGTTAATAAGAATCTCAGAAGCTATCAGTTTTCCCCCTGAGAAAAATGCTCTGGCAGATAATGCTTACATTAATGATGTTAAAGTTAGTATAGTGATAGTATCACTTACCTTTAAAACTAGAAAAAAAATTCAACACGTGCAGCACTCTTATATCATAGGAAAATGAGATCTAGAGAAGATCAGGAGTTTATTAACATCACAAATCTGTCCAAAAAATTTTAACAGTGTTTCTCAATTGTTTGACTCACTCACAATGAATCTCCTGTTGGTACTGTATTTATCAAGCAATCTTCTTATAGTTTGCAGTTTTTGAAATTTTCTCTACTTGGCATTTCTACGACATTTCAATAACTGTATAAACATGTCACAACATTAATTCTTAAAATGTCCATTCTACACAAAATGACCTGAAAAGACATTTCTTAAGAGAAGACATACAAATGGCCAACAGGTATATGAAAATGATAAACTTCACTAATTATCAGGGAAAGGCAAATTAAAACCACAATGAGATATCACCTCACACCTGTTAGGATGGCTGTTATCAAGAAAATGAGGTAAGTGTCAAGGATGTAGAGAAAAGGAACCCTTGCTCACTGCTGTTTAGAATGTAAATTGGTACAGTCATTTTAGAAAACAGCATGACAGTTCCTCAAAAAATTAAAAATAGAATACCGTATGATCAAAAAATTCCATTTCTGTATATATATCCAAATGTCATGATATCAGTATGTCAAAGAGATATCTGCACTCCTAAAGTAATGCTGCACATTGCAGCATTACTTTAAGATACATAATCAACTTTAGTGTCTATCAGTGGCTGAATGGATAAAGTAAATGTTGTTGTATATATACACTATGAAATAAGAATCAACTTTTTAAAAGAATGAAATCCTGTCATTTGCTATAACATGGAACCTGAAGTGTATTATACTAAGTAGAATGAGCTAGGCACAAAAAGAAAAACCTGCATGATCTTACCTGTAGAATTTTTAAAAGTAAACTCATGGAAACATAGAGTTAATGGTGGTTACCAGGGACTGAGGACTGGAGAGGGGATTGTGGAGATGTTGGTTAAAGGATACAAAATTTTAGTTAGACAGGAATAAGTTGTGGAGGTCTATTGTACAACATGGTGACTTAGCTAATAACAACATACTATATACTTGCAAATTGCTGAGAAAGTAGATTTTAAATGTTCTCACCACAAAAATACATATCTTGACTTAGCTGTTTCATAATGTATACATATGTCAAAACATTGTACACCACACATATCTACAAATTTTTCTTTGTTAATTTAAAAGTATTAAAATAGTCATAGTTTTCAAAGTACATTACATTTAGTTTGTCACAGATTTCTAACTACGTTGGATTTTATATCTGTAGAAATTTTACCCCTTTTGAGCAACATTCCTTATTTGGTGAATTTATTAGCAGCTCGCTGCTAGATGGCACTGGTGATTTGTCTGTATTAAATACTAAATTGCCTGAGTCCTGTGCTAGAGACTAAATTGTTTGAGTGTCTCAAACAGAGAGTGTGAGAAGCATAGAGCTAAAGTGACCACAGTGATTAAAAAAAAAAATCTGGATGTTCTGAGAAAGGGCAGTTTTCTATGTAGCCAAAAAGCCAATAATGCCAAAATTGTGGCTAACATTTATTACATTATGACACTTTTGTATGCCATTTATATTACAAATGGCACTTTGTATTTATTAACCCATTGGATCCTCACAATAATCCTGTGAAGCTGGAGCTATTATATATTTTTTACTGATGAGAAATTTGAGGCGTGAAGAGGGTAAGTAACTTCTTCCAAGTTCATAGAGTTGCTAAGTAACTGAGTTGGGATTTGAATCCGGGCAGACTGGCCCCCATGCCAAGAATACTCTTACCGATTATGTTAGCACCCTCACTGGCACATCAGTGTTATCTAGTGAGTCATGTGTGCTTACTATGTGGCAGGCACTCCCTTACCTGGATTATTTTATTGAATCCTACAAACACCCTTATATGATAAGAATTAACTTCTTCATTTTATAGTTAAAGAGACTGAGACACAGGGAGGTTAAGTGAATTGACCAGTATTACCTGTTAGTAAATGGTAGAGCCAAGACCCAAACCCAGATCAACTGATTTCAGAGCCTGCCTTTTAAACTTCTTGTTACGTTTTACTGTCTCTCAGAACATAGTAAGGCATAACGTAAGCACATATATTTCAAACATTCACATACAAGTTCCTAGCACATGTAACCACCAAGTTGCTGATCGTTTGGTTTCCCTGTTTCCATACTTATAACCTATATTTTTTACGATTTTTACCTTGCTCAATAATGGTATTCCTATTTTTATTCATAATTTCTTTTTGGTAAGGTTTAAAAATGATAGCAATGGGATTAAAGACATATTAAATATACTATTCCTTTCAAAGTAGCCTCCATTTTAGTAATTGCACTTTGGTACATTTTTGCTAGCAGAAGATATTATTCAAATATGGGTATATACAGTCTGAATTTATAATGTGGCTTTGTGATTTACTGACCGTTACTTAACTTTGATGAGTCTTACTTTCCTCATAAAAAGAGAATTGAAAATCGATCTTTTATACTACATATTGGGAACATATAGTTTGTTAGTTAATAGAAAAAGTTGGTTAAAGTAGAAAATTGTAAAACAATGCATATGTACCTTAAACATTGTGTTATGTAATAAATAATTTAAATATTCATTCATCAATCTTTAACATAGATTAAAAGCTTTCTGGAGCCCACTGATTGGACTTCTGCATCATCTTCTGGCATTAATAATACTTATAATTCATTGCCTGTAATTTTCAGGTTGCGGTGTAACAGTGAAAATTCATCTAGATTTTCAAAATGTCTCCCAGTCTTCAAAGTCGCCTTGCTGTTACCTAAGTCATACTAATGCTTTTTAGTTCTTGAGAGTCTTTCCAGATCATTCAGCTTAGTTTTCTTACAAATAAGAACTGTTCCCTTTTGCACTCCATTGTCATTTATTTATATCATTTTTACCTATGTTATAGAATTTACTATGAAAAAACTGGCAAAGACAGGCTGGGAAATACAAAAATTGTCTCTTGGTTATGAAACTCAACTGATAGGGTTAGGAATAGTTTATTAACTATTCTCTGATATGTCCAGCAAGGGCTGGACATCAGCCTTCATGTTTTACAGAATAAATGGAGCTCATTAGTTATTTTGATAGATTGGCTGTATAGAAGTAGATGAATACAGCCTCTCCTATGTATATCTCATAAGACTGTTATAATGAACAAATTAAACAATAAGCAAATGAAAAAATGAATGAGTCTAGTTGATTACACCTTCAAGCTTAATAATATAAAATTATTTTCTATAATTTGGTTAGTAAATGTGTATTTCAAATTATTTTATCATTAGAAATCTGAGATTTCTCACAATTATGGCAATGTCTTGAGTAAAATAAATTCCAAGTTAGAATTATAATTCTAATGTTTGAAGACAGGTTTGCATAAGAATTAAACAGAATGTGCAGGGAGTTTCCATGCATCTCATTTGAGCAACAAGCAAAGAAATGAGATAGAATTCTGTCCTGTTTAATGGTACTGGGACTGTCACAAGCTAAGCCTTGTTTATGTTCAGAAGCTGTGCAACTTTGTTCAGGATTTGAAATGCTCGGGATATAAGAGTACACAGGCTTGCTCTTTGTCCAGTAGCTGACCCTAAAGCTAAGGAGAAATAAAAATGACCGAATGCAGATGCTTTCCTACTCCTGTCCTGACCGTGCAGAGATTCTTATCAATAAGTGGTCACTTTGTCGAGGTAAGAAAGGGGTCTGTTATTTATGTTATATTCTTTTTTTCTTCTAAGTAGGCATTTTATTTTATTTTTTTTTAGCTTTTATTGAGTTATCTGTATTAAACTGATATCATATTAAAAGTTAAATTTTTGGAGTATGTATCTTTGTATAGAGTAAAGTAATTAGAAAAATAGTCTTTTAAAACTGGGAACCAGTGGCATCCTTTTCAAACTAGAATAATAAAAGGGAAATTATAATATTCACAAACTTGAAGCACACTGGAATTCTGCTATAAATGTTTGTTATAGAATAGAATTTGGTGCAGGGTGAATTTGATTTAAGAGGGTTTAAATTATATGAACTGTGTGAAAACATTTAGATCTAAGGCTGAAAACAATTATCAACTCAATGAAATTTTAATATGGTATTTCACAACTGTGACTTCATGACAGCTGTTACAAGTGTCAGGAATGGTAAATATGTACTATTTACTAATGCCAACACTGTACAGAAGTGCTTTATATACAATAAATCATTTATTACTCACAGCAATCCTTACCAGTAGATGCTATTTCTATCTGAGGTTTGTGGTTAAGGAAAAAGAGTGAACTGAGTAACTGGTGTGAGTTCACTCAGTGAGTAAGTACCAGAGCGTTGTCAAGAGAACCAAGTGTAGCATCCTTCGTACCATAGTCACAGTCCTACAGCAGAAATTTAAGAGAGCATCAAGAGAGATGCTTGCTTACCCGCTTTGTATTTACTTGCTCTCTGAGAAGTCTACTTCTCATTTATTTCTGGAACACAATTAGGTAAACTCTATCTATTTCAAATGTTCTCTTCAGTTGTCTAGTTTGAAGCCTTTGAGGATTAGCACCTTCCAGTTTATTCAAGGGAATTGGACAAAGAAATGAGAATGAACTATAGGATTAAAGGATAAAACTAAAGAAGGTGAGTTAGAAGAGTTTGAGTTCATGGCGCAGATTTAACATAAAATAATCGAATAATTAGTAGGCATAAAAAGGTGGATATCGACCTAACTAGTAAGCATGGAGATATGTGTATTTGTCTAAAACTCATTTCTTCATTTGGGGAAAAAAAGTATTGCTATAATTACTTTTCATGAGAAATTATCAAATTTATGTATCCAGAACACTGATTATTATTAAAATGTTTGACCAGAGTGGGAATTTTTTTTTATCATTCTGAACTCTTTCCTATTTTATTCTGTTTAATTCAAGATGGTTTCTAAATTTTAATTTTACTTTGTTTTAGAATTTATATTTCCTTTCTCTATGGGAGAAACCCCAGTTCTGTGTTTGAGTGTATAGAATAATTCCACATAGGGAGAATTGCAGTAAACATTATAACCCTGTAATCTGCCTTGTATCTGTTAGACAATTAGTGAATGCTGTTGAAGAAATGAGTGAATCCTGTAGTTTTTCAGCACCACTTTTTTGTGTGTTAAGTCTCATCCTTCTGCATATGTTTCTACATGTAAGAGATTAGTGCATAAACAATTTAACTGATCAAGATTGGTGAAGATCTTGTGCCCGCACCCATGAAAGTTTTCTATAGCTATATAGTATCTATTGTATACAGGCCACGTTAGGAATGCATATTTTATAACTTGAATAATGTGTTAGCCTCTTACCTCTTCACTATATTGGTTACCTTTCAAACATACAAGGGCTGAGTTCTTTCTCCCTTTAGATCTTAGCGTAAATGTCACTGCTTTGGGGAAGCTTTTCCAGCCCATGCCCCTAAGTTGTTTTCATTCTGTTGTTCTCTATTTGGAACCTCCTTTTTTTCTGTGACAGAGACAATTTAAGTTCTCCAAATATCCACATGTCCTCTTATATTTTGGGGCTTCTCTTTGCAATTAGATTGAGCCCATGTGACTACTGGACAATAGATTGTAAAAGGAAGAGACATTTTTGGAACCACTTCCAGACTGAGATGGTTAAAAGCTGTTGTGCCCTCCTCCTTCACTTCTGTTTCTGTTGCATTGTTCTTGGAAACTAGGTATTACAGATGGTTGTAAATTACAAAAAGTAGGGCAGTAGAATTCTTATTGGACTTGACATGAATAAGAAATAAATACCCTTTTATAAATGACTGGGATTTCAGATTTTTTTAAACCTATAAACTCACAGATCAAAGAAGCTCACCAAACTCTCAAGCTCATGAAACATGAAGAAAACTATGCCAAAGAACACCATAATCAAATTATTCAAAACCACTGATAGAAAAAAATCTTAAAAGCAATAAGGGGGTTGGGGGAGGGCATTACATACAAAGGAACAAAGAGGACAGTGACAGAATATTTATTGATAGAAACAATGCAAGCAAGAAGACAATAGAACAATATCTTTAAGTATTAAGAGGAAAAAAAACACCTGTAAACCCAAATTTCTATACCTAGTGAAAATACCTTCAAAAACAAAGGCAAAAAGTCTTTTATGAGACATGTGAGGAAGAGAGCTCAAAACTAAAAACAATTATTTACTAGCAGACCTATGATCTAAGAAATACTAAAAGGCCCGGGTGTGGTGGCTCATGCCTGTAATCCCTGCCCTTGTGGGTGGATCACTTGAGGTCAGGAGTTCAAGACCAGCCTGGCCAACATCGGGAAACCCCATCTCTACTGAAAATACAAAAATCAGCTGGGCATTGTGGTGCACACCTGTAATCACAGCTACTCAGGAGGTTGAGACAGGAGGATTGCTTGGACCTGGGAAGTGGAGGTTGGAGTGAGCCAAGATCATGCCACTGGACTCCAGCCTGGGCAACAGAGCAAGACTCCATCTCAACAACCACAACAAAAAAGAGATATTAAAGGAAGTCCTTCACCTAGATGGAAATGATACTAGATGGAAATATGGATCTGTCCAAGGAATTAAGAGCTCTGGAAGTGGTAACTACCTGAATAAATATATATTATTCATGTATATATATGTTATAATATATTGTTCTTATTCTTATTATTCAGATTATTTTAGAAGATAATTAATGTTTAACCAAAGCCAAAAACAATGTAGTTTGTGGTTTGTAACATACAATTAAAATGTATGGCAACAATAGCACAAAAGTTTGTATGGAAGAAATGGTGGAATATTATCGTTTGATTCCTGTAATATATGTGAAATGACATAATATTACTTAAAGTTAGCCTGTGATAAGTTAAACATGTATAATATGAAACCGAAAGCAACCATGAAAATAACACAACAAAGAGTTATAGCTAATAAGCCAACAGATAAGAAAAAGTAGAATGATCACAGATATTCAGTTAATCTAAAGGAATATAGAACAATGGAGAAAAGACGACAAAGATGTTAAATTTATTCCTAGAAAATGTAATGTAAATAATCCAATTAAACATCAGAGGTTGTCAAATTGGTTAAAAATCAAGTCCCAACTGTATGTTGCTTACATGAAACTACACCTTAACTATAAGGACACAGGGAGGTTAAAGCAAAAGATTGGGAAATATATGCCATTCTAACATGAATCAAATGAAAGCTGGAAGAGCTATTTAATATGAAAGTATATTTCAGAGCAGAAAATATTACTTGGGATAAAGAGGTCATTTCATAATAATTAAAGAGTTGGTTTATCAAAAGTAAATAACAACCTTAATATCTTATATACCTAATAAGAAAACTTCAAATTACATGAACCAAAAGCTAATATAATTGCAAGGAAAAATAATCAAATAAAAAATTATAGCCATGTTTCAAAACTTCTTAATAATGGAGAAAACAAGTAGACAGAAAATCAGTAAAGAATATAGAATACTTGTAGTATGATATCAACCAATTTGACATAATTAAAATTTATAGAATACTCTCCCCCAAATGGCAGATAATACCCTTTCTTCAAGTTAATGTAGAATATTTACCAGTATATACCACATGCTAGGCCATAAAACTAATCTCAATTTTAAGAGAATTCATGTCACACAAAACATGTTCTCTGACCACAATGGAATTAAATTAAAAATGAGTAACAAAACCTTCTGGAAGGCTGTGCACAGTGGCTCATGCCTATAATCCCAGAACTTTAGGAGGCCAAGATGGGCAGATCAGGAGATTAGTAGATCGAGACCGTCCTGGCTAACACGGTGAAACCCCGTCTCTACTAAAAATACAAAAAAAAATTAGCTGGGCGTGGTAGCAGATGCCTGTAGGCCCAGCTACTCGGGAGGCTGAGGCAGGAGAATGTCCTGAACCTGGGAGGCGGAGCTTGCAGTGAGCCGAGATTAAGCCACTGCACTCTAGCCTGGGCGACAGAGCGAGACTCCATCTCAAAAAAAAAAAAAAAAAAAAAAAAAAAATCTGGAAAATCCCTAAATATTTGAAAAGTAAATAGCATACCTCTAAATAACCCCTGTGTCAAATAAGAAAATGAAAGAGAAATTTGAAATTGTTTTGAACTTTTTGTGAAAATGTAACACATCAAAGTTTGTGGGATTCTATTAAAGCAGTACTTAAGGGAAATACACAGCACTAAACACATATCTTAGAAAAGAAAAAAAGGTCAGAAATCAGTAATCTCATCTTATACTTTAAGATGGTAGGAACATCAGAGCAAATTAAACACAACATAAAAACAAAAAAAGAAATAATAAAGAACAGAGTAGAAATTAATGAAATGTAAAATAGAAAATTCATAAAAATCAGTAAAACCAAAGCTAGACATATCAAGGAAAAGAATAGATACAACTGACCAATACCAGGACTTAGGGTGGTAATATCACTACAGATTCTACAGATATTAAAAGGGCAGTAAGGGAATATTCTCAGTAACATTATCCCAATTTGACAAGTTAAATGAAATGGACAACTTCCTTGAAAGATATACATTACCAAAGCTCACTCAAAAAGAAATGTCTTAATAGCTCTGTTAAGCAATTGACTTTGTAGTTCAAATCCATTCCACAATGAAAGCTCTATGTCCAGATGGCATCCCTGGTGAATTTTACCAAATATTTAAGGAAGAATAGTGATAAAGAAGAGGGAATGCTTTCTAACACATTTGAAGCCAGCATTACTCTGTTACTAAAAACCTTGCAAAGACATTACAAGAAAGGAGAATTATGAGTCGGTATCCTTCATGAAGATAGATTCAAAAGGTATTAACAAAACATTAACAAATCAAATCCAACAATTTAGAAAACAATTCATCATGACCAAATGTGTTTTCTTTCAGGAATCCAATACAATTTAACATTAGAACAGTAAACAATGTATTTTACCATATTAACAAGCTAAAAATGAAAATCATATAATCATTTCCATAGATACAGATAAAGTATTGGATAAATTTCATCATTAATTCCTGATGAGAAACTTTCAAGTAACTAATAATAGAAGAGAACTCTTTCAAGCTGATAAAGGGAATGTATGAAAAATCTATAGGCAACATCATAATTGATTATGAAACACTGAGTGTTTTCCTCTTACAATCAAGAAAGTCAAGGATGTCCACTATTACCATGTCTATTTAACATTTCACTGGAAATTCTAACTAGCACAATAAGACAAGAAAAGCAGATGACATGATTGTCCCATGGAAAATTCAAGGGAATCCATGAAAAAAAAAAAAAAAAAAAAACAGCTACTAGTACTAATAAGTGAGTTTAGCAAGATTGAAGGATACAAGCTTAATATAGAGGAATCGATTTTTATTCTGTATACTTTCAACCAGATATTGAAATTTTAAATATACATTTATAATAGCATCAAAAATATGAAATCCTTAGGCATAAATTTGACAAAAGATGGGGAAAACCTATATATATTAAAAACTACAGAACATTTCTGAGACAAACTAAAGGAGGCCTAAATAAATGGATTAATAAACCATGTTTATGGATCAGAAGACTAAATACTGTTAAAATACCAATTTTCCTCCAACTGATTTGTAGGTTCAAGGTGACCTTTGGTAAAAACTTGGGAGAAACTGAATAAAATTCATATGGAACTGCAAATGACCTAAAATGGTCCAAACAATTTTGAAAATGAGTAACATGGAGGATTAACATTGCCTGATGTCAAAATGAGTTATAAAGCTACAGTAAGCAAAGCAATGTAGTATTGGAATCAAGATAGAAAATCAGATCAATGAAACAAAATAGAAAGTCCAGAAAGAGATTCACACTTATATTGATAACTGATTTCTGACAAAAGTGGAAAGGCAAATAAGTACAGAAAAGAATGCGATTTTCAACACATAGTACTGGCTGGAACAATCAGATATTCAAATGCAAAAGAATATCTAGAAAAGAAATGCTAGAAATTAAAAACACTCTAACAGAAATGAAGAATGCTTTGATGGGCTCAACTGTAGACTGGAAATGGCCAGGAAAAGAATCAGTAAGCTTGAAGTTATGCCAGTAGAAATTTCTCAAAATAAAACACAAAGAGGAAAAAAACCCAAACCGCTCCAGAATAGAATGTCAAAGAACTGTGGGATATTTTCAAAAGGTACATGCATTTGGAATAGCAGGAGAAGAGAAAACAGGACAGAAAAAACTTTTGAAATAATCATTGCTGAAACTTTCTAAAAATAATGACAGAGAGAATAGCAAGAGCAAAAATGGTAAAAGTATTTGAACAGACACTTCAAAGAAGAAATACAAATGGTAAATAAGCATATGAATAGATGTTCAACATCATTAGTCATTAGGGAAATTCAAATGAAAAGTATTAACAAGATACTACTGCAAACCCATTAGAATGGCTGAAATTAAAATATCAACTGACTATACTATGTGTTGGTGATGATGTGGAGGGATAGTAACCATCATGTTCTCCTGTAGTGGAGATGCAAAATGGTACATTTTGGAAAACTGGAAAATAGTTTGGCAGTATCTTAAAACGTTAAATACACACACACACACACACACACACACACACACACACACTGGTCCAGCCATTCTGTGCCTGTGTATTTACACACACACACACACACACACACACACACACACATTGGTCCAGCCATTCCGTGCCTGTGTATTTCCCCAAAAGAAAATGAAACATATGTCCATACAAGTATTTGTATATGAATGTTCATAGAACCTTTATTTGTGATAACTAAAAACTAGAAACAACCCAAATGTTCATTAGCAGGTCAATGGATAAATAAACTGTGATATTCCATACAATAGAATACTACTCAGCAATATTAAGGAACAAAATATTGATGCATATTACAATATAGATTAATCTCAAAGTAATTATGCTGAGTGAAAGTATCTAGACAAGAGTATATACTCTGTGATTTCATTTAAATAAAATTATATGAAATGAAAACTAATGAATTGACAGCATATCCGTGGTGTATTAGTCTGCTTCATCTATCATAAGAAAATACCATGGAATGAGAGGCTTAAACAGCAGAAATGTATTTTCTCACAGTCTGGAGGCTGAAAGTGTGCAATCACGGTGCCAGCATGGTTGGGTTCTAGTGAGAAGTTTCTTCCTAGCTTGCAGACAGAGCCTTCTCATTGTGTCCTCACATGATGAAGAAAGCAAGTTTTCTGGTTTCTCTTCTTATAAGGACACTAAATCATATCACAAGGGCCCTACCCTCATGAACTCATCTAAATCTAATTGGCCTCAGAAGTCCTATCTCTAAATACAATCACATTAAGTGTTACAGCTTTAATATATGAATTTCGGGGGGACATAATTCAGTCCATAACAAATGTTTATAGATAGTTGGAGCTGAGGGGATAGGAAAGAGAGGAAAGGATTATGAAGAGAGTAGGAGGAAAGTTTTCAGAATGGTAAATATGTTCATTATCTTGACTAGGATTCTGGTTTTATAGGTATATATATATATGTGTATGCATATGTATATATATGGGTATATATATATGTGTATACATATGTATATATATATGGGTATATATATATGTGTATACATATGTATATATATATGGGTATATATATATGTGTATACATATGTATATATATGGGTATATATATATCAAAACCTATCAAATTGTACTCTCTAAATGTATGCCGTCTATTATATTCAAATATTCTTCAATAAAGCTGTTTATCAAAAATGCAAATCTACTAGAAATAGAAAAAATACAATAAAACTATATAGTAAAGGACTCAAAAGAATGACAGGCACAGGACTCAGGATGAAATTTACATCTGTTTGGAGCAGGACGGAGAATGGACTAATTGGGTAGACTATAAGGTTAAATATAGATTAAGGTTAAATATAGATCAAGGCGATAACTTTTGTTTGGGGTAGTAGATTTGCATATGCCTAATTTATTATGAAAAACTAATTTAAATTGCATTGTGTTTGGACCAATATTGAGGTTGTGTCACAAGCCCATGAATTATGATTAATCCAATTTCTGCACTTGAAGTTCATTCAAAGAAAAAATACCCAATATTTTGTTTCAAATTCTTTTTGACATTATTTGTTTAGTCACATAGAAGCAAAGCCATCCTCACACAATATTATTTATCCAACTTAAAAAGAAAAACTTTCTCAGAGGGAGGTTTATATCAAAGAGCTTATGAGCAAGGGGAAGAAAAGTGAAGACCACTCTCTTGCATGTAAAGTATGTTAACCACATGATGGCAGCATTGAGCAAGCAGTGTTTTTCTTCCTTTTTTTTTTTTTTTTTTTTTTTTTAAAGATTAATGGTTTACACTGGAAGGTGAGTAAATCACTGAGATATAATTTACATAGCAGTGGGATTGGTTGGTGTCTATAGCCACTTATGTCTCTCTCTCTCATTCATATTCATGTGGAAACCATGCCCAGAGATTTTTAGTGGCTCAAATCTATAGAATTACATCTTTTTGAACAGTTATTATCAAAAATTTGTTATATCATCTAACTTGAGATGATTTGCTTTTCACAATATCTTCAAAATCATGAATTTTTTGAACAAGTTACTTTTTTATTTTTTTCTTTACCATTATATCCTCATCTGTTTTTGAGTGTATTCAGCTTGAAATGATGACAAAGCATTTACCAAAATCAAAAGGCCCTATGGAAGATGGATATTTCTCTGTGGAAAGTATTTTAAAATATCTAGTTATATGATAGTTTTCTGACCCTCATCATTCATTTACCAGGTCAACGAATATTTACCTAGAATTTATGTAACTCTGTACTAGGTACCCGGGGAAAAGGTACCTTTTAGTCAGGGTACTGACCAAATAGTCAGAAAGCAATTTGAGAATAAATCATTGTCCTTGAAAAGTTTGCAAGCAAGATTCCCAAAAAAACATCTTTTCTTTCTCCTTGTGTGTTTAAAAGAAGCTTATTAGAATTGGCCTGTTCACTAATCTAAGTGTTTTCTTCTATAGAATACACTATTTCAAGGACAGTACTGTATATTTGACAGAAGTTACCAAGGGCTCAATAAACCAAGGTGTCCTTAACATTGCTTACAAGAACAAGGTAATTTTAGGATCTCCATATACTCTTCAGGTCACTTAAGATAATTATATAGGGTAAAGGTTAGCAACCTTTGCGTGATGTGTAGGTTCCAACTTCATTAATTTTTATTTTTTATTTTTTTACATCCTATGAAGTAAGCCTGCCTGAGGACATCCTGGGGCAGTTTTCGTGGCTGTAGGAGAGGCTCAGAAGGGTGGAGAACCAGACCCACCTTTTTCCGGCCTAGAGAACTCCTTCCAGTCTACCTCCAAGCTCCACTGTGTTCTCAGAATTTGGGGTGGAGTAGCTCAGCGAGGTTAGAGTGTGTTCCCATTCCTTTTCTGTCCCCTTGTCCCTTGATGTTGAAACAACTCTTAAATAATATTGGGAAAGTGGTAGGCATCTGATAAGTATTTGCTGTCTTGAAATCTTGATGTAGATCCCAGAGGGTGTAACTTAAATATTTATTGGCTTGAGAACAGTGAACACAGTTTCCAAAAGTATCTCTTATTTACTCTTAGAAAATAAATCATTGAGAGACTATAGGTAGTTTGAGTAGGCAGACATTTATTCCATTAAAATATAAATTCCAGAGGCAAGAATTTTGTCTGTTTGCCTCACTTATATATTCATTTTTGTTTTTTGTTTTTTTGAGACAGAGTCTCGCTGTATTGCCCAGGCTGGAGTGCAGTGGTGTGATCTTGGCTCACTGTAACCTCTGCCTCCTGGGTTCAAGTGATTCTCCTGACTCAGCTTCCTGAGTAGCTGGGAGTACAGGTGCCGGCCACCATGCCCATCTAATTTTAGTATTTTTACTAGAGATGGGGTTTCACCATGTTGGCCAGACTGGTCTCAAACTTCTAACCCCAGGTGATCCTTCAACCTCAGCCTCCTGAAGTGTTGGGATTACAGCTTCCTGAAGTGTTGACGTGAGCCACTGTGCCTGGTCCTCACTTATATATTCTAAACCCCTACTGGTAATATGGTAGACATTCAGTAAATATTTGTTGAGTAAATAAATGATTGAATTTTCAAGGGCATTGTATACACACTCAGGATGTGGACTTTGATCTATTAGCATAAAACTTTACCTGGTCGTTTTTTTTTTTCATGTCCAGAAAGGAAGAAGTAAATGAAAAACAAGAAACATGAATCTTTCACCTTAAATTTATGTTGGAGGATGTAATAGTACCAGATAGTCAATAAGGTAGATGCAACAATATGAAAAATTATGATTTTTAACATAAGCCACCTTTGGTTTTTCTTTATATTTTTATTTTTATTTATTTATTAATTTATTTTGAGATGGAGTCTTGCACTGTTGCCTGGGCTGGAGTGCATTGGCTTGATCTCAGCTCACTGCAACCTTCGCTTCCCGGGTTCAAGCAGTTCTCCTGCCTCAGCCTCCCGAGTAGCTGGGATTACAGGCACCTGCCACCACGCCCAGGTAATTTTTTGTATTTTTAGGGTTTTGTATTTTTAGGGTTTCACCATGTTGGCCAGGCTGGTCTCAAACTCCTGACCTCATGATTCACCTGCCTCAGCCTCCCAAAGTGCTAGGATTACAGGCATGAGCCACCGTGCCTGACCTCTTTGTATTTTTAAAAGGAGGATGTTAGAGGATATGGAAGGATCAGACATATTTTCCTTATGGCAGCCTGTTCTTCTTACTGTGTCCAGCTGCCCACTAATTTTGTCTCAGTTTCTTCATCTATAAATTAGGGTTAATAGTAGCCATTTATTCAATAAATATTTATTGAGTGCCTCTATGGTCCAGGCACTATTATTTGTACTGTGGATCAGTGAAAAAGAAAAAGACAGAAATTTCTGTCCTTTTGAGTAGCAGAGGAGGCGGTTAAAAAATATATATAATAAATAAACAAATATATTTACTAGATGTTGATATGCTATCGGAAAAAGGAAGAAGTAGATCATGGTAGGAGGGATAGGATGTTGGAGGACAGGTTGTATTTTTATCTGACCGCCTCCCAACATATTGTTATAAAAAATTCAAACATACAGGAAAACTAAAAGACTGGTACAATGAACACTCATATGCCTTCAAACTAGATTCTGTAGTTGTTAACATTATGCTATATTTGTTTTGTCACATACCTATCCATTTGTTCCTTCACCCGTCCATTTTATTTTTGAAGCATTTAAAGGTAAGAACACTTAATATACCCCTAAAACTTTAGTGTATACATCATTAAGGTTCATTATTTATGTTATGTGAAATTTACATGCATTGAAATGTACACATCTTATATGTATTATTCCATAAGTTTTGAAAAATGCAAACTCTCATGTAATCTAAACCCCTATCATATTATGGAACATTTTTGTCAACTGAGTTTCTTCATGCCCCTTCCCAGACAGTCGCTATCTCTTTCATCCTCACACTCAGGTAACCACTGTTCTGATTTTTTTCGTATACATATTCCATTTCAATATCTTACTTTGTAAAGTGGCTGTTTAAAATGTTTAAAATGTTATTTTAAAATGTTATTTATTAAAAATATTATTTATCTTTTAATGATTTAACTTTGAGTGCTTTTTTTTATATATCTGGTTACAAGTTCTTTAACTGATAGGTGTTTTGCAAATATTTTCTCCCAGTCTTTGGCTTACCTGTACATTTTCTTAATGGTGCCTTTTGATGAGCATAAGATTTTAATTTTTCTTAAGTTTAATTGGTGGTATTTTTATTTTATGCTTTATGTGTTTTGTGTTATTTTTAAGAAACCTTTTCTTACACCCAGCATACAATGATATTCTTCTAAATTTTCACCTAGAAACTATATAATTTTAACTTTTATGTTTAGATTTCTAATTGATTTCTAGTTAATTTTTCTGTGTAGTATGAAATAGTCATCATAGTAAGTTTTGCCACCCCACCCCCTACAATATAGCTGCCTAGCTGTTCAAGTACTATTTGTTGAAAACACTTTGCTTTCGCATTGAATTACTATGGCATTTTTGTGGCATTCACATTCTATAAGTGTGACTCTAAAGCTGGGCTCTCTTTTCTTGTTCCATTGATCTATTTGTCTGTTCTTATGCCTGTATCACACTGTCTAGATTACTGTAGCTTTGTAGCAAGTCTTGAAGTCAGGTATTATAAATCTTCTAACTCTGTTTTCAAGATTGCTTTGGATATTCTAAGTCCTTTAAATCTTCATATACATTTAAGAATCTAACAAAAAACGACATAGGATTATGATTGAGATGATTGCAATGACTCTATAAATCAGTTTGGGAATTGACATCTTACCATCATTGAGTCTTCCAATCTATGAACATGGTATGCCTTTTATTTATTTACGTCATTTGTCAGCAGTCTTTTGTAGTTCTTATTATAGATGTTATTCTCAAATTTTAAACAATTTACTCCTAAGCATTTTATGATTTGTCAGCTATTGTAAAGAGTATTTGTAAAATTTCATTTTTCTGATAGTTACTACTTGTATCAGGAATTCAATTGTTTTCTTATATTGACTTTGTAATCTTGCTTAATTCA
This sequence comes from Homo sapiens, assembly GCF_000001405.40. Lineage (NCBI taxonomy): Eukaryota > Metazoa > Chordata > Mammalia > Primates > Hominidae > Homo > Homo sapiens. Next base: position 74,193,787 of record NC_000004.12, read on the forward strand.
CTTTATTAGTTCTATTAATTGTTTTATAAATTTTTAAGCATGCTCTGCATAAACAACTATGCCATCTGTGATCAGAGAATTTTACTTATTCTATTCTGATCTCTATGCCTCTTTATTTTTTTGTTATCTTATTACACCCACTAGGCCTGCCAACAAAGCATTAACTAGAAATTGTGGGAGTGGACCTTATTCAGATCTTGAGGGAAAAGGTTCAGTATTTCACTATTAAGTAGGATGTTAATTGTAAAGTTTTTTATAAATGCCTGTATCAGATTGGGGACTTAAAGATTTGCTTCTCCTCTGGTGAACCACAGGTACAATCTCTGGTAAGTTATCTTATCCTTAGATGAGCTTCTTGGGGTTTGTTTCCTGTGTGTTTGTTCAGGGGTCATTCAGAGATACAGAATTTGTATACAATGTATGGGACTCCTTTCTGTGGCTTTCTCCTTTCCTGGATATATCGCTTCAATTTTCAACTACGGTGTTAGCCCCAAACTTCATCTTTTGATCTCTTAAGCAAGTAGGACTGAATATTTCTATCCAAATTCTAGCTGTCCTGTGGCTAGAAAAGCTTTTAAAGTGGAGAACTCTTTCAGTGATTTTTTTTTCTTTAAGCTATCTACTTTCCTCTACATCTGTTTGTTTTTAGTGACTTTCCATTTTTTTCAGATAGTTGTTTTTGTATTTTTTCAAATGATTTTACTGAAGTTTGCAGTTGTTTTCTGTAAGAAGTTTAGTCCAATATAAGCTACTTCACAATCACTAGAAACTGAACCTACATTTTTAAATAGTGTGGTCAGAATTGTCCTCACTGATGTTAATCAAGTTTAGCCTAAAGCTGCCTCCTTACATATTTAAGATTAGCCTAAAGGTTTTTCTGTATATTGTGAACTATAACAAGTAGAGGTGTAAACCAATCGTGGCCCACACCTGTGCCAATCACTGAGTTTTGGCCAATCAAGTGTAGCCAGCTGCTCGAACCATGTTCAAATAAGGCAAACACTGAGCTGTAACCAATCCAGTTGTTTCTGTACCTCACTTCTGATTTCTGTGTGTTGTGTCCCTTTTTTTGTCTACAAATCTTCTTCTACCACGTGGCTGTTCTGGAGTCTCTCTGAATCTGCTGTGATTCTGGGGGGCTGCCCAATTCGTTAATTGTTCATTGCTCAATTAAACATCTTTAAATTTAATTTGGCTGAAGTTTTTCTTTTAACAGTGAGAATGTGGTATTTAAGAAAACATTTGAAAGAAGGTAGGGATTTAGCCTAGGTGACAGTTCTTTTTTAGGAAAGCCTTCCAGGCAGATAGAAAGCTATAGCTAAGGTGGCAAAATGCCTCATGTTTTCAAGGAACATCAAGGGGACCAGCTTGATGCTCACAGATTGAGAGAAGACGAGAGTAACCAGTGATGGGATTAGACACATAGCTATGGTTTTGGTGCAGTAAAAATCATGTAGAGCCTTGTTTGCAATTTTTAAGGTAATAACATTGCAGGGTTTTGAGAAAAGCAATGTGATCAAATATGTACTTCAAAGGTATAACTCTATTGCTGTTTTGTGAATAAATTGTATGGTTGCACATATAGAAGAAGGAAACTAATTAGGAGGCTGTTTCAAGAATTGACAGGAAGAATAATGTTCACTCAAAGTAGAGTAGTATCATGAACATGGTGAGACTGATAAAGTGCTAGATATATTATTATGAAGAAAGTCAACAGATTTTCCAATGGTTTGGATGTTAGGTGTGAGAGAAAGAGGGATATTTAAGATGACTCCAGGTTTTCTTGGCAAGTAGCACAGAAGGATGGGTTTCCCATTATGAACCCTGAAAATCTGAGACAAATGTCAGTTTATTTTGCCAAGGTTGAAGACATGCACCCATTAGACAGCCTCAGAGTCCTGAAAACATGTGCCCAAGGTAGTTGGGCCACAGCTTGGTTTTATACATTTTAGGGAGTCGTGAGACATCAATCAACATATGTAAGAAGTACACTGGTTCCATCCAGAAAGGCGGGGACAACTTGAAGCAGGGGAGGAGTCTTCCAGGTCACAGGTAGGTGAGAGACAAATGGTTGTATTCTTTTGAGTTTCTGATAAGCCTTTCCAAAAGAGGCAATCAGAACATTCCTCTATCTCAGTGAGCAGAAGGATGACTTTGAATAGAATGGGAGGCAGATTTGCTCTGAGCAGTTCCCAGCTTGAATTTTCCCTTTAGCTTAGTGATTTTGGGGGCCCAAGATTTTTTTTTTCACACCATCAACTGAGATGGAGTAGTTATAAGTGAATCAGTTTAAGACAGACTGTGTCCTAAAAGGCTCACATTCATAAATGATAGAGATAATTAAACAACTAATATCATTAACTGAACTAGTGTGCTAAGTATTTTTTATAGCAGTTCCATGGGAAAGCAGAGGAAAAAAATATTGTTTCAATTTGTGATCATTTCAACAGGGGGCAATTGATCAATGCATTGAAGAATGAATAGGATGTGAAAAAAACTGAGAAGAAAGGATTAGTAGTGAAAAAAATCATCATGAGCAATAGCAATGCAGAAGTTAATGCTAAGGGCTTGGGGAAAGGACATGGTTTGGTGTGACTAGAGTGGAGGGCATGTGATGATGATGGTTGGTAAAGGTATGGAACACACAGAGAAGAGACTATAGGAAAAATAAGCTAAAGGACACAATGTTTACTATACGGATGAGCTTGCACTTATCCAACAGATGTGGGGGAAGTGGAAGGTGGCATTTTTAAACAGTAATGTTGTAAAAATCTATAGGTGGAAAATAAGCCAGTAATTTGTTTGTTCCTTTTTTTTTCTGTTCATTGTCCAAAGACAATTAAGCATATTATAAATACATCGCAAAAATATGTATTCAGTGGCCAGGCTCAGTGGCTCATGCCTGTAATCCCAGCACTTTGGGAGGCCGAGGTGGTGGATCACGAGGTCAGGAGTTTGAGACCAGCCTGGCCAATATGGTGAAACCCCATCTGTACTAAAAATACAAAAATTAACCAGGCATGGTGGCACATGCCTATAGTCCCAGCTACTGGGGAGGCTGAGGCAGAAGAATCTACTGAACCCAGGAGGCGGAGGTTGCAGTGACCTGAGATCATACCACTGCACTCCAGCCTGGGGAACAGAATGAGACTCTGTCTCAAAAAAAAAAAAAAAAAACCCATACAAAACATATATTCATTCAATATAGTAAATCTACAGTGTCCTAAAGGCATTATCTGAGCTGTTTTATTACAGTGGTTCAGATTTTGATTTGATGACTTCTGTTTTTCCTAGCATGATTTAATGACTTCTCATAACTTTAAATAGAAGGGGGGAAAACACAAAGTGAATAAAACCAGTTTTATCATTCATTTGGGTAAGATATTAAATGGTTGGTTGTTTACCAATGTATCCTGTGAATCAAACATGTTGTATAACTGCTGTGAGAAAATTGATGCTATTAAGTCTCACGATTGTTTTTTCTGTTCAAGTTATGTGCCCCAAGGGTGAGATTTTGGGAGACTTTTAGTAGCAGTCAGTCACAAACAGGAAATGTATTTATTTCTCTTACTCATATAACAAAAGGAAGTAGGATTACCTGTAATCCTAAATGTAAAATGTTTGATGCTTTTTTGCATGTGCTTAGACAAGTATTACTTAATCTAGGAATAGTGTTATATTTGGAGCCCTAGGAGAAACAATACATTTCTTGGGATATTTTAGAGTTATCAAATGTCTTATTAGGAGTTGGGAGGGAGGCCTCTGTGATTTTAATTTTTAATGGTATTTAAAATGATTAATATTTATTATGACTTCTGTATGATACAAAAGGAAAAACTGATCTTAGAACAAAAAGATATGGATTTAAATTCTGGATTCTTAGTAGTGATTTGAGATTGACTCTAACTCCTTGAACTTGTCTTTAAAATGGGCATGATCATACCTTTCCTACTTTTATCCCCAGTAACTATGAAGATTAAAAGGAAATTGATGTAAAGGTAATATAATCATTGTAAAGCACTTTTTAAATGTAGATAGAGTAGTTCACATTATTGCTATATACTGTATACTACATAGTAATAGGTAGATCTCTCCTGGAAAAAGATATATGTTAGATTTAATACACTGCTGAGATAGCAGAGTTACATAAAAATGATAAATGAATTGGTTTTCTGGATTTTTATGATCTTCACTTTTTTCATCTACTCATATGGAGCTCTTTTCCTTTTAGATTCAGGTTTTATGAATCTGCTATACATTTTGTATGTCCATTCATCTGTCTTTTAAACTAGTAATACTTAAATATTTAAGACAAACCAAAATGGTGATCTGAATTATGATCTGAGTTGAAGTTGGCATATGCAAGAGGACAGATCTGTAACCACCAGTCTCTAGTTCTGGCTTCCAGATTTTCAGATGCTTACATTTCTTCTCAAGTATTTCAGCTGGTGTGTGAACTGAAATATTTGTTACAGCTTTAATGTTATTTTCAGTGAATGGGAGCGCAAAAAATGGTAGATGGCAACATACAGTGTAATTGAGGCTTATTGTTTGGAGAATGGTTCTTAAAATCTACAAAGAGTCCTTGTTGAGTTCTTTTTAATCAGTAGCCCAGCCCATGCATATATTAGCCAGTTTTGAACTTAGAAATAAACTAATTTGAGTCCTAGCTAAAAATAGATACTCCAAATATAGTTGTTTTTCTTTTCATCTATAAAGCTTTTCATTTCATTGTAAAAAATATCCATGTCATGAAGCTTCCGCGTGAGTGGTAGGTGATTTAAAAATGACTTATCATCATCATCACCTAGATTTTTTTTAAAAAAGAACCAGTATTTTTACCCTCATGTAATAAGTTAAATATGTATTCTTTTAAAAGTTTGACTAGAATCTATATGATGATCTCCAAGCTATAGAGAAAATAGATGGAGGCCCTGCTAAAACATTCTAGACTGAATGCAGTTATTAAAAGTGAAAAACTATTGAATGGAGAGACTTTCCAAAGACTCAGTTTCTATTTGAATATGATTCAGATGAATACTTTTATATATTTCAAGGACTTTTGTAATCTAATTATGGTTAATTAGCTTGACTTAAGGTAGCAGTAGCACACTTTTAGAATACAAAAGATATAAAACCCAAGGCATAGCTTTCTGAAAAGTTTGAACTTGGACTTTTATAATGTTTTAAAGAATTATGTCTAAATCGCATTATATAATGGCCGAATAAACTTTTACATAGAAAATATACTTTTAGTATATTAGGCATATGGGTTAATTGTTAGGTTAGTGATAATTTAAACTACTCTGCATAGAGTAATAGGAGCCTATTTTATATTTCTATACTTACTTTTAAAAAATGAGATGATTGGCATCCCATATTTCATTTGATTACTTTATTACTCAGGTTGTGTTCTTTTTCTTCCATATAGCAAATCATAGTAATATTTTTTATTTCACTGTGACAATGCTTTAGAGAAAAGATGTGTGTGTGTGCGTGTGTGTTTTATATTAGATTTTTTGTTATGTCATTTAAGAGGAAGCTAAGAACTCATGATGTTATGACTATTCTTAACACTAACAAACCCCTTTTAATCTCCAATATTCGAAGTATTTAATAGAAGCCTATTAGGAGAACTGTCTTGTGTCATAGAAATGTGGATTCAAACCCTGTAAATATACAAACTTACTGAAACAAAGACATGACACCTGGCTATTACCAGATCTCATTGGTATTGTTTAATTCACAATTTTTTTTCTTTCACCGGTCCAGCCACTTTTGGCTCTGGAATAGCATATACTCCAACTGCAGTTCATTACAGCCATCAGTCAAGAGCACTTTGGCTTACTATTTTGGTGGCAAATAATAATAATAATAATAATAATGACTTTACACCTTTTTTAGAGCCGAATTATAAGTGATGTGGCTTTAGATTCTCAGATTTCATTTTTCAGGCTACCAAATAAATAACAATTTTAAAATTAGACAAATTTTATTTATTTTTCAGACCACGTTGATGAGCGAACAATATGCAATGGAATTGCCCCAGAAAAAGATGTAGATGGATTTCATATTATCAATATTGGAAGATTGTGCCTTGATCAGCATTCTCTCATACCTGCCACTGCCAGTGCTGTTTGGGAAATAATAAAAAGAACAGGTTGGTAATTTGTGGTCTGCAGGACATGGATGCTAGGTGCTGAGCTGAGCCTTTGTGCACTGAGACTTGATGGGACTACCTCAGTCCTATAGAGTGACAGAAAATCATAATCCATAAAACGTCAGTGTACAGAGAGATATAAAATTGTAGAAGTCAAAACATAATACAATCCTGGCTAACACAGTAAAACCCTGTCTCTACTAAAAATACAAAAAATTAGCCAGGTGTGGTGGCGGGCACCTGTAGTCCCAGCTACCTCGGAGGCTGAGGAAGGAGAATGGCATGAACCTGGGAGGCGGAGCTTGCAGTGAGCCGAGATCATGCCACTGCACTTCAGCCTGGGCGACAGAGCAAGACTCTGTCTCAAAAACAAAACAAAACAAACAAAACAAACAGAAAAAAAAATCCAAAATAAAATGAAACGAAGAGCATTAGCCAGATTATAGATAACTGCAGTTGCAACTTATAGGAAGTGAATTTTCCACATAGTAGTGGTATATGTCGGCCTTTAAAATGTAAACTTCATGCATTTTGATGAAAACTTTTCTAAAATATATTTTTCTGTACCTTTAAAAATATGTTCTGATCACATAGTTATCATTTCTATTGGCTTGGGTTTTAATTTTAAACATTTACCCTTGTACTGTACTGGATACGGTAATGCTCTCACAGACTCTTACAAAAGAAGTTTTCTTTCTGAGAAAGAAAAACTTCCAAGGGAAAACAGATCCTAGAATCATACTCCTACACTGTTAGTATTGGAAAATCCTTAGTTCTAACTTCTTTGCTTTACTTATGAAGAAACTGAGTCCAAAAGAAGTAGAAGGTTCTACAGGCTTTATTTTTTTACATCTTTCTAAGTCTGTAAGTTTAGTGCTTCTTTCCTATGGAGTAAAATGCATGAGCTTTGTGAAAAATGCCTCTTTTCTTACTTGTTTTGTTCCAGCGTTGCTCAAAATTTGATTGCCAATTAAGTTCGACATTGTTGTACTTTGCTTTTTTTATAAGCAGTTAATATATGTTAAAACTCTACTCTTCTAACTCTTAATGTGACTCTCAATGTTTAAAAGCAACTTAATGTCAACTTAAGAATGTCTGTGGTTTTTAATGAGTACATAATCAGAGAAGAAGTGACAAATCAAAGAAGCATAAAATGAATTATTTATAAATAATGAATGTGCTCATATTATAGATAAGCCACATAATAATTCAGATTTAATTAGAAATTTTTAAAAGAATGTTTCAGTTGGCTGTACAAATGTTTAATTTACTTCTTGTTGTCAATTCTGCATTTAAACCGAACTCTGTATTTTAAGGAATTCAAACATTTGGAAAAAATGTGGTTGTGGCTGGAAGATCCAAGAACGTAGGGATGCCTATTGCCATGCTTTTACACACTGATGGAGAGCATGAACGGCCAGGAGGTAGGTAGAACCTTGCAGATTCTACACTCTCTCGCAGTATTCTTACTTCTTACATCATCAAGTAAACACTTTTGATAATGCAGCTTATTATATTTGTGGGTTTATGCAGTTCAAAGTCTCCTTTATTCCTCATTTAGTGATGTGAGAGTCTTGAAAGTGACTGTAGGAATTACTGAAAATATGTGGCCATTTTCTCTATTTTTTTTTTTTTTGGCTATATGCACTTTGTTTAAATAATTAACAATTAGACATTAAGAAAGGTGCAAAGCTACTAGATACAAAAGATTCACATGCCCTCAGGAAATACAAAACAAGACATCTCTTGGATGTAGAATTCCTGTAGTGGCAAGGTCTTAGCACTTTAGAAATCAGCTAGTTAGTTTATTTTACAGACAAGAAAGCTGAGGCTTAGAGTTGTTATCTGATTATATAGGTTAAACAAATAGTCATTGTCCTATGAGTAGTAGTGACACTCCAAGTCACTGACAAAGCCCAGGAAGATGTGTTAGCCTTAGAGAACATGCAGCCATTCCAGGTGTTGGTCATCTGAACATCATCCCAAGACCTTGGTTTCTTCAGCAGTCTAATAGCTAGATACAGAATAGCTCCCCAGAAATTTGCAGGGGTCTGTCCCACAGACCCTGACCCAACGATGGATGAATAAAGTACACTGACACACAGATATTCTGCTTTACCAGTCCAGCTGAGCATCTGGGCCGCTTACAGACTCCACGCACAGTGCTGTAAACAGTTGCGACTATGGTCTCAATCAGTCAGCAAGACTTATGTTTATTCAGTAAAGATTAATTGACAAAGGCTTGGGTCAACACCACTAGAGTGTAATTGACATTGTGGACTTCCCAAGTAGAAAGCAATTAAGCACCCATGGTAGATCAAAGGTTAGTCTTAGGACCACACGAGTAAACAAGCTAGTTAGGTAAACTCTCCACATTCCTTTATTTCTACTCTAGTTTATTTAACTAAAGATAAGGGGACTAGGCTGCCTTCAGACTGATTTATTACTGAAGTTATGCAAACCCTCAGACCTTCCAACAAGGTTTGTGGCTATTAAAACTAAAATTTTTCCCACCAGCCTGACTGAACCACCACAGAAATGGAAATGGAGATGGAATGAAAAGGAAATACAGCAAAGGGGTGATGGGGCATTGTTCGTGGTTGTCTGAGCCAGTGCTGTGGGAGGAGGGCACAAGGGTTATTCAGCGTATCACTGTCTGCTAAATTCTGCATCTTGTTCTAATCTAGGTAAAACACCAAGTTTTCATGTTCTTAATAGAAGTAGTTATTGGTTTATCTATGTGTTAGAGACGTGTTGTACTTTGTTTACCATTTATTACTTCTAATCTTTCTCCCCCTAATTTTTGATACAGTACTTCATTGGTTTCTCTAATTCCAAAGAAGAGGATGGGCTACTTTGCTGCTTGCTTTCTAATATTTAACCAGAATGATAGACACCTATGTGCTCATCATGTACAGCACACGCACACATGCACACATGCATGCACACACACAGCATATATATATAGATTTCTTATTATTAACCTTGTTGAATTCGAGTTTCCTGATCTCAAACTTTCAATAATACTTGTTTTAGGATCTTGATTGACATGATACTTATGACATAATTTTTAAAACACAAAGCTCTATGGAAAAATAATCCCAGTATTAACTTATCTAAAATGATGAATGATGACACTTTTGAATAATATTTTCCCTTTCTATGCCTAAAGAATTAAATATTGCCAGAAATCAATACATATATATATGTGAATCACAGTAAATTAAGACTTGATAATGACTCCAGATAACTTTAAAAAGCCTTAGTTTTGAAGAGCTCTTAGCCCAAATCCAGTGGTATGACAGTTTTCATGGTACCCATCTCCAAAGTTGCATTCCTAGTTTCACTGTTCACTTCTAGCTTAGTCTATTGCTGCTTATCTCTTTCTCTCTCTCTCTGTAAATAAAGATAGTGATTCTTATTTGCCTTTATGTAATAATTTCTGTGTCTTACCTAAGCAAGGTGTATTAGTCTGTTCTTGCATTGCTGTAAAGAAATACCTAAGACTGGGTAATTTCTAAAGAAAAGAGGCTTAATTTGCTCACGGTTCTGCGGGCTGTACTAGAAGCATGGAGGCATCTCCTAGGCCTTTACGAAGGCCTCAGGAAATGTATAATTGTGGCAGAAGGCAAAGGTGGAGCCAGCATTTCTCATGGCTGGAGCAGGAAGAAGAGATGGGGGAGGTGCCATACACTTTTAAACAACCAGATATCATGAGAACTCACTGTTGCAACAATAGCACCAAGGGAGATGGTGTTAAATCATGAGAAAGTGCTCCCATGATCCAGTTACCTCCCACCAGGCCCCACCTCCAACACTGGGGATTACAATTGAAAGTGAGATTTAGGTGAGATTCCTGTTCCAGCCATATCACAAGATAAAACAATCAGTAATGTTTACCTAAGTATACTATTTCTTCTTGGAAAATTTTGACCAAGAGCCAATTTGCAGTTTTTTTTTTTTTCATTTGCAATGTTGTTTTTATCTGTAACATAACAAGCAACAGTGTATTGCTCCGTGATTTGCTCAGTACTTTCTCTTAAACCATCCTCATTAATTCTCAGTAATCCTAGCATATATTAATGTTATTCCCATTTTACAGCTAAAGGAAATGAGCTTTAGAGACTTCAGAGGACTCATCTAAGGCCATGCAAGGAAACAGGCATTCTGGGGAGCTGGGTTCTGACTTTGTGGTTAAGAGGATAGACATGGAGTCAGGCCCCCTCCATTACCAAGCCCTGTGATCTCGGGCAAGTCATTTAATCTGTGTAGGCCTCCGCTTTCCTCATCTCTAAAATGACAATAATATTAATATCTCCTCAACTTGGTTATTGTGAAAAGTAAATGAAATATTAATGTAAATCACTAATTACTGTGCCTAACATATAGTAAGTTAAGTAAGCTATTGGTGCATGTAGCTGTGGCATTATTACACTTAAGTCAATAATAATCTGTAGCCATTCTAACTATCATGTGTGAAGTAACATGATCTGAGATTAATGATGTGATTTTTACCTTTATTTGGATTTTATTTTCTTCTGGTGGATTTTGTTTTTGCATTTTTTGGATCATATCTGATCTTTTCTGTAAAAATTTGAATAAACTCAGAATTTATAAAAGTTTATAAAGTATTTGATTAGAAATAGGACATCATAATTCTCCAAATAGTACTTTACAATATATTTTTAATAGGTATCAATATATTGCATGCTAATTTCTTGATAAATTTCAATCTTGAATTATATATTTGTCTATAAAATACCTATCAAAATTTATTTACCTCTTTTATATGCAATTTTAAACTAGGTTATCCTGTGAATTAAACATTTTAATTTATTTTTTATCATGTATGATTTATTTATAGATGCATACATATGCAGTAAAAGCAGTAAAGGAAGCATGAGAAAGATAAACACAAATTGATGGTGGCAGTGACCTCTGGGGAAAGAATTATAGGATAAAAACAAAAACATATATACTTTAAAAAGTATACTTCGTGTTATGAAATATTCTCATTTGAATGCATGTTAAAATGGAATAAAAGTAGAATAAGTTATAATACTGGTTACTTAGAAACCAGATAATTAAACTTACCTTTATTATAGTGGTACCTGGGTGCCGTTAGAATTACAGTAACTAAAAGGTAACAAATTATACTAAAAATGATATTGGAAGATTTGCAACATGGGTGGTTTTTAGTCTCATGCATATTTAAGAGGAGTATGATGACATGTATTATTAATATAATGAATCATTGAGAGCTGCTTACTGAAGGTTTGGAGTCTGTGGGAAAGTTAATATTTCAAACATGCGTGTCTGTTAGGGCAATAATTATGGGCAGTGACTCCATGTGCATTGTTAGCTAATGAAGATAATGAAGGAGGACTAACTCGGCAAATGCATATCTATAGAACTTGTTCTAATGACACTCAATGTTGAGCATTCAGCTCATGCCGTGTATTTATTTCTTTTCCAGAAGACATGCAGAACCCTAGTGATTCGTTTTTGTCTTAAAGCCAAAGATAATTGTACTAGAAGAAAAATGACCATACTGTAATTTAGCTTGATTAATATGTGTCTACCTATGGCTAGCTTTTAGTTTTGTTATTAAGGACATGGATCCTAGCTGTTTCTTGAGTATTTTTTTTAATTCCCCAAGGGCTTGAAATATTTAGAGGAATGAGAATGTGCTAAAATCTTAAAGTAAAGGGATAGTGCTGACACTCAATACAACAAGGAAGCAAGGAAGGAGTTACCTTCTGGTGAGAACAGACCATCACAGAAGGCTTTGCAGAGGATATAGCACTTTAGCTGCTATGTAGTTTATAAAGAGTAGGTGAGAGATGGTTCCTGTCCTCCCAGAGCTATAGTCTTGGTGGTGGTGATGGGGGAACAAGGGGATATGATATACAAGTATGGGTAATTTAAATTTTAAATAGTCAGTGGCACAAAATAAAATTTGGTATCCCTAAATAAACATTCTATATGCTTCTCAAAACTCATGGCTAATTGAGGTGACATGAAGAGAATGAGCTCCACTAATTATTAGAATGTTTGAGTACCATTGTGACCACCTGTAGATCATTGTATATTTGTAACCAAACACGAGTCCAGATGCTCTCTGCTTGTGTAGTTCAACAAGAGCAAGGCCTGGTAGAAAGACAGTAACTTTATTAACCAAAACTAGTAAAAAAAAAAAAAAGGGAAGCAGCCAGATTTCTATCCAAAGTAACTCCTTTGATTTGGGGCAGGGTGGTGGTGGAAGGCAGAGGTTTAAAAAGGGAAAACTTGATAAAGAAGGCATGTAAGAATTGGGTGGAGTAAATGTCTGTGTGTCTTGTTCTGGTGGCTAACTTGGGTCGCAGTCCAGCTGGAGTGTGGGCTGATGTCATCTCAACAACGGCTGGGTTGTTAACCAGGGGCCTTGAAGTAATCTCTGGAATTTTGTGGCTGGGTCTCCAGACTTAGTCTGTCTGTCTCAAGATTAGCTCCTGGAACTTCTAAGAAGGCACATAATTAGATACTAGCATACGGTTAGATAGATATGAGGGGAGTATATACTGTGAGAAAGGGAGAGATGTGGAGTCTTTTTTAAGGCTAAGGAAAGTCTTCTGTAATTTGCCTCAAGGTTGTATCTTGAAACCCAAGAGAAAGAAAAAAAAAGTTGAAAATGCATTTTGAAGTTAAGCTGCCCAGTTACATTTTTTTTTTTACTTATTTGTATGTAGTCATCTACCAGTTTCACTTTCTTTCAGAATGAAAACTGAATACCATTGGTTTTAGCATAGTGTCTTTATTTTTAGATTTACAATGAGGAAGTAAAGTTTCCAATTTCTCTAAAACATTTATTTTTCCTTCAAGATTACAAATTGTCATAATGACTAAGGCATTATGGTTACTAACTGTCATAAGAGGATATAGAATCAGATTTTATTTCATATTCTTTTATTTTAATTTTGAATTTTTACTTTTGAGACAGGGCCTCACGCTGTCACCCAGACTAGAGTTCAGTGGCATGATCACGGCTCACTGCAGCCTCAACTTCCTGGACACAGGTGATCCTCCTGTTGGGAGCACGGTTGTTGGGACCACAGGCACACACCACCACACCCAGATAATTTTTTGTATTTTTCGTAGAGATGGGGGTCTCCTTATGTTGCCCAGGCTGGTCTCGAACTCCTGAGCTCAAGCAATCTGCCTGCCTCCACCTCTCAAAATGTTGAGATTACAGACGTGAGCCACTGCACCCAGCCTCATATTCTTAGAGTAAGTTTCTCTTGGCATACTTTTATTTCTAAGTAGGACATATCTTCTAATTAGGTGAGATTTCCCTAATCAGCCACAACATGGAGTTGTATGCCGCTCCTTTGACTAAAAGGTTCTGGCATCATTGGAGTAATATTGATGCTGGCTGATTTTTAAAGAGTATTTTGACAGGGCCAGCAACCAGCTGGTTTTGCTTAGAGTCCAGTGGGTCTGGTGTTTTTCTTGATTTCATTCAGCCAATACTCATCTAGTACTTATTATCTGGGAAACACTGTGGGATACTACTGCATCCCACAGAAAAAGACTTAGTCCTGTCTCTCCAAAAGTTGACAGTCTGAATCATCAGGATTCATCTTTGCAGTGGGTGTTTTCCGAAGGCACTGCCTCTGCATTGGCATTCAGTTTTCACACTCAAGCTGTGCTGCTGCAGCAACTTACTGTATCTCAGGTAGTTTTTCTTCAAGAGGCACCCTATCTAAATGGAAAATGACAATGATTTTTGCCAGTTGAATGCCTTCCCTTTGTGAGAATTAACCCCAGTTGTGAAAAAGAACTTTTTTTTTTTTTTTTGCCAGCCTGGAAGTTTTATCTCCCACCTACAGGACATAATAACACAGTAGTGGATGCTTGAGGCAGTGCAACGTGATGTGAGTGGTATGTGTGATTAAGCTCAGCCTGGTGGCAGGTTGAGCCAAGCTCTTTTAGGTTTCAAAGAGAGGAGCCAAATAGGAACGCCTAGGAATGCAGGAGTCATGCAAAGTGATCACACCACTGAGACTGACACTCTTAGTCTTATTGGCAGTGGAGTGGCTTGGGATGTTTGCTGCCTCTGGGGAAGGAACCATTGTCTAACTGGGACAGGGGATGGCAGGTATTTAGTCTCTGCCACTCTCATCCCACTACCCCCAGCTTAGAAGGAAAAGATGTTGGGGATATTATGTTTTGTGATGTCTCTACATTGATTAGACTTTACTGAATTACATATTTGAATTTGGGTAGTGGAAGACTGTAGAAAAGAGCAAATGATAGTTCTATTCTCATTTTCTAAATTGAATAATAGGAGCACTGTTTCATTTTCAGTGTCTTCTAAATTCAGTGTCTTCTAAATTCTAAATTTCATTTTCAGTGTCTTCTAAATTCAGCCATTTAGTATCTGCACAGCACTGCACTTGGAAATTATACATTATTATCAGACAACTGGCACTATCACACTGTTGAAAAGAACAGTAAAGCTTATTTTAAATGGAGAGTGAAGTCCGAATCTTTTTCTTTCAATTCCTCTCTTTCTCCATGACCTCATAGTGTTGTAGGACATTTTTCTAAGTTCAGCTAAAAGCCGAGTTCTTGTCATACAACCAGGAAAAATTAGGTTTGTGGACACATAAAAGGGTGAGAAAAATGGAATTTATTGGGTGAAAAGGAAAAACTCAGTAAAGTGAGAAGGATTCCGGTTAACAGGCCCAAATCTCACCAACTGAATCCCAGATTACCACCCAGGAACAGGAAAGGCCAGGCTCCTACCATGGCAAATGGCATGAATTTCCATGGCTCCAACCCATTCTCTCAGAGCGCCACCCAGTCAGAAGTTCTCTGAGGAGCCCTTTTTGCTTGGCTGTCTCATTTCGCCCTCTAAAGAAGTACATCTAACTGCCATTAGAATAAGGATTGTGATAAGGACAAAGACCAATCTTAACTGCTTGCTGCTGACAGAGGGTGCTGTTTTGGGGAAATGTCAGTCCAGTCTCCCTCAGAAGCCTATCTAAGGGTCCCCGGCAGAAGGGGTCATTGTCTGAGGCTCCAGTTGCTTGACCATTTGGAGTATGATGGCCTGCAGGTGAGAAGAGACAAACTGGATTATTAGAAAACATGTATCAAAACAAAACAAGTTGGGGCAAGGACAGCTCAAAAATCCTAGACCTTTTACCAGTTTGCACAGGGAGAGTGAGGCCAAAAGCCTGACTGGTTAAAAAACAAAAAAACAAAACAAAACAAGAAAAACGTTTAAGTTCTGGGATACATGTGCAGAACGTGCAGGTTTGTTACATAGGTATACATGGGCCATGGTGGTTTGCTGCACCCATCAACCTGTCATCTACCGTAGGTATTTCTCCTAATGTTATCCCTCCCCTTGCTCCCCACCACCCAACAGGCCCAGGTGTGTGTGATGTTCCCCTCCCTGTGTCCATGTGTTCTCGTTGTTCAACTCCCACTTATGAATGGGAACATGTGGTGTTTGGTTTTCCGTTCCTGTGTTAGTTTGCTGACAATGATGGTTTCTAGCTTCATCCATGTCCCTGCAAAGAGCATGAACTCATTCTTTTTTATGGGGGCATAGTATTCCATGGTGTATATGTGCTACATTTTCTTAATCCAGTATATTATTGATGGGCATTTGGGTTGGTTCCAAGTCTTTGCTGTTGTGAATAGTGCTGCAATAAACATATGTGTGCATGTGTCTTTATAATAGAATGATTTATAATTCTTTGGGTATATACCCAGTAATGGGATTGCTGGGTCAAATGATATTTCTGGTCCTAGATCCTTGAGGAATTGCCATGCTGTCTTCCACAATGGTTGAACTAATTTACACTCCCACCAACAGTGTAAAAGCATTCCTATTTCTCCACATCTTCTCCAGCATCTGTTGTTTCCTGACTTTTTAATGATCTCCATTCTAACTGGCATGAGATTGGTATCTCATTGTGGTTTTGATTTGCATTTCTCTAATGACCAGTGATGATGAGCTTTTTTAAATATGTTTGTTGGCTGCATAAATGTCTTCTTTTAAAAAGTGTCTGTTCATATCCTTCACCCACTTTTTGATGGGCTTGTTTTTTCTTTCTTTTAAATTTAAGTTTCTTGTAGATTCCAGATATTAGCCCTTTGCCAGATGGATAGATTGCAAATTTTTTCTCCCATTCTGTAGGTTGCTGTTCATTCTGATGATATTTTCTTTTGCTGTGCGAAGCTCTTTAGTTTAATTACATCCCATTTATCAATTTTGGCTTTTGTTGCCATTGCTTTTGATGTTTCAGTCACGAAGATATTGCCCATGCCTATGTCCCAAATGGTATTGCCTAGGTTTTCTTCTATGGCTTTTATGGTTTTAGGCCTTTTGTTTAAGGCTTTAATCCATCTTGAGTTAATTTTTGTATGAGATGTAAGGAAAGGTTCCAGTTTCAGTTTTCTGCATATGGCTAGCCAGTTTTCCCAACACCATTGATTAAATAGGGAATCCTTTCCCCATTACTTTTTTTTGTGTCAGGTTTGTCATAGATCAGATGGTTGTAGATGTGTGGTGGTATTTCTGAGGCCTCTGTTCTATTCCATTGGTCTATATATCTGTTTCGGTACCAGTACCATGCTGTTTTTATTACTGTGGCCTTGTAGTATAGTTTGAAGACAGGTAGCATGATGCCTCTAGCTTTGTTCTTTTTGTTTAGGATTGTCTTGGCTATACGGGCTTTTTGTTGGTTCCATATGAAATATATTTTTTTCTAATTTTGTGAAAAAAGTCAGTGGTAGCTTGATGGGGATAGCATTGACTCTTTAAATTACTTTGGGCAGTATGGCCATTTTCATGATATTGATTCTTCCTGTCCATGAGCATGGAATATTTTTCCATTTGTTTGTGTCCTCTCTTATTTCCTTGAGCAGTGGTTTGTAGTTCTCCTTGAAGAGGTCCTTCATATCCCTTTAAGTTGTATTCCTAGGTATTTTATTCTCTTTGAAGCAATTGTCAATGGGAGTTCACTCATGATTTGGCTGTTTTTCTGTTATTGGTGTATAGGAATGCTTGTTATTTTTACACATTGATTTTGTGTCCTGAGACTTTGCTGAAGTTGCTCATCAGCTTAAGGAGATTTTGGGCTGTGGTGACAGGGTTTTCTAAATATACAATCATGTCATCTGCAAACAGAGACAATATGACTTCCTCTCTCCCTATTTGAATACCCTTTATTTTTTTCTCTTGCCTGATTGCCCTGGCCAGAACTTGCAATATTATATTGAATAGGAATGGTGAGAGGAGGGGATCCTTGTCTTGTGCTGGTTTTCAAAGGGAAGGTTTCCAGCTTTTGCCCAATCACTATGATATTGGCTATGGGTTTGTCATAAATAGCTCTTATTATTTTGAGATACGTTCCATCAATATCTAGTTTATTGAGAGTGTTTAGTATGAAGGGGTGTTGAATTTTATTGAAGGCCTTTTCCGCATCTATTGAGATAATCATGTGGTTTTTGTCTTTGGTTCTGTTTATGTGATGGATTCCGTTTGTTGATTTGCATGTATTGAACCAGCCTTGCATCCCAGGGAGGAAGCCAACTTGATTGTGCCAGTTAAGCTTTTTCATGTGCTGCTGGATTTTGTTTGCCAGTATTTTACTGAGGACTTTCACATTGATGTTAATCAGGGATGTTGGCCTGAAATTTTCTTTTTTTGTTGTGTCTCTGCCAGGTTTTGGTATCAGGATGATGCTGGCCTCATAAAATGAGTTAAGGGGGAGTCCCTCTTTTTCTATTGTGTGGAATAGTTTCAGAAGGAATGATACCAGCTGCTCTTTGTACTTATGGTAGAATTGGGCTGTGAATCCATCTGGTCCTGTTTTTTTTTTGGGTTGGTAGGCTATTAATCACTGCCTTAATTTCAGAACTTGTTATTGGTCTATTGAGGGATTTGGCTTCTTCCTGGTTTAGTGTTGGGAGGGTGTATGTGTCCAGGAATGTATCCATTTCTTCTAGATTTTCTAGTTTATTTGTGTAGAGGTGTTTATAGTATATTCTTCTGGTAGTTTGTATTTCTGTGGGATCAGTGGCAATATCCCCTTTATCATTTTTTGTTGTATCTATTTGATTCTTCTCTCTTTGCTTCTTTATTAGTCTGGCTAGTGGTCAATTTATTTTGTTAATCTTAAAAAAAATAGCATTTTTTAATACTCCTGCATTCCTTGATTTTTTGAAGGGTTTTTTGTCTCTATCTCCTTCAGTTCTGCCCTGATCTTAGTTATTTCTTGTCTTCTGCTAGCTTTTGAATTTGTTTATTGTTGCTTCTCTAGTTATTTTAATTGTGATGTTAGGGTGTCGATTTTAGATCTGTCCCACTTTCTCCTGTGGGTATTTAGTGCTATAAATTTTCCTCTAAAGACCACATTAGCTGTGTCCCAGAGATTCTGTTACATTGTGTCTTTGTTCTCATTGGTTTCAAATAACTTATTTATTTCTGCCTTTATTTCGTTATTTACCCAGTAGTCATTCAGGAGCAGATTGTTCAGTTTTCATGTAGTTGTGTGTTTTTGAGTGAGTTTCTTAATCCTGAGCTCCAATTTGATTGCACTGGGGTCTGAGATACAGTTTTTTATGATTTCCATTCTTTTATATTTGCTGAGGAGTGTTTTACTTCCAATTATGTGCTCAATTTTAGAATAAGTGTGATGTGGTGTCGAGAAGAATGTATATTCTGTTGATCTGGGGTGGAAAGTTTTGTAGATGTCTATTAGGTCCGCTTGCTCCAGAGCTGAGTTCAAGTCCTGAACATCCTTGTTAATTTTTTGTCTCATTGATCTGTCTAATATTGACAGTGTGGTGTTAAATTCTCCCACTATTATTGTGTGGGAGTCTAACTCTCTCTGTAGGTCTCTAAAAACTTGCTTATGAATCTGGGTGCTCCTGTATTGGGTGCATATATATTTAGGATAGTTAGCTCTTCCTATTTCATTGATCCCTTTGCTATTATGTAATGCCCTTCTTTGTCTTTTGTGATCTTTGTTGGTTTAAAGTCTGTTTTATCAGAGACTAGGATTGCAACCCCTGCTTTTTTTTTTTGCTTTCCATTTGCTTGGTAAATATTCCTCCATCCTTTTATTTTGAGTCTATGTGTGTCTTTGCACGTGAGATGGGTCTCCTGAATACAGCACACTGATGGGTCTTGACTCTTTATCCAATTTGCCAGTCTGTGCCTTTTAATTGGGGCATTTAGCCTGTTTACATTTAAGTTTAATATTGTTATGTGTGAATTTGATCCTGTCATTATGATGCTAGCTGGTTATTTTGCCCCATTAGTTGATGCAGTTTCTTCATAGTTTCCATGGTCTTTACAATTTGGTATGTTTTTGCAGTGGGTGATATCAGTTTTTACTTTCCATATTTAGTGCTTTCTTCAGGAGCTCTTGTAAGGCGGGCCTGGTGGTGACAAAATCTCTCAGCATTTGCTTATCTGTAAAGGATTTTATTTTTCCTTCTCTTATGAAGCTTAGTTTGGCTGGATATGAAATTCTGGATTGAAAATTTTTTTCTCTAAGAATGTTGAATATTTGCCCCTACTCTCTTCTGGCCTGTAGTGTTTCTGCAGAGAGATCTGTTGTTAGTCTGATGGGCTTCCCTTTGTGCCTTTGTGGGTAACCTGACCTTTCTCTCTGGCTGCCCTTAACATTTTTTCCTTCATTTTAACCTTGGTGAATGTGACGGTTATGTGTCTTGTTGTTGCTCTTCTCATGGAGTATCTTTGTGGTGTTCTCTGTGTTTCCTGAATTTGAATGTTGGCCTGTCTTGCTAGGTTGGGGAAGTTCTCCTGGATAATATCCTGAAGAGTGTTTTCCAACTTGGTTCCATTCTCCCTGTCACTTTTAGGTACACCAGTCAAACATAGGTTTTGGTCTTTTCACATAGTCCCATATTTCTTGGAGGCTTTGTTCCTTCCTTTTCATTCTTTTTTCTCTAATCTTGTCTTCTTTCTTTATTTAATTAAGTTGATCTTCAATGTCTGATATCCTTTCTTCCACTTGATCAATTCTGCTATTGATTCTTGTGTATGGTTCACAAAGTTCTCGTGCTGTGTTTTTCAGCTCCATCAGGTCATTTATGTTTGTCTCTAAACTGGTTATTCTAGTTAGCAATTCCTGTAACCTCTTTTCAAGGTTCTTATCTTCCTTGCATTGGGTCAGAACATGCTCCTTTATCTCAGAAGAGTTTGTTATTACCCACCTTCTGAAGCCTACTTCTGTCAATTCATCAAACTCATCCTTCATCTAGTTTTGTTCCCTTGGTGGTGAGGAATTGTGATCCTTTGGAGTAGAAGAGGCGTTCTGGTTTTTGGAATTTTCAGCCTTTTTGTGCTGGTTTTTCCTCATCTTCGTGGATTTATTTACCTTTGGTCTTTGATGTTGGTGTCCTTCGGATGGGGTTTTTGTGTGGACGTCCTGTTTGTTGGTGTTGATGCTACTCCTTTCTGTTTGGTAGTTTTCCTTCTAACAGGCCCCTCTGCTGCAGGTCTGCTGGAGTTTGCTGGAGGTCCACTCCAATCCTTCTTTGCCTAGGTATCACCAGTGGAGGCTGCAGAACAGCAAAGATTTCTGCCTGTTCTTTCCTCTGGAAGCTTCATCCCAGAGGGGCCCCCGCCAGATGCCAGCCACAGCTCTCCTGTATGAGGTGTCTATTGACCCCTGCTGCAAGGTGTCTCCCAGTCAGGAGGCACAGGGGTCAGGGATCCACTTGAGGAGGCAGTCTGTCCCTTAGCAGAGCTCGAATGCTGTGCTGGGAGATCCACTGCTCTCTTAAGAGCTGGCAAGCAGGAATGTTTGTCTGCTGAAGCTGCGCCCACAGCCGCCCCTTCCCCCAGGTGCTCTGTCCTAGGGAATGAGAGTTTTATCTATAAGCCCCTGACAGGGGCTGCTGCCTTTCTTTCAGAGGTGCCCTGCCCAGTGAGGAGGAATCTAGTGAGACAGTCTGGCTACAGCAGCTTTGTTGGCTCCGCCTCCTTCAAACTTCCTGGTGGCTTTGTTTACACTGTGAGGGGAAAACTGCCTACTCAAGCCTCAGTAAATGGTGGACTGCCCCCCTGCCACCCTGAACAAGCTCAAGCATCCCAGGCCGACTTCAGACTGCTATGCTGGCAGTGAGAATTTCAAGCTAGTGGGTCTTAGCTTGCTGGGCTCTGTAGGGTGGGATCCGCTGAACTAGACCACTTGGCTCCCTGGCTTCAGCCCCCCAGAGTGAACGGTTCTGTCTCACTGATGTTCCAAGCGACACTGGGATATGAGAAAAAAACTCCTGCAGCTAGCTTGGTGTCTGTCCAAACAGCCACCCAATTTTGTGCTTGAAACCCAGGGCCCTAGTGGCGTAGGCACCCGAGGGAATCTCCTGGTCTGCAGGTTGCGAAGACTGTGGGAAAAGCGTAGTATCTGGGCTGGAATGCATCGTCCCTCACATCACAGTTTCTCACAGCTTTCCTTGGCTAGGGGAGGGAATTCCTCTACCCCTTGTTCTTCCTGGGTGAGGTGATGCCCCACCCTGCTTCAGTTCGCCCTCTGTAGGCTGTACCCACTGTCTAACCAGTCCCAATGAGATGAGCCAAGTACCTTAGTTGGAAATGCAGAAATCACCCACCTTCTGCATTGATCTCGCTGGGAGCTGCAGACTGGAGCTGCTCCTATTTGGCCATCTTGCCAGTCACCTTCTTGTTACTATTCTTAACTTAAAACTAAAAATTCCACCCTCACGAGCAGATAGCAATGTATAAAACACAATGCAAATGAGAATAGTGAAGAAAAAGGGGAGGAGAGGGCTGGAACTAAAAATAGAGCCAAAGACTTTTACTAAATATAGGCATATTATTAGGTCTGCATAGATACATTCCTACTGTCAAGCATACTGCATTTTATATAATGGTGCTGAATGTACGTTTGGTGAATTTATTTAATTGAGTTTGAACTAGATGTGCTATGATTGGGTCACTAATTTTATCCTGAGAGCTTGTTAGCAGGAAAAAAAAAAATGACAGTTATCCAATGAATTGTCTTTAAGATTAAAAAGAAACATGTGCTCAATAAAAATAAAACATTTTTCTAATATTAAAACTAAAGTATTTCTCCTAAGGGATTTTATAAACAGAAAACTATAAAATAAATTGAATAATATTCATAAAATGCTTGTTAACAAAAGGGCCACATTTTATAGGGCAATTTCCTTTATCATTTAAGCACAGATTAAAGCTACCATTGGCAACATTACTCTTCCTTCCCTAAACATTTCTTCTCATTCTCTGTTTCTGGGACATTCTTTTCCTCCCAACTTTTAAACCAGCAGTTCTCAACTTTAGCTGCCCACTAGAATCATCAGGAGGCTTTAAAAATAGAGCTACCTATGCCCAACACAGATAAAAATTAAATCAGAATCATTAGAAGTAGAACTTGAGTGTCAGCAAGTATATTTTAGAAGGCTCCATGGAAAAATCCCAGTGTGGTCAGTGTTGAGAATGATTTCTCAAGGAAACATTGGAATGACACCAGGACTTTTTTATTCATAGCCAGTCCCTCAGTGGGCCTTTGCAGCCCTATAGCTTTAAATATCATTTCTATCTCCTGTATACTTTAGACCATATAACCACTATGCACTTGAGAACTCCAGTTGCATGTCTAATACCCATCTCAATCTTATATGCAAACCTTCACTCCTAATTTTACTCCCCTTAGTTTTCCCCATCTTAGTTGAGTGGTACCATCAGTTTTTCTGATTGATCAGTCAATCCTTGACTTCTCTCTTTCTCTTACATCCTTTGTCTAATATTAGCAATCTGTGTAAAATATGCCTATGATATCACCACCTGGACTAATAAGATCCTAGTTAAGACAACTTCTATTTCTCACTTGGAACACTGAAATATTTATGAACTAGTTTCCCTGCATCCACCCTTGTCCCATCTTTCATTCACAGTCTGTTTTCCACATCATAGGTCTTGATCACCCATGTCTTCCTGTAACACCCATGACAACATGACACCAGAATAACATCCAGGTTCCTTACCACGATATGCAAGACCTTATATGATCTGTCCCTGGGCTGTATCTCCTAACTCACTTCCTACCATTCTCATGCCCCATCACTGACCCCTGCCCTAGCCATATCTGCTTTCCTGGAATATGTCTTATGTGCTTATTTCTCAGTGTCTTTTCACCTGGTTTCCTTTCTTCCTGAAATGCTTTTTTTCCTCAAGTTACTTACATAATGTATTTCCTCACTTCCTTCAGGTTTTTGTCCAAATGTTACCTAGGGTTGCCCCTGACCACCTTACCAAAATTGCATTTAGTGTCTATAGAGTTTCTCTGTAGAAAGGTTATTTTTAGTTTGTTTTTATAATTTATGTATTCATTGCTTAAAGATGCAATAGTAGCTTGCAGAGATAAAGAAATATTCAAATCTAGAATCTTTTGGCTTCATTTGTCTAAAAGAGATCTCAGGCTTCTTTTTTTCCATTGCTGTTCTGTGCATGATTACTGAGTTTTCCTTCCTGTGATTTTCTCTCAGTGATTTCTCCTTTAAACCACACCGTGACATGAACTAATATATTGGGAATGACTCAGATTTTCCGTATCCCGAGAAAGTGACAAAGCAAAACTCTATATGTGAGGTTCTAGCTCAGATTGGTTTGCCATTTTGCTTTACCTGCTGATTCAGGATCAGGCAGATGTTTGAAGATTTGCCTCATGGGAAAGGAAGTTGAGACTTATTTTGTGTTTCTGTTGAAGACAGATCTAGAATCATGGTAGAAGCAGCAAAAAGGTAGACTTTAGCTCTTATCATGAAATTTCTTACAGTCAAGACTAAGTAATATGCTCTCCTCATATTTTTTTGGAAAGTGGTTTATCAGTGGGAAAGGATACAAAAAGCATATTTAAAGGGGAATTGAAGCAGAAGTGAAAGAAATTTGTACTCACATTAACAATCTGTCTTCCCTGACACCTTCACCTGCCCCATGCCCTTCTCAGATGGAGTAAATAATGATGCTCTTGACAACACTGTAACTTCTACCTCCTTCTAACATGGAACCTAGCACACTGTATTGTGATTCTTATTTGTGTACCTGCTTTCCATATGAGAATAGAGAATTGTGTATTCTCATTGCCTAGCATGATTCTGGTATGTTTTCTATACATTTTTTTTTTAGTCATGATTTTTAGTTCTTTATTCTTCAATAAAATGAATTATTTTCCAGAGACAATAGTTAGAATGCTTGTGAAATCTTTCTATAAGTAAAACAGAAGAATCATGTTTTCAGTGATGGCTGTAGAGTTGCATAGGAAAACATCTTACTATAGGAGTAAAAGACACAGAATCCAGAGTTGAAAGCTGGCACATGGACAGTGCTACTCATTGCCAGTCTTACCGGGAACATTCCATAGGGTCTGGTTTTTTAGCTTACTCAGCAAATAACTATTTCATTCTGCTCAGAGTGAGGCTAGAGAGCCACTGAAAAAGTATATGCAAGTTTTGCAAGGGCGCGGCCAAGACACAACCAGAGAATCCTGTTTAAGGGATTTATAGGATCATTTATTGATTATTGAATAAATGAAGGTAGGGAATGGCCCGGAAATGTCCAAGAACAGTGAATTCCTCATTAAGGTAATTTCAAGCCCCCCCCCCACCACCAAAAAAATGATACTAACAAATGAAGCACATTGTGCTGTTTGTTCTAGCTTTGTTTTTTTATAAATAGCAAATATTATTTGCTTCAAATTGGCATTCTGTGCTAATGACTAACAACTGTTTGCTAGTTAGAAAACTGCTCAGGTGGGTCCTAGTTGATAATTCTTGGTTGAATCTAGATTTTTACACAATAAAAAACATATCTTGTCTACCTATTAATTACTGATTTCTAAGAAAACTCTAAGATTCTAGAAGATAGAGTCTAAGTACAGAAGCCCTCTGTATCTGTGGGTTCCACATCTGTGGATTCAACTATCTATGATTAAAAATATTAGAAAAAATATAAATAACAACAAAAATAATATAAAAATAGTATAAAACTATTTACATAGCATTTACATTGTATTAGGTATTACTTATAATACCTAAGTAATAAGTAATCTAAAGATGATTTAAAGTGTGTAGGAGTATATGCATAGGTTATATGCAAATACTATATTATTTTATATCAGAAACTCGAGCATTTGTGGATTTTAGTATCTGCCAGTGCGGCAGGTGCCCTGGAACCAGTCCCTCCCAGATACTGACAGATACTGAGGGACAACTGTATTTTATTCTTCCTATGTCTTAGAAACATATTATAAAACACTAGGCACAAAATAGTTACTTATAGACTCTGCTTATCTAGTTCTGTGTGATAGAAAATGAGGCCCTAGCCCACAGTGTTCTCATATGCACTCTAGAAGGATACAACTGTGAGTGTGGGAAAAAGTCATCTGAAGGTCAGAGATATGCATCACTCTTGAGTACCTGCTGCGACTTGCTAGTACTAGCTGCCCTTTGGAAAAAGCTGAGAAGACAGAAAAAAATTAGGTGCAGCAAGCCAGAGGATTAGTTGAAGACAATTAATGGACGATAAGAATTGAATATAGGAATGACAAGAATTTTCACATGCCAAGGAAGATGAGTTAAATAAGAATAGGTTTAAGAGGAAAGCTAGGTGTCAGGACCAGGAACAGGCATCCAGGTGCTCACCAGCAAAGGTCAGAAGAGTCTGAGGCATTATTTGAACACATTTGCTTTTAGCTGTTTGGTTCACCTCTCTTCAACATCAGGTCTTCCGAATAACAGGCTGAATGCCTTTCCATGGTTAATATTGGTATAGTCATAAACTCTGATCAATCAAGTTCAAATATGACTTGGATAGTTTCTACGGACATCAACAACCAAACTGACTGAGGAATATCAAGTTAACCTGATAGTATTGAAAAAGGAGTGAAATTACCTACAAGGGTTTTCCACGCAGATTGAAATTTATCCTGATATACTTTTCTTTTGCCTGCAACTTTACAGATTGTTACTTATATGTGTGTACAAATCACTGGATTTCATGTCTCTGTCAAATTCTTGATGAAATAATCAGTACTGATGGAAATGGGAAGTTTCAGTTTCATTTTGGTTTTGATTTTTTTTTTTGGTAGGGATTTGGGAGGCTCTCATTTGGAATCAGAGAACACTTGAGTGGGTTGTTAAGGTATTAAGGAACATTTTCAAATGTAGGAGGCCAGGACTAAAACAGAGATGGGTGGGTGCTTTATAATTTTGATAACCTTGGGATGGTTATAAATATATACTCAACATTCTTGAGGGTTTATAGTGAGTGAAAGAAAGAGAATAACCAAGGGAGACTTTTAGACTTTTACTGTAAATAACTGGGCAGAAGGTGGTACCAACTAAAATAAAAAAGGCTGCTAGTTGCCTCTCATTGTTCTTCCTTTTCAAAGTTTTCCTAATTATCTTTGATTTTTCTATATTAACCTTAGTATCAAATTACATACTTCCAAAAAGTTCATTTTTATTGGACTTTGATTATATTTTTAATGAATATAGGTGGAATTCTAATCTTTATGATATTAAACATTCCTATCCAAGGGCATAGTTTATCTTTCTAGTTTCTTGGTCTTATTTATATCTTTTGGTGTTATTCTGGAGATTTTCTTTTACT
Organism: Homo sapiens; assembly: GCF_000001405.40. Classification (NCBI taxonomy): domain Eukaryota; kingdom Metazoa; phylum Chordata; class Mammalia; order Primates; family Hominidae; genus Homo; species Homo sapiens. The sequence goes on from NC_000004.12 coordinate 74,220,633, forward strand.
ACATAGATTTTGCACATTTTTTGTTATGCTTATTTTAAGTATTTTATCTTTTGTACTGCTATTATAATGGGGCCTCTTCTTACAATGTATTTTCTAAGATGTTATATATGAAAGCTATTTACATCTGTATATTTTATTTTTACTTGATTAATTTATTGAATTATCTCAATGTTTCTTATTGTAGTCTGGTTTTTCAGATTTATCAAGTACATTTTAACTTTTATGGTTTTTTTTCTAGTTTCATTTGTTTATTGTTCAATTTCTACAGTTAAATGATTCATTTTCTTATTTCTGTTTTATTGATATAATAATTTGTCCACAATTTTTTTAACATTGCTTTATATTTATTTTATAGGATCTAATATGAAGTGTTTTCATTATAAATCTTTCTAAAAATTTTGCAATGTTGTTTTGTTTTATTTTGACCCAAGAATTATTTAAAAGAATTTTTAAAAACTTCCAATAGAAGGGTCTCCTTATGAAGGATCTTTTTTTTTCCGATTTTGTCAATAATTATAATTTTACTGAGTTGTAATCAAATAAAATTATAGTCTATCTAATTATTTACTTTTTGGTATTAATTAAAATTTTCTTTGTAACCAAGTTTATACCATTTGCACATGAGAAGAAAATGTATTATTTATTTTCTGAGTTTGATATAGTCATATATATAACATTAGTTAAGTTATTGACATTTTCTGTATCCTTGATCTGTCATGAACTGAGAAAGTTATTCAAAAATAAATTAAACAAATACAATATATTTTGTTTCTATATATATCTCCTGTAATTTCAGCTTAAAGGAATTCTATTTCTTTTTCTTATGTATATATTATTTTTCTATCTTTATTTGAATCACTCTTTTACTTTATAATGTGTGCCTCTTTGTTTTATTTAGTGCTGAATTTTTGTTTGACAGAAAGCATTATTTTCTGGCATTTTCCTGCTACATGTTTGCTTTCAACATTTCTAAATTCTGAATAACTTTGTTTTATGTGTATAATGTATGCTGTATAGAATTAGCAAAACATATAATTAGATTTTGCTTTGTAAGTCAATTTGAAAATATTGTTCATTTAAATAAATGACAAGGAAATTTATATTTGTTTTTATGATAAATATATATGGTAAAACTATCATATTATTTTCTGTTCTGTTTATTGTTTTTATTTTTTACAGTTTTTTCTTTGTGCATTAAAAAAATATTTAAGAAGGTTTTTATTACCTTAATAATTACAACATTATATAGTACTCTTAATTCTCTATTTATTTATAGGGTGGCTACTGATACTCTAGTACAATAAATAAATGATAAAATGTTTTTATTTTCTCCCCTCATTCCTTTTGTCTCCGACCTGCTATTTGCCAGTAAAAATTATTTGAAAAATATATATTTTTTTATTTTTTACTTTATACTTTTAAATGTTCTTATACTTTGATTATCTGGTTGGTCAGCTTTTAAACATTTGTTGATTCCTGTTATTACATATTAGGCAGTCAACAAACTTTCTCATCTTTGCCCTTTCTCATTCTAATTTTGGTAGTTGCGTTATTTCTGCATAGTAAAAGCAAAGACCATTTACATTTGTCTGCGTTTTAGTCTGTTTTGTTCTGCTATAGCAGAATATCACAGACTGGGTAATTTATAAAGAATAGAAATTTATTTCTGAACAGTTACAGAGGTTGAAAGTCCAAGATCAAGGTGCCAGCATCTGGTGAGGGCCTTCTTACTGCATCATCTCATGATGGAAGGCAGAATGGAAAGAGAGGGCAAGAGCAAGACAGAAGTGGGCTGAACTTGTTCATTTAGAAGGAACCCACTCCTGCAATAACAGCATGAATCCATTCATGAGGGCAGAGGACTGGTGTCCTAATCACCTGTTAAAGGTTCCACCTCTTAATATTGTTACAATTGCAATTCCATTTCAACATAAGTTTGGGAGAGGACAAACATTCAAACCATAGCTGTTTGTTACCCCAATCCTCACACTTTTTTAAAGTCTTGATCCTATAATCATAATCAAAACTTTTAGCAGTCCTTTTGCTAGTTTCCTCAGACATACTTTGATTAAGTAAACTGTGTCTTTTAGCATGTTCCTTAGGAAAGACTTATGGGAACAATATTTCCTGAATTCTTGCATTTTCAAAATTGTTTGCAACTTTTAATCTTGGAGGCAGATTTGACTGGCTATAAAATCCTTTACTCTCATTTTTTTACATGAATCATTTGTAGATACACAATGAGATACCATCATCTCACACCACAGTCAGAATGACTATTATTAAAAAGTCAAAAAATAACAGATTCTGGCGAGGTTGCAGAGGAAAAAGAATGTTTATACATCATTGGTGGGAGTGTAAATTAGTTCAACCATTGTGGAAAACAGCAGGGTAATTCCTCAGAGACCTAAAAACAGAGCTGCCATTCGACCCAGCAATCCCATTACTGGGTATACACCCAAAGGAATATAAATTGTTCTATCATAGACACATGCAAACGTTCATTGCAGCACTATTCACAGTCACAAAGATATGAAATCAACCTAAATGCCCATTAATGGTAGACTAGATAAAGAAAATGTGGTGTGTGTGTGTATATATACACACACACTACATACACACACACACATACACACACCATGGAATACTATGCAGCTATAAAAAAGAATGAGATCACATCCTTTACAGGAACATGGAGCTGGAGGCCATTATCTTTAGCAAATTAATACAGGAACAGAAATCCAAATACTGCATGCTCTCACTTATAAGTAGGAGCTAAATGATGAGGGCAAATGGACACAGAGAGGGGAACAACAGACACTGAAGCTTACCGGTGGGTGGAGGTTGGGAGGAGGGAGGGAATTAGGAAAACTAATTAATGGGTACTAGGCTTCATACTTAAGTGATGAAATAATCTGTACAATAAACCCTCGTGACATGAGCTTACCTATATAGCAAACCTGCACATGTACCCTTGAACTTAAAATAAAACTTAAAAACAAATAAAAATAAATAAATATTTTTGTATAATATTTGGTCATAATGTTCAACTTTTCCATGACATTTTTTGTTGAGTTTATTGGTACATTGCTAAGTTCTTAAATTTTTTTTGCCTTTGTTTTGCCTTTTGTTTTGGTTCTGACACTTTTTAAATGTATCTTTCTATTGAATTTTTAAAAATTTGCATATGGTAAAATTTACTCTTTTTGGTGTGCAGTTTCATTAATTTAGACAAATGCATGTAGTCATCTATTAAGTTAATTAGTCTAACACCACTAGAATCAGAACAGCTTCATCACTCCCCAAATTCCCCTGGGTTTGCTCTTGCATAATATCCTTTTATTGATGCTGTGTCACATCCATTTTTATTACTCATCATTGAATGAGTTGGATTTTTTAGATCTACTGTTTACAGGACACTTCTGCTGGGGGTTAGAGGAGGTCCTGTGCAGCCTTCTGACTCCTTTATTACTTTCACAGAGTCAGATTGCTTTCTTCTAAAATAGCCCCTCTATGTAAGTGTGTTCCCACCCACTCTAAACTATACTGGGTCCCGGAAGGCTCTTCTGCCTTTATTTCTATTCTCACTGCCCCAATTAGGAAAGCTATATTTTTTTGCACTTTGGGATAAACTTTTCACAGAAGTGTATTTTTGCAGTCAATTTCAGAGATCTGCCGCTGCCGGCCATGTTGTCATTCTCCGCATTTCTTTGCTGCCTTTCTCCCTGTATGGTATCTACTAATTGCTGCTTTTGGTAACTCTTAACATGTTTTTGGAGTCTGTAGAAATTAGGTCTTCCAGTTTTTCTAAAAATGGTGATCATGTAACTTTTGTTGTTTTGGTTAACTGTGTAACATTTGCACATCTTCCAGGAGAAGACAAGATGCAGTCTTAGCCGTATTCTTACCAGAAATCCTCTTGACTGCACTTTATCACCAACTTTCCCTCACTCTCCTTTCATGGCTCACACTTTAAATATTGGAATCTCTTGCCTCTCTTGTTCTTTCAACCCTCCCTTAAGGCTTTCATATAAAATCTTCCTGTGATGTACCATAACCTGTGACAAAAAAATTTTGCTATTTTCCAAATACCCACTTTCAAAGTTGGTTAGTTTTTTCCTGCTATTCTTTTAGCTTGGAATGCCTTTTTCTTCCTTACCTGATTAGAACACTTCTGCTCATGCATTAAGACCTAAAAAAATGTATTTCCTCCTTTAGGAATCCCTCCTAGACACCTTCTCAAGACAGAATTAATCTCTCAGTTATGCTCCCACAATATATTGTCCCATTTTTTGTTCACTTACCTTATTGCTTTTATTATTTGTTTGCTTGTCATTATGAAGACAATGAGTATCCTGTATACTAATGTATTAAGCAGTCAACACAGAATTTTCAAATTCTGTATTTCAGGGACTCTACTTATAGCTCTCCTGTGATGATCGGCACTTACCCTAATTTGGTCTCATTGATTTTCCTTTCATTTAATTGAAGGGTACAATATTTTGGTTCCTCTTGGTTTTCTTGTATAGCTTTTGTGCTCAAAGTGATTTAGTCATGTCAAAGTAGCCTTTCTATTCTTAGGAAATAAGTGAAACTCTTCTGGATTTAGAGCATTTATAAAATTTTTAAAAGTTCAGTAATCACTGATAGAAATTCTTCTGTATTCCAGGTGATGCAACTGTGACAATAGCTCACAGATACACCCCCAAAGAGCAACTGAAGATTCATACGCAGCTGGCAGATATTATCATAGTTGCTGCAGGTAAGTCCTTAGTGACTGTTATTTTTTGGAATGTCATCAGCAGAATAATTCCTGCCCTAAATGCTGACATGTTTGAAAGCTTTTTGAGAGAGTTAGCTTTATGTATGACTAACTTCTGTTGATTGGATTCTGTCTCTTGGCAATCATTATATCAGTCCATTGTGCCTATGTTAGCATTTGTTACTTCATTATGGAAAACCCAAACAGCTTTTGGGATGACAGATTAAGCACAAGAACAATGTGCACTTTGCTAATTGCTTTGACGAACATGGTTTAACAGCATTTACGGAAAAAGGTTGGTGCAGGTAAATAATACATTGTAGCTATGGAGAACAATAAAACTTGTATTTTCAAGTTGTATCAAGGAACATAGAATGTTCAGGTGAGGGGAAAAGATAGTCACTATGCTGCCCTAAACACAGCCAGGCTGAAGAATTATGTTCTGAAGTCTAGACTTTAGGGGAAAAGTTGATGGATGAGACCATGTCCAAAGGAGAGTATCTAGGATAAGAATCTTTCCAAAAAAGATGACATATGAAATTTGGTCTGATGAACTGAGGATGTTTGGTCTGGAAGAAAGTATGACCTAAAGAGATACAACAACTTTTTTTTTAACATAAAGAAAAAACCCAAGCCCAAACTTTTATAATAATAAAAGCTGCCTCAAAGTCACCAGTTCTTGAGATAGTAAGTTCCTTATCACTACAGTGATTAGCAAAATAGATAAAAACATAAGTGGCATTTCATAGAGCATTATTTGTCAACGTTTATTGGATTTTGCCCCATTTTGGTTGACAAAAAAAAAATCCCCTTTCAACATTATCAAAATATTTCAATAAATTAAACAACATAGCTAAAAATGCATGTAAACAGTTGTAATTATTTTGAGCATATGTTCTTTGGGGAAGGAATCACATTCTTTCTTTACTCCCTACCATTTAAAGGACCATTGCAGAGAATGTCTGTCTACTGAGTACTAGGTTGGGTTCATTGTGTTTTAATACTTCCTTCAATGATGAGACTCTTTAATTCTCTATTTTAATATACAAAAGAAAGCTTTATGGAATATATGTATATGTATACTTATTATATTTCATAAGATTAAATTTCTTTAAATTTGTTTGTGTTTTCCTACAGGGTAAGTTAACAAGAAAGATATTTTAGAACATAGAAAAGGCTGGAATATGGGGCTTGTGTATGGATAATTCACTTACAGATATTTGAGAGTTTATCATTTACTCTGATTTTAATTAAACGTGTACTTTTGAATAGCAAAGATAGTACTAAATTCATTCAATTGAATACTAAATTCATTCAATTGAATATTATTTATTCAATAAATATTGGACCCTTCCTATGCAGCAGTATCTGTTTTAAATTTTAGGAATACAGCAATGGATACAAATGATGAAATGCCAGCCCTCGTAGAACTTACATCTTAGTGGGAGAGAGAGCAAATAAACAGTAAAATATAATGCCAGATAATGATAAGTGCTATAATGAAACTGGATGAAGGAATAGTGTTTTGGGGATACTGTTTTAGATTGATTGATTGGTGAAGATCTTTCTTGGGAGGTGACCTTTTGAGTAGAGTTCTTGTCCTGGCCATTCTCCATTTGTCCACCAGCCCCAGTGTCTGCCCTTCCCTGCCCTGGTCTGGCCCTGAGAGGCTGACTAATGAAGATGGCCTCACCTGTGTTCCTCTGACACTGGCTCCCAGCAAGGTTTGGCACTAGTAGGATATCTGAAGGAGAAGAAGAGAAATGTCAAGTCATGGTGTTTCTTCTCTACTCTTTTCCACTTCTACTGTCTTTCTCTTCCTCCTGCATCGATAGCTTTTGCTCAGCATCCTTTCCCCGACAGCTAAGGCTCTCACTGGGCTGCAGTAACACCATTTCCTCACCCCTACAGACCTAGGAATGGTACAAGCTTCCTCCAGTTTCTAATCTCTAAGAGCTGCAACAGCTTTTGTTTTTATCTTAGCCTGAATATATCGCTGTAAAAATTATTTCATTACTATATGGGGTGGATTCTGTTTCCCATGGAGATACCGACAGAAGCAGATCTGTATGAAGTAAAGGCACAAATCAAGAACCATTCCTGGGGGAAGAGCATCCCGAGCAGAGGAAACAGCAGATACCAAAGTCCTTAGGCAGGAGCATGCTTGATGTATTCCAGAACACAGGTCTTTGACGGCTTATTATATTACTCTGATTTTAATAAAATATTAATAAATTATGAGGATACTAGTAAGAAATGTTGTTGGGAAGGTAGCCAGGGTTAACTCATGAAGGACGTTGTCGGCCATGGTTAGGATTTTGATATAAGCCAAGAATGGCTGACAGCAGATCAACATGGTCTGACTTAGGTTTTAAAGGACTGATCACACCTTTAAAAACATATCAGACCTCATGTCTGCAGTTGTGTCAAAAACTGACTTTAGAGGTGTAAAAGTAGAAACAGAGAGGAGAGGTATTGCAATTTCATTTAATGGGTCTAGATTTTGCTCTAATTTGTTTTGTATTTGAACACATAGTTTCAATCAAATTTAATAAAATATCTGATTCTTCTATAGGCCCTTTTCTGGAACCTAGAACATATACATGACTGCAGGAACAGTAGTTGGCTCCTCATAGAGTAAAAATAGAAATGTTCTTTTTCCCAGAAAAAAAATCAGTAAGCTGGTACAGATAACCATACCACATTGCCTGTTTTTCCAAAAAATTACATTTGGGTGATATCAAATGCAAATTTTTGAACTGCATTGACAGAAGTCAGGCATGTTTAGAGAGTTAGTAAACTTTTTCAGACCACAGATCAGCATTAAGTGAAATACTGCTTCAGCCACTGATACCTTCATGGCAGATAAGTATTATACTGACTTCTTTTTAGAGACACTTCTGTTCACACACAAGACACAGAATTTGTTGAATAAAGAGGAATTTGAATGCTCATCTTTGTCCGTTTCTAACCTTAGGAAGAATGAAGTTTACATTATCCTTAAAAGGTATTATTTGACTAATGTTAACAGCTTGTACAGAATATTTGACTATTGTCCTTAGATAACATTTATCAAATATTATATTGAATGAGTATTTTATTCTAGTGGAGGAAAATCTCTCATCATGCCTTCCTACTCGTGGTTTGTTTTATTATTATGACAAATGGCACATGGGTGATCACAATCCACTTGCAAGAAACACTGATATTCTCTTGTAACTAAGTCAAAGCTTATGCCATAATGCCAACACTGTTGTCCTCCTTGAGTTTATCCTCTCTAGCTTTCTTTGTAAAGGCCTAAATCAGCCTTGAGTACAGATATTTAAAAAGAAGACAGGAAAAGAAAAAGAAAAGGAAAATAAAGGAACAGAAGGACAAGGAAGACTCAAGCCTATATAAAATAAACAAGACAGGAGCCAGGAGGTACTCAAGCTTTAGGTGTGGTGGGTGTTGAGGCTGTCCCACAAGCATCCCGCTGAGGGTATTTTCTTACCACCAGAGGGCGCCAGTCAGGTGAGCAGCTACTTCAGATGTAGCCAAGTTGGCCATACACCATGCTAATACTAGTTAGAAGACATTTTAAACAAAGACAGTGGGAAGAAGTCCTGTTCCTTGCTTTTTTATTTCACCTTTAATGCCTCTTACTAAATACAAAAGTATGTTGAATGTAGAAGACAGATTTGTATGTAGTTCTGCAGTCTTCTTGAAGAAATAAATATTTAGCCAATGGGAAATTTAGGGGAAGAAAATTGAGAATTTATAAGAAACAACTAAAGATTGCTACATTTCCAGTTAATTAATAATCACCTGGAGAAGTTAGGGATAAAACATGTAGGCATTTATAAATTATAGAAAGAATGTGAGTGAATATAAAAAATAAATCCCATATAACCAGACAATAGGAATAAAGTATTGCCAGAATGACCATATCATGCATTGTGTGTGGGAACTAAACAAATACAAATAGCAGTGGGTATTTAAAGGAAATAGTGATCTAATGGCAGAGGTAGCCAGAACGGGGAGGGCTAGATCACTGTCATAATGAGAATGTCAGCATATATGGAAACAACCTCATCTAGGAGAACTCAGGGTAGAAGGAGGAGGATTGCGTGATATATATCAGAAAGAATGATAATGTCTGAGAGATGAGAGTGAAGAATGTGGTAATGAAATCTTGACACAAGCTTGAAGAAAGTAAAAGAGGAAATCCTGTGTGAAGATCCTGAGACATGAATATTAGCTTATTTAATATTAATGTCATCCCTCCAGTTTCTCATAGTACTACTCCTACTGGCTTATATATCACTCACCTTTTTAAAATTGCCCCCAAAATTGAGATTTAGACTCAGTTAGAAGCTTAGATCTGCAGAATCAGACCCTGTCACACTATGCAATTAGAAGTAAGTAGCTTCAAGTCCCTACTCAAAGCCAAATCTCTGAGTTCACAGAGAGAGTTAACAAGTTTCTAGAGTACTTTAATGTACCATGGTTATAGCACATAGTACCTGTTTATAGTTGTTATCTTCATTAGACTACAGCAGGTAAAGGCGTGGTATTTTTTTTTAAGCTTGCTAGGTAAGTGCTTAGAACAATATCTAACACATAGTGGTTGCCCAGTAAATGTGAGCTGTGTTGATTTTGAGATTATAACTACAATAAGAACTTTTTCAAATTGATACATATTTAGCCGATATAATCTAATTTTTTAAGATGGAATTATTCTAGTTGTTGGATTTACACACTGTAGCATTATTTTTGGGAACTACCAAATTATTCCAGTTTGTCATCATAAAGTAGTTGCTAAAGCAATAAAAAGTGAAATATTTATTCATGAAAGAGTAGTTCATGTCATTAAGTGTATGAATGGAGTGATTTAGGTGTAAATGTTAAGATTAAGAAATGATGGGAAAGGTGGCCGGGTGCAGTGGCTTACATCTGTAATCCTAGCACTTTGGGAGGCTCAGGTGGGTGGATCACCTGTGGTCAGGAGTTTGAGACCAGCCTGTCCAACATGGTGAAACCCTGTCTCTACTAAAAATACAAAAATTAGCCAGGTGTGGTGGTGGGTGCCTGTAATCCCAGCTACTCAAGAGGCTGAGGCAGGAGAATCACTTGAACCCGGGAGGCGGAGGTTGCAGTGAGCCGAGATCACACCACTGCACTCCAGCCTGGGCAACAGAGCAAGACTCTGTCTCAGAAAAAAAAAAAAAAGAAAAAAGAAAAAAAGAAATTATGGGAAAGGTGAAGAAAGAGTAAGGAGACTATTACATCTAAAGAACAGTAAGAGTACTGGATGGTTGAAAGGGGAGGAGCAGTTTAGGGAAAGGCTAAATCAGCTTTGCACAAGCTACTGATAAAGAAGGGAAAGCTAGCCAGTATCAATTCTAAGATCATGTTGGAGATCATTGGGCTTTCTCGTATCTGCTTTAAGGAAACTGTAGGCTATCCTAAGTCTGTAAAATTCTAGGAATCTTCATTATTCAGCAGGATAGGCAAGTTTTTTTAGACATTGTCCACATTACCCTCCACCCATCTGAGTAAACTCTGAAACTATATTCAGGAAATGAGCTGCTGAGTCAATGCCACTTGCATGTCAAGCTCTGGATGCAGTGTCACGGTGGTGAAAGCTGGCATTTTTGGCCACTAAGCCATCCCTTCCAGCATGACGAATGAACCTTCACAGTTGTAACTTTAGAGTGTCTATTGCAACACTTTTAATGACAGATACCATGATATAAAACAGGATAAATGGGCAATTTAGTAACTCAGAATATTCATACTTACTTGTCATAAAGTACAAAGTGACCAACGAATTTCCTTTCACCACTTCTCCAATCATATTATCAAGTCTTAGAAACACTCCCATCAAACATTATCCTAGGGCTCAATAGGGTTTTCCCCCGGGTGTATTTCCTCCTCCTTGAAACAGGGTTCGTAATTTTCAGGAAACCAGGACATGGAGAAGTTCCAAGGGGTGGGGCAAGGAAATAGCTCCACCATCCCCACAGCTCATGCAACCCGGGAGTACAACTTGCTCACTTACGGCCCTGAGTGCTTCCTGAGTGATGCCAGCACATTTCATGGCTTCACTCATACTATAGTCCTTTCCATATCTCATTTCTTATTTGTTATTGTCCAGCTTGTCCTCTTTTGCTAGCCTCTGCTACTCCACTTAAGGGTTCCTTCCCTCCTTCCTAAAAGTTGTCATTATTTTCATGGTACAGAGTAGTGAAAATGCACAGGCCTTTCTAAAGTAAGAATTCCAGGATTTAAATTCCAGCTCTGAGACTTGCTGATTGTGAGCTTGGTCTCATTTCTGAATCTCAATCTGTTCATTGATGTGATTTAAATGATAATAATAAAAGTAACCTTTCATAGCGATGTCTACTTTATATTTTTGATCTTAACTATGCTGATCTAAGTAGAATTTCCCATATCTAAAATGATGCCTTTTACTTATTGAAAGGCATTTTAGTGTGGTTTATGTGTAATACCAAATAAAGAATATTTAACACTTCTCAAAAAAAAACCTTTTGCATAGTGTAATCAAGCTAGCCAATCCATGTAAAGAGCATAGCACAGTGCCCAGTATATTGCAAATATTCAATAAGTGTTATGTGTTAATGTATTCTATGTTAGGCATTGCATGTGAATATTTAAACAATTTAGAAATGATAAATCAGTTGATTATTAAGCTACAACTTAGCATAACTAAAAGAATATACTTCTTGGTTGCTTTTGATACTAATACAGTATCAGAGTAGAGTAGTTCTTATAAGCATAAATAAATTAAGAAGTGACTTACACATGAGGGACCAACTTTATGGAAACTTTATTTTTATACTTAAGATGTATGCCTTCTCAGGATGACATCAGCACTTGTTCATAGATGTGTATTATGTTGTTCCCTGGATGAATTCCTTATTGCCTCTCCCTCCTTTGGAACAACCTGACTTTGAGAGGGGAGATAGGGAAGGCCGAGGCACTTAGATGAAAGGGATTTTTTTCTCTCAGGCCTTTATCCACCGTCCCAGTCTCCCTCTCTCTCTGTTTCTACCTCATCTTCCCACCTCAGGCTATTCTGGCCCTCACAACCCATGCCCAAAGCCTAAGTTACTAAGTAAGCAAAGCTTCCCTGGCCTGCAGTGAGCTTTGTCAATACCTGAGAGGGCAGCCTGACTACTGATATTTTTCTTGGTGTCAGTAATACATCCTTACTGCAAAAACTTAGAAAACTTGGACAATAGAGAGGGAGGGAAAGAACCTTAATCCCAACCAAAGTGAAATAAGGTAAACAATTTGATGTTTGACCTTGTACTGTTTTATATTTATACATAGATCTAAATATTTAAACAATTCTTTTGCCTTGTATATACTATTTGTATTTAGCAGCTCTACACCATGTACGTGCTTCTTCATAAAATGCTTTCTTCCAAAACAGACTTCTAATGACTCTATAGTATTGAGTGCTATGGATATACTAAATTTTATTTATTCAGTTCTTGACTATTGGACATTTAGATAGTTCCCTGAGTTTTACTGTTATGAATAATGCAGCAAACAGCTGTAAACATCTTAGATTATTTGCATCGTAACCCATAATATTTATCGTATTGGTCTTAAGTTTATTTTCTTAGTAATTATTACTTATATTCTAAAAACAAATGAACATTTAAGCTTGGTGTATAATAAAGGCTTACACGTGTGTTTAATATTAAAGCATATTTCATACCTTACCTGTGCATTTATGTAAAGTTTTAACAGAGAGAGGAGATAGCTGTGTCTCGTTTGTAACCCATTCTCCAGGCCTGTTACCATTACCAATCAGTATACTATGAAGCTTTAGATCCTTATCTTTCCACAAGAGAAGATAGAAGCCTAGTGTGTGGGGAAGGGGACTCAAATATGAAGTGGGGTGTAGTATCAAAAGAAACGTGGTCTTTAAAGTAAAGAGGGTTTGGTTTTAAATTCAATTTTAACTTTAAAAATCACATCTAACTCTCTGGGCTTTATTTTCAGCTATCGCAAAATGGAGGTAGTAATACTAGTGTTTATAAACTGTCATGAGAATTACATCCTTAGCACATAATGGCTACTAAGTGAAGGTAGTTTCCCTTCCCTTCATTCTCCTATTGTGTGGTGAGCTCCTATTGTGTGGTGAGCCAATCACTAAAATTACAACATGTTTTAAATGAAAATATATGAAAATTTATTATCTATTATGAAAAGACTTTAACTTTCTAATACTTTGGTAATATAGACTGTACAAAAACATGTACAAACTTTTATATGTTTCCTTGCTCGTTAGCCTCAAATAAGCAAAAACATTTTTCCAAGATCGATCACCTCAGAACCATCACAAAGTTTTATTTTTTTTTCTTCATTTGACTGAGACCCTTGTGTTTTTCTCCTCAACTTGTTCTAATTACAGGGACTTTTGAAAAGGGGGAATCTTTTCATCTCTAGGTTTTTTCAATCTATGGTATTAGTACATGGTTAGCTGAGGTTGATTTTTTTTCTTTTGAGGCTCTTCTCTCAACACATATATATGTACTATTTCTGATTTTTCATGAGTAAAACAAGCATTGATAGCAATATCCAAAAAAGCTTCAGTAAAGAACAATTTATATCAAAGATCTTTCTTCACTGTGGAGAATCACAGACTTCCTTGGAAATATACTTTAGATGGTCAAATGATACATCATTTAAACTTAATTCTATTTGGGTCCATGCATGTATATCATGGGCTTGGGAAGAAGTGAGGTTCTTCCTTTCAAGTTATGTCTGTAGCCTTTGATATTATCACTTTGTTATATTTTTATGTCCAGGTCTTTAAAAGGTTTATGTTAGGAAATACTTAAATATACCCAAAAGTGTATAAGAATAATGTTAATTAAAACGTTAACACTTATGTTATCAATACCTAAATTTGACAGATGTGAATATTATGTATATTTTCAATCTACCTGTTTTATATTTCTATAACTTGCTTTGTTTTGACTAATGCTATGACTTTCAAGTTTGCCCATGCTAATAGATGTAGCACTATTTCTATAATACTCAATTGCTGAGTATCCATTTTCTGTTGATGAATATGTATGCTATTTCCAATATATTGCTATTATGAACAGTTCTGTAATGTTTAAGTTTATACATATTTTCTTGGAGACTCATTCATTCATCCATCCAGCAAACACTAATTTTGCCACTGGTACATATTAAGCCATATAGCAGGCATTAGAAAAATATATATATATAAACTTGGTTCAGCTCTTGAGAAGTCCAGACACTAGTGGAGGAGAAAGATGTGCAAACAAATTAGTGTAATACAGCTTGCTAGTGCAATATTAGATACATGTATGTATGTATATGTACATGTCTATCTGTTTAGAAAAGGAGACAGTGTGTGTGTGTGTGTGTGTGTGTTTACGTGTGTAAGAGACACAGATAGATTGAAAAATAAAAACAGAGAGAGAGAGCATCATTGGAGAGGAAGTAATAGCTCTTTTCCTCTGACTCTGAAAAGTACATGAATGAGTCGGGTTTCATCCCACAGAATGAACAGAAATTCACTAGGCAGAATAAAAGGCAATGAGACTTCTGGCAGCTTAGAGCTATAAAATGCTATGCATATAGCAAAGAAAATATTTACTCTTTCAAAATGACAGGTGCCTGTCTGTGAGTTGTGAAAGATGAAGCATAACATTTAGGAAAAACCAGATATCATAATAAATTAAGAAATTTTAATTTTATCCTGTAGGTCATAGGCAACCTTTAAATAATTAGAAGCACTGAAATAACATCATATTTGAATTTTAGAAAGATCACTTGGATAGCCCCTGTGCAGGGATAAAACTGGAAGTAGCATTGATGTAGTTCTACACTAATACAGGAGTAGATGAAAGTGAGAAGGAAAAACAGGAAGTAGACTAGAAAGGCTTACTGGCTTTAGAGACTAAGTATATGGTGTTGCCATTAACAAGGAAGGTATATAGAAAGGAAGCAAAGTTTGAGAGAAGTAAAGATGAGTGAGTGGGAGGAGATAATTAATTCAATGTGAATGTGTTGAGTTGATGACACTAGGTGTTATATTCAGGTGGAAAAGTCCAGGAGAGGGTTGAGATATGTGGGTGTGGGGTTTGGGAGAGAGCTCTGTTCTGGAGTGATAATTTTGGAAGTCATTAATATCAGGGATATTGGACACGAATTCATGGATAAAACCATCTAGAATAAGTCTGTTTATAGTGCATGGACTGAATTTCTATTTCAGACATCTTTGAAGTGTGTTGGTTGATATGGTTACTTCTATAACATTGCCTTCTTGCTTCTGTATACCTAGTGCCAATGAAAGATAGCCTATTCTTATTCCAGCATCTACTTCAATTGATCGTATAAGAAAAAAACTGGTATTTTTATGAAGCTTTGTTGTTTCATACCTGTTGTTCTTTTGTTACCCCGACCTTTATCGGCTTGAAAGCATTGTTTGAGTAACATGAGAGAATGTATTTGATAAACCAAAATGTGCCATATAGTGGAGACAAAATTGTGTCCTAAAAATAAAATGATGGACTTTACTTCATAAATGTTTAATTTTTTACATGTAAAAGATTAAATTTAAACTTCTTTAATGTAATGTAAACTTCTTTAATAAATGTTCCCAGCAGGCAGAATTTTTTGTTTTTGCTTGCATTTGTAGTCTTTGCATACTGGATTTATTGTGACCATCTAATGCTCAGTTAATTTCTATTATCTGACTTGTCCAGGTTACCAGCTTGATCTGATTTTTACAGTTTTATTGCTCACAGCCTATTATATCTTCACAGCACTTTTTTCTGTGACCAACAGCCTGGTTTTAGTAACTCTGGATTTCCCATGTCCATTATTTGATTATGTTAATGCTTTCTAAAACACAAATAAATTGTTTTCTCAATTCCTTATGGCTTGATTTTTTGATTTCTAAACTAGATTGCCTAAATTTTGCTTGAAACATCTATTGACTTATTCACTGTTATTCTTTAAAAACTAGGACCTGAAAACGAAAGTTCTACATGCAATGGATGTGCTCGCTAGTTTTTTCTAGCCATCCAGTGTATTCTCTATGGTCTCACCTTGTCCTTTATTCCTTCACACTTGTGGTATCCATTCAACTTCCCTGGGGCTCAGGTCAAGGCAACTTATGACACGCCAGGGTCTACATTGCTAGTATGGATTGAAAGCTTTCTGTCTCTAGCTCAGTCATGCCAGTAAATGATTATCTCTGCATGAAAAACAGGATAGGCTTCACATATCTAATAGAGAGTGGTGCGTAACGCACATATATTTTTCCTAGTGTGTCAGTAGATGATTAAAAATCATATTTTAACTTTTATGTGCCTTTTTGGATATGTCCCATGAATATTATCACTCACTTCATCAAGAGACTCCAATAAATGCTATCTGAAGTTACACTGAGGAGGAGGTATAAGGCATTTTTCCCCACTATACTTTCAGTGGATTTATCTCTTTTTAGGTTTTTTTTTAAATAAACCTTACTTTTATGGGATTATATGAAGTTGTACTTTATAGTTGTAAAAAAGTGGTTTAATAACACCCATATCAGGCATAAAATATGCCTTTACATTTTGTAAAATTTAAATATGTTGTGGTAACATGGGATGACAAGGGTGCTTTCGTATAAAGGATAAAAGTCCTCTCTCAATCATATTGTGAAGTATAACAAAATAATAAAGAGGAGAAGGAGAAAGGAAATACAAAGAAAGGATCTACATGACATATGTGATGAGTAGGGAATAGTAAGAATTATAGTGGGACAGCACTGGAGTGAAATCCACTGTTCTGTGACCTCCAGCAGCCAGGACCATGTCTTATTTATATTTGTGTTTCTTGTACCTGGTGAAGAACCTTGCTTTTAGGACTAGAAAACTCCCTGTTCAATGAATGAATTCCTTTCTTTAGAAGTCAAGTGCTTAACCGGTTAGGCACGGTGGCTCAAGCCTATAATCCCAACACTTTGGGAGGCCAAGGTGGGCAGATCATTTGAGGTCAGGAGTTCAACACCAGCCTGACCAACATGGTAAAACCCAGTCTTCACTAAAAATACAAAAATTAGCTGGGCGTGGTGGTGCACACCTGTAATCTCAGCTACTTTAGAGGCTGTGGCAGTGAGCTGAGATCGCATCACTGCACTCCTGCCTGGGTGACAGAGACAGACTCTGTCTGAAAAAAAAGAAGAAGTCAAGTGCTTATCTTGATCTTGGTTTAAGCTTTTTTCCTAGAAGGTAAGGAAGCTCTTCATAGGGGAAGATGATCCTTTCAGGACTCATTCAGCCTTAGATTCTCTTTCATACCTTGTTTGGGACTGTTCCACTTCATGAAAGCTTAATATGGCATTGCATCAGCACCACTGACTCAGAGCTTGCACCTGCAGAGTTCAAAAAAAGGTAGGGGAGAGGCAAAGAATTAACTGAGAAATTACTGTCTTCAATGAAAAAACTAGAAAATACCATTGCTTTACTTTCTACTGTGGGTAGGAATATAAGCCTTTCTGTAGGTGAAGTCGTCATTCCAATGGTGTATTCAGAGCATGGTGTTACTGAATGTCTGTTGCAGACAATGTGTTGACTATCAGAAAGTGAAACAATTTTATTAGATCTATAGTCATTATTAATTGTGTCATTTTAATAGCATCAGCATATCTAATTAATACCTAGGAAAATTGATATTTAAAAAATGTAGTGATCAAAATGTTACATGTCAGTGCTTATGTAATAATCCATACAGAGGTGGTGTTTGAAATGTACTATGGAGACTCTGACGGAGCACCTGGTTACCTGCTTTAGGTGTGGCTTTGGTTCTGAAATAGAGCAGTTCTGAGAAGGAAGGAATGTGTATTGGTATATATCTGTGGTGCGTTCTAAGGCAACTTTCTATGAAAGTCCTTTCTTTTTACTCATTTATGTAGTTAAAGACATAAATGTTAGACTGAAACCATAAAAACCCTAGAAGAAAACCTAGGCAATACCATTCAGGACATAGGCATGGGCAAGGACTTCATGACTAAAACATCAAAAGCAATGGCAACAAAAGCCAAAAGAGACAAATGGGATCTAATTAAAGAGCTTCTGCACAGCGAAAGACACTGTCATCAGAATGAACAGGCAACCTACAGAATGGGAGAAAATTTTTGCAATCTACCCATCTGACAAAGGGCTAATATCCAGAATCTACAAGAAACTTAAACAAAGTTACAAGAAAAAAACAACCCCATCAAAAAGTGGGCAAAGGATATGAACAGACAGTTCTCAAAAGAAGACATTTATGCAGCCAACAAACACAAGAAAAAATGCTCATCGTTATTGGTCATCAGAGAAGTGCAAATCAAAACCACAATGAGATACCATCTCACGCCAGTTAGAATGGCGATCGTTAAAAAGTCAGGAAACAACAGATGCTGGAGAGGATGTGGAGAAATAGGAACACGTTTACATTGTTGGGAGTGTAAACTAGTTCAACCATTGTGGAAGACAGTATGGTGGTTCCTCAAGGATCTAGAACTAGAAATACCATTTGACCCAGCGATCCCATTACTGGGTATACACCCAAAGGCTTATAAATCATGCTACTATAAAGACACATGCACATGTATGTTCATTGTGGCACTATTCACAATAGCAAAAACTTGGAACCAACCCCAATGTCCATCAGTGATAGACTGGATTAAGAAAATGTGGCACATATACACCATGGAATACTATGCAGCCACAGAAAAGGATGAGTTCATGTCCTTTGCAAGGACATGGATGCAGCTGGAAACCGTCATTCTGAGCAAACTGTCACAAGGACAGAAAACCAAACACTGCATGTTCTCACTCATAGGTGGGAACTGAACAATGAGAACACTTGGACACAGGGTGGGGAACATCACACCCCCAGGCCTGTCGTAGTTTGGGGGGGCAGAGGGAGAGATAGCATTAGGAGATATATACCTAATATAAATGACAAGTTAATGGGTGCAGCAAACCAAAATGGCCCATGTATACCTATGTAACAAACCTGCATATTGTGCACATGTACCCTAGAAGTTAAAGTATAATTTTAAAAAAAAAAAAGGCTTCTGGATCTGTCTTTTACTGAAGCACATTTCCCCCACATTTATTTTTGTTTAATTCATAATTGCTCATTTTAAAAATGACTTACCTTTGTTACAAAATGTGAGAATTAACGAGTACTGTGCAGAAGTGTGGGCTTTATGATTGTGGTTGGAACAAATTCAAATAACTCATAGTTTTTCTCTGAGTGTGCAGATTGCAGGCAATTCACTTAGAATTTTATTAATATGTGCCTTTCAGATGAAGATAATAATCAATATAAGAATCAGATATTACATTGTAAAAAGGGGCAAGTGCATTGCAGTAATGTTTTTGTTGAGTTTCTATTATGTGTTTCATAATTCCTGCTTAATATTTATTTTAACAAAAGTCAGAAAGATTCCTTGTCTCTGTAAAATACACAGACACATACACTCCCAAATCCACATTACCATATACATCCTTCCCAGGGTAGTTGGTCAGGATATACTTAAAAATAATGTGGTGCACCATATCAAAAGGAGTGAGAATCCCTCCATGTGTACTAAGAGTAACATACATTCTTGTAGGTCACTAAGATACCACCCCCAAATTTACTTCTCTTGAATAAAAAAACATTTGAAGGGGTTCCCCCTCCTCTACTTAATGATAAATTTTATGACGTTATAGTGGAAGCTCTGCAAAGGGTTTTGAGCAGTTTGGAAAGAACTCGGGAAATGGCGTTAGTTTTACTGCAGCCTAGCTACAGAATTAGATAGTAAACATAAGTAAATTTCTACAAATACAAATAAATATTTTTTAAAACTTTTTTGGGAGACAAGCTTGTTAACTAACATTATCTCGGTTCCCAAAATACTACCTTTAGAAATTTATCCTAAAGAATCATATTGAGGCTTACAGAGATAACATACAAAGGTATCTGTTATAAATTTATTTATGATCGCAAAAAGTGGAAACACTCTAAACATTCAACAGTGTTGGAACATTTAATGGGTGATGGATGATGGTGTATATCTATAGGAATTCTATAGATGCAATGAAATTATATTTTAAAAAACATTTGTATTCGATTATATTCATTACAGAAAGAGATATGACCACACACAGTCATGCATACACACTCACAAACAGAAAACAAAGATAGAATTAAAAAATACAACTTGAGACGTTATCTCTGGTAGATAAATATATATTCCTTTTTATCATTTTCTGAATTCTCTAAATGAATTTTCTAAAATGTATTGATTTCATATTATAAAGCAAAATAAAGAATATTTAGATGACCCATTTCCAATCACTGGCAAGATTCTGCCTGCTGTCATGTTGTTTTCTGCAGCTGTTACTTTTTAATATAGAGGAGCATGGAAACAATGTATTAAACTGAAATTGCTTGTCTCCTACAAACTACCAAACACCTTTAATTATTTGGCTTTTCCTGGGACAAAGTAATGTGAATTAAATGGATAAATCATGTAGTATGTGAATTATTCCTCAATAAAGCTTTTTTAAAAAGACAGGGGAGACTGGAAGCCCTAGGGATACTAAAATAGAGGATAATTTCGGCTTTCAAATTCATTTCCATATATGTAGTATAAAGAAGTCATCTAGTTCTTAATTAGCGCCAAGAGGAAGGAGTGGGGCAAGAATATGAGGGAAAGAGATAGAAAAGAAACCCCTCTACCTGCTCTCAATTGAGTTCCTTACTTTTACCATTATCAAATGATTTCTTCTATTCTGTCTTGAACATTCCTTATTGCTGAGCTCTTTCCTCAAGCCCGTCGAATTATCCAGATGACATTAATAACTTGTTCTATAATATTATGGTCTGCCAAAGATAAATCCATATTTTAACTGAAGCATGTTTTGTAATAAATAGGTGCAGATCCATTTTTCCCCAATATCATTATTTAATTTTTAATTTTTTGTTTTATTTATAGGGTCTCTCTCTATTTCCCATGCTGGAGTGCAGTGGCGCAATCATGGCTCACTGTAGCCTTGACCTCCTGGGCCCAAGTGATCCTCCCACCTCAGCCTCCTAAGTAGGTGCACACCACCATGCGTAGCTAATTTTTGTATTTTTTGTAGAGAGATTTCACCATTTTGCCCAGGACCTCTCCAACTCCTGAACTCAAGCGATCCACCTGCCTCAGCTTCCCAAAGTGCTGAGATTACAGGCATGAGCCACCACACCCGGCACTATATAAGTATTTTAGACCTTAGAAAAACCTATCTAGTTTTAAATTTGTCTTATTAATTTTCTTGACATTGCTAAAAAAAGAAGCATGTATATCCATTCATGCAATATTCCTCAGCAGTGAAAAGGAATGAACTATTGATACAGCAACCTGAATGAATTTCCAGCAAATTATGAAGTAAAAAAGGCAATCTCACATGTTCTTTGTTCAATCATAGAATATATGATTCCATTTATATAGCATTCTTGAAAGTGACAAAATTAGCGGTTTCCGGGAGTCAAGGACAGGTTGATGTGGGAGGGAACTGGGTGTGGCTGTAATAAGGCAACATGAGGGACCCTTTTGATGATGGAAATGTTCTATATCTTAACTGTATCAATGTCAATATCCTGGGTATAATATTGTCCTGTAGTTTGGCAAGATATTATCATTGTATAGTATCTTGTATTATTTCTTACAATGGATGTGAATCTATAATTATCAAAAAATGACAATTTAATTAAAGCATATAGTAAATAAGTAAAAAAATAAAAACAGACTACAAAAATGGTCAAAAAAGCATGTATGTGGACATTTAATCTTTTCTGTATGATTAAATAATTAAAATATTCTCATATTTCTGAGTATCATGGTACATTATTTTTAAAAACTTAGTGGTTGGTAGCAAACAGATTTTAATGTAATCTTTCAGTATAGAGTTTTAGTATAGGCTTATCATTTCTTTATTTAAATATCAGTGTTTACAATGTTTATTATAATAACTAATATTTTTTGAGCATTTCTGAAACATCTTATTTAAATCTTCCAACATTCTTATGAGGTCAGTAAGGTTATTATTTCTATATTATAGATGCAAAAAGTTGAGGCTTAAAGTGAATTGATTTGCTTATGATCGTACAATAAACTAGCTGAATTAGGATTGGAAACCAAGTCTGTCTTACTCTAAAGCTCCTGATATTGATTCTTTATTCTGTTTTTGGCTATGGCTGCCACGATTTTGGACAGTGGGATGTGCTTTTAATTTTCCTTGTTTATTTGCTTTATATCAAGTGTAAGTGTTAACATATTTGAAAGAGTGGGCATCAGCCTTAGATAGCTGTTGCTCAGGAATTTATAGTTATGTTGGTCACATGTCTCTTTTCCTTGGCAGTACTTTTTGATAGAACTGAAAGGGCATATTTAAAGAAAACAAAAAACCAACATGTGTTTAAATTTACAAAAAGTTTGCCAAGTTCTAACTACAATTCTATAACTCTCTCCTAATGTATAACATTTCACATTCATATTTTTAAATGGAGCTTATAGTCTACTCTAATAGACACTAATCAAATGACAACATACAAATGTAACAGCAAAATTTGAAAATTGATGAGAGAGAGAGGTGCAGGATGCTATAGGTACCTATAGAAGGGGACTTGGTCAAGTGTTAGGATTGCTGTGGCACAGAAGGCCTCCCAAAGGATGTGGCCTCTCAGCTGCCATATGCTTTTTAAGGGTTTATGATTAGTAGCCAAGAAAGACTTTTGTAGTTTTCTTTTACCTGTTTTAACTATGCATAAATCGGATATATTTTTATCACAGCGCATTTCAGTTATGCCAGTCATCTTCCAAATACTATGTTTCAAGCTCCCTGAGTACAGGAACTCTGCAGGTTATCTTTGTACTCCCAAATGTGAGGATACTGTCTCATCACATTCCTATTTGGCTAAATGGGGTGGGATTGTTATGGTAGCATAAAAACTCTGCCGTGAAGACCTTTGACCTATTTGAGGCAAAGTCTTGAAGCTTTCTTAAATCCACATTTCTGGACTTTGCTGATTTTTAAAAACAAATATTTGGTTTATTTTGATATTTTGTTGTTTTATTTGTTTGATTTTAATAAACTTTTTTTTTTTACTTTAAAAAATTATTCCTTTGATTTACAAGATTCCATCTCAGGCCTGTTCAGAGTTTCTTTCTCTGCATGTTTTTCATGTTGCTAAATGAATATGAATATGTTGTTTTATTTTTTGTTTGGTCCTTACATCACAAGTATATCATAAGCACCTATAAATTCTCCCAAAACAAAGCTTGCAGGCAAGGTAACAGAGCCACGCATTAAATCCCTAGGAGTAAAGAGAGCATTTTTATTCTCTCAAAGCACCGGTTCTTTCTTGACTTTGGCTTGTACACAGACCTCACCTATAATAGTGGGCTCTGTGAAATTTGGCCCAAAACACTGTTGTTTTTATGCTTTGTGGAGGATCAAAATTATAAATAACACTGCTCAATCTGTTGGTAGGTGTGACGGAACAATCTCTTGTTACTATTTGTTCCTACTGTTGTTATGTGATTATTACATGTTTAAGGTTGGGCCTGTGGGAGAAAATGCCACTCCCTGTTTGTTGGGGGTGGGTTCTCAAATGAAGAGTGAAGTCATTTGTTACATTCATGACCACAATCTTTCCAGTCTTCTGATCAGAAAGATAGATGAGTGGGTAGTCTTTGCTTGGTGGTAGAGATAGAACCATCTATTTATTTGTTACATTCATCACCACAATCTTTCCAGTCTTCTGGGAAGTGGTATAATCCTCAGATCAGAAAGATAGATGAGTGGGTAGTCTTCACTTGGGGGTAGAGATAGAACCATCTATTGGCTTTGCAGGAAATGGGTCAGAGTGCTGAATCATCTGCTTTTGTCAATGGGAAGGAAGATATAAAAGCAAAGTCTAGTAATAGGTTCCAAAGTCACCCAGGTGAGTTTTAGTGAATTTATACTAGCCCTCTGTACTAAGCCATAGTTTGATTTCAAGCAAAAGCAGTATCCCCACTGTGAGCTTGACAGCTTTGTAATACTTATATGTTTTTTTCTCATGAGATCAATAGTGCTACTAATGAATGTAATTTTTATATTGTATAATGATATGTGGCAATGTGGAATATCCACAAAACTCAATGAAATGCTATTTTCCAAATAAGCAATACATAATGTCATGGAATCCACTCAAAATGCAAGACAGACCAGTGGATTTTAGCATTACAGATTATGGAGTATGAATATTACAGAGTTCATTGAAGTGGCTTCAAATTCTACATTGCAATTAACGTTTAAGAAACTATCACTTGTCAAGTTTTGGTATAGAATCAAAGAAAGATATCCACAATTATCATAAAAGGCTAGTAAAACACTCCTGCCTTTTCCAACTACATATGCATATGAAGCTGAATACAGAAGAAGATTTAAGAATCTAGTTGTTGGCCGGGTGCAGTGGCTCGCGGCTATAATCCCAGCACTTTGGGAGGCCGAGGCGGGCGGATCACAAGGTCAAGAGCTCGAGACCATCCTGCCTAACACAGTGAAACCCCGTCTCTACTAAAAATACAAAAAAATTAGCGAGGCGTCGTGGCAGGCGCCTGTAGTCCCAGCTACTCTGGAGGCTGAGGCAGGAGAATGGCATGAACCCGGGAGGCAGAGCTTGCAGTGAGCTGAGATCGCGCCACTGCACTTTAGCCCGGGCAACAGAGTGAGACTCAGTCTCAAAAAAAAAAAAAAAAAAAAAAAAAGAATCCAGCTGTCTTTCTGTTAGGTTGGACCTTAAAGATTTTCAAAATTGTAAGATAGTGCCTTTTATTCTTATTTTTTAAAAATTTTGGAATATATAGTTAGTTGAAATATGTTATTTATTTTAACATGTAATAGACATATTGTTTTTCAAAATAAACATTTAATTCATCAATTTTAATTGCTTATATAATATCATTAAATATAAGTCATTAAGTAATTATATGTTAATATCATTAGATATAATTATTGGATTTTCAATAATTTTTTTTATTATACTTTAAGTTTTAGGGTACATATTCACAATGTGCAGGTTAGTTACATATGTATACATGTGCCATGCTGGTGTGCTGCACCCATTAACTCGTCATTTAGCATTAGGTATATCTCCTAATGCTATCCCTCCCTCCTCCCCCTACCCCACAACAGTCCCCAGAGTGTGATGTTCCCCTTCCTGTGTCCATGTGTTCTCATTGTTCAGTTCCCATCTATGAGTGAGAACACGTGGTGTTTGGTTTTTTGTCCTTGTGATAGTTTACTGAGAATGATGATTTCCAGTTTCATCCATGTCCCTACAAAGGACATGAACTCATCCTTTTTTATGGCTGCATAGTATTCCATGGTGTATATGTGCCACATTTTCTTAATCCAGTCTATCATTGTTGGACATTTGGGTTGGTTCCAAGTCTTTGCTATTGTGAATAGTGCCGCAATAAACATACGTGTGCATGTACCTTTATAGCAGCATGATTTATAGTCCTTTGGGTATATACCCAGTAATGGGATGGCTGGGTCAAATGGTATTTCTAGTTCTAGATCCCTGAGGAATCACCACAGTGACTTCCACAATGGTTGAACTAGTTTACAGTCCCACCAACAGTGTAAAAGTGTTCCTATTTCTCCACATCCTCTCCAGCACCTGTTGTTTCCTGACTTTTTAATGATTGCCATTCTAACTGGTGTGAGATGGTATCTCATTGTGGTTTTGATTTGCATTTCTCTGATGGCCAGTGATGATGAGCATTTTTTCGTGTGTCTTTTGGCTGCATAAATGTCTTCTTTTGAGAAGTGTCTGTTCATGTCCTTTGCCCACTTTTTGATGGGGTTGTTTGTTTTTTTCTTGTAAATTTGTTTGAGTTCATTGTAGATTCTGGATATTGGCCCTTTGTCAGATGAGTAGGTTGCGAAAATTTTCTCCCATTTTGTAGGTTGCCTGTTCACTCTGATGGTAGTTTCTTTTGCTGTGCAGAAGCTCTTTAGTTTAATTAGATCCCATTTGTCAATTTTAGCTTTTTTTGCCAATGCTTTTGGTGTTATAGACATGAAGTCCTTGCCCATGCCTATGTCCTGAATGGTAATGCCTAGGTTTTCTTCTAGGGTTTTTACAGTTTTAGGTCTAACATTTAAGTCTTTAATCCATCTCGAATTAATATTTGTATAAGGTGTAAGGAAGGGATCCAGTTTCAGCTTTCTACATATGGCCAGCCAGTTTTCCCAGCACCATTTATTAAATAGGGAATCCTTTCCCCATTGCTTGTTTTTCTCAGGTTTGTCAAAGATCAGATAGGAGTAGATATGCGGCATTATTTCTGAGGGCTCTGCTCTGTTCCATTGATCTGTATCTCTGTTTTGGTACCAGTAACATGCTGTTTTGGTTACTGTAGCCTTGTAGTATAGTTTGAAGTCAGGTAGCATGATGTCTCCAGCTTTGTTCCTTTGGCTTAGGATTGACTTGGCGATGCGGCCTCTTTTTTGGTTCCATATGAACTTTCAAGTAGTTTTTTCCAATTCTGTGAAGAAAGTCATTGGTAGCTTGATGGGGATGGCATTGAATCTATAAATTACCTTGGGCAGTATGGCCATTTTCACAATATTGATTCTTCCTACCCATGAGCATGGAATGTTCTTCCATTTGTTTGTATCCTCTTTTATTTCATTGAGCAGTGGTTTGTAGTTCTCCTTGAAGGGGTCCTTCATGTCCCTTGTAAGTTGGATTCCTAGGTATTTTATTCTCTTTGAAGCAATTGTGAATGGGAGTTCACTCATGATTTGGCTCTCTGTTTGTCTGTTATTGGTTTATAAGAATGCTTGTGATTTTTATACATTGATTTTGTATCCTGAGACTTTGCTGAATTTGCTTATCAGCTGAAGGAGATTTTGGGCTGAGACAATGGGGTTTTCTAGATATACAATCATGTCATCTGCAAACAGGGACAATTTGACTTCCTCTTTTCCTAATTGAATGCCCTTTATTTCCTTCTCCTGCCTAATTGCCCTGGCCAGAACTTCCAACACTATGTTGTATAGGAGTGGTGAGAGAGGGCATCCCTGTCTTGTGCCAGTTTTCAAAGGGAATGCTTCCAGGTTTTGCCCATTCAGTATGATATTGGCTGTGGGTTTGTCATAGATAGCGCTTATTATTTTGAGATACGTCCCATCAATACCTAATTTATTGAGAGTTTTTAGCATGAAGGGATGTTGAATTTTGTCAAAGGTCTTTTCTTCATCTATTGAGATAATCATGTGGTTTTTGTCTTTGGTTCTCTTGATATGCTGGATTACATTTAATGATTTGCATATATTGAACCAGCCTTGCATCCCAGGGATGAAGCCCACTTGATCATGGTGGATAAGCTTTTTGATGTGCTGCTGGATTCGGTTTGCCAGTATTTTATTGAGAATTTTTGCATCAATGTTCATCAAGGATATTGGTCTAAAATTCTCTTTTTTGGTTGTGTCTCTGCCCGGCTTTGGTGTCAGGATGATGCTGGCCTCATAAAATGAGTTAGGGAGGATTCCCTCTTTTTCTATTGAATGGAATAGTTTCAGAAGGAATGGTACCAGTTCCTCCTTGTACCTCTGGTAGAATTCGGCTGTGAATCCATCTGGTCCTGGACTCTTTTTGGTTGGTAAGCTATTGATTATTGCCACAATTTCAGAGCCTGTTACTGGTCTATTCAGAGATTCAACTTCTTCCTGGTTTAGTCTTGGGAGAGTGTATGTGTCAAGGAATTTATGCATTTCTTCTAGATTTTCTAGTTTATTTGCATAGAGGTGTTTGTAGTATTCTCTGATGGTAGTTTGTATTTCTGTGGGATCAGTGGTGATATCCCCTGTATCATTTTTTATTGCGTCTATTTGATTCTTCTCTCTTTTATTCTTTATTAGTCTTGCTAGCAGTCTATCAATTTTGTTGATCCTTTCAAAAAACCAGCTCCCGGATTCATTAATTTTTTGAAGGGTTTTTTGTGTCTCTATTTCCTTCAGTTCTGCTCTGATTTTAGTTATTTCTTGCCTTCTGCTAGCTTTTGAATGTGTTTGCTCTTGCTTTTCTAGTTCTTTTAATTGTGATGTTAGGGTGTCAATTTTGGATCTTTCCTGCTTTCTCTTGTGGGCATTTAGTGCTATAAATTTCCCTCTACACACTGCTTTGAATGTGTCCCAGAGATTCTGGTATGTTGTGTCTTTGTTCTCATTGGTTTCAAAGAACATCTTTATTTCTGCCTTCATTTCGTTATGTACCCAGTAGTCATTCAGGAGCAGGTTGTTCAGTTTCCATGTAGTTGAGCGGTTTTGAGTGAGTTTCTTAATCCTGAGTTCTAATTTGATTGCACTGTGGTCTGAGAGACAGTTTGTTATAATTTCTGTTCTTTTACATTTGCTGAGGAGAGCTTTACTTCCAAGTATGTGGTCAATTTTGGAATAGGTGTGGTGTGGTGCTGAAAAAAATGTATATTCTGTTGATTTGGGGTGGAGAGTTCTGTAGATGTGTATTAGGTCTGCTTGGTGCAGAGCTGAGTTCAATTCCTGGGTATCCTTGTTAACTTTCTGTCTTGTTGATCTGTCTAATGTTAACAGTGGGGTGTTAAAGTCTCCCATTATTAATGTGTGGGAGTCTAAGTCTCTTTGTAAGTCACTCAGGACTTGCTTTATGAATCTGGGTGCTCCTGTATTGGGTGCATATATATTTAGGATAGTTAGCTCTTCTTGTTGAATTGATCCCTTTACCATTATGTAATGGCCTTCTTTGTCTCTTTTGATCTTTGTTGGTTTAAAGTCTGTTTTATCAGAGACTAGGATTGCAACCCCTGCCTTTTTTTGTTTTCCATTTGCTTGGAAGATCTTCCTCCATCCTTTTATTTTGAGCCTATGTGTGTCTCTGCACATGAAATGGGTTTCCTGAATACAGCACACTGATGGGTCTTGACTCTTTATCCAATTTGCCAGTCTGTGTCTTTTAGTTGGAGCATTTAGTCCATTTACATTTAAAGTTAATATTGTTATGTGTGATTTGATCCTGTCATTATGATGTTAGCTGGTTATTTTGCTCGTTAGTTGATGCAGTTTCTTCCTAATCTTGATGGTCTTTACATTTTGGCATGATTTTGCAGCAGTTGGTACCTGTTGTGCCTTTCCATGTTTAGTGCTTCCTTCAGGAGCTCTTTTAGGGCAGGCCTGGTGGTGACAAAATCTCTCAGCACTTGCTTGTCTGTAAAGTATTTTATTTCTCCTTCACTTATGAAGCTTAGTTTGACTGGATATGAAATTCTGGGTTGAAAATTCTTTTCTTTAAGAATGTTGAATATTGGCCCCCACTCTCTTCTGGCTCGTAGAGTTTCTGCTGAGAGATCCACTGTTAGTCTGATGGGCTTCCCTTTGTAGGTAACCCGACCTTTCTTTCTGGCTGCCCTTAACATTTTTCCTTCATTTCAACTTTGGTGAATATGACAATTATGTGTCTTGGAGTTGCTCTTCTCGAGGAGTATCTTTGTGGCGTTCTGTGTATTTCCTGAATCTGAATGTTGCCTGCCTTGCTAGATTGGGAAAGTTCTCCTGGATAATATCCTGCAGAGTGTTTTCCAACTTGGTTCCATTCTCCCCGTCACTTTCAGGTACACCAATCAGACGCAGATTTGGTCTTTTCACGTAGTCCCATATTTCTTGGAGGCTTTGTTCATTTCTTTTTATTCTTTTTTCTCTAAACTTCCCTTCTTGCTTCGGATTTTCAATAATTTTTAAGAACATAAAGGAGTTCTGAAACAAAAAAGTTTGAAAATCACTAACTTGCATAATCACACTCTCTAATTTAATTCATGTCTCTGTTTAAATGGTAGATGTGTAGAGAGGCCTATTTAAAAATAGCAGTCTTTTTTTTTCTAACACTTATCATTACCCAACATTTTATTATGTATCTATTTATTTGTATGGTTACTGGCCATCTTCCCTGTGAAAATGTAGACTCCATTAGGGAAGGAATTTTTGGCTGCCTTGTTCATGGTTTTATCCCTCACACCTACTATACCACCTAGCACATAGTAGCTATTCAGCAAATTTCTATTGAAATATTGGAAATATTTTTCTATCTGGATATTGTTCTACTATTTCCTGGATAGTGCTAAAACTTTAAAGGTTCTGCGTGCAGTTCCTCTTAATTATGCCTTGCACCTTTGCTAATGATATTTTTGAGAGCTTCTAATAGGTTGTTATACTCCCTAGCAAATCCAGTCAGTTATTATATGGTGTTCTCTTCTCTTGCTTCAACCCCTTCATAACTGTTTGCCTACAACACACATCTGTATGTGTGTGTTAAGATGAGGTTCTATTATTCTTGCCAAGAACAGCTGCCACAGCAGACACAGTCTCCCAACTGCGCACTCCATTTTAGATATGCTGAAGCCCTTTAAGTGGAGCTGCCTGGAGTTCTGTGGCAAAATGGGAAAAATGCCTCTCCCTTATGTTATTCCCTCTCAGAGTTGCACCAGCATATTACAGAATTTTAGGGAAATATCCCTTGTATTTTTTATTTATGGCTTCTCCTTCTCCACGACTTCAGATTGACTCCCTAGGAGCCCAGAATAGAGTCCAATCTGAGTGATGAACTCTAAGATCTAAGATGAACTCAGACTCATCTCTCCTCTAACAATAAATAGTATGCTGGGTTAAGCCTATCATGTAGATTTCTGTCATGTTCATTTCTCCAAAATCATTAGATACATTCAGTCATGGTTTTTTACAAGAATTCAGTGTAATGCAAAACTTGCGGTTCTTGACATTTTCAATGGATAAACCAAGTCTCTTGTAAATAGTGGATGTACCTGAACTGTAATGTGGTCATTTGCACATGAATCAGCCTTTCTCTTCTCCTAAGTACATGATGAGAATGAAATGTTTTCTATCATTTGGTGGTTGTGATTGTACTCCAGCTTCATCACCAACCGTTGTCTTCAACATACATCCTATACTCTAATTATCCCAAACTCTTTTTAGCTTCCTAAATCTTTCCAAGTTTATTGGAAATCCCTGCTTTGTTGTGTAGTCAGATTCTTCTGTTCAGAGTAGTTTTTTCACTCATTCACCTGATGTACTTATAGCTCTCAAGAATCAGCTCATGCCCTCACTTCCACAAATATGCCTGAAAAACATGCCCTCACTGCCACAAGCCAGGCTAAGTATCCCCCTCCCTAAACCCCATTGTGCTTGATTTCCTCCATACCCTGGACATTCCTATATCATAGTGCCATATTCTATTATAGCTATCTGACTCTCTTTTGTGACAATGAGCTCCTAAACAGACCATGTAATTTTCTCAATTTCTGAATTTCCAGTAGCAAACAAAACTATTTTTAAAATTAATCAGCATAGTTGTTCTAGAAAACAAGAAAGAGAGGTCTCTGTAGACTAGAATAAGGATGTCACCTTAATAAAAAGCAGTGGGGAACAAATGAGTTCGGAACACCCTGAAGCTGTGAAGCTAGTCCACAGGCAAGGTGGGTGATGGGACCCAGGTGAATGCTTGGAAAAAGCATTCTTTATGCCCACACAAGTTGGGCATATAGCTGAGAGCCATGTCTGCACAACTTGTATGGTGCTGGGTGCTGGGAAAGATGCCACCTCTTTCTCTACTCTTGGCTACTTGGAATAGCAGCACCTTCTGCCATATAGCTTGCGGCTCCTGCAGCAAATTTTATACAGTTATGGGAGTCTAAAGCTAAGCAAGAACAAGTCTAGAAATGAATCTTTGAAGACTGGCAGCCGTGACTGCAAGGCCTGTTCTGTACCAGACTATTATTGGAGCCTTGGCTAAGGCCACTGCAAACTTACGGCAAGAGACCAGGATCCTGTAGGATGAGATATCTCGGGGGTCATAACAACATAGGCACTTAACAAAGACAAGGACAAACAACAGACTTGACAAACAGAAAACCTGAGGGTGAGGAAAATAGGCATACAAGTGCAAACAAAATGGATTTTAAGTATTTTTATGGCATTATGAAGATAAAAAAGGGATTATAGTAATGAGAGAATAACAGTTTATAAAACAAGAATATGGGGTTATATAAAATTGATAATTATGAAAATGAATTAATTAGAAATATTTAAAATGAAAAATATTTTGAAGTTAAAAAATAAAACTTTAACACTAAATAGCAATATGAACACAACAGAAAATAAATCTTCTGGAGTAATAAACTGAACTCATCCCAGAATTCAGCACAGAGAAATAAGTATCTAGAAAACATGGCTTGTGATATGGAACATAAGAAATTCTGCTTAAGAGTTTCAGAAGGTGATACTAGAGATTATTAAGATGAATATAGACATAACATTTTAAGGGAAATCACTGATCACAAAGCTAAAAGATGTGAGTCCTGAGTTTAAAAAATTTATTTCTGAGAAATATTAAAATAATTATTTTTAGATACATATATTAAAATTTCAGAACATTAACAATCCTAGAATTTATAAGGGGTAAGGAGAATACCTACAAATAAACTAAGATCTAAGTGAAACCTAATTACTTACTGATTGGTGGTTTTAGATGTTAGAAGATGATAGAGTAATAGTTTCAAAATTTTGAGGAAAAAAATTAATTTAGAATTTTACACCCAGCTAAACTGTCACTCAGTAGAATGGTGCAATGAAGAAATTTCCAGCTATATAAGGAACCAGAAATCTGATTTCCTTTACAATGATTCTAGTAAGCAGTAGTAGAAGAGAAGATGCAAAAGTGAGCCACTCCCCCACCAAAATATATATGTTCATCTGAGTGCTGACTTGTAAAATAACATTAATAATTATATTTGGGGTGACATCTGCAAGATTGCAAGATAGGAGTTTCTAGCACTTGCTTCCTCACAGAAACATGAATTTGAACAAACATCCATTGCAAGAAAATATCTTTATAAGAGCTAAGGAATGTGGGTAAGATGTTATAGCACATCAGTGGAACATACAAATAAGAAAAGGCAAATTAGAGAGTATAGGAAGGACATTTTTACATTTCCCACTTCACACCTTCCTCAAGCCTCCTGCTCTATGGAAGAGGGAGAGTGAAGTGAGCCCTCAACTTCACTGCAAATCGCAGCACCAACCTCACCCCAGTGAATCCCAAAGCTAGGCCACCTCCCACAAGCATCAGGCTTCAGGCCACCACCATGGCCCCAGGCTCCAGGCAAGCACCAGAGGACCATAACCCAGGCTTGCTCATGCTGACACAGGTTTCATGCCCACCGCAGAACCAGGCTAGCTCCTGTCGACCTAGGCTTCAAACTACCCCATGGCTCTAGGCTGGAGGCCAGCACCAGAACACCAGGACCCAGGCCTGCCCATGCAGACTCAGGCCCCAGGTCTACCTCACCACCAGCCTGGCTCCATGGACCCAAGCCCCTTGCTTACCTCTATATATCCAGACTCTAGGCCTGTCCCCATAGTGACAGGCACCAGATCTGCCTTGTGAACCCAAATGCCAAGACTTCCTCAGTGGACCCCAGTAGCAGGACAGGGTCCATGGACTCAGGATGAGGTCCATGCCTTCAGATCCAGGCACCAGGACTGCCTTACAGAAAACCAATAAATGCATTTGGGGACGTCTAGAAGAAACAGAGAACAAAATGTGGGCAGAAAGCTTAATTAAAGAAATATTAACAGACAACTTCTAAAATCTGCAGAGGGAAATGAATATCAAGATCCATGAATCCCAAAGAACCCCAAATAAATTAAACATAAATATTGGCTGAAAAATTTTCAAATCTGCAGAGGGAAATGGGCATTCAGCTTCATGAAGCCCTAAAAAACTCCAAATAGATTGAACCAAAAGAGGTATATACCAAAACGCATTAAAATAAAAATTTCAAATGTCAAATGCAAAAAAGAAAATCTTGAAAGCCACAAAAGTGAATCATCTTAAACAAGAGAACCCGCATAAGATTTCTCAGCAGTGGATTTCTCAGCAAACCTTGAAGGCCAAGAGAGTGTCATGGTATATTCAAAGTGCTAAATAAAAACAAACAAATAGAACTATCAACTAAGTATAATATATCAGCAAAACTGTCCTTAAACAATAAAAGAAAGAAAAAACTCCCCCACCTCCAAAAAAAAAAAAATGCTGAGGGAGTTTATCACCACTGGACATGCCTTAAAAGAAATGCTAAATTGAGTTCTTCAAGTTGAAATGAAAGTATACTAAGAACATAAAAACAGGTATAAAACTCATTGTGAAGGTAAGAATATAGTCAAGTTCAACATACTCTAATACTCTAACAGTGGTGTGTAAATCACTTTTAACTTTAGTATGAAGATTAAAAGAGAACGGTATTAAAAAAGTAAAAGTAATTAGCTGCAAGAATTAGTTAATTGGCTGGGCGCAGTGGCTCCTGCCTGTAATCCTAGCACTTTGGGAGGCCGAGGTGGGCGGATCACCTGAGGGCAGGAGTTCGAGACCAGCCTGGCCAATGTGGTAAAACCCCATCTCTACTAAGAATACAAAAATTAGCCAAGCATGGTGGCAGGTGCCTGTAATCCCAGCTACTCGGGAGGCTGAGGCAGGAGAATCGCTTGAACCAGGGAGGCGGAGGTTACAGTGAGCTGAGATCATGTCATTGCACTCTACCCTAGGCAAAAAGAGCGAGACTCCATCTCCAAAAAAAAAAAAAAAAAAAAAAAAAGAATTAGTTAATGGGTATACAGTATAAAAAAATGTAAATTGTGACATCAGTAACATAATTTGTGGGGGAAGGAGAAGTTAAAGTGTAGAGGTTTTGTATATAGCTAAAGTTAAGCTGTTATCAGCTTGAATACAGTTGTAACTGTAAGATATTTTATGTGAGCTTCATGGTAACCACAAAGAAAAAAACATGTAGTAAGTAGATATATAAAAGTTAAAGGAATCAAAGCATAATACTACAAATATCATTAGTCACAGAGGAAAATGGAGAAAGAAGAAAGGAACTAGAAAACAGTAAGAAAATATTTTTTTAAATAGTAAGTTCTTTTTTAAATAATTTTAACTTTTAGATTCAGGGGATACATGTCCAGGTTTTTTACAAGGGTATATTGTATGCTGCTGAGGTTTGGGGTATGAAATGATTCCATTGGTCAGCTAGTGAGCATAGTACCAATAGTTATTTTTTCAGGCCTTGTTTCCCCCCTCTCTTCCACTTCTAGTAGTCTCCAGTGTCTACTGTTGCCATCTTTATGTTCATGATTACCTAATGTTTAGCTCCCCCTTTTATTAATAAATAAGAACATGTGGTATTTGCTTTCCTGTTCTTGAGTTAATTCACTTAAGATAATGGCCTAAAGCTCTATCCATATTGCTGCAAAGGACACTGTTTCATCCTTTTTTTGTGGCTGTGTACCATTCCATGGTGTATATGTAGTATGTTTTCTTTATCCAGTCCATTCTTTATGGACATCTAGGTTGATGCTATGTCTGCTACTATAAAGAGTGCTGCAGTGGACATATGAGTATATGTCTTTTTACTAGAATGATTTGTTTCCTTTTGGATAATACCCAGTAATGGGACTGCTGGGTCAAATGGTAGTTCTGTTTCTGTTTTAAGTTATTTGAGAAATCTCCAAGCTGCTTTCCACAGTGGCTAAACTAATTTACATTCCCACCAACAGTATATAAGTATTCTTTTTTCCCCCAGCCTCACCAGCATCTGTTGTCTTGATTTTTTCATAATAGCCATTCTGTCTGGTATAAGATGGTATCTCTTTCCTCTCTTAGCCTCCTGAGTAGCTGGGACTACAGGCGCATGCCACCACACCCAGCTATTTTTATATATTTTTAATAGAGATGGGGTTTCATCATGTTGGCCAGGCTGGTCTTGAACTCCTGACCTCAAGTGATCTGCCTGTCTCGGTACCTCCCAAAGGGCTGGGATTACAGGTGTGAGCCACCATGCCCAGCCTCAATGTTTATTTTTGTTGCGATTGCTTTTGAGGACTTAGTCATAAATTCCTTCCCAAGGCTGATGTTCAGAATGGTGTTTCCTAGATTTTCTTCTACGATTCTTATAGTTTGAGGCCTTATATTTAAATCTTCAATCCATCTTGAGTTAATTTTGAATATGGCAAAAGGTAGCCAATTTCATCCTTCTGCATATGGCTAGCCAGCTATCTCAGCACCATTTATGGAATAGAAAGTCCTTTCCCCATTGCTATTTTTGTCAATGGGGACACCTATAACCATTTGTCATAATCAAATGATTGTCAGTGGGGAAACGTATAACTATTTGCTATAATCAAATAGTTATATATGTGCAGTTTTATTTCTGGGTTCTCTATTCTGTTCCATTGGTCTCTGTTTTTGTACCAGCATCATGCTGTTTGGGTTACTATGGCTGTATAGGTTGAAGTTGGGTAATGTAGAGTTTGAAATCAGATAATGTGATGCTTCCAGCTTTGTTCTTTTTGCTTAGGATTTATTTGGCTATTTGGGCTCTTTATTGGTTCCACATGGATTTTAGAATTTTTTTTTCTAATTATGTGAAAAGATGACATTGGTAGTTTCATAGGAATAGCAATGAATCTGTAGATTGTTTTAGGCAGTATGGCCCTTTTAATGATAATGATATTTCCAATCCATGAGCACAGAACTTTTTCCCATTTGTTTGTGTCACCTCTGATTTCTTTCAGCAGTATTTTGTAATTCTCTTTGTAGAGCTCTTTCACCTCTTGTTTATATGTATTTCTAGGTATTTTGTATGTGCTTGGCTATTGTAAATGGGATTGCATTCCTGACTTGGTTCTCAGCTTGAATGTAATAGTAAGTTTTTACCTATAAAAATTACTTTAAATATAAATGACTTAATCCAATCAAAAGACATAAGGCGGATGAAAAAATAAAAAAGTAAGTTCAACTATATTCTGTCTACAGGTGACTCGCTTTATCTTTAAGGACACACAGAGGCTGAAAATGAAGTGATGAAGAAAGATATTTCATGAAAATTGTACCCAAAAGGGAACAGAAGGGACTATCTTAATAACAGACAAAATAGACTTTAAGTCAAAAACTTCAGTTAATTATATCAAGAATTAGGATTCCATTAATTAGAGGATATAACAGTTATAACTATGTGTGTATCAAACTTTAGCAAACCTAAATATGTAATATAAAGCAAATATTAACAGAACTGAATGGAGAAATATACTTTGGGAAAAAGCTTCTGGACTTTGGTTTGGGCATTAGTTTTTGGGATATGACCGCCAAAGCACAGGCAACAAAAGTAAAAATAGACAAATGGGATTTTATCAACTTGAAAAGCTTCTTCACAGCAAAGAAGACACTCAGAATGAGAGATTTTCAAATCACATATCTGATAAGAGGTTAATACCCAAAATATATAAGTAAGTCATACAACTCATTAGCAAAAAGTCCACATACACACACACATACATGATGTGATTTTCTTAGTGAGCAAAAGACTTGACTAGACATTTCTCTAAAAAAGGCATACAAATGGCCATTGGGTATATGAAAAAGCTCGACATCAGTAATCAAGGAAATGCAGATCAAAACTGTAATGAGATATTACCTCACAACTGTTAGGTTGGCTATGCTGGAAAAAAAAAAGGTTACAAATGTTAGCAAGGATGTGGAGAAAAGAAATCCTTGTTCTGTTAGTTTAAATGTAAATTGGTTAAGCCATCATGGAAAACAGTATGGAGGTTCCTAAAAAAATTAAAAATAGAACTACCATATTAACTAGTAATCACCCTTCTAAGTACGTAGCCTATGGAATTGAAATCAGTATCTTGAAGAGATAACTGCAGTCCTGATAACTTGCAGCATGATTCACAATAGCCAAGATATGGAATCAACTTAGGCATTCATTGATGGATGAATGTATAAAGAAAATATGAGATAGCTAGAAGATAGGCACATAACACACACACACACACACACAAACACACAGTTGATCCTTAAACAACATGGTTTTGAACTGCACAGGTCCATTTATACACAGATTTTTTTTAACCAAATGAAGATTGAAAATACGGTATTCTTGGATGTGAAACCAACAAGGGCTGACTTTATATGAGTTTTTCAGGACTAACTGCAGGACTTGAGTATATGAGGATTTTGGTATATGTAGGGAGTTCTAGAACAAATATCAGATGTATTTCAAGGGATGACTGTATATACACACACATAAAATTTATGGAATCGATACAAAGTTTTTAGAATTTTATTTATAAAATATGAAACATCTAACATCATATAGATTATAGCAAATTTGATTTAAACATTCATCATTAAAAATGAAATAATTAGTTCTATGGCGACAATATGAACATAAGTATCAGTGCAGAACAATATTTTTTATTAAGTCAGGAAAACTATGGACAGGGAGATACTTCCAGAATGGTGGTGTAACCAGTCTGTGAACCCAGTCCCCAGTAAAAAAAATAAATAAATAACTTGTGAAAAATATTTTAAAATCATTTTAAGACTTTAGAAATTCATCATGGTCATATAGCAAATGCATAAACATTTACTCAAGAAATTCTACTAAATCTCTGTAAGAGAAATGCAAGTCTGTGGCATTTGAGCCATGACCCACTACTTTTTTCCACCTATCCTCTACCAGCACAGTATGACAAAAACTTTATTCCAGGAAGTTGCAGCTAAGAACACAAGGCTCTCTCTCAGATCCCAGTCTGGCATCTCTCCAGAAGGAGCAGGCTGCCAGAACTTTTTATCTCCCCAAGCCTATATTACAGAAGTTCCTATTTAAACAAAGCAGCTAAATGTAGCACTCCATTTTCCCACCCAGCACCCACTCATAGGGTAGAAGTTATACGTTACATGTTGCAAGTCAATCATGTTGGGTCTAATTCATCCTCATCTCAGCACAGGGTAAAGGTTTTGTTCCAGAAGACAGAAGCTGGGAAGACCAGGGGATACCACCATTCATCCTCACTCCACTCCTCCCCACCACCAGCATGAACTAGTAACAGGATTATCATTCTAGCAGCACTGGGCCACTGCACCTGCCCCTGAGGCACAGATCTGGAGAAATGTCTAAGAGTTTTGCTTTGAAAAACAGGTAGTCTGCAAAAACAGAGAGCCCCATAGTTCTTCCTAAGAGAAGTTTATTTGAAACAGACCATAGGTACATTCAAACCTGAGGACCCTGTCAAAAACAATGACAATTTTGATATAAGATAATTTGGAGGAGACTGGTAGTCCATGAACGCAACAAGCTAAACCATAGATCAGCTATATGTTTAACAGAGAGAAGTAGGGAATGAAAAAGCCAAGAAAAACTCTCTTTGGGTTAGAACAAAATACTGGCCTCAAAGATTGCCCTACAAGGAGGCTTGAATATAATTGATTAGACATTGGAGCCATTAATCCCCTAAGGTATTGTTGAAACAGTAGAGCAATCAATTGACAATGGAGCCTAAAATTAGGTGTGATACCAATAGAGGTAGAGTAGCATCTTACAGAGAGACAGGGAAAGATAAAGCCACCTAGAGGAGTATGATGAGCCTTGGGGAATGGGCACTTATGATCATGCTCCACTACAGCCATTGCCATGCCAAACCCTCTGGGCTCTAGGCAGACTGTAGTTCTGGCTCTGCCAACTCTCCTGGAAGTTCTCTGTGTCAACTCAATTGCCTGTGGAGATTGTGGGGCCTCCTATAGCTAGCATCCCACAGGTCTGTGGCAAGAGTGGGCCACTCTATGTCTGTTTTACTCACCACTTCTCTTGGAGCCAGTTGGGGCCAGGAATGAGTCTTGGTGTTAGGCAACTTGATTGGGAGTTCCCAGTTTTCTACACTGTCAGCCCCCGGCTGTGAATCCTCCCTGTATCCACTCTCAATGCCTTCTTTCTGAAGATCTGTTTGGAGTATGCTGACCTACTTGATGGTCTTGTCTCTCTTGGTGCAAGAAGCTCTTCCTGTCTGTCTAGTCAGCCACCTTGGCTCTCTGATCTCTAGGTTAAATATTAAAGCCTAGAAAATGTTACCAAATTTGGCCCAAACAGTACAAAAGCTATTAAGGCACTCACTATAGAATGAATTAAAATAGTAAGCAGAATACTTTATGTTAATGACATAAATACTAGATAGTTTCAAGATCATTTCTATTGAGTCTTCAAACAATAAATCATTTGTGTCTTGTGAAGTGTGATTCATGAGAAGTGAAGAAGGAGGAGGAGGAACAGAAACATTATTTCATTCAATTTATAAAACTACGATAGTCATATCAAAACAAGACAAGGACATCAGGAGAATTTAAAAACCTTTGTTCTAGTCTTATTACAAATATTAGCAAATTTAAACCATAGTGTATGAAAAGAATACAAGACAAGAATTCAAAATTTTAAAAATATTACTCATAACCTTCTATAAATGCAGAAAAAAGCAGTTATTAAAAGTGTATACCCATTTGTGTTTTTTTAAAAAAAACAAAGAAACAATTAAAAATCTCATTTTAAGCTATCAATATTTGGTGCTTTAAAAAAATCTAATAAAGGGTATCAACTGAAAATAAATAGAAAAAAATATATATATATATACTCTGTTGTAAAACACTAGAATTATTCCCATTTATATAAAGGTGGGACAAAGATAACAACTATTACTTATATTTTCCAGCATTGTATTGTTGGTGTTCCTGGCTAATGCAACAAGTTGACAGACATGAGTTAGGAGACAAAGACTTCTAAGAGGAGACGAGGTGGTGTTCTTTGAAGGTATGATAGTTTATCCATAAAGCTCAAGATAATCAACTGATAAAATATTAGAACTAATGAGAAAGTTCAGCAAGGTTGCTGAATACAATAACAACGTAAATGTAGGTAGTATCTACAGATATCAATAATATATAATTAGAAAATGTAATAGAAAATATATTCCACTCACAGTAGTAATAAAACTATAAAATTCATTGGAATAAAACTAAACAGAAACAAGAATATAGAAAGAACTTTTCAAATATATAATCAAAGGGAAAAGTCTGAGCAAGTAGAGCTCTAACCCATGTTTTTGCGTGGGAGAATTTATTCACGTAAGAATGCTATTATTGCCAAATAAAGCAATAAATTCCATACCATCCAAAGGCTCATGATTTTGCACAGGAGTGGAAAGATTTATTCCACAAAAGCATTATCTTATAAATAATGTGACCATATGTCATGATTTATTTGAAATAGTTCAAAATTATGCCTAGCAACTTGTAATTATTATTAGCATCCACATATTTATAAGAATAAAGATTAATTGGAAGAAAAAGCGTAAGAAGACTTTTTCCTTCTGCTTCTTAGCTTTCCCACTTGCAAGTTGTGTGAGCTTGCTACCTAAGTTATAAGTTACTCAAGCTCTCTGTTCCTCAGTTTCCTTACCTCCGAAGTAGGGATAATAACATCTACATCATATATTGTTCTAAGGTCAAATAGAGATAATACGTGTAAAGCACTTAGAACGCTGACTGACTCAACAAATGTTAATTATTATGAACAGAGTAGTATTTTATTCTGTCTCAAATCATATTATAAAGAACTGGTAATTAAAATTAAAGCATAGGCATAAGAAAAGACAAATAATGGGGAAGGATGAAAAAACAAACACACATTCGTATGTGTGAATCTATGTAAATAGGGTAGTGTCATTAAACACTGGGGAAAAACTAAATACTTCAATCAATAGTATTAAAACATTTGACTTCCCATTTAGGAAAAAAATCTAGTTAAACTCCTACTCACCCCATACATACAAATATATTTCAGATGAGATAAAGAACATAAATTAAAAACAACAAAAATAAAAATTATTGGAGAACTTAATAGAACTTGGTCATAAATTTAGAGCAGGTAGGATTTTCTTAGAAAAGATACACACAAATATACAGACAAATATGTGAGTAAAAATAAACAGAAAAGCTGGAGGTATATATATATAATTCCTAAAATCTATGGAACAAGTGCCTCTTAGAGTTAAAATTTTAGCATTTTATTGGGAGAAAATATTTGCATTATACATAACAAAGAATTAGTATGCAGCATATATAAATATGTTTTTAAAAATATGGTTGAAAATACAAAAACCTAACTTTTAAAAGAACAATTTATAGGAAAGGATATTTAAATGGCTAATACACATGTAAAAATTGCTCAATGTCACTGATAATCAGACAATTGCAAATTAAAGCAAAACAAGACACTGTTTGCACACATCAGATTGGCAAAAAATGAAAAGCTTGATGATATCAAATGTTGGCAAGGATCCAGGGAAGCACATACTTGCATATGCTGCTGATGAAGTTATGCTTTATTATAGTCCCTCTAGAAGGTAATTTGACAATGTTATGAAATCTGAAAATGTGCACTTCATATGACCTAGAGATTCCATTATTTTTCCACATATCTAAAAATACCTGACCTGTATATTCAGAAATCTGTATTACAGCTCGTTGGTGATAGTAAATAATTGAAAGCAGCTAAAACATTCACCAATAGAGGAATAGAGTGTGTACTTATCTCTCAACTCACCAAGTTGTTTACATTAAATATGGACAGCTTTCTGTATGTCAGTTACACCTTAGTAGTTTCAAAATTTTAATCCAAATGTAATCCTATATATATATGTGTATATATGTATACATATGTATGTATATTTATGTGTGTGTGTGTGCTGTCTTATTTCTACGTTCTCTATTCTGTTCCATTGGTCTGTGTGTCTGTTTTTGTACCAGTACCACGTTGTTTTGGTTAATGTAACCCTGTAAATATAATTTGAAGTCGGGTAGCATGATGCCTCCAGTTTTGTTCTTTTTGCTTAAGATTGCCTTGGCTATTTGAGCTCTTTTTTGGTTCCATATGAATTTTACAATTGTTCTCTCTAGTTCTGTGAAGAATGTCAACATTCTAAAATCTATAAATTGAATCTATAAATTGCTTTGGGCAGTATGGCCATTTTAATGATATTGATTCTTTCTATCCATGAACATGGAATGTTTTTCCATTTTTTTTGTGTCATCTCTGATTTCTTTGAGCAATGGTTAGTAGTTCTCCTTGTAGAGATCTTTCACCTCCCTAATTAGCTGTATTCTGAGGTATTATATTTTACTCTTTTTGTGGTAATTGTGAATGGGAGTTCATTCCTGATTTGGCTCTTGACTGGTGTTGTTATATAGGAATGCTAGTGATTTTTGCATATTAATTTTGTATTTTGAGACTTTGAGGAAGTTGTTTTTCAGCTTAATAAGCTTTCTGGCTGAGACTGTGGGGTTTTCTAAATATAGGATCATGTCATCTGCAAACAGGGATAGTTTGACTTCCTATTTAGATGCCTTTATTTCTTTCTCTTGCCTGCATAATTCAGTATATTAAAAGGGCAATGCATCATGACCAAATAAGGTTTATCCCAGAAATCTAAGATTAGTCTAACCTTTGAAAATCTGTCCATGTAATTTACCATATTAGCAAACTAAAACAAACAAAAATAAAAATACCTTAATAATCTCAGAAATCACATTTGACAAGATCTATCATCCATTCCTGATAAAAAAAAATTATCAGCAAACTGGGAATAGAAGGGGACTTCCCAACCTGATGAAGGGCATCTGTGAAAACCTTACAGTTTTCATACTTAATGGTGAAAGAATGAATGCTTCCCCCTAAGATCAGGAATAAAACAAAGATTTTCCTTCCCACCACATCTATCAGCATTGTATTGGCAGTCCTATTCTATACCATCAGGTAAAGAAAAGTAATATAATGTATACAGACTAGGAAGGAGGAAGTAAAACTGTCTTTGTTTTCATATATGATTATCTATTTAGAAAATCTAATGTAATCTATGAAAAACCTACTAAAATTATAAATTAGCAAGCTTACAGAATATATGGTCAACATAATGACATAATTATGAATACCTATGTACTCAACCCCTCCAACCCAAGAACTAGACTATTCCAAGTAACTTACATCTAGTGTGTGCTTCTCCCTTATTCGATTACCATGCTTTAAAAACATTTCAATATTTCATATATATATTATATTTCATGGATGCATAATATAGATAAAGGAATGAGAAAAAATTAGAGTGTTAGAATATATATCCACTTAGTAAGAGATAAGAATGAGGATTAAGTTTGAGAGATGCTTTATCTATATCTGTTATTCTAATATTTTTAAGGGCAGTGAATTTATAGTTCAATTGTTTTAATATTTTTAAGTACAAACTTAAAAAAAAAGACTTGAGGTAAATATTCCAAAGTGCTTATTATTGGTTGAGTTTCAGCAGCGTTAATATTAATGGATTTCTTTTCTTTTTTTACTACTTTCTGTTATTTGTTTCTATACCTTAATATGTTATTTAATTTTCTAGAAACAAAAAGTAAATTGATTTATTTGGGATTATGAATGAGAAGTTCTTGTGTACAGTGATTTGAAGGAGTAATAAGAAACCTTCCATATTATCACATGTGGAGATATTAAGATCTATTGGAAAACAAATTCACTGTACATGTGTAACACATTTCAATTGATGAGTATATATCAATTTATAACCCGTATTTCAAGTATTTTAGTTATAACTGAGAGTAAGAACTTTTTTTTTTACTTCATGCTATTGCTGTGGAAGAAATCATGTCAAAACTCAGTGGCTTAAAACAATAGTCATCATTATTCTAACCCACACATCTATGGTTTGGTGGGGGATTGACACACTAGGCTGAGCTCAGCTAATCTCAGATTGATTCATTCATTTGTTTGTAATTCAACTGGCTTATTTATGTGTCTGCAAGTCTGCCAGGGCTCTGCTCTAATGTGGGTTTGTGTGATGCACTGTAGCTGCTCCACACGTGTCTCATCCTTATCCAGAGACCAGCATACAGGCCCAGATATGACCTTCTCATGGCCATGGCAGAAATGGCAGAGGGTAAGTGGAAACGTGCAAGACCTCTTAATAATGTGTGAATAACTGTGGCATACTCTCAGTGTGGATTGGCTATGATATTTTTGATGTGCCAGGCAATGTGCTACACACTTTATATACATTATTCATTTACTTCTCTATCCAGTCTTATGAAGGACTACTATTATCGC
This sequence comes from Homo sapiens, assembly GCF_000001405.40. NCBI lineage: Eukaryota > Metazoa > Chordata > Mammalia > Primates > Hominidae > Homo > Homo sapiens. Next base: position 74,265,563 of record NC_000004.12, read on the forward strand.
AATTATACAGGGAAGGAAACAGGATTACATGGACACTTGTCCAAGGTTATTGAGTTATTAAGCTGGAAAACCTGAAATCTGAACTTGAGCCTTAGATTTTAGCCAAGGAACAAAGGTACCTAGACAAGCACTTAAAATTGCCATGGCTAGTATTTTTGTCATGCATACTATTTTTGTCATGAATAATATTAAAATACATTGTAAAATAGTACTTTGGTATATCATATGATTTGCTAAGCTTAATATTCTCTATATCAACATTTGTCCAGCAAGATTTCGAGAGCAATACTTTGTATGATGGGTGAAGAAGAAATGCAGTTTGCCTAATTTGCAGATGTGGAGACGTCATTACTTTTTTTCTTTTAACAAACAAAGCACCATTTAATTTTTCTTTCAAAGTGCTTTAAATATGTTGAAGTCAATTATTTATGTGTTAGATTCTGATATTTGTATATCTGATTTAATTTTTAGAACAGTTCAGTAATTTGATAACCAATGATTCAGACCATTGTATCTGTACACATCCATTAAGCACTCCTTTCTCAAACTTTATTGACTTTTTCATTACAACCTTTGAAAGTTACTGGAACATAGCAGAAACTCAAGCTTCATCTATGTGGACTCTTATGTTGTTCCAGAGGTTTCATATAAGTATCAAGACATGGTAGGGGCATTTAGTTTTCACTATTATGTTTCTAAACTCTCATCAAATGAGCTAGTCATCATCTGATTTGGTCCTTGTCCAACTGCCTACACATGCACTTGCAGAAGTGCTCCTTTTTGCCCAATTGCTTTAATCTCTCTATTACCCTGTCATCCTTAGGTACACAGGAAATGCTAAGACAGTGTCTAAGGCATCTGCTTTAGCCATCCTTCCATCTATTTAATTATTTGGGACCATACCACCTTTCCAACCACTACACAGGCTATAGGAAAAATATATTTTTGTTTTTGGATTTCCAAAACCAAAACTAGGGATTTTGCCAGTTCTCCAAGACACAGCCCAGGGAGCATTGACTAGCAACATCTCCCTGGGAACCTCTGAAGTCTAAGCTCTCACCACTTCTCCAACTCTCCTGACTTTTCGAACTCAACCCTTCCATTTTCTTGTTTGAGTCTCTCTGTTCTTCTAAAGTGCTAGGCTTTTGAAATCTTGAAGCTAAGAAGTAAGGTCTCCACTTCTCTCCTGTCTATCACTTTTCTGAGTCAATCAGCACTGAATGCCTTAGCTGCTGCTAGAATGCTTAAAGGTTGTAGGAGAAGGGAAAATCTAAGACTGCATAAGAGGGGAATACTAGGGATTGTAAAAAAGTAATTTGTTTTCTAAATATCAGGCCTCATTTCTTTGTATTATCTAGACTATCTGGCTTTCAGGAGGTACATCTTTAAAAGAAAGAAATTGGACTAATTGGTTTTTCAAGTTGAGCTCTGGGGAACCTAAAGGGATTTGGCTGGTAGCAGAGCTCCCCTCTACCTCTTTTCAACTAATATACCTCTCCTTGCTTTGATCCTTTTACACACTGAGCTTGGTAAACAATTTTCCTTTAAATAAATGTTTCTAAAATGTTTGAAACCCATTCCATTCGACTTTAATACTCTGTGAATAACATGACAGTTGGTAATATAGACCCTTGCCTATTGTCCCTACTGGCCTGCAGTCTCTCCTCATTCCCCAAGTGCATTGGTGTCTGTTTGCAGGAAATACATTTCTTTTTTCTATTCTATTCTTTTCTTTTCTTTTCTTTTCTTTCTTTCTCTTTCTCTCTTTCTTTCTTCCTTTCTTTCTCCTTTCTTTCTTCCTTTCTCTTTTTTCTTTCTTTCTTTCTTTCTTTTCTTTCTTTCTTTTCTTTCTTTCTTCTTTCTTTGACAGCATATCACTTTGTTGCCTAGGCTGGTGGCGCCATCGTGGCTCACTGTAGCCTCAATCCACCGCCCACCCCTGCCCACCCGGGCTTAAGCAATCTTCCCACCTCACCCTCCCAAGTAGCTGGGACCACAGCCATGCACCACCATGTCCAGCTTTGTTTGTTTGCTTGTTTGTTTGTTGCTGTTTGTAGTGACAAGGTTTCCCTATGTTGCCCAGGCTGGTTTTGAACTCCTGGGCTCTGGCGATCCTCCCACCTTGGCCTCTTAAAGTTCTGGGATTACAGGTGCCCTCAGAGAATAAGGTTTGATTGATGGGAGGAAGAAAAGAGAAGCACACATTTGGACCCCACAGGTCCATTGACTTTGCAGAAATATGGTCCAAGGCAGAAGGTGATGGAACTACTTGAATGATCCTATGAATTTCTGAATATAAGAGGATTCCAAAGCCCTAGACGATCCAATATGGCACAGAGCAGAGCCCTACTGGCCCTGAGCTCTGTAAGGAACCTAGCACCATCCTGGTACCACAAGGAATAGAAGCTTTGGGGGCATTCAGATATTGTCCTTGGCATGAATATTATTCTCATGACAGGCATGATAGGCATATCTGTTCAGATAGGAACCAAAGAAGCCAGAGAAAAGAAAAAGAACAGGAAATGTTCTGTGGTCACTGCCACTGACTCACTGGGTTGTAAACACTTTTTGAGGATTTCTAGAAATAACAGGAGGATACCTGGGAGAAGACACTGAGGTTTTTGTATTACTAATGTAGGCTCTATTTATCTAGGATGCATTTAGCCATTATATTACTGTCTGCAAAGCAAATAATGCTGAAGAAAGTTTTTCTAATCTAGAAAGAAGCATACATTCACACAAATTCCACTCTAATTATTATCTTTATTTATGTAGTAGGACAATTTCCAGCTGAAGAAGTGATCCACCTGAGTAAGCATTTCCATGGTGTTCCTTTTATATCTGAGTTAGAGTTCTGGTTTTGTTCCCAGCCTTACCTCTGACTCATCATTGTGAAACCAAGAAATCATTTAGCCTCTCAGCACCTCAAAATCTTTCTTCTGTGAATGAGGATAATGGGTAAACCTTTTCTTGCTTCACTGAATTGTTGTGAAGTTTAATTAGATAATGTTTACACAGTCCTTTGAACTCTACTAATTAAAGTGATGTGTAAATATGGCGCTTCCTTTTATCAGGATGGCTTGACTGAGCCATTTCATGAAGAGTTACAGATGACTATGATAGGAGTATCCATAGGGAAGTGATTAATTTTTTTTAATTCATGTAAACTCAATTCTGAGATTATCAAATACACATATGAAAATATCCAGTTGCGGCTGTAATTAGGGAGAATAAGGATATAGCCTCCCACTAGCTGAAGAGCTAATGGTCACACCTTCACATTAGGGAAAGCTTAGCTCCTAGGGTGTAGACTAGTGCTCTGTTTGCTTTAGGTATTGCTATCATTTTTTTCTATGTTACCTTTATTCGGTATTTTTTTGCCTAGGCAACATTGGTGATTTATTTTATATTTGTCATATAATGAATCACAAAATAGCATATTTACAATCCCTTGATGAGAAAGACATAAGCTTTAAAGTAGTGTGAATCTATATAGATGATCCATTGGTTCATTTACTTATCAAAGAGATTTTCACCTGAAACAGAAAAATCTTAGATAAATCAGAAATCTTCTTACTAAGTTTCCCAAGGAGACTGTTTTACTCTAATATTATCATCTCAATTACTTTTGAAATTCTGCATTAGTAAGAAACCCTTTCTTTTGCCAGAAATAAGTTGATAAAAGGATTAATTAGCTTGGGGGGAAAAAACACAAGTTTTTCTCCATAAGCCTTCTTTGTGCGTTAGTGTATAATTATCTTTGTTAGACAGAATTTTCTAAATGATAATATTATAGGTATGTAACAATTCAATTTCATATGCTACTGAATGACTCAGAATTTGGAGTTAATATAGTTTATTGAAAACTCAGATAACTAATATGGGAGTTTTGAAAACTGCTAAATATCATAATGGGAGTTTACAGCAGGAAATGTTTCTATAAAATCTAGTAGCTTGTTTTTTATACTTGTAATGCATAACAAATACATTATATATAATAATAAATAATGTATAAATAATGTATGAATAAATTATGTCTACTTTCATTACCTATGTACTTCAGGGATATGTCTGCTGATGGACCAGCATAACATAAAAGCACTTTGAACTGTTTGAAACTTCAAATTCAGAGTCTGATTTTCTATCTTCTGAAATATATTTTCTGCCTCAAATCCTCACCAGTATGATATGAGTAGAATTACACAGAAATTTGAAATTATTTAGGTCCAGGCGGAAGACTTGTCAAAAGTGTGATAGTGCCTTAGTAAACTCTAAGGCATAATAGCAGAGGTGTATTATTTGATATTTCCAGAAGAAGGCAGATAAGTATAGATTATTTTGATCCAAGGAGACACTAAAGAAAACAAAATACAGATCTAAAACTGTAAAACATGTAGCCTTAGGATGCACAAAGATAAAATAGAATTCAAATTTGCTACCATGGAGAATAAATATTCTATTTACGGACCTAAGGTCCTGAATGAATCTGTATCCCTACACAATGGGGTTTTTAGGTATTCTTTTTTTAAATAGAAAGATAAAGGTTAGTTTTAGTCATTAGCTAGTGGTTTTCTTTTTGTCCAAAATTCATTTTATTTTTTTCTTTTTATTATTATTATTATTATACTTTAACTTCTAGAGTACATGTGCACAACATGCAGGTTTGTTACGTATGTATACATGTGCCATGTGGGTGTGCTGCACCCATTAACTCGTCATTTAACATTAGGTATATCTCATAATGTTTTCCCTCCCCCCTTCCCTCACCCCACAACAGGCCCCGGTGTGCGATGTTCCCCTTCCTGTGTCCAAGTGTTCTCATTGTTCAATTCCCACCTATGAGTGAGAACATGCAGTGTTTGGTTTTTTGTTCTTGCAACAGTTTGCTGAGAATGATGGTTTCCAGCTTCATCCATGTCCCTACAAAGGACATGAACTCATCATTTTTTATGGCTACATAGTATTCCATGGTGTATATGTGCCACATTTTCTTAATCCAGTCTATCATTAATGGACATTTGGGTTGGTTCCAAGTCTTTGCTATTGTGAGTAGTGCCGCAATAAACATACATCTGCATGTGTCTTTATAGCAGCATGATTTATAATCCTTTGGGTATATACCCAGTAATGGGACGGCTGAGTCAAATGGTATTTCTAGTTCTAGATACCTGAGGAATAGCCACACTGTCTTCCACAGTGGTTGAACTAGTTTACAGTCCCACCAACAGTGTCAAAGTGTTCCTATTTCTCCACATCCTCTCCAGCACCTGTTGTTTCCTGACTTTTTAATGATTGCCATTCTAACTGGTGTGAGATGGTATCTCATTGTGGTTTTGATTTGCATTTCTCTGATGGCCAGTGAGGATGAGCATTTTTTCATGTGTCTGTTGGCTGCATAAATGTCTTCTTTTGAGAAGTGTCTGTTCATATCCTTCGCCCACTTGTTGATGGGGTTGTTTGTTTTTTTCTTGTAAATTTGTCTGAGTTATTTGTAGATTCTGAATATTAGCCCTTTGTCAGATGAGTAGACTGCAAAAATATTCTCCCATTCTGTAGGTTGCCTGTTCACTCTAATTGTAGTTTCTTTTGCTGTGCAGAAGCTCTTTAGTTTAATTAGATTCCATTTGTCAATTTGGCTTTTATTGCCATTGCTTTTGGTGTTTTAGACATGAAGTCCTTGCCCATGCCTATGCCTTGAATGGTATTACCTAGGTTTTCTTCTAGAGTTTTTATGGTTTTAGGTCTAATATTTAAGTCTTTAATCCATCTTGAATTAATTTTTGTATAAGGTGTAAGGAAGGGATCCAGTTTCAGCTTTCTACATATGGCTAGCCAGTTTTCCCAGCACCATTTATTAAATAGGGAATCCTTTCCCCATTTCTTGTTTTTGTCACGTTTGTCAAAGATCTGATGGTTGTAGATGTGTGGTATTATTTCTGAGGGCTCTGTTCTGTTCCATTGGTCTATATCTCTATTTTGGTACCAGTACCATGCTGTTTTGGTTACTGTAGCCTTGTAGTATAGTTTGAAGTCAGGTAGCATGATGCCTCCAGCTTGTTCTTTTGGCTTAGGATTGTCTTGGCAGTGCGGGCTCTTTTTTGGTTCCATATGAACTTTAAAGTAGTTTTTTCCAATTCTGTGAAGAAAGTCATTGGTAGCTTGATGGGGATGGCATTGAATCTATAAATTACCTTGGGCAGTATGGCCATTTTCACAATATTGATTCTTCCTATCCATGAGCATGGAATGTTCTTTCATTTGTTTGTATCCTCTTTTATTTCATTGAGCAGTGGTTTGTAGTTGTCCTTGAAGAGGTCTTTCACATCCCTTGTAAGTTGGATTCCTAGGTATTTTATTCTCTTTGAAGTATAGCTAGTAGTTTTAAGAGGGTATTATGTAAGTTCAGACAGAAGTCAATCTGAAGCTGGATAGATGTAGCCCCAATAATGTTGATGATAATACCAAAGTTTTACCCACAAAAATTCTGGCATCGCTTTGATATCTTCAATTTGGGCTTGATTTGGATACAAAGGTATTGGTAAGTCTACGTCGCTATCGAAACTAGCTATGAATAGGGCATCCTAAGGGATTTTAAGAAAGAGATAAATCAGGACATCATTTAATCTGGCAACTCCCCTTTCAGAGTATCAAATTAACAGGTGTGGGATCACGGAGGAGGAAAGACTGTATTTCTGTTCTAAGCCTGGACATAAGGAATGTTTAGGAGTTATTGGAAATGCCCACCACCTGCATAGTATGTTTATTCCAAGGGGACTGTTGAATAAGAATAGAAGAGTTTAAGGCTAATATGGTCATACCTATATCAATCAAAAGGTTGTTCTTTTAACATTATAAGAAATTTCTCCTTGTGAATTTAAGGGTAAAATGAGAAACTGGGCATTTGATTTCCTTTAAAGCACTTCCATTTTTACATCCTTCATTTTTTCCCTTTATTTTTAATATATTAACTTTTTTGTCAGTGTTCTTTCTGTTTACAGTATCTGCAACTGGCTTTACCGAGTAACTCCCTGTTCAGGGAGTGTTTAATGATTGGTAATACCGGATTGTTTTATCTGTAGGGGCCTGAATTTGATTTAAGACTTATTTGATTTTTGTGCCAAGTCCCTTTCAAAATGTTCAACAGGGTGCTAGAGGTCTGGCAATAGGCTGTTTCCCGTTTCTGCTTTTTCTTGTGTTTTAACTCTTTTATTTCTGGCTTAAGGTCATTCACAAGAAAATGAGCAGAAAGTGAGGCTTCATCTGAATCAGTGTTTACTTCTGAATTCTGTCAAAAGGTGTCAAATAACCTATCCTTGAACTCCCTAATGAACTTATTCTTTCTTTGCTTATAGGACTGAATCAGAGTCCAATCTATGTTTACAGGAAAGATTTGGGGGATAGCTTCCAAAAGACATTCAAAATCTACAGCTTGCAAAATCCCTCTGATTTCTTATGCAATTAGGAATCTTTGTATTACGCCTTTTTATCCAGTTCTTTTGTATCTGAGCATATGAAGTAATAGATATCGATTTGAGGAGTATGGGTTTTACATTCCTAAAACTATTCCTGATGTCCCTGCAAATTTTATCGTGGTGAGGCTTTGGGTACATTTTAATAATGGCTTTTAGCTCAGAATGAGATGAAGTCTTAAAATTAACAATAAGAGTTTTTTTCTGTTCTGACAGGGGCTTAACTTTATAAAATAATGCACTTTAGGAGTTTCTGGACAGCCAGAAGAAAGGGGGAACAAGTCAGAAGGAGATGGAGAAACACTCTGGGAGAAGAAGAATAATAGGATAAAGGCCATTAAGTTTGTGTTGAAGTTTGAAGGAATCTAAAAGAGATTAAGTATTTCACTTTTATTTTTTTGCCTCAACAAAGGAATCTTTTAAGGGAATAATTTTGAAGTCTGAATAATTTTGAATACTTCCTCAAACACATTAACAATGCAAATCATTGGACGTTTGAAATTTTATTCCTTTATGTTCTAAGGCACCTCTCAAATGTACACTTCTGTTCATATCAAAACGCCTTGAAAATGTCTATTATAATTCTAAATTATCTTTAGTGAAACTAAGCCATTTAGAAAGATAATAAATATAAGAATTTGTGTTATGGTACAAATACATGTACAAAGAAAGAGTCTGTCAGAGGGGGAATGGTCTTCGGTTTAAACTGAGCCAAGTCCAGCAGAGTCTAGGAACTATCAGGTGAAAGTACTGCTGTGTACCTCCTGCCTCAGCCCCCCATGGCCTGATGGCTGGGCCTTCTCCAGGTGCAAACCTCACACGTGCAGTTTTCACAGATAGTAAAGTTTGGAGAGATTTCACGAGACAGACTGGGAAAAGCACTCATAAGATTTTGGTAAGTGACCTCAGGCAAAATTTTTCCAGAGTTTTCCATAGTTCAGAGGAACTTTCTGAATTTCTCAGTCCTCAAGAACAGTTTGATTTTTTTTTTCTTTTTTCAAGTAGAGATGGGGTTTCACCATGTTGGCCAGGCTGGTCTCAAACTCCTGACCTCAAGTGATACACCTCCTTCAGCTTCCCAAAGTGCTGGGATTACAGGCATAAGCCACTACACCCAGCCTGTCAAAATCAGTTTGAGGATGGATTTATCTGGTTTATACCCATTCCCTTTCTGTGAACTTTGCTTTTATAGAGATACAAAAAAATGATAGGGATAGAGATATATAGTGTAGTTAATAATAAAACTGATTTCTACCAAGGATAAAAGTTATTCAAATCTGGTCAATCAAAGGATTCCTTAAAAAGGGCTTCTTATTCATAGAAGACAAAATAAATGCAGTTCATGGGGAACTTTAAATAACAAAATGTATAAGAGGTCAGACTCAATGTGAGCCATACCTCATTGTAACAGTAGGAGAGACCAACAACTCCTTATCCTAGCAGGAAGTTCAAAATGCCACAAGGCACTCCTGCTTTTTGACTCAAGTCTTGGATCATTTACAACAGAAGTTCTTGACTAGATCTTTGTGGATCTTTAAGATTATTGAATGCTGGTTCCCCAAAAATATCACCGAAACAATTCAATGATATGACAAATCTTAGTTTATGGTTACTGTAGCATGGGTGAGAACTGCATTGACAGAGCCTTAGTAGCAGTGGTATGCTGAAGCTTGCTCCACCAGCCTGTGAGATTGATTCTGAGCATCTCTTCCCCAATCCATGTTCAGTGAGGTCACATTAGTAGCTTGAAGTCAGCCATGGTAGGACTATTTATGTTGTAGAAATCATCAAATTCTACACATCAGAGATAGTTTTTCTCCTGGAGAGCCAGTTAAACTTAGTAACATGTTAGGGTGTGGGGGCAAAGTTGAAATATTTATAAGATGTTAGAGTTTGTTTCAAAGCAAGTCTTTATTTTTTAATTTTTCTACTTTAAGTTCCAGGATACATGTGCAGAATGTGCAGGTTTATTACATAGGTATCCGTATGCCATGGTGGTTTGCTGCACCTATCAACGCATCACCTAGGTTTTAAGCCCTGCATAGGTTAGCTATTTGTCCTGATGCTCACCCCACCCCCAACAGGCCCCAATGTCTGTTGTTGCCTTTCCTGTGTCCATGTGTTCTCATTGTTCAACTCCCACTTATGAATGAGAACATGCGGTGTTTGGTTTTCTGTTCCTGTGCTAGTTTGCTGAGGATAATGGCTTCCAGCTTCATCCATGTCCCTGCAAAGGACATGATCTCGTTCCCTTTTGTGGCTGCATAGTATTCCACAGTGTATATTTACCACATTTTCTTTATCCAGTCCATCATTGATGGGCATTTGGTTTGGTTCCAAGTCTTTGTTATTGTAAATAGCGCTGCGATAAATATATGTGTGCATGTGTCTTTATGATAGAATGATTTATAATCCCTTGGATATATACCCAGTAATGGGATTGCTGGGTCAAATGGTATTTCTGATTCTAGATCCTTGAGGAATCACCACACTGTCTTCCACAATGGTTGAACTAATTTATATTCCCACTAATAATATAAAAGGGTTCCTATTTCTCCACTGCCTCACCAGCATGTTGCTTCTTGACTTTTTAGTAATTGCCTTTCTGCCTGGTGTGAGATGGTATCTCATTCTGCTTTTGATTTGCGTTTCTCTAATGATCAGTGATGTTGAGCTTTTTTTTTTTATGTGTATGTTGGCCACATAAATGTCTTCTTTTGAGGAGCACCTGTTCATATCCTTTGCCCACTTTTTGATGGGGTTGTTTGTTCTTTTCTTGTAAATTTTTTAAAATTCCTTGTAAATTCTGGATATTAGACCTTTGTCATATGGTAGATTGCAAAAATTTTCTCCTATTCTGTATGTTGCCTGTTCACTCTGATGATAGTTTCTTTTGCTGTGCAGAAGCACTTTAGTTTATTTACATCCCATTTGTCGTTTTTAGCTTTTGTTGCAATTGCTTTTGGTGATTTCATTGTAAGTCTTTGTCCATGCCTATGTCCTGAGTGGTATTGCAAAGCAAGTCTTTTAACATGCCTTATGGAGGCTTGCTTAGAATTGGATGATTATAATATGAAAGTTTAGGATTGGTGGATACAAAGAGAGGGTTTTGAAGCAAGGGTTTCAAAACATTCTACAGAATCAGCTGTTTGATGCTACCTACTGAAACATCAAAAGATTTGATATTCATTAAATGAGTTTTTCTTAAGTTCATGCGACAAAATCACTTTCATCTTTCATCTTTCTGAGCAAGAGTTTCCTGGAGTAAGAAAGTTATGTAGATGAGGACAGCTGAATAATAAAATAATGTTAATATTACAGCTTTTAATATATAAGCTATGTGAGCATAGATGGTTTTGGTTCTCACATATAATGCTTGAGCCCTCAAATTATGTATAAAAATTAAGGATTGGTTCTATGGAATTATGATAGCAACAACAGAAAAAGTAAAGCTCATAGGAATAATTCACTTGAAATCATTCATTTTCAACTCTAACAAAAAGAAAAATATCCGGACTGTGCATCCTAATGGTATATGTCTTTTATTTATCTAATATTTAAATCGATTTTGATTCTGTTTTATCCAATGACAAGAATTTATATTGCATTTGTATACTTGGGGAATTAAACACATCAAGTCTAAGAACTTTCTTTCCAATATCTATAAAAATACACTGATTGAGCAACTATATGCTTCCGATCATTTGCCTCTGCAAGACAGCAGTGTAAGTAGACTACTTAGTGTATTTAGCGTAACTAAAATAGAGATTTTGTATGTTTGTCATAATTCCAACCATTAAATATAATTTATATAATTATCTTCTTAAGTAGAATGAATGATAGAGTCAAAGGTCAACACAACTTCAGAAATGAATTACTTGGGGAAAGAAAGAGGATTTTTTTTTTAATTTGAAAGGACAAAGGAGAATGTTTAAATCATAGAATTGAAAGGCATAACTAATACAGAAGTTTGTAAGTCTGGCAGAAGCTTAGAGAAGACCTAGATGCTTCTGCAGTCCAAACACCATGAGGACAGCATGGAGGAGCAAAATGGGTCCCAGTACCTCTATTGCTTGCATAAGAATGGTGAGACAGAACACTCACACAAATCAGCCAAAGCAGATTTTTTTTTTTTTTTCACAGATATGCAGCAAGAATAAACAGAAGCCTAGAATCCTTGGTGAGCCAGCTTCCCAAGGCTCAGGAAACTGCTGAGGGCGAATGGAGTCTTATCTGTGCTTGCCCCATTGTGACACAGCTGAGGGAACTCAATACACCCTAGATACCACTTGAATTGCTGAGCTGAAGCACTGAGGAACATCCCGTTCTAAGAGGGAGGAGGACATAGCCTAGGTTGTACCCAACACTTTCTCTTTATCTCAAGATGCCCCATTGTAGTTACTAGGATGCCCCATTCTAGAACTACAATGGGATAAAGAGAAAGTCACTGTTAAGTGGCAGGGGAAAGAGCTGGGGCAGCCAAGGTCATCTGGGGATTTGTCCTCCTACAACTAACCTTCCCAGTTCAATCCCTTCTTTATTTTGAATATTGCTAATAAGGAATAAGGACAATATACAGTTTCTCTTTGTGGTATATTATATTATCCTTAGAATATTCTTTATACTGAGCTAAAAGATACTCCCTCCCTTTGTGTTTTTTCCTTTCTTCTCTCCAAAACCATATAGAGTAAAATCTTCCTGATTTGCAGTTTAACATATTGAAGAAACTACTATAGTTATTGGGGTTTTCTCGTTTTGTTTTTAGGTGTATGCATTTGTTTGTTTGTTTGTTTGTTTGTTTGTTTCTGAGATAGGTAGCCTAGGTTCATTTAACCATTCCTCTAGTGCAGAGGGTTTCACTGTGTGGTCAGTGCACTGGTGATGGTCTGTGACTATTTCTTACCCTCTGCACATATGTTATAGGTCTGCAAGAAGATAGGGAGCTTGCACCAAACTATAAATCAACACACCACTTATTTCACTGAAAAATTCTTGCTACAAAAAAAAATAAAGTTAGCTGAATTAAACTGTGTTTATTGAGATAGTTGCTTTATGTTGTAGCACAAGATTTTATCTTATTGCAGATCACTAATAAGGAATTGAACCAGCTAGTTTGATAGCAAGTGATAAGAATTTGACATGATTTCTAGACTGATTCTAACCATTCTTCCCTAGACCAGCCTCCGAAGTACAACCAACTATTCCAGAGAGTTTGCTAAAAATATATTGGAAAATATTACATCCTTGTATCTGGAGACCATCTTAGTTTTGTATTGAGTTTTTAATCAAGTACAGCACTTCATGAGAATTATACATTTGTTCCCATTCAGATTCTTCTTGATACTTAGAATCCGTCATTCCAAAATTACAACCCAGTAACCATTCTGTCCAATTTGATGTCATTTGCAATATGGGCTATGTAGCTACTGGTATGTTAAAAAACAAAACAAACAACTACCTTTAAAAAAAATTTTTCCTGAGTCCATGGTTCAGCTGATCAGTTATTGTGACCTTGACTCACTCATTTCTGATGAACTTTCTGGGGCCCGATCAAGCATCTGCCATCACTGGTTGTTGGCAGGGGGCTGATCAGTCTATTATGGCCTCAGCTAAAGTGACTCAGCTTTCCTCTATGGTTCTTGTATCCTTCAGTAGGCTAGCTTGAGCTTGTTTTCATGGCCATGACGTGGTTCCAAGAGAGATAAGAAGCACACAAGACCTTTGTAAGGATCAGTCCCACCGCTGGCCTAGAGTAAAGCAGAAAAAAGGTGAAAATGCATCTGGAGGAGAACAAAGATAAAACCATCACAATGCCAATGTGTCCTTCCAAATTATTCATTAAAAATTTGAACATGGTATTGACAAATGCTTTTCACAGAAGACCTCAATAGACCTTACAAATGCATTGGTCGACAGTTTTCTAATATGTTATTTAGCTACCTATGACTCTACCAATAGATGCTTTCATCTAACCTACATTTTTCCATTCATAACAGTTCAGTGAAAAGTTTTCTAAAATTTGATGCTGTAATTAAGAAATTACCTATCGTTTTCTGAACACAAATGACCATCACTGTATTATTTATAATAGCAAAATATTAGAAACACTGCAGGAATGAATACATTTTTATGGTAATCCATACAATTAATTAGTTCATATGGCTCCTAATTTTCAAATGAAATGGGAAAATGCTCACATTTTAATTTAATGACAGAGTGGTAAGATACATAGTGAGACACAACATTAAGGAAATACAGGTTTCATATTTTATATTTAATATATAAATATTTTGAAATCCGAGAAAGAAATACACTAAAAATACTAATACTTATTTTCTTTGGATAGTAAGATAACAGTGATTTTTATTTTCATGTTAAATTTTTATATATTTTCCAAATTTTCTACAGTGGATATATAAAGCGTCATTATCCAAAACAGACAAATATTTAAAGTTTTTTTCCATTTTGTAATTTTCCTGGGAATTAAAATCAAGCTCACACTTTCCTCTATTTTGAAAATTTTGCCATTTGTTCATTGCCATTTAATATTCTCTGAGATGTTATAATAATCAGAGGGAGATTGGGATCTTTGCCATTAGCATAGTAGCTGGACTGTAATAACTATTTTATGAATATTTTTATCTTGAACTTTTTTCTGCAGCTATACTCAATGTATGTCTTCTTTTTCTATTGGATGCCAAGAAGAAACAGGATTTTATGACTATCTGGAGCAATGCATAGTACCTATGTCAGAACCAATAAAAAAGATAAGTTCTATATCACAGGATAGGAAAGCAAGGGAAAAATATATCTCAAACATTGGTGACTCTTCTGTTACATCATTATGAGACTAAGGAAGCTATCCTACAGCTATATCTATGTTGACACTGACCATTTGTTTATAGCCTTTAAACTCTTGCTAGCAGTAAAAATCATGTTACAAGGTGACATTTAAGCCACCCGTAATGCTTAAATGGATAGTACAGGTGCTAGAATGTCTCTAACAATGCAGTGGATAGGCTTTTCCTGCAAGAGATCTAGAATACGAATGTGAGAACATCACCTACCGACACCATGTCCACTAGAAGCATTGTGATAGAATAATAAAGATGATCACAGAGTCTTTGATTCTCCTCCCATTGAGAAGTGGAGTCTCTGTTCCTCCTCGTGATCTGAGTGGACTGTGTTACTTCTTGACCAATAGTATATGACAGAAGTGACATTATGCTGGTTTCCCAGTCCAAGCATTAAGAGGCTGGTAACTAATACTTCTTGTCTCCTGGAACACTCACTCTTGGAAGCCAGCTGCCAAGCTGTGAGAAACCAAGCCCCATGAAGAGTTCATGCATATGTGTTCCAGTTGACAGCCTTAGCTATGCTCCCAGCCAATCACAAGCATCCACTGCAACCATGTGAGTGAGTCCTTTTAGCCTGGTCATGTCTTTAGATGACTCTAGCTTCAGACACTATCTGACTCCAATTACATGAAAGATCCTAAGCCAGATGCATCCAGATGAACTCAGTCAACCCACAGAACCATAAGACATAATAATAAATTGTTGCTTTAATCTATTAAATTTGTGATTGGATTGTTCAATGTTTTTTTTTTTTAAAAAACTGGAACATTAACCATTGTTAGCTGGTACTGTTGTATTTGAAACAAAATTTGAAAATAATTGCAGGAAATAGATGGTTGCATAAGATCTCTGTATAATGTTGCATAAGACCAATAGTGAGGAGAGCTTACTATACATGACACCTTTCAGAATCATATACGGACATCGTGATTCAAAGAAACCAAGAAAAAATAAAAAGAAAGCTCAAGGTAGCACTTAGCACTGCACATTTGGAGTTGATGAGATGCCATTATGAGTATGGCACTTTACTGTTTATGACAACCCTGGGGAATATGAATTATTATTATCTTCATTCTTTCTTTCCCCCTCCCTTCCTTTCTATCTCTCTCCCTTCCTCCCTCCCTTCCTCCCTTTTTTCTTTCCCTCCTTCCGATTTCCAAGTTGCTTTCACTGTGCTCCACTCCACCACACCTCAGCAGGAGCCTGTCTCATGTCCGCAGTCTCCCCATGCCATTCATAGTATGTGACATACAAAAGGATGCTGCTCAAGCAGGTATCCCTGTGATGTCAGGTGAGCCATCTCTGAAGTGAGAGGCTAGCTCCTGCAGGATTTCATCCTCAGAAGTCCTGATGTGCTGCCTTAATCATCTTTGTTATTCTCTCGGATCAGAAATCATCAATGGCCTGTTTTTTAAGGAACAATGTATTACACATACGTGTGTGTGTGTGTGTGTGTGTGTGTATTTTTAAAGCCTACCAAAACAGATATGTACACCTTTGTTATGCTGAAGGACAAACAACTCTTTTTGTTTTCAGGTATTCCAAAGTTGATTACGTCTGATATGGTTAAAGAAGGTGCTGCTGTAATTGATGTGGGTATCAACTATGTCCACGATCCAGTGACAGGAAAGACAAAATTAGTTGGAGATGTGGACTTCGAAGGTAATAAACCAATATCTTTTGATAGGTGAAGAAGATAAAAAAATTCCACCTTACGTATTTTAAAAATAGAGAAGTTTCATTTATGGAGGAATTATTAACTTATTAATCATCACCTCTTTCTTCTGAGGGAAAAGATTTTAATCAGACTTAAATATTTACTTTCTCCCTTCCTCTCTCTTTCCCTCCCTTTCATCCTTCCTTTCTTCCTTTTCTCCCTCTCTTCTAATTGTATCATTAATATTTGGTTTAGGGATCAAATTTCTTATAGTACAGTTTTTATTGATAGAATACAGCTGGCCTTTTATAGACCTGGGCATAGTTTTGAATTTTGGGAGTTGACATCTTACTCTACGCTTAGTCAAATATGCTCTATGCTCAGCCATTCACTCTTAGAGCCAGAAGGCACCTTAGGGTGTGTCTGCCAACCCTAACTACATTTCAGATCTAGGTAGTTATCTAGATAGTTGAAGTCAGTGTTTTTCACTTGTGTTTTAGAGAGAATAAAGAAAAGGAACTAAGCTAAAGTTTTTGTGGTCGATGAAAGATACAAGGCAACAAATATGTAGTAGTAAAAAAAAAATTCTAACCCAGTCTTCTCTTTACAATAGGGGAAACTGGGCCCCAGTACTTCTAGATGCCTGACCCTCTAATCTGATTTTACTTCCGTTATCTTTGTCATATATTTACCTGCATTCAGATTTTCAGTGTGCCTAGGAGTCTTAGATGTCTATGAAGGCATGAATATAGTAAAGTTAAGTGGTGACATTTTTATGTTAGAAATATTTTTTGTATAAGAGTGATTATTCTGGCCAAAAAATACAGTGCCACATCAAGAACTTTGTTAGTTATAGGTGTGTCCTTCTTACAGAGAAACTGAAAAGAATAGGTGATGCCATTTTAAAAATAATTTAGATTTTGTTTTTTCACTTAGAACCTGGTCATCAGGTGATGGTTTACCCAAGTTCTAGCATATTGTTGAATAAAATAGAAAATGCAGATAGTTAGAAGTGTCCTAGGGTACTGGCCCTATATATGTGAGATTCTAAGATACATCAGGGACCAGATCCAAGTAAGCCATTTGAGCCTAAAAGAAAAAGAAAACTGTAAGGACACATATGTGCAACAATGCGTTCTAGAGACAAAATGGTGTAAATAAGAGCAAAGTACAGATGTACCGTACCAAAGAAAACACTGCTGCCCTCATTGGCTCTAATACACAGGGTCTCTGACATGGTTGGAACTCTATTCTAGCAAGGCTGGCTCTTGACATGAACATGTCTATCTGTACGTATATACATATGTCTGTGTGTGTGTTGTGTACATGCTGAAATCACTAGGGAATGACCTCATTTATTTATTTAATCTTCCATGTTCAATCACTTAGGCCAGATATGAGTAACTTATTTGAATTTCTCAACTTGAAAGAGTAAAGTGCATTTTATTTTAAAACCTGGCTTATTTATTTTCTTTACTGTCATTCTGTTTCTTGATAACATTATAGTTATGCATTCATTGCAAAATTACCACATTTGTGATGCACCCAGATGGCACTGACAACATGAGATAACCAGCTTGAGGCAAGAAAAGCAGGGATGTTTGCAGTTCACAGCCTTGACTGCCTGTAAGGCAAGCTTACCCAGCAGTTCAGTCCAGCACATTTTACAAGACTCTTCTCTCATAGAGTATTTTTTTGGTCTCATGTCACTTCCATGCTTTCTTCTTTTTTAAGTAAGAATGTTTTTTACTGAAAGTAAAAAGTATTCTGAAAGCAATTTTTACATGAGCATTTTTGGTGGGTGTATATGCTTAGTAGCACATATACTCACTTCATGTCACATGAAGTCTAACTTGTTAATGATTATTAAATCAAATTGTAGTTCTGTGTATCTAAGTATATATAAAAATTTTAAAAGGAGATGGAAAAGAGACAAAGATATGAGATGAACAGGGCTGGGAGACCTAGCCTGTTGCCCTATAGTTTTGCCACCTCACTAGCTGTCAGTGATATCAGTTAAATGATAGCAATTATATTAGTGGCTCCATTCAGCTCTACTGTTTGGCATATCTTGGACATCCAACAGAGCATTACCAAATGATCGTGTAAAAGCACAGAAACTTTCACCTGGAAGGTCGAGCTTTTCTAATCCTCTCATAAAAGACACCCATATGATTAGTTGTATCTAGCTTGCCAGCCTGCTGATTCATGGAGCAAGAGTACTAATGAGGACCTGGACTTGGTAAAGAAGGCTTTGCCAGTGAGGCCATGACTCAGCCACCCACAGGAGCAGGCAAGTGATAGGTTTTGACATGTTGCTCTTCAAGTTGTTCATCAGGACTTAACCTGAGGTGAAGGATGATCCCCCAACTGAGAGGGAGGAATTTTAAGATGGGTTATGCCACAAAACTCATAAGTAACATTTGGCTTCAAATTGCCACAGGGAAAGTGTGGTGGCTGCTTTGTGAGTATCGGTGAAAAGTTTCACTATAACTATAGCCAAGATAAACAAAACAGATGTAGATAAAATCAATCGTTGAAGTAAATCGTCCTTGCAGAAATCTTTGTTTCATTAGTAAAGAAAACTGGATGACCCCGTTAAAAGTAGGTAACATTGATGGGAATGATTTATCCACATAAATAAACAAAATGGCTGTGACAGAAAGGATGACAATGTCCCAGAGGATGTAAAAAACTTCACATTAAAGGAATCTGCAGTGATATTTCATGCCATTGAAAGGGCAAAGGATAAAATGTTGGAAGCTGATTCATACTTAGAAAGGAATCTGCCAGTTCACCAAGGCATAGAAAAGATGCTTGCTCCTTCTAACTGGTGTGAGATGGTATCTCATTGTGGTTTTGATTTGCATTTCTCTGATGGCCAGTGATGATGAGCATTTATTCATGTGTCTTTTGGCTGCATAAATGTCTTCTTTTGAGAAGTGTCCGTTAATATCCTTCGCCCACTTGTTGATGGGGTTGTTTGTTTTTTTTTTTCTTGTAAATTTGTTTGAGTTCTTTGTAGATTCTGGATATTAGCCCTTTATCATATAAGTAGATGCAAAAATTTTCTCCCATTCTGTACATTGCCTGTTCACTCTGATGGGAGTTTCTTTTGCTGTGCAGAAGCTCTAAAAATCAGGAAACAACAGGTGCTGGAGAGGATATGGAGAAATAGGAACACTTTTACACGGTGGGACTGTAAACTAGTTCAACCATTGTGGAAGTCAGTGTGGCGATTCCTCAGGGATCTAGAACTAGAAATACCAATTGACCCAGCCATGCCATTGCTGGGTATATACCCAAAGGACTATAAATCATGCTGCTATAAAGACACATGCACACGTATGTTTATTTCAGTACTATTCACAATAGCAAAGACTTGGAACCAACCCAAATGTCCATCAATGTTAGACTGGATTAAGAAAATGTGGCACATATACACCATTGAATACTATGCAGCCATAAAAAAGGATGACTTCATGTCCTTTGTAGGGACATGGATGAATCTGGAAACCATCATTCTCAGCAAACTATCGCAAGGACAAAAAACCAAACACTGCATGTTCTCATTCATAGGTGGGAACTGAACAATGAGAACACTTGGACACAGGAAGGGAAACATCACACACCGGGGCCTGTTGTGGGGTGAGGGGGATGGGGGAGGGATAGCATTACGAGATATACCTACTGTAAATGACGAGTTAATGGGTGCAGCACACCCACATGGCACATGTATACATATGTAACAAGACTGCACGTTGAGCACATGTACCCTAAAACTTAAAGTATAATTTAAAAAAAGACTTAAAAAAAGATGTTTGCTCCTAATCATCAGTTGTATGACCAAAAGAAGGCAAGCACCATTCAAACTATTCTTTGCAAAATGTTTACAGAGAAATAAAACACTTCAGTTCTCAATGTTTCCAAAATTTTAAATTGCATTCGTTTTTTTAAATATTAGTTTAATTTTGCTAGTAGTTAGTAGTAGTTTTACTATTAATTTTACTACTAGTAAATAGTAATATTTGTTTTACTATTATCAGTAATATTAATTTTACTACTATTTTTAATCCCCTATACATTTATAGACCACAGTAAGAGAACTTTTAATGTTTTGACAAAAAATTTTTAAAGGTCACTAAACAAATATAATTTCTCCCATTGACTACTAAAATTGCTTTGCACTGTTTCAACAGTCATCTTTGTGGTCTTACACTACTGTGAAAACTGAGCACTGCTTGTATTTTTCTCTGTGTCTAATTAAATCTCATGAAATTAGTGATCATATAGTTCAAATTCATATCCAATGCCATAATCACTTCTACATGATTATTCAGTTGTTTGGTTACAGTTTCTCACTGTTACTATTACTGTCTAGGTAGGTTGTTCACTGTGGAAGGTAATGTTTGCTAAGCACCTTGCCAACCATTATGTTCTTTTCCTCAACATACATTGAAGTTAGGCCTTTCCTGCAATGCCATGCCTCTCTGGATGTTTTGGGAAATAAATAGGACCTTAAAGTTATTACTAAATTGAAGTGCTATTTTGTTTTGTATTGATTTCCAGTTACAGAACTTGACAGTTCATCAATATGTCCAGCTTCTGACAAATGCTTAACATTCCTCTTCTATTACTTGAACATACTTCCTCCCTCCTAACTTATGTCATTAAAAGAAGAAACAGTATTTAAAACCATCTGTGATAACATTATTTTGCATGTCTAAGAATTATTTTTCATTACTAATAATCATGCAGCAAATAATTATTCATTTATAAGTTTATGTTTGCTATATAGATTATTACTTTTTTACACTTAGGTATACCTACTTTCACAGGCAATTTTTTTAAACCATTTTCTATTGTAGCTTAGAAAGAAACTTCATACATTTCTGACAAAGAAGGCTTTATTCTCAAAAGATAGAAATGAGATTATGTGCCATGAGTAGTAAATAGCTTCTTGTAAATAACACATTGGAAAACAGTATGTAGTCCTAGACTCAAAAACTCTTAATTATACCGTTCTTAATTCATCAAATGGATTTGATCAGCTAAACAGTCTAATTAATGACTTCCATGCTGTTAATTCAATTAACCATGCTCTTATGGGTGAATTCTTGGGCCTCATTTACTTCTCATAGCTAACGCAAAGACATTTCTCTACCCTTTTGAAGCTTTAGTAGCTTTGCTTCAATTTTATGATGCTTCCTGCAGGGATTGAGGTGGAATAAGAACTGGAGTGTCTATTCCCTGTTGCCTGCCATCTCTCCTCCCTGTATTCCAACTCTGACAATGCCTTTCCACTTATTGGTTTATACTAAAACAAGGAATGAAACAGACAGGAAAGAATTGGTGTTGTAAAGAAATGAAAGAGACAGGAAAGAGAAATGATGTGTAGGCATTTTTGTTAAAGTAAAAATAAATGAGGTTAATGTTTAAGAGTGACTTTCCTCTCTCTACTGTCTTAACATAATTGGATAGTAAAATTTAAAGTGGTAAGTCTTTGTAAAGGTGATAAGTCTAATGTAAAGGTACATTATATTGTTGATGAAACTGGTTTAAATTACAAAAAATAAAGAAGTCACACTTTATGGAAAAGAATGTCTACTCCTCTAGCGCAACTGACATTATCATTGTATTTTGTACTAGAGTTGCTTCCAGATATTTTATGTATGCATCAACTATATAGTTTGAGGAATATATGTGACTTATGCACTTAAACTTGTTTTACTGATTTGCCATGCTGAAATTCTGGTTTGTGGTTATGTTCAGTGCATGTATCATTATTTGGTTCATCCTTTTTCTATTGTGAAACTCTTAGGTTGTTTCCATTTTTTCCTTTTAAGTATTATACTTGAGTATAGGTGAAGGACTATAACAAAGGGGAACCAAAATGCAATGACTCAAGATAATTTGGCTAGCCAGGCATGGTGGCTCACACCTGTAATCCCAGCATGTTGGGAGACCGAGGAGTGTGGATCACTTGAGGTCAGGAGTTCAGGACCAGTCTGGCCAATGTGGTGAAACCCCGTCTCTACTAAAAATACAAAAATTCGCTAGGTGTGGTGGTGCACTCCTGTAATCCCAGCTACTCAGGAGGCTGATGAAGGAGAATTGCTTGAACCTGGGAGGCAGAGGTTGCAGTGAGCCGAGATCGTGCCACTGCACTCTAGCCTAGGCGACACAGTGAGACTCTGTCTCAAAAAATAAGATAATTTGGCTCTTTCCCATAAAAGTCTGGAATTAGGGAGACAGTCAATGGAGTTAGGCAGCTATGCTTCATTCAGGGATACTGTTTTCTCCTATCCCACTGTTTATATTAGTTTTCCAGAAATGCCATAACAAAGTACCACAGACAGAATGGTTTAAACAGAAATTTACTTCTTACAATTCTGGAGGCTGGAAGTCCAGGATCAGGGGATTGATAAGGATGTTTCTGCTGAGTCAACCTTGCCAGGTAGATGGCCATTTTCTCCCTGTGTCTTCTCATTGTCTTACCTCTGTATGTGTCCATGTCCAAATTTCCTCTTCTTAGAAGGTTGGATTAGACCCTATGCTAATAACCTCATTTTAACTTAATTTTATTTTTAAAGACTTTGTCTCCTGAAACAGTCATTCTGAGGTACTGGGGTTAAGACTTCAACATCTGAATTTAGAGGGGACACAATTCATCCCATAACACCGTTCCACCTGAGTGTTGTCCTTATCCACATGGTTGAAGTTGAATTGCCTCCTCATTTATGTTCTCTTCTAAGGAAAAGTGAAAGAGAGAGCCCAGAACAATAAAATCCATCTTTAATAAAATTGAACTAGAAGGTGCATGCATCACATCTGCTAGCTTTCTACTGACCTGAATATAGTCATGTGTGGAGTACAAGGGATGTGGAATCCATAGTCTCTGAATGGGAGGCTACACTTTGGTAAATAATAATCTACCCTTTACATAAGAACTTGAAGACTAATCTCTTACTTAGGGTAGAAAAGAAAGATATTTATTTATCTAACATCCACATATCATTCAGCTTACCTATCCAGAATTCATTTTGTTCTGAAAAACCTCAGGGGACAATCTCGTCATTGTCTGATTGCTTTCTAATTGGTTTCAAAGCATGCTCCACTTACTAACTTTTTTCTGAGGTTTTGGTGAAATCCTAGTGTCACTGAAGACATATCTTGGCTCAGATCTTACCCTGAGCTTTCCATGGATCTTAGATACACAGATTTGCAATAACATTTGTGCAGGTAATACAACCTCACCTAAATGTCTTTAATTCTAACTAAACTGTTTATTATTCAATCATTGATATAGATTTGATACTTTTTGACCATGTTATACAATTTTGAAAATTGTGTCAGGTCCCTTTTGTGACTTTCATTTTTTATATCTCTATCTTCACTGGCTTATTTTCAGTCTCTTGATTATTACTGTTTTTAGTGTAGCCCTTCAGATTCTTCAAATTAGGTTCATTCATTTAGTTGTTCAATGCTATTGAGCATCTGCTATGTGTCAGGCATTTTTATAGTCACTTGGGATACAACAGTGACCTAAAAAGACAAAGTACTTACTCACCAGTAGCTTCCATTTTGGTTATAGGAGACAGATAATAAACAAATACATATCTATATAACAAGGCAGTGTCTTAGTGATACAAAAATAAAACAAGATAAGAGGGCTAGAGAATGGTGGCATGGAGTTTCTTAGAAAAGGTGGTCAGGGAAGGCTTATGCTAACCTGAATAAATGAAGAAGGGAGTCGTGGACAGATGAGGGAGCAGCATTCCAGGCAAGTGGAGCAGCAAATGCAAGACCTTGAGGGGGGCCTGGCTGGCGGTTTTTATGAGCTGCAAGGGGGCCATTGTAACTGAAACAGTAAGTAAGGAAGTGAGTGATAGAGAATAAAGTCAAAGAGGTAGCAGCAATCCCATCTTATAGACCAAGGAAGGATATTTGGATTATACTCTAACGCAGTGGAAATCCATTGGAGGATGTGGGGCAAAGAAATCACATTTGACTTGTATTTTAACAGTGTCACTCTGGCTACTGAATGACACATAGGCCGTATAGAGGTAAAGGTGTAAATAGGGATACCTGTTAAGAGGCTATTGTAATTATCCAAGTAAGAACTGATGGGGCGTGGACCAGGTTGTAATGGGTGAAGATGTTAAGAGGTGGTTAGATGGTAGATATAATTTTAAAGGAGAGTTGGAATGATTGGTTAAACAAGTAGATATGAGGGAAAGAGAAGAATCAATCAAGTGTGACTCAAAGGATTTTGGAATAAGCAAGAGTGGAGGTGCCAGTTCTGGAATCCTCTTGAGATGAATCTTAAAGGTTCAATGAATTTTACTCAAGTATGTGTATTTAGGGTAGATAATGGGCAAAAGAGAGGAAGGGGCTCTTTCCTGGTAGAGGGAACAAAGAATCAAAGGAAAGGAGGCAACATTACAAAAGGTTTTATGCACTCAATAGCAGACCCAACATGGGCTGTTGAAAGAAGGAAGTATGATATTGTATACAATTGTGAATTTTCCCCAAATATCTGGTGCCTTATTTTGAATTTTTCAAAAGAATCTCCACCAGGCAGGAAATCTCCCCTATAAAGGGACCTTTTAATTTGAGACTCCATCTGGCGAAACCATTCCTCAAAATTCCAACCCAATAGTCAAGCATAAGGTCAGGAAAGGGTTTGGAATTACATAGAAGCTCAGTATCATTATCCTAAGAAACTACTAGAGATGAGGTGAAAACCCCTGGAGTGCTTTGTAAGCAGCTTTCTATGTTTTCTTTTAATGCTTTGTATTTGAAAGTTTGGATTCATCTTTCACTCCCTGCTCTTTTTGTATTATGTCCAACCTTTCATAAAAGACTATGCTTTGGAGTCAAGCTAACTTGGGTTTGAATCCCAACTCTACTGCTTAAAACAATTATGATCTTAAGTAAATCATTTCACCACTCTGAGACTCAATTATATCATCTGAAAGATTGTGATAATAATTTCCATCTTATAAAGTTGTTGTGAAGATTAAATGAAATAATCACCTTACATAAGCTAGTTAATGTAGGTGAATTGCCAAGCATAATGCCTGGTGAAAGACTGTGTGTGTGTGTGTGTGTGTACGCGCGAGGGTACATTGCTCACGTTTTCTCTCCATTCCCACGAAAGTATTAACCCAGAAGTATACAACTTCACGCTTCAGTTACCACCATCCTCCTCATTACTTTTCTGGCCTAAACTCTCTTCCAGTGTAGTCTGTTCTCTTTGCCCAACTCTCATATGAATCAACTTTAAAGCACTCATGCTTATTCCCATCTTCTCCTGACTCTCCTTACAGGTTTAATTTGCCTTACTCATTTTGCTCTTAATGCTATACTGCGTTGCACTTTTACTTAGTTGTTCCTAACTAGATTGGATGCCTCTGTAAGATTAGCTTCCTGTCTTACATTTATTTTTCCTTTTCTTTTTTTTTTTTTTTTTTTTTTTTTTTTTTTTGAGATGGAGTCTTGCTCTGTTGCCCAGGCTGGAGTGCAGTGGTGCGATCTTGGCTCACTGCAGCCTCCACCTCCTGGGTTCAAGCAATTCTCCTGCCTCAGCCTTCTGAGTAGCTGGGACTACAGACGCACGTGCCACACCCAGGTAATTTTTGCATTTTTAGTAGAGATAGGGTTTCACCATGTTGACCAGGATGGTCTTGATCTCCTGACCTCGTGATTTGCCCAGCTCGGCCTCCCAAAGTGCTGGGATTACAGGCATGAGCCTTCGTGCCTGGCCCATTTCTTTTATATCTCTGTCCCACACCAAATTTCAGCCTTCTTATTCAGACCACTGTTTATTTGTATGAACATTCTCTGTATTTAAAAACCAGTGGTATCATTCTTACATTACAGAAATACTCCCCTCAAGTTAACTTAATGGGAACAAAAGCTTTCATGCAGAGTAATAGCAACTATGTCATTAATTCAACAACACATATTCATTAATGATACATCCATTGATTCTTCGTTTATTTACTCAGCACATATTTTGTGAGTGCTGCTTCATACTAGGCACTATTTGAGGTCCTGGGTATATCTGTGCACATGATAAATAAAGTGCCTGGAATTTATGTTTTCCAGATTATGCAAAGTAAGCTTATTTGGAAAGTAGTTTGGCACTGCTTACTCCCAAGTGTGTGTTCTACAACATGGGAAAGTAAGTGTATATAATCAGTTTCTAAGTAAACAGGGATGGTTTTTAACTGTATCATTTTTACAAAACTATTATTAATCTGTGATTACAAAGAATCAAATTAAAGTGACTCCCAACCACTTCAGTTTTCAGTGTCAATCATTTAATTTGATGATATGGCTAATCAGTCTGACTCAAAATATCTACATTTTGCATTAGATAATTATAAAGTAGTTCAAAGCTCCAGCTTTTACTATAAGAGAAGATCTTATACTTTAACCCAGAGGTAACTTGTTCCAATCCTTTAGAAAAGTTGATGAACATTATAAAAGCCCCTCTGTGAGACTGTTATTAACGCTGTGATCACAGAACCCACACTGAGCATTTCACGAAACAGGTAGAACCACTGATGGTCACTATGAGATTCCTATCATTAGTAAGTCAACTGCCTCCATTGTGGCTTACAACATGGACAGAATGGTTACTGTGAAGTCTAGGCCTTTGAAATCAAATCAACTTCTAGAGACTTCTATTTAGTAGATGTCTTTGACATTGGATCATCTACCTTTATAGAGCAGAGTTAAAGTTGAAACAAAAAATACATTCACAGGAACAAGAGAAGTGACTAATGCTTCTGCAAGTTTTTCTTTGCTTGAACTGTGATGAGTTTTTTTTTATAGTTGTTTCTCAGTGATCCATATTAAAACACAAATACCTATGGAAGGGAGATTTTATCTGCTCCTATCTCAGACTACAGAGATTAAGGCCCTGCCAAGAGATTTGGAGAGTACTCCAGAAAGCTTTATCTAGTTTACAGATTTGCCACTCTGATACAAATATTCAGTGACTTCAGGCAAAAGGGATTGGGTGGGGGAGGGAAAGGATTGGAGACAATGACAAGAGTGTATGATGATCTTGTATTTTTAAAGACATGATGAAAGGGAGATATTTTTAGTAATTTTCCCAGCTCTTAATAGAACTACCAGAAATATCATAGCAGTATTGTTACTCCTGCCTACTGAAATGGAATCTGGCAATGACAGCTGACAGCATCCATGGTCAGAAAGAAGGTTTCACTGATAGGTCATAGCTGGAGTTCACAGAAAGCAATTTTTTTTTAGTAGAAATATCTTTTTTATTTTATTTTATTATTATTATACTTTAAGTTTTAGGGTACATGTGCACAATGTGCAGGTTTCAGAAAGCAATCTCAAACTTTCTCCAGGTGACTGACATGCTATTTGGTTCCACTAATTGTCTTCTAAGTGGTATGAGTGGTATTTTTTTCTAAGTGGTATGAGTGGTATTTATTTTGTTTTTTATGGTTTTTTGAATAGGTTTTTAAATTATTATACTTTAAGCTCTAGGGTACATGTGCAGAACGTCCAGGTTTGTTACATAGGTATACAAGTGTCATGGTGGTTGGCTGCACCCATCAACCCATTGTCTACATTAAGTATTTCTCCTAATGCTATTCCTTCCCTTGCCCTCCACCCCCGACAGGCCCCAGTGTGTGATGTTCCCCTCCCTGTGTCCATGTGTTCTCATTGTTCAACTCCCACTTATAAGTGAGAGCATGCAGTGTTTGGTTTTCTGTTCTTGTGTTAGTTTGCTGAGAATGATGGTTTACATCTATAATACAGATGACCAGATATATACAGATTTAATTTAATGTAAAGGAAAATAAAACTTAGCCACCCTACAAATACAAATTGCAAAGTAAATACATTTCTACCACATTAGGACAATAATCCTCTCTATTTCATTACTGACCACAGGATGCCACGATAATGAACATCTCAATATATTTAGAAAACTTGTGGAAACCTCAAGATTCAGCAACCAGATGAATGTAAGAAGAAATATAGTAAATTCCCTCCGGAGCACTTGATTCCTGGTTGCCTTCCAAGTTCAATGGCAAGCTACTAACTTGTTAAGGAGCCCTCTGCTCCCTGGTTCACCATGCTCTTAAGTGTCATTTTTCTATCAACCATATGAGAAAGTGGAGTGTTTTCTGTATTATCTCCTGAGTCATACTATTTCTACAGTCCTATGTCATTCAGGTTTTTCTGGTTGTTATTCCTGTACTTCATTTTCCTGAAGCTTGTCTCCCCTTCATTAGAGTGGATGTTTGAGAGGCCACGCTTAAGTGGCTTGCATTTAGAAGCATGGGAAAATACTTCAAGCATTTAATTTAGACAATTACATATGTATACCAGGAGGATGAAATTCACATGAGAGAAGCAAGAAATTTTTGTTCTGCTGCCTTGCCACAGATAAGGAATCATCCTTCTTCTTTTTGGGGGAGGGAGTTGACTTTAAAAAATAATTATAGCATTGTGGAGAACTGACATGGGCCATAGAGTACTTCTTTAAAAGAGACAGTGAAACAGACAAAATAGAAAGACAACACAATACTATAGGAACGTGAGACATCAGTTCTTCTTTCTCCACTCCAAAAATAAATTTATAGAGAACAAATATATTCTTTAACTTTGCCAGAATATACAATTTCCAAAATATACTAGCAAAATTAATTCTGCTTAGATACATCTGGAAATGCCATTATTTGGGACCTTTGGAGTATATATAATGTACTGAAGTAGAAATTTACTATTTGCCAAGGAATTAGAGAGTATTCCAACAAAGTATCTTAAATAAGAATCTGAATTGTTCAATTCTTGGCCCTGGGAACCTGGGAACATAAAGTTTCCAAATGAAGCAATGACAGAACACACCAGCTG
This sequence comes from Homo sapiens, assembly GCF_000001405.40. Lineage (NCBI taxonomy): Eukaryota > Metazoa > Chordata > Mammalia > Primates > Hominidae > Homo > Homo sapiens. The sequence continues at coordinate 74,294,455 of NC_000004.12, forward strand.
GAGACACCCTGTCATGAAGGATGGATTGATGGTGCCAGAAGATTCATGACCACGTACTTTCTGTTTTATTCTTACTTAAGTTTTTAAAGGGCATTTTAGTGTCCTTTATGTTGCTATTGGTATCCTTCATGAGTACAATTTATGCACCCTGTCATCTATGCCACCCTTGGATTTTTTTGGAGGCGTCCATATAAACTGGATGATTAGTTTCTTCCATCATCTCTATCATCACCTCAAATTTTAAATATGAAAGAACCTCTGCACTGTACCTATTGTTCTTATACTGACATTGAAAGATGGTTGTCTTCAAGTTAGAATCAAGTAAATGATGCCAAGCCAAGTTTTAGTTCTTCCTTTTAGAAATCTGAAGCCAATAACATAGGGGGGAAAGTCATCAGCCACATAGGGGAGAAGAGAGAACACGGAAGATTAGACATGCATGGCAGGCTGAAAAAGAATTTCTTGAGTAATGATTTACTGGGATGCAATAGCCTGAAACTTCATGAAAATGCAAGATGAATTTCTCCTTCACTACTTTCTTCTAAAATTATTTAGTAGTATACATTTTTCTCACAAGTTTTTCATATTACAAAAATGATCACTCCTAAATATGTAAATAGCCAAGTTTATTCATGAAAGACTCTTTTAAAAGCTTATTCACCCTGAACACAGTAACTACAGCTACCATCACCCAACCTCAGTTTCTTGACCCCATATAGCCCATGATCACCTCCCCGGCCTCCTCTCTTTCTTCTCGCTGTTTTCATCATGTGCTTTGGTCATAATGAAGTCATTTCACCTCCTCCATTATATTAAATTTATTGTCAGATCCAACCCACCTTTGCTTTTACTCTTCCCTGTGTCTGCATTGCTTTCTCTTTCCCTTTCTTCCCTGCTCAGGTGTCCATCAATCTTGCAGCTTTTCTGCAGCTTTACAAATCTTTCTCTGATCCCCATATCGGATTTATGTTTTCTCTTGAGGTACTCCCATAAGTGCCTGAATTCATTCCCACCTTAGTGAATCTCAATTTACTTTGTAATTTTTGTGTTTATTTCCTTTCCTTTCACCCCAGATATTAAACTCACTTCATTAGAGAAATGTGCAAACACAGAACAGTTTCTTCATTTGATTTTATGCTGCCTGAAATGTTTTCCCAAATGTTAAAAATACTTTAATCATTTCTTTTAAATTAATATACAAAATACTTGATATTTTCTATGAGCCTCTACATAACCAGACACTGCCTACCTCTTCCATGTCACCTCCTTCAACTCTGTCTTTACTCCTGCATCTCAGCCATACTGGCCTTCTTACAGTGTTTCCAAGAGTTCAGGCTGCTTTCTACCTGAGGGAAGCTTCTTGCCACCTTTATCACATTGTCTCCCCTACACTGTCTATTCTACACCTCTCTATTCCACATGGAAAAACTCGGCATGGATATGCCACATTAATACACAGTGCTGTTCAGGCCCAGATCCTCTTGACACCTTCACAGTGCAGCACAAATTTCATGTGTAGCACATATCACTGCCGTGGCTCAATTATTATTTAGGCAATTGCCTTTTTAATGTCCATCTTCCCAACTAGACTAAAAGCTCCATGAGGCAGTATCTATGTCTGTCTTGCTCAAGGAATAATTGTTACGAATCTATCTGGTCCAGTTTATGGCATGTGTGGGAACAGTGACTAATTGAATATAGGGCTAGAACATGATGCAAAATAAAGATGTTGGGCCAGAAGATAAAAGACCTTGATTGCCATAACAAAGAATTTATATTTTATCCTAGAGACAATGAAGATCCATCAAATGTTTATAAGCTGAGATAATCAAATCTGTGTTTTAAAGAATAACTCTGGCAGCAAATTATATGGCTGACATGGTGGACTGGGAGCCAAGAGGCTACTGTAGTAGATTATAAAAAATGGCCACACATTTATTTTGTCCCCATGTGTACATCCCCTTTGCAGGGTGACTTGGCCACTCTTGTTACTCCAAGTCTTTGAATTTCAACTTGATCGTGTGCCTTCCTTTGGTCAATGGCACATTAGCAACTCTTATGTAAGCAGAAGTGTGAAAACCGTTTGCACATTGGGGTTTGCCTGGTACTTGCCTGGGAACCTGAGGCCATCGTGTAAAGTAGCCATACTACAGCAGTGAATTCCAACCAGATTTTAAATTTTCTCCATTCCGTTTATATGTATAACATTCCTTTCCCACCGTTAGAAATATCTCTCACTTCAAACATTAGTTCTCAGTGGTGCGTATTGACAATGTGCAATATTGGGATAGGAGGAGGCATATGCAGTATGACTTAATCTCACAAGAGATTCCACTATGCTCTATGAATGCAAATTGAAAGTCACTCTACTAAGTCTCACTGATGAATGAATGAACAGTTAACTTAGCCTGGGGAGTTAACAGGCTCCACAAAGAAAGTGACATTTATGCTGGACCTGAGAAGGAAGAATAAATATTCATCAGCTGGAGAAGTGAGAGAAGGGCACGTTAGACAAAGAGAATAGTATGTACAAAGGCAAATCTTACATCCAAAATGACTGTTTTTAAATCTCTTTTATTTTTGTACAACTGAACACACACCCTAACATTCTTAATTATGCTGGCAAAGCTATAGCACTTTCAAGGAAATATATGGAATTACTTTGCAGAGTCTAAAGTTTGCAGAGAGGTCATCCAAATAAATTATTATGATAATTATTAACTTTCCTCAAAACATTCTTATTTTCAGGAACTTACTTTAAACATTTCCATGTCATCTTCATCTAAGTCTCATTCTCCAGAGCAAGTTTAATGCGGACAATAAGATTTGGTGATTGTTTATTTGTCTCAATTGTCAAATAGTTTCAGTAGGTCTAAAATCATGTTGACTTTGTGAAATTGAATCTAACCCTGGTTTTGCCATGTGTCTTCATTAATCTCATATGAAAGGGCTGATATCAATCAAGATCTCATACCTCATTCCCATATATACCAAACTTCTGGTATTCCCTTAAACAGACACAAATATGCCCTCACACCTACACCCACAGTAAATTAAGTCGCTGAAGGAAATTACTATCATATAATGCTTCTGTATTTCTCTTTAATGGAGCATGTAGAACACCTTTTCCCTACACATAATAGGATTAATATTTAAAAGCATCATCTTCAGCCAAGTGCAAACCTTTGTCTGCCCTCAGGGAAAGACTAGCCAATGAGAGGTTATTCTGGTGATGTAATGCTTGTTACCTTGCTCTCTTTCAGGCATGATTGGGGAAGATGCTTTTCAGAACATCAAACATGAATAGAATTTAACTCTTTCTCACATGACTAATTTTAGCACATAAGCCACCTGCAGTATTTCATAAATGTGTTGCTTAAGATCGCCCTGAAATAGTTATGCAAAATCATTAGAGTAGAGAATTTTTGTTAAGCATTGACATCTGTATCCACTGGCACTTGCCAATAGCTCCCCACCTTTCTTGAGAGATCACTTACTTCTGTATCCTGATCCTTACGTAAATGGGCAAAGAATATATTAACACTAGCCAGCAGCAGATAAGCTTATTATTTCCTTCTCAGACACAGATACTCATGAAAATCAAATCAAAAGGAATAGAAACCTAATATGTGTTTTCCAAAGTCAAATTAATCACTCTGTCTCTCATGACCATATACAGGGTTTATCTTCATATCCATATACTTTATTTCAAAAACAAAAAAGATTTAAGCAAGTATTTTAATAACCAGGTGTGTTTACAATGATATTATAATCTTCTGCCTCGTGAATAATTTTCAGATCTCTATTGATGCTACTAAATGTTTATTAATGTTCAGAGAAGCCCTAGCCCAGATCAGGTGAAGACCTATTACCCCTTACATAGCCTGATTCTATGAAAACTGATAGGCAGGACAGGGTGAATATGTGTTGGTTTCCACCAGCGAAGTATGCAAAAATGCAGACACTGAGCTAAAAAATTTCCGGCGGATATTATTTCATGTAGTATCTCATTCCCATTCCCTCCTCCTCCACCCAAACCTCACTTTTTGAGCAAAAGAATGCAATAGTAAGCATGTTGTCTGAAAAACATAATTTGGAAGAGGAAGATAATGATACCTGAGCATACCAGTGGTTTATCTGATCTGACACCAGGAATAAAGCAACTCAGACTGCTAAGCCAGCTGTGTAATTTGAAGTGTAATATGTAGTTCAGAGATGATGAGCTATGAGAACTTATAGTCAAAATGTTGGAAAATTAATATATTAGAATCTTTTCCTCTTCATTTCTTTTTTCCAGAATATCCTGCTAACACTTTGAGAAAACTGAGTTAATTTTTGGCACTTGAGCCATTCTTTGGACTTTTCTACTCGTTTAGGTCATGATAATACAGTTGCATTGGAATGGGGTGAAATTATGGGATTATAGAGCATTTCAAACCTGGCTGTGAATAATGTCTGTACATATAGGAGAGTGATAAGTCACTGTAACTTCACTGAGCCACAGTTTCCTCATCTATTAAAATGAAATAATTAAATATTAATTATTAAAACAGCATAATTCTTGGCAAGTAATTAATAAGTACTCAATTGATAGTAGCTATGGTTTTTACTATTTTTTTCATAGACAAATAATATCAAAGCTGCTTTACCTTTCAAAGTTAGAAACCAAACTATATAAAAATAATTTTATACCCACAATAGGTTTTCTGATATAACAAATTGTATGCCACTTTTAAATTTTGAAATAAATCATTTTGTTTTCCATTGAAGATTCAATTTGCACTTGATTTTTACTTTCCCATATTATTTAGCAGAATTTTATTTTTATATATTAATATTTCAAAGTTAGTGCTTTACAAATATATGACTTTGTGTTCTATTAGTATAAATGGTAGTAGTAGTGTAAATAGTAGTAGTACTGTAAGTAGTAGTAGCAGCAGCAGCAGCAGCAGTAGCAGTAGCAGTAGCAGTAGCAGTAGCATAAATGTTACTTCTAAAGACCTGCCAAGTTTTAAACGCATTGCTTCTCCAGTGCTTGAGAAAAGGTCCTGGAAGGCATTTCTCAGGCCATTAAGTCAGCTTATTGAAAAGTGGAAAATGCAGTTTATCACCCTAAAGCAAAATGAGTAGCTCAAGTTTTTCAGTAAATTAGCTTAAACTAAATTGATATTGTTTACATCCAGTGAAAAGCACTGACACATTTCTGCAAATTGATTTTAGATTTTAAGTAAGGGCAATTTAAGTTCACTTTCTCAAAATCTGCTTAGTGCCTAACCTGTGTATGGAGATATTCTAAGATTAAAAACAACCACCACAATGACTTGGCTTCTGCCTTCTAGATGCTGATGTCTAGTTAAGGGAACAGACAGTGCACAGTGTCTTAAGTTCCATAATGGAGGTAGGTATAAAATTATTGGAAATATAGATGGTGGGGCTTTCAATTCAACACTGGAGGAATGAGTTTTTCAGAAAAATTGTAGACAGGTGACATTTCATTGGCTTTCAGGAAATAATGAGTTTCTTGTTTGGATAAGATGGAATAATGATCCAGGTAGAAGGAACAGTTAGAGCAAAGGAAGAAAGGACTAAAAATTCATAGCTGTTTATTGAATGGCTATTGACCCATTCTAATGTTTCTATAGAATAGAATGCATTAGATGGAAATGTGGCAATGGAAAGGTTGTGCTTTCTGTATAGAGACGCTGTTTGGAAAACTGAAATATTACCTTCCAAATCATAGTATTCTTATATTTTCTTTATAGCATCCCATCAGAAAATTCATAACACATGTTAACTATATATATTTTGTGATGTATTTAAGCTTACTGGACCTTTCTTCAAGTAAAACAATGTTATTCCTTTGCTTTTCCTCAGATTTAAAAAATTATTCCAATGTACTATTCACTTCAAATAAAGTAAAGGTAAATCCCACAAATCATCCTTCAAAAGGGCGACATAAGTTGTGCAAAAATAATACTAAAGATATAGACAACATCTATTTATTTTGATTCATGCAGAAGTCTATATGAGCTAATTGTAAAAGGCAATACATCTAAATAGCATGTGGTTAATAATGTCAGATTATGCATTAAAGAAATATTGTCTATGCTAACTTTTTACTAAAAGTTATTTGGAAAAACTTCATTGCTCTTATTCACACAGTAAACCACCATACCATCAAGTAAATGAATGCAGTAAGTCATTCACCTTTCATACTGTGGGTGTGAAAACATTCTTAAATAAAACTTGCTGAGAGTTATCTGCCATTTTCTTTAAGTATACAGATTCTCCATGACTTATGATGGGGTTACATCCCGGTAATCCTAAGTTGAAAATATCATTAGGTCAGAAATGCATTTAATACACCAAAGATCATACCTTAGTCTAGGCTACCATAAACATGCTCAGAACACTTACATTAGCCTATATTTGGACAAATAATCTCATAATGCAGTACATTGTAGAGTATTGGTTGATCATGGTTGTTCACCTTTGTGATCTCATGGCTGACTGGGAGCTTTGGCTTATTACCACTACTCAGCATCTTGAGAAGTATCGTATCACATATCACTAGCTGGGAGAAAGGTCACAATTCAAAATTTGAAGTATAGTTCCCACTGAATCTGTATGGCTTTTACACAGTTGAAAAATCAAAAAATTATAAGTGAAACCATTGCAAGCTGGGGACCATCTGTATTCACTGAATAAGTTCCCATACCTCTGAACAGGACTATGTATGTGTTCATAATTCAAGTATATTTAGTGATACTTACTAGACTTGAATTGAAATGTATTATCCACACATACATTGTGATATTGTTATAACAGGAATAATTCTATTTAATAAATGGTATGTGCTCAACTTTCTATATTCTATGTCCCTGTGTCCCTTTTGTGACCAGTATCATGTATTTTAGAATTAGTTAACTAGAATTACAGGTAACTGGGTCAATCATGGGTTTCATTATGTAAAACAAACTGAGCTGCATGGAGCTTGAACCTAGGTGTCGGTCCATTTTGGTCTTTCTGTCCACCTTAGATATCATCCACAGAAGTATTCGTCTAAGTGAGTGTGAGCGTGTGTGTGTGTGTGTGTGTGTGTGTCTGTTTATTACAGCCTACTTGATTCTAAAAATGATTTGTATATATAATGAAGAATCACTATATTCAGCATGTTTAAAAATATTAAAATCTCAGATATTTTAAAATAAAGAATATCTGTTTGTTTTTTTTCCTCATCAGCTGTTAAAAAGAAAGCTGGCTTTATCACTCCAGTTCCAGGAGGTGTGGGACCCATGACAGTGGCAATGCTTCTGAAGAACACCCTTCTGGCAGCTAAAAAAATCATTTACTAGATCACATGAAAGGATAAAGCAAACTGAAGTCATGCTATTTGTTTATTTGACAAAGGGTAAAACCTTTATATTTTACTACAAAGCTATTTATTTCTACATGGTATTTATTTTTTCATGGGTGAAATCATTGTGAATCAATTGATTCACATAGTTTTATGCATTTCCTGCTAATTTATTTTGAGTTTTAAGAAAACAACCAAAACAATTCCAATGAAAATTTTAGTAACAATTGTTTATTTTGAGGGTATTTGTTCATAACATTAAAACAATAAAGGGCTCATAATAAATAAATATATTTTTGACACAATTAAATATTACATAGAGTATGTTTACAACAAATATCCTGTCAGCCAAATGGTTACCCATATAAAATGTAATTTAGGTTTTGCTACTTGCATGCTAACATTTTTAATGTATTTTATGATCTATGTCATATATTAAAAAAGAGCTTGCTTACTACAAGAAAAATATTGAAATATTGAAAATATTGAAAATATTATTATTGAAAATAAAATCTTGATCTCAACTATCCCCCAAATGCATCCTATAAGTCCATCCTAATGAGAAATGATGTTCTATTTAAGGAAAGGAAAATATTCCGGGAAGGCAAAAAATGCAGTGCTGTTTGGAAGTGTAATGATTTTATCACATGGTGAATGACTACTAAGAGTAATGATTATATCACATTGTGAATGACTACTTGCCACAGTAAAAATACATGAAGAATGTGTTAGGTTTAAACGTCGTTTCTTTCTTCTAAAAAATATTTGGTTAGTACCTTCACTGAGCAATAGTGGAAAAATAAAAAAATAAGTAAACAGAAAAAACTAAAGTTGTATTTTCCCACAAATATAGTATGAATGAGGTCATATTAAAGAACAGCAACTGTTAATGTTTGTTCACAAATTCAGAAATCTAATAGGAAAACATGATACTTTCAATGTGCCAAAACTAAACCTTAGTATACAACTAAAAATCTCCTGCCTTCTTGCCTACCTGTCTTCCCTCTTCTGTTACAGAATTTGTTCCTCAAAGTAGATGCAATGTTTCTAACACAATTTAAATTAGGAAATATATATGAATGTCGTTGAAGTCTATTTTGAGACTGCTAAAGCTATTAATTGATACTGTGTTTTTATGCCCAAATCCCAGTATGTTTATGTACCAATAATGACTCTTACCCAGCGCATGTCTTTATCAGTGTGTACTCGTGACGATTTGTGTGAAAATAGACTTGATGTTTATAATTAATACCATTACAACTGTATAATAAAAGCAATTTGAAGAAAAGCTGTATTCTTTTTTTCTGTAGATATAAATTTCTTACCCATTTCCTTACTACATCCTGGAGAAATGTACAAGTTTCTAAAATGTGAAAGAAAAGTTTATATAGCATATTCCACAGTCAGTTCAGATCAATTGTTGTCTGATAACCCTGATGGAAGTTTAAATTTAAAGTTTCCAAGCAAACATTCAGAAAGGGCCTCTTTAATTTTTAAGGGTTCCTAACTCCCAAAACAAATAAAGTGACTAAAATACATGTATGTGGAAAATGTGAAGACTGTAATTTTGAGCTCTACCTCAACAGAGGTGCAGGAAGGGTACCTTTGGAATAACATTCAGAATTTAGACTTCCCATAAACTAATTAAAATGCTGTAGAAGAAAAATTACTCTGACACTTGTTTAAAACAGTCAAGAAGATGTTAAGACTATTGCAGTGGATGAAGGAGATTGAACTAACTATGAATACAACATAGACAGCTAGAGATTTATAGCCAATGAGCAGAGCTAGGGGGTTGGTGGATGAAAAATTACTAAGAGGACCTTTAGATATTCAGGGTAGGGGGATTCTTGTTAAACTGGCTTGTCAGGATGCTTGATAACAGCAGGCCAAAGACTTAGATATCAAAGGAAGAGGATTAGAAACTAGATAAAATAGCAATGGTGAGGGACCCTCCATAAACTGACTTAACAGGATTCTTTGCTAAAACTGGGCTCGATGGGTCTAGATCAAGACCTGATCAGGGAGAGAGCTCAGAGGAGCCTGACTAAGATTCGGTGAAAGAGTCAACATATTACAGAGGTAAAGTCAATGTATTGGAACCATAACTTTACAAGTATTTGAAGTCCTTAAAAGATAGACATGTTGGCCTTGTGGAGGAGCATAGAGATGGTTTTCTTCTCCTACCATATCTGTATCTGTAAAGTATCTGTAAAGAGCGCCCTAAAGAACATAATAAAGTTACAGAAATGATTATGAGCTTACCATATATGTATGAAAGCAAGAGTTGCAATTAGACAAAAATGAAAGGTTTGTTTTGGAAAGTGGTACAGCTGGATAAGTATGCAAAAATAAATTAGAGGAGTGGATAAATCAGAATTTGGCAGTATTTAGCAAGTTACGAGAATTGTAGTTAGAGGTCAGAAGATGTTATCATTGACTAACATGAGGAAATTGTAAAAGGGAGCTGACTTTGGAGTAGAGATAATATGTTCAGATTAAAATATGTTAAGTTTGAGGTGATGACATAATACATAGATAAGAATTCTGAAGTAATATCAGTCTAGGAAGAGGATAAGAATTCATAGTTACTGATAAGAATTTAGGACTCGTCAGCATATACGGACACACTAAATTCCTGGCCTTGGTAACCATTATACACACTCTGTGTCTTTCCACACTTGTTCAATAGTAACAACTATCCTTAACTGAGCACGTAGCATGTGCTAAATACTTTCCTCTTTTGTTCTTTTCTTTCTTTCTTTTTTTGAGACAGGGTCTCACTCTGTTTCCCAGGCTGGAGTACAGTGGTGTGGTCACTGCTCACTGCAGCCTCTACCTCCAAGGCTCAAGCAATCCTCCCACCTCAGCCTCTGGAGTAGCTGGGACCGCAGGCGAGTGCCACCATGCCCAGCTAAGTTTTTCATTTTTTGTAGAGAAGGGTCTCACTATATTGCTTAAACTGGTCTCAAACTCCTGGGATCAAGCAATTCTTCTGACTTGGCCTCCCAAAGTGCCTTTTTTTTTTGTCTTTGCTCATTATTGACAATCTCCACTTGATAGATGAGAAAATTATTGACCCTCCTGGTTATTAAAAAGCCTCAGCCAAGGCCAAATAGATAGAAAAGGTGGAATCTGAATTCACAACAAAGTCTGTTGGGATGATGTGAGTCAGAAGCCACTCCTTTTACTACTCCACTCTGCCTTCCCTCAGATCCTGCCCTCACCCCGAAGTCCTTTCTCTTATTACTAGGTGTCTAAATCCTACTTGCTATTTAAGATTCACTTCAAATGAAACTTGTCCATGAAAAATGTCAGCCCTTAGCTCTCAGAGCTTTTATGCACACATTCATGGCAGTTGTCACTCCCTACCCAGTACTGCAGTTATGTATGTACTTTGCCTAGAACCCTTTAGTTCCTTGAAGTCAGAATCCATGCATGATTTCTCTATTTGTCTTACAAATATCATCTCACCCAGCCTAGTGCCATGGATATAGTAGTCATTCAATATTTTATGAATGAATGCAACTGAATCCATGAAAGTGATAGAATAAACTTAGAGAGAGAATCAATGAACTGATCACCATTCTCTGCCAATGACCAGTAATAAATTTTGGTTAAGTTAGTGAAACAGCCAGGAAAAAAAGATAGAAAGGGGAGGGAAGAATAAACTTTCAGAGATTCTCTCTTCTAGCATAAACTTCTAGAAGAAGAGAGATAAGTAAATTGAAAAGACTGGAAACATGGCATGAGAGAAAAGTAGTAGTGGAGCTCTTAGCCTCTCATTTCCTTCTCCTTTCTCACCCTAACCTGCTTTAATGCATATTAAGAATGAATAAAGATATCAGAAAAACCACCTTACAGTATCCATCTGCCCCCCATTCTTTAGGATTTGGAGAAAGGACTTTTGGGTGAGAGGATTGAAGATGTGAAGGGAGTGGACTTTCCTGTAAAGATTGTTAAGTGGGAGCCATGAGTATGGGCCCCAGAGGAAAGGCAACATGTTTGATGACTTAAAGTTACTTTCTGGTATACTCCATAAGCTAAAGCAGAAGATGGGTTTCTATATTAAGTGGCCCAGTTTACCAGAGAGGCTTCAGTTCCATCTCTCAGCACAGATGTGAGTGAAAATCACAGTTAATTAAATATTTAGTTTTTTTTCTAATAAAGGTAATTTATTTAAAGCTTGATTTTAGGAGATAATTGAGGGAATTCTTTTGAGATCAGTACAACAACTACTACAAGAGAACACAGCTAGGTAAATGGAAAGAGCATACGATTTAGAATCTGTAAATATAGAATTGAAGTCCTTTTTTTTGTTCGTTTTGTTTTGTTTTGTTTGTTTGAGACAGGGTCTGTAGCCCAGGCTGGGGTGCAATGGTGTAATCATGGCTCATTGCAGCCTTGACCTCCCAGGCTCAAGTGATCCTCCTACCTCTGCCTCTCAAGTAACTCATGCCCAGCTAATTTATTTTTTGTAGAGTCGGGGTCTTGCTCTGTTGCCCAGGCTGGTCTCAAACTCCTGGGTTCAAGCAATCCTCCTCCCTCAGCCTCTGAAAGTGCTGAGATTACAGGTATGAGCCACTGCACCTGGCCAGGATTGAAGTGCTGACTCTAGGCATGTCCTTTGGCAAGTCACTTAATTCTTTTGGGCCTCAATTTGTCATTTGTCATGTGAGAATAGAAATAATGCCTATTTATTTCCTTATTCTCTGAAGACAGATTCATTGAGTATTTACTAGATGTTAGGCACTGGATTTGTTTGGGCCAGGGTTACTGAAGAAAGAATTGAGATGTGTAGGGAAACCTGTAAAGTGCAAAGGACTGCACTAGCTACAGTTAAGAGTTTTTACAAAGATAATCTTTGTACTTTGATGTCTCAGTCTTAGAAATAAACTATTTAATCCCAGCACTTTGGGAGGCCAAGGTGGGTGGATCATGAGGTCAGGAGATCGAGACCATCCTGGCTAACACAGTGAAACCCCGTCTCTACTAAAAATACAAAAACTTAGCAGCGCCTAGTGGCAGGCACCTGCAGTCCCAGCTACTCGGGAGGCTGAGGCAGGAGAATGGCATGAACTCAGGAGGAGGAGCTTGCAGTGAGCTGAGATCGCACCACTGCACTCCAGCCTGAGTGACAGAGTGAGAAAACATCTCAAAAAAAAAAAAAAAGAAAGTATTTAATATGAGTCCTAACATCTCCCTCCAGAAACTACAAAAAGAATTGTGATGGTTTATTTAATCTTTTGTAAATGATTTCTTTTTAAATTCTCAGCAATGGTGCAAAGACGATTGTTCAATTTATAATTCAAATGTTATTTGCCTGGGAAATATATTATCTAGAAATCGACTTAGTAATCAACAGTTTTTTAAAAACCTACAAAAGTAGAAATGCAAAATGTAGACACATTTAAAGCGAGCCAAGTACTATTATATTATTTTAACTTTAAAATGATGACTCCTGTGGCAAGTGATTGCCCAAGTTATAATGAGTTCAACAAGCTTGTTCTTGTGTGATTTCTAACACCACATTTATATTTGAATAGTGAAAGGGCTCCTTTCTGGTAAATCTAATTTGCTGAGTGGACATGATGCAAAAGATAACCTATCTTGACTTGAATATGTTTTTAGGGTTTTGAGGTTTCAAGTTTCAAGAAAATACAAGGAATTGAAATTCCAGACAGAAAGACTCAATGCCTCAGGAAGATATATTTATAAATCATTTATATTAATTTGGGGCAAGTGAAAATTTCTGTAGTTGTAAAATATAGTAGCTGTAATGACATATTTTGGCCTTTAAAGTGCCACTTTAATAATTACAACTAGATGAACTTGAGAAATAATTTGAATGTTGTATTAACTTAGAAACTTTCTATTCATTGGATGTATCCAAACTAAATGTCATCTTAATTTTCTCTTAATGGAGAATTTTAATATTATTATTATTGCTATTATCATTATGTTGGTACTTTACTGGTTCTCTGTAGCTTAATCATTGGGATGCAGATTTAAGCATTGTTGTTCCTGGAATATGGCAGCCCATTTCATTTACTCAGAAAAATGTTAAATAGCAGGATGACAGAAAGGTGAATATTATACTATTAAAAATAATTTTATTTACAGCACTTGTCATAGTAACACTAAGAAACAAACACTAAAATGGAATATGAAACCTCTGTGTTTTCACAAATTTAACTGTTCTCTGCAACTAAATTAACAAATTATCTTGATTTGAAATGGAACTTATAGTCTGTAATAAAAGGTGGTATAACCAACTATAGTTTCAGGTATATTTCTTTTAGAAACAGGTTATGCTGCTTCCTAATTTGCAGTTATGTTTGTTGAACTCCCGTATAGGTTTCTAGCATAGTTTGAGCTGGTATAGTTCTCTTCACACCAATGGGAGCCTTTCCTGAAATTACATTTTGTTCTTGTTGTTTTAAGTACTTTTACATACATGATTATGCCCACAGGTAACAGGAAACCAGTGTTTCAAAAGAAAACTTGATCACATTGCTAGATAATACAGGTATCCTAACCAAGTGCGTGAGCGCCCAGAGGCTTTCTGCTGCTGCCAGAAGTACATATTTTTTTGATTGGTAAGAACTGCCAGATGACGCTTCATGAAATATAAATGCAACAAAGACTCAGAGAGCTCAATAAAAACCTTCCACCCGTCAGTCTAGAAGGATAAGAGAAAGAAAGTTAAGCAACTACAGGAAATGGCTTTGGGAGTTCCAATATCAGTCTATCTTTTATTCAACGGTAGGTAATTTCCTTTTGTTTTGTTAACTTTATATCAGTGTAAAATGTGAATAGAATTTATTTTCTCTGCATTAGAGAGAAGTTGGCTTCTAACAGTTGTTCTTTATGACAAAGATCAGAGTAATGAATCTGTGGATTAATTTAGTTTCTTATGTCCTGTATGTTCCTTTCCTAATATATTTTGACACCTTTTTTGAGACCTCCAGAATGTTTGCTTTATACAATTGAAGAGTAATTGATACATTTAGCTACTATACTATAGGGTTCTTATTTTTTAATTAATATGTAAATGTATCAATGGTCTTAAATATTGGGTTTTTATTTGCTTTAATCCTAATATAGTCAATGGAATGGATGAGAAACTGTAAGTATGTTGCCCTAGTCACGTTATGGATTTCAACTGTAATAAATTAAAAAAATAGAAATTGGAATAAACAGAATAAGAATACTTTCCATCTGTTGCTTGTACATAGAAGGAGGCTCTCTGTTAAAGATGCTTTTGCCCCCTTAATACAGCAATGACAGCACTGACCGAAGAGGCAGCCGTGACTGTAACACCTCCAATCACAGCCCAGCAAGGTAACTGGACAGTTAACAAAACAGAAGGTATTTTCTTCCCATTTTCATATTTCACAAGACTTTTCTAAAACTTGGGAGAGAAATTTGGATTGTGATAAAAGCAATATTGGCCATTTTTAATATATATTTTATTATTAGATAATCAGCTCTTTTAGCAGGATGCTGTTAAATTGAAGTGACAGATAAATGTGCCAGGAAATAATTGCCTTTTTAAAAGGAGGAAGTTAAGCAAATGAGACAAAAGCTGTCTTCAGTTACTGTCTTGAATGTGAAACAGGCCACATTTTCTGCTTCATTTCTGCTTGGTTCCCAATAACCCCTGTGTGTACAGAGACAGTTTGTCCCCATTTTGGCATTCTTGATGAGCAGCATTATATTTTGATCTGTGATTATAAGCTTTGATGCCAAAGACATTATGGCTACAAGATGAACAGCACTTTCCCTCATCTTTGGAATGACCTTTTTTTCTTGTTTGCTTTGGAGTTTTTGTTGTTATTTTAGCATATGCTGTATTTCCTAACCACTTGTACCCAATTTTTGTTGTTGATGGTAATGATATATTTTCTTTTGCACTTAATTATTATCACAGTGGCTTCTGGATGCTCTTGAGCATCAGCGTTCTTTCTCTAATCTGTTTAAACTCTTAGAGGTGAAACTTGGAAAGCTTGTTGCTTACCAAGACCTGTGACTGAGTGGTTATGATTCTTCTGCAAATCGCATCCTGATTGCTATGTGAAGGCTGGCAATTTGATTTAGGACAGAGGAAACAATGTCTTGCACTCAGAGTCAGGCAAATAAAGGAAGATTGTCATATCTCAGTGTTCTTCATGTCACCAATAATTTAAAATTTTAAATGATTGTCTCGAAATATTTTACCCATTTGATTTTTTGAATATCTGTTGATTTGCAAAACGAAATCAATGTGGGTTATAGAATAACTTTTAGCCAACTATTTGTCTTCTAAGCCTTCAAACAAAGAGGAAACACCTTATTATAATTATTATATTCAGTACTATATTATACTGGCCTGGCACAGTGGCTCGTGCCTGTAATCCCAGCACTTTAGGAGGCCAAGGCGGGCAGATCACCTGAGGTCAGGAGTTTGAGACCAGCCTGGGCAACATGGTGAAACCCTGTCTCTACTAAAAATACAAAAATTAGCTGGACGTGGTGGCGCATGCCTGTAATCCCAGCTACTCAGGAGGCTGATGAAGGAGAATTGCTTGAACCCAGGAGGTGGAGGCTGCAGTGAGCTGAGATGGGGCCATTGCACTCCAGCCGGGGTGACAGAGTGAGAGTCCGTCTCAAAAAAAAAAAAAAAAAAAAAAAAGAAGATAATATACTGCAGAAAATTAAAGAAGCATAGTTTTCTCTCAATGACTGACTTCGTAATAGCATGCTCAGTACTAAATTTTTTTTTCTTCCTTAATGGTGAACAGCAAATAAAATATTTTGAGTTACAAGTAATAATAATGGTAAAAAGGAATCCAATACAGTCATCCTCCGTTATTGGTTGAACATTGGTTCCAAGACCTCCTCCTCCTGCCCAGAGGGTACCAAAATCCACAGATGCTCAAATCCCTTATATAAAATAGTGAAATATTTGCATATAACCTATAGACACACACCCATGTACTTTAAATCATCCCTTGATTAGTTATGCCTAAAACATTGTAAACGCTATGCAAATAGTTGTTATACTGCATTGTTTAGGGAATAATGACAAGAAAAGTCAGTACATGTTATGTACAGATGCTTTTTTTTCAAATATTTTCCCTATGAGGTTGGTTGAATCCACAGATGTGGAACCTATGAATACAGAGGTACAACTGTATATCATTTCTGTATTTTTCCTTTGCTTTCTTGATGGAGAACTTTAATTTTTCCTTTTGTTTTTTATCTAACTTAAAAATATCAATCTAGTATCTTAGAAAAATTTTTATAAAGTTATGATCATTCTCATTCTTAGGGGAAAGATGAGTCTCTCTGGTATAACTTTTCTTTAGAAATGGCTTAATTCTCACATTTTTCTACCAAATCTAGTTTCAGGCTTAGTTAATCGAACTTGTTTAGTCTTGAAATAGAAAGCACCCAGCACAGTTTATAATGGAAAATTCTCACTGCCTGAGAATTAATTATTAAAATGATAAATTATATTCATCCTATTCAACAAAATGAACGTGAATTAGAAGATAATGTGTGTTCTCACCAAAATAAAGTAATACAACATAGTATTTTGTTTGTAATCTTAACATCTAAAGATTTAGCATTTTTAATATAAAAAAGAATGCCTTTTAAAACTGTTTTTTCCCTACAAACAAGTAAGATTCTCTTAATCTTAGCAAGGCAAATATGGTATACCTTTATCATAATGATGAGGAAATATGTTTATTTATAAAAATGACAAGTAAAATCCCATTAATTCTGTTTGAGAAACATTTAAGAATCAATAAAGTATGCCCCAAAGGACTCAATTAGGCAATTTTACCTAAGGGTCACTCCCACTGCATAAACACCAAGAATGGCATAGGTCTGTCTTTTGTACATCAGAGAGAATCAGGAATAAGAATCTTGTTTATTATCTCACAAGTGTAAATTCAAATCTTCGCAAGTGCTGACTTCTCAGGTGTAAAGGAAGAAAATCGAAATATTATGTGAGATCTTCTATGTTAATTAGTATTCAGACACAAGTCTGGGAAGCATCGCTCAAAATAACCTGCTAAGACTAGAACCAATGCTGCCACCTTTTGGTGAATTTGTTGCCTTTTCTGTCTTACTGCATTGCTTCTAAAAAGTGAAACAATCATCAATCCACCTCCATCCCCTAATTAATTAATAATATGTCATATGTCTAGATGATATTAACCCAGCCCTTGTGAATACAACCTGCTAAGAGAATCAATAGTTTAAAGGACACAGCACCACCCCCAAATATCCTTAAAATTAAAAATTTATTTACATATGTATTAAAAATTTACCATAAAAGTAAGACACATTTCATTTGCTAACATTGTATCTCCTTTTCCTAGCTGACAACATAGAAGGACCCATAGCCTTGAAGTTCTCACACCTTTGCCTGGAAGATCATAACAGTTACTGCATCAACGGTGCTTGTGCATTCCACCATGAGCTAGAGAAAGCCATCTGCAGGTAAATGCAAAGAAATATCCAAGTCCTAGAGACAGGAGATGAGTTTATGTCTCTGTTGTTTCATATAGTACATTTCCACACTTTTCTCTCTTTAGTTTAAAAGGGTGCATAATCTGAACATGACTTGACAGGCCTCTACATATTTGAATATCTAAGGAGTCTTTTGTCCAAACTATTTAATTCTCATTAATTAAAAACATGGTTCCCAGATTAGCAGCATCTCTTGAACCTGGGTGCTTGTTAGAAATGCAGGATCTATGCTCTACCCCAGAACTATTGAATCAGAATCTGCATTTTTAACAACATGCAAAGGTGATTTTAAGTTTTGGGGTTGTTTTCAGGATGAAATGAAGCAAACTAAGGCAAAAACATTACAGGAATATGAAGTTCTAGAGCAACTAAGATACTATTTTTATGATCATGATTTGCTCAGTATTCGCCTATGGAAGAATAGGCTAATGATTTTTCTAGAGTAAATTATGCAAGCATACTACCTTTTCCCTCTACTAATGAAGGGAAAATATGGGGCCTTAATGATTATTGGAAAATTCATAGCTGCTTCATTGCCCGTAACAGATTGGCTTTCATTTGGTATTTGCCTCTTTAATTTAAATTCCTTATTTCCATTTATTTTTTTAAATTTATTGAAACAGGTTATTTGTATTTCTACCACCGTAGGTTTTAAAATTAAACTTTTTTTCTTTTTTTAAAGGTGTTTTACTGGTTATACTGGAGAAAGGTGTGAGCACTTGACTTTAACTTCATATGCTGTGGATTCTTATGAAAAATACATTGCAATTGGGATTGGTGTTGGATTACTATTAAGTGGTTTTCTTGTTATTTTTTACTGCTATATAAGAAAGAGGTATGAAAAAGACAAAATATGAAGTCACTTCATATGCAATCGTTTGACAAATAGTTATTCAGGCCCTATAATGTGTCAGGCACTGACATGTAAAATTTTTTTAATTAAAAAAGAGCTGTAATCTGGCAAAAAGTTTCTATGTAATATTTTTCATGCCTTTTCTCATAAACCCAGACGAGTGGTAAAAATTTGCCTTCAGTTGTAATAGGAGAGTTCAAACGTACAGTCTCCCTTCAACCTATCTCTGTCTGCCCATATCAAAATTATAAATGAGGAGGACAGCAGGCCCCAAGAAAGTAGGGACTAAGTATGTCTTGTTCAAAATTGTATATTCAGTGACTTACACTATGCCTAGCACACAACACACACTGAGTAAATATTTGTTGAGTGAAATAAAATCAAGAAACAAGTAAAAACTGAATAAAAATGTATGACAAACATTGGCCATTTCTTCCCAGACGTCAACTGGGGGTATCTTCAGAAGATACTGTCTCCTGCTAAAAACCTAAGAAGATAATCACAAATAATTGTAATTATTTACATATTCATTCTTATTTCTTGTTTTTTCCACATGAGTAATTTTTCCTTAAATCCATGTAACTAGGATAAAGTCAAGAAATAAAGTGAGATACCCTAACAAAAAATATAAATACATTATTTCCCTTGCTGTACTCTAATAAGTTGTCATTTCTAAATGACCAAAACTGCCTGTTCAAAATTAGAAAAGTTTGTTTTGCTTAACAAATGCATCTTAGAGAGAATCAAATCTATATTATATCAGTTGTAGATTTGCCTAAGAGACCAAAAATATAATAATAATAAGGGGGAGGAGGAGGAGGTAAGACTTTTCCACATTACTAAGGTGGCTCTCTGAGGTCAGATTTCCTAGAAGCGGAGCCTTCAGATAGAGATTGCTGTGCATGTGATTAGTTGAGGGAGTACTCTACCTTTATTTTAGGTGAAACCTGTAATAAAGTAAGGAAAGCAGATGGAGCACAAGAAGAAGCTAAGCAAAGATGTGGCTTTAACTGAAGTGTAGCCCCAGCCTGATTCCACAGGGAGATCTAGAATGTGAATAGCAGTGTAGACCTCTCCCAAGGAGATGAGGCATCTGGATTTCAATATCCCATATTATTCAATCATGGATTCATGTGGGGTAAGGAACAGGGGCTTGTAATCTCCCAGCAATCTCCTGGCAGGGCACTCAGTTGGCTATGGGCAGACCTTGGGAGAAGACTGCTGCCATGAGCCTGTTAATGCCCACAGCTGCTGAGGGATGGGTTGACCAATGGGTAAAGGGGATCTGGGTGGGACACCAAGAGCAACTGCTGCAGGGTGCATTTATGTAAGCTTCAATGACCTATATGAACCACAGTCAAATTCATATGGAAACCAATGCTCTGTTTCAGGTGTCTAAAATTGAAATCGCCTTACAATGTCTGTTCTGGAGAAAGACGACCACTGTGAGGCCTTTGTGAAGAATTTTCATCAAGGCATCTGTAGAGATCAGTGAGCCCAAAATTAAAGTTTTCAGATGAAACAACAAAACTTGTCAAGCTGACTAGACTCGAAAATAATGAAAGTTGGGATCACAATGAAATGAGAAGATAAAATTCAGCGTTGGCCTTTAGACTTTGCCATCCTTAAGGAGTGATGGAAGCCAAGTGAACAAGCCTCAGTGACACAAGTCAAATTCATAGTTTCACTCTGGGTTTTTTGTTGTTGTGTGGTTATTATTCTCACTACAGAAAGACTGAGTTTCATGCTCCTGGCTATGTCAGATGTGAATTTTCATGGGAATAATAATCAACCTTGCAGCAAGCCAAAGCAATGCCTCGCTTGGGTTCTTCATGTTCTTACTACCCAGCGTTTTTTACCACCTAGATGGGCCTCTCTAAGTCTATTTGCTCAATGAACCTTATCCCAAACTTGTTGTTTTCATGGTGTCTGAAAGAATGTGATGTCAGCTTTTAGAATGAAATCAGTGTTAAGGTACCTCCAGTGAACCAAACATGTGTCTTAAATCTAAGCCACTGAAAACAGAAGGGAATGTCCAAGGCAAATACAAATCATACACAGCTTGTAACAACATACAGCCTTTCTATGTGAAATAATGGAATAAACTAAAGAGTTTCTGAAGACTGAAGCTATCTGGATATCAAGTCTGGAGTAGGCAAAGCATTTCCATTTCTACATGGATTATAAAACTTTGTGTTGGACTCATTGGTCCCTAATGCTTTTGTTCATCACTTCTTCCAGTTATCAGTGGAATTACCTGGTGACCATTCATTTGGACCGAAATCCTGGAAGTCTCCTACTGAATAAAAGTCTACAATTGGCCCTAAAATAGAAACTGAAAAACAGGACATAGAATTTTTTCACCAGACCACAGCATGTGGAAACTTTCTTTATCATTTTTGAACACTTGTTAACAGATTTGCACATAGAGGGAGAGAAAAAAAATGGAGTAACAGTCAAAATAATAATAATCAGTATCCAGGCCAGGCGTGGTGGTTCACGCCTGTAATCCTAGCACTTTGGGAGGCCGAGGCGGATGGAGCACCTGAGGTCAGGAGTTTGAGACCAGCCTGGCCAACATGGTGAAACCCTGTCTCTACTAAAAATACAAAAATTAGCTGGGCGTGGTGGTGCATGCCTGTAATCCCAGCTACTCCAGAGGCTGACACAGGACAATCACTTGAACCCAGGAGGCAGAGGTTGTAGTGAGCCGAGATGGCAACCCTGCACTCCAACCTGGGTGACAAGAGCGAAACTCCATCTCAAAAAAAAAAAAAAAAATCAGTATCCTTCCTCTTAGTTATATTTCTGCCACTTAATTCAAACAGTCATATGCAGGTCGCTTAATTTATTTGTGCTTTTGTTTCATCTTCTACAAGGCCCTCTTAGCTCTAAAACTTGACAGTGGAATAAGGAAATGTTTTTCCAAATCTGCATTGCCGGTGAGATCCTCAACATCAGCATGTTGAGATGGACCTCAACCCCACCTCTAACCCTGAAACACACTACTCGATATTATCTTAGGTATGTTTTAGGGTTTAGTTTGTAAAATAATAATTTATTTTTGAAGGAAATATAAAATATTAAAGAGTAATAATAGCTATCATTTTTTAAGATTCAATCTAAAACAATGGACTCTTTTTTTTTCCATTTGTGATGTAGATAAGCAAGACAATTTTGATCATGAGTGGTGAAAAGAGGATCAAACTTGACTATTCTTGCAATGGCAGTCCAGCAACAAGCCTTTCATTTACATTAAATTATAACTTTTCATTCATTCCTAAACCAAACTTAAAATTCTGCTTTCCTTTGAGTAGAAGGTATTTAACTTGTTTTGTTTTTCCTTCAGAAGGAATTTAATGCAAACGGATTGCAGTCAGCACTTTCTGAATGTTTTCACACAGTATGCAAAGCTTACATCATACCAAGGAGTGGAGAGTTGAAGTTTCCTCCCAGTGACTCCAGTGACAGACCACACCTAGAAAGCGTTTCTCTTCCTGAGTATTTCAAAAAGATGTAAAAGAGCTGGGGAGAGTATGGGAAGAAACAATACAGGATTGCCTTTAATTAATTAAGAATTGCCTCCTGATAAAAGGAAAAAGAAATTAATGCTGGAGTATGGAGGGGTGATAACCTTAAAGATTATAAATATTTGTTGTCTATAAATACTTATAAATTATAAACACAATATAATTAAAATTAGAACATCAGGAAAAGAATTAAAATCCTCAGGTTGCAAAACCAAAATGTTAACCAAAACAAATACTCATGAGATTCAACTTTGTTCACCTATAGAATAGTACTTATTAACAACATAAAATCTACCCTGTGAGATTGTATGGAAACTCAGAGTGTGGCTTATGATAACCATCTGTTTATGATATTTCATATAAAACAATCTTGTGATCCTTGTAGTTCCTACCATTAATTTTGTAGGAAGGAATCTCTGACATTCCTATGGAGCTAGAACCACATCTGTCAATGTTTAAGTACCTAAGCAGAACTTAAGAGGAAAATGCATAAATATATTTGGAAATTGTTTCATTTTTTTCTATATGTAAGAAGACCCTAAAAAGAGCCTTTCAGTAAAGTTTGTGCTTCAGAACTACACTTTCAGCTATCAATCAGTTGTGTCATTAATTGAGGGTGGATTATTTAGGAAACAAATGCCAACATGTTTCTGGCATCTTTGACTACATTACACCAGCCAAGAGGTTCATCAATTTCTTTCATTCCCCATTTTGTCACTTCCCTTCGTCTATCCTCCAATTATTTGAGAACACATCCTTAAGTCATCAGTATTCATGAGTGCTTTATTATTTAGCATTTCAGAGTATAATGAGGATGGGGCACAGAATATAATGTCAGCCATCCTGGAGCCAGTAAATTTGCAAAAAAAGTAATTAAAAATGCTTGTCATTATATTCTCTTTCCCCAAGGTAGCTTTTTGTATAGTTGTGTTTTCATAAAGTTTGAAAAGGATGAAATTATAACATAGTTCATCTTTTAGTCTTTCCTGGCACAATACAAATCTAATCCTTTAATTTTAACATGTTCGTTTTGGTGATGTCAAGATTTCCATTCATTATATCTAATTGAGAAAAAAGTCATAAGAAAATAACAAACATCAGCAATTTAAGCTTTTGATGTTAAACATGAGGACAATTCATCTATGCAGAGGACCATGAGGAAGCCATTTAATGTCTCTGCATTACAAAATGTAACATGCTTTCTGTGAAGTGATATAAATATTGGTATCCTACTACCTACACTCATGGGAAGGGTTACCAAAATCCGTCTATTGCAAAACATCACTCTTTCTCGCTTACATCATGGCTGCATGACATCAGGACATGAGTAGCTGCCAAGATGAACTATAAATGTTGAAACTTAATTTGCCAGTGTCTAGCACTGCTAATCTGGGTGAGCCCACATTTTTGTCCAAATCTTTGGCTCAGACCTATTCAGTAGCACATTCAGAAATGTCTTTTCTAAATTCTGCATTTTTATTAAGTATTCAATTTTTATTAATTATTTAATCAATCAGTGCCCAGCTCAGAGTATAAGAGCTTAAGCAGTTAATTTTCTAAGAATTTTAAGTCTAGGCCCCTTGAGAATATCCATGTGAATACAAGTAAAATAGTATTATATTTTACTTCTCTTCCAAAACTAAACATGATGGATGTTCCAGATTGTCGGCAATACCCACAGCTTCCAAAGAAACATCTCATAAAGATTAGAAATGTGATTATGTGTTAACAAGAAGAACTGAATTGTTCAGTCAGGTCTTATCTAACCACCTCATGGCCTTTCTTTGTCATTTTTTATGTCTCAGATATTATTGGGGCATACGTCATCTAGATTAAAATTTGGTTAAGTCTACAGTCAACCAGCTGTCAAACTAGCAGTATTACTGATCTTTAAGAGGGTATTCTTCTTTTTTTTTGTTTTTTTTTTTTTTGAGATGGAGTCTCACTCTGTCACCAGGCTGAAGTGCAGTAGCACAATTTCAGCTCACTGCAACCCCCGCCTCCCTGGTTCAAGTGATTCTTCTGACTCAGCCTCTTGAGTAGCTGGGACTACAGGTGTGTGCCACCACACCCAGCTAATTTTTGTATTTTTAGTAGAGACGGGGTTTCACCACGTTGGCCAGGATAGTCTCGATCTCCTAAGATGGTATTAATTAGGATTCACATCTTTCTGAAAAGAAAAAAATGGCATCTCTAGATCTTTAAAATCACACTAAAAATTAATTCAATATTAAGTTCCTTAACAAATCAAGTTAAAGCAATAATGTAATACAGTAACCATTTATGAGCACTTGCAATGTTTGAAAGCATCAATTGCATTATTTTAGTTAATCCATGCTTGTGTGTAATTGAGGCTTAGAGAAGGGAATCACTTGTTCAAGGTCACAGGGCCTCAGCCTGAACCAGATGCATCTGATGTCAGAGTTCTTCATCTAACATCTAAGCTCTATATAATAATGCTTCCCAATATTTTATGAAAAATATTACTGTTGAGGGATAATTTCTTAGTGAACTTAAAAGTATGCCCAAGTAATTAGTATGCAATTGAAAAAAGTTATTTTCTTAAAATATAGAAAATAATAATTTTTTTTTTGAGATGGAGTCTCGCTCTGTCGCCAGGCTGGAGTGCAGTGGTGTGATCTCAGCTCACTGCAACCTCGACCTCCCAGGTTCAAGCAATTCTTCTGCCTCAGCCTCCCAAGCAGCTGGGACTACAGGCGCCCGCCACCACGCCCAGCTAATTTTTGTATTTTTAGTAGAGACGGGGTTTCACCATGTTGGCCAGGATGGTCTCAATCTCTTGACCTTGTGATCCGCCCGTCTCAGCCTCCCAAAGTGCTGGATTACTGGCGTGAGCCACCACACCTGGCCACAAAATGATAATATTTGTCATGGATCAACCACAAAATTCCCCTGCTGTCGTCTGCAAATTATTAAGATATGTATAACACCCTCAGGGTGAGGTCAGATCAACGTCAAGTGCCTGCTGACAGTTGAGTGCACAGTCTGGGGAGAGACTGTATACTGTAAAGGAATTCTGGCTTATCCTCATGACTCAAGGAATGAGGAGTATTCTCTTAGAGCACTCTCTTGGAATATTGGGAATATTCTACTCTAACCTGTAGCCAGTATTCCTAGAGAATACTGGAAATATTCTAATCTTGGCTACAAGCTATTTCCCAACATTTTTTTAGCTTTATTGAGACATACCTGACTCAGGTTGTTTTTGAGATGAGGGGTGAGGAATCCAAGTGATTGTCATGTCTACAGTAAAATCTCATCAACCCCCTTCTCTCCACATTATCCTCAATCCTACCCCAGCCCCCCATGCACCTTGCAGAAAAGCAGTAAGTAGCGGTGGTCCAGCTTAGGAAAAAAATTGGAAAATAACATTTTAAAAAATCTGTGCAATAGTTTGGCACTAAAATGACCGGTCTTCTAGTTCAGCTGTGTGATCTGAACTTTACTGGGACTCTTTGGATATGATATCCTTGCCTGTTAAGTGGAGAAGTTAGACTCTGAAGATGACCTCCACATTCCCTTCCTGGTTGGAAGTTGTACATTGGAAATGTGATGCCGATAAGCAGATCTATTCCACAGACATATTCCCTTTAGCTTTCGTGGTGTTTGTTTTAAATCAAGCCCACATTTAAAAACCAAGCTCTTTTACTATTTTTAAAAATCTAGCCTCTTTTGAAAAATAAAAAATATAGAGCTCTGGTCCTATTTTGTTTGTGCCAGCGCTCTATATCTTTTGTAACTTTGGTTAGAAGGAGCATGCCTCAATACCCAACTGCTGCTGCTGCTTAGGCTGCCAGCACAGGGTCCTATGGGCCTTTAAGTCTGCAAACTTGCTTCTTTGGTTTCATTTTAATCTTTCCTCATCTAAATTCTCCTGAGTCTAATCATCAAGATGCCTGTAGAGGGCCCCATTGTACTGCAAACCTCATAAATTATAAAGGAGTCTCAGATCAAAGAGTCGCCCAAGAATGTGCTTATTAGGAGAACCCACACTCACCTGGAAACCGGCAGGGGTGGCATCTGGTGACTCAGGCACTGCCCTGCCCACACCTTCAGTCACTCTCTGCTATAATCCTTGCCAGATCTGTCATTTCAGTGCACAAGCTTGCTTATGTTGCCTCCCAGCTTGAGAACTGACACTGACTCCCCATTGTGCACCATGTTTAGCAAGGACTGTTCAGCCTGCATTGTGAAGCCCTCTCCAGGGAGGCTCAGGTGGTCTGTCTTTCTCATCCCCCCTCGCCCTATGCATATCATCAGCTGTGGCCAACCACTGCTCTATGCTCTGCAAATGGGCCACACAATCCATTTCTGTGTTTTACCGTCTCTACTGTTCCTGCTACATGTATTACCCTCCCTCACCTCTGCCAAGATCACATTATTTTTTTCAAATGCTGCCCCCTCCTTAAAGAATGGTGTTATTTACAAATGTCATTTCTCCTTCTTTTGAATTTCCTTGACATCTTTCTCTTTTTTTGTACTTTTCAAACACTTACATTCTGCCTTGTATTATAATTACTTATGTTCTTAGCTAAGTTCCAATGGTAATAATGACAATGAACTTCATTTATTAAATTCACATCATAGACTGGGCACAGTGCAAAATGATTTACAGATAGTATCTCCCTCAATCCTCAGAGACATCCAGGTGAAAGGTTTTATTAGGGGTTGTGTTCAACAGTGGTTAAGAAGACAATTGTCTGGAGTTTAACAGACAGGTTGAAATCCAGCTTCACTCCTACTAGCTGTGCTACCTTAATCAAGTTTTTTTTTTTTTTTTACTTTTCTAAGCCCAAGTTTTGTCATTTGTAGAAATGGGACAATATTTATATCATAGATTGTTTTGAGGTTAATAATAAGTGCTCAATGAATGTTAGCTATTGTATTACAATTGAATTCCATTTTTCACATTAGGACACTGAAATTCAGAAAGTTTAAGCAACTCGTTCAATGATATGCACCCAGTAAGTGGTGGAACCTGGATTTGGCTGCAAGGCTGTCCAGTTCCCAGGCTTTGTGGTCTTAATTAGTGACAGGCAGGTGAGCACATGGCTGCTGGTCTCTCTGAATACAAGTCCTGCTGCACTTAGCACAGTTTGGCCATGGTTGAGTTTGCCCAGTGTTTTTTGAAGTGGGATCTGCATTCTCAGAGAGCTGGGTTTTGAACTCCAGCTGTTTATTAGCTTTGTGGTTGAGAATAAATTATTTTATCCCTCTAAATCATAGTTGCCTCCATTATAAAATGGGGAAAATAATCACACCCACAGGATCATTTTAGGGTTAAGTTAAATCAGATAGCTAATACAGGTAAAATTCATAGAACATAGCACTCATTCAATAAATATTACTTATTATAATTATAAATCATCTAAAACTCCCATTGAAACTCTTAATGACACTCAACACGGTAAGTTTTGTTACAAGGTGACATGTATTCCTAAAAATCATTACACTAAAAAATTGAGCAGGATATCCTACAGGACTCATTCAAAAATGGGGGTTTGAGAAACAATATTCAAAAAACTTCTTCAGTAACATATTAAAAACACCAAAAAAACTCTAAAAATGGTAACACAATTTTATACATTTTAGGTGGTTAAAATATACATAAACAGTACAATAAACATGGTACGTTGTCTTTAAAAAGACCTGCAGTTTGCTTGTGGAAGTGGGTATTGGCAGGGTTTAGCTTGTGAATTATTATCAAGTGATGGAAGAGGGGTTTTTAAAATTGGGTGGAAAGTTATAACAGCAGATGTGGTTGAGTGTGGTTTATAACTCAAACATGAGCCAAGATCGCTGGTAGATATTTGAGAATTGCACACATGTATGCTCTCTCCTATGCTGCTCTGCTCAACAGTTTTCTCCTCATCTAGCATTTCTCTCAGGTGAAATTATACCTAAGCAAACACAAAGTTCCTGTTATGTACAGATTATTCTTTATGTTGGAATAAACTCACGCTTTCAAGACAAGCATTAAAACAGAACTGACTGTACCTTGAAATTATCACAACCCTTGTATCTCAGTCTCAACCTTCATGATAATTATTAAACCTTTGAAATATTCTGATATTAGGCACTCAGGACCTTGGGACCTGGGGGTTATCATAACCCTCATTTCTCCACCTAAATTTACAAGTGTCAAGGACAAAATTCCAAAGCCCCATATTACTGTGGATTCAAGTTCTCATCATATTATTTGTACTTTTTTTCAAGTTATAAATGATTAGAAACCTTTATGACTATATTTTCCTTCTTAAATCAACTAACATTCAAAGATGGTTTTCATCCTAACATTATCAACTTACTGTATTAATAGGAATAGCTCCAATTCTTCTTCTTTTCCTTGAGACTTATTCCCCTCTGTTTTACCCTCTGAGCAAACTGTTACTTTTATTCAAAAGTCTTTAAATGGCATGGAAGAAAAACGGTTTTGCTTCCTTCAGCAGTCTATATTAGGCAGTATATTAGCCCAAACTGCAGATCTTACAGTAAGAAATTGCTTAAGAATTGATGAAACATTTGATTAAAAAAAGGAACAATTAAACAAAGGAATCTATAAGAAATAAGAGAGTCAAACTTGGTATATACAGGTATTAGGGTCCCCCTTTTGAGTCTAACACATGTTACTGTCAGGGCTTAGGTCTGCCTAGGTAGGCTAAGCAAACAGGTGCATCTGCATACTGGTGCTTTGGGTAGACTGAAGTCCATTTGCTTGAGGAACTAGAGAGCTTCCGATAGGTGAACATACCTTCAGCTGCTCCTTAAACCTGGTTAGAATTGATTTATCTTCCAGTGGTTTGTATTTGCATGTTGTAAAAATTAAAAGTTTTTTGTTTGTTTTTGTGCCTTCCCAGCATCCATGCCCCTTCCAAAAACCACACCAATTTTGCTGTGGAGTACCATTCTCCTTCACCTTCATTGCGCCTGGTTTAGTTGTGCATCCCTCAATTCTCATTCCAGAAGTAATCAAAGCATTCCATTACCCCCAGTATTACTGCTATAGAGACAGGAACAATACAGAGTGGTCGCAAGAGAATAGAAAATTCCAGGCAGCAGTTTTACATAACTAGCAAAAAGAAACTGTTGAAATAGCTGCAGAGGCTAGGGGCTGATAAGACCCTGAAAAACAGGGTGTGGACCAAGCTGCCTAAGAAAAACTGGACACAACATGGTGGATTTGACCTTGCTGTTACCTAGGACCTCATTATATGCTCATTAACACACTAAATCACACACCCACAGGTGCCACGACAGTTCCAGGAACACACCTATTTGGTGTAAAAATGGGTGGCATCGAAGTTAGAGAAATCTTCACCTTTTTCAAGGAACACTCATGAATATTCTGTTCCTTGGTTAAAGAAACCCATAAAGGTAGAAGTCTCAAACTCCACTATACAACTCTGAGTACACCCACACTCCCCTTTCTTGAGTGTGTACTTTTCATTTTGAAATAAATCTCCATACTTCCCCTATTTTCTGACTTATCCTTGAACATTTTCTTGTGAAGGTGTCAAGAACCTGGGCACCGGCTCGGTTCAAGTTCCCACCAACATTTGGGAACTTCCCCCAGCCCACAGGTATTACTAGCATTAACTGAGTGGCATGCATTCCACCTAAGCTAGTTCAATGAAAATCAGTGCTGGGATTTTTATTGATACCCTCTCTGGGAGGTGATGGGGAGTTCTCTCTTTCAGATTGCATTGTTAAATCAGCAGAATCACATCTTAGATTTTCTAAAGCTGGTCAGTGCTACTAGAGAACAATAGGCTACCTGAGAATGAAACTACCACAGAGAGAAGCAGGGAAGATAATCAGGTTCCTAACAACATTGTTTGAGCCCCTGATTTGAGCCATGTTTTGAATTTCCAGCTTTGCCTTCGGATTTCTTTAGATAAATTAGCCATTAGGGTTCATCATTATCTTAAACATTAACCATCTTCCTAGGCGATCATGTTTACTCAAAGATTAAAGTAGAAAGTTCTGAAATTTGTGCTCCTTAGAGCTTCTTTAATACATATATACAGTCTCACATTTTCATATAAGCCCAACTCATTTTTTAAATGAAAAGCTCAAAGACTAAAAAATTTGCACATACAGTGAAAAACAAAAAATATGGCACTTTTTTTTCACGTTTAGAGGATCTGGATATTAACATTGCGGTTAGTAACCCACATGGTTATGCTGTTTATAAAGTATGCTTTCTAGATGCATCCATGAGTCCTTTACAGAAAGGCTTTTTCGAACATTAGTTTGTAACCTTCTAAATCAGTAGCAATTTTTAATTTTTGATTACATAAAACCACTGGTTCCCATAAATCAGTTTTACCATATTCCAGACTTGTGTAAATAACAAATATTTTTCCTACTTTGCGTATTAAATACATAGCAAAAAGAGTTCCAGCGTTCTGCAATGTCTCCAGATAACAAATAAACTGAAAATTCTGTTTTTCTAGAACATCCTTCTTAACTTACTTGAAACAAGAAATTTGGTTTATAATCTTATACAGAGTATTTACGATGAGAAAAATTCAGAAAAACTTGAAATCATGAGGCATGTTGAAAAAAAGTAATTGCCCGTTACTGCACTGAACTTGAAAATGAAGCATTTAAGGCGGGCTTTTAACCACACTTGGTGAACCAGTAGTGGCAAGCAACAGCAGATTTATAAATTTTTAAAAAATAGTGAGATAATTGATTAAAGATCAGTTTATTGCTTTGAAGCAAATGACCCAAAATCTTGATGTTTCTTTAGTGAGAATATCCCAAGAAATAAATTCATAAAAATCATCAGTCTCACTGTGCTTTTAAAAACTACCAGCCACATTGGAAAGAAAATCATGTCCATTTTGCAACTTCAAAAAAGAGAAATAACTAGGTAGAATGGAGAATCCAATTAGAGGACCAAACTGAAAATGGCTTAAAGCCTCCTTCAATGTCAATGTCAGAATCACCTTGGATAGCAAAGTGGATCTAACTGGAGAATACTTTATGAGACCCCCACCTTTATCATACGACCACAAGCTGAAACCAAGCTGAAAAACGTGACTTTATAAAACTCTCATTTGAATATTAAATGAATAATTGGAAGATTGAGTTTAATCTAAATTTGTTTAACCTTAAAATTGAATGGGAGCCAATAATTTAGTTATTGCCTTTTATGTAGTTTTTAAATTTGCCTTTTTTATAAGGATGGTGTCTGATGACCTAGATTTGTTAACCATTTTATGTAAAACAACTGAAGACATTTTAGAGCAGACAAGTGAGTTTTTGGCATACTTGGAATTGATTGAAGAAATGATACAGTATTTAGACATTTAGGTAAAATTTATGGCACAAAGGTTTCTGATGGGATAGCCCACATCAAAGCTATTGTGTGTTGTAATTGGACTCTAAGCCCCACTTCAAAGATTTTGCTTGATAATTTTCTCAACGTGTCTAATGGATTGGCATAAATGTTAAAATTAAAATAAGCAAATCAAAAATTACAGTAGTTCGAATGTTCTATTTTAGAGAAATCTGTAATAAAATAAGAATAAATTAAGATGTAATAAAATCAGATTTTGAAAATTTGTACTTATATGCTGGTATAGAAGAGCATAGGAGGTACTCATCAGTCTTCAAATCAAAAATTGAATAATTATTTTCTATATGAACAACAATAATTAAAAATAGCAGCATCACAACAAAAAATTTAAACAATAAAACTACAAAATGACAGTAAATCCATGGCTTATTTTAAAATTGTGCTTAAAAGTTGGCTAAAACAAGCAATATGTTTAAGACAATGCTCAGTGAACTAATGTGAATACTTTTGTAAATGATGAATTTAACTGTGTGTACTTTTGGCCATTCATTTTAGGATTACTTCTACCAATGATATACTAGTAATCACATTACTTAAATTACAAATTCTAGTAATTTTTGTATTTCTTAGCCAATTCATGAGAAAATTGTAAGCAATTCTCATCAGATATTTTAGGGTTACTTTATAATGAAACCCCTCATTAGTCCTAAACTCTTTAAATTCATTTATATTTAAATCACCTCTATGTTGCCATCTCTCCTTGAAAAACTGCCTGCATTCCTGGACTTTTCTTAATTAAATTCTATAGATCCAGTTTATAAATTTCAAATTCCATGATATATATATATAAAGATACGTGTGTGTGTGTGTATATATATATCTCTCTCATAAAATGTGTATACACACACTTACACACTTTTTTATTTTTTAAGAGACAGGATCTTGCTCTGTTACCCAGTCTGGAGTGCAGTGGCATGATCATCATTCACTGCAGCCTTGACCTCTTGGGTTCAAGCAATTTTCCTGCCTCAACCTCCCATGTAGCTGGGACCACAGGCTTGTGTCACCAAGCCTGGTAACTTTTTAGATTTTCTGTAGGCATGGGGTCTCCCTATGTTGCCCACACTGGTCTTGAACTTCTGGGCTCATGTGATTCTCCCACCTTGGCCTCATAAAATACTGGGATTAGAGGTGTGAGCTACCACCCCCAGCCACATGACATATGTTAAATTCCACTTGCCTTCACTATGTGTAGCAAGAATAAAACTGTTCACTGAATTCTAAGTATCAGTTGTTCTACAAATGAATGTGGCCTTGAAATAAAGGAATGACGAGCCTATGCAGAAATCTCCATACTCTGGATACCTTTCTTGGTGTGTTGACTGCCATGCTCTTTCATGCCGCCTCATATCAATGGCTCTAAATATTTAATGTGAAAAGTAATCATGTACAGTTGGTGTTTAATAAAATAAAAATTTCCAGGCTTTAACAGAAATAAAGAAAATCAGAATTCCAGTAAGCAGTGCCTAGGAGTCTATATTTTCAAAAATAATATATATATTTGCTATCCCAATTAGTCATAGGCACGCCCTGTTGAAGATCTTTGAAGGTAGAAATGAAAAGCAAACAAAATAACCATTTTCTTCGCAAAGAGACTATTACTCCTAACTCTGCCATTTTAAAACTTTATGCTTTCAAAAGATGGGGAAAAATCTGAAATATTGAGCACCAGAGATTTTCTAACAGATTGCTTTCAAAACATCCTATTCAAAGTATGTGGATAGACTGTTGATGTAAAATTTAGCCATAAAAATTTTTTGGCTTCAAACTTACGTAGGAAATTTGTTATAGCTTGTTGAAGAGCAGCGTGAATAAAACAGGAAGCACAAAAAATTATTCCAGCTAAAGTTATGTGTCATGGCTTTTCCTGTGTGTCATCCATGTAAAGTTCTTTATATGCGAATTTTTATTAATGAGAGACTGCCACACAAAAATGAGAGTCATTCTTACCAAAATGTATGAGAAAGAAAAAGTTCCCTGTGAGGATATGTCTGAAAATGCTCTGAAATGTCAATTAATGCCAACTCCTCTTTCTGTGCTGGCACTAGTAAAGTGCTATCCTTTCTTTCTCTTCAGCATACTCATTTTGATAATTTGCTGTTCACTGCCTATTATGTGATTCTAACAGCATCTTTTCAAAATTACAGATGGCTATTCAAATATCAGCTCTATTGAAAACCTTGGAGTACAAAATGAGACAGCTTGAACCTCAACCATATCACTTCAGCAGGAATGTTCATTTAACACTAACACAACTCTGTCACAACAAAACGATGTATTACAGATTTCCTGTATTTTTTTTTTTTTTAGTTAGCAGAGCAATAGAAGCTGATGCCATCATTGGGATTCATAACATAATTGTGTAAAGTTCTTTTTCTATGGCTTTTGATATCATCATAGTTATAACATTTTCCTGCATACATTTTAACCTGGAAAACTATTTGAGTGTCAGAAGTTGCTACTACGTGACTGAACTCAAAAGACAGAAATCTCTAAGTGTCAAAAAGAGAATGATTTCTGGAGTCATAGAGCTGAAGTTGAAGCATCATGTGGAGAAAGGAATTGTGGTTGGGATTGTATTAGATAGATGCCTCAGGGCATGGTTAGCCTTAAGATGCCTTAGGATTGTTATGATCTCATGAGAAGATGAAGCCCTGAGCTAGGAAATTTCTATTCTATTTATGATCAAAGACTAGAAAATCTGCACCAGACAGTCAAGATTTCAATAAATGTGAAAAAATTACACAGGCTGTGGGTAGAAACAGAGTCAACTCCAAAAAATCAGAACTTGAATATATACCAAGAAGAAGCAGGGGCCTGAAATCACATTACTCATATGGCATAGTAAAATAAAAGAAGTGTGTATGGCAGTGTAAAATACAGTGTAAAAGTAGTGTGTATGGCAGTGTAAAATAAAAGAAAGATTCAGAACTAGTGGCCCTCACTGCACCTAAGCAGAGTTATACATAGACAGTCTTATGGAGAAGTTCTATAGCAAATGGTATGTGATGACCTTCCAGAGAACAAATTCCAACTTAAGATGACCTCATGAATAAAAATTATAAAACACACAGATAATTTCAGAGGAGAGGGTGTCCATAGACCCAACTAGTGTGGAATTCATACCAAAGTAATTAGAGAAATTATGATCTAACTGGCCTTTTGAAAAGTGGAGCTTAAAATGTTCAGAGACAAGAAAGGAAACACCCCAGAAGATAAGAGCATTATATGGATAAAATAGACAAGTAAAAATCCTACAGTTAAAAATACAGTCTTCAGTATTTAAAAACATATCTTGTAAGTAGAATAAGTACTACAGTAGGCACAGCTGAAGAGAAGATTAGAAATATGGAAGATGATCTGAAGAAATCAGCTAGAATGCATCACAAAGTAAAGAGATGTAAAGCATGAAAATTTCAGAAAAAAAAAAAAAGCCCAACATGAGTTCCAGAAGGAAAGGCTAGGTTAGAGGAAATATCTAAGAGATAATGGCTGAGAACTTTCAGAATGAAAGCAGGATATAAATCTTTAAATTGAAGTTGTATTCATAGTCTTAAAACTTAGTTTAAAAAACATAGTTTAAAAACTTCAAAGCCATACACACAAAAAGAAATATTACTAAAAAAGAAAACTAGTTAATTATAATGGCAGTAGATTTCTCATCAGTGAAAGTAGATGCCATAACACAATGGAATAAAGTGTTCAAAATACTCAGGGGAAATCTCTGTTAACATAGAATTCTACCACCTTTGATAGTAAAAACAAAAAAATAGACATTCAGCCACAGCCACAAAGGATCTTGGTATTTCTAACAAGTAAACTCAAACCACTTATGTATAATTGAAGCTACAAAAATTCAACCATGGTCTATACAACAAGTTAATTTCACATTTTTTTCAAGGACAGACAAAGTTTAAATGCAAAGTTTTCTAGGACAAATATTTTAACAGATATAGTTTTTTAAACAAACATTTTGTGACTCAGGATTATAAATCAACCAAATTTATAAATTATTTTATTCTTCTTAGCAAACATATGGAAAGAGAAACTCAACTTTATGATGATAATATAAAAAACAAACAAAGACTTACCACAATGGTTCATGCTTATAACTTCACCTCTTTAGGAGGCTGACGTGTGAGGGTCACTTGAAACCAGGAATTTCAGACCAGCTGGGCAACAAAGGGAGACCTCATCTCTAAAAAAAATTGTTTTAAATAAATTAGCTGAGTGTGGTGGCACACGCCTGTGGTCCCAGCTACTCGGGAGGGTGAGGTTGGGGATGGCTTGAGCCCAGGAGGTCGAGGCTACAGTGAGCTGTTATTGCACCACTACATTCCAGCCTGGTGATGAAACAGGAATTAAAAGAAATTAAAGAACGTGTAAGCGAAAACTCAGTTGTATGTAAAAAAACCCAATTCCCCCTGAGAAAGAAAAAGAGGTGGAGTCCTTTAAAAATTAACGCCTGTTTTTCTGTCTGTGGCTTGTGAGTCTTATCTCTCTCTTTCCCAGGCATTGCGAAGATCCTGTTTCTCTAACTGTGCAGTTGCAAGGTTACTAGGCAGATAAACTCAAGTCGTAAAACATGTTTTTCCTTGAAAAGTTAGAAATAATGTAATGAGTGTCTCAATTGAATAACGGTCTTTGTTTCTCACTTCTGTAATATGCTTCCCCCTGCAAAGATCTCCCGCTGCCCCATGAAATGCTTAAAAGGTAACCTCACTCTTTGTTCGGGGCTCAGTCTTTTTGGATGCTAATCTGACTAGGCCAGTGCACCTAAATAATAAATAATATATATCCTCTCCGGCCCCTCAGTCTCTCTGATTCCTAAATTATCCCACTGCAGTGACACAGTGAGATCCTAAGAAAACAAACAATAAATTTAATGTAATTTTGTAGTAATTCACCGGTTAATGTTTGCTTACTTTCTTTTTTCTATATAATCTATGTTATAATCAGAGGTTTACCTTTCCAAAGACTAATGGTAGTTGTCTTCTAATTTTTTTCAAGTTTCCCCATTAAACTCATCCTTAGGGCTTGTAAACTCCTATTGTCCTTCCCAGCAAAGTCTAAGTTGAAGAACGTAGAGCTTATAATATTCTGTATCTACAAAAGACTAAGAGTTTAATATCTCTTGTATTGGTTCATTCTCACACTGGTGTAAAGAATTACCTGAAACTGGGTAACTTATAAAAAGAGATTTAATCAACTCACAGTTCCACAGGCTGTACAAGAGGCATGCCTGGGGAGGCCTCAGGAAAGTTACAATCATGGTGGAAGGGTGAAGGGGAAGCAAGCATGTCTTTACATGGTGGCATGAGAGAGACAGAGAAGTGGGAGTGCCACACACTTTTAAACCACCAGATCCCACGAGAATTCACTCACTATCATGAGAACAGCAAGGGGGACATGCACCCCCATGATCCAATTACCTGCCACCAGGTCCTTCCCCCAACATTGAGAACTGCAATTCAACATGAGATTTGGGTAGGGAGACAGAGACAAACCATATCACCTCTAAACGATACTGAAGACTGCCAGTGAATGTATTTCAGCAAGATGAAACAAGAACCCAGGAGAAAAAAATACCATGCAAGTATCAGTGATGAGCAAGGAAGTCAGAGATATGTGTTTGTCAATTGAGTAGAAATTAAAATTAATTTGTGACAACATTTACAAATTAACAATGTGAAACTTAAACACCAGACAACAATAATAAAGGAAGATTGGAGGGAAAATTTAGAAAGGAGTTCCGGTGTGCTAAATTCTTGTCTTGTTCAAATAAAGAACAAAGATATTGACTAAAAAGAGACCATGTTACAAAATTATAAAAACTAAGAATGACTGTAAAAGATATAGTTAACTATTAATATCATTAAATATTTATGTCTTAAGGAGAAGTACTATGTATCACTTTTAAAATAGGAGAGAAACTAAAAGCAGGGACTCCAGTGCTACAAAGCTTGGGTTTCTTGGTGCCACCATTTACAATACATGAACCTTGGGAAAGCTATGTAAGCTCTCTTCACCTCAGTTTCTTCATTCATAAAATGGGGATAATAGTAGAACTAACTCATAAAATTGTTATAAGGATTAGCTAATAGGTGATTTAATATACTAGTTACATATGGAGTTATGACTTCAATATATGGAAAGCACATTGAACAGAGCATAGTAAGAAAAAAATACTATATAAGTTTAGGTATTTTATCTATATTATCTAATTTCATATGTTAAAAAGAACTGGAAGCAAATATTAAAAATTTACAATTTACAAGGTGGGTATATAAATTTTGAGTAGATAAATCTTTGGACTGTTCTACGTTTTTAAAATTTATCCAAAAAAAAAAAAAAGGCAGGAGTAAAGAAAGAAAGGGAGGGAGAGAGAAAGCTGGGAGGAAAAAGGGGAAGAAAAACTTCAGGTGACTACCCAGCAAAGAGCAAAAGACGGGAGATATTTCTGTTATTGTGACCCAAAAGTTGTCAAGGCCTATAAAATGCAGATTACACTTGGATTAAATAGAAACATATTAACATAACCAAGTACTGTAATGATTTTAAGGAGAATGTTGAAAAATGGAGGACGCTCACCTAGAAATACCCAAGTATAGCTGCCTGTCTCTTAAAACTGTCATGAAAAATATTGATCATAAAATTGAAACCTTTATGAGAATGATTTCTTATATCTGTGCTGCAAGGTTACATAATGAACAAAGACAGGTAAAACTCATCTCAGAATGGAGTAAAATTAGCTGCATCTTCTGTTTCAAGTAAGATTGAATATTTTCCTTTGTTTTTTGGACATTTGTCATTCTAGTTTAGTAAAATGTCGGTTCATCTTCACAGCTTATTTATCTATTAGGTTGAATGATTTTTTAATTTAGATATAAAAAATTTAAAACACTTCAAATATTAACCCTTTAACATTTGTGTTGCAAATGCTTATTCCAAGTCATTTCCCCATTTTTATTTAGTCTATATTTCTCTTTGAAATACATAATTTTAAAAGTGATATTTTCACATAGAAAGATCTTTACCACAAGTTATTTTTGCTTTAGAAGTTTTTCCATTCACACACAAAAAAGTTGACTTATTTTATTTTTTAAAGATTCTGTGTATAGCAAGATGAAAATTTTAGTTCTTTTTAAATTTATCATGACTCATTTGTCACGTATCTATTTATTATATATAGTAAGGCAAAAAATGTATACTATATATATTTACTTTGTATTCATATTTACAAGATCAAGTCCTATTTTATTGCTCACTCTTCCTCTTTTAGAACCAGTCCAATACATATATTTAATAAGTACAGCTATATAAAATGCTTGGAGTTCAGGTAAAGTTAGAATATTATTATCAAGCTTAATTTTCAAAATTGTATGCCTGTTAAGCTTCTGAGAAAACAGAGCCGGGCACAGTGGCTTACATCCATAATCCCAGCACTTTGGGAGGCTGAGGCAGGTAGATCACTTGAACCTAGGAGTTTGAGACGAGCCTGGTCAACATGGCAAGAGCTCATCTCTACTAAAAATATGAAAATTAGCCAGGTGTGGTGGTGCATATCTGCAATCCTGGCTACTTGAGAGGCTGAGGCACAACAATCACTTGAATCCGGAAGTTGGAGGTTGCAGTGGGCTGAGATCTTGTCACTGCACTCCAACCTGGGTGACAGAGTGAGACTGTCTCAAAAAGGAAAAAACAGTTCCCTTGTAATAGATCGTATATGAACATGATATAAAGGATAATAAAAAGGGTATTCAGATAATGGTAGTACTTCCTTCCATTATTGTTTCCTAACCACTAGTTATACTTTTCAGAGATAAAAATTATTTTGTATCACTTCACATATTTTCTAAGCATAAACTAGTGACACAGGATTCTGTTGTTCAGCATGCAGAGGGAATGGCACCCAAGCAGCTTCTTTTCTTCCCTGTGGCTCCACCAGCAGGAGGGAGCGGTTACTGTGTTACAGGAGTTTTTTGGGGGTACTTAGCCAGCCGGAAATCTCATAGCCAGTGGCGTCTCTGCCCCAGCTTCGCTCATGACCACAGGGTTTGCTCTGCCCACTCAACCCAGTGGGCTACACTCAGCTCGCGCTACCAGCCCAGAACCTGCTCCCGCTGCAGCTCTGCACTCAGCTTGCTATTGGTCCAGGCATGTCGCAACTGGCTTCCACCTTGGGCACTGGTGTCTGGATGAGGGGGATGTAGTGGTGCCCAAAAACTAGGAGTGGCAAGCAACTGCGGAGCTCCAAGTGGTGTTATGGCTCTCACCCAAGGAGTCCTGAGGTCTGAGCCACCAAGAGATGTTACAGCTCCCTCGCGTTCCTGCCGCCTGCAACATGGCAAACGGGGGCGTGTTACAGATCATTCGTTTTACAGTTCATTTGTGTTATATCTCGTTTGTTCCCGCTGCCCACAGGGCGAGTTCTGGGTTTTTGTCCTGCAACCAAGAGGAATTAGGTACGCAGACAGTGGAGAGTAAGCAGCGTGGAGAAGAATTTTATTGAGCAACAGAAGGAAAGCTGTCAGTGGAGAGGGGACCCAAGGGAGGGAAGTCATCTGCGTGAGAGGGGGCCCAGAAAGTGAGTAATCCAATGTATGGCTCAGTTCAGGGTTTTCAATGGCTCAGAAGAGGAGAGTGCATTCTGACTGGTCCATGGGGAGGCGTGGAAAAAGCACCATTTGACTGGCTAAAATGCGCTGAGGGTATTCTCACTCTGGTCTTGGACGCTATCCAGAACTGTCTGCTGGGTTTTCAGGCTTCAGGCTGTCTTTGGCTTGAAGGTCGGCTTTCACCGGGGACCTGTCCCTATCTGCCTAGGAATCTGTCTGCCTCCTTTTGCTATCAATCCCTCCTCTGAAGAGGTACATCTAACTGCTGTTAGGATACAAACAGTAACCGCTCTTAACTGCTTCATGCTAACAGGGTGCACTGTTTTGGGAAAACGGCAGTCAGATCTCTCAGAGGCCTATCAAAGTGTTTCCCGGGTAATGGGACCAGGAAATGGGACCCATTGCCCGTGGCTCCATTTGCATGACCATTTGGAGTTTGATGGTCTCTAGGTGAGAATAAACAAATTTTACAAGGAGGTTAAATATGCGTGGACCAAATATGTGTAGTATACAAAGAGGAGCTAAAAGGAAAATCTCTATTGCCAACGATAACAGAAATAAGAAGTAAAATAGACTAATCATTCTGAAAACAATGTTGTGGCCACAGATATTTCACCCCAGTGAAGGAAATTAAATCTTGTATGGGGGAAGGCAATTAAACTTTAGAAGAGAGATAGCTGTTTAGGAGAGTAGATAATCCCAGGGACATTCAGTAATAAGGAGTCTTGGCAAAGATGCCTTATGGTGAGGAACAGAACAAAGGCGAGTACAGCAAGCATAGGTGAGATTATAAAGAGGATATCCATTGAAGGTTAATTATTGACACTTAAGTTTTGTTTCTTCACACTGTTGCTTTGGGTGCTCTTCTGGGTCAACAGAGGTAATTTCATCAGTTTCCCAGACTTTACTCGAGTATAATTAATCCAAGAATCTATTCCAGTGAACTTTACTGATGTAGGAGTAGAAAGAATTACAGTTGAAGGCCCCTCCCAATCTAGGCCACAGAGAGAGAAAAGGAAAGAAGAGCCTTTACCAGTACTAGGTCTCCTGGGTTGAATAGAGGTGGTTCTACTTCACGGGATTGGTCCTCCGACAGTTGTTTCAGTTCCTATTGGAAATGGGCCAAAGAAGTTACATGTCTAATCAAATCAGGGGTTTGTTGGTTTAGCAAGAAACCACTGGTGAGAAAAGGCCATCTATACATCGTTTTGAAGGAACTTAAACCCAGCTTTGAAAGCTGTTTCTAACACATACTAGTGCCATGGAAAGAAGAGTAATCCAGGGGGAGATGAATCTCTTTAGACAGTTTTCTGAGGTGCCTTTTGATAATATCATTTGTCTTTTCTACGATTCCTGAGCATTGTGGTCTCCAAGCACAATGAAAATGATATTGCATGCCTAGTGCCTTTGAGACCTCCTAGGTGACAGCTGCTTTGAACAAGGGGCTGTCATACCATACTGGAAACATTAGTTTTGGGCTTTTTTAACCTAATATTATGTATTTGTAGATTTTTCAGTGCCAGTGTATTCAAGGCTG
This sequence comes from Homo sapiens, assembly GCF_000001405.40. Taxonomy (NCBI): domain Eukaryota; kingdom Metazoa; phylum Chordata; class Mammalia; order Primates; family Hominidae; genus Homo; species Homo sapiens. Next base: position 74,336,262 of record NC_000004.12, read on the forward strand.
TGTCATTTATTCCAGAGTTGTAGAGTACTGCCTTGTTTGATGCACCATGTTGATTAACCAGTATTTAGTTTATGGATATTAACATTGCCTCAAGTCTCCTGTCAGAACAAATAAGACAATTCCTACTATTCTTACTATTACAATCAGAAAGATATTTCAGTAAGATGGCTGAAAAAAATTTATATATACAATTTAATGGCATTCCTATATAGAATCAATAACCAATTAGAATATAAAATGGAAAACAGTAATCACAGAATGATTTTTAATATCTTTCAATAAATTTAATAAGAAATGTGTAAGAGCCCTATGAACAAAATGTTAAAATGCTATTATGGGAGATAAAAGAGCATTTGAATCTATTGGAAAATATACCCACTCTTGCATAGAAACACTCAGCATCATGATAATGTAAATTCTCTCTAAGGAAAGCCTTGAGATTTTATACAACATTAACAAAACAACACCTGGTCAATTTGTGAAACAGACTGGCTGCATCAATAAAGCAAAACAGAATCAAAAGATAAGAAGCAATAGAGTAGAGTCTTAACACTAAGATAACATTACAGATCAGTGCATAAGAACATAGATCATTCCATAAATGATGTTGAGAAATTGAGATAGACATATAAAAAATAAGCTGCTTACTTACTCTTTGCACTAAAACAAATTTTAGATGAATCAAGTATTTAAACATAAAAATGAAGCTATGAAAGTACTAGAGAAGGCAAGGGAATTTTTTTTATAATATTTAAGTGAAAGCCTTCTTGAGTGTGGACAAGGAAACAGAAATTGTAAAATAAAAGACAAATAAATTCAACCACACAACACGTTAGAGGTGTCAAAAAAGTATCATAAGAAAATCAAAGTCCAAACAAAATACTGGCAAGACATCCCTAAAGCAAAGGACCAATTTTCTTTATATAAATGATGCTTTACTTCTGTTTAATGGTGTAGCCCTCGGGTTGATAAAGAAATGGAAACATTATCACATTTTAAATATAAGAAGCAATACATCTTTGAGTCAGCAACCTTGGTTCTAGGAACTTATCCTTATAAAATATGCTTTCATATCTTCAACATGATACACATAGTCGGCTGGACATGGTGGCTCATGCCTATAATCCCAGCACTTTGGGAGGCCAAGGCAAGAGGATCACTCGACCCCAGGAGTTTGAGAACAGCTTGGCCAACATGGTGAAACTCCATCTCTACTAAAAATACAAAAAATTAGCCAGGCGTGGTGGTGCATGCCTCTAATCCCAGCTACTCAGGTGGCTGAGGCAGGAGAATCTCTTGAGTCCAAGAGGTGGAGGTTGCACCAAGCCAAGATTGTGCCACTGCACTCACAGCCTGGGCAACAGAGCAAGACTGTTTCAGAAAAAAGAAAGGAATAATAGTCTTACTTTCCTCCTAAGGGGTTGTAAAGATCAAATCTATATTAGGTTGTTTGAGCTGCCATAACAAAATACTACAGATTAGGCGGCTTGAAAAACAAAAGGTTATTTTCTCAGCTTTGCAGACTAGAGGGCTAAGATCAAGGTGTCAGACAGTTTGGTTTCTCCTGAGGCTTCTCTTTCTGGCTTGTGGACAGCCGCCTTCTAGCTCTGTTCTTTCCTCTGAGTGTTCTAATGTTTCTGGTATCTCTTTGTAGGCCCAAATTTCTTTTTCTTATGACACCATTCAGATTGGATTCTGGCCTACCCTAACCACCTCCTTTAAACTTAATCACTTTTTTGAAGACTTTATCTCAAAATACAATCACATTCTGAGCTACTAAGCGCTAGGACTTTAACATATGAATTTTGGAGAAACACCATTTAGCTTATAAGAGATCACTGTCCATTCTGTTTCAAACAATAATGTTTTTATCCTGCTACTGCAAAATTACCCTCACTCAAATCAGTGGAATCAATGGAATTAGTTTAGCTAGTAGGAATGCTAAAATAATGAAAAAAATAATGGCTCTGTGAATGGAAGGATTTGTTTGTGAAACTTGTTATATTTCAATGCCACTAATAATATCATATACTCTGTGACTAATGTTTAAGTGAATAAATAATTTTATGAGTATTTAAAGCAAATACTAGTTGACTTGTAGTTTTATAGGTAACTACCGAATTACTGAATCTTTCAGACGTTTTCTCAGATTATTATTATGTGTGCTTTCAAGGGTCTTCTTGGGACTTTATTTAATCCATTTAATAACTTAGCTGTGTCCTTGAAAAAATAAGACTTCAGATATGCAGCCATTCCAAAAATGTTGTAATATTTATAGTTTCTGAAAAAAATTCTAAAGAAAAACTTAAGCTCAGGCTTATAAAGTTTATTTTACAGCATTTACAATATACAATTGATATCAACTCAAGAACCAAAATGAAAAAAGATGTTATGCTTATCAATAAACAAAAACCAGATAAAGGAATAATCAAATTATTTATTTCTGTTTTCCAGCTTAGATACACAGTAAACTATAAACAGTTAAAAGTGAAATTAATTCCCATATTATACCTGATGACTTTTAACACAAATAAATATCTTCTTTTTTATTTATTACCTATCCCCCAGACAAAGAAGTTTAGACATTTAAAAAATACTATGTCTTATTGCTCAATTCTCTTTTGTAAAAAACAAAGATCTTCCCCACATTAAATTTTGAAGAGTTGGTGTTTATAATTAAGTATCTTCGTGATTACCCAACAACTGTGCATACGTGAAAACATTGCTTAGCCGTCATGACATTGCAACACTCTCCACAAATGAGGAAATTCATATCCAGTAAACTTTTATTTATTTTGCAATAATATAAAGGACCCTTTCTAACATTTAGTGATATGCTGTTTATCTGAAATCTTTGTCATGGACAAGGATTGTTTCTTAGCCAGTGTGAGTATGTGTGTGTGTATGTGCCTGTGTCTGTGTTTAGGGAGAAATGACGTATTATGTCCTGAGTACCTTCTATTCACCAGGCATTATCTTCAGCACTTTGAATATGTGAAATTATTTCAATCTCAGAAGTATTTCATGGTATATGTTCTGTTAGCTCCATTCTATAGATAAAACTATCACTCAAGCCTGTTAAACAACTCCAACTTAATAAGTGTGGGATCTGGGATTCAGAAATGAAGTTTAAAAACAGTGAGAAGCACTGTTACGTATGCACATTGGCAGAGTTATGTATGTGCATTAGCAGAGTCAAGACCCCAAGAAGTTACCTAGTCTTTACATAAAATGTCACCGAAACACAGATATCAGTCTATCCTCCCTCCACCCTCCAAAATATTCAAGAATGACACTATACCAATTCTTTGTGATCTATTTCAGTCTCCATTCTTAACTGCCAGAGTACATCCTGGAAGCCCTTTACCCCTTAAGAACACCCTGTTTGTCCTGTCTTAGCTGAAAGAGAGAGTATGTTCACCACCACTCATAACTGAAAATTCTCTTTGTACTGAAAGCACCTATTCCTTTTTCTGTTCTTGGTTGTCTGCTCAGCCCAGAGATTCTGGCAGGGACACTGATCTGAATCTGTTCTCATCTCAGGTTTCTCCAGGGGTTCCCAGGACAATCCTGCCACCAAATCAGAACATAAAGTAAACTCCTGGAACAGAAGCTCTGTCAACATTAATCAAATACTTCCATGTTTTTATTTCAAATAGGAATGACTCTGAGTTGGACTAGATCTCTTCATGCTTACCCAAGCTATCTTACCTATCAGCATAACTGAGAATTCAACAAGGAGGTAAAGAGGAACAATGGGGTAAGTTTAAATATCTCCACATTTTTCAAAATAGATAAGTGAAAGAAATCTATGAGGTTTGTATTTATTTTACCAGCACATTTATATTAAAACATCCAACAAGTATATTTTTACCACTACATTCCTATGACTATATCTATGACATAATTAGTGTTCATTCTTAAGTGCTTAGGTGATTATAATAATAGTTATTATATAGGTTCTTTGCATATCTAATATTGTCTTTGTTTCTAGTTACAGACATTAGATCCAAGACACTTAGTCACTGGGTATTTTCTTTTTCAGATCTCTGGTTTTACTATATAAATCTATCAGCCAGTCAAATTCTTACATGTCTATTTTAAGTATGGGAGAGGCTCCAAAGAGAAGGTGAGTTCACAGACAGAGGTTGAATAAATGCAAACTTCTGATTGTCAGTGATGAAGTTGTTAAATCTTATAATGATTTTTGATGGATTTTTTTGCAAATTGGAAAATACATGAGTCAAGATCATTTGGGGAATGCTGTTAAGAATGAGATTGAACATGCAGTGTTTGGTTTTCTGTTCCTGTGTTAGTTGGCTGAGAATGATGGTTTCTAGCTTCATCCATGTCTCTGGAAAGGACATGAACTTATCCTTTTTTATGGCTGCATAGTATTCCATGGTGTATATGTATCACATGTTCTTTATCCAGTCTATCATTGATGAGCATTTGGGTTGGTTTCAAGTGTTTGCTATTGTGAATAGTGCTGCAATAAACATATGTGTGCATGTGTCTTTATAGTAGAGTAATTTATAATACTTTGGGTATATACCCAGTGATGGGATTGCTGGGTCAAATGGTATTTCTTGTTCTAGATCCTTGAGGAATCACCACACTGTCTTCCACAATGGTTAAACTAATTTACACTCCTACTAACAGTATAAAATTTTTCCTATTTCTCTATATCCTCTCCAGCATCTGTTGTTTCCTGACTTTTTAATGATCGCCATTCTAGCTGGTGTGAAATGGTATCTCATTGTGGTTTTGATTTGCATTTCTTTAATGACCAGGGATGATGAGCTTTTTTCCATATGTTTGTTGGCCGCACAAATGTCTTCTTTTGAGAAGTGTCTGTTCATATCCTTCACCCACTTTTTGATGGGGTTGTTTTATTTTTTTCTTGTAAATTTGTTTAAGTTCCTTGTAGATTCTGGAGATCAGCCCTTTGTCAGATGGACAGATTACAAAAATTTTCTCCCATTCTGTAGGTTGCCTGTTCACTCTGATAATAGTTGCTTTTGCTGTGCAGAAGCTCTTTAGTTTAATTACATCTCATTTGTCTATTTTGGATTTTGTTGCCCTTGCTTTTGGTGTTTTAGTCATGAAGTCTTTGCCCATGCCTATGTCCTGAATGGTATTGCCTAGGTTTTCTTCTAGGGTTTTTATGATTTTAGGTCTTATGTTTAAGTCTTTAATCCATCTTGAGTTAATTTTTGTACAAGTTGTAAGGAAGGGGTACAGTTTCAGTTTTCTGCCTATGGCTAGCCAGTTTTCCCAACACCATTTATTAAATAGGGAATCCTTTCCTCATTGCTTGTTTTTGTCAGGTTTGTCAAAGATCAGATGGTTGTAGATGTGTGGCATTATTTCTGAGGCCTCTGTTCTGTTCCACTGGTCTATATATCTGTTTTGGTATCAGTACCATGCTGTTTTGGTTACTATAGCCTTGTAGTATAGTTTGAAGTCAGGTAGCATCATTCCTCCAGCTTTGCTCTTTTTGCTTAGGATTATCTTGGTTATACAGGATATTTTTTGGTTCCATATGAAATTTAAAGTAGTTTTTTTCTAATTCCATGAATTCTAATACTGTGAAGTCAATGGTAGCTTGATGGGGATAGCATTAAATCTATAAATTACTTTGGGCAATATGTCAATTTTCATGATATTTATTCTTCCTATTCCTGAGGATGGAATATTCTTCCACTTGTTTATGTCCTCTCTTATTTCCTTGAGCAGTTGTTTGTAGTTCTCCTTGAAGAGGTCCTTCACATCCCTTGTAAGTTGTATCCCTAGGTATTTTATTCTCTTTGTAGCAATTATGAATGGGAGTTCACTACACAGGGAGGGGAACATCACACACCAGGGCGTGTCAGGGGGTTGGGGGCTAGGGGAGGGATAGCATTAGGAGAAATACCTAATGTAGATGACAGGTTGATGGGTGCAGTAAACCATCATGGCACACGTATACCTATGTAACAAACCTGCATGTTCTGCACATGTATGATTTGATAAATATTTGGTTTCAGCTCCAATATGTAAAGATCTTAGAAGTTATTACTCTTATCCTTACAATAAGAAAAAGCTGAACAAGCTAAAAATAAACAAATTTTCTTAGATCTCTCAGAAAACTGAGGCCACAGGGCAAACTACCACCCCAAAATCCAGCAGATGAGTGAATCTTGAGAGTCACTGCTGAAATATGTTTATCTGAAGCAGTAGCAGCTGAAGTCAAAAACTGGTAGAAAAAAATGGTAAATTGGTAAATTGGGAGGCTGAGCATGCAGTAGCATAAGAATGAGAAACAGACAACTGTTGACAGAAGTCTTGAAGAACACACTTTAATGGGATTTATCTCTAGAAAATCCATCAGGTTCTCATGATGAAGATGTGAGAAACAGCCCCTCCTGGCCCTGGCAGGATGAGGGAAAGCATAGCCTTTGAAACATGCACAGAGCATTCTCCAAAACAAAGGCCTCCTCTCCACAAGAAATACTTTACCAGAGCCTTATCCCACCTGATGGAAGGATGTTATCCTACGCCAGCTCCCTCTAGTCCTCTTTACTCATTAGAAGGAGAAAAAAAGCTAAGAAATACCCGTGAAGTTTGCAGCCTAGGAAAACAGACTTACTAAAAGACATTATGCATAAGATTTTTGACAAAAAGAATTCTGTAAAATATTTAAAGAAGTTTATTCTGAGCCAGTATTAGTGACCATGGCCCAGGGAACGGTCTTATGAGAAACTGTGTCCAAGGCAATTCAGTTACAGTTTGAGTTTATATATTTTAGGGAGACAGGAATCATAGATAAAATCACAAATCAGCATATGGAAGGTATACATTTGTTCAGCCTAAAGAGGAGGGGTATCTTGAAGTGAGGAGGGGGATTGGGAGGAGCACTTACAGATCGATGTTAGGTCATTCTTGAATAGCTGTAAAGAAAGATCTGAGACAGGGAAATTTATAAAGAAAAGAGGTTTAATTGGCTCACAACTCTGCAGGCTATACAGGAAGCATGGTTCCACCATCTGCTCAAATTCTGGGGATGCCTGAAGGAGCTTTTACTCATGACAGAAGATAAAGTGGGAGCAGGCATATCACATGGTGAGAATGAGAAAAAGAAAGAGTGTCAGGAGAGGTGCCACAGACTTTTGAAAAACAGATATCCTGAGAACTCACCCACTATTGCAAGGACAGCACCAAGCCATGAGGGATCCACCCCTCAGTGACCCAAACACCTCCCACCAGGCCCCACTTCCAACACTGGGGATTACAATTCAACATGTGATTTGGCAGGGATGTATATTCAAACTATATTATTCTTCCCCTGGCCCTCCAAATCTCATGTCCTTCTCACATTGCAAAAACAATCATGCTTTCCCAATAGTCCCTGAAATTTATTCTTAACTCAATCCAGTGTTAACTCAAAAGTCCAAAGTCTCATCTGAGACAAGGCAATTCCCTTCCACTTCTGAGCCTATGAAATCAAAAACAAGTTATGTACTTCCAAGATGCAATGGGGGTGTAGGCATTGGGTAAACATTCCTGTTCTAAAAGGGAGAAATCAGCCAAAAGAAAGGGGCTACAGGCCCCATGCAAGTTCAAAACCCATCTGTGCAGCCCCAGAATAATCTTTTTTGACTCCATGTCCCACATTCAGGGCACACTGTTGCAAGGGGTGGGCTCCCAAGGCCTTGGGCAGCTCCACCCCCTGTGGCTTTGCATGGTTCAACTCTCATGGCTTCTCTCCCATGTTGGAGTTGAGTGCCTGTGACTTTTCCAGGCACAGGGTGCAAGCTGCTGGTGGATCTACCATTCTGGGATATGGAGGATGGTAGCTCTCTTCTTATAGCTCCACTAGGCAGTGCCCCAGTAGGGACTCTGTTTGGGGCCTCCAACTCTACATTTCTCTTCTGCATTGCCCTAGTAGAGGTTCTCTGTGTGGGCTCCACCCTGGCAGCAGTCTTCTGCCTGGATGCCCAGGCCTTCTTATGTATCCTCTGAAATCTAGGTGGAGGATGCCACGCCTCCTTTACTCATGCACTCTGTGAACTTACAGGCTTAACCCACATGGATGCCAGTAAGGCTTATAGCTTGTTCCCTCTAGAACAGTAGCCTGATTTAGCTGGACCCCTTTGAACAGAGACTGGAACCAGAGGTGGAGTGGCCATGATGTGAGGAGCAGCTTCCTAAGGTGTTGCAAGGCAGTGGTGCCCCTGGATTAGCCCTGAAAACATTCAGTCCTCCTGGGTCTCTGTTGCAAGGGGCTAGCTACCTCAGAGATCTTTAAAATGCCTTCAAGGGCTTTTACTCATTGTCTTGGACATTATCATTCGATTCTCTTTTAGTTATGCAAATCTTTTTAGCAAGTGGTTGCTCCAAAGCCTCCTTGAATTCCTCTCCCAAAAGAACTTTTTCTTTCTCTGCCACATGATCAGGCCGCACATTTTTCAAACGTTTATGCTCTACTTTCCTTTTAAATACAACTTCCAACTTCAAGTCATTTCTTTGCTCTTGCATCTTAGCATAGGTTGTTAGAAGCAGCCAGGTTACATCTTAAATATGTTACTGCTTAGAAAGTTCTTCCTCCAGGCTGGGCACAGTAGCTCATGCCTGTAATCCCAGCACTTTGGGAGGCTGAGGCTGGCGGATTACAAAATCAGGAGTTCAAGACCAGCCTGGCCAACATGTGAAACACTGTCTTTATCAAAAATACAAAAAATTAGCTGGGCGTGGTGGCGGGCGCCTGTATTCCCAGCCACTTGGGAGGCTGAGGCAGGAGAATTACTTAAACCCAGGAGATGGAGGTTGCGGTGAGCCAAGATCGCACCATTGCACTCCAGCCTGGGCAACAACAGCAAGATTCCATCTCAAAAAAAAAAAAAAAGAAAGGTCTTCCTCCAAATACCCTAGGTCATGTCTCTCAAGTTCAGACTTTCACAGATCCATAGAACATGAACAGAATGTAGTCAAGTTATTTGCTAAGGCATAACAAGGGTGAACTTTGCTTCAGTTTCTAATAAGTTCTTAATTTCCATCTCATACCTCATCAGCATGGACTTCATTGTCCATTTCACTATTAGCATTTTGGTCACAACAATTTAACCAGTCTCTGAGAAGTTCCAAACTTTCCCTCATCTTCCTCTCTTCTTCTGAGCCCTCCAAACTCTTCCAATCTCTGTCTGTTACCCAGTTCCACAGCTGCTTCCACAGTTTCAGGTATCTTTATAGCAATACCCCCAAACCTTGGTACCAGTTTTCTGTGTTAGGTCATTCTTGCCTTGCTATAAAGGAATATCTGAGACTGGGTAATTAATGAAGAAAATAATTTTAACTGGCTCACAACTCTGCAGGCTGTACAGAAAGCATGGTGCCAACATCTGCTTAGCTTCTGAGAAGGCCTCAGGGAGGTTTGACTTATAGTGGAAGGCAAACCAGCAGCAGTCACATTACATGGCAGGAATGGGAATGAGAGAGTGGGGTAGGAGGTGTCACACATTTTTTTTTTTAAAACGTATCTCCTGAGAACTCATTCTCTATTGTGTGCACAGCACTAAGCCATGAGGGATCTGCCCCTATGACCCAAACAATTCTTACCAGGTCCCATCTCCAACCCTGGGGATGACAATTCAGCATGAGATTTGTCAGGAACATTTATTTAAACTATATCAAGGTCATAAGTGGATTCAAATATTTTCTGATTGGCAATTGGTTGAAAGAGTTAAATTTTGTCTAAGGACTTGGAGTAGAAAGAAATGCTTGAGTAAGATAAGGGGGCTTGTGGAGACCGAGGTTCTTGCTGTGAGATGAAACCTAATAGGTAGCAGTCTTCAGAGATAATAGATAGCAAATATCTCCTTTTGGACATTAAAAGATATGAGACTCAATTTATCTCTCCTAGATCAGAGAAAGAACTGGCTGCATTAATGGAGATTCTCTACTGATGCAAATTTTCCCCATAAAAGATTGCTTTGCAGGGCTACTTCAAAATATGTAAAAAATATATTTTAGGATAAAATATTTTTATTTCCTTCAGGGTCTGCTATCTTTCATGTGATGCTATACCTGAGTCAGGTTAGAATTTGATATTGCCACAAAGAGTCTGTCAATCTTATGATCTCTGTTTTAATGTTAATGCTGGTCAGTTGTGCCTAAATTCCCAAAGGGATGGGGTTTAATGAGGCACTTCTGACCTCCCTTCCCAACATGGCCAGGAATTTAGTTTTTCAGTTTTCTCTGGGATCCCCTAGGCCCACAGAGGATCTCTTTAGTGGGTTGGGGTGGCTTAAAATTTTATTTTTTGTTTTACAGATTATAGGACATTTCCCTTTTTATATCCCTCACTGGTACATCAGTGGTTCTCCAGTATGGTAACAGTGGAATACAGCTAAAAGAGCAGCTGGAAGGTGTACAGACTGTCTCCACGGAGGAATACTTAGGAAAGTCCAAAGTAATGATGAGAAACAAAAATGCAAAACAAACAAACCAACCCCCCCAAAAAAAATTCTAGAGGAATTTAAAAGCCTATATACCCAACTTTCTGTTACCTGATATATCATGCCCTCCTACTTTCAACAAAAAAATTACAAGGCATGCCTACAGGCAAGAAAGAGCACTATATGAAGAGATAAAACAAGCATAAGAACTCAGATATGACAAAGATATTGGAATTATGAGATAAGGAATTAAAAATAACTGATTATTATGTTAAAGATTCTAATAGGAAAAGCAGACAATATGAAAGACTTGATGGTAAACATAAACATAGAGATGGAAACTCTAAGAAATATCTAAAAGGAAACACTAGAAACCATAATACTATAACAGACTTGAAGATTACTTTTGATGGGCTCCAAGAGTAGACAGGACATAAGTCAGGACAAGTGATAAGCAAATCAGTGGACTTGAAGATAAATCAATAGAAACTGCTAAAAACTGAAATTCAATGAAAAAAATAGAATACACAAAAACAGAACAAAGCATCCAAGCATATGGAAAAATTTCAAAAGTGTAGCATTTACATAATGGGAATATTATAAGGAAAGGAAAGAGAAAACAGGGCAGAAGGAGTATGTAAAGTAATAGTGGTTAAGAATTTTCCCAAATTTATGACAGACAACAAAATTCAGATTCAGGAAGCTCAGAGAATACAAAGCAAGGTAAATAACAAAACAAACTAGGACTAGGCATATCATATTCAAACTGCAGATAACCAAAGACAAAAGAAGAATATTGAAATAAACTAGAGCAGAACATTCCCATAGAGAGCTAAGAATAAGAACTGTAATAAACTTCCAGTCAGAAACCATGCAAACAATAACAAAGGGAAGTGACATAATTAAAAGAAAGAAGGACAGAACACAACCACCTAGAATCCAATATGCAGCGGCATCACCCTTCACATGTGAAGGAGAAATAAAGACTTTCTGAGACAAAAACTGGTGGAAGTCATTACCAGCAGACTTGCACTGTGAGAAATGTTAAAGATAGCTCTTTAGGGAGAATAAAAATAAAACTTGAATCTACATAAAGAAGGAAGAACATCAAAGAAAGAATATGTGAAGGTAAATAAAACCTTTCATTTCTGATCTGGAAGATAACTGATACATAATGATAAAGGGGTTAATTCTAAGAAGATAGAGCAATCCTAAGTTTGTATACACCTAGTACATAGAGACAAGCAATGCGAGGCAAAATTGGTAGATGTGAAAGGAGAAACCGACAAACTGCCATAATATTTGGAGACTTTAACACCCCTTATTAAGTAGTTAATATATCAAGCAGGCAGAAAATCAGTAAGGATATAAATGACCTGAAGAGCACTATCAATCAATATGATCTAATTGACATAGAATATGTCCAACAACAGCAAAAATCACGTTCTTTTGAAGCTCACAGGGAACATTCATCAAGATAGTGTACATTCTGGCCCTTATAACACATCTCAACACAACCTCAAGTTTAAAAGAATAACAATTATACAATAAGATTTTAGAGCACTCAAAATCAATATTGGAATTAAACTTGAAGTCAACAACAGAAAGATAGCTGGAAAATTCCCAAATATTTTGTAATGAAACAACACACTTCTAAATACTACATGAGTTAAGGAAGTCACAAGTGAAATTTAAACATATTTTAGACTAAATGAAAATAAAAATACAACTTACCAAAATTTGCAGGATACGGACAAAGCAGTGTCAATGCAGACCTGGGAAGTTCTGCTGGTTTTAGGTGGGTTTCCCCATGAGTCTGGGATTTGGCTGGAGGTAGGCTAATCTAGACTGGTTTTATCTGGGGGCTTAGCTCTGCTCTACAGGACTCTCTCCTTCCCCTGAGACCTGTGACTATCCCAGGCATTAGTTTTGCCAGTGCTGTCAAAGGTGTGAGAAAGCAAGCCCATCCATGCAAATACTTCTCAAGCCTCTTGCTTGCATCATATCTGCCTACAACCCGTTGGCTCAAGCAAATCATATGGCCAAAACCAGAATCAAGAAGTAGGGAAGTACCTTCCACACATGGATGGAAGTGGGGCTAAAAGAGTGAATATCTCAGAATAATAATCTATTACAATAATATTGCCAACTTCAAATGGTTATTGTAAGTATTGAATTAAGATATTAAGTTATGTATTTATGTAAATTCAGCATAGTAGTTGGCACATAGTAAAAGCACCACCATTTTTAGCCATTTCTATTACTTTATTAGCCTCTGGAAATAAAACACGCATACTTCTTGTCCTCGTAGTGCTTATTAGTAAAACAGATGTTGCATATGTAAAGATAAGAAATGCCAGGTGTTGTGGGCAATATTTGGGAACTTTCTCCAGAATGAAGACTGATCTTGCATACAAGCCTAAAAGTACTGGCAATTCAAGTTCAAGCCTAAGTAAAATTACAAATATTCCAAATTAAAAAATGATGAGTTCATGTCCTTTGTAGGGACATGGATGAAATTGGAAACCATCATTCTCAGTAAACTATCGCAAGAACAAAAAACCAAACACTGCATATTCTCACTCCTAGGTGGGAATTGAACAATGAGATCACATGGACACAGGAAGGGGAACATCACACTGTGGGGACTGTTGTGGGGTGGGGGAGGGGGGAGGGATAGCATTGGGAGACATACCTAATGCTAGATGACGAGTTAGTGGGTGCAGCACACCAGCATGGCACATGTATACGTATGTAACTAACCTGCACAATGTGCACATGTACCCTAAAACTTAAAGTATAATAATAAAAATAAATAAATAGAAAAAAAATAAAATAAAATCTTTAGAAATGACAATAAAAAGTCAAATTTTAGTATTAAACTCTTGAATGTCATGAGTTTACTGTATTGCATTAGTCTTTAATCCAATCTTGGTCATTTTAAAAACAGTAAAAACCTTGTATGATTTATAGTTTCCAAGTTAGTTTACAGTTTCAAAGTTCAAAATGGCTAAACTTTACTGAACTCTTACCATGGGCCAGGCACAGTTTTAAATATTTTGTGCCTATTTAAGACCCACAACATTTTAGGAGATAGTGATCCTATTATTTCTGTTATACAAGGGAAGAAAATCAGGCACAGAAATATTAAATGACTTGCCCAAAGTCACACAACTAGTAAATGGGGTAGTCAGGATTTGAACCCAGCTGGCACCAAGTTCATGTCTTTAGTTCCCACCCCCTTCAATGCTTTCCCATATATCATTCCATTTAACATCACTTCGCTCATTCATTTAAAAAATATTAATAGAACACAATAATGTTCCATGTATAGAGCCAGGCACTGGAGAATATGCAAAAAAGTACAAGACATAGGGCATGGTTTGCCATCCAGAAAAGGAAAGAATTTAAAAAGTGTTCCTCAGGCCATTCTAGCATGGCCTAGAGAAATACATCTTCCCTCCCCAAGTCTTTATTTAATCTAGAAGAGAGAAGAGTCTTTTGGGAAACTCCACACACCAGAATTCTCCAGGTTATCAGTAGGATCCCAGGTACAACAGACCTCCATAGATGGGCTTGCTTTCTTGTGCCTTTGATCTATATTTCCCTTGAAAAAAAAATTCTTGATTGTTTTCTTTCATATGGTTTTAAAAACAAGGAGATATCCCTTTTTCCTCAACAGCATTATATTCTGTTGTCATATCACAAAGAAACTGTGCCCCTACATCCTCAGTTTTCTATAGAACCAGACACTACAGCTTTTCAATTGGTTTACTCAATATTCTGGCCTTTTCTGTTCATCCTCTGGCTAGGAAACATTCTGGGTTGCTTGCCTTTCATGTATCCACTCAGCCCAGTATCCACTCAGCCCCAACTAGTGATGCTCACTTCAAGCTAATACTGCCCAACCATCCTCCCATTTGGGTGACCCTCCTCTCTATCTGATAGACGATTTAGGTTAGGAAAAGATGTTATTTTTGGCTCTGCAGGCCTCTGAGAGTGGAGGCCAATTGTCAGCCTCAAATAGTCTACTTGTTTAGACTTCTCAGCCAGCTCCTGTAATTCTCATGCAAATGATCCTCAAATCCTGGACCTAATGCTTCCTCACCAGAGCATGGGTTACTGTGAGATGAAGTGTCTGCATGTGTTCTCTACTTTTGGAGTCCCGTTTAAGCTAAGGAGATGTGACTTTCTTGGAGGAGGGGGTTTATAAAGTTGGCCTGTGATATGGCTTTAAACTAAGAGGCTTATTAACCCAACGTAGTTTGATGCTGTGTAGTCAAAAGGTAAAGCCAAACTGGGATCAAGCAGAAACTAAGCTAAAAGTGAGTTGAAGAGTGCTGACAGTCTGAAGGGTGAGACAGTCTCCAAAGGAGGAGGAAGAGCCACAAAGGGATTGGTGACTAGAGGACTGAATTGATGGAGAACAGTGTGTAATATTCAGACCATGATCAGTGAGAAAAGCTGGTGCTTGGGCAGTAGTTAGGAGGTCAACTCTATGGCAGAAGTAGACCAGTCTTGCGATGTAAATGGAACACCAGAAAGGCCAGGGATTTGAAATCTAATAATCCTAGTTTCAAATCCCAGCTTCATCACTGCCTGATATTGAATATGTTATTTAACTTTCAGGTTTTCATTAATAAATTGGAGATTATTATACCAAGTCCATGAATCGTTTTGAAGATTAAAAGAAGGAACATGTCTAATGTACCTAGCTTAATTTTTCACACAATCTGAACATTCAATAAATACAAATTTTCTCTTTCTTTGCTTCCTAGTCTTCTACCCCTCCCCTAACTGCACCATAATCTTGATTCATCTTTATAAACTGGTTTTGTTTACCTGTCTCAAACTGAGCGATTTTAAGAAGTTCTGATAACCGTTTTCAATTCTTTCTAATTAGTTTAAAACTGTGGAATGCTATCTTTGTGCTTGAAATATCACACATTTCTCTAGGAACAATATGGCCCATTCTGACGAACTGATAAAGTCTAATTTTCCTTTCGACTAAAGTGAAATGTTCTTTATCCAAAAAGCCATGAAGAGTAAAGCAATAAATAAAGTATCTTGGCCTTAAGAAGGTAAAATTTATTCCCTTACCAGAAACAAAACAATGAGCACTCAAAACTTAGCATTAAATTCTGAGCAAATTCTGAGCAAAACTTAACATTGAATTCATGATTAAAATACAAGCAAATCATTTAAACAAATTCACACAAGCCTGTAATATTAATTCCAAAATTAATGATGCTATATTTAAAAAATGTAAGGGAAATTGCATTATTAGAAACTCTAAGGGCCCAGACAAGTTTTACTGTACTTGTACCTAGAGTATTCCTTGAAATGGAAAAATCATATGAGAAATCTTTTTTTACAGTAATTTTAGATGTAGTAGTTTTTGTCATACAGGATTTAACCTATAAGTTAGGGAAATTATAATGTACAGAGGTAACTGTCAAACTTTTTAAACCAATAATATGTTTCTTTAAATGAAATGTTATGTGGAAGACCTATATACATAATAAAAAATAGCAATAGTGAGAGTGAGAACCTGGAATTTATCTTCTTCAGAAACACATATTCTCTCTCCAATGTCTGACCCCTACAGAGACTCTTAGCCCCCAGCTCCCTCAGAAAGCTCCTAAGGCTTCAGGATCCACAAGATAGTCACGGTTCTAAAGCACCATCAAACCACTTTTTTTCTAAATTGCTTATTGTAACCAATTAATGTGTCATTAAATAAATTTTAATAAATCTCAGCTATATTTTAGCTTTCAAATGAAATTTAAAAAGATGAAAGTGGCTTCTCAACAATTTCTTTTTAAATATTTATTTCAGATATAAATGAATATATATTCCTGGGTATGCTGCATCATAATTTAAAAAGGATTTTAGGTCTAGAAGACCACATACTACTTCATGAGGTTGAGAAAACCTCATGAAAATGGTAACATTTTGGTAAGGTGATTTTTAAATGACAAACTTCCAACTCTAATAAAATATAATGAAAGCGTATTTAGAAGAAAAGTTATAACTAAACACACGTATAGACCAATCAATGAAGAAGTTGGAAGCAAGAATTTTGTTAGCAATAAAAAAAGTAGCTGGATATTTTTAGCAGTTTATTTATTTATAACATTATAAGTTCCATGCTATTTTTGTATCTATCTAAAAAGTGCTTTGGTTTCAAACCTAAGATTATTGAATAACTTGGCCTGTCTCTTACACTCTAAGTCCTTTATAGAGAAACATATGTGAAAATATTTCAAATGCTTTAAGTGCAAAAAGTGGGCATAGCAAATAACTTGGTAAATCCATGGAATTGGGTGATGTGTCTTCTCCTCATAGCACTGCAGATGTATTTGTCTTTTAGGTTCCAGCATCATTCCTGTATTAATTTTCAAATAAACATCCAAAAGAGATCAGTTTCTTTTTATGTGGAGCACAAAGATATTGTGTTGGTTAGACTCCAATTGCTGAGTTGCCAATAGGAGTCCCTTGGCTCCTTAAGCTACACAGTATTTTTTCCAAAATGATGCATCTTATTTCTGACCAGCTTTTCTTAACATGATTCGAGATGTCATAAAGTCTTCAAAAAGCAGCATATTCTGAAGATTTCTTAAAGTATTTCTTCTGCTCAACAGCCTCCACCAAACGCATTATATGACATTGTGACTTGTGAGTGATACTGATCAATGTTGAGAAGTAATCTTATGTGGACTGGTTAATGGGCAACCCTTCCTTACCATTGGCCCTAAATTTGAATCGTAGGTCTCTAACAAAACTGGTCTGGGAGCTAGTTGAGATAACATACACATCATTAATGTAACAGGAATCACAGTTGCAATAATTATTAATATTGTAGTGTTTGATTACTATCAGATATAGAATGACCTAGTTCCAATGTAATTTTCATCTCTTCCTATAACCTGTAAAACCAAATAAAATGACTGAGGTGCATTCCAATCAATTTAGAAGGTTTTCTTTTTCCTTTTTGCCAAGGTTGAGGATATGCCCCGGATAAAGAAACACAAGCCAGAGCAGAATCTGTAGCCTGCACTTTCTTCAAAGAGGATTTTGAGGGCTTTGATATTTAAAGGGGAAAAAGTGGGCAGGAAGGGAAAGGGGAAAGAAAAGAAAGATGGAGGGTATGATCACATTGTTATGACAGTTTGATTAGCCTTACTGAATCCACATGTTGCACGTAAAAAGAAGGGGTGGAGGAAACAATTATATATTTATCTCGTGCTCAGTACACCTGCAATTTACATAAATCAACATCGAGTAGAGGAAGAAGTCAAGTATACATTTGGCTCAGGATGGGCAGGGTGCAGGGGACAATTTCTGGTTTTTCTTGTCCTGTACCCTGAAGATAAGCAGTTTATATATGAATACATAGTCAGGGTGAGGGAGGCCACCGCAAAGACATGTGGCATTCTACATGTATATCTATCAGTTAAGTAACAAAAGGAAAGGCAGTTTTGTGTGTGTGTGTGTGTGATTCAGCTTCCACACTTCACTTTTCTCTTTTGGCATAGTGAATTTGGGGTCTGGATATTTATTTTCCTTTTACAAATCTATCAAATGGAATTCAGCTTTGGTAATCAAAAAATTCATTCAACAACCATATATTTACTGTCTACTACATGCAAAAAAATACACTAGAGACAGCAGGGTATCCAAACACAAGGAAGGCGTCATTGTGGCTTCAAGAATATTCAAACCTGGCATTGAAGAGGACGCAACTTTTAAATCAGCACTAAGAAGAGCAATAGCTAGTACTTATTGAGTAACTTATATGTGCCAGGCAATGTTCTAAAATTTTTTACTTTAGTACTTTCATTTTCACAACTGTCTTATCATCTCATTTTATATATGAGAAACTTGCTCAATATCACACAATTACTTAACAGTGGAGCCTGTATTCAAAGGTGGACATCTAAGAACCTTCACTTACTTCTAGTGTGCCATGCAGCCTTTCTGATACAAAACAAACTATATATGTAAAACATTATGGGGATTTTTAAAGATGTAAAAATACACACCGAACTGCAAAATCACGACTTCTTAAATGGGATGGTTTTGCAAATAAAAGTTGAACTATAATTGGGATTTTAACATCTAAACACAGGGATGATGGTAACCAGTTTAGAATGAGAAGGGGAACAAAATCTGGAAGTCAACAGAGTGGAGAAAATGTTTTCGCTATGATTTTTAGAAAGTCAATTATAACCTGTCTTTCGAGATATTTAACAATGACGAAAAGGTGAAACTGTTAAAGGTTGTGATAAGGTGGAAGACTTTGTGAGGGCTCGGGGAAGATGGGACTTAAGTATGGTGAGAAAGAAAAGAAAGTAGTAGAATAAGAGATTGGTAAAGATTTAAGGGAGAATAATAACCAGACAAGACTCAGAAGGAGGTAAGAAGCAAGTCAATAAAGAATACATGAAGAGGGACCAGGAAGAAGGAGTCTTCTTTTTAAGAAATGGCAATGAAGAACAATGTGGTAAATGAGTTAATATAAAAAGTCAGAGGATATAGAAAAAAGCTACTATATTTAACAACATCTTAAGTTCTGATTTAAGAACAAAAAGTACTCATAAAAGATATTTCTCAGCTTACTTTCTTTACATGGTACTTAAATAATGCCTCCAAAATTACTGTTTATTTATTTATTTTTTTGAGATGGAGTTTCACTCTTGTTGCCCAGACTGGAGTGCATTGGCGCAATCTTGGCTCACCACAACCTCCACCTCCCGGGTTCAAGCAATTCTTCTGCCTCAGCCTCTCGAGTAGCTGGGATTATAGGCATGTGCCACCATGCCCGCCTAATTCTGTTATTTTTTTAAATAGAGATGGGGGTTTCTTCATGTTGGTCAGTCTAGCCTCAAACTCCCAACCTCAGGTGATCCGCCTGCCTCAGCCTCCCAAAGTGCTGGGATCATGGCGTGAGCCACCATGCCTGGCCTGTTTTTTATTTATATATTTATTTTATGGTGCAAAATGATCAGTGAGGTCAATAGACATTTACCAATTAATTTATTTACCAAATATTTATTGAGCATGTATTGTGTGTCAGATACCATGTTAAGTACCAAGAATATAAAATAAATAAAAAAAAGAATTATCTCTTTCTTCTAGAGCTTTCCTTTTAATGGGAGAAGCAAAGAAATAGATATATGAAGAAGTGATAAGTGTTCTGATAGAATAAGTCCAAAATGTAATGCAAGGTTATCAGTCAAGTAACCTAACATGGTCCAGGAAGATCAGGGAAGACTTCTGAAGGAAGTGGTATTTAAGTAGAGACTAATTTGAGAGTTGACCAGGACAAGAAATAAGCAAAAGTACCAATTAACTTGATCTCAAGTGTCATATAAAATATTTTGAATTCAAAAGTCACAAAAGTGGAAATGTTATATAACCCCAAGGCTTCAACCCTCAAATTTACCCTCTAACATTAAAAAAAAATCCTACCTTGTTGTTGTACTATTGATTTGATTTAGTTTTTTCCTTCTAAATATATTTTATTGACCTGTGATTCTGGAGGGTCAGGGTTTCTCAGAGCTTCCAGAGACCTTTGTACAGCAGATGTGTTAACAAAGAGCAGAAAGTTTCATCTTTGAGTGCTCTAATGTTCACGAGACTGGCGTTACAGGTAGCTATATAGAGAAGGGTAGCTATAAATGAACAACCATTTGTTTTGGAGACCCACGGTACATGGGATATATGTTTTCCAAGTCCAAAGACACACCTTGTCATCTAGGTAGGACACAGATGGCCTCTAGGGAATTGGCTTAAACTTTACATAAAACTTAGATATTCTGTTGGTGAGATTTGGAGTTTCATTTAACTTCATTTTTTTCATATACTCTTAAGAATACAGTTGCACTGAGTCAGAAAGAACGGATCTAAAGTATTATTTCTTCTGGTACAAAGGTGGAAAGTTAACTGGATGTTATATGTAAGTGAGTTTTGGAAGATGTCTTTAAAGGAAGGAAAATTAATGGTGTTCCAGGAAGTTTGTGGGGTTGACTGGTGAGATGTCAAGCATTTTGAGGGATTCTGAGGCTGGATTTATAGTCTGAGAGAGACATAGACACTTGAAAGTAGAGTCTAGAAGCCTTAAGAATGATTTTCTTTCATTTCATCATTTTTCTGATATGCCATTCTGAGATTCAAATCAGTTCAAGTTCCATAGCACCATGTTAACACTGAGCACGTTGACTCATATTTGTTTCTCAGTCTCACCTTTTAGCCCTCACTGAAGATAAAAGTTTTTCCCCCAAAATTGAGGTAGATTGGAAAGGAATAAGAAGAGAGACCAATAAATTTAAATAAGGATTGAATGTAATATTAAGTATAGAATCTTAGAGAATCACGTTGTTCCTAATCTCATTATTGCAATGTGCAAGAATATTTTTCTTAAGTAGAAATAATGTTTATAATTGCTATGTAGTATTAGAGAAAATTATTTTTGATGTTTCTTTCAAATTAAATAGAAAAATGTAAGTATGCATGTCATAGTAAGATTTACAATAAGTAGCTTTTCTATCCCATTCATCTGAATATATCGTAGGTTAGACAAAGGCCCACATGGAAGAATGATTTATCTCTACTACCTGATTTTTACACTTACACTTTGACAACTTACAAGAGGCCCAGGCCGTAAATGTCCTCATTCTGAAGCTCACTCATATCCATCCTCACTTACGGATTATTTGGAATTAGAAGAAATACATGATTTTATACGTCTGTAATTTGACTTATATCCTCTCTATGCTTCTGAACTTTCTCCTGAAAGGTTACCGGTGATCTCATTACTGCCACATCTTTTCCTCCATTCCTATTGTTTTGACGTCATTGTTCCACCTGCTATTGGTGCCTATGCTTCCTCTTGGGAACACCCACCTCCTTCTCCTTTGAGAATCCAGCGCTATCATGACTACTCTTACTATTTTTAACTCTTTTGTATCTCCTGGCCCTAAACAAATATCTGATATGTATTATTGTCAATGATTATATCTTATAGTTTTGTCTCACTCTTTCATTAAACATAATCTTATTTGAGTCCCATGAAGGACAGAAGCAACTATCTGCAAGGTGTAGAGATGAGGCTAATATAGTTTCAATGTCATAAGGCCAAGGGACTCAGAAATGGTGAGAGACAGGATTCAAACCTAGGACTTCTGACTATTAATTTGGTGTCTTTTTGGCTTGACTGATTATTTTCTTTTCTGGTATTTAGAATATTCAATTTATATACTTTTCTCCCATCAGAAAAATTGAAACTTTCTTTATGAATGTGGTTTGGGTCATACAACAAGATTGACTTCTTAATCCTCAGCAGGATCTGGATTTTCTAGCTCCTAAATCCTCATATTGTGTTCTGTGGAGTTCATGATTCATATGTTTTAAGCAAAGGGAGGAACATAAAAAAAGGAAAAAAAAAAGCCTGAGCAAAAATCTTAGGAGAGATGAAGTCAAGATTTTAGAAAACCGGAGAAACCTGTTTATAAGATGTATAATTTTTCCATATCCTGAGGACATTATCTGTGCTATCACTCTAGAATATTTTAGCCAATACCTTTGCACACTTGCCTAAGGTTGCCTAATGTTTAAAGGCACATACAGGTCAAGAAATAATGAAGTTGTGGTTCTATATTCTTAATGTGGTACCAAGTAAGCTATGTGATTAGAGATCATGTAGTTCAAGCCTACATTTTAAGGATAAGAAAAGTCTGATTCAGAGAGGTTAAATAACCTATGCAAGATCAGGTAACAATTTATTTTCAGAGTCAGGACGAGAGCTTGAATCTAGAATGTATAGTTCAATATTCTTTATCTTTCCGTGTTTTAGTTAAGACTAAAGCTGTTTGCTTGTAAAGCTGCATTGATTTGGGATTCTTTCTGGACCAAATGAATTAGAATCCTGGAAAGGTAAGGCCCAGATATAATTATATATTTTTGAAGCTGACCAAATGATTTAAAAATGTATCCACAGGTGAGAACCAGAGTCCAATAAATCTTACAATAAAATTTTAATAATTTACACAAATAATCCCTTACAGAGTAAGATGCCCTAGAAGACATAATCTTACTTAAGTGTAATTTTATTGGGGGCTATTTAAGTTCAAATATATATTACAAGTAATAAAGACTTTAATGGCTATTGTTTTATTGCATTCACTAGCAATGTTTTACTGTCTGTTGGTGGTAGTGATAAACAGAGAAAAACATACTAATCATGAAAAAATTCTTGGAGTTTTTTTGGCATTGCACTCAGTCATCTGCGTATTTTACCTCCAGAGTCTGCATAAATTAGGTACTGCTTATTGAATCTTAGATATAGGAAGTAATTCAGATATCTTTAAGGAGATTGAAAGACAAGAAGATTTCAAGTTTAAATGTCTACTATGTATGTTTTATCCTTTTTCTACATCTGAGAAGAACATTAACATTAATATTTGTAAAAACCACATAAATCCACATATGATTATGAAATAATCATGTAAATGATTGACAAGTAAAATGCAAAGTTCCTCGAATTAAATATATGCATTTAAATGGCTGTCTTGTGGTTGCATGAGACATAAAATGTTGAATGAATGGCTTTTTGAAAGTTAGCATTTTAACTGTTAAATGTTGCTTAAGGAGAAGGAAACATACAATTATATGCAACTAGGTGTTAGCTAAACATAAAACATGAAAAAGCAGTCCTTTAAGTAGGTATAGCTGCATTCCTAATTCATCATCACTATGTGTATAAATTACTGCTGTGTGGGTTTGCATAAGTGGCTGAAGGGGAGGTTCTTCTATTATTAGGGCGCAACTCATGGCAAGTATAACAAGCAGCAGCTTCAGAATCATCTAGGTTCCTAAAATCAAATACTATCTGGCCTTTTAATATTTTGTGATTACTGGGTAATTTTCAAGAGAATTATGTTGATGAAATTCACGGATGTCATTTTCGCTGTGACATTTTTAGAATAAAATGGTTTTCATAAACACAATGAGCAATAAAAAAGTGTAATTAGCAAATGCTTTAGCGATGGAAACTGAAAGATTGGCAAACATGATTTTCTTCTTGATAAAAAGACAACAACATATAAATTTCTTTTTCAGAAAAAATTAAAAACTATCTGCAAAGGAATATGAATGTTCTTTGCAATTAATCTGAGACTAAAAAACTCCAGAAACACAGATTTTAACTTAAAAAATGAGAGGATCATATGTGTAACAAACTTTGAACTTTAGGTGCACTTAATGCTACACGCTAAAGCAATATAATATGATAGCAAAGAGTATAGATGCTGTAGTCAGGCTGCCTGGTTTGAATCCCATCTCTGCGATTTATGAGCTAAAGAACCTTGGGTGAATTTCTTAATCCTTTTTGCTTTAATCTAAAAAATGAAATAAAAGAGTACTGACTTCATAGGGCTATTTTGAGGAATAAATAAGCAGATATATTTATATTTTATTTTATTTTACTTTTTTGAGACAGGGTCTTACTCTGTTGTCCAGGCTAGAGTGTAGTAGTATAATCATGGCTCACTGTAGCCTTGACCTCCTGGGCTCAAGTGATCTTCCCACCTCAGCCTCGGAGTAGCTGGGACTACAGGCATGTGCTACTTTGCCTGGCTAATTTTTTTTATTTTCATTTTTGTAGAGGCAAAGTCTCACTGTTTCCCAGGCTAGTATCAAACTCCTGAGCTCAAGTAATCCTCCTGCCTCAGCCTCCCAAATTGCTGAGATTACAGTCATGAGCCACAGTGGCTGGCCACCAAATATATTTTGAACCACTTAGTGAGTTATAAGTATCATGTAGAAATATTTGCTGCTATTATTCTTATTATTTGTTATATCTCATTTAGATTTAAGAACAAGTATCCATTACTTGCATGTTCCTTTCCACCTATAGTTTTGAATAAATAGAATAAATTGTATTTTAATGAATCCTCTCATCTAATCAGCTATTGGCTAATCAGCCATCCATATCAGTCACTCAATACTCAAATGGTATGTAATTTTTTAAATGCGTTGGAGTCATTTTTCATTTCAGAAAAACTCTCAAATTATCAAGATAATCAATAAGAAAATATGATTTAGATTTCAGTAAACTTTAAAACTTTCTTAGTTCTTGTTTTCTTCTACATCTAATTTTCTATTGAAAGAAAAACAAGAGAATTTACTTTTTGAGTTCTTAAACCAATTCAAGAATGGATTAGTCCATAGGAAAAATATTTTTTAAAAAATCTATGATAAAAGCTATTTAAGTAAAATAGAGTATTACTACATCAATATATGTTTCTTCCTTTTCTCTATTTTGTCTCTAACTGGATTGTTTTTGGGGTTCAGAATTGCAACTTTCTCTATATCTACATATATTTCTGTAGAAATGCTATTACAGGCCGGGCATGGTGGCTCACGCCTGTGATCCCAGCACTTTGGGAGGCTGAGGCAGGTGGATCACCTGAGGTCAGGAGTTTGAGACCAGCCTGACTTACATGGTGAAATCCTGTCTCTACTAAAAATACAAAATTAGTTGGGTATCGGGGTGCATGCCTGTAATCCAAGCTACCCTAGAGGCTCAGGCAGGAGAATCACTTGAACCCAGGAGGCGGAGGTTGCAGTGAGCCAAGATCGTGCCATTGCACTCCAACCTGGGCAACAAGAATGAAACTCCGTCTCGAAAAAATATATATATCATAAAAGGCATAAATTTTTCATTTACATGGAGCTTGCTAAAAATATCCTGTATGATTAACATACAATTAAATTTATAATGTTAATTAAAAATTAGCATCTGCTAGAACAGAATTCATATTTAAGGTCTTTTTTATATTAAATGTAACAATTTGATCTTGAACACGTTCCTAAATTTTTCAAGTTCTTAATTGTAAAAAGGCAACCCAATACCATTTTATCTCAGTGGTTTTTGCTAAGGACTAAAAAACGACTTAAAACATTTTGTGTTATGTAAAAACTAATTCACTCAAGTAGCTATGCTCATTTTTTTAGTTAGAAAAGCAGTAATTTCATAATAAATAAGTGCCAGTTATAGTCAGAAGAAACAATAACCTGAGGGAAAGAGGAAGAGATGGAAGAATTGTAACGTGTTCTATGTCCTTGTCTGTTGCTAAATGCTGGTTCTATGGGTAGGGCCCAGGGCTTCATCTGAGTGCAGGCTACAATAGGTTTAATACTGATATCAGTTTGGGGCCTGTGTGTGTATGTCCCCAGTCTAGGATTTCCTAATTCTTCTCATGAGAGGACTCCCTTTTAATTTAAAAGGATTATTTTTTGCAAGACTCTTCTTCCCCATTTAACGGCGCTTATATGTTTGTTATATATCAACGAAAAAACACATGCCACAAAGCGTTTATGAATTCAATATCAATTTAAAATGAATACATGTTACTAATTACATAGAGACTTAATGTATGTTTAAAATAGTATATATATGTGTGTGTGTGTGTGTGTGTGTGTGTGTGTGTGCGCGCGCTTTAGTCTATAGATAATTCGATTTACCAACCCCTTGGAAAGGAATCCCAGTACATCTCAAACTGGGAATTGCTGACATTGCTGATGTATTAAAGTGACTTCCTAATTGGAAAATTCTATATGACCCGGTTATTTTCTTCCCAAACCATTCTATCTTTAAATAAGCTTTGTGCCTTTAAGAGGAATTATGATTATACCGCATACTATGTATATATATTTAAATGAACAATTAATGAAAATTGTTCCCAATTATTTAAAAAAAAAAAAGAAGAAGAATACTATTTTGCGGAGGCAGTGCGTGCAAATCCTCTGATGTGTCATGGTGGAGTCATTCTCAATATCTAATGGCTAGAAAATTGAGTAAACATAGAACTAATAAAGAAAAGATTTCTTCACATCATATAAAATCAGCCTACAAAAGAGTACATTGCTGTGGAAAATTTTGAGACAAGCACAGGGATTTTTTTCACAGTGATGATATCTCATGCTTGCAGGCATTAGTTACAAAGTTAAAAAATTCCTCTTCACATATCAATACCATAGAAGTGACTGTTGTCAATTATTGTCAGCATGACCCATTCTCCCCATCACATCCCCACCATCTTTCTTTTCAGCATAAAACACACTATATTTAAAGAAACAAGCCATTAATCAGGATTAAAAACTCTTCCTCTCACTCTTTGCAAGTACCTGATAGAAAATGCTCCCAGTTGACATTCCATTCGTTTGAATTCTGCTTCCATTCCTCAAAAACACTGGGACTATTTTTTTTTCCAGATCCAATTTGTAGGACAAAAGCCATTATATAACCATAAAAGTCACTTTACCTCTTTCTAATTTATGAAACTTGTGATCTCTACCAATGCTCCATAAAACTATAACCCATTTCTAATATCATTTTCCTTGGTTCCATTTCTTCTTTTCCAAAATAAGCTATTAAGTGAGAAGTCACTCAATGCCTGCTTTCTTGATAGATTTGGAAGCTAGACTTAGGAACCCAGCCTACCTCTATCCTACTGTTCATTGATTCATTTAACTTACAAATATTGACCAACTACCAAGTACCACCATCTTAAGCATCAACGTTTGCATATAATGGTAGGTATTTTTAGTGAGCACTAACTCGGTACTAGGCACTCTACTAAGCACTTTCATTATTTTCCTATGCGCTGGATACTATTATTATCCCTGTTTTACGTATGAGGAAATTGAGACAGATTAAATAACTTGTCCAGGAATTCACACACAGACAGTTTAAATCTTAACCCCTGATAACATGATGAAGTATTTGTTTCTTTTTTTTTTTTTTTTGAGACGGAGTTTCGCTCTGTCGCCCAGGCTGGAGTGCAGTGGCGCGATCTCGACTCACTGCAAGCTCCGCCTCCCGGGTTCACGCCATTCTCCTGCCTCAGCCTCCCGTGTAGCTGGGACTACAGGCGCGCGCCACCATGCCCGGCTAATTTTTGTATTTTTAGTAGAGACGGGGTTTCACTGTGTTATCCAGGATGGTCTCGATCTCCTGACCTCGTGATCCGCTCGTCTCGGCCTCCCAAAGTGCTGGGATTACAGGCGTGAGCCACCGCGCCCGGCCGAAGTATTTGTTTCTAACAAGAGCATTCTGGACATTAAAGGGCCTTAGAGTATGAGAGAAAAAAGCCAGAAAAAAAAAAGGAATAGTAATAATAATTTTTTAAAAAGTAGAAATAAAAAGGTAAGGAGTTAACATCCATTAGATTCCATTTTCTATTCAAATATGTATATTTACATACAGTACTGCTGAATTGACTCACAGTTCTTAGGTCCTATAGAGGAGTGCAGTGAAAAGGAAGACAATTTACACAGTACAGAGCTGAACATAGGACTTACAAACAAAAAAAAAGTCAAGGAATACAAAGTAGCTTTCCCAGGTGTAAAGTACCGGGTCTAGAATTCTATGAGGCTAGGGAGAAGATAAACGACAAAAGCTATAAGAGATCAGAATGAAAAGAGATCCACAAGCCTAAGAAGCCCAGGCCCTTGAGGAGAACCATGAATTTGAGCAGGATTTCACTAATTCCTTTAAAAAGTAGCCATTGCCTCAAAGTACGACTCCATCAGCATAGGCAGGAAAGTGGGAGTGAGGAAAGGCTTAGAGTTTTCCAGCCTGGCTGGGGTCAGACAATTTGCCTGGGGAAATAGTGGGAGCTGAGGTTGAAAAGACCGATTGGCTTCACGTTTGTGGCAGGCCTTGTCCAAAAAGCAATAGGAAGTCGTTGAAAGGTTTTGTGCAGGGGAGCGACAGGATTAAGGCACTACTTAGTAGGAAGTCATATCAAAAGCAGCAACCTGACAAATGGCAAATACGACAGAAGGAAAAAAAATAACAGGAATTTTCTTCACAATGACTCGACTTTGAGGTAATAAATGCCTGAGCCACATTGGAAGCAGGGGTCTCAGAAGGAAGGCGCAGATGGGAAAGGCTTTTCTGGGCGGTGGCGTTTCAATGCAAGGAGGGCGCTTGAATCACTGACAGACTTCAAGTTAAGGGAGTTTTCGTGGCTGAGGTTAGTAAGTCACACGCACAGCTCTCCAAAGGCATGTATGGGGAACGCCAGCCTTGGCTAAAAGACTGATTCAAGTTATGTCCGTCACCCTGAGCAACCAAAACCACCCACTACAGGGCAGGTGACCCCACAAAGCAAACCAAGCCATCTGGTCCACGCTCCCCACCTCCCGGAGGGAGATGGAAAAGTTTCGGGAGTAGTCCCCGGCCAATCGGAAAGACATTTTTTCATTCCTCAACCACTACTCTCAGGTGCTCCAGGGAGGGAGGATGACTTCCTGACGGTCCTCCTGCCGCTCCTCCCTCGGGCCAATTATGAAACTCTGGGCACTCTTGACCTCACCCCGTTAGGGCCCGGGAGGGGCTCCCTAGTATAAAGTTCGCAGCACCAGACAGTTGAGCTCACTTGCCTGATATTTCCAGTGTCAGAGGGACACAGCCAACGTGGGGTCCCTTCTAGGCTGACAGCCGCTCTCCAGCCACTGCCGCGAGCCCGTCTGCTCCCGCCCTGCCCGTGCACTCTCCGCAGCCGCCCTCCGCCAAGCCCCAGCGCCCGCTCCCATCGCCGATGACCGCGGGGAGGAGGATGGAGATGCTCTGTGCCGGCAGGGTCCCTGCGCTGCTGCTCTGCCTGGGTAAGTTCTCCCCCTCTGGCTTCCGGCCGCCCCAAAGAGGAGACAAATAAGGAAGGCTCCTGTGCATTTGTCATTCGACAAGTACGGAGTTGTCTCCAGGTTCAAGTGTGCTCTATTTAAAATTACGTCTTGTTTTGTGAGTCTGTCTTCCCCTATGGTGGGACTGGGGTGGGGGGGACTGGGGATCGATGTTAAAATGCTTTTTATTGGTGAATTAATTATTGGCATATATGTTATGCATGGATTGAAATATCTCCTTATTAAACAAAATAAAAAGTTGTTGAAAAAGCTTTTTTTTTTTTTTTGAAAAGTTGCCAGTCCTAGAAATCTAAAGGCCTGGAACGCACTGTTAACATTTCATGTCTTGTTCCTTTTTGTTGGAGAGTGGGGAATAGAAACTAGCGTAAGAAATTTTTTGGAGGGGGGAAAAAGCTTTTCTCCTCTGTCTTGCGCTCAGTTTTCTAAAACCTAGCCTGGTTTAGCTTTCCCGGAGGAGCTGGTATGCGCCAGTGCCAGTTGGCTGAGCTCCAGACACAAGAGAAATAAAACACTGGTCGAGGGTATCTGGAGCAGAAGGGCCCTGGGCAGGTCCTGGCGCTCCCCACCGCCCTTCGCCCCTACACCTGCTGCTTGCGTTTTTCCCTGCAGCCTCCCAAGCAGCCTCTGGAGCAAGCGTTCTGCACTTGCTGCTAATTGCACTCCATAGCCTGTGATCGCTGAGGGTATTTAAATGCCAGTCTTCCTATTTGAGATGATTTAGTTCAAGGGGAAAAATTTTCTAAATAGCCTTTCTGTTAAAAAAAAATTACTTCTTTCCAATTCCTTAAACTTCAGTTTAAGGAATTTGAAAGAGTTTGAAGTCGTATATGAATATCTTAATAAAAAAATAAAAGTTACCACCAGTCTCATATTCTCCCTGGAGTTGGAATGAGGCTGATTCCCCAGACACTCTAACTCTACCTGTGAAGGATGTGACTGTTAAATTATTATTTTGGCACACCTTATCTCAGGGGTTGAGAGACCTAATGAAATGCATACTATGCATAATTGAAACTTACAAGTCTAAGTCCAGGAACACAAGTGGAAACTAGATATGTGGTTTCTGCCAAAACTGAGCTAAGAAAGACTTGCTAGAAGATTCTCAGTAAACAATGTGGCTTTGCTGTCTTTGTTTTGAAAAGAATTAAATTAGAAAGGTGACAGTCTTCCTAGAGTTAGAAATTAACCTCGAGGTCAGAATAACTTAGCACTTATTATTTTCCCCACATGTAAGGTTGCATCTGAACAATGCACATGTCTGTTCTGGGTGTTTCATTGAATATTCTAATTTGAGACAGCCAGAGCCTGTGAATAACCTGGTTACTACCCACTAGTGTGTGTGTTGTGTGTGTGTTTGTTGTCATGAAAGTGCTTACCTCCTTCATTGCATTACTTAATTATAGTTCATCTATTTCGTCAGCTGCCAAGCCCATTTCCAAATGAGTTAGGTCAGTTTCTGTTTTCCCAGTTTGTTTGGATATTTCTCTGCCACTAGGAAAGTTCCTGTTTCAAGTTCTGTATTATATCTCTAAACTCTATTCAGTTATGCAGAGCCCATAGCCTTATTTTGGCAAGACCACCTGTTATTTCTGAAATTGCCTTCTTTCCCCCAAACAAAATATTTCCTAAAAATACTTTTCCCAAATCTTGTCCTTCCCCCAGCAAAAAAGAGCGAGACATTTATTTTAAATTTTAGCATACATGTTATAACTGCTTTATGTAGTTATGACTAGGGAATAAAGTTCCAGCCTCCACCCTTAACACATACAGATTTAAATTGCTATGCACAATCATTTGGTTACTTTTAAATTTTACACTTGTTTAATATTGAGGCTCTTGTTTTATAAATTGGGGAACTGTGACCCAAGTTCACATAGAAAAATAGTGACAAAGTGAGAGTCCACACTTGGGCTTGCTAGCATTTTTGGCCTACTGAACATTAAGTAGAAGAGTTGAAATACCGGATAACATTTTTTTAAATAATCTATAATTTTAGAGCAGAATTTTGTCTTTTTTATCTTGTGATTTTTCTAAAGAGAGGAGGATAAATTTTTATGTTGAATTCTGCAGTTATGTTCAGGGGCTTTCTATTTAACATCAAACATTTTTATTCATGCCTACATGGGTTTTTGAATATGTTCCTGAATGACATCTCCAAGATAATTTAGTCGTACTTCATCAATGAGAGAGAATTAAGCAGAAGAAATATTCTTTTTTGAAAATATGAGGAGCATAAATCTCAATGAGACAATAGGCTTGTCTTTGATCATTTCTGTTGACTCTGAGAGTTTATGAGTTACCTGAGTCTTGGCACAACCTGAGATGACAAATCTTGTCAGAAAACGTGATGACAGGCCTTTCCTGTCTGGATTTTGACCAGGTACCCTCACCACCTTCTGCACAGTCTTGCCATGTGAGCAGCTTGGGTAATTGGGGTGTCTGATTCAGCACTAAGACCCAAATCCAGGAGTTGAGAAGAAAACTAACAGTTACTAAATGCCTACTGTGTGGCAGCCATGTTGTGTATTAGGTGCTTTAAATACATCATCACCTCTACTTCTTAAAATAACTGTGTGAGGTAGATTTGATTAGCCCAGTGAAGTCAAGTACCTTACAAAGACTCAGAGATAGTAAATGGCCAGGTCACTCTGTGATAATGAGGAAAGAGCCAATGAGATTCAGGGTTAGCAGGAGCATAATAAACATAGCAGATTCTAATAGAGAAGTTCCAGAGTAGCTGGGGCTGCTCCAGGGTTCAGACCCTCTCATAGGCACAGCACATGTACAAATGGACTTTCTGACTCTGTGCAAAATCAGGCAAATAAAAGGTGACTATTCTCTTAAGCTGTGCTAAAATATGTTGAATTTTTACTTAATGTTCATAATTTCTAATCAACACAGTTCCCCTAAGATATGATTTTTATTATGAAGCAGTCATTGAAGTCAGTTGACTGGGGCCCTTATTTTTATATTTTCCAAGGTTTACATTAAGTAAAGCAATAAAGAGGGTAACTTATGTCTGTTTTATTCCTTGTATTCTTTGTATATTATTGTGAATTGGATATAGCATTGATAAGGGATCAACTTGGGATCTATAGCCCATTCCTGTTAACTGTGAGAACGTAAATGTATTTCCTTGGTTTAAAAAAAATAACAATACTCATATAATCACTTCGGAGAAACTGAATTTGAATGTTTTCTGTCTATTTTTGCAAAAGAATCTCCCATTTCCTGGTTAATGTTCACGTGAAAGATGCAAATGTCAAGTAAGAAATCCTCTTCAAAGAGAATGTAAATTAAGGTGGGGTTTCCTCATCTGTCAATCTTTACTTTGAGTGTAGGCCTGTACAAATCGTCTAATTAATATGGCTGTAACTGCTGCTGGGAACATTCCATCGGGAGACAATGAGAACACTTCCCAGTGGTGTAATAGAAGAGATCCTCAGGGAGGAGTAGTCTGACAGCCATTGCCTTGACATGGCAATTCTGGAACCTTTGAAAAAATGAAGTAATGCCACATACTCAGCGTCTTCTGGAGATGCAGTTTACCTAAGACTGGGTGTTTAGTTATAGGGCACATAAAGGTTGAGTGGCCTTCTAGGTTAAAGTAATGATTTAACTTACTAGGATACTATTTATAATACTCAGGATGATTTGATAATTGTCCAGAAAAAAATGGATTTTTTAATATATCTCATAAGACTCTTAATATATAGGTTTATCCTCCATCTCCTTTTTTAAAAATTTCAGTAGCATTTGGGGTACAATTGGTTTTTTGTTACGTGGGTGAATTCTATAGTGGTGAATTGTGAGATTTTAGTGCGCCTATCACCTGAGTAGTGTACATTGTACCTAATGTGTAGTTTTTTTTCAATCCCTAGCCCACCTTCCACCCTTCCCCTTCTGAGTCTCTAAAGTCCATTATATCACTCTGTATGCCTTTGTGTACTCATAGTACATAGTACATAGTACATAGTACTCATAGTACACATAGTACATGTATAAGTGAGAACATATGGTTTTTTGGTTTTCCACTCCTGTGTTACTTCACTTGGAATAATGGCCTCCAGCTCCATCCAATTTGCTGCGAAAGACATTATTTCATTCCTTTTAATGGCTGAGTAGTATTCCATGGATATATGGATGTATTCCATGGAGATATATGTAATATTCAGAAAGAAAAGTATTAAACATTAATCTTTTAGGTTAAAAATTCTCAATTTTAAATTTGAGGCATGAAAGTGATTGATACGTGCACACACACACACATCTTTATATATGTAAGTTTTATAGTCTTGAACTAAGAGGCATAGTGTATAGTGTATAAAATACAGATTTCATGCACCAGTTTTTTCTTTCATACTTTCAGAAAGAGTGATTTATCTCTGAGCCTCAGTTTTCTCATCCGAAAAAAAAAAGGTTGTCCACAATAACCTTGTCAGGTAATTGTATGTAGATTTAATGGATAAGATGATACATGAATTCATAGAAAGCACTTTTAAAATTAGAGCTGTCATCATAAAAATGGTTTCTTACAAAAAAAAAAGCCTCATTTAGTTCTTAGGATGCCTTTTTAGCCCAGAAAGTTGTTATTGTTCCCGTTTTACAAATGAGGAAACAGGAGTACACAGCATGTAAGGCTTTGGGTTTGAATACGCTTGTATCCTTTACTGTCAATGCCCTCAAGTCACTCTTTACTTTTGGTGAAAGTACTCATCCTTTAAGACTGAAAAAGGAGCCACTTCCTTAGGCACTTCTCTGATAAGCCCTGACCCTCCTCCATTGCACCTTTCCCATTCCTTTTGTCCTATGGCCCTGTCACACCACACATCACACTGTAAGTGTGTGTATAACTCTATCCCTCCTTGCTGGTGCTATAGTCATCTTTTATCATTTCTATTGTGATAGGCTTATATTAAACACAATTAATATTTGCTAGATGGATGATCACATTGATACTTTATTTGGAGTTATCACCACTATGTTATAGACTCAATTAGCTGCACTTTAAAAATGTATTTAAAAATATTAAAAAAGATATTTTGAGAAGCAAAATACCTAGAGGTTAAGTAACAGTTTTGGAAAATTCAATTCTGTTGTTGTTTCTGATGAAGTCTAATAAGTTTTCTTCTCTCTCTTTCACATTTTTATCTCTTATTATATTATTATATTATTCAGTATTAACTGAAGATATTTGTGTGTGTGTGTGTGTGAGAGAGAGAGATAGAGAGAGAGAGACAGAAAGAGAGGAAGAGAGGAAGAGAGAGGGGTTACTGAGCTATGATATGACTGAATAAAGTGGCAGTGATATGACTGCCAGTGGCAGAAAGAGAAGCATTGTTTTAGAAATTAAAGAAACCTTAGAGAAATCTAATCCAAACTTCATTTCACCCTCTACCCCACCTCATTCCTTGTTCTCTGTTTTCAGAGATAAGGCAGCTCAGTTGCAGGGAAACAAAATAAGTATGTGAGCTAGAACTGGATTCCATTTCTCATGAGTCTAATGCAGGGTTTTTCAACCTTGTCTCAGTTGACATTAGGGACTAAATAATTCTTTGTTGCAGGGAGGCTGTCCTATGCATTGCAGGGTGTTTAGCAGCAACCCTGGTCTCTACCCACTAGATGTCAGTAGCATCCCCAGTCGTGACAACCATCATAGTCTCCAGACATTACCATATGGTAGCAATGGTCCCCAGGAGCAATTTTGCCAATGAGGGATACAATTTTGCCAACCTTGGTTGGCAATTTTGCTCCTGGTTTAGAACCAATAACATAAAATATACTTTTTTTTAATTGCTGTTACACATTGCCACCCATACTTCACAGTTTGGAAAATTAGTGCTTGAGTTACCAAGACAAAATTAATTTTAATGATAATCTGGATACAAATATAAAGCCCATTCTCATGTTTAAAAAATCAGCTTGGCAATATTTATTGCTGATTTTAGCACCGTTCACATCTAATAATGATGAGTCTTATTTACGATGGAATCATGAATACTGTCTCTGATTATTCCTTTGATAACCACCCTTTACTTCCTTTTACAACTCTACTCTCTTAGCTCTCAGCAAACTTAATTTTCTTTTTTCTCTAATTTCTTTTTCTCTTTTCTTTGCCACTTCTGTCTGCTCTCTACCACCTGTTTCTCAAAGTTCTGTTATTTTCCAGTTCATACTGTTTTCCTTGGAACATATAAATGTCTTCCATTCCTTTAAAGGCAGTATCTCCTCATATGACTTTCAAATAGACTTCTCCTAATCTCCAAATAAATTCTTATTCCTTTACTGTATTCCCAACAGCCTCAAAAATATAAATAGGTAATACCTATAGATAAACATTAAACTCAAATATGTTCACTCCCTTCATGCCTTCATGCCCAAATGCCACCACAAGCCTGCTGTCCTGCCTATGTCTCCTCCTTTTTTAATGGCAGCATTCTCTGTTTTTTTTTTTTCTGACTAGAAACTTGGCATCATCTATAAATTCTCTCCTTTCCTTACCACCCTTAGGTGTCCAACTTCTTTAAGTCTATTTAGGGCAGGAACAATGTCTTTTGTACCAGTTTTCTTTCCAGTGTTTTGTTCAATATCTTGCATGTAGACAACGCTCAATAGATATTTATTGAGTAAACATTATTTGACAAATGTAGTTACTAAAAGCAAGGATGGGGTAAGCTGCCCTCCTTTTTGATGATTGGATTGTAACTAAGCCCATCCCACCAGCTATCATGCTATGGAGGCATATGTGGCTCTCACTGAAGTCAAGGTCGCCAATGTCAACTCAAACTATATTTTCATAAACTATATTATCTGAAAGTAGAATTCCTTAGCAGCCTGCAGTGTGTGAGTTGTATTATGTGGGTTCTCTGAATAAAAAGTAATTAATTTCGAGTCTTTTGAAATCATCTTTAATGGATTCCCTTTCTCTTGTTTTGTGTGCTCTCACTGATTAAAACTTTATCCTTGCAGATTCATGTTTGGCCATAGGCATCTACAGAGAATACAATATAGTCAATATGCTTCTCAAGATGCCATTAAATATCCAGGCTTCCTGCCACAATGTGGCCATAATGAAAAGAAGGCAAATTGCAGACACTTATAGTCCAAACTGTTGCGCCTTCAGGAGATGTTTCTTTTGGAATAATAATGTAAGAATAATTTAAGTTGGATTTATAGAAGTGAGAAGCCCGATGGAAGGGAGTCAAGGTAGAAAAGGTTATAAAAAAGCTCTTCTTATGTAAGATTGTCTTGAGAAAAAAATATGTTTCCAACAGAAAATTTGAAACAATACTCTATAAATGAAGCTTTGGCTTTTAGGGGAGGCAAGTCCCACCTTTAGAGATTTTAGTCACAGAGTTCCAAACACTCAGATTAATTTAAATTGTACTTTTTTTTTTTTTTTTTTTTTTTTTGAAACAGAGTCTTGCTCTGTCACCAGGCTGGAGTGCAGTGGGGTGATCTCGGCTCACTGCAACCTCTGCTTCCCGGGTTCACGCCATTCTCCTGCCTCAGCCTCCCGAGTAGTTGGGACCACAGGCGCCCACCACCACATCTGGCTAATTTTTTTTTTTTTTTTTTTTTTTTTGGTATTTTGGTTTCACCATGTTGGCCAGGATGGTCTCGATCTCTTGACCTCATGATCCACCAGCCTCAGCCTCCCAAAGTGCTGGGTTGTACTCTTTACATAAGAGTTGGTATGTATTCTCCTGCATTCTGGAAATACTTCCGTTATGAACAAGATATACATCTTTAAATTCATATTTAGTGCAAAATAGATAATTCCCTTATATTTTGACTCACTGATTCTTTATTTGACTAGCTTTAAGTATAGCATTGTATGATAATATGTAAGCGAAATATATTAGCATTTGAAGTATGATTTAGAAATGACTACCTAAATTGGAAAGTATAACTTAATGCTTATGACTAGAAACACATGGCATATTAATATTTTTGCTACTTGTCAAGGAAGATTCTATGGCTATTTTTCAAAACTCAAAATTAAAATAATTACTTATTTTTAACCTGTTATATTAACCTTGGGTTTCATATGTTTTATCTCAAATTGCTATAGACCGTTTTTACCTTAGGTCTTAATGAAGTGCAGTTACAAAGCTAACATTAAAAATATATAGGAATAGAATTATTACTGGCAGAAGGCAAGGTTAGTTTTCTATAGATTTATATATATGTGTGTATATATGTGAGTGTATATATATATTTATATATAAGTAATATATGTATATATGTGTTCATATATATTTATATATAAGTAATATTTATAAGTATATATGTATGTATATATATAAGTATATACGTGTGCGTATATATATCTATACACACACACACACACACACACATATATATACTCTCTGAAAAGTAGGTTGCTACTAGAAGGTGCTGACAGTCTTTTCAGTATCTGATGTGATAATGAGTTTTAGAGTTATTTTGACCAAGGTGAAGCAAGAGCTTATCAAATAGTGGAATTAAATTTAAAACAAAAAGACATCCAAAAACAGTGAAGGCATATTCACTCCTTAAAAGCACACAAGATCCAACAAGCCTATTACGTTATAGACAAATTCTAAAATCACAGACTGCCATGGAAGATGGTAGAAAATGAACAGTCTGAGTAGGTTGGCATGTGACCACAGCAAAAGTGTGAACAAAGAGGATTTTGCTATGTGTTTGGGCTGGACAAATGCTATGATTCTGCACAAGTTTGCTTTTCTGGTCTAAATAGCCTAAAAGGTTAAACTGGGAAAATGAGATGCATTTCTTTTATTCTGTAATCTATCTGATTTTAATTTGGATCATTTTTATTTTCTTGATTGTTTTCCAGAATAGTCATTTTACCCTAAGATTTGCAATTATTTTGCTGACTTGGCTTGGTCATCCAGTCACCAAATCCTAGCCTCCTCTGTACTGGCCTCCTTCTGGATGAGCCCTCAGTGCAATCCTTAGGAAGCAAGGTAAATCCAGGCACAATGGCTCAAGCCTGTAATCCTAGCATTTTTGGAGGCCAACATGGGAGGATCATTGAGCCCAGGGATTCGAGGCTGCAGTGAGCAGTGATTGCACCACTGCACTCCAGTCTGGGCAAATGAGTAAGAGCCTCGAAAAACAAAATAAATATAAATAAAAATGAAGCAAGGTCAAAATAAACCGTATGCAATAGGAAGTACATTT
Source organism: Homo sapiens (assembly GCF_000001405.40). NCBI lineage: Eukaryota > Metazoa > Chordata > Mammalia > Primates > Hominidae > Homo > Homo sapiens. Next base: position 74,374,604 of record NC_000004.12, read on the forward strand.
TCTACATCTGGCATTTTGTCTGACTGTTGGGCAACCACTTCTTAGTGCTCCAGGGCCCACGACATTTACTGCTATTGCCATTCCTATGATGGCACTCAACCTCTCCCACGCGCGGTCCCCAATATTGTGTAAGGGTGTAGGCTCGGTCCTGACTCACAGGGAAGAGGCGATTTGTATCCTCTGAGTCACTGGCACCACTTCCTGCTGGCACATCTGAGATTTCACTGAAACATAATCTGAAAAATGAAGGCAGAGAGATATATAGGTGAGGTTCACATTCCTAAAACCCATTTGGAAATTTGATAGAAACAATGACCTCTGAATGCATTTCCATTTTTGCAGCTGTATTGTAAAAGAAGCGCCAACTGCCAATTTTGAGTTTACAGATCATCTGTGTTATATCACCTGGCAAGAAATTCCTCTGTATCTTAGTTACCAATGCCACCAGACAAGAAATGCCACCAGATCTGTTTTTTTGACATAGATACTATCTAAAATATTTAGTATCGTAGTGAATTATTTGCTTAGGAAGAATCTACTGTCAAGAATGAAAAAGCCAAATATAGTATTTGAGGTCCAATCATAGAGAAATTATGTTCAAACAACACTAAGGTCATGAAAAGCCTGACATTAAGGAAATATATGCATGCTTTAGCATTTATTCCCTCCCTGTATGACTCATTAAAGTAATGACTAGCGATTCTTTTTTTTTTTTTTTTTTTTTTTTTTTTTTGAGAGGGAGTCTTCCTCTGTCGCCCAGGCTGGAGTGCAGTGGCGCGATCTCCGCTCCCTGCAAGCTCCGCCTCCTGGGTTCAAGCCATTCTCCTGCCTCAGCCGCCTGAGTAGCTGGGACTACAGGCGCCCGCCACCATGCCTGGCTAATTTTTTTTTTTTTTTTTGTATTTTTAATAGAGACGGGGTTTTACCGTGTTAGCCAGGATGGTCTCGATATCCTGACCTCGTGATCCGCACGCCTCGGCCTCCCAAAGTGCTGGGATTACAGGCGTGAGCCACCGCGCCCGGCCTGACCAGCGATTCTTAAGGTTAACAGGATAGTGGATGTAATATTTCTCTGGAGATAGATTTTTTATTCATTGGATCGCATTCACTCTTCTACCCTAGTTTGCAAGTGTTTGGGAGCAGACGCATATTGCAGGAACATTTGAGAACCACTATTTTAAAGCAATAGTGCTGTGCAGATGGACATGACTTAGAATTAATTTTGCTGTTTTCTTGGCCACATCCATCCATGATGGAATTGCAGTTATACACTTTAATTTGAAAGGAACATTTAAAATTATATACGATTCCACCTGTAAAATATCCTGCTGTAGGATTAATGCAGCAAGTCTCACAGAAACTATCCTGAGCGATGGACTGTGTCCAAGGGAGCGTCACGAGTAAGGAAAGTCCAGTCTTTGTGGAGGCACACCCTGGGCTGAACATTCTTTAATTAACAAAGACAAACATTTCACCTGTGGCCTGAACAACTGGAACAAAGTTTCCAACGGTGGAAAAACTAACAACTACTAAAAACCTTTAAAAAAGAAGACTAACAGCAACACTCCAAAGTAAGTTGGATTCTATAATAGTTGCAGGTTGCAATTGGAGGCAATTCCAAGCAGGAAAGGTTAGGCTTTAGTTTATGCAAAGGATAGAGAAACTAGCTTCAAATGTGCATTTTTTTCCCCCTGGCTAGCATTTTCCTGGAGGGAGAATTGGTAATGTCTCCTCCAAAGCTTTCCTCAGTTGAAGAAATATGTAGGAATAGGAATGTCAAGGATGTAAGCACGTGCAACTAAAACTCCAATTTGTACCGAGGAAACTGTATTAGTTAAAGGATTTCATTCTTCAGTAGTGAAAGTATGGTGAAATTATTATTGGGATATAAAACAAAATTGACTTGAATGAGAATCTAGCTTATCCTCCATAAAAAGCTTAGTGAAATAGTTTTCAACTCTGTTCAACTGACAATGAAATCTAGGCTTTAGCTATTTCTTTGTCATTCAACAAAAATATATTTTTTGTAGTTCCACAAGAGCAATTGAAGCAGCATTTATATTGTAGAAAAAGCATGGAGTGGGGAGGGGATAATTCTGAACTTTAAAGACAACAGAATTTTCAAATTGTTGAAGAACAGGAGACTTGATTTCAAAAGATAAATTTGTAACTCTTCTCTTCTGTGGTCACAAGTGATCTTAGACAAGACATTTAATTTAAATACACTGAGGGTATTTGAGACTAATAACTACTTCACAGAATTAAGTGTGAAATTTGATATATGAAGTTATACATTATGATGCTGATGCCGATGTGTAATTTACTTTTCAGAACCCAAAAATATACAATCGGCTTAACAGATACAAGCCTTCTCTAACTGAGAAAAAATAAAATTCTTGTATTACACGAATTAAATCTTTCTTTACAGTACCAAATTACAGAGATAGACAAACTTGTTATAAACCAGAAGAGGGCACTGTCCACATACACTGCTAAAACCAGAGGCTAGAAGTTGAGAGTCAAGGAACATTTATGGGCTGTGACAGCCATTTCAGAAAAAAAAAAAAAAAAACATTAGTTTATTTCACTGTATTCTCCCCAAAAATCTATAAGATAGGAAAAATTAACACCCAGAAAAGTAAATTAATTTTTTTTCAAGATCACGTAGCTCAAGTTTTCCTCACAAGACTGCCTTTCCACCATAATTTGTGGCCTCTATGTTGGGTTAAATACTCTACTTCAATTACAGCTATCATAATTTGTTCTCTGTGATGTCCATTATACTCTAGTATTATTGCCTATTTCCAAATTCTATAAAGTGGCCCATTTAACAATATGTATCCTTGGGAAAAGTTATTTAAACTCTTTATGCTTTAGTTTTCTCTAATGGGGATAATAATAGTATCTTCCTCAAATTGGCCCTGAGAGGACTAAATAATATAATACAGATAAGGTGAATAGGACCATACCTGGTTGTATTAGTTTGTTTTCACACTATTATAAAGGACTTCCCTGAGACTGGGTAATTTATAAAGGAAAGAACTTTAATTGACTCACAGTTCTATATGGCTGGGGAAGTCTCAGGAAACTTATCATGGCCGAAGGCGAAGGGGAAGCAAGCCCCTTTTTCACAAGGTGGCAGGAGAGAGAGGCGGGAAGGAGGAACTTCCAAACACTTATAAAACCATCAGATCTCATGAGAACTCACTCACTATCCTGAGAACAGCATGCAGGAAACTACCCGCATTGATTCAATCACCTCCCTCCTTGGACACATGGGGATTACGGGTCCCTCTCTCAATACATGGGGATTGCAATTCCAGATGAGATGTGGGTGGGGACACAGAGCCAAACTATATCACTGGTACATAGTACATGTTCAAGAGATGGATCGTCCTCTGTCTGAACTGTGAAAGAAATGGAAAGTTGAATATATTTTGTTGCCTTTATGGAGGCATTAATCATCCTTTCATAACAGTTACCACTTACTTAGCTACTTCAACGAAACAGGTTGATTCAAACTCTTCCTGTGCTTACAGAAACTGGATTCTCAGTGTGGTTCATCTGGCATGCCTATTCCTTCTCATATTAGATAGGATATATTCTGATTTTACCTAGATTACATTTACCTAGCTGCCTATCAGTCAAGGAGAATTTTCAGGAGTAGGAAGTCATTCTAGTTATCACGCACCCTAGGCCAATAAGCACCGGAATCCAAACGAAAATGTCCAACCGACTAAACAAAATCACATAGGAGGTATTTATTCTCAAAAGACAACCTTTAGGGTGTAGAAAAAGCAAGCTTAACACACATGTCATTATCCCCCACGGTAGGTATTATTCATTTCTTCAAACAAAATATGTCTAATTTTTTTCAAATCTCAGTTCTGAAATTCGTTATTCCCCAAAGCAATTGCAAGCTGAAGCCATTAATTAATTTAGTGGAGCTTAATTGCTGCTACTACTACTACTACCACCACCATTAGTATTTACTATATAACAGTTACTTAAATAAATTGGAAAGAGTGTTTGAAGTGCAAATACCTAAAGCTTAAACAGAAGCAGCTAAAGCTCTTAACTAAACATCTGTGAAATTACAAGGGTTCTTCTTATGATGATTCCTACACAATTCAGAAAGTACTTGAGTCATTCTTGATATCTATGTTCCAAAATTTTATCTTTTCACTGAATACACATGATGAAACAGCTGATTCAGACTCTTCCTATGCTGATAGAAACTGGATTCTAGGGCTCAGTATGGTTCATCTGGGATGCCTGTTCCTCCTCATATTAGACAAGATATATTCTGATTTTACCTAGCTTTCACTGTATTAATTAAAATCTATACTCATGTGTAATGCAATGCAAAGAGTAACTTAGGTACATAAATCAATAATGAATGTTTCTTAGGTTGAGTTTCTTGTTGTTACTGTAAGTGGAAACCGATTTTTTATTTAGAGCCTTTTTTTGTGATGGGGTCTGATTAGGAGCATTTCTCTGAACACATGATGGAATAAAACAGTGGAAATTCTCCAACTGATGTGCGTCTTAAGAAATCAAACTTCAAAATCAAATCTTTGAAAATGTTACTGTGAAATATTTAGAGCAGGTCAAATCTGTAACCGTGAATGTAATGCCAAGGCTTTTATCCTTCCACAGAATAGCTGGGGGAGTTTGTATTTTCTGTTACATGCCTGTTTCCATGAATTATTTTGTTTTATGGTTTTGATGGACCAAATCTGTGAAACAAAACAACTCTATAAGTACTGCAGTTATGTAGAAATTTGATCAAGATTTCTTTCCTTAACACATTAGTTATATATTCGATTTTTCTTCATAAATAGGTTTCCATCTTCTACAGGCAGTCCTCAGTACAACTGTGATTCCATCATGTATCCCAGGAGAGTCCAGTGATAACTGCACAGCTTTAGGTAAGCCCAAGTTTGTCAATGTGGCATCAAGAGACTACATATTTTTAAACAGAAATATAAACTCAAAGACTATAAGTATGTGATAATTTTTTAAAAAAGGGTAAGAATAGCTGCTATATTACTTTTTAAATCACCATATAAACTAATGTTCTGAAAAAATTATATAAAGGAATAACTGGTAGGAGAGGGACCGGATAAATTATATACACAGATTTGATTGTGAAGAGATAGGGAACAACAACAACAAAAAATTGCATTCCCTTTGGCCGTCTCCTGGCACTTTACTGCGAAACATCCTCAGAGACCACACTGACTGGATTCCAGGCAAAACAGCAAAACAGGAAAACTTTGTACAGAATAGGTTCTCTATCTCTCTCTTTCTACCCCTCTCTCTCTCTTTGTAAGAAGAACAAATGATAGTCGTTTCTTTCTAGGCACAGTGTTCATTCAGAAAACATTTATCGAGTATGTAGTATGCACCAAACGCTGTGCTAAGGCATACAGATACAAAGATAAGTAATACAGTTTTTTCCCCTCGAGGACTGTGGACTCCAGATATGGTCCAAGGGGGATCAGCTTTATCTTCATTCTGAGTTATTGAATCAAGATAACTGAGTTATTTTGAGGAAGCAGGATATTTTCCATAACAACTTTATCTTTTGTCCCTCACCATCAGGTTCTCTGGAGGTTTGGTCAGCCTCCTCCGCAGGTTTGGTCAGCCTCCTCCGCATCATCTTTTTTTTTTTCCTTCTTTGGTTATTTGGGCAAGAGTATTACAATCAAATTGCTATTTTAAAAGTAATTTTATAAGCATCTTTCACATTTTGGTATCTAAAGCTTTCTAAAGTGAATTTTACACAAAGGCTCCTATTTTCATTGCTGTTATTTGTCTACCAGAGGCCTTTCTCACTCAGGGTTTGTCTAGTTTGGATTCAGGCCTCATTATCAGAGATATTGGGAGACTGGTTAATTTCATTAATGGTAACCTCAGCAACTTGAAAACATACACCAAAGCCAGCCTTACTGATTAAAAATCCACTGTAGAATTAAGCTCCTTTGAATTAATTAATGGTATGAGCTTGCAACTGCTTTGGGGAGTAATAGATTTCAGAAATGTTTTGGGACTTGAGAAAAATTAGACAAATTTTGCTTGAAGAAATAACACCCACTTGGAGGATAATGACACCTGTGTGTTAAATTTGCCTTCTCTACCCTTACAGGTTGTCTTTTGAGAATGAAATCCTTTCATGTTATCTTCTTTTGTTTAGTCTGTTGGACATTTTCCTTTGGATTCAAGTGTTTATTGATTGGTCTAGGGGGTGTGACAACTAGAGTGACTTCCTACTTCTCAAAATTCTCCTTGACAGATTGGCATCTGACTTGTTGTGTAGAAGTAGTTCAGTGGTTACTGTTATGAAAGAGTGAGAAATTCTTCCATGAAGGCTGCAGAATATATTCAACTTTCCACTTCTTTTACAGTTCAGACAGAAGACAATCCACGTGTGGCTCAAGTGTCAATAACAAAGTGTAGCTCTGACATGAATGGCTATTGTTTGCATGGACAGTGCATCTATCTGGTGGACATGAGTCAAAACTACTGCAGGTAATATGTCAGAAATAAACAAACACAGTTTGTAAAATTTTGTTTTATAGATTTAGGGGTACAAGTGCAGATTTGCTAGTGGATATATTCAGTAGTGGTGAAGTCTGAGCTTTTAGAGTACCTACCCCTCAAATAGTGTGCATGGAACCCATTAGGTAATTTTTCATCCCTTAACCCCCCCAAAACTCTTCTACCTTTTGAAGTCTCCAGAGTCTATTACTCCACTCTCTATGACCATGTGTACACATTATTTAGCTCCCACTTGTGAGAACATGTGATAAACAAATGCAGTTTTACTCTTTGTATTTCTATTTTTATATTTTGAAATTACCCTATATTTCCATGGGCTGTTAAATGCAGTATATATATTATTAGAAACTTTTCTGAGTTTTTAAAAATTAGGTAGTAAATAGTAGCTTTTAAATTGCACACATATGTCAGAGGTGCAGAGCAGGGAGGACTTCTGATGCTTCTCACACTTGCCAAGATGGTGTCTCTCTGCTTTGGATCTTTTCCTTCAATTTCTATATCAGGTATTGTTTTAAGAATTGATTCCAGGCCGGACGCGTTGGCTCATGCCTGTAATCCCAGCACTTTGGGAGGCCGAGGCGGGCGGATCACGGGGTCAGGAGATCAAGACCATCCTGGCGAACACGGTGAAACCCCGTCTCTACTAAAAATACAAAAAAAAAAAAAAATTAGCCAGGGGTAGTGGCGGACGCCTGAAGTCCCAGCTACTCGGGAGGCTGAGGCAGGAGAATGGCATGAACCCGGGGGGTGGAGCTTGCAGTGAGCGGAGATCATGCCACTGTACTCCAGCCTGGGCAACACAGCGAGACTCCGTCTCAAAAAAAAAAAAAAAAAAAAAAAAAAGAATTGATTCCAGGCCAGGCGCAGTGGCTCAACCCTGTAACCCCAGCACTTTGGGAGGCTGAGGCGGGCAGACCACTTGAGGTCAGGAGTTCCTGACCAGCCTGGCCAACATGGTGAAACCCCGCCTCTACTAAAAATACAAAAATTAGCGAGGCGTGGTGGCGCAAGACTGTAGTCTACTCAGGAGGCTGAGATAGGAGAATTGCTTGAACCTGGGAGGCGGAGGTTGCAGTGAGCCGAGAGATCACACCACTGCTATCCAGCCTGGGCGACAGAACGAGACTCCATCTCAAAAAAACCAAACAGACAAACAAACAAAAAAAGAATTGATTCCACTGATTTAGACAAAAGGAATCTCAAACCTGTACAACTTACAAAACACCACTGTGGACTGTCAGCCACCATGACAGCTGAACACAACCGTCATTTTAATACTACAATTTAGTCCAAGAGCTACGTGGAGCCCTTTTATCATTACTGGTCTAACTCAATCTTTGAAATCCTCTTTACAATCTTTAGCAAATTTTGTTGATTTCTTGCATTACAGTGTGATGTTAGTCCTTATAAAACTAATTCATAACCATGATTTCCTTTTTAAGTAACTGATCTTTCTTTCTTCCGTATTTTCCTTCAGGTGTGAAGTGGGTTATACTGGTGTCCGATGTGAACACTTCTTTTTAACCGTCCACCAACCTTTAAGCAAAGAATATGTGGCTTTGACCGTGATTCTTATTATTTTGTTTCTTATCACAGTCGTCGGTTCCACATATTATTTCTGCAGATGGTAAGTCAGTGTGGTTTTATACTCTGCTTTTACAAATTACTTTTACATAATGCAGACCTATAAACTGGGTAAAAATATGGATAAAGTATTAGAGAGATAAGATCAAACCTGTACAAATGATATTTACAAGAGTTGAGAAACTATTAAGTATTATGCCCAACACCTGAGTGATGGGATCAGCTGTACCCCTAATCTCAGCATCATACAATATATCCTGTTAAGAAACCTGCATGTGTACCCCCGAATCTGAAATAACTTGAAATTATTTTTTAAAAATATGTTTTTGCTGCAGAACATCTGGATTGAACTTTATTATCAGCTCTGATACTTATTACCTATGTGACCTTACATAAGTCAAATTGAGAGTATCAATTCCCTTCTTTATCAAATATGGACAGAAATTATTATCTTACATTAGTTATAGGGTGGTTGCTTTTAGTATGTAATATGATATTTCATGTGAAAGTAAATCATAGGATAGGTGCTACTGTTATAGTTAACCACCTGAATTTAATTCCTCAAGTCACATTTTTTATTTTATAAAAAACAACCTTGTAAATTAATAACCTTAGAAGCTTGGGTTATCTTACAGTTTAAGGCAGACTGGTGGAACTATTTCTAGACAATTATAAAAAATGGTTGTTAAAAAATAGTTTGTGTCAGTCCCCCAAAACAGTCGTACCTCATCCTCATGTGCATTATTGTCACAAGCTGAAAACAGAAAAATAGAAAGTGAACATTGAAAGTATAGTTTGGCATTTTTTTAAGGGTTAGGAGCAAAGGATGGGAACAGTGTGAATTAATTAATAACAGTTCCCTTTAAAATGTCTCCATGAAACATATTTTGAAACAGTTACAAATTACTCAAGGTGAATTTACGTTTTTATTTTTCTGTGAAAGTAGTGCACTTCCAATTTTGAAGGTCTGAAAGTGTGCTACTTTCATAATATTAAATTTATTTTGTCCACATTTGATTCTAAGTATCCATCAAATAATAATGCCTTCCTAATAAGTTGCCATGACAGAACTAAATATTATTAAAACTGAAATATGCCTGCAAATCTTTGACCACAATCCTTTCCTTTATAGATGGGGCACTGAGGTTTAGAGAGGTTCATTCAAATATCCCAGCTCATATAGTTGACAAATGCCAGAGTGAAGAACAAATTCTTTCTAATTCATATTCTTACAGTAAACATAGACATGATGTGGTTTCCTCAAAGCTACATGTCTTATTTCCAAAATAGGGACAAAATAAACTCAAAAATATTAGGAAAATAGCTTAATGAATAAATGAAAGAAGATTCTAAATTATGATAAATCTATGAATCCTAGCTATGAGACCTTGGACCTTGGGCACATTATATACAACCCATTTGTATTTCACTTTCTTCATCTGTAAGATGAGGATGGTAACAGCAAATGTGAGAGTAAAATAAATAATGCATGTATAGCACTTAGAAAATTGTAGGTCACCAAATTAGTGCCTGATAAATATTATTTTTATTTTGATTAGTGATAGCATTATATCAATGTGATGGAAAGAGTGTATTAATGTAGCATGATTTGTAAATATTCATTCCTTAGAAGGGAGGAAGGAAAAAGAAAGAGAGACAGAAAAAGAAAACCTAAAATTCAGACTTAAATGTGGCCACACGCCTCTTGGAATTTCACAATATTCATGATCACGTTAAAGACTTTGAGAAACTCTTTAAGTGTATTTTATCATTTCATTCCAAAATTGTTTGACTACAGCACATCACCTCTTCATCCCTCTTTTTTTTTTTTTTTTTAACATTGTCCAACCTAAATCTGTTCAACTTTGTCATTTTGGAAACACTATGCTAATGTGCCTTTGGAGTCCATATATAACACACTTGTTCCTTTGCTATTAACTGCAGTGCTAACAGTTTCGTTTGTGAATATTTCCAGGTACAGAAATCGAAAAAGTAAAGAACCAAAGAAGGAATATGAGAGAGTTACCTCAGGGGATCCAGAGTTGCCGCAAGTCTGAATGGCGCCATCAAACTTATGGGCAGGGATAACAGTGTGCCTGGTTAATATTAATATTCCCATTTTATTAATAATATTTATGTTGGGTCAAGTGTTAGGTCAATAACACTGTATTTTAATGTACTTGAAAAATGTTTTTATTTTTGTTTTATTTTTGACAGACTATTTGCTAATGTATAATGTGCAGAAAATATTTAATATCAAAAGAAAATTGATATTTTTATACAAGTAATTTCCTGAGCTAAATGCTTCATTGAAAGCTTCAAAGTTTATATGCCTGGTGCACAGTGCTTAGAAGTAAGCAATTCCCAGGTCATAGCTCAAGAATTGTTAGCAAATGACAGATTTCTGTAAGCCTATATATATAGTCAAATCGATTTAGTAAGTATGTTTTTTATGTTCCTCAAATCAGTGATAATTGGTTTGACTGTACCATGGTTTGATATGTAGTTGGCACCATGGTATCATATATTAAAACAATAATGCAATTAGAATTTGGGAGAAGCAAATATAGGTCCTGTGTTAAACACTACACATTTGAAACAAGCTAACCCTGGGGAGTCTATGGTCTCTTCACTCAGGTCTCAGCTATAATTCTGTTATATGAGGGGCAGTGGACAGTTCCCTATGCCAACTCACGACTCCTACAGGTACTAGTCACTCATCTACCAGATTCTGCCTATGTAAAATGAATTGAAAAACAATTTTCTGTAATCTTTTATTTAAGTAGTGGGCATTTCATAGCTTCACAATGTTCCTTTTTTGTATATTACAACATTTATGTGAGGTAATTATTGCTCAACAGACAATTAGAAAAAAGTCCACACTTGAAGCCTAAATTTGTGCTTTTTAAGAATATTTTTAGACTATTTCTTTTTATAGGGGCTTTGCTGAATTCTAACATTAAATCACAGCCCAAAATTTGATGGACTAATTATTATTTTAAAATATATGAAGACAATAATTCTACATGTTGTCTTAAGATGGAAATACAGTTATTTCATCTTTTATTCAAGGAAGTTTTAACTTTAATACAGCTCAGTAAATGGCTTCTTCTAGAATGTAAAGTTATGTATTTAAAGTTGTATCTTGACACAGGAAATGGGAAAAAACTTAAAAATTAATATGGTGTATTTTTCCAAATGAAAAATCTCAATTGAAAGCTTTTAAAATGTAGAAACTTAAACACACCTTCCTGTGGAGGCTGAGATGAAAACTAGGGCTCATTTTCCTGACATTTGTTTATTTTTTGGAAGAGACAAAGATTTCTTCTGCACTCTGAGCCCATAGGTCTCAGAGAGTTAATAGGAGTATTTTTGGGCTATTGCATAAGGAGCCACTGCTGCCACCACTTTTGGATTTTATGGGAGGCTCCTTCATCGAATGCTAAACCTTTGAGTAGAGTCTCCCTGGATCACATACCAGGTCAGGGAGGATCTGTTCTTCCTCTACGTTTATCCTGGCATGTGCTAGGGTAAACGAAGGCATAATAAGCCATGGCTGACCTCTGGAGCACCAGGTGCCAGGACTTGTCTCCATGTGTATCCATGCATTATATACCCTGGTGCAATCACACGACTGTCATCTAAAGTCCTGGCCCTGGCCCTTACTATTAGGAAAATAAACAGACAAAAACAAGTAAATATATATGGTCATATACATATTGTATATATATTCATATACAAACATGTATGTATACATGACCTTAATGGATCATAGAATTGCAGTCATTTGGTGCTCTGCTAACCATTTATATAAAACTTAAAAACAAGAGAAAAGAAAAATCAATTAGATCTAAACAGTTATTTCTGTTTCCTATTTAATACAGCTGAAGTCAAAATATGTAAGAACACATTTTAAATACTCTACTTACAGTTGGCCCTCTGTGGTTAGTTCCACATCTGTGGATTCAACCAACCAAGGACGGAAAATGCTTAAAAAATAATACAACAACAACAAAAAATACATTATAACAACTATTTACTTTTTTTTTTTTCTTTTTGAGATGGAGTCTCGCTCTGTTGCCCAGGTTGGAGTGCAGTGGCACGATCTCGGCTCACTGCAACCTCACCTCCCGGGTTCAAGAGATCCTCCTGCCTCAGCCTCCTGAGCAGCTGGGACTACAGGCGCATGCCACCATGCCCAGCTAATTTTTGTATTTTTAGTAGAGGCGGGGTTTCACCATGTTGGCCAGGATGGTCTCAATCTCCTAACCTTGAGATCCACCCTCCACAGCCTCCCAAACTGCTGGGATTACAGGTGTGAGCCACCGCACGTAGCATTTACATTAGGTATTACAAGTAATGTAAAGATGATTTAAGTATACAGGAGGATGTGAATAGGTTATATGCAAGCACTATGCCCTTTTATATAAGTGACTTGAACATCTGTGCCCGATTTTAGTATGTGCAGGGGGGCGATCTGGGAATCAGTCCCCTGTGGATACCAAGGTACAACTGTATTTATTAACGCTTACTAGATGTGAGGAGAGTCTGAATATTTTCAGTGATCTTGGCTGTTTCAAAAAAATCTATTGACTTTTCAATAAATCAGCTGCAATCCATTTATTTCATTTACAAAAGATTTATTGTAAGCATCTCAATCTTGGTTTGTCAGTTTATCTTAAGCATGTCAATTCATAAAAACAAGTCATTTTTGTATTTTTCATCTTTAAGAATGCTTAAAAAAGCTAATCCCTAAAATAGTTAGATCTTTGTAAATGCATATTAAATAATAAAGTATGACCCACATTACTTTTTATGGGTGAAAATAAGACAAAAATAATAGTTTTAGTGAGGATGGTGCTGAGTAAACATAAAAACTGATTTGCTCTCAGCTGATGTGTCCTGTACACAGTGGGAAGATTTTAGTTCACACTTAGTCTAACTCCCCCATTTTACAGATTTCTCACTATATATATTTCTAGAAGGGGCTATGCATATTCAATGTATTGAGAACCAAAGCAACCACAAATGCATAAATGCATAATTTATGGTCTTCAACCAAGGCCACATAATAACCCAGTTAACTTACTCTTTAACCAGGAATATTAAGTTCTATAACTAGTACTCAAGGTTTAACCTTAAAATTAAGATTTCCTTAACCTTAACCTTAAAATTGATATTATATTAAACATACATAATACAATGTAACTCCACTGTTCTCCTGAATATTTTTTGCTCTAATCTCTCTGCCGAAAGTCAAAGTGATGGGAGAATTGGTATACTGGTATGACTACGTCTTAAGTCAGATTTTTATTTATGAGTCTTTGAGACTAAATTCAATCACCACCAGGTATCAAATCAACTTTTATGCAGCAAATATATGATTCTAGTGTCTGACTTTTGTTAAATTCAGTAATGCAGTTTTTAAAAACCTGTATCTGACCCACTTTGTAATTTTTGCTCCAATATCCATTCTGTAGACTTTTGAAAAAAAAGTTTTTAATTTGATGCCCAATATATTCTGACCGTTAAAAAATTCTTGTTCATATGGGAGAAGGGGGAGTAATGACTTGTACAAACAGTATTTCTGGTGTATATTTTAATGTTTTTAAAAAGAGTAATTTCATTTAAATATCTGTTATTCAAATTTGATGATGTTAAATGTAATATAATGTATTTTCTTTTTATTTTGCACTCTGTAATTGCACTTTTTAAGTTTGAAGAGCCATTTTGGTAAACGGTTTTTATTAAAGATGCTATGGAACATAAAGTTGTATTGCATGCAATTTGAAGTAACTTATTTGACTATGAATGTTATCGGATTACTGAATTGTATCAATTTGTTTGTGTTCAATATCAGCTTTGATAATTGTGTACCTTAAGATATTGAAGGAGAAAATAGATAATTTACAAGATATTATTAATTTTTATTTATTTTTCTTGGGAATTGAAAAAAATTGAAATAAATAAAAATGCATTGAACATCTTGCATTCAAAATCTTCACTGACAATGCAGCCTCATTCTTTTTTTTTCTTTTGCAATTTTTTCCCCACAATACATTAAAGGGTTTAAAAGCAGTGACAGGGATATAATGTGTGTAGACATAATGACTCAATGGTGTTAATTTGGGAAAACATTCTATAAATGTATCACGTTTTATAGCCAGCATAGTGAAGAATTTCTTGTAATAGAAGGAGCCACATTAGTTATAAAATTCTAGGTGTTGGTATTTAAAAATCCTAGGAGTTAGGATTGATTGATTGATTGATTGATTGATTGATTTTGAGATGGAGTCTCACTCTATTGCCCAGGCAGGAATGCAGCGGCACGATCTCGGCTCACCACAACCTCCGCCTCCTGGGTTCAAGCGATTCTCCTGCCTCAGCCTCCCGGGTAGCTAGGACTACAGTCACGTGCCACCATGCCCGGCTAATTTTTGTATTTTTAGTAGAGACAGGGTTTCACCATGTTGGCCAGACTGGTCTCAAACTCATGACCTTGTGATCTTCCCGCCTCCGCCTCCCAAAGTGCTGGGATTACAGGCATGAGCCACCATGCCCAGCCTGGGGTTAGTATTTTTTAAAATAATATTTTAAAGAGTATTTTAAAAGAGTATTTCTAAAAAGAATAGATATCCTATTGGGAAGTAGCATTTGAAAAGATTCATCAGCCAGAATGGTGCCTTATGATTCTCTCAGCCTCTGCAAAGAGGCTTGGCTCCCCTGAGCCTTTAGAGCAGACAAGCTTGATTCTTCCCACCCTTCATCACAGTGATGGATGGCTTCCTTGGTATACTTATTCAGCAGCCTACAGAGTACTTGCTCCATTCCTTAGCTCCTTGGATCCTTCATTAGCTTGCAGCTGGGGAAGGGACCTATGGCTTCAACCCTTTGACAGGGAGGTTAAGCAATTGTCCTGGGTCACACCACTGGCAATAGGTGGAGGTGTCATGAGAATTCAGGTCTTCTCACTCCTAATTCCACTGATGTTCGGGCCATGTCAGAGGCAGAGGAAGATTATAAGGAGTTAGTCTCAGATCTAGTTTAGAGTTTTCTTGGGAGAAATAGAAATTCTTGTAAAATAGAATCTTTGAATTGTCATTGAATCATTACACTGATTTTGTTCAAGGTCTGAGAATCCAGAAGATTAAGGAAGAGAACTCTTAGAAACACTTTTTTTTCTCTTGGTTTCCAGGATATCACACTCATCTGCTTTTCTACCTGCTTCTCAGTCTTTAGCTAGATCTTCCTCAATATTTCCCTATTCTCTACCATGGACCTATCAAAAATAGAGTGCCCCAGAGCTCAATATTGTAATTTTTCTCTCCATATAGCCACTCCCTACTTCATTTCATACAGTTTCATATCTTTAATTGCTGTCTATATACTGATTTCTCCCAGTCTAGATATTTGCCATGAGTTCCAGATATCTGTGTCCGATTACCTAACATCTCCACTTACATATTCACTAGGCATTCAAAGGTGACACGATCAATAACTAATATTCCCCTATAAACGTTTCTTCAATATAGTTACTATTTCAATAAAATTCAACTCAATCTTTCTTTTATCTCAGACCAAAAACCTGCTATCTCTCTCTCTGGGAATTGCTAAATTACTCATCTTCAAGTGATTTCAGAGAGAAATAACCTAAACTTTTACAATGGTGGCAGAATTGGTCATTTTGAAGAGATTATGCAGAGGGAGGAAAAAGATTCCAAGAAACTGGAGTTAAACAGAATATCAGAGTCTTCAAAAGGATAAAATTATAAGCACTGAATTTGACTCTGATCAATTCTAGAACATATTTTTCCCTAAACAGTCATAAAACATGAAATATATGTGCTGTTCATTAAGTTCCAACATGAATTCATTAAGAAAAGACATAAAACATGGATCACTTTTAAATATCCTGTCTGGTCACCCACTAATGCTAACTATCTGTCATACAAAATCAAACACAGATACTCTGCTCAGTTTATCTAAATTTCAGAGAAATACTTGGGAAAAGACTTCCATAATTTTCTTATTAGCTTGTAGGGCAAAGTACCTATTAAGAAAATAAGCAAAACTTACGCTCATTTAATGCAGATAATGTACGTGGATCCATTACATGCTAAATGAATGGAGAACATGTGACTAAGTGACTAAGTGATACAGAACAGATAAGGGATTGGTTATACTAGCAGATGTTATGAAATATACATAAAAATACAATCATATATTGTTGACCAATGATGACCTTTCCAATTAATCTATGAATCAATGATTTTTCTATTATTCTCAGCACCATCCCTTCTTCTGGGGATGGCAGGATGTGTTCCAAAGAAGTATGTGTCATGTTTCTGACCTTCAAGTTACTATCAGAAACAATCTGCATTCTTAAAAAATAATAAAAACAGTGCTTTATGAATTAATCAATATTTATTGAAAAGCTTTTCTGTGTCTAGTAATTTGCAAACGGTTGTGGAATATTCAAAAGAGTATAAAATATACTATCATTTGCAAAAAACTTAGAAGAGAGATTCAAAGTTATGAGAACATTTAAAGAACAGTGGAGGCTTTAATAGTTAGGGTTTCTTGATTTTTAGGGGAAAAAACCAATTCTGGTGAAACTAAAACATTTATAGGAAAGATATGAGACAGTCAATAGAATTAGAGTAAAAGCTAAAAAACAGGACAGTTCTAGTGATTTAGGTAGCAGTGTGTTGTTTCTAGAAGTTGTGTATTCCAACCATTTTACTTCTTGGGAGCTCATGGTCTAAGAAGACAGCATATGACTGTCTAACTGAGAATATGAGTACACCCCTGGCCAAAGAAGGGCACTTTAGCTGAGAAAAGCAAAAGTCTGTATCTAATAAGAAAAAAAAATCCCCCAAAGAAAAATAAAATGCTATTACCAGAAGAATGAATAAATTCTGAAAAGACAAATAGCAGAAGTCCACCATATGTAGTAGATAGTATCATACAAAATAATTTAGAGAAAGGTAACTTCGAGAGGGGAAGTTTCACTGAAGAGGTAGGACTTTAATTGGACTTTGAAAAAATGACAGGACTTTGATATAAGCAAAGGAGAGATTGTAGGACATTTCAAATGGGAGAATAATCAGCAAAAACACTAACAAAAAGCATAGCATGTTTACGATGTGTCAGGGAGACTATCCTGACAGTAGCAGAGGATCTATATTTGAGAATAGTTACAAATTTAGTTTGAAGGCTCAGTAAAGATGTAAGAAAAAGATAAGCTTTACATTTATGGACCATTGAGAATCATTTATAGTTTTTAATCAGAGGAATGACACCATAAATTGGTGTGGTAGGCAGAACAATACCCCTCACCTCAAAAGATATCTGTGTTCTAATCCTCAGAACCTATGAATATGTTACCTTCCATGGTAAAAGGGACATGACTGATGATTAAGGTTACAGATCTTGAGATGAGGAGGTGATTGTGGATTAAATGGGTAGGCCCAATCTAATCACATGAGTTCTCAAAAGTACAGAGTCATTCCAAGTTGTCATCAGAGAGATGTGATGTGAAAAGGAAGGACCTGACTCACAGTTGCTGACAAAGGAAGAGGGTTCCAAGCCAAGAAACACTGGTGGCCTATGAAAGTTTGTAAAGACAAGAAAATAGACTCTCCCCTATATTATTCAGAACAGAATGTAGCCCTGCCAACACCTCGATTTTCACCCAGTGTCAACACCTTCCTTTAGCCCAGGTATCTATTAGACTTCTGAATTGTAAGATAATAAATTCTATTGTTTTAAGTCACTGAAATCATAGCAGTTTGTTGATATTAAAAGAAATCTAATATGGTTAATTTTTTGGAAAGATTGAAATGAGATTATTTGAGAACACTACTTGAGAGAGGCAGGAGGCAGAGAGACCTACTAATGGAGTGTTGTAATGACCTAGATGTAAACTGAAGAAAGTTGAGACTAGGATTATGTCTGGGAGAACAGAGCAGGAGGAGCATTTTAGATATGTCACAGAGGGAAAATCAGGTGTTTAGTAATTGGATATGAGAAATGAGAGAAAGCAAAGTTGGAAAGAATTGAGTTTAGGAAGGAGGAAAAATGGTTTCCATATGTTGACTCTAAGATAACAGCAGGGTATATAGTAGAAATAGCATATTTGAGGTACCTGACAACACTTCAAAATTACTTACTGTTTTACAATTTACAAAATACTTTCACATCTATTAAATCTGTTTCGACACACACTTTGATATAGAAGGTAAGATTCATAATTATTACCTAAAAAAGAATATGGTCTCCAGAGAAGTTGTGATTTGCACCAGATCACAAAGCAAGTAAAGTCACAGAACTCATACACTATCCTAGTGCAGCCTCTAAGCCCCAGGCCAAATTTCCCTCCCCTTAGATGAACCCCCAATGCAGAAGTTGGGTATGCGGTCTGGACTAAAGCTGTGATGTTGAGAACCCCCATCACAGAAACCATGGCTGAAGCCAAAGAATCACTTCAAGTTAAACACTCCAAAGGTATGAGGGTAGAGGAAAAATGCCAAGAAAACCAGTGACTGAGTCTCAGTAAAGTGATAAAAGAAACTTTATCTAAGGAATGGGTAAAAGAAAAGAAGATTTTGCAGACAAAACAAATAATTAAACGTTTAATTTCTTCATTCAATCATTCAAATACTTATTGAGGGCTTATTATGTGTCTTACTGTTTACATCTTGAGAATAAGTGATAAATGACAAACAAAACTTGAAATTTATATTCTAGCAGGAAAAGAAAGAAAATAAATACTAATAACAACAACAGTTGCAAACGTGTATAGGGCTATTTGTTGTTAAGCTTTTCAAATACAATAACTTATGAAATCCTTCTAACCACTTGATGAGGTATGTAACTATTTATTTAAAATGCATTTTTCAGATGGGGAAATTGAGACACAGGGTAACATGTCCAAGGTCTCATGGTTAGTGATAAAATAAGGTAGTAAAACATAACATGCTACAATTTCAGGGTGTCTTTAGCTAGGGTGGTCAAGGAGGCATCCCTACAGTTTGTGGAGGCAAACTATCCTTGGCTTGGAGCAATAAATGCAAGGACTCTAATGTTCAGAAGACAGTAAGACCAGCCTGGCCCAGGGCATACTCAATGGACAGTTGCAAGAGAAGTCAGAGAGGTAGTCAAGGGTAGAAACTTTAGGGGCTATAAGATTTGGTAAGGTCTTTGCCTTTTCTTAACAATGCAATAAGAACATAGGTGGGAATTGAACAATGAGAACACATGAACACAGGAAGGGGAACATCACACACCGGGGACTGTTGTGGGATGGGGGGAGGGGGGAGGGATAGCGTTAGGAGATATACCTAATGCTAAATGACGAGTTAATGGGTGCAGCACACCAACATGGCACATGTATACATATGTAACAAACCTGCACGTTGTGCACATGTACCCTAAAACTTAAAGTATAATCAAAATAAATAAATAAATAAATAAATAAAAGAAACTATCAGAGGGCTGGAGGTAGGGTGATGAAATAATTCAAAAAGATCAGTCTATCTGCTCTGCCGAAAGTAGACTAAAAAGGACAAGACTGAAAGATAAGGTGGGGAGTATTTTAATAACCCACCTAAATGGTTAGGGGAAAGATAGCAGTAGTGGAAGTAATGAGAAAGTGTTGAATTAGGAGTATAAGTAGACTATACTTAAATCAATAGGATTTGCTGATGGTTATAACCAGGACATCTAGGAGAACATAATGGCATGAAACTCAGAAGAAAGAAAAAAAAATCCAAGATTTACAGTGATAGTCAACACGGTCTAACAAAAAAAAATCTAGAAAACAATGGGAAAGAAGAAAAACGCCCCTGGTTTTGACCTCTGAATGTCATGAAGCTTGAAAGAGAGTGCTTTTAGTGAGTGATGAAAGTGGAGGCAGAATTGCACTAGATTAAGGGAGTTGGTGGCGGCTGTTGGTAGAGAGTACTTATTTAGAATATTAGCCATGAAAGAAAATGGAAGTGACAAGCCCTCAATTGTTCAGTTGTTGATTATATAGTTTTAGAATTAGCAGGCCTTGTCCTTTTTTCTTGGGCCCTTTCTGTGTTCATTACAATCTTTAGTAAAGGAGAGTTGACATCAGGGAGGAGGTTAAGATTATCAGTTAAAACGGAAGTTGGGAATACCAGTGGTTTTCGCTTCTTCCAGTCACCTCTGTCACTCCAACCACAGATAGCTGAGAGTTGGCTCTCACCCTGAGTTTCAGGAAAGGGACCAATGTGAGTGAGTCATGTGCTTACATTAGATGCAGTCTTGATTAGAGTGGGAGAATCTGGCTGTGGGAATATGAATATGTCCCTTATCAGTGGGTAGGGCCTTTTTATACATGGGTGGGGCTATGGAACAGAAATCTGAATTGAAGAACATACACATTAGCTATATTGAAAATTCATTCTTCCGCAATGCACACGATGTCTCCTGGACCTGTCGATAATGTTGTATAATTTAGAAATCATGAGTAGGAGGTTTTGGGCTAATGGATACAAATCTTAGCTGACGTTTCAGGGGTAACAATTTGTTATCCTTAATATGAGAATCTCCACTGTGGTATTCGTTAGGTTGGGGGCAATCTCCAGTAGTTAGTATGTGTTTGTTTTCTGGTCCTTTGTTATTCTTTGGTAGTTAATAGAAGAATTCAATGTTTATTATTAATACACTAATAGCAATTCGTCATTCCTCCTTAGCACCAACCTAGGTTGTAAAAAGGCTTAAAACAAAGACTGTAACAGAAAGAGTTTCTGAATCTAGGCCCACCCTGTAAAATTTAGGTCATAAAATACATGTAAGGAATTAACCTTGGAAATTAAATTATAAAATAAGTAATTGAATTATTTTGAAAGCTTTTACATAGAGAAAATGCAAATTTAGCATATAAGAACTGCACCTCTTCCACAGATTCTAATCAACCTTATTACATTTTCTTTTGAGAATGTGCAGCACTTGGTTTCAGGCTTGGGATACTTTCCCAGGAAACAAATCCACGAGGTCATGGCCCTTTAAAACAGTCATGCATCTGTTTACAACTATGGAAAAGAGATTTCCTGGGTGTACGTTCCACCAAAGGACAAGTTTAGGGGTCAGGCTTCAATGTCATTCACCAACCTCAGTAGCAGGATCTTGTGTCACTGGAAGCCAGTTATAGCATGTAATAAAGGTGTGGGTGTTTACATATGTGCACACATCTAATAAGAAGCTCACAGTTTCATTTAAATTTATGGCTACTTATACCTCTTTAAGTCATACGCTAGACTACAGAAAATTATTTGTTTTAATTACAAAATAATAAGTTTGTTTTAGCAAATTTTCAAAGTAGTGTTAAGTAAGTTTAAGTTACCTTTTTTCCCTTACATGTTAAAATTACCACTATGAACATTTTCATTTATAGTTTTGCAATCTTTCATGCGTGTGACTGTGGGTATGTATACACAGTAATGGGGTCATTCTGTGGGTACCATTGTGTATCTTGTCTTTATCACTTAACAATGACATTTTCCATGCCATTAAATATTATTCTGCAGCATTTTAATCACTCCATTATATATATGATATATATATAATATATATTTTATATATCATGTATTATATTATATATATATCATATATAATATATATTTTATATATGTATATAATATATATATATTTTTTGAGATGGAGTCTTACTCTGTCGCCCGGGCTGGAGTGCAGTGGCGTGATCTCAGCTCACTGCAACCTCCACCTCCCAAATTCAAGTGATTCTCCTGCCTCAGCCTCCTGAGTAGCTGGGATTACAGGTGCCCGCCACTACGCCCAGCTAATTTTTTGTATTTTTAGCAGAGACAGGGTTTCATCATGTTGGCCAGGCTGGTCTTGAACTCCTGACCTCGTGATTTGCCTGCCTTGGCCTCCCAAAGTGCAGAGATTACAGGTGTGAGCCACCACACCCGGCCATGACTGCATAATCCTAAAACAACACTCTATTATTGGATGTGTGAGTTGTTTTCAGTTTTCCGCAGTTGCATATAAGTTTTGATGAATACCCTTGTAACAAAATTGTGCCTCTTTTATATTATTTCCTTAGAATAAGTCCCTAAAGTGAAATTACTAAACCAAAGCTAAGAATAAGCAAATTTTGTGTTTGATATAACTCCCAGCAATTATTTTTTAAGTTTAAGTAACAAAATAAAAAATATATCTATATTAATATCTACAGGATAACTTGGCAAATGATTCAATCATAAGTTATCCTATGAGCTTTTCACCCTACTTGCTTCATCATTCCTTCTCCCTCTCTGAACAATTTGAGAAAAGTTACAGATATTGCAAAGCTCTGCCTCTGAATACTTCAGTGATTATTTCCTAAGAATAAGGATATTCTCTTATAAAACCATAGTCAAGTTGTCAAAATCAGGAAATTAAACATTGAATACTTTTATCTGACATTGATTCCATATTAACTCAAATTTAAATTATCCTAATAATGTCCTTTATGATTATTTCTTTTTTTTTTTTCATTCAGAATTCAATCCAAGATCACAGGTTGCATTTTGTTGTCAATCTCTTTAATTTCCTTTTTCATTGAACAGCTCCTCAGCATTTCTTTGGACTTCTTGATCTAGATATTTGTAAAGATTACAACTCTGTTCCAAATTGTCCCACATTTTGTATTTCTCTGATGTTGGTTAATAATTAAAATCAGATTATGTATCTTTGGAGGGAACATATTGGAAGTAATAGTGTGTCCCTCAGAATACTTTATATTGTGAACCCCAGGATATCAATTTATCCTAATGTTTATGATATTAAGATTGATCATTTTGTTAAGATGACATTTATTAGATTTATCCACTATAAATTTACTATTTTGCCCTTTATAATTAATAACTAATTTGTGGGGAGATATTTTTGGACCATGTAAATATACTGTTTCTCATTTAAATTTCACCCACTAGTTTCCATATTGATGTTTTTCCTATTTGATCATTTCTTCTACATTTGTTATTTGGGGTTCTACTGTAAGGAAGAGCTTTTCCTAAAGGTTTATTTATTTTTATCACTATGAACTATCAATATTTGTTCTATCATTGTTTATAAATTAAACAGAAGAGACCTTTCATGCCAGTTCAGGAGAGGGACTAAGCACCTTGAGCATGTTACCTAACCTCTCTGTGCCACCATTTCCTCATCTCTATAGCAACTCTGCCTTACAGGGCTACTATAAGAATTCACTGAATCAATACATATAAAATGCTAAGAACAGCATTTGGCAGATACTGAATGTTCAATAAGTACCATCTGTTATTACTACTTCGAAAGAAGTTCCTCACAACTGGTGGTTACTTGGGAGAAATAAAAAATTTAAATAATTTGTTCAAATCACTTCTAGTTATTTCTAAATTACATCTGGGGTGATTGTATTTCTCCTTACAGAATTACACCAGTTGTGCTTTTACAGTTTTGGTTTCGTTTTTGGTAAGAATTCAGGAACACATTCTTAATGTTTTATCAGAAGTATTCCTGGGCAATAGAAACTAGGGAAACACACAGCTTCCTGCATCTTCCATGGAAGGTGGAAGGTAGTGTGTCCGGAATTGGTGGGTTCTTGGTCTCACTGACTTCAAGAATGAAGCCGCGGACCCTCGCAGTGTTACAGTTCTTAAAGGCGGCGTGTCTGGAGTTTGTTCCTTCTGATGTTTGGATGTGTTCGGAGTTTCTTCCTTCTGGTGGGTTCGTGGTCTCGCTGGCTCAGGAGTGAAGCTGCAGACCTTGGCGGTAAGTGTTGTAGCTCATAAAGGCAGTGTGGACCCAAAGAGCGAGCAGCAGCAAGATTTATTGCAAACAGTGAAAGAACAATGCTTCCACAGCGTGGGAGGGGACCTGAGCGGGTTGCCACTGCGGGCTCCAGCAGCCTGCTTTTATTCTCTTATCTGGCCCCACCCACATCCTGCTGATTGGTCCATTTTACAGAGACCCAAGTGGTCTGTTTTGACAGGGTGCTGACTGGTGGGTTTACAATCCCTGAGCTAGACACAAAGGTTCTCCACGTCCCCACTAGAGTAGCTAGATACAGAGTGTTGATTGGTGCATTCACAAACCGTGAGATAGACACAGGGTGCTGATTGGTGTGTTTACAAACCTTGAGCTAGATACAGAGTGCCAATTGCTGTATTTACAATCCCTTAGCTAGACATAAAGGTTCTCCAAGTCCCCACCAGTCAGGAGTCCAGCTGGCTTCACCCAGTGGATCCCCCACCGGGCCGCAGGTGGAGCTGCCTGCCAGTCCCATGCAGTGCACCCGCATTCCTCAGCACTTGGGTGGTCCATGGGACTGGGCGCCATGGAGCAGGGGGCGGCGCTCTTTGGGGAGGCTCCGGCCGCACGGGAACCCACAGAGGGTGGGGGAGGCTCAGGCATGGCAGGCTGCAGGTCCTGAGCCCTGCCCCGCGGGGAGGCAGCTAAGGCCCGGGGAGAAATCGAGCGCAGCACCCGTGGGCTGGCACTGCTGAGGGACCCAGCACACCCTCCGCAGCCGCTGGCCCGGGTGCTAAGCCCCCTATTGCTCAGGGCAGGCAGGGTTGGCCAGCCACTCTGAGTGCGGGGCTGCCAAGCCCACGCCCACCCGGAACTTGTGCTGGCCAGCAAGCACCACCCGCAGCCCGGGTTCCGCCCGGGCCTCTCCCTCCACACCTCCCCACAAACTGAGGGAGCCAGCTCCGGCCTCGGCCAGCCCAGGAAGGGGCTCCCACAGTGCAGCGGTGGGCTGAAGGGCTTGTCAAGTGCCGCCAAAGTGGGAGCCCAGGCAGAGGAGGCGCTGAGACCGAGCGAGGGCTGTGAGGGCTGCCAGCACCCTGTCACCTCTCAATAGCATCATGAGAAGATGGTATTATAGCTGAAGCATTTCCTTTCAGTGGGACATTTGGTTTCCTTGGCATCTGTATAGTTGCGGAAGACAAGGAAGCATATTCAGGTCTTTCTCCAGCTTGCTGTCATCAGGTGCCCGTAAAGAAGACTCAGAGCCACCTCTGAGGGGCTGCTGATTCTGTTTTAGAGGCTATAGTGCAGGAGTGGGGAAGAGGTAGCACAGTGTTTTATGCATGTCTGAAGAAATCCCACAGAGCTGGAGGGACTTGATAATCAGGGATGTGAACAAAGATTTACCAATGAAGATATTAATTAAAATGGCATTTTTAAGAGCAAATACTTAGGCACCACATAAAAGGTCAGTGAGTAGGGAATACATTTCTGGTTAGAACATAAGTTGGTACTTTTTTAAAAAAAACTGTTTTTCAAAATGTAGCAAGAATCTTAAGCTGGTAATTACACTTTGAGAAATCCATTCTGAAAAAAATATTCTGAAATTCATGTAAAGAATCTGAACAAATATGTCCATCATAATATTATTTGTAATGGCAAGAGTTGGGAACATCTCATACATCTGTAAAACAAATCCATAAAATGAAAATAATGTTTATGAAAATATTTTAATACCATTGGGAAATGCTCACCACTTAATGGTAAATGAGAAAATCAAAATATAAAACTGTTTTAGTTGGGTCCTCTGGGAAGCAAACCATTTTGGGCAGGATAATGCCTGTGACAGATAAAGGAGGCGATAAAACAGGAGAATAGACTTCACAAGACAGTGTAGGTCTGACACCTGTAGAAGGACAGAGGGAAGAAAAAGGATGGGGTAAGAGGAGACTGGCTGTAGTTCAATCCCAAGAAAATCTCGGCCAACAGGAGCTCTGGCACAGAGAGTGCTGACGATGGTGCATTGGGCAGAAAGGGCCGGGCCCTAATACCCGGGGCTGTGCTCAGTCACGTGTTAGAGCTTCCCACGAGAACGCAGAGAAGCCAGAGAACACCGCAAGCAGGGCTCCTCAAACACTATGGCAGATTTTTAAAGTGCCTGCTGGCTGACGACTGTTAGCTAACTCACTCTTCACAGTTGATTGGCACATTCTTTCTGGATGGGAGATCTGATTGGTGACCCTTCAGGCTGTGGCAAAAACTATTCCATGCGTTCCTAGCTTTGAGAAAGAAAGGAAAAGATAAATGAGAGAAAGAGAATGAATAAAATAAATATTTATTATCTCTGCATAATCTGTGTGAATATGAATTTTGAAAAAGTCATTTGTGTATTTCACTAATTTTCCCTTCCTTCCTTCCCTTCCTTCCTTCCCTCCCTCCCTTCTTTCCTTCCTTCCTTCCTTCCTTCTTTCTTCCTTTCTTTCTTTTTCTCTTTCTTTCTTTCCTTCTTTCTCTCTTTCTGTCTTTCTCTTTCTCTCTTTCTCTCTCTCTCTCTCTTTCTTTCTTTCTTTCTTTCCTTTTTTGTTTTTTTGTCTTGCTCTGTTGCCCAGGCTGGAGTGCACTGGCACAATCATAGCTCACTGCAGCCTTGACCTTCTGGGCTCAAGCGATCCTTGGCCCCCTGAGTAACTGGAACTACAGGCACCTGCCGCCACATCCAGCTAATTTTTATTTTTATTTTATTTTATTTTATTTTTTGAGACGGAGTCTCACTCTGTCATCCAGGCTGGAGTGCAGTGGCATGATCTCAGCTCACTGCAACCTCCACCTCCTGGCTTCAAGCAATTCTCCTGCTTCAGCCTCCCAAGTAGCTGAGATAACAGGTGTCTGCCACCACGCCCAGCTAATTTTTATATTTTTAGTAGAGACAGGGTTGCACCATGTTAGCTAGGCTGGTCTTGGACTCTTGCCCTCAAGCGATTCGCTCGCCTTGGCCTCCAAGAGTGCAGGGATTACAGGTGTGAGCCACTGTGCCCAGCCTGCTAATTTTTTAATTTTTTTGTAGAGACTGGGGTCTAGCTATGTCGCCCAGCCTGGTCTCAAATTCCTGGCCTCAAGGATCCTCCCGCCTCAGCCTCCCAAAGCCCCAGGATTACAGGTATGAGCCACCACACCTGGCCATTATTTTACAAATTTCTACAATAATCATGTATTGTTTTTACAATAAAAAAATTGACAAAAAAGGACTCACATGAAAATGAGTTTGAAAAGGAATAAAATATGTTCTCACTCCCATCTTAAATTAAATAATCATTTTTAAAACTTGTGTAGATTCCTGTGTCACAGAGATACCCAGTTACTTTTGCTGTTAGATCAATACACAATTCTTCAATGATTTGCAGAGAAATATGTTTTCAGTGAATGTTTCCCTGTGAACTCAAGAGGATTTTCCAGCACTGTTTTCAGAATGAGCTCTAAAGTTGATATTTTAAAACCAAAATTTAAGAATATAAAGTTAACATTTATTACAGCCAAATAGCAAGTCCTAAGTTTCCTTTTCACAATTAGTAAAAGAACAATATGTTACAATCTTCTTGTACCTGTCTGCAAAATCACTTTGAGAAGGTTTGTTTCTTTCTATCTTAAAAGTAAATATGGAATTTGGAAAATATAAATAGAAGAAAAAAATTTTCCTAAGGTTTCATGCCTAAGACAATGACTATCTGTGTTTCTGGTATTACTTTCTGTACATTGATTTTATATATACAATTTTATATTTTCTTTTTGCATTTAATACAAGACTTTCATATAAATTTAATAGCTATATAATATATTTCATTATATATGGACCATGGTTTAGTTCCTCATTCCTCTGTTTCTGGACATTTATTTTCCAATTTTTGCATCTTTAATTTTTTTGTGAAAAATTGAAGGCTATGACAATGACTATAACACTTAAAAACAGAAACAATTCTATATTTGTAACTCTGCCTTCACAAACTGTGAGTGCAACACAGGTGTTGCCTGTTTTAAAAGGTGTTAAAAATGATTACATCAATAACCAAGGAAGAATAATCCAAAAGCTGCTTTATTTATGAACGAGTTAAGTTCTGAAAGAATGTTCCAAAATTCTTTCTTCTTATGTTGAAGTCAGTTTATAGGTATTTTATTACATTGAAAGGAGTTAATCCTTCAAACCATTAAAAATTTGCTATATTTGTCTCTTTCTTGGTCATATATATCCTACAAAGCATTTTTTTTTTAAACAAACCACTATCATCTCCACTGACAGTTGGCTGGGCCATAACATCCTCCTTCGTTATCTTTGTCAGGATTATAGAGAGCTGCCAGGGAAGCATGGGTTATGTTCCACGTAACTGCTCTCTTTGATGTTGCTTCGAAGCCAACAGTTCCCAGACCTATGAGCCATGTGCGAATTGCTAGAAAAGTTTCCACAGACATACTTTCAATCTTTGTTTAAACTTTAAGTTTCCTGACTTGTTATTTTCTATTCCTAGTCTTTGCTTGAATTCTTGAATTAATATAACTAACAGCATTCAACAATGATATGTATTCTCTAACCATAATCTGAAGTTCTTCCACTTTTGTCTGTAATGTTTTCTGTTTTTAACTACTGTGGATGGCATATAAACAGTACTCTTAACCTATTAATAAGTATCTTACTGTACAATGATCTATGTTTCTGAAACACCTAAAAACTATGCAAAACAGCCAATAAAACACTCTGCCCAAAAGCAGAAGTGGTCCCTCACAATTTCATATGCCACTTTTTAATGGTGAGCAGAGCTGATCTACATTTGCATTGTACTTCTCTTTTGTATCTATAAAGTGTATATAAGTTTACAAGTTGAAAGTTCCTGAGTAGCGATGCTTCTATAATAGAAAATAATTATGTAGGTATCACTATTTGTACATTTACCAGATTCTATTTGTATGAAATAACTGGCTTATGCTGAAATCTTTTTCATTCCAGATCTCTGCTACTAAACCATAAATGTTCTTCCCAATATTAACATCAATCTTTGGATTAAGACAAATGATTCCTTTTAAAAGGCCAATGTAATAGAGGAGGTATAACCCATTAATCTATTAGCACCTTTAACTACATCAGCACACATTCATAAATCATATTAATGGAAAAAGGTGCCCCACCAGGAGAGGGATTTTAATGTGAAGAGAATGAAGGAAAAATGGAAAGTTATTGAAGATGATAATCCTGGCTAAGAAGCAAGAGTGTGAACAGTGAGAATTGAGGGGACAGAAGGAAGTCTTTAAAGGCCAGGGGGAAGCAATAAATAAAGAAAGGGATGCTGCCCAGAGATATGGAAGACATCAATATACAGCCTTCGGCTTTTTACCAGGTTTCTCAAATATAAGAAAATTCTGTAACTCATGTAATGAAGTTTATAAAGCTAGCCATATCATTTGTGTCTATCTATATTTCATCTTTTCTCTTCCTGGTAATAATGCTGCTTTCCCAAAGAGTAACAATATAAGTAGGGAGTAGCTTTGTGTTTGTTTGCTTGCTTTTTAAGTCAATGCTCAAGATATGTTGGTTAAAAGGGGCAAATGTTCACATGGTAAACTAAATTCATTAATATATCATTCAACGGGTCAGGAGTAGGGTAATTCAGTACCGCAGGTCCTCTAATAGCATCATCATTTTGTTATAAAATTGATGAAAAAAATAATTCCTGGCAGAGGCCACTGTCTGTGTGGAGTGTGCATGTTCTCCCCAGGACTCTGTGGGTATTCTCTGGATACTCCAGGTTCCTTCTAGCTCCCAAACTAGAGCATGGTAGGTGAATTGGGTGCCTACATTGTCCCAGTCTGAGTGTGTGTATATGTGTGTGTGTGTGTATGTGTGCCCTGCATGGAATGACCAAGGCGGGATCCTGCCTTGCCCCTGAGCTGCTGAGAGAGGCTCCAGCCACCTGCTACCCTGAACTGGAATAAGTGGGTTGGGAAATGAATGAACACAACGTATTGTCAAATAAAAATTTGTAAAGTAGGCGGCGATCATACAAATACTCAGCAATAAACATTGCAGTAAGGAAGTAGAAGCACTCAGAGGGCCGGCCGCATTGGTGATTGTTTTTGAACCATGTGGTGGTAGGAGATGCTCCGGACAATTTTCTCTTTGCAAATAAGTATTGCTTAATTTAACTCTCCACCACTACGGCCTCTGTCACTCACTGATTCACCACAAATTTAGTAAATAATTATCTTACTTGCTTTTATTAATCTTTATTTTAAACATGTGTATAGCTCACATTTATTTCAATATTTAATATTAGAAGTGCTTTGTTTCTTACTTAGAAGTATGGTGATGTTTTTATGACCAGAAATATGCCATAGGAACTTAACTCTTGTTTCTATCAATTAGCCAATGGTAATATTGTTTTCATTATAAATCATTTTGCCTAAAGTCACAGTTTTCAATAACTCATCAACCACATTGAGGACTTACTGTGTATAGCATGTTGTAAAATTGATCTGCATAAACTACTAATAAGAATATTAACACTTTAATGGGCAGAAGATTAATTCACTTAATTTTCTGAAGTTAAATTTACTTAACCACAACTTTGTTAAATAAGCACACATTTGCTCTGTCAATGTTCACCATTGAAAGTCCAGAAACACACATGTAGTCAAAAAAAATCCATGTGTATCAACAGTGCTGCTGTGGTAACAAGAAATAACCACAGGGCATTTTTGGTAAGATGGAGTAGGAAAGGGCGCATCATAGAGTTCGGTTCTGTGCTGGATGATTTTGCAGGAGATTAAGGAAGTAAGGCTTTGTTCTGGATTGAGTACTGTCAGAAGGCATGGGAAGTTCAATAATTAGGTATTTAAAAAATTTTTATTTAAGAGGCATTAGGAAGGATTAGGAGCTCAGGTGTCATCAGTAAAGAAACAACAGCCACTCATGTTTGCTGGGAGAGGAGGGTATTTGGTTATTTTAGCGATTGTGTTGCATCCCTGTCTCTGTGCTTGCAATTATTGGGCAGTGGTTTTGTTTTTAAGTTCTACTGTGGTGGTGAAGTGGCCCTGTTTGGCCCTTCTTGGTATTCTGTGAGTATAGTTTTTATTCAGTGGGGAATACTATGGTCTAGCTGTCAGTTTCAAGAGCTGTTTTATTTTGTTTTTTCTTTCTCAGATCATTTATTTCCACATTCAACAAATATAAGTTTCTGGATGCGTCTGGCATTGTGTGACATTCAAGAAATAGATTGGAAAACAAGACAGCCAGGTGCAGCTCAACTAGCATAAAATGATCAAGGGTATGACTTTGTACTTCAAGTGCCCAGATTTAACTCCTGGCTTTATCACTTACTGTCTCCCTGTGTCAGTTATTAAATAATACTAATTTTCAGTTACCCATCTGTAAATGGAAATAATAATAGTACCTCCCTCAGGAAATTGTTACTGATATTAAATAGGTGTTAATTATAATCATCATCATCACTAGGGAAGACAGCTATTAGATAACAAATCATAAAGCCATTAAATGTTACGAAAGAGAAACCACAGACTGATATGGTAGTATATATATATATCAGAGGGACCTAAACACCTCTAGAGGAATCAGGGAAATATTCCCCAAAAAGAATGCTTAAAGCCCTGAGTACAGGCCGGGCACGGTGGCTCACACCTGTAATCCCAGCACTTTGGGAAGTAGAGGTGGGTGGATCACGAGATCAGGAGTTCGAGACCAGCCTGACCAAAATGGTGAAATCCTATCTTTACCAAAAATATAAAAAAATTAGCTGCGCGTGGTGGTGGGTGCCTGCAATACCAGCTACTTGCGAGGCTGAGACAGGAGAATTGCTTGAACCTGGGAGGCAGAGGTTGCAATGAGCTGAGATCGTGCCACTGCACCCCAACCTGGGCGACACGAGCAAAACTCCTTCTAAAAAACAAACAAACAAAAAAACTCGAGTACATTTTAGATTTTAGTTAAGCGGAAGGAGTGACTAGAGGTGTTTTCTCTCCAGGTAAAAGAGGGAATCTGAGCAAACACCCTGAGATGGAAGAACACAAGTCACATTTGAAGTCCTGGAGGAAATCCTGTAAGATAAGTCTGGATTTTAAGGACCAGATAGGCCGGGCGTGGTGGCTCACGCCTGTAATCCCAGCTCTTTGGGAGGCCGAGGCGGGCTGATCATCTGAGGTTGGGAGTTGGAGACCAGCCTGCTGACCAAAACGTAGAAACCCCATCTCTACTAAAAATACAAAATTAGCTGGGCATGGTGGCACATGCCTGTAATCCCAGCTACTTGGGAGGCTGAGGCAGGAGAATCGCTTGAACCCGGGAGGCGGAGGTTGTGGTGAACCGAGATCATGCCATTGCACTCCAGCCTGGCCAACAAGAGCAAAACTCTGACTCAAAAAAAACAAAACAACAACAACAACAACAACAAAAACAAGAAAAAAAGGAGTAAGGAGCAGATAGTGGGAGATTAGACTGGTGAAATGAGCAGAGCCAAATTAAGCAGGACTTTAAGGTCATATTAGAGATTCTCAACTATGTCCAAAAAAGAGCAGCAAGACACCAATAATAACAGCGTCCTCCCTCACCCCACACCCTTTCCAGGAGCCACTGCTCCGTAGCCACACTAAGGGGCTTGATTTTTCATCCTTTATTCCCCTCTCTGACTCCCAGACATGCTCCCAATGAGGATGAAAGGGTTTGGATTGTTAGTTCTGTCGACCAGGAAGGCCCTGATTTGTGCTCAGTGCTGGTGGGGGTGGGGGTGGGAGATTTATTTAAAAAGAAGAGGAAAGAAAAAAAGAGATCTCTATAGGCAAGTTAGCTTTTCAAAGTTTCAAATAATAGAATATATGCCATGTGTTTCTTTTATCTCTTTATCCAGGTATGTTTGACATTATATTTTAGATTTGGATTTAAGAGTCTAGTATTCCATGGATTTTCTTTTATCCGATGCCCAGAGATTTTTAATTTTTTTCAATGTCTTCAATGCATTCAGCTTCTAAGTAATCTAATTGATGTGGGATTATTAGTGTGCAGACGAATAGACTAAAATATAGATGTAGATTTTTTTCAAATTACATATTTACATCTATAAAAATCAACTCAATGAAAAATGTTAAAAGTATAGAATTACTTATAAATAATTCTTGTTTGTGACTCCTTAAAATTAGTATAATTTTCTCCCCTAACTTCAAGGATTGTGATAAGAATTACATGGAATAACATATCTAACGGATATTCACTCTATGTGTATATTACCTTCCCTTCTGCCAAAAGGACTGTTCTTAGGAGAAGCCAAGACTAACCACATGGAGCTGACCCATTTAATCTGTATCTTTCATCTTCCTCAGTTTGATTTGGAATTTGTCAGTGGTAGGATACTAATGGAGTTGATATTTTTGGCTACAATTAGAGTATATGCAAGAAGGTTAAGCAAAAGCACCAGTAAATGCAAAGTTGTTTTGGATTCCATTTCTCTTTGAACTGTGTCCAAAAAAGAGCAATCAAACACCAATGCACTTCCCAGTGAAAATCTATGCAGTTATGAGTCCACAATAACTTGTCAGACTTTGTCTAGGTGGAGCTGAGCTGAAAAAATAAATCTAAAAAAATAAACTGCCCTAGGCTACCATTCCTGTGATTTATTTGAATGAAAACACAAAATTATCTGAATGCATAAGGAAATTATTATATTAAGTGATCTAAATAAGAAGAATTCAATGTCTGGAGAGGAGATGACTGTTTTTTTTCAAAAGCACCAGAATTCCTGCTGACATCACTTAGAATCATTAGTCTTCCTATAATTATTTCACCTTCTCTTTAACCTTGTGTTCATGCCTCCATTTGTCTACATTTTTGTCTTAACTGGACAAAAATCACACAAACTCTTTCAAAGTTGTAAAACCAGCATATTATTATTTAGATTTTTACCAACTTGAAAATCCAGTTGGTAATTTTGTCTTTAAATGGGAGGTATCTGAATTTTTGAATAAAATTCAGTTTTGCAATATTTTACTTTTATAAACAGCAATAAAATGCATCAGAAAGATCCATTTATATCAATAGTTCTGAGAAACACATACTCTAAGAAATTTCCAGATGGTATCATGGATTATACAACAGAAGTATTCATGAGCAAGCCAGAATTGAAATAACACAATGTCTTGTTTTACCTATGTGACATGTACATGAGGTAAATAAATTTTCTTCCCATATGGTGGTTTGTATAGGTGGGGACATTGTTTGAAATGATCACACATACTTGCACGCTATTCATGCCTGGGCTTTTTTCACTGAAGAGGAATGACTAAGTGTGACTACAGCAGCTCACGAGGCCAAGAATTCCAGGAAAGTCTTCTTGCCTGCCCAGGTGCAATCTGTCATTGGTTCAGGGATAGAAATCCTTTCTGATCATCTTCATAACCCCCGGCAACTCAGAAAAGTTAGTTAAACAAGTAGTCTCTCAAATTGGATATTAGTTATCCCAAGATGGCCAGCAAACAATAGCCAGTGGCAAAAACACGTGACTGATTTTGCCATATATTCCTCACAAATATAACTTTATATAATCCCTTAACCCTGTGGGTATCAGTCCCGGCTACACATTACTATCAAATTTAGACTTAAAAAATGTCTATGCCCAGGCCCTACTCTAGACAAATTAATCAGAATTTCTTAGAATGAGATTTGGTGTTTAAAATCTCCTCATGATGTTTATATGCAGACATGGCTGGGAACAGTGGCCTCAAACAATGGAATCACTTAGTGAACTTTATAAAGTAGAAATACTTGGGTTCCACCCCCAAGGATTCAGACTTAATGGTGTGGAATGTGGCCTGAACATGAAGAGTTTTAAAAACTCCACAGATGATTCCAATATGCAGCAAGGCCAAGATGACCTTATAGATGTCTGCCTCCTCTCTTTACAGATCTGTAGAAATCTAGGAAGAAGAAGGCTCTTAAAGCAGTGGCTCCAATATGGGGTCCCTTGAGAAGCAACAGAGATATTTATAACTATAATAATTCTTCACATTTATTTTATATTCAGTATATTTCATAGTGTTTTCCAAGGCATCACATCATATTGAATAATCAGTATGGAAATATTTTATTCTTTATTATTATTTAATTTTATTATTTTTTCAGAAGCAGGGTCTTGCTCTGTCCCCAGGCTAGAGGGCAGTGGAACCATCATAGCTTACTGCAGCCTTGAACTCCTGGGCTCAAGCTATCCTCCCACCTCAGCATCCTGAGTAGCTGGGACTATAGGCACAAGCCACCATGTCTGGCTAATTTTTTTTTTTTTTTTTAGAGACAGTGTCTCACTGTGTTGCTCAGGCTGGTCTTGAATTCCTGGGCTCAACGATCCTTCCCCTTCGGCCTCCCAAAGTGCTGGGATTACGGGCATAAACCATGGCACCCAGCCTGGAAATATTTTTTAATTAATCTAAAAAAATGCAAAACTGATACCTCTCTAATGTTGCCTATTACGTTCTTGTATCTACTAGAGTTTAACTCATACATAACTTCTCTAATAAACTACAAGTTGTTTAAGGTTAATTTCTATATCATATTATCTTTATATACTGTACAAGTGTTCCATAAATGTTTTAATCTGATAAATGTTCAGTCAGTTTCTCTTGAATGAAAGATCGAATAATTCTGTTTGCTCCGATGAATACTATTAAGCATCTCCTCTGGGCTGTCTGACGCAGGCCCTCTAAATACAGTGGACTTTAAAGCTCCTAGCTCCTGTTTTTAAGGAGCTTACACTACAGGAAATGTATGAAATACTGAGATCTCAACTTCCAGGACGAATCCATGCCTCACATCTGTACTGACATGCCGTAGCAGAGCTCCTGGACTGGCATGAACCAAAAAAAAAAACAGGAGACATATGCCTTTCTCTTGACTAACAGACAATCAAGAATCAGCCTGTCTTAGATTGTTGCAATCTTTCTATCATTTTAAATCAACAGCTTCCTATTACTTTGAGCTTCCTCACACAAGAGACTTAAGCACCACAACCAAAGGAATGCATTAGCAATGCTTAGAACAAAAACCTGAAGTCTTAGCAGATGATGCAAATGCCTCAGGATGTCATGTAATCTATATTCAATCTCTTCATAGGAGAGATTGTACCTGAGTCTTTTATTTCTACTGGTGATTTACACCTGCAATATTTAAGATGAAGATATGTGCCAGGGAGATGTCTCAGCATGCATGAGTTTAAAAAGCAATTAAAATAAAACTGTATGTGTGCATGTATAATAATCACCCATCAGCAACTCTAAGAAGAATAAGGGTGGCTTTCCCTTAGGTTAGGTAAAATTGAAAAAGTGGCTAAGGAAACCCTCAAAAAGCCTGCTGTTAATCCAAGCTCTTGTACTCCCACAACGTGCTCCAGTGTCAGAGCTCATTTATCATCCTTTTAAGCAAAGATCTAACGAGTGCTGCACTCCCTTTGCAAGAAAAACAGGGCATCATCAGAGAGACTGATGGAAACTATAACCTGATTTGAAAAGCAGCCTCATTGGCCTTTATGATTTCAAGACTGTCCTAGGGAAGGAGGGGAAGAAGTGAAAAATCATACATCCCCCTAACCTTACTCCAAGTTGCATCCTGATTCACAGGCACCTTGTCTGCAGGGTAGACCAGGTAAGACTTGGCCAAAAATAAATGTGCTTATAGCTACTAAATTCTACTTTGGATTTTACAGTTTAATTTCATTGGATTTTGTGATCCAAACATCTTTTATTTTCACAGCCAGGCCGAATGGGAAAATGGCAGTGATACTGTTAAAAAAAACTCTGCACTTCGGCTTGGCGCGGTGGCTCATGCCTGTAATCCCAGCACTTTGGGAGGGCGAGGCGGGCAGATCATGAAGTCAAGAGATCAAGATCATCCTGGCTGACACGGTGAAACCCCATCTCTACTAAAAATACGAAAAATTAGCTGGGCGTGGTGGCAGGCACCTGTGGTCCCAGCTACTCAGGAGGCTGAGGCAGGAGAATTGCTTGAACCCGGGAGGTGGAGGTTGCAGTGAGCCGAGATCGTACCATTGCACTCCAGCCTGGGCCACAAAGCGAGACTCCGTCTCAAAAAAAAAAAAAAAAACAAAAAACAATAACAAACAACAGCAAAACTCTGTGCTTCGCATGAAGCCAAGGTAATAGTCAATGTAAACACCCCATTGAAGAATTAACATTATGCTGGGATGTAGGGTGGGAATGAGAGGGAAGGTTATTTTGAGTTTTTAGTCCAAATATAAAAGTGATTTATATGGATAAAAAATGTTAGTCTGCTTTTAAGTTCAACTTCAGTAGAATTATTTATTATAATAGCCATAATTATTTTTAAAAGCACCTTGAAAAAATTTCAGTGTGGCAATCATTTAACCAAATTACTGAGGCAAGAATCTCAGAGTCTAATCTAAAATTAGTGGGCTTTTTTTGTTAATATTTCTTACCATGTTTCTACAAATGTTCATCTTAGGTTTATTGTGTTTCAAAAACAATAGACATCACCCAATACCTTATTACCCTTTTGAAATGAGGTAATAAAAAGAGCTAATTGCTGGGGAGGAAAAAACTAAACCCTGAATATTCAAACAGCTGATCTACATTAGGTGTCAGTTTCCTTTTCTAAGGCAAAACAAGATGATGATCCACTAACTGCTTTTAAAGATTGTAAACTCACTAACAGGATATAATCATCTTGGCATGAAGATTGCATAGAGGAGAATTTGGTTACTACTAAATAGTTAAGATGAAAATATCAGCTGATACTTGATATAAAGGCAAGATAAGTTTTATTGAAAGCACATTTCTGCATTGCAAATATTAACATTTGAAGGGATAAATAGTTATTTTGTTTTATATTACTCAGCATTTTATTATTCAGAATTCTCTACTAATTGGCACTTCTGAAAATTTCCAGTACAAGGGTAGTTATTAATCATTATTACAACCCTGGAATACTGAAGCATTGCAAAACATTATTTTAAAACTAAGCATATTGTATACTCTAGTACTACTTGAAAATAAACAATACTTATGTAATTCATGTTTAGCATATCTTAATTAACCATAACACTATTCCCTAAGAATTCCAGATATAAGGCTTCTTATAAAATATATCTGTTTGAAGAATTTCCCCTTAAGTAACATTAGTTGAAAAAGATTTTTTGTCATTGAGGCCAGTTAGTAAAGTAAGTTACATGGAAGAAAAATTATTAAGTATTGGTCTCAGACTTCAAGTGGCAATGAATTTGACATCATTGGTTTCACTTGTCCATCAATTTCCAGGTATTATAGATAGTTTCTCATTAAGGTTGGTCCTTTTTGACTTGTCTGTGAATTTTGCATTTGGAGAATAATATTTTACAGCACCATTATGGAATTGAAGCACAGATGTGCAATGGGGGAAGTGCTTACAAACTATAAGAGTTGTAAGACCTCACTCACTAAAGGCATTAAAATGGCATTTTTTTCAAAGTATAGTCCTTGGGCCACTTGCATCAGTAATCACCTGGGGTGTTTCTTGCACATGTGAATTCCTGGGCTCCACTCTAGATCAAATGAGTCAAAATCTTGTCACAGGAATGGATGTTTTTATTAAGTGTCTCAGTTGATTCTTAACTCAGGCTAAAGACTAAAAATATTTGCCTTAAATGACATTTTTCATAATTTTTAAGATGAAAGTGCTATAAAAACTGGAACTACTAAAATATTTAGACTCTTTCTGACTAACATGACTGTCTCTGATGGAGCTGTATCAATAATATGCCTTATGGAGCCTCTAAGAAACTTTTCCAAAGTTACATGGTGATGATGATGGTGATGGTGGTAGTGATACTGATGACTATGGTGATGATGACAGTGGCAATGGTGATAATGGTGATTATAATGGTGGTGAGGGTAGTGATGATGATGAGAATAAGAATGGTGATGATGATGGTGATGATGGAATCACATTAATTTTGACCAGGCTGACTCCTTTTCTTTCCTTTGCCTTGCCTTGCCTTGACCTGCCTTGCCTTGCTTTGACCTGCCTTGCCTTGCCTTGACCTGCCTTGCCTTGCCTTGCCTTGCCCTGCCTTGCCCTGCCTTGCCTTGCCTTGCCTTGCCTTGCCCTGCCTTGCCCTGCCTTGCCCTGCCTTGCCTTGCCTTGCCTTGCCTTGCCTTGGTGCCATCTTGGCTCACTGCAACCTCTGCCTCCCAGGTTCAAGTGATTCTCCTGCCTCAGCCTACCGAGTAGCTGGGATTACAGGTACCTGCCACCACACATGGCTAATTTTTTTTTTTTTTTTAAGTAGAGATGGGGTTTCACCATGTTGGCTGGGCTGGTATCAAACTCCTGGCCTCAAGTGATCCGCCTGCCTCAGCCTTGCAAAGTGCTGGGACTACAGGGATGAGCCACTGGCCACTGTGCCTGGCCTCGCTGACTCTTGAAAAAATTAAATACAAGGCTCATTTCAGAGCCTTTGCACTTATGTTCCCACTGCCTAGATTTTAAATGGCTTACTCTTCATTTCTGCTCAAAAATCACCTTATCTGAGAGATCTTCCCTAACCATTCCCAAATTGTATCATCTTCTCTTACTCACTAGGGCCCTCATTTGGATTTGGATTTTTCTTCATAGGTTTATCTTATATATTTATTTACTAGTTTAATTTTTCCCCACTAAAATGTACGATCAATTAGAATAATGTATTCATGTGTTTTGTTCTCTTCCTTATTCCCAGTGTCTAGTACAGTAACTGGCACGTGAGAATGCCTTATAAATATTTGTTGAAAGTGAATGAGCCAACATACACAATTATTACATAATCTCTTAGCAAACACATGTATTAAATCATATGAAAAGGATCTGAAACGTGAACCTGTAGAACCCCAGTTTGCCCATGCTCCAGCAATGTTGCCTCCAGAATGAATGTGCTAAAGGTAAATTTATGTTTTAACATTTTAAGACATTCCCTAATAAACTGGTCTCTCTGCTTCCACTATTGTCACATTCGAATTCATTCTCCATACAGAAGTCAGGGTGATGCAATTACATCATTCATCTTTTTAAAACCCTTTGATGGCAGCCCATTGCATCTGGGATAAAAGACACCCACGGGTTTGCATGGTCTAGCTTCACCTGAACTCCCATCACTTTGATCTTTGCCTGATCAGCTCCTCCAATACTGTCAACCCTTTGCCATCCTAAAAGCTACATCTGTATTATCTGTACCTGGACTACTCCCCTACCCCTTTCCTTGGCAAACTCCCACTCCTTCTTCATATCTTAGCTGAAATACCACTTTTTCTCAGAAACCTTTCTTGACCTTGATATTTGAAGAAGTTCTCCTTGAAATATTTATAGACAGCATTTTGATTTTCTTCCATAATACTTATTAAAATCATATAGTTTTGATGATATAATTATTATTTTAAAAGTATTATCTCTATTAAGTTCTAAGTTCCATTTCACAGGATGTTTGTGTGTTTTTTTATTCTCTAGTAATTAGCACAATGTAGTACGGGTTCTTAATCAAGACACATTAACCGAATGAATGAACTATGCAAAACTAACCTCTGGTAAGAGCAGCGTTCCGATGGCTATTTTATTCCACTGTGAATGCTGTTGAAGTTTCCAGAAAGCTAAATGATTTTTAAAATATTCATTCTTTATTCTCTTTTTATTGTTAACAGTAATTCTCATGCATTATCTGGTTATTTGCTTTAATCCTTTAAAGCCTTTCTGAGATAATTTTTATTGCCAATCTATAGATGAGGCTCACTGCTAATGATGGGAACCAGGACTTGTGTCTAGTTCTGTTGACTCTAAAGCTTATGGTTTAACTTCCACACTGTACTGCCTCTGTCTCTGTTTCCTTTGTGAAGCCTTGAACACTTTTATCTATACCTGGGGATGCCCTGAATTCATATTCATTAAAAAATAGTTCTTCTCTGTTCACGAATCTTTACAAAATTTAATGGAAGTAAGCTAAATCAGCCTACTTCATCAATAAATACTGCAATAGAAAATTCAATTTATTAATTCATATATGGTACTTTGTTTGTAAGTTCTGGGTTTGGGGCCTTAAAAGACAAATTAGTGCCTTACTTATTTTCTCAATACTATGTCAAACATTTTAATGAGTACAGTGATAACTATATATATATATATATATATATATATATAAAGGTTGCCTAATATGTAAGATTTTTATTTGGCAGCCACCAGGTATGCTAAATGCCAGACTTAAACATGTCTCTGCATGTATCACTGCATTTGCTCTCTCTGACCTCCTTATGGCATTCATGCTGATAAATAAGGCTCCCAAGTCAATGAAAATGCCTGATCAGCTATGGAATTCGTAACATTATTCACTATGAATCAAAGTTCATTTGATCACCACTGGCATTCTGGATATTGACCTGAGTCCTCCTAAATTGTCCTCACTTATTTCAAAGTAAACCTCAGTTGACATTTTAAAATCTTGATTAACAGGAAATCAATTGACTCTGTTGAAGTAAGTGAAAGGCAAAATTTCTTTGTGCGTGAAAGTCCACTGGGACTTTAAAAACATGCATAAATGATGTGTGAGTCACCAATGCGAATGAGTTTATTATATATTACTGTGATTTTAACTTTAATGGCAAATTTATTGTTAGACAATTGTACTTATTTTAAAATCATTGTAGAATTTTAATACTGTGTACCTTTATTTTTATTTTAGCTTAGACCCCCAATTATGACTATTCTTTCTTAGATTAGGACAATATGCTAAGACAGGAAATCAGAAACTTTATGACTAGCAGCCTTATCTATTTTGCTCTATGATCTTCAAGAAAAACTAGGGATAGCATTTTAAAAGTTTAGAATAAATTGGCAAATTCCCAACATTTTTCATTCCCATTAAAAGTAGTAATTGGCCCATTTGGCAGGCCATGTAGGTTTCTTAAAAGTGAGGAGTGTGAATGGCCATTCAGCTTCTTATTTTTCCAGGCTTACTAGATAAGTGTGTGCTAAGGTGAGTATTTAGACTTTAATGTGTAATTGAAACCTCCCATGTGTCTCATTAAACAGCAGATTGTCATTTAGGTTTGGACTCAAGATTCTGTCTTTCTGTCATGCTCCAGCAGATACTGGTGCTGCTGATTTTTAAGCCATTGTGTTCATGATCTACACAGAATAAGAGTTTGGTAAAGGCTGCATTAATTGAATTCACGACAATTGATTCCATGAGAGCATCCATGGTCATTCTCTCATTTGTTAAACAAACGTGCTGAGTGTCTACTATGTTTTAGGTACTGTGTTGTGTACTAGGTGTCTGTTGTCAACAAAACAGATATACAACAACCTTTAAAGGCCATAATAGTGAGAATCAGTTGCGTGTCAGTCCTGTCTCTGCCTCAGAGACTTGTGAAGACAAATATTAAAGAAATAAAAACATAAGAAAATACAGGACTACAAATTCTTACATGTGCAATGGAGAGTGTAATTAAAGAGGCTCACAGGTCTATACTGGGGTGTGCAGAAGTTAAGTTTCAGCAGGCTTGAAAGGTGCCTAAATGTTAACCAGATGAACAGGGGAAGAAGTGTGCTTCAGGCAGATGGGATGTCTTAGGCAGGGATCCAAAAATATAAAATAATTTAGCCTCCTCCTGAAACGTAGAGATGGCAAGTGTAGCCTAAGTATGGTGAAAGAATAGAAGGAGCAAAGAAGTGAGGTTGGAGTTGAGTGACCACCTGATTTACTTTCAAACAATACTTTTGATGGTATAACCAAGGCGTGTGATGACACCCTAGTTTAGACAAGCAGACAGAGGCCAAATCATGCGGGAGCTTTTGGGTATAATGAAGTTGTTGTTTCCTCATACAGAAGGTACTAATTGTAGGAGTAACATAATCCCATTTATAATTTAATAGGTCACTCTGGAGGCTATAGATGTATGATGGTAAAATCAACCTTTTAGTTTTATTTCCAAGCACTTTTGGTTTGCTTCAGAAGAAGCAGTGTCAAAAGGACACTGAATATTAATATGAACAAAACTCAGTTCATATTTTTATTTACCTGTTTGATGTGGGTTCATGAGATTTATTTGCTGTATATGGCACATGTCTTACATAGTATTTCTATTTGTTTAATTTAAGGACTTAAACACTAAGTAAGAAATCCTAGTAGAGAATTTTAAGATTCCTGGAATAGCAAGCATGAAATACATTACAAGAAATTTTAATGCTGGGAATATATTAAGTTGGTGCAAACATAATTGTGGTTTTTGCCTTTTTTTTTTTGCCATTGAAAGTAATGGCAAAAACTGCAATTACATTTTTGCCAACCTAATAAATATGATGAACAAGCTATGATAAAAGACTTGGGCGAACATAGGTGAGTATGCTAGATGCCTGGGGTGCAGAAATAGACGTTCGCAGAAGTGACAGTCTTCTCATCTGTGACCACTGAAAAATTCAAATACCTCACACACATGATCTGGAGAGACCTGTGGGATACTTTAAAGTAACTAATTAGGCTTGCATTTTAGAACTGTTTCAAAGCACTTCTTTTGGCACGACTAAATGCCATCAACTTTTTGCGTCTTCTCTTCAAGAAGTGACTTCTCCCTTCCTTCCAATCCTTTCTAAATAGAACTAAATGCTGACAATTGACGATGCTCTCCTATTAGAGTGATTCTTATACTTTCGTCACCTCCCTAACTTTGATGTGTCACACTCTCCCAGCCAAATCAGTTTCTGGAGTGATTTGGTTGCTTAGGGAACACAGTCACTCTTTCAGGACACTTAAGGACTGCTCATGTCCCCCAAGAACTTGGTGTGTGTATATGGGTGTGGGAGTGAGGGGGTTCAAAGAACCCATAGATTCCATTATTCCCCCTCCCCCAAACCCTCGCTCACACCCTCTGATGCTAGTTGACTCATTCATTCTCTATGACCCATCATCTCCTTTGGAACCTGTCCATGTTTTCCCCGCCTTCCCATTTCCTCTGCCTGGAGCTCTAACTCTAAGACAGAGAAATGCTTTCCTAAAGAGATGAGTGATATCACATCCTTTTCTAAACTGTTTTTTTTATCCCTAGCCCATGCTACACCCAGCAAGCTTAATTCCCTTTGTGCAAGTGATCTCCTCAACATTTGTCCCTGAATCAAATGTTTTAAATGCATGATGGCAACTTGCTACTGAAAACAGTTCTCTGAAAAAATGCTTTAAAATA
The DNA here is from genome assembly GCF_000001405.40 of Homo sapiens. Taxonomy (NCBI): domain Eukaryota; kingdom Metazoa; phylum Chordata; class Mammalia; order Primates; family Hominidae; genus Homo; species Homo sapiens. The sequence continues at coordinate 74,418,761 of NC_000004.12, forward strand.
TAGAAAACAAAGTAAGGAGTTATTTCTGTCTGCCCACTGTCACGTATAAATAAAGAATTTTTATCTATGCTGTCAGCCAAAATGGATGCAACTGTATGAGACAAGTTCATTTGGCTATTTCAAGTCGTACATGCCCCTCTTTTGAGGGACAATAACTAGGGGCAGATGGAGCCATTGGACACAAAAAAGTCATTTTCTGATATTATCTACTTCTATGAGGCAACATGTCTTTTAAAAATAAGAAAACTATAACTTTTTATATTTGTTGCCAAAAAACACAATGGAAAACAGCTAAATACAATAAAGAAAAAAAATCACCCTTAATATAATCACCCAATCATGAGCAAGGCTACTTTTGGGGATCACTCATTTCACATTTTCCAAAATGAGTTTCCATGTTCTCATACTGGGACAGGGCTAGAGATGAGGGTAGGGAAAACAGAAAGACAATCATAGCCAATGCATCAAAGTGTTCCCAAGTGGGTGTATTAGATGAACATCATTTCCTTGTCCATGCAGGATATCACAACAGCCTCTGTAAAGAGAAAGAAAAGAAGGTGGTAAGGGGGAGTGAAAGCAGAGGAAGGCATATGAACAAAACTCCTCTATCCCTACATCTTCTAGACACTTCCTGAAATGAGAAAAATCAAAGCATAAAATTTCATAGAGCTTACTATATTAAGTAATTCACCAAGTCTCTTCTGGGACACATGAACCTGGTTCTCCTTGTGGATGTGAGATGCCCATAGGTTGTTAACCTGGATATAGAAAGGATTTTAGTCCATTCTATTCAGTTACAAGAGTGTGGCCAGACATATTTGTAATTCTGCCTTCTTCACAGTTCAAATAACATCATCTGGTTATTAGTACCACCATATGCACACTCTAAAACAGTAGTCCTCAACCTTTTTGGCACCAGGGACCAGTCTCATGGAAGACAATTTTTTCCACAGACCAGGGGGTGGGGGGATGGTTTCAGGATGATTCAAGTGCATTACATTTATTGTATACTTTATTTCTATTATTATTGCATTATAATATGTAATGAAATAATTCATTATATATTATATTCATTATATATTATATAATGAATTATAATGTAGAATGAGTGAGAACCCTGAGTTTGTTTTCCTGCAGCTAGATGGGTCCATCTCGGGGTGATGGGAGACAGTGACAGATCATCAGGCATTAGATTCTCATAAGGAGAACACAACCTAGATCCCTCATATGTGCAGTTCCCAAAAGGGTTTGCACTCCTATGGGAATCTAACGCCTCTGTCGATCTGACAGGTGGCAGAGCTCAGGTGGTAATGCAAGCAATGGGGAGTGCCTGTAAATACAGGTGAAGTTTCTTTCACTTGCCAGCCATTCACCTCCTGCTGTGTAGCCCAATTCATGGCAGGCCATGGACCCAACTGGTATTGCTCCCTGGCTTGAAGGTTGAAGCCCCTGCTCTAAATGACTCCTAAGGCAGTATAACATGCCCTAAAATAATTCCAGGCTCAGTGGCTTTGCACTTGCCATTCCCTCTGCTTTGAATATCATCCCCCTAAATATTTGCATGGTTGTCTCCTCATCTTTCATCCAAGCTCAAAGAGAACTTTCCTGACACTTTTAACATATGAAAGCCATCATCATCTCAATCCTCTTTATCTCATTTTTTTAAACTGTCGTACACCATTTGGAATTGTTATCTTTATTTTTATACTAAATTGTTGACAGGTTGTGGCCCTTCATTGTAGTAAGAATAGGAGCCTTATCTGTCTAGTTTAAAGCTAGTTTTCATCTATAAATGCACCTGGCACATAGTAGGTGCCAAGTAAATATTTATTGAAGCAATGAATGAATGAAACAAGCACATGATGCAAATTATGCTGATAAAATAAGTTTATTGGGCCAGGCCTGGTGGGTCCTGCCTGTAATCTTAGCACTTTGGGAGGCCGAGGTGGGTGGATCACCTGAGGTCAGGAGTTAGAGACCAGCCTGGCCAACATCGTGAAACCCTGTCTCTACCAAAAATACAAAAATTAGCTGGGTGTGGTGGCACGTGCCTGTAGTCCCAGCTACTCGGGAGGCTGAGGCAGGAGAATTGCTTGAACCCGGGAGGCGGAGATTGCAGTGAGCCGAGATCGTGCCATTGCACTCCAGCCTGGGCAACAGGAGCGAAACTCCATCTCAAAAAAAGTGTTTATTGAAAGCAATGTCTAAAGCTTAGATGTTCAAGTATCTAACTAGTCACTTGACAGCTGAAGTAAACAAAAGAAGAAGATTCTGGTATAATATAACATTGGCCTTTCTATGAGCCAAAACCCAGAGGACAACTAGATCCTGCGGATTCTCTTTCATCTGCTTACTCATTTCTCTTCCCCAGCTGTTCTTAAATTATGCAGGTAAAAACACTTGCACATTGTGGTGTACTTGATAAACATAAAATGTTTTTATTTCTTTTACCAAGAATCATCTTACATTCACCCTACTTCTTTGTTTAAATTGAGGAAAACAATGGTTACATGAGGGAGAACTAGTAGACATAAACTAAAGGTGCAGCTCGTGAAAGCAATCCACCTCCCCCGGGTGTCTCCCATGGATGGAGTGCAATCACTGTCCTCAAAACAACCCTACAAAATACTCCTTTTCATTCCCATTTCTCTACTGAGGACACTGAGATTAAAAGGGTTTTTAATAGTCTGTCCAAGATCACAAAACTAAAAATTAAAGCTGGTTCTGATTCCAAAACTAATATTTTCTGCTCTAACAAGTTGCTCCAGAAGGGCAGTGCTGTGTGAAAAGGGGAGCCGATTATTTTATCACTTTCCCCAGTCCCTACTCCACATTTCATGCAGTATTTCAACGTGATGGCTCCTAGCAACAGAATTCCTTGAAATATAAAAGAAAATGTAGGTCATTTATTCCTCTGCCTCCTCATAAACATGCTTATTTCCCTGAGATCTTATTTCCTCAGTGATTTAGACTTATTTTACCATCGTCACTATGAAGAAGAAGGAGAGGAAGAAAAAAAAGGAGAAGGAAAAGAGGAAGGGGAAGAGGAGGGGAAGGGGAAGGAAGATGGGGAGGAAAAGAGAAAGAAGAAAAAAGAAGAAAAGGAGGATGCTAATGGGGAGGAGGAGGAAAAGGAAGAGAAAGAGGGAAGAAGAGAGGAAGAAAGGAAGGAAAGAAGGACAAAAGAAAGAAAACACATACATTAAGGCTCTTGGCACAAGGATCTGTCATATGTGTATGTGTTTGTGTCTTTTTTGGCCTAATTTACATAGACATGTCTCCTATTTCAGAAAATGAGGCTAAACAGAAAACCACTTTTCCTCTATTTACATCTTGTACCAAAATGTTTGGCTCAACATCAATCTAGATTTTGGGTTTCTCTTTTACCACATAAATTATTCTCCTTCCACACAATTAATAGGCTCTGATTTGCTATTTCTGGTCTTTGATGAACAACCTTTAACAGTGGCTATTTTTTTTTTTTTTGCTATTACTATAACTTTTATAGGAAATATACCATTAAGTAAGGCAAAGGAGAAGTTGGGGTAGAGAGTGTGGAGGGTATAGGAAAAGAAACGGTGATGAAACTTAGTTTTAAATAGGAAACTAGAAAGGAGAGAGAGTGATCCTATTCACCATAACTCAGCCCTCAAGAAAAGAAGAGGCTAAGCAGGATTGACTGTTTCTTAAATTGAACACGGCCATCTAGGGTAACTGTGGCCATTATTTTGTGTGTGTGGGATCGAAGCTTCAACTCCCAGGGTTAACAGGCTGGCTTTTGGCTCCCACATCTACTGTTCATAACTCTATCTCTTTTCCAGTTTTTTTTGTAGACAAGTAAATCAAAGTGTTCAAAGGTTAAGTAACTTCTTAAAGCCATCTACATAATAAGTAGGAAAACAAGATTTGAATCCAGACTGTTTTCCTCCAAGAGTCAGGCCTTTATCACCTACTCAGTAATGCTTATATCATTTAATACTTATTTCATGATTCTGTATGTACTCTGGGGACTGGTATCTTCTCTCTGCTATGGCCCGAGAGGTGGCCTTGTGCCACAGCATTAGAATCTTTCAAACCAGAACTTTTATCAAAGTGTCAAAATGTGGATAAGGCGAATGAGAAAAGATAAAATTAGGACTGTAAGCGAGATATTTACTTAACTTAGGTTAAAAGATTTGACCAGTCTCCAGGTGGATATAGAATTCTATGACCTCTATGGTACCTTCTAATTCTTAAAATTATTTGATATTGTTAGAGAGGAATCTGAAGTTTTTGGCTAAAATGATGATGGGAATTAGAAGGTGCCATAGAGGTCACATAATTCTATACCCACCTGAAGATTGGTCAAATCTTTTAACTTAAGTAAATATCTCATTTGCAGTCCTAATACAGTCTCTTCTCATTCCCCCATCCATGTTTTGAGACTGATAAAAGTTCTGGTTTTAAAGAGTCTAATGCTCTGGCACAAGGCCACATCCCAGGCTGTAGTAGGGAAAAGATAGCAGTCCACAGAGTACATGATGATAAACAAAGTTATCAAGAGCTGGTTGTAATAAACTAAGAATAGCATGTAACTCACTTCCAAGTTGTTGGTGTTAGCTCTATAGTGCTGACAACAAGGAAAGTAAACAGTCAACAAAATGGTTATGACTCAGACATAGGACATGGTATGTTTATAGAAAGCCAAGTCTGGCTCTTTCTTTGTATCCCACGTAGTTCCTCCTTATGCTGAGTTCCTTTTGAAGTCAATTAAAGCTCTGCCATGGAAATTCATTAGAAAACATGTAGGAGAAAACAAATCCAATAGTCGGTGCTTTAAATAACAATCATTTAGGGAAAAAAATTACATCTGATTAAGAATCTGTCCCAAATATTTCTTGACACCATACAGGTAACAATCAATTATACTGAAACTAAAGAATAGATATGCAAATGCTCTTTAAGTACTTCCTTTGCATAATTAATTTATATAAACATGCTTTTGTTTGTACACTCTATTTGATCATAAAAATAAAAAAATTGCAGCATAACAAATTTCCCATTTAGAGATACATCAAGAAAGTTTAATTCTGCCTTTCCGCATTCCCCGTCCGTATTAAGCCCTTTTATTCATGAAACAAAAATTTTACTAAAATTACTTGCAACTATAAAACTGAAATTTACTTACCCCTGAAAGTGTTAATGATTCATATGAGAATAGAATACAGATATGCTAAATTTTAAAATAATATCTAAAATTTATGACAATATGCCTTAAGGGAAAATCTTAAAAGCTTTCAAAAAGGGGGAGGTATCCTAAAAGGAGAGTCAGACTGATGCTGTTGGACTTCTCAGCAGCAAGACTGAACATTAGAAGGCAAGGAAGCAATTACTATACTGTATGGAGTGAAATTATTCTGAAACTGGAATTTGATACACGGCTAAACTATCAATCATATGTGAAAGAAAATAAAGCCATTTTAAGATGTAGAAGTACTCAACAGCTCACATATCCTTTGTGAAAATGTTTATTTGAGGGGATACATTAGGGTAAAAAAATACAAAAACAAAACTGAAAGAGAGAACATGAAAGAGAATGACACCTGGTACAAAAACAAACAAACAAACAAAAAACAATACTAGCTGAATATGACCCACAAGAAGTAAAGGAAACTAGGCAGAAAGATACTTTGGGATATACTGATACACAGAAATGCTTGGAAAATTCTCCTTTGAATAGCAAAATTTAAACGATATCCCTTTCTCTGCAGGTATAATATTTTCATGGTTCCCTAATGTTGTAAATGCTATTTATTAATATTTAATTTTTAAATAATCTATGTTAAAAAGCATAAATGATGCTAATTGTAGTAACAGAATAGAATGTCAAAGCTATAAAGTAGGGCAATATTAATGTAATAAAATAACCATTGGAGGAGATTAGGAATTAAAAAGTGAAGAAGTAAAAAGACAGAGTAAAATGCACTAATTTCTATTTTTCATTAGGAAGGAGAAATATTCTCTATGTAAAATCAATCAATCAAAAACAGTATTTTTTAAATCATAAAGGCAACTGAATAAAGAAGAATAAAATTATAACTTATGAAAAATTGAGAATTAGGCCGGGCTCAGTGGCTCATGCTTATAATCCCAGCACTTTGAGAGACAGATAATGGCAGACCGCTTGAGGTCAGAAGTTCGAGACCAGCCTGGACAATATGGCAAAAACCTATCTCCACCAAAAATACAAAAAATTAGCCAGGTGCGGTAGTATATTCCTGTGATCCCACCTACTGAGGAGGCTGAGGTAGGAGGATCACTGAGCCTGGGAGGCAGAGGCTGCACTGAGCCAAGATCATGTCACAGCACTCCAGCCTGGGTGACAGAGTGAGACACTGTCTCAATTAAAAAAAAAAAAAAAGAGAGAGAGAGAATTAAATGGAATTGGGAGATCATGTTAGGTATTACTTTTTTCCCATAAATGGAACTAAATAATGTTTAAAATTGATAAGTTGAGAATAGAGTTATCACAATAGTGTATATATATAAATTTATATATATATATATAAATTATGATAACCATCACCAGAAGAACTAAAAACAAATGGATACCAGAGATTACATCTAGAAAATGGCACTGAGGAAGTGGTAATGGAGGCAAGAGACCTTTAGGAATTATTCTATGCACATTTTTACCCTGAATTTATTTTGATTTAATCATACCCTATAATTACTTTGAAATTTTAACAATAAAATGAATGAAACAACTTGGTTTCAATTCTGTGGTTATCCACTTATTTTTATGTGTTGGCATTCCAAAAAGAATTTAAGGAGGCTCACCTCTGTGAGAGTTTTTAGGTTTTATATTTATTAAAGCTTTTTCTTATACGAATAATATATTTTGAATTTGTTTTTTCCAAGGCATCCTTTTGACATTTTGAGAATATATGTTGAAGGAAAAATGTTCTCAAAAATACATGGTTGCTACAAGGCAACGTGTCGGTGATTCAGGAGATATCAGAGGTTTTCCTTTCAATCACACCGTGGTTATTCCACTCCACCACTGATAATCTGTGTTGGGTAGAAAACCGACCCATCTTAGATGACATGTCTGAGCTTTGAAATGCAATATCTGCTGTCAATGTTCCCAACAGCCCAATACAGTCTTTTTATTCTATACCAAAATTTGCCCTTATCATGTTGAAATCCTTAATAAAATTCTCTTCAGCTTGCGCTAGGAGAATCATTTCTTGATTGCATGTACTTAATTCCATAGATTAATATCAGAAGCCTCAAACAGCAGTCTCCAAATCCCTGAATTGTATATAATTTTCAAATAGCACATATTTTGATAACTCTTGAATGCATGAAAATGCTACATGGTAAGGTCTCCAGAATGACTCATGTTTAATAGAACCTCCACAGCAAGAGTTCTTGGTAGCTAACAGTCTTTCTCAAAACATGAGGAAACAAAGCAAGATGATGTCAGAGAAGATGAGCCCCAGAGGAACACCACTGACTGCCTGAGCTTTGGCTTGCTGTCTGTTTATATGGTTTGTGACAAAGAAAAGAGGTCACGGAAGAAGAGTATTTGTTGTTTTAAGAATGAGACATCAGATATGTCTTAAGATGTGTCTTCAGAATCTATTTCATGGTTTCTATATGAGGCTGCTGACAGTGGTCCAGCCAGCTTATAGACACAGCTCTGACAGCTGCTTTTCTCTGGCTCCTAATTAGATGCAGACTAAATGCTGTTCCTTTGCCTGGAACACTAGTATACTCCTTCCCCAATCCTTGCCCCCAATTAAATATGCATAGGATCACCTTGTCCCATTCTAATCAGTACAACTCACCCTTTCCAGGTATCATTTCTCCCAGGAAGCTTTGCTGAATCTACCAAGTCTAAGCTAAATGCCCACACTCTGTAAATCTCAGGGTTCCATGTAATTTTCTTAGTATCATGCCACTTAATTACAATGTACTGTTATTTTCTGCTTCTTATGTGTATCAATTTCTGCACCCTAGGGCCTACCACAGTGCCTGGGATGCAATAGGTGCTGAATAAATACTTGGTGAATGAATCAGTGACCTGTAGGCTCAAAACTCCATCATGGCTATTCTTGGAGGGTAAAGCTGACTTGGAGAGGTGGTCTAACCAAACTTGCACAAGAGTGAAGTAAAAATCCAGAAAGTGAATTTATAAATTTATAGTGAGAATTATGACTGAAGTGACAGGACAAAAGGATCCATCTAGCCTGCACTACCCTTAAAGAAGTAGAAAAGACAAATTCTAACCAGAAAGTTGCAACGGCATTAGACTGAGTGAGGTGGATATATTCATCTCTTCAGTAATGATGTATCAGCTACAAGAGAAAAGAGATGGATTCCTTCAGTTAGAGAAGACCCTTCTTAGAAATGTGTTCAGATAGACAGAGCCAACCTTAGTCTTCCTAAATCTCCCTTCTGATTTGTACTTCAGTTTTATTAAATTAGTCAATATCTTACAGGCCTAGGAGAAATTTTGGTCTTTTAGAGTTATTTCACATATCTGTTCTGCTCTATTCGTTATTATAAACTCAGAGGTCAATTCATTTCTAGTTACTTTCACCCATGGTACCATCAGTATTTCCATTTATCAAGCAATTAATTTCCACTTTAAAGCATTGTTAAGCACCTACACTATGTATAGTGCCATGCTAGCCATTATATATAGTGATTAAATGCAAGAGCTTTGGGTCAAAGAGACCTGGGTTTGGATCCTACTTCTCTTCAGAAATGTGTGATTTCCAGCAAATAATTTGAACCCTTGATTTCCTCATTTGTTACACAGGGATGATAATACTTACATTATAGGGTTTTATGAGTATCATAGGAGATAAAATCTATAAAGTTTAGAGCATAAACTCTCAGGAAATGCTATCTAAATTACATGATAATATTCACAATTTAAAGGAACTCTTTCTTGTCAGAGGCATGTCTTGCTGTAAAAGGAAAAATAGTCCCCAACAGTTTCAGAACAAACAGTGAATTATTATTGTTTTTTGGGTAGGAAACACTTAATGGATTTCTGTTCCTATCTCAGGAACTGCATACAATGATAATATTATTTACTGAGAATATCCAAAGTTTATAAATTGTGCTACAAATTAATGGTGATGAACAGATGAATAAAATACATCCCTGCTTCCATTCTTACATATTGTCCATGTTAGATGTGGTTAATTCTCATTCTCAGTAGTTTTTCAAATATCTCTTTCACTTAGCTTTGGTCATTGTAGTAACCTAATCACTAAGTAGTTTTCTTATGTAAAAACAATGTTTATTTTTAAAAATGACATATATTTATTTAAATGTTACCTTGGCAATTATGAAATAAAGATGGTAACTCAATGTTCTTGGTTTGATTACTAAATACTTGCTGTTTTATTCAATTCATTCAATCAATATTAATTGGACCTGTACCATGTACCTACCAGGTGCTGTTAAAACTGACAAAGAAAAAAGAAGCTCTTTGCATCGGGGAGCCAGTCTGGTACTATCATCTATCATCTGGGCCTTGAGGTTCTTCTGTTGCACATAAAAAACTTCACAGAATATTAACATCAATCAAGGCCACTCTGTAGCCACAATGTATTAAGGCAAAATCAAGATAATTTCATAATCATGTTTGAACATAAATAAAACTTGAACCTTGTCCAAACCACAACCATAACCAGACATCCCCCATCCTGACTCATATGGGTGACTGCTGATTCTTTAATAATTACAGGTTAGCCTCTCTCTTTGTATAGATTTATTAAGGTACCCAATCAGAATCATGCCAAGTTCCTGACAGCATCCATTGCAGAGCAAAGCCCTACTCCCTTAAACTCTCCCTAAATCACCTAACTGAAGCCTAAATCTTTTATGTCCTGTCTAGCCCACTCTTAGGAGATGCACCTGGCTCCCCATGCTGTATGTTCTCCCTTGCTGCAATGTGTTCAGCTATGTTCCTAGTGGTCTTTGGCTGGAGGACATTGACGTAGAAGATAATATCACAATGAATACAACCTAGTTTCTTGATTACCAAATCATCTGGTATTGGGCTCAGTTGCATGTATTAGAACACCTAAAATAATAGTGGCTCTAATAAGATGGAAGTTTTTCTCTCTTATGTAAAGAAGTCTGAAGATAAAAAGAATAGAGTGCTGTAGTAGCTCCAGATCAGTGATTTCAGCTCTCTTTTTTTTCACCATTCTAGCACCTACCTCCCAAATTCAGGACTAGTTCATGGTCTAGTATGATTCTTGGAGATGCAGCCAAGTGTCCATATTCCAAGCAGCTAGAAAGGAGTAAAGAGGGAAGTATGATAGGAATGTGTCCCACCTTTGTCAGCTCCCTTCAAGAAGCCTTCCAGGAAATTCTACACATCACTTCTTTCAGCTCACCAGAACCTAACTAGCAGAATTCAGTCATGTGGCCACCATTATCTTCAAAGTATCCTGGGAAATGTTATATTTTAGCTGGATACTTTGCCAGTCTAAATACAATCAGGGTTCTGTTACCCTGTTTTATCTTTCTAGGAAAGAGACAAAAATGGACACTGACTAGAGTTTATGGCATAATTATTGATACAGTGATTCGTATCTACAAACTAGCTCTCTTTTACATTGGTGTTGATTGGGCTCACTCTTGACTTCATCATTCTGAAACATTTTAAATTCTTACAGGCTTATTGGCCATAGTAAGCAGAGGTTCTCAAGTTATGAAATCACAACAATATTTATTTTTAATTGAATTCTAAAATATACATCAGAACATTTTTCATTAGAATTCCTAGTACTTTCTTCACTGATTTCAATATTACTATAGTAAAAATACTTAAGACACTGAGTAATTACAAAAGGTCAGATATTGTTGCAGGTATTTTAGTGTAATATTGCATTTAAACCTTACAAGAACCCTATGATTTCAATACTGTTATTGTCATCATCTCCCTTTTTAGAGATGAGAAAACTGGAGCCACAAGGTATTTAATTTCTCTGGTTGGCAAGGGGAAGAGCTCTGTTAAAATCCAATATTCTTAGACTCAGCTCCTAGAACCTAGACCACCTCTACTTCTTCACTGTAACACAAAGGACAGCATAGATGTGGGAGCAACTATGCAAGTGTAAGAAAGGCTGACAGCTCAAGAGATTATTTTCTTTCAAAACTGACATTCTTATTGGAAAAACTGATGTAATCAATTGTACAAATCACAACTCAGTTTACTTGGGAGATTATCTTCTTGTATAGTTTGGGTTTTTTATCCTAAAAAATAAAAGTAATACATAATCTTTGCACATATATTAAGACATAACAGGGAAGCAATTAATTCCCCAACCAAAAGATAAACAACATTTTTATATACTTTTTCTGAATATCTCTATGCATGTATATTTGTAGATACATATTCATATATGACATGTATATAAATCTTTGTAAATATATTGAGTTTCATTTCATAGAGTTTTGTTAGGTTATTTTACATAAGTATTAGAGATTTCTTTAATGTTAATAAATAAACATATATATATCTATAACTTGTGTTTTACTCTTAAAAATAATAAATTTTTAAAAAACACAGATTTGCTCTCATACTGTTGTTTTTTGTTTCCTCATGTGTATACATGTATATTACCCTTCAAAATCTATGAGTGCAGATAAATAAAGATGCACTTAGTATGTCTTAAAAATTCCATTAAAACTAGTAATTTTGCACAGATTGCAATATTATTATAAGGAAAAAAGTACGTATCATAATGTAGCACAGGCATATGTTGAAATATCTCCAAATTGGGTAGATTTAGTGACATAAAATTTAATAAAGAGTTTTTACAAGTTACTATATTCTTATCCACAGTTAAAATAACTTTTCAAAGTGCAATCTGGATAATTTTTTTCCAAGATGTATTTTAGGCAAAGCATGTCTTCAAAGTTTCTATTTTTTCTATTTAAATAAGCATATAAATTACATTACATCTCATTTTGAGATGGAAAATTTAAATTTAAATTTCTTTTTAAAAATCCTTCAGAATTTATTATCATTTAAGTAGCACTCCCCCACCCCACCATATATCAGAATTAGCTCAGACCAGCTGAACTGTTGAAAAGCCAAATATTTCCTTAATTGGCACAAGGTAGTGATTGAGGATCTCAAAATTTCTAGAAAATTGTTAATAAAAATATTGTTAAAATGCTTGTTACATTGAGAAGTGACCCAAATGAGCGATGTTTGAAGTTCCTATGAAAGGAAAGAAATCTAAGAGTGAAATTATACCTACTATAAATGGCAAAATCATCTGAAACTCCAAATAAGAACAAAACTATCGATTTCAGGAAAAATACTTGACACATTTGACATTCATAAAATTTATAACTGGATTTACAATTCCTCTTTTCTACAAATTCTACGTGTGTCTGTACTTTTTCACATTAACTAACAAATACTTTTTCCTATTCTGGCCATGTAATTTTAGCACACATGTTCAGGAAGCTTTTTGACGTGTGAAACACAAAGGCCAGTTCCTTTGTGGTTTAATCTGTCCCTGCTTAGAACAGACTGTACAGGAGTGGTCTATACCACAAGTTAGTGATAAGTTAGTAATTGCTTCACTTATGATATTACAAAACTGCTATTCTCATTAACTGAGACAAAAACCTGTTGTGTTCATGAGAAAATACAGCAAGACCTGTATATAATTAGTTTTGCTAAAAATGCATAAACCTTTAAAGATATTATTTAAACTCATAACAGAAATGCATGAAATACTGACCATTAATAATACTACCCTATAGTTCTTAGAGGTACGTATCTGTTTTCAAGTTTTGAATAACAAGAAGGCCAACAGAGAAGTTTGGCAACTCTGAAAAGTAACGGCCGGGTGCGGTGGCTCACGCATGTAATCCCAGCATTTTGGGAGGCCGAGGCAGGTGGATCATGAGCTCAGGAGCTCGAGACCAGCCTGGACAACATGGTGAAACCCTGTCTCTACTGAAAATACAAAAATTAGCCAGGCATGGTGGCGTGCGCTTGTGATCCCAGAGGATACTCAGGAGGCTGAGGCAGGAGAATCACCTGAACCTGGGAGGAGGATGTTGCAGTGAGCCGAGATGGCACCACTGCACTCCAGCCTAGGAGACAAAGCAAGACTCCATCTCAAAAAAAATAAAAATAAAAATAAAGGCTATCACACAATCTTTCAATGTACAATAACTGGAGTGATAAAATGTAAAATAAAATGTAAGAAAACAAGGAAAGTGTAGAAATGCATTTTAAGCACATTCAAAATGTTTTTTTTTAGAAATAACAAAAAGTGTCTGGGCATGGTGGCTCACACCTGTAATCCCAGCACTTTGGGAGGCCGAGGAGGGTGGATGACTTGAGGCCAGGAGTTTGAGACCAGCCTGGCCGACATGGTGAAACCCCATCTCTACTAAAAACACAAAAATTAGCCAGGCATGGTGGTGCATGCCTGCAACCCCAGCTACTGCAGAGGCTAAGGCCAGGCAGTGGAGGTTGCAGTGAGCCAAGATTGTGCCACTGCATTCCAGCCTGGGCAACAGAGCAAGACTCTGTCTGAAAAATAAAATAATAATAGAAATAACACAAGAGACATAAATATTTAGTGACTATAATTGGAGTTCATAAAACTCTATTGGACTCTGACTATTTTGATCACCTGACTTTAATACATGATTTTTCTGAAATAATAAAATGCCAAATCTTATCCTGAACTTATAAATTCATAAAGGCTTAATAGCATACTAAAATTTGAAAGCTTCCTTAATCAGTGTATGATAGTTGCAAACTTTGTTTTCTGATCTTAGATTCACAATTGAATTAGTGAAGATTCATAATAATTTAATGCAGATATTGCATATATGTGATTAATTGGTTCTTTAAGAATTATGTGCAAAGTATTTTTTTCTTTTTCATATATTCAAACATATTTTTAGTATACCAGTTTCCTATTTAAAGGAATAGTAATTGAATAATTTTCTAACATGAGTTTTTTAGATATAAAAAAAATCTTCATCACATTTAGATCACATTCACCTCAGCCCATGTAAGCTTCCTGTTGAAATTAACTTATCTATTCTTCACGTTTCCAACAAAACTTCCACATACGTGAATATACAGCCCCACCAGTTTATAATCTCACCGAATGCAGGAATCTTGGATTTTTTTTCACCCATGTATCCCTAAGTGGAGCAATTCTTAAGGGTGCACATCAGAATTTTCTTGAGAGTTATTTAAAAAAAAAATCACAGGCTTGGACCCCACCCCATAAACCTACTGAACCAAGAAAGGGGAATGGAATGTACATTTTAAAACAGTTATCAGGTGAGTCTGATCAGCTGACTCGTTAAAAAGCTTAAAAAAAAAGCTTTTATCTAGCAGTAGAGGGATGTTTGAGAAATGACTAGTGCAATGAATGCTTCTACAATGTCCTAAAATTCTGAGAGAAACTGTGAATTACTTAAGTGTAGGGGCTGTCTCATACTTCTTTGCACCATCTCCCTCCAACATTCCAAGTTCTCTATGTCACGTATTTTATTTCCTTTCCATCTAAAATTATTTTGTGTATTGCTCATCTCTTCCCCCTTCATAGGATATAGGTCCTTAAACAGGTGCATTACAACTTATTCAAAGTTTTATCCCCAGTGCCTAGAATAGTGCCTAGTTCTCAAAACATATCTGAGGAATAAATGAACTACCTAGAAGATTCAGTTTTCTATAAATGTGGTTAACAGTGTTACCATTTGAGGGTAGTTGTCCAGGTTCTTTGCATTTTGAACAAAGAATTGGACATGCACAAGCACGGAAGCCAAAGCAGAGATTTATTTTAAATAGGAGTACACTCCACAGGGTGTGAGTGGGCTTGACCAATACGCTCAGGGGTGCTGGTTACACAATTTTCTGGGGCTTATATACCCTCTAGAGGTTTCCCATTGGTTCACTCTAGTGGCCTGTGACCAGTCTGATCGGTTGAAGAGTAGGCCTGTGTCCAGTCTAATTGGTTGTGGAAAGGGACCAATCAGAGGTACTTTCGTTTTCTAACGGCCAGGCAGCAACTGCCACATAGCAAAAGGAGGGGTTTGTTTAAAGGGGGGTAGCCTCTGATATCCAGTCAGCACGAGTCAGCCTTTGGTTCCCTGCCTCCAGACCCTATTCTCCTGCCTTATTTCCCCCACTGAGAGATGTGATCCCCATAAATCTTTATGAGAGGAGGAGGGACTGATGGTCTTTCTTGTGTAACTACTTCATGCTGAGTTGGGGTGGAGTCCCTACCTAGTGGGGATCATGGGACTCTTTCCATGCTCTGTCTAGTAGAAACAGGATAGTTTCTTGATGGCGAGGGGTATTATCTTCATTTGGTACTTGCTGGAAGCTTTGTTGCCTGGTCATCTGAAGCTTGATGGTCTTTAGGCAAGAGGAAATGAATTTGGTTAAAAGATTTAATGGGAACTTCAAAGGTTGAATACCTATGCTGTCAGAAATGAATTAAAACATTCTGCTTAATTACTACAACAGAAATGATTCCAACCATTTGAAAAAAGGCAATTAAACTGCAAAATATATCTATGTATGTAGATAGATAGATGACAGATAGATAGATAGATAGATAGATAGATAGATAGATAGATAGATATAAAGAGATAGATACAAACATGGTGACCATTATCCATCCTACAGTAACTATATAACAAAAACACCAAGGAAAGTTTGTAGATATTATATTTTGTCTGTCTTCTAAACAGGTACTTCAGGTCGTCCACAGGATCACAGGTGTAGTGGCTGATGGGAACTTGAGGTTCCAGGTCCAGGGAACCCAAGTGATACCAGGGCTTCAGGTATCACAGACTTAATTCTTGATAGATGTATCCAACTATCTAATCCTAGTACCTTGACCACAGGAGGTGTGGCCAGTACCACTGAAAACAGTCCCTTCCATTTGGGTTGCAGTTATTGAACAGATGATCCCTCCTTCCATGTTTTAGCAAGTACTTTATCTCCTGGCCTGATTTTGGATTGTTGGTTAGTTGCTGGTATGGGAAGCCTTTGAGTTGCAAACTTTTGTAAAGCCTGCTGAAATTGTCCTAGGTTAACTAGGTATTTGACTAAACTGGCTGTTTCTGGACAGGTTAATTAATTAATTTCAGTAATTAGATCATTACTTAAGAATGGTTTCTGTATAACATTTTATATGGGCTTATATTAATTTTTTCTCTAGTGGTATTACGAATCCTTAAAAGAGCTATGGGCAGTAAGCTGATCCAAGTTTCTGATGTTTCCTTATATAGCTTAACCAACGCTCATTTTAGAGTTTGGTTAGCACTTTCTACTTTCCCAGAGGATTGAGGCCACCATGCTGAATGTAAACAGTATTTGATTCCAAGAGCTTTTAGCAACCCCTTGAGTTATTTGGGAGATAAAGGATAGACCTTTGTCACTTTGGAGACTCTGAGGTAACCCAAACCAGGGGATTATTTCTTTTAAGAGAAACTTTATAACTTCATTAGCCTTCTCTGTTCTAGTAGGGTAAGCTTTGACCAAGCCAGTAAAGGTATATATATATCTATTAACACTAACAAAAACTTGAATCCTCTGCAAGCTGGCATATGGGTGAAGTCTAATTGCCAGTCTTTCCCTGAGTAAGTTGCTCTCCTCTGGACTGGTTCTATTAGAGGAGGCATTTTGTTTCCTGGTTTGTTAAGTGCATACAGTGAGCAGGCTTGAAAGACCTGCTTAACCACCAAAGCTAAGTTAGGCCCAATGAAGAGCACGGTCAGGGTGGCATCTCTCATGATATAGAAAGAGTCAGGCAGAGGTTTTATAATCCTCCATTGGGGTTGTTTGAGGGAGATATATTTTCCTTCCCATATACCACCAGGATCCTTGTTTTTTCCTCCTTTCCCCTTTATTAACTGTTCTTCCTATAGTGTATATTTAGGTTCCACTGAGGAATCAGTCATAGAAAGGAATCTGTACTAGGGTCTGTTGGGATTGCACACTGAGGGCTGCAGCTTTGGCTTCTCTATCAGCCTTTCTGTTCCCTTGTGCTATAGGGGTTAAGCCCCTTTGATGCTCCCTACAATGGATTATAGCTACGGCCTTTGGCAGGTGTATTGCTTCCAATAGCTGAAAATTTCAGGCCCATGTTTTATAGGGGAGTGTTGGCTAGTCAGTAGTCTCCTTTCCAGATTGTAGCATGAGCATGAACCACAAGGAATGCATATGTAGAATCTCTATAGATGTCAAGCTTTTGTCCCAACATTTATGCTCGGGAAAGAGCAATGATTTCAGCCTTTTTTGCTGATGTGCCAGGGATCAGTGGCTGGGTTTCAATAATGGTGTTGTGATTTACTATTGCATAAATGGTGTTGTGATTTACTATTGCATATCCAGCTCAGTGCTCCCAATTTGACACAAAACTACTGCTGTCTGTGAAACAATCATCCTCAGAATGTGGGAGAGGCTGATCTTTTTAAATCAGGCCGGCTGACATATGTGTTTACAACGACCTGCTCATAGGACTGATTGGTTATTGGGCCTAAGGGTAGCAATGAAGCTGGATTCAAAGTGTTACAGGTTGTAAGGGTTACATCTGGATTGTCTGGGAGCATGGCCTGGTAGTTGGTTAACCTTTCCCCCATCATCCAGATGTGTCCTTTTATCTCTAAGACTGACTTTACCTAATTTCCATTGGTTGGCCCAGAGCAACTTTCGTGGCTTCCTCCACTAACATAGCAGGGGCTGGTATTGCCAGCAGGCAACTTGGCCATCCCAAGACCACTCCATCAAACTTTTTGGAAAAGTAGGTGGTTGGTCTGAGTTCTGATCCTAACTTCTGGGCTAGCACTCCCACAGCTATTCCCTTCTTCTCTGCTTAAGTTAGGCCTGGGATGCCAAGAGCAGGAGCCAGGGTAAGGCCTGTTTTGGCTTGGTGAAGGCTTCCCTCATGTCTGGGATCCATTCCATTAGCTCATTTTCAGGCCACCTTGTTGCTTCATATAGGGGCTTTGCCATGAGCCCAAAATTTGGTACCCATATCCTGCAAAACCTGGCCATTCCCAAAAAAGAACAAAGCTGCTGCTTGGAGGTGGGGGGCAGGGCAGGGAGGGTAGCGGGGGTAGGGAAGGCAAACCACATATAGCTTGCACTTGTTTCATGGATATTTGCCGGTTCTGGGTTTTAAGACATACCATAAATATTGGACCCATTGGAGGGTAATCTGAGCCTTCTTTTTGGACACTTTGTATCCCCTGTCAGCCAGGAAATTCAAGGTTTTTATAGTATTTTGGTAGAAGCTTCCTGAGTTGGGCTACATACAAGAGGTCATCCACATACTGGAGTACACTCCCATTCTCCAGTTGCAGATCCCTCAGATCCCTCTCTAAGGCTTGGGCAAAGAAATGGAGGCTATCGCAAAATCCCTGAGGGAGCACTATCCAAGTGTATTGTTGTTTTTCTCTGGTATTAGGATTTTTCTATTCAAAGGGAAAAAAGGTATTGGGACGCTGGGGCCAGAGGAATAGAGAATAAAGTAGCTTATAAGTCTAGGACTGAGAGCCATTTTGTATCCCATGGCACTTGAGACAGGAGGGTGTATGGATCTGCCACCAATGGGTAGACAGGGATAACAGCCTCATTAATTATTCTGAGGTCCTGTACTAACTGGCATTACCCTGACTTTAGAATGGGTAAGATGGAGGTGTTGCAGGAAGAACCACAGAGTTTCAAGAGCCCAGGGGTAAATAATACCTCAACTATGGGTGCTAGGCCTCTTCTTGCTTCCAACTTAATTGGGTATTGTTTTTGATTGGAAAAATAGTTGGGGTCTTTAAGCTGTATTTTGACTGGCACTGCTGTTTTAGCCTTCCCCGGTTTCCCAGTATGCCATGCCAGTGGGTTAACCTGTTTATTAGTGTGGTCTGGGGCGTTGTCTGTATTTTTGACTTCTAGCAGTTTCACTGGGTGACACTTCAATTGTAGTAGTGCCCTTATTTTAACCATAATATCTCTTCCCAACAGGGGGACTGGGCAGCTTGGTACTTCTAGAAATTTCTGTTGGAAGATTTCTCAAATTGACAAAGGAGTAAAGAATCTTGTTTGTGACTTTCCTTCTATTTCCCTAACACTCGTCGACCCTGGGGAAAGTTTTCCTGCATGAGCAGTAAGGACAGTGTAATTTGGCCCTGTATCAAAAAGAAACTGAATTTGGGTGCTCATGATGTCCAGAGTTACTCAGGGCTCCTCAGTAGTAACTACTGTGTTCCTGTACAGGGTTGATAAGAAAGACCCTGGGCCTCTTCAGTCTTCATCTGATTCCTCTTTTAGCACTGCTGGAGTTTTGCCTGACTGAGCTCCTTGGTGGGAGTGGAGGCAGCCAACACCTCCAGTGCCAAGGATCATAACTGGCACCCTCACATTTTTGGCCGGGTTTTGGCAGAGGCTTGGTATAGTCCTTTGTCCAATGCCCAGGTTCCTTGCACTTGAAACAAGAGCCCCTGTTGGCATTATCTTTGTGGCCCTTTGGGTTTCCCTTGGATGCTTTTTGGGCATTCAGGGCATCACCAATGATGGCTGCCATAATTTTGGCTTGCTGTTTTTCTTTACTCTGTTCCCTTTTTCCTTCTTCCAGATCACGGTAGTTATACACCATATAGGTGGTATCATGAAGTTGATTTTGATTAGTTTATGGCTCCATCTGTAGCTTTTGGAGCTTGCATCTAGTATCTGGTGTGGATTGGCTAATAAAATGTTGTGCCATTAATATTTTACCTTTGGGAAAGGAAGGGTCCAGATTAGCATATTTTTAAAAAGCTTCCTCCAGCTTGCCATAAAACATGGCTGGATTTTCCTCCTTGCCCTGTGTAATCTCCCTTACTTTATCATAATTTACTGCCTTAGTTATTCCCTTTCTCATTCCTTCAAGGAAGGGCCTCAAGCAATTTAGCCCAGTTGTTCATTCCCATGGATGTGTTATAGTCCCAATTAGGATCAGTAGTGGGGAGAGTGTCTGGGCCCAGGTGATTTCCCTGAGGGTTTCGGGTGAATAAATTGCCCACTTCCCAATGGGTGGCCTCAAAGATTCATTCCTCTTCAAAGGGGGTGCAACAATTTGCTAGAATGAAACCATCTGCAAATTTCCTAGGATTCTCAGGGTAGTTTCCTGGCCTTTCCTTACATTGTTGTGTATTAGTTATGGAGAAGGAGCCTGCACTAGGAATTGCCCCTCAGCTCTTGCTACTTCCTTAAGGAGTAGAAGGGATAGAGGGAGAGTCAAATATGGTGTTCACCTCTGAGTGTGAGGGGGACTTGGTAAGGTCCCCAGTGCTGGGTTTTAGCCTCAGGAACACTTGGCAAGGGGCTATATGGGGGTGGTTGCTGTTCACCCTGAGACAGGTGGCTCTTGTAAAAGGGGGTCATCTATAATATCTATTAGGTTTTGGTATAGGGCCATGAAGACCTGTACATATGGGATTTCTGACCATTTGCCCTGACTTGTACAAAATAGGCCTAATTGCAGGATAGTGTCCAATGGTGGAGGATGCAGCCAAGCGGGGAATCAAGTGGAACAGATGGAGAGTTGCCCATAGAAGAATCAGGTGTGATAGATGGAGAATTGCCCATAGTGGTCTGGACTTAGCAAAGTATTAGAAGACCCAAATTTTATCCGGGGTGTCCTCCTGGAAGAATTTTGGGTCCTGACCGGGGTCCCTGGGGGTTTCCCCACTTTAGAGCCCCTGACTTAGTCTGTCAGATGCCTCTGACCTTAGATGAGTGCTGGCACCACTTTCACCACTGATGACCCACTATGAACTTTCCTTCTTGTCCCCGGATGAAGACCTCAGCTTCTAGAAGGCTTCGACTTCTACAGTTACAACCCTTTGGGTTTTCCTATCCCACTTAAAACAATTCTTTAACTCTCTAAATTTAGGCAAGATTAAATTATAATAGATTACCTTCCACGAATCACACCTTGTCCCCCATGACTCACACAGACCATCTACAACATGGCCAAACCCCCGGCTTGCCCTTAACAAGTCAAGTAGGGGAAGAGGAGAATTTATTTAGTATAATGGAAGAAGGTTTAAGTCACCTGAAATGTGTGTGAATTCGCCCTGGACAAGCCGCTGCTGCCAATTCTGTCACACATAGGGATCAGAGACTATAAGATAGAAAATAGTTCTTTCCCCTTCTGGGCAAGGCCAGCTATCCTCATTCACTCCTCCGCTTTCAAGTAACACTGGAGAGTGGTCCCAGCCAGTTACCCTCAATTACCCAGGGGCTACTAGGAAACAGCCACTGAAAGACCGAGAAAGAAAAGGACTCAGGTCCCTCACCAAAACCAGGCTGTGGCCCCGGCGAAACCTTTCAGTTTCACCACAGAGTGGCCCCGGCCAGAAACCTGCAGTTGCCTCCATGCTTAGACGCTGTCCACCGAAGGTCCTGAGTTGGAAAGGAAAAGAGAGAGAGAAAAAGAAATATAAAACCTAAACTTTGGGCTTACCTCCTGGCTGGCTTGCCAAAACATGTTACTGGTTGAGGGTAGTTGTCCAGGTTCTTGGCCTTTAGAACAAAGAACTGAACAAAGCACACAAGCAAGGCAAGCCAAAGCACAGATTTATTTTAAATGAAAGTACACTTCACAAGGAAGAAGCGACCTCAAACAAGAAGCTCAGGAGCACTGGTTACAGAATTTTCTGGAGTTTATATACCCTCTAAAGGTTTCCTATTGGTTCACGCTAGTGACCTGCGATCAATCTGATTGGTTGAAGCATAAGCCTGTGACCAGTCTGATTGGTTGTGGGAGCGGACCAATCAGAGGTACTTTCATTTTCCAGCTGCCAGGCAGCAACTGCTGCACAGCAAAAGGAGGGTTTCAAAGGGAGTAGCCTCTGATATCCAGTCAGCCTGAGTTGGCCTTAGGTTCCCTGCCTCCAGAACCTATTCTCCTGCCTCAATAGCATATTACATTTACTTAGTTTCTATTGTATATAATCATCCACTGCCCTCAGCCCCATCTGCCAGTTCTTGCTCTGCAAAAGCCACACTGTTGAGGCCGTGAAAGTATAGTTGAGCCTTGAACATTATGGGTTTGAAATACGAAGGTCCACTTAAACAGAGACTTTTTTCAGTAAATGTATTGGAAAAGTTTTCTGAGATTTGCAACAATTTGAAAAAATCTGCAGATGAACTGTATGGCCTAAAAATATTTCCTGCCTCCCCTTCCACCTCTTCTGCTTCTGCCACTCCTGAGACAGCAAGACCAGCCCTTCCTCTTCCTTCTCCTCCTCAGCCTATTCAACATGAAGATAATGAGGATAAAGACCTTTATAATTACCACTTTTGCTTAATAAATAGTAAATATATTTCTCTTATGATTTTCTTAAGAATTTTTATCTCTAACCTATTGTAAGAAGAGAGTATACAATACATATAACACACAAAATAATGTTAAACAACTTTATATTATCAATAAGTGTTCTGGGCACCAGTAGGGAATTAGAGGTTAAGTTCTGGGGGAGTCAAAAGTTATACATGGATTTTTCTCATGTCAGGTAGGCACCCTTTCACACCACAGTGTTAAAAAGTCAACTGTAATTTGACTTTATTGGTATATCAAGGTACTCAAAATGCTCAGTTAAGGCTTCTTTTTGAAGGAACTAAAAATTATATATATATATATATATATATATATATATATATATATATATGTATTTTGATACAGAGTCTCACTCTCTGTCACCCAGTCTGGAGTGCGGTGGCATGATCTTGGCTCACTGCGATCTCCGTCTCCCGCATTCAAGTGATTCCCCTGCCTCAGTCCCCACTCCTGAGTAGCTGGGACTACAGGTGCCTGCCACTGCACCCGGCTAAGTTTTGTCATTTTAGTAGAGACAGGGTTTCATCATGTTGGCCAGGCTGGTCTCAAACTCCTGACCTGAGATGATCCACCTGCCTTGGCCTCCCAAAGTGCTGGGATTACAGGCGTGAGCCACCGTGCCCAGCCTGATGGATGTATTCTTCAGTATGGATAAATTATAAAATAAAATGAACATTATATATATATCTAAATGGAGCTAGTGCATTTATTAATAATATAGGGAATGTTGCTTATACATTGGAGGATTTCTTAATTCTGGTTTGGAGGTTTGCGTGTTGACTCATAAAAGTAACTGTGATGCAATACTTACTCACTATAGGACTATCTATAAAAATTCAATATCAATTATATGAACATGATTGTACTTTTGGTTTTATAGTACATCTTTCAGCAGAGCCAAAGTGAAATCATTTCACTATTCATATGAAATATCAGGACTCATGGAGTAGGCATCAAACTGAGTGGTTAGGAGCATTTGCTCTTAGGGCTGCCCTTAACCTATACATAGATTAAGGGACCATCAATTTATCATGATAAAAAAGGGCTGCTACTCAAACTTTTTGAAATTGTTCCCCTTTGTCTCTGCCTAGCATGCAGAATGTTGAATGTAAAGAATCCTACATTTACACAGGGTTGGTTTCCAACTCATGCATATATTCCAGAATGCCATGACACATCAATAGGTGCTGCAATGTGATGTGGTTGTGACGACGCTCCATGCTGCCCAATGATGCACCATAAAATACCCAAAATGGTTAGTCTTAATGTGAAGTAAATACTAAGTTCATGGATTGAAAATATTGAAGATTACTTCACTTGCTCTGTAGCTCCATTTATAAGAGTCCTTCAGTTCTTAAATATGATTTACATAGTGTAACTATCATAATATCAAGGGTATTCATGATAGTTGCCATTTATTGAGCACTCACTCTATGCTAGGATCTGGTATTGTTCATGTATCTTATCCATTTGATCTGCTTAAAAGCATGTAGTTATCTTTATTTTTTATTTTCAGATGAGGAATCTGAATCTTTCAAATATTAAGTAACTTAGTATGTGCTGGAATTTGTATATGAAAACCCACATTGGTTTGAATCTAAAGCTCATCCAAAGCACTAAGCTATGCTGTCCCCATGATCTAGGTTATGTGCCTAGATCATGTAAATGTTCACCCTATAAATTTCCAACTGGAAAAAGACTAAGCAATTTCCAATATAAACAGTCCACTTTCCCAAAAGTGAAACATTTCTGATGACTGATCTGCACAATGTGTTTTCATCTCAATAAGAAGAGTAAGAAAATGGAAAGTATTGCATATGTTAAATAGCTTGATTTAACCTCATTGTATACATATATCAAAACATCATGTCATATACTACAAATATGAAGTTACTTGTCAATCAAAAAAAAAAAGAAGAAAAGAGAAGAACAGGCCTAGAACAGAAATGAAGCCTATGGGAGCATAAAGGTGCAACAGTGTAGACCAACTGCGTGAGCTCCAAACAAAGTCTCCAAAAGAATCTTTTGAAATCTTTGGGCAAGTCTCTCAATCTCTCTGAATCACAATTGCCTCATCCACCAGAACAGATAACAGTGCAGGCCCCTACTTCACTTTGGAATGGGCATGACACTTTTCTAGCCTTATTTCCCATACTTGGTCATACCCTCACATCAGGTCTTTATTCCATGTAAAAGATTTGCTGGGAAGGCCTTTGAGGGGCCTCTTCATCTTTCCACAGAGCTTTCCATTAAACAGAGGCAAAATTAAACCATGTCCTTTTTTTCCATGGCACTCTGAACCCTTCTCATCATGTGATCTATTAGAATTACTTATCTATGTATCTGGCCCACACCACTGAGCTCCTGGTGAACCTATACTGCTCCCCTTCATAAAATATAAAGCAGGTGGCTCACACAAAATACACTCTCAACAAATGTGGAATAGAAGGCATGATTCATGATTATTTCATTCTACTAAATGCATGATATTATTTGGACTACGCACTGTGATATACCATTAAAAATAAGTGATTTTTAAAAAAAAATTTCCAGAATTAGGACAGATGCACTGTGACTCACGTTATTATTATTATTATTATTATTATTATTATTATTATTATTATTTTGAGTCGGAGTCTTGCTCTATCACCCATGATGGAGTACAGTGGCATGACCTTGGCTCACTGCAACGTCTGCCTCCCGGGTTCAAGGGAGTCTCCTGCCTCAGCCCACCCGAGTAGCTGGGACTACAGGCGCGCGCCATCACGCCCAGCTAATTTCCTTTGTATTTTTAGTAAAGATGGGGTTTTGCCATCTTGGCCAGGCTGCTCTCGAACTCCTGACCTCAGGTGATCCACCCGCCTCGGCTTCCCAAAGTGCTGGGATTACAGGCATGAGCCACTGCGCCTGGCCTGACCTACATTCTTAAAAGGGCTGTGTTACTGAAACAATCAGGAAAGAATCATATCTCCAGGTGAAGGAAAATGAACAATGCTTTTTCTCTTCCTCAAGTCAAGAAAAATCCAGTTCTTTAGTTGACAGTACATCCAAGTTAGTCAAATTAAGTAGCTTCCTGTCTCCGCTTCATTTTATCTACTTGTCATGATTAAATATCCTACTAGGTTGTAAGTGGGCCCTCAACGCTGACCTTTTTATCTTGGGATTTGAGAGGCACAGTCTAGAGCACTACTCTTCACCTAAATGCCAGTATGCCACCAGTAGAAATTATCCTTTAGGCTAAATATTGTTCTTCCCAGAAACCCTCTTTTCAAGGATCAGTTTAAACCTAAATTCATCAGAGAGGAAAACAGCAGATTTCAGAGTCAGATGAAGAATTCATATCCACCTGGCTTTGAACATTATCGGCTGTGAGATGGTGTAGGTAAAATTTTAAGTGCATAATTTGGCAATAATAAATCATCAATAAATATTAATGTTGATGAGGCCCCTGGGCCACATAAAGAAATAGGGAGTGAGGGGATTTGAAATTCTGGCCACTTCACAGAAATGGGTGGGAAGGGGCTCTTGATTGAGATAGAAGCCCATCCTACATGAAGCAATTCCTCATTGAGTTCTCTCGTCCTTTATCCTTGTTGGAAACATCAGGCAAAGTCACTCTTGGTCTTAAAGTACTTTTACATCTAAATACGGAACTCTTCTATTTAATCCCTGTCTGTTGTAGATGTTAAGTATACAAAGAGGTTGTCAGAGTTTGAAACATCTGGACTTCTGTCAGGTACTAGCTCCGGAACTCCAGTCCTGCTCGCCCTCAAAAACGGCTTGCAGCTAGAGGTTTAAGTTCCACTTCCTCTCAGCGAATCCTTACGCACGAGGGAGGCGGGGCGTGTGTCCTCCGCGCGTGGTTTTCGGGTAGCACCTTCTGGGGCGCCGCCTGCCTCCACCCACGGCCGGGCCTTGACGTCATGGGCTGCGGCCCCCTCCCGGCTGAGCCTATAAAGCGGCAGGTGCGCGCCGCCCTACAGACGTTCGCACACCTGGGTGCCAGCGCCCCAGAGGTCCCGGGACAGCCCGAGGCGCCGCGCCCGCCGCCCCGAGCTCCCCAAGCCTTCGAGAGCGGCGCACACTCCCGGTCTCCACTCGCTCTTCCAACACCCGCTCGTTTTGGCGGCAGCTCGTGTCCCAGAGACCGAGTTGCCCCAGAGACCGAGACGCCGCCGCTGCGAAGGACCAATGAGAGCCCCGCTGCTACCGCCGGCGCCGGTGGTGCTGTCGCTCTTGATACTCGGCTCAGGTGAGGATTCACCGGCGCTGAACTGCTGGGCTCTCCTCCCATGGCAGGTTTTGCCTCTTGAGTTTGGCTCTTGCTTCTCTAAAAATCGCCCTTTAGTTCCCCCGACCCTGCGCCGCAGGAGGTGATCACTGTAGCTCCCTCCCTAGGAGGAAAAGAGAAGGGCAGATGTCTCAAACGTCCAGGACAAGGTGTCCCAGAGAATCGCTGTACTTTTTCTTTAGTTCAGCTGAGAAGACGGGAGAGATCATTTGAACCTAACCCTTCGTTTCACAGATTAAAAGATTAAAAAGACCAAGATCTAGAGAGGTGAAGTGATTTCCGCAGATATTGGACCCAGCAGTGTTTGCTGCCTCCTGCCTAATTCTCCATCTCTGTCTAGTGATTTCTTCTTTACCTTCCTAGAGGGACTTAGAGTATCCCGGCGAGAGGTTAAAAGCACCACTCTGATGCTGTTTTATTGAGACCTAAGAAAAAGCAAGATAAAGCAGTGGCTTAACTCTGGGCCCCAAATCTTACTTAGTACTCAGTTTATTGTCTATGTAGTAATAATAATAATGATAATGAAAAATGACAATAATAATCGATATAATTAACCACTGTTTATATTATTTTAAAAGATTATCTTTTAAAAATATCTTTTAAAAATATGAACACATCTTTTAAAAATATGAACACATCTTTTAAAAATATCTTTTAAAAATATGAACACATCTGAAGAAAATCTGATATTTGTATCTAAAACCTACCGAAATAGGCCAGGATGGCATTCTAGCAAAAAAAGAAATGCATTTGGAATGTGAAGTGATGGGAATTTTTAGACATTACCCATCAAGTAATTGTATTAGATTAATTTGCCAATTTGGCGGGATTTTTTTGATGTGGAAATTAATGTGGATTATCTGTGGAAAAGAAAAACTTCAGAAAAGCACTTCTGTAATTGGGACAGCTGAATTTGCTTGCTGGCAAAAATGTAAAGTTTCTTTCATAGAAATGACTCAATCACAAACAATAGCACATGTGCAATAACTGCTTTGATGTCAAAAGATAAACTTTTCTACCTAACACAGCTGACTCGAAAGGCACCCTACTTTACCTTTTCTTTTCTTCCTTTATTCCCTCCCCTGCAGGCCATTATGCTGCTGGATTGGACCTCAATGACACCTACTCTGGGAAGCGTGAACCATTTTCTGGGGACCACAGTGCTGATGGATTTGAGGTTACCTCAAGAAGTGAGATGTCTTCAGGGAGTGAGATTTCCCCTGTGAGTGAAATGCCTTCTAGTAGTGAACCGTCCTCGGGAGCCGACTATGACTACTCAGAAGAGTATGATAACGAACCACAAATACCTGGCTATATTGTCGATGATTCAGTCAGAGGTGAGTAGGGGATAAAGCAAAAATATGGCCTGTGAGATGTGGGTTTATATGAGCAAAGCTGCTTCAGAAGTAAAGCTGCTCCCCAGATTTTCTAGTGGCTTTATTGTATATCTGTTGGATAGCCCCTAGGTAAACTGTGACAAAAAGAACCATAATGTGGGCACATCCTATATGGCCAGAGTGATCATAAATGGTGTATGTCTCATTTTTAAACCTAATCTTCACAATGACTTTAAGTAGGAATTGTTATCCTCATTTTACAGATGTGATAACTGAAGCCGAAAAAGGTTTTGCTCTAGGTTCTACAGGTGACAAGCAGATGAGCTAGAATTAGAGCTCCAGTCTGTTTGATTCTATGCAGAAGAGACACTAAGCTCTTTCCCACTATGCTACATGACCCCCATTCTGAGAGACAAATTTAGACATTAACCATTCCTATCTACTTTGTATCTTAGCTTTTGTATCCCCTTCCCCAACACCACCCTTCCCCAGATAACTGCATTTTAACACAAATAAGGGGACAAGGAAGTAATGGGACAGGAGGCATTAGACTTTAGCGTTTAAGTACTAGGTGATGAGAAGCTGATGGAATAATAATAATAATGCCATCTGGAAATATTAAAGAAGGGTGAATATACTTAGATTTTGTATTGCTAAAATCACTCTTTAACCCCAAATCCCATTTGTTAGTTATATAACCCATGGTTTCTTTCACTTTCCTGTTATCTCATATTTTAAAAAGGCCCTTTGCTTGGAGTGAAAGTACCAAAGTAAGAGAGAAATATTGCATACTTTGGAGTCTGAAGGAAGAAGAAGTTAACAGTAAATAAGATCTAAATATCCTAAGAGCATCCACTACAGAGGCAGGGCAAGATGGTTTCAGAGCTGTTGAAGGCCTTTTCTGTCCTGACTTGAGTTTCCCTGGCTTCTCCCCCTCTTGTCTGGTTCTCAGAACTGGTGAAGGGACATCAAGTGGTACCAGAGGGACAGTGACTTGGGTGAGTGGGAAGTGAGAAAACCTTTAGCGAACACTCCACTTAATTCCCTTCCTTCTCAAAGTGTGCTTTTCTGTGAGGTGGGTAAGGGGTTCATTTGTGCTTATTTTTGAAGGCATGAGATTAGACCCATCAAGGTGTCTAGAAACTGTTCTCTTAAACATGTTTCAAGTTGTTAACACTTCAGAAGGCCAAGTAAATGATTAGTAGTACAAATGATGACTAGTGCTCAAAATTGCAATGCATTGTGAAATAGAGTGAAAATGTTGGCTGAACACCTTCGAAAGGCTAAGTTAAATGTCCATGATGTTAGTGCTTATCGCAACACTTCAGCATAGTGACTTTTTTATTTGCCTCTGTCTATAGTTTGTAATCTATCTGACAAAGTGAAGTTACAACGTTCATTCAAAATATTTCTCTTAAAGGACTTTTCTGTCTTGTGCTTTTTTATCGTCAGAGAAAAGTTTCAATATAAAAATCGCATAACCACCTCTTAAACATTTGCTACTAATTTTACTTTTGTTAAATGTTATTATAATAAACTGCTAAAATACTCAGTATTTATTTTCCATTTCCTTAATCACAGATATTCTATCTTTGATACCCTAGTTGACCTTCACTATGTTTCTAATGTTTTGTATTGAATGGGTGCTGCATGACCATTATGACTAATGGTATTTTCTCTTTACTGAAATCTGTTTGCTAAATATTCACTTGGATAAACCTCTTCAGACATTAGTGTAACAAAATGCACAGCACTAACATGCAAAGCCATTTGCTATCTTTAGTATGTGGGTAAACTACACCTTGCATAACTGCAAGACTGAACAAAAGTTTCTGTGGATCAGATAAGATAAATCTCTGAAGCACTGAATACAAATATTCCTGGGCTCCTGTTTTCAAATAGATTGACCACGAAAATGAGCTCCATGGAAATTATCAATTTGATTATAATCTGTTGTAATCTGGGTGTTGGAGCATTGTAACATAGAGTAACTCTAATTTATAATTCTCAGTTTTTTCCACCTGCAAGTAGTACTCACTAATTCCCAACTATAATCATGAGTGGACACTACTTTCAGGTAGAAAAAACTGAAAATTATAAATTAGGGTTATGCAGTCCTCTCTAACTTTTATATTGTGTTAGGTAATGAGGCACGCATGGCTGTTACCCCTGTGAGCGCTCACTGCTATGACATCTTTCTCTCATGTCTCTAAAATTATATTCAAGTTTGAGAGACTCTTGTCAATAAATCTTTTCTTTTTTAGTTGAACAGGTAGTTAAGCCCCCCCAAAACAAGACGGAAAGTGAAAATACTTCAGATAAACCCAAAAGAAAGAAAAAGGGAGGCAAAAATGGAAAAAATAGAAGAAACAGAAAGAAGAAAAATCCATGTAATGCAGAATTTCAAAATTTCTGCATTCACGGAGAATGCAAATATATAGAGCACCTGGAAGCAGTAACATGCAAGTAAGTTTTCCTAAAGCATATAGAATTTTGTATTTCTAGCACCATGTCTGAAACCCCTAACTGCAGGAAACCATTTATTTTTCCAATGTATAAACCAAGGGTCAGTAAACTTTTTGTTAAAGCACCAGATAGTAAATATTATAGGCTTAGTGGGCCAAGATTGTTACATGTACTTAAACAACGAATTAAAGTGTAACCATTTAAAAATGTAAAATTGGTGGGTGCAGTGGTTCACACCTGTATTCCCAGCACTTTGGGGGGCCGAGGTGGGCAGATCCCTTGAGCCCAAGAGTTTGAGACCAGCCTGGGCAACATGGGGTGAAACCCCATCTCTACAAAAAATACAAAAAAGTTTAGCTGAGTACAATGGTGACAGCCTGTAGTCCCAGCAGTCTGGGAGGCTGAGGTAGCAGAATTAATTGCTTGAGCTCAGGAGGTTGAGACTGCAGTGAGCCGTGATCGCACCACTACACTCCAGCCTGGGAGACAGAGCGAGGCCCTGTCTCAAAACAAAACAAAACAAAAATGTAAAAACTATTCTTAGCTTGCAGGTTGTTTAACAAAACAAAAAAGCAGCAAATGGCTGGATTTGATCCATGGGCTGTAGTTTCCTGACCCCTGGTATAAACCATTATTTTTTGTGCATGCTCCTGCTTGCTCTCTCTCTCTCTCTCTCTCTCTCTCTTTCTTTCTATATATATATGTATGTGTGTGTGTATGCATTTTTTAAAAACTCCTTTAAAAAAGGACCTAAAGGTAATTTTTGCATAATCTTTCACATTGTTTTAACCTCCTCCCCGCTTACCTCCCACAAGCAGCTAGCACATTAAATAATATTGGAATGTATCAACTGCATAACAAATCACTGAACTCATCAGTTGGTCATAAAAGAAACACAAAGAATGACAAGGCGTGTCTTCTTGAACTATCACACCCAAACTAATCTCAACTTGTTCTTATACTAATAGATCCTTAGTTAGAATGCATTCTGTGTCTCATTATTTAAAATACGAGTATATGGCATAACTTTTTTAATGTTGGAATTAAATGGTTCTTTATGATCTGGAGAATAAGCTTAAAACACACCGCACGTTTTTGTGATTATAATTTTTAAATGTGAATTGCTTGCAGATGTCAGCAAGAATATTTCGGTGAACGGTGTGGGGAAAAGTCCATGAAAACTCACAGCATGATTGACAGTAGTTTATCAAAAATTGCATTAGCAGCCATAGCTGCCTTTATGTCTGCTGTGATCCTCACAGCTGTTGCTGTTATTACAGTCCAGTAAGTATGACATAACTTACAAATTCTTAATAAAATAATGGGAGGTTAATTTTTTCAGTATTTCTCTCATACTCTACTCTGGTATTTTAGATGAATTATTATATTGTCACTTGATCTTTGGTTTATATTTTTATATTTTATTGACAAATATCACAGAAAGTGGTCAATGTTTATGACTTGTGGCCACCATTGAAATTTAACATGTAAAGCCCTTTTATAGAAGATCTAGAAATTTTTTGAACTTAAGTAATTGAAGGTTTTATTTCATGTTATTTTTCTACTCATGGTTACTTTAGAATCTCAGAAAATATTTATATCTACTGTGAAATCCTATGCTTCATCAAGCCTCAGGAGCTAATTAAGACCTGTTTATAGGAGGTTCGTAGTATCAGACATACTGCTTTGATACTAAAAACGACAAAGAACTACAAATCATCAGCAGTAAAGAATAGATATGTTTTCTGCTCATATTAGAATGCAAAATTCTGAGTTAGGAATATTATAACATGGTACTAATTTACTTAGAGCTTATGCTTATTTTGTTACTATCGAATATGAGAACTCAATTATTAAAAATAAATTTCCATCATAAGACATGGCATAGCAAGCAAGGACAATTCTATTACTGTTTCACTCCAGCGTATCTTCCCTGTGCTCATAATAACAGATCACACACTTCACTTCATGGCCAGTAAATGTTAGGACTAGACTGTCCCAGGTAGTAGGCACTGATGGGTGCATCAAAATGGCATTGTCTGTCAAACAGAAGTCACTGAATAAGGGAAGTTGGGGGAGGACATGAATGGCTCTGTGATGACTCATGTGCTACTAGAGCTTGGGAAAAGCAAGGGACTCATTCTTCTAATTTTAGGTCTTGGTAAATAACTTTAACAGCTATCCACTTGTGTACATGATCTACCACGACTACCATTCAGGAAACAAGGGGTTATCTTCTGCCATTGTTGACAATTATTTTAAATTTAGATGAGATCATCATAACATGACACATAAAAATTGTTTCATCATGCATATCAAGTTTGATATGTAGCTTAAATTTATTTTGCACACACTAGAATTTGTCCTGGTTTTCTAGTACCTCAAGGCAGATATGCAAAGGTGTTTAGGAGACATACTCTCAGACAAACCATTATTATTTTAAAGGATAGAACAAAACAATCGCTAGTTAAGGAAGATGTTTTGTAATAATTAAACTTGTAATTATTTGACTTGAAATATTTAATCATTTTTTGGGAAAGAATGGATAGATTTTGTTAATGTTAGCACTCTTAAAATTAAGCAGTGGCTTTTTTCCCCGTGTCTCCCATATTCTCCTTGTGTTTGAAACATAAAACAAACACTAAACCTAAGCAAAAGTTGCTGGGTTTGTTTTCATAATTGAGGTGAGTTTTTCCCTCAACTATTACAATAAAAGAAAACTTTTTATGATTTTAATGATAATGTTTTGTGGTGGGTTAAAGACCTCCTAACAACAGGGGGTTTTTATACAACAACAAGAAGTTTTTAAATAATTGAGTTTTTAAAGTGGAAAGCAGCAGTAAATTAAACTAGAAGGATATATTTTATACCTAGAAATAAATAAAGCTCAACTTGTTTTGTAAGCCTGTTTCAAAAATATTTAATCATTTAATTTGTGCAAGTATAGAGTTCTCCTATGGCAAAACTATACCATCATCTTCTCCAATTGTGCATGGCAGCTGTACTAAGTTCTGCAAAAACAAGACATATGGATGTGTTTCATACCTTCTCAGAATTGGTATATCAAGACACATTTAAATATAAGCCCTCTGGAAATGGATTTATATACAGTCAACATAAATACCCCCTTAGAAATTGGTAATATTTTATAGCCAGGTTTAGGTTTAGTGTCAAGTATAGTGATTGCTGGTCTATCACTACTCATGAAGTGGAACCCCCTCTACTCATAAAAACCCCAATCAAACATATAGATGAATAGAACCTTGATAACATTAGAATGCCTTGTTCTCTGAAGGCTTAGAAGACAATACGTCAGGAAATATGAAGGAGAAGCTGAGGAACGAAAGAAACTTCGACAAGAGAATGGAAATGTACATGCTATAGCATAACTGAAGATAAAATTACAGGTTTGAGTTTTAAAATATATCTTTAGATCATATCCTATAATTTTGAAAAATTTAACACTATATAATCTCAAGAAAAATATGGAATGTGTTCTTAATTATATATACACTATGAACAATGGCTATGTTAAAGTATTATTCTTTGAGTATAAGATGGAATTCAATGTTGAGAATAGACTACGTGTTTAATAAGTATTATTAGGGATATAAATATAAGAGACACTGGTCCAGTTCTCAAAGAAGTTATTGTTTAGTAGATAGGAAAAAAATGTAAGAAACCAGAATACTAGGGATGTAAAATAAATGTCATGAGAAAGGAACCAATGGAGTATGAGAAGTTTCCAGTGAAAAACAGAAAGAATCCAGTAGAATTTATTTAGGGAAGAGGAAAAGATGTGTTCGGGGTGGCCTTGGAAGTGAACGTTGAAGGACTAGTGAGATTGGTTCAAGAAACTGTGAAGGGAAAGAAAGGGTTATACTGAGAAATGGAAGAGATAATTTTAGAAACTTGTGAAAAATGGCTTAATCTAAATGAGTGTTAGGGGAGATACAGTTGTGATGATAGGTTGAGCTCACATGGTGGAGAGCCACAGTTGCGGGTGCTTGCACTGATAATGTGAGGGCATGGAGACAGACAATAGGTTGAATGCTCTTTTTTTACAAAAGGAAGTAGAAAGGGAGGGGGATGTAAATTTGATAAATAGGTTGGTGAAAACTTATATTTTCTTGTAAAGAGAGAGAACTGAGCATGTTGTAGGTATAAGGTAAAAAGGCGTGAAGAGGAATATTTCGTTGATAATGAAAGTGAGCAGCTAGGGAAGAAAACTCCCAGAGGAAGAGGGAGGCAAGGAAATCAAGAACACACTTAAAGTTTGTCAGAAGAAGGAACTTTATTTCCTTAAACATTCAAGAAAGATGATGTCATTTCAGTTATTGATTGTCTAACTTCAGTAGGTTTAAGAGTTACTTGAGGGCTGGGCACAGTGGCTCAGGCCTGTAATCCCAGCACTTTGGGAGGCTGAGGTGGGCGGATCACCTGAGGTCAGGAGTGCAAGACCAGCCTGGCCAACATGGTGAAACCTTTTCTAAATATACAAAATTTTCTAAAAATACAAAAAATTAGCTGGGTGTGGTGGTGAATGTCTATAGTCCCAGCTACTTGAGAGGCTGAGGCAGTAGAATTGCTTGAACTGCAAGGCAGAGGTTGCAGTAAGCCAAGATCGCGCCATTGCACTCCAACCTGGGCAACAAGAGCGAAACTCCATCTTAAAAAAAAAAAAAAAAAAGAATTACTTGAGATGCTTGTTGAATATGCATATTCCTAAGCCCAGCCCTAAATCTACTGAATCAGAATTCTATTTTTAATGTACACTCCAGATGGTTCTGATACTTGAACAACGCTATATTTAGCATTGGTTAAGTACAGATATTTTGTTTTTAGCCTATTGCAGAATTAGCTCAATAATTCATAAAATGGGTAATTATTCATACCAATGCTAAACTCAGTATTTATTACATCAAAATTTTTAATGTATTGGCTAATTTTGGTAAAGCTAAGACCACCAGTGTGAATAAGGATGGATTTTTGGTTATTTGCCACTGAGATTTTTTAGCATAGATCCCAGAATTATTTTAGGAAAAAGAATATGCTGTGCTAGCACATAGTGGGTGCCTATTAACTGGTAGTTACTATTATTATGCCCTTGGTACTAATTTTCCTAAATTAACTATATATCATAAATATGCTGAGACAGTTAATCTTTGATTTTAATTATGTCCACTGCATAGATTTGGTTAGGAAAACTATTTCTCATGACTGCTGTTGCATTTTTATTAAGCAGAATTTGATGCAACAGATTTGAGCATATGTGGACTTCTACTGAACTAGGTGTATAATCAAAGCAAGTGTGAAAGAGGAACTCAAGCCGAAGTAAGAGTTGGTCTCTGAAAAATCTTAGCATTTCTCAAACGATGTACTAGAAAACAACTGACAGAAATTCTGATTCCTGATTATGCTTTAAAGTTTCTTAAAGCTCTGCTGGAATTGAGCTTATCTGTAACATTTTGTTTTATTTTATTATTTTATTTTATTTTATTTTCTCACAGGATATCACATTGGAGTCACTGCCAAGTCATAGCCATAAATGATGAGTCGGTCCTCTTTCCAGTGGATCATAAGACAATGGACCCTTTTTGTTATGATGGTTTTAAACTTTCAATTGTCACTTTTTATGCTATTTCTGTATATAAAGGTGCACGAAGGTAAAAAGTATTTTTTCAAGTTGTAAATAATTTATTTAATATTTAATGGAAGTGTATTTATTTTACAGCTCATTAAACTTTTTTAACCAAACAGATTGAGAGTTTGAATATTAGTTCTGATATTGCAAGACTCCAGTGTACTTTTCTCCTAACAGTTGGTTGATCATTTAAAAAGGCTTTTCTCTCTCTTTTTACTGTCTTTATGTTGATTTTTAAAACTCATTTTTTATTAGATGACATTCTTCATGGGAGAATTATAATCTAGAGTCACATAGTTCTCCCACAAACATGAGTGTTTATAATAATAATCCCAAATTGGTCTTACTTATCCAATGTAGAACTTATACCAAGTGCTGTTAATTATAAAAGCATCTAGAATCAAGATAAGGTGCTACCTCTCTGTTACAGTGCACCTAGATTATTATAAAAGAAAGCAAACTCACTGCCCATCACTATGACCATCATAGACAATGAGAGAAAAATAAGTTTGAATATTACAAGAGTGACATTTTAAGAGAACTAGGAAGTATTTACATTTGAGACTTCTTTCCCTAATATCAAGACATGAATGTATGAGGTATCTAAAACCCACTCCTTCTTTCCCTCCTCTTGTTACTATTTTCTTACAGTATTGTATTTTAAACAAATGTGTGTGTATTGGTGGTGGATGCTCTTTCAAGAACGCTAAGGTTACGGGATGCCTCGCAGTTTGATGTCTGGCTGATGAACTAAGTTGCCTACTTACAAAACAAAACAACCTTTATGATATGTGTATGGGGAATATTACCAGCAATCATCTCACGGAAGAGAAATTCATGAATGAAAGGTGCATTAAGCATCAACACCTTCATATGTCTCTGGCATATTATCCACCAGATCCTTGCCCAGTGATCATCTAACCAATGAGCTCCCAGCCTCAGCTATACCTTATCACTACTTGAAAAGTTTTAAATGTCTAAGCTCCTAGACTCCCCTCCCAGAGCCTCCCATTTCAATGGACTAGAGTGAGTTGTTGGTATTAACATTTTTAAAAGATCCCTAGATATTTCCTATATGCAACTAGTGTTGAGCCTCATCCTAGTTCACTAAATATTTATTGCAGGTGATTCAAGTATAGTGTAAGACAGAAAAGCTCTGCCTTCAAGACATTTACCACCTAGTTAGCAGGAGGTGGTATGTTTTCTCAATGCAGTGCAGTAAATAACTGGCTGAGGTGTGCAGCAGGAATCCCTAGGATAGCTCCCAGGAAGCTATCACCTAGCTCAGCCTGAATGAGTCAGGGAGGGCTTCCTGG
Source organism: Homo sapiens (assembly GCF_000001405.40). Taxonomy (NCBI): domain Eukaryota; kingdom Metazoa; phylum Chordata; class Mammalia; order Primates; family Hominidae; genus Homo; species Homo sapiens. Next base: position 74,456,209 of record NC_000004.12, read on the forward strand.
AGAGATGCTACCTGAAACTTTTTTGAAGGATGAATAGGAGTTATGGAAACGAGATTGTTATAGGCATAAGCAAAATTACAAAATCACCAAACAATATGACCTGAAAGAGAAAATACAGAAAATCATTCAGTATCAACCTATGAAGTCAAAAGAGGATCTAAGGAAGCTGGGTGGTGAGGGCAGGGTCACACTGTAGGCCATGGAAAGCAATGGGAAATCAGGGTACAAACTTGATCAGATTTGCATTCCAGATAGGTCATCAGACCACAGTGCTGGGGAGGGATTTTAGCCAAGCCAAAGGTCAGAAGATAGGCTTAGAAGCAATTGAGCTATTCCAGGTGGGATGTAAAGAACATCTGAAGCTAAGAAGGGAAACTTTTGATTTGAAGTTTTATAAAAACACAAAAACGTAGCAGGGGGCAATGAAGTGCACCTGTAGTCTTAGCTACTTGCCAGGCTGAGTCGGGTGGAAAGCTTGAGCCCAGGAGTTCAAGGCTGTAGTGTGTTATGATCACACCTGTGAATAGCTACTGCACTCCAGCCTTGGAAACATTGCAAGACCTCATATCTGAAAAAAGCAAAACAAACAAAAACAACAACAAAAAAAGATTATTTATTATAGAAACAAAGCTGAAAGTAATGAGATAATGGAAGAAGAGAATAAATCTGGGATCACTCTCAGATTCCTGGCTTCAATGGCTAGGTGGCTGGTGAAATGATTTAAAGTAAGGAATCCTTGAACTGGCTTGTTCTATATTTTAGAAGGGAAACATAGCTTTTCACTTATTGACTGAAGAATGGCTCTTCTCTATTTTGTAAAGTCATCGTTTTAAATTTGTAACAGATTTACGAGGAAATAACTATCAGCCTGGCCAGTTAGTCAACTGAATCAACCCTGATCCTTACCTCACATGTGAGACTGAACATAGGGAAGAAAAAGAGAAGGCCTACAAGTGTGATAATGAATTCTGCTTTGGATCGGTGGAGTTTGAGGTGCTGGAAGGCATCCAGTAAGCAGTTAGATACACAAGAAGTTCATGGAGAAAAAAAAACTTGTAGATTGAGAGTTATCAAAATATATTTGGTAACAAAAGCCACGTAAGCGCTCAAGATTACCAAAGGAGGCTATAATAAGTCAGAAGAAATATGTGTGTTGACAATTTTTGCCAGTGGTCACCACTGTGAAGGTTCTAGGCTTGCTATCCCATATACTTTTCTAGCCCTTAAAACAAAAGTTTATGAAGTCATTACAGTGGAGTAGAAGGGAAAACACTATTACCTTAAAAATAATAATAAATCTCAAATTTATTGAGTAGTTTGGTATCCCATAGACTCTTCTAAGTGCTTTACAAGTGGTAACTCATCTACTTTTTTAGAGGCTAGATACATTTTATAAATAAGTAAAGTGAGGCTCAGAGAGATTAAGAAACTTGACCACGGTCACATAGCTAATAAATGACAGTGTCAGGTCTCTGGCTACAGAGTTGGTCCACTTAGACTCCTCTCTCTACTCCTCCTATAGTCAAGGTGTTTGTTTTGGGTTTGGAGAATTCTATATGTATGTTCGTTTAGCATGGTTTTGACTGCCATTCATTTATAAAATATTTAAATAGCTGGTTTATCTCTTTAAGACCCAAATAAGGTGGTATTGTATTTTATGTACCTGTGCTATAGCCACAAAATTTCCTCATCATCTCCTAAAATACAACTGAGCTCTTACTTATGTGCACACACAGAATGAAAAACAGAGACAATGATATATCAACCAAATAAATATTGGAATTAAAGCTGGATACTGCTCATTAGCCACCCCACTTTCTGAAAAGGCTGTTTTTTAATTGGTTAGATATCATCTACATATGTGTGTTTTGCTTAAGTTAAAGGCAATTTATGAAATGCTGGTTAGGTTAGACTACAACATTCCTTCTTGGAGGCAAACTCAATTAATTCCAGGATGTGATAAATAACATTCAGTTTTTCATTTTCCCCTGTTCATGATCTCAGAAGCTAAAAGTCTGGAGTCAAAGTTAATTTTAGATGACTAGGCAGGTTAAATGAGTGTGTATCAACAACCTTTGTTTTCTCTTCCCTGGGTATCTCCAGCACTGTGGCACTTTGGGAGAGGAGCATGCTATTATCATAGCCAGGTCCTCAAGAGATCCTCATTTTGTGAATTTATCTCAGAGAACAGCAAAATATTTTCCTTATTTGTCTGTATTGTGCCCAAGCTTAGGTGCTTATTTTGTATATGAAAAAACCTACTTAGTAGCTTAAGAATCATAAAATTCTGCCTAAGCCTATTATTTCAGCTGAACTAATTCTTTCTCCCAGATAACTTTATCCCCTCGTCTTTTTGCCCCCAGGTTAGGTAAAATTATCCTGTTATATACTCTCATAACACTTACTAACTTTCAATTCAATGATTATTTGTATAATTCTTTATTTAATATCTTATTCCCCCACTGGTCTATAAGCTCCCAAGGGCAGGGACTGTCTTTTTTACTGCTCAATAAATATATGTTGATTGAAGAAGGAATGATTAGAGGCCTTTCAATATGATTTCTTTTTATAATTGTCATGACAGAAAGTGTTTTGCAACTGGGAGAAGTGTATGGGTTTGAAGTCCTACATAATGTGTCTACTCACTAGCAAAAACCCTTTTATGGGTTATAAAGTGACAGTAATAACTTCTCAATGGATGTAATTCCCACTTTATTTAAGAGTGTGTAAAAATTATACTCAAAATTTTCAGTTTTCATGGCCCTCACTTGGCTGTTCCTTTCAGGGGAAGTTTCTTTTGTTTGAAATTGCTTCTGATGTTAGATCCTCCTTCCTTCTTCATTTTTTTTCTTCGAAACAGTAGGACTTATTTCTCTTATCTAGTGATAATTTTGGTTCCTTTGTGTCCAAATCTCTCCCTATTCTTTCTTCCTTTATACCCTTCCTAGCCTCGGGTATCTTCTATTTTTACTTATTACTTCTATGAGATCAACTATTTTAAAGCTTCCACATATGAGTAAGAACACATGGCAGTTAATTTTCTGGTCCTGGCTTATTTCATGTAACATAATATCCTCCAGTTTCATTCTTGTTGCTGTGAATGGCAGGATTTCATTCTTCTTCTTGGCTGAATAGTTTTCCGTTGTGTATATACACCACAGTTTTAAATCCATTCCTATGTTTTGGCCACTTGGGTTAATTCCATATCTTGGCTACTGTGAATAGTACTGCAATAAACATGCAATAAACACGGGGATGGAGATATCTCTTTGATATCCTGATTGCCTTTCCTTTGTATAAATGCCCAGTAGTAGGATTGCTGGATCACATGGTAGTTCTATTTGTAGTTTTCTGAAAGACATCCATACTGTTCTCCATACTAGTTTACCGTATGTTTATTAGTTCACTGTAGTTGTAGTTGACTGCTGTAGTTTACATTCCCACCGAGAGTGCATGAGTTCTCTTTTTTCCACATCTTTACCAGCATTTGCTATTTTTTGTCTTTTTTGATAATAGCCATTCTAACTGGAGTGAGATGATATTTCATTATAGTTTTTGTTTGCATTTCCCTGATGATTAGCAATATTAAACTTTTAAAAATATTTGTCAGCCATTTGTATGTCTTCTTTGGAGAAATATCGGTTCAGATCGTTTGTCCATTTTTTAATCAGATTGTTTGTTTGCTGTTGAGATGCTTGAGTGTCTTTTATATTGTGGATATTAATCCCCTGTTGGATGAAGTTTGCAAATATTTTCTCTCATTCTGTAAGTTGTCTCTTTATCCTGTTGATTGTTTCCCTTGTTGTGCAAAAGCTTTTAACTTTGATATAATCCCATTTGTTTATTTTTGCTTTTATTGCCTATGCTTCTGAGGTCTTATTGATAAAATCTTTTCTCAGACCAATGTCCTGAAGGATTTTCCCTATATTTTCTCTTGGTAGTTTTAAAGTTTCAGGTCTTATATTTAGGCTTTAATCCATTTTGAGTTGATTTCTGAATAGAGTGAGAGATAAGGGTCAAGTTTTATTCTTCTGTATATGCATATCCAGTATTCCCAGTATGATTTATTGAATAAACTGTCCTTTTCCCAGTGAATGTTCTTGGTATCTTTGCCAAAAAACAGTTGACCGTAGATACCTGGGTTAATTTCTAGGTTATCTAGTAACTGTAGAAACAATAAATTTTAAAAGTTAAAAAAGAGTATGAGGATCCACATATGTAAGTAAATTTTAGTGGCTTAAAAATAAGAGAATTTATTATTATCTCTAATAAAATAAATATAGAAGTAGGACACTATAAGTTTTATTAATTCAATGGTCCAGTAATAGTAACCAAGAACTAGGTTGTTTCCCTATTGCTACTTGTTGTATCCTCATAGTTACCAGAAGGCAGTAATATATAAAAGCACTAGATGCAATGGATAAATTGCTACAAAAATACAAAAAAAAAAGTACAAAATGTGTGATGGGGATAACAACCCTTAAATAAACCAATAAGCAATACAAAATTGAAAAGATAATCAAAGTTCATCTTCTCCCATTCTCCCAAAAAAGAAAGGAAAAACCCCACAACCCAGCTCACATGGCTTTACAGTTGTTCAGAATGTAAAAGAAAGTGACATATGCCCAACTCATTTTATGAAGATAGGGCAATCTTGATGCCAATATGTAGAAGGGCAATATAAGAATATAATCATAGGCACATTTTACTTATACACAGATACAAAAATTGAAAGTTATATTTTAAAAAATTATATCATGAAAGCAGACTTTTTGCCAGGAATGCAAGGATGGTTCACCATCAAAAAGGGTATCATTGTTATATAAAATATAATTTAAAACAACATAGGGTTTTGTCATTAAAGGAAGAAAAAACATTTAAGTGCAAAATTGTATAATTTAAAGTAGTTTTTAAGCTAATAATGAAAGAACAATTCCTGAACTTGATAACAGCTATATACTAGAACCTATAACAGAATTTATACTTACTGTCAAAGTAATAGCTTTTTTTTTCTTTTAAAATTAAGGCAGGGATACCCATTATTACTACTACTGTTTAACACAGTATGAAATTTCTGATAAAAAGTATAAGGAAAAAAACATAAAAAGTGTAAGATTTGGTAGGAAAGAAATAACTGAATCTTTGTTTGCAGTCACAATGGTAATCTACCTAGAAGAGCCAACAGAATCAACATAGCAACTATTAGAAATTTTAAGAGAATTTCATGAATTTCCAGGTATAAAATTTCAAAATTAACAGCTTTTTTTTTTACAAAGAGCAATATTAAGATAAAAATAAAATGGTATTCACAATCATTAGCAAGATAAAAATAAAATAGTACTCACAATCATTAGCAAACTATAAGTTATTTATATATTTACAATGAATATATAAGATTTCATTGAAGAAAATTTTAGACATCTATTAAAAGAAAACAAAGAAGTCTGTCATGGAGTGACATTCCCTTGTTTTAGACTTTCTAGTGTACAGAGGGTAATTCTCTCTCCAAATCATCTTTAAATTCATTAAAATGTTAATCAAAATTTCAACTGGATATTTTTAGGAACTTGATAAATAATATTTTAAAATTTGCATGGGAAAGTGGTAGTCCATAAACAGCTGTCATTTAAAAACAAAGAAACAAAAACAATAAAGGATTTTTGGCTTACTGGTTCCTGTAAACATTGCTGGTTGGATATTAGCTTGGAGCTGCCATTACAATAGTACTTAGTGAAATTATAAATGAATATACCATATTGTCCAAGAATATATAGAGTTGAAACAGTGACATTCTCGTGTAATCATGAACAAATAGACCAGTGCAAAGACAGATGGAGCTCAGAGCCAATTTATTATTAAACAATAAAATTGTTCTATAAATTAATAGGGAAAAATAAACTGCTTAGTAAATGTAAAAAAAAAAAAAGGGGGGGTCTTAGAATACGAAGAAAAATAAATTCAGATGGCTACCTTATACCACAGACAATGATAGATTCCACAAAGATAAAATATCTTAATGTAAAATGTGCATCTATGAAGTTAATACAAAAATAGTGTAGAAAATATACATGTAATTTAAAGGTGGGAAAGGATTTAAGCAAAATCCCATAATTTAAAAACATAAAGAGAAAATTAGCTATTGTTTTACATTACATCAAAATTTAAAAGTTCTGTTACAAGAAGAATGTCATGGACAAATCTGTGACAGCTGACAAAATGGGAGAAGGAACGTACAGGGTCTAAAAACAAAAAGAGATTATAATATTCAAGTAATGACTAAAAAGTCAACAAAGAAATACCTTCAACTTAGGACCTTCCATTTAAAGAGGGGAAAGGATATGAGCTAGGAATTCACAGAATTTAAAACCTAAGTAACCAATAAGCATGTGGCTATGACTAGTGACAGCCCATTTGTTGCTTTGGTGGAATTAGAAATAAATAGTCAGCCTTTCCTTCAAATAGCTATTGTCCCATCCATGCCAGTGCACACAGGGCACAAGCTGGTTTTGAGCTCCCACTCACATTCTTGGCTAGGTGTTCTTTTGTAAGTACCCGCATCCATATATCATGGCCCTGCATATAAACATGCTCAAACTTCTTGAAATAAACAGAAATACAAATCAAAATAACAATAGGATATTACTTAATGACCATAAGATTTGCAAAAATAGAAGCTGGGTAATGCCAAATGTTGGTAGAAGCTTGTGGACATAGGAATCCTTAAACATTACTGACTGGAGATTAGCATGGAGCTGCCATTATGGAAGTACTTAGTAAAATTAAAAATGAATATACCATATTATCCAGAGTAAATATATTCCTGACACATGTAAAGACTTGCATGAGGGTATTCATTATAGTTTTTTTCAATGTTAGAGATTAGAGGCAATTGATGTGTTCAAACTGGATAATGCAGAAATCAACGGTGTGGATGCTCACTGGGAAATACTATGCAACCATTAGAAATGAAGGAAATGTATTCATAGTAATAATGTAGATTTTTTTAATGTTGAAATTTTAAAAGGAGGTGTTGAGTCAAAGAAAGAAGCCAATAACATCCATATGTATTTCTGTTAATTAAAATACACATTTACAAGATCATGATGCAATACACATGGAACACATCAGAATGGTTGCCTAATGGTCAGGGAAATGTGATGAGAACAGAGAAGTGGTAGGGAAGGTAATGAAAAATAGCTAAGTAAAACAACAGGAAGCCTTCCCTGGAACAATGCTGGTGGCATGCTATGCACCAAGAATGTTTAATTCAGCCTTCTGCAACACTGTCTCCCATCTATTTCTCTATATATGAAGAAAATGACCAATGGTGACAAGGAAATGAAGCTAATAAACATGAGGCTCACTTTGTGATTAAGCGAAAGGGCTACTGTAGACCAGGTGGAAGGCCTTATTGAGGAGATGTCATTTAGCTGACACTTGAAGGATAAGAAGGGATGACCCTGAGACAATGGGGGTACCCAGCAAGACAGTGGTATGGGAAGATGTTTGGCCCTTGAAGAGCTGTGATGAGAATGGGATGGAGGAGGGAAGGCAGGGCCAAATCTTCCACAGGACATTGGAGAAATTCAGATTTTTGTGTGAAGGCAATGGGGAATTATGGATTGTCTAAGAAGTGGAAAGTCTCATGATCTGATTAACATATCATGTTTCTATGTGCAGAGAGGACTGGAGAAATGCAGTGGGGGAAGCAGAGGGATCAACTAGGGAAGCAGCTCTTTCAGGGGGTCAGGTGAGGGAGATGAAGGGAGTCTAAACCACAGTGGTGGCAGTGAAAATGGAGAGAAATAGCTGCTGGAAGACTGGGAGAGGCTTAGCCTAAGGGACAGATGATTGGGGAAAATATTAGCTCTAGTTTAGTGTTTAAAGCCTTAGCTATAAAAAAGTATAATTACTCTGTCACTCTAGAGAAAACAAAATGCATCTATTATTCCAATCCTTTGTGGGTCGATTTTGGTTTAGAACAAATAAATTCCTGAGAACTGTCTAATGGTGGACTTCACTGTCCCTGAATTTCTGGATTTTCAGTCAATAAATCACATAAGCCAAAAATACGTCTGAATCTGTGGTGGAAAAGAATGAGTAGCAGTAGAGAAATCTATGCAATACTGAGAGGTAGGGCTAAATGACTTTTATGGTGTCTTCCAAAGTCAAATAGCATTCATTCTATGAAAAGAGCAGAAAGCTAAGTTCCCAGCACCATTTATTGAAGAAACTGTCCTTTCCCAGTGAATGTTCTTGGCATCTTTGTCAAAAAACAGTTGACTGTAGATCCAAATAAATTGTGAAATACATTGTGGCTCAGTCTTAGGATAATGAAAACATTAAGATCACTCTAGCAATGTGCTTATAGTTGGAGTCAATAGAATCAGGTCTCAAATATCTTCTTGAAGGAGTTGAGTTTGAATTATTTTCTTTAAAATAACCTCAATTAGAGGTGAGTAGTGGGATAAAAAAAGAAAAAAAGAACTTCAATTATTTTTCATAGAAGTGCATGTTTATTGTTGAAACTTAACAAGAAAGAAAATTTGAAAATCACCCCAAATTCCACTAATCGGAAATAACACTTTTAATATTCTGGTGTATATTATTCCAAACACTTTATCAACATATATACATAAAATGTAAGAATTTTTTTGTTCTTTTCATGCTGCTTTAACACATCATATTTTATCTGGCAATATATGATAGATATCTTTCCCATATCATTACATATTATTCTGTAATATAACTTTTAATGCTATAGAGCCTCTCATTGTGTGCCAATCCTGAGAGTTTAGGGATAATTTTGAAACAGGTGTGATGAGACTTTCTAAATAATATGTATGACATACACTATAAAATTATATGGCTAGAAGAGCTGAGTTTGAAGGATCTTTCATACTGGACAGATTCCAAGGCATCAGTAAGTAAGAGCTAGCTTTGAGTGCTTACTTACCATGTGCCAAATGAGCTTTAATCAGTTTACATATGTAAATCCATTTATTCCTTACAAAATCCCTATTCTATATTAACTACTCAAGTCCATGGATCAGGTTTAAGAATCCCTGGATTACAAACTTCTAACAGGTCCTACATACCTTAATTTTTTAAAACCTCGATTGCACTAAGAAAACTGTTTAGTATTCTGAAAAGCAAAGCTCCAATTCTAGGGGTTTGTAAATAAATAAAAACTCCTTTCATCATAGCCCTGACCATCCTGCTGAACATAGGAGTGCTTGGTGGAATCCACAAAAAGCAGCCTTCTCTAATCATGAGAGAAAATTTGGAGAAAATTTCTGATTAGCAATTTAGAGTACCAAGAAAGTGATGAAGTGGAGGAGGAACTTAGTGCAGAAAGATTGGCAGGATAAGAATAACACTGGACTCTGGAGGCACAAAGACGCTTTTCCTTGTGCTGTTGAAAGTATGCAAAGAAACTTGTGAAAAACAACAGGGATGGGCAAACAGTCGAAAGATCAGGAGGGCCAACATAAACCTTTGGTCAGGCTTAAAACAAAGGCCCTGTGAGGTTCCACATAAATTGGCAGCTTCTTTCTTCATTCTTGTTTCTCCTTCCCCATTTATTTGGCACATCTTCTTTCCAGGTAAGAATTCCTGAACTCTTTTTTTTTTCTTGCAAGATTCTCATTGTGCAGGCTGAGACTTAGATGAATATTTTGCTGCCTTGTTAACAAGTGAGCGCACATACAGTATACCCAGAGTGAACTTGAGTATAATCATGTTGCATTTGATGCAATCATGTTGATCTCAACAACTCATGCTGCATATGAGTTTAGTATTTATACATACACATGAATGTGGTCTGTATATTCAGACACATCCCAGTGAGTGGGAATATAGACTTATTTCATTGCAGTTATATTAACGAGTGTGCTGTAGTATAAGCGTTGTATTACCCCTGTGATCCTTAGGTATTAAGGAAAAGGAGGTGTTGGCTAGGGCCTTATTCCAGGGCACTGGTTTCTAATGACCGTACTGTGCCATCCATGTAAGCATAAGTCCCCTGAACTCCCTGGTGCTTGATGATCAAATGTCTATTGAATAATTAATTAACTAATTAATTAAAAGTATTCTGTGATTCTCAGCATGGCTTGAAATCAGTGATCCATTAATCTTCAGGTGCTTTGTTTAGTGGAAGGTCACCTGCCACTCAGGTAACTTGGGAGCCTGCCTATTAGGCTTCCCCCAAGGATCACTTCAAGCACATGACTCACTCCACGAAGGCTTTTAGAGCCAATAAACTCAATACTAGGGAAAAGGCTACAGATGTGGCTCATTCATAGCTTTCATTGAAAAGTAAGCAGGGAGAATCTTAATGGCCAGGATTCTATTGGAGATAGATCATGAACAAGGAAAGCAAAGCACCTAATTAAATCTTAATCAGCTGACTCTATCACTCAAGTTCATGGAGGATTTCAGAGACTGCTTTCATGAAGACATGAAGCATACCACAGGCCTAGGTGCTCCTTCCACTCTCGGTTCTTCCTGTTATGCACGTACGGTGAAAGGGCCAGCGTCACTAGAAGGGGCTTTAAGGAACTGTGTTCTTTCCTCATCAGACCTAGACTTAACTGTGTAATTCTGCATTCTCTCTTCTGCATGCCATTTTTGCTCATTTATAAAGGATTAGGCTCCTCCAGTGAGAGAAGATAAGGCTATCTTTAAAATGCTATGAACTTTGCAGAAAGGACTGCAAAGGACACAGAACCCCAATTCAGGAGACTTGGATCTCGTAAACAGTCTGCCTCTCCTGAGCTGTTCCTTATCACTCAAAACTGGCCTCATCTGAAAATGAGGGGCATGGAAAAGATGACCATGAACTCTCTTCGAATACTGAAATGGTTTCTTGGGCACAGGTCGTTTTACTATTCCCATTCAGAAAGGTGCCTAATAAATGTTTTAGAAAATGTAAATAGTCTTTTCAGAAAGTTGGGGATAGAGTTCCTCCACTTTTCAAAAGGCAATTTCTGAGGGCCACCTAAGTTAGGATTCTTTATTTCAGCTGAGCTGCACCTGTGACTCTTCCTACAGTATTTAGAAGAATGCCTAGAAGTCACGATACACACTCAGTACATTTTATTTTTAATATGCGAATAAATGAGGGTTTTTTAATCCATGTAGAAGGCATGAATGACTTCTTAGAATGTGAAATGTTACCATATTGTGAAGTATCTTACAATAATTTAAAATATAACAAAGGTTTGATGCAGTTGAATTGACAATAAAGTATAATGAAATGAACACTCTATTTGCCATCGAAAGCCTAGAGTAGCCTTTGACAATGTGTGGGGGTTTTCCCAACCTCAATTTTCTCATTTGCAAATTGAGACTAATAGTAACACTGTCCTATTTACCCCATCAAATTCTGATGAGAATCAAATATCTGAAAATGCTTTGCTAACAATCGTGCTATAAAAACATTAGATACCTAAGATACTGAGATGCAGTAAGAAATAGAAATTTGTTCTTTGCTCCTGGTTCTGGGTACATAGCTCCTAAAACCCTTGGAAGCTCTGCAGTGACAAGAGTGTCCTTTATGTACTAATAAGATTACTCGTAGCTGGGGTTCCCTAGATAGCATCTAGGAGGGGGCTGGTTATCACAAAAGACCAAGGCAGGATTAGAAGGTTAGGACTGTCAGTCCCACTCCTCAACTTCTAGGAGGTGAAAGGGGCTAAAAGTTGAGTTGATTACCAATGGCCAAAGATTTAATCAGGCATCCTATGTATTGAAGCCTTCAGAATCCAAAAAGATTGTATTGGGGAACTTCCTGGTAGCCGAACACATGAAGGTTCCTGGACGGTGCTACACCTGAAGAGGGCATGGAAGCTCTGTGCCCCTTCCCACATGTCTTGCCCTTTGCATTTCTTCCGTCTGGTGTTCATCTGTATCCTTTGTAATACCTTTATAAAAACATCAGTAAATGCAAATAGAGTGTAACCTGAGAACGGAGTTGTGTGAAGCCCAGCTTATAACTGGTTGGTCAGAAGCACAGGTGAAATGCCCTGTACTTGCTATTGGCATCCCAAGTGGGGAAAGTCTTGTGGGCCTGAGCCCTCACCCTGTGAGATCTGATACTACCTCCAGGTAGATGGAGTCAGAACTGAATAATTATAGGCCACCCAGCTGGTGTCTGCTACAGAATTTCTTGGTTTGTGGGAAAACACCTCTCCACATATCTGTCATGTCAAAAGTATTGTGTTGAATGTGATTTTTTCCTGTACCTGGGAATGTCATAACATCCTGAGATGTACAATTACTGGTATTAATAAATTTCTTCCCCAGATATTCTTTTAATATTATGTATTTAATATTTCATTAGTAAGCTACTTTAACCCATAAATTAAAAAAAAAAGTTTTCTAAAGCATGTGTCTACTGTTTTCAAACACAATAGAAGTGAACACTTTCTTAGAGATGCATTTTAATCTAATGAAAAACATATATAAACATTTATGATGACATCAATATCTGAACATATTTAGTTACTTAGAAGTCTACTTAGAGGGCCTTTAAAATACATATCATTAATTCCCTATAGACAACTAGAAAATCTAAAAATCCCCCAAATCAACATTTTTTCTTTATTTGTATTAGTGAAAATATTTACTTATTTCATTGCAGAAACAACAATGAATGATTTTTCTTGTAACCCAGTCCCAACTAGAGATATTATGAAATTTATGGAATATGTAAGAATTTTACCTATCTAAAATCAGAAAAATTTGGTTCCAAAATTTTTGATAAGTGATTGTGGACTTGTATTATTACAAGCAAAAGGATGAAAGCATAGCAACAATGGTAATTCAGGCACATCTAAAAGTTTTTTTTTTCCTTGATAGTTCATTATAACTAAACCACTATGGTCTGTAGTGGCCTGCTGGGAATCTCTATTCTTAGCCCAGTGGTGCTCAAACTTCTCATTTAAAATTTTCCTTATAAACTGCATCTCATTCCTTTAAAAATCCTCATTTGTTTAAAAATATTCCATATTTTAGACAATGTGTGGGCTGTTGGCCCTTGAATGCTGGTGCTATCAGCATGGGCTGATTCTAGCCAGAGACCCTTTCTAGGCTGTGGAAATCAATCCAATATGCTGGGCACTGAAGCTACCATCCCAAACTTTCTCTTGTCTCCTGAAGGCATTTGACCTTCAAGACAAATAGGCCTGGTGCAAAAGAGTGGTGCAATAACCAAAGGTCCTTCTGCCAAGAACCCCAGCTTGGCCCTTAAGCCCACAGGGGTTTCACTGGGAAAGTCTGGTTTGTTCGATTAAAGGTCCAACCCTGCAGCAGTTCTGGGCCCCCTGGCACAGGCTTCCTGTCTCTGGTCATGTCCACCACAAACTCTTGTTTTTCAAATTCTGTTTGTTACCATATCTTAAATTTTTTTCTAATCAAACTTTTCTTCAAAATAAGTCTCTATCTTAAACTACATGAACTCTTTAGCCGTCTTGTCACATTTAACAGTCCGATGACTGAACGATGGCTTTGGCAATTGTAGCATTTTTCTGGATCGTCAGGTGCCCGGACAGTAAGGTACAATTGCACATGGTTAGGTGTATATGGCCGTGCATTGCCTATCATTTATATATACTATGTGGCTCCCAAAAACTTCTGTTCTGGATGGTACTTTCCTCCAAGGAGTTTCATTTACGTACCTCAAAGATGTATTTGAGCCCATCCAAAGCTAGTAAGAAAGCTCTACTCTAAATAATACACATTTCTACCCAAAATGAAGCACCATGACTTTCTATTCCCTTCTGCTGTTACTTCAAGGCTTTTAGGCTCCCCTTGAAGCACAGTGGGACTACAGGGTGGAACATAATGCAAGATGCCACTGCAGGGGTGAGGAGGGGGCACTTTCTGGGAACTACAAAAGACTAGAGAAAATGAGCCTCCATTTGTTTGTTGTCTAGTCTCACCTCAAATAAAGTGACAATATTACATCTCATAATTTACTAAGACAATTCTTAAAGAATAAATGATACATCAACTGTATAAAAAAGGCCAAAAAAAATCTTATTCCACTCAATTTAGCATATATTGAATACCTACTCTACACCAGATGCCCTGATAGAGAGTAAAGTTACACGAAAGCAGTGTAGAGTTTAATGTTCCATTTCATAAAAACACTCCTGAATTTCCATGCATTTAATTTTCATCCTTTATTTTCATGCATTAGAAACTGAATTCTTAAACTAGTTTTAATAAACCTTACTTGAACCTTCATGCACCAATACATACACATTTCAAGTCATTATGTGGCAGAGCTTCCTATCAACCAAGAATTCAGTTGGAGACTATTGTGTTCTTTGTTAGTACGACAGTTTTTATTTGTGCCATTACTTAAATATTTTACTGTAGTTGTTTTCAAACATGACATTGGGAAGTGCATCTGAATTATATCGTGAGTTGAGGTGAGGGCAATTCGATTAGGTTCTATGTCTTCCACTCCCATTGCAATTAGAAATCTCTGCTTCTGTGTGTGTTGAATTGGACTTCTAAGAAGGTTCTCATCAGAATAAACTCTGTATAACTTCAAAACAATAAAAAATCACTAATAGAATTTTATATTTCTATCATTGTCTCATAAAATAAATGGAAATAGAAAAGTAGAAACACAAATAACTTCATATAATTAAGTCATAGATACACATTAATAGACTGCCAAAGTGACAAGTTTTTAATCCTCGTCAGACACATATTGTGATTACTTTCATTTGGGAAAGGAAAGAACAGAAGTAACAAGTACCATCAAAATTATTTGAAAAAAGTGACAAAATTATGGATTTTGAGATGTTTCACTTTCTGGACAGTAACTCTTCCCACGAGGCATGTAAGCTCTATTTGACATTGGCATTTTCAATCTCCTTTAAAGCTAAAGTAGGGAATACTTGTACGAGGTTAACAGAAAAATGAATCAAAATTATCCCTATTAAAAACCTATCTTCTTTTCAGTGGAAGAAAATCATTTTTTTTTTTCTTGGGGATGATGCCCCAGAAGGCATGACTCCCCTCTGGGAGTTCATGGATCTGTGATCTTTCTGGGGAATCACTGACAATTAACACGCCTCTGGGAAGCAAGACCTATATAAGAGAGAGGTGAAGGGAGGGGCCTTCCTAATTGAAAAGCCCAGAGATCTAGCTAGACACTTCAGGGAAATGTACTGTTTGAACTTGTTCTGGGAGGGCCAGCTGATCAGTTAGATTACCTTTTGACACACAACAAAAGCTCTTTAGGGTAGAACTGCAGGCTCTGGGTAGAGCTTCCCATTTAAAAGCAAAGATTGCCTGTGGCATTGGGGCACACCCAAGTCTTCTGACAACTAGCTACCAAGCTCTAGAGCATGACAAAAATAAGGGGATGGAGAATAGGAAATTTGACAAACATTATGGAACAGGGATGAGGTAGAGGGAGTTGTGAAAAGAAGGGTGGGTGAGAGAGGGAAAGCTGGAAGGAAAGGGATCACTAGGAGGGAAGGATGGGTTCAGAGAAAATTTAACCAAATTTAATGAAACATTAACTATAAACTAATGCTTGTTGCTCACTGTGTGGTGGGGACACTTGAGAGTTTGTTAGGAGCACAGGATCTGAGACCCCAATGCAGATGTAATGAATCTGCATTTGAACACAATCTCCAGGAGAATACTGTTCACATTTTGTTTGAGAACCACTGCTAACACAGCTGTCTGAGAAATGGGCTGTGGAGACTCACAGGAAGAAACTGCTATGGGTTGAATTGAAAAGACCATAAATTTTAAAAAAGTTAAACTTCTAAAATATTGTTTGAAAGTATTCAAATAAAGGTGTTATCTCATACAAAACATATACCCTCCTACTATATCTTGCTATGTTAGGTTAGGCAGAACAATACATTGATTGAAACTTGAAAAATTCTGGAAAACAGAATTAACAAACAGCACACCATGAGGTGACACTGAGTATGTCTTTAGTGAATTGATATAAATAAGCAATAATCAATAAGTAATGATGAAACTGAATTGAGTTGACTGCTAAGGAGCCAATTTAAATCAGATATGAAAACTTTCTTGTTTGTTCACAGCTTAGAATAATAAAGTAAGTTACATTCGTGGAGGATAAACCATATTCCAGGCACTTCTCTATATGTATTATCTTATTTAGTCATTATTATACTATGAGTAGGTGTAATTATTCCCTGTCTACAGATGAGGAGGAAGATTAGGCTGTAGAGGACTTAAGCAATTTAAGCAAGATACCATAGCTAACAATAATGGTAAAGCTGAGCACTGTACCTTGCAATCTAATCCCAGAACATGTGTCTTTAGCAACTACATACTGCCATCCATGAGAAAGGAATCAAAATGCCCAGCCTAGCACCATAGTGGAGGGAAGTTTGGCTCAAAAGAATATACTCCAAGACCATATAGAGTGCAAAATAGCCTTTTTAGCAAAAAACTCACTGGCGATTCAGCTGACACAGAGTATTGTTTCTGTGACTATGTTCTAGGTAGTTTTTTAGAGGTGTAGCCCTTGTATTTATCCACTGGCATTGGCCTTTGGGTTCATGTGTTGAAATGGCCCTCCTCGGCTCCCCCACTATATCTTCATCATTGTTTGCTTCTGGCAATATTGGTTTAGCATCTTCTGAGCAATTGATGGATGGCTGGTTTATTTTTCTTCAAAAGGCCTTGCTGTTGGGATAGCTTAGAGGTCTTATCCCCACTTTCTGTTGCCCAGAATATTCCTGTCTGCAGGTATGTCATCCTACGAGTTATCACCATTGATAGAATCCCAGCACACAAATTTGTCATATGCAACATAATATCATGTCACAAAATGTCATATTCCTTACTTTAAGGAATTCAAGGAATTAAGCATTCTTTTCCAGGCACTACTTTTGACTCTTCTTCCAGCATAGGACCCCATTTAGCTAATATTTTGAATATATCTTCTTAGGGCACTCTACTTGCTAGACTTAGGTTGAGCACTTCCTTTCAAGGGACTAGGTCCTTTGTGAAGTGCGGATAACTTCCTTTCTGAGCACGGGTACATTTCTTTACTCTCAGATCAAGTTGTTCTATTCATAGGCATGTCAGATCTTTCATAATCAGAGCCGTGCTGACTAAGCCATGCTGGAATTCAGTCAGGGAAAAGAGAATCAGCTGAAATGAAGTTGCTCCAAGGGGGTTGGACGAGATGAATATTGACTGCAGGAAGCAGGGTCTGGGAGAAACTTGGCCTCTAGATTCAGGTCTAGTCTCTATATCCCTGTCCATGTCTCTGTTAGGAAATGATGGGTAGGACTGAGAAACTTTGGGACATTTATTGCTCTCAGCAAGCCAAGAACCCAGGGCCATAAGCAAAGACTTGAGCTGAGGCAGGTTAGATGAGGGCATGTTGCCCTGTTTTAACAACCTGTCAACAACTTAAGGGGAATTACAGAACATTTTGTCTGTTTGTTTAAATTTTTTTTCAGAAAAGATGCTATCTTTGAGAGTGCTTGAGCTTTTTCTCCAGGACCTCTTCATTTCTCCACATATTTTTTCTTCAGAGATGGCCTCTCCTTTCCAGGTTACCCCGCTTACCTCAGGCTTGGGCTGTTTTCTCCTCTTGGAGGTCACCACATCACTCTAATTTTCTTCTGTGACAATCTGTCCATACATCTTAGTGTTAGGATGGCATCTCAACCAACATTTCCCTAACAGAACTCATTACCTTTATTCCTCAACCTGCTGTGCTTCTAATTTACATTTATTGCTTAAAACATCTCCCTCTCTCTTCTCCTTTCTTTACTGAATATCTAATAGTACTGAATCTACCTGAATAAAACTTCTTACATTGGTTGGTTTTCTATTTTTCATTCTCTGCTATTACTTAGCTCTAATTAGCACTTGTTTAAACAGTTGCAAAGCCTTTCTTTCATGAATTTCCTGCATTTCAACAGTTCATTACTTTCCTCTCCCATTAATGTTTCATAGAATTGCCTGATTAATATTACTGGAACAAATCACTGGTCATATAATTTTGCTCTTTAAATATCCAATGTCATTATTCTCTTTTATTTCCTAAATGACCACCCATTCCTGCATACTCATTATTCCCTGGAAACATGAAGTGGACACATAATCCTGGGAGTAGCTTCCAATATTACTTCTGAGATGCACCCTTTCTTTTCCTATAGATGAGATCCCCTGTCTATTCCCCTCACTACCACTGCTCAGCAACTTCTACATAGTAGGGAGTTTTTAAGCACATTAAGTTTGTGAGTCAAGGCCAAGTTCCCATCCTCAGCTACCTCCATGTGTTTAGGATGATCTGGCTCCCAGAATCAAAACACTGCTCCTTACTCAGTACTCAAGCATGCCTACAAGTTCCTCTTTTAAAAGACGGTTTTCCAAGACAAGTCTAGTCTATAACAGTAGTACTGGATCGATGTGAGGAATTAACCTCAGCCCATCTATCCAGCAATCTTCTAAGGTGTCTTACCACGATTTCTATTTTAATAAGAGACCCAGAAATATTCTTGGCACCTTTATCCCTCCCCTTCCCTCCAGGAAATGCTGTCATTGAGGTACTGACCAGCCCAGATGTAGTGTTCCCACACTGTCAGGCAATGAATCATGAAAGGAACCAAAAAAGTTTTTCTGCAGTCACACTCCAACTGGAGCCTTGTGCATACATCCAAGCCTATTAGTATCATAGTTAACCATTAATTATATCAATAACATGAAATCGATGAGCTGCCACAGGAGGAAATGCATTCCTAAAGCAGGAGGGTGGGTATAGAAAGTGTGGGTGAGAAGATGGGGAGAGAGAAAAATCCTGTGATCTTTATGGTTTTATATATGTAATTAAGGCTCCTTTAAATCTGGGCAACTTGGCAGCTTAGGTTGATCTCTTTACCTTGCCAACTAAAATGTTCTGTAATTCCCCTTAAGTTGTTGACAGGTTGTTAAAACAGGGCAACATGCCCTCATCTAACCTGCCTCAGCTCAAGTCTTTGCTTATGGCCCTGGGTTCTTGGCTTTGCCAGGAGAAGGTGTGGCTTTGGGAGAGTGCACCAAGTTCACAATCTTGCAGTCATTGTATACAAGGCATCAAGGAGGCTGTGCTCCTGTGCATGAGTACAATAAGCAGGGCCTGGCACTGGTAGGTCAGAGGCATGCCGTCTTTAAACCTGATAAAGTTCATGAGACTGCAAAAAGAATATTAGAGAGGAAAAAAGAAAAAGAGGTCAGAGGCTCTGTGAGCTATGATTTCTCTATTTGGGTGCATTTATATATGCTTGTACAGCAAATGTCACTCTGGACTGGGAGCTGTACAACTCCAGCAGGTTTGGCTGTGGTCCAGTCATCATTTAATTTGAGAATTTGTAGTGATGGCTTAATGAGCTCTGTTGATGAAATGGTAATGGGTTTGCTGCAATAAAATTGGGGTCAATATGACAATCTTTTGAACATAAACATGCCAGCAAAGAAGAGAAAAGGAAGAATTAAAATTGCTTTATTTATTTTCTAAACAAAACTAAACAAGAGCCATATTTCAAATCCCTTTTCGCTGAAATTAAGAACATGTGAACAAAGCCTGCTCTAAAAGCTTACTCCAAACCCATGTACATTCATATAAGTTAATTTCCTTAGAATAAGAATACAAAATACATATATAATCCTAATATTAATAAGTCCCAAATTAAGTTACATTAGCATTAATACTTATCAGGGTAGCTACATAATTTATGGGGCCCAGTGCACAGTGAAAATCGGGGGGCTACTGGTTCAAAGCACAGGAAAGAATTTTCATTAAAGGAAATAAAATAAAAGATATGTTTTTGCAGTCTTTTCTTTGGCTTTTCATGGTGTTTTTAAATGTCCAAGTAAAAAAATTAATAAATTTATATTAGCTTGAATTTTACCATTCATCTTTATATTGTGCAATAAGTTTTAAATGCAAATGTAACATCATTTAGCTTGTATACAGAATCAATAATATTGCACGATTCTTACTTTGTAGTTCATATATGCATATGCATTTCTTTCTTCCCAGAATAGTAGAAACACTGGACATGACTAAACTAACTCACGTGTTTTTATTTTACTTCTTGATATGCACACATTCTACTAACTCTCTACCTTCTGCTTACTAATTAATAAGGAGATATTGAAAGGAAAGAACTGTGGTTTGTGCTATCCAATGGTTTCCTTACAGGTTATCATTGTCAGTGTAAGTAGTTTGCTAATACAGGAAATAAACATAAGAAGCAAAAGATAAATGCTGTATATTCTACTTGGACTCAAAGGTATCCCACATTTCAGCAGTCTAATTACAATTAAACAAAAACAAGAGTTGAAGTACAGAGAGCGAGACTCTCTTAAAAAAAAAAAGTACAATATTAGAACGGATATCACAGCCAGTATATGTATCACGAAAGTAGGCTGGGCACAGTGGCTCACCTCTGTAATCCCAGCACTTTGGGAGGCTGAGGCAGGTGGATCACCTGAGGTCAGGAGTTCGAGACCAGCCTGGCCAATATGTGAAACCCTGTCTCTGCTATTAAGTACAAAAATTAGCTGGGCATGGTGTTGGGCACCTGTAATCCCAGCTACTTGGAAGGCTGAGGCAGGAGAATCGCTTGAACCTGGAGGGTGGAGCTTGCTGTGAGCCGAGATCACGCCACTTCACTTCAGCCTGGGCATAAGAGCAAAACTCCATCTCAGAAAAAAAAAAAAAAAAAAAAAAAAAAAAGAAAGTAATATAGAGAATTAAAGAATTTCAGAAGAAAGAGAGAAAATGGAGAAGTGAGCAAATCAACATCGTCAGTAACACTGTTCTCATCAAATTCTCAATTAGAAAAAATAACAGTCTAGGTGAGGAAATTTGAATCTTGCGATTCAAATTTGGAAAAGTAAAGATGGAAATGTCAAGAGTAGGGATAACTAGGATAGAAAGATAGTGCTGGACCAGAATTCAAGATCTTAGCTAAGGCATTTTTGCTTAATATTATAACCATTGTTTTAATAAGAAAATAAGAAGAGCTACCATTTGGTGGTTTCCTATTTCATGCTAGGGACTGTGACTATCCCTTTATATGCGTTAACTAACTCCTCTAATCTTCATGACAAGCTGTAAGTTAGGTACTGTTAATCAGCCTCTTTTTGACAGAATAATAAATTATGTTAAATAACTTGCCCATGGGTTTCACAGCTGGTAAACAGAGGAGCCCGAGCATTTGAGGGTAAATAATTGGAGTATTCAGAGAAGAGGAATGACAGGATGTTACGGGGTTAAATCTATCAATACGCACTTAGAACCTATTGAGTGGCGCTTTCTGGAGGCAGCGGTTCAATCAGTGCAATATCGAAATCATATAGATGTAAAATTTTAAAAGTGTGCACTAGGGAGAAGCAATAGAAATGTGAAAGAAAGAGGGAGATAAAAGATAAAAAAAGAAATCATCAAGTTTGAGGGCTCTTGGCTAAGAGATAGCAAAGAATCAGATTGTTAGTTTATACCAGAAGTGGCAAAATCATGGTCCACTAGCTGAATTTGGTCTACAAACCTGCTTTCTGTGGAGAGCTGATTATAGGATTACTTGCCAAAATTTAAACTTTTAAAAAAAATTACATGAAAACATGAAACTTTGGTTAATTATTTGTTTTAAATAGAACAATTTGGGAATGTGGGTCCTCATTAAATTATGGTAGTTGTTAGCCTGAGTCCCCTTTAGTTAGTTCTTGCTTTCTCTACTTCAGAGTCCCACTTGGTATACTTCATTTCTTTATAGTATCTATGTGACCTTTATTAGCAGTATTTGAATTCTTAATAGCTGCCTATACATATGAATATCTTGTTGACAATATTTAATTAGATAATATATGTGAAAGTGCTTGGTAAATTATAATGTAGTATATAAATATATATAGCATTATTAAATTAATATAATCCTGACACACTTTATGAAGAAAAGGGCCAACCAACAATTTAGTAGAGTAAGGAATTTATCCTGAAGCATCAGCCCATCTTCTAAGTCTTTAATTTATTTGTGCATTTATGCACTTAATAGGTATCCATTGAGCACTGTACAAGATACTGAAACAACCAACATTTCAATCAACAACTTTTCATTGACCACTGAAAATCTCCTAAGTACTATAGGTATAATGGTGAAGAAGGTAGATAAAGCCCCTACTCTTAAGAAGTTTACAGACGATTGTAGAAGGAATAAAACCGAGGTAAGTAAGAGAAAAAAAAAATGAAGATAGCCACCTCTCCTCCCAAAATGATGAGATGATGTCAGGATATCAAAAAGTAAATGAGTAGTATAAAATAAAAAATAAGAGATAATGTCAGAAAAACACTATGAAGAAAATAGAACAGCAATAAAACAGAGTAATGTGATAGTGACTAGGGAGTGACACATTTAGATAAGAGTGGTCAAGGTCACCTGAGAAGGTGACAGCTGAGTTGAAATTTGAATGATGAGAAGGTGTCTTTGTACAAAAGGGCCAAAGGAGAGATCAAACTTGGTATGCTTAAGAAACAGAAAGATCAGTTTGGCTAGCTCTTGGTGAAGGATGGAGAAAGCTGTATGAGTTAAGGTTGGGGAGCTGGGCAAGGAAACATCATGCAAAGTTAAAAGACCCAGTTTCTCTGCCGAAGTAACTCATAATCTAGTTCAGAAGGCAGACATATAAATAAATGTTTACACTACACTACAGCATGATAAATGCTATGATAGCACCCCACACAGTTGATCAGTGAGTGTAGAGGATCAGCCATACCTCCTGGAACTTGACAAGGGTCTGTGATCTTCCCCCACCCTTGACCATCACTATACCCCTCAGTGCCCTTCTATAGTATGGCTCCAAAGCAACTACCAATGCCCATTAAATCTGAGTGTCCCTCTGAACTGGCAAGCAAAGAATTGGGCTCATTGCCTGTAAATCACTTTGAGCTCTTGGGAAGAAAGGCACTTGGTAAACAAGGACTGGGATTATCTCACTGCTTTATAAGATCAAAGCACTTTACAAACATTAACCAATTGAGCATACCAGGTTGCAGATTGTTAGTCTAGTAATGAGTCTTTGTTTAAGCTCTATTTCTTTCTAATATGCCTGTCTACTCTTTGAAGTTGTGACTTCTACGTTGACTTCAATTGACAAAGAAATCCTTTCTTTGTCCCACCTTCTCTACTCCTAGAGAACCTTATCTCAGTTTGGGGAGTAGAGACGTTTGGTGAAGATGGCACCTAACAGAACATTAGATTTTTTTCCCTATAGTCAATTTGAGAACTTTTGTGTTAGATATTTTTGTTAATGCATCTAAGACTGTAGCATCCAGCCCTGTTTGGATCTTTCCCATGCTTTCTGCACTCAGTGACATCCCTAATATTGGCCAACAATCACAACCATATTTTATCGTAAGAAAGACTTGGAACAAGAGCATAAATAGATCCATGCTTCAGAATTACTTGTTGGCTATTTGAAAACACAGGTTCCTGGCACCCTCACTAAACTATGGAATCAGAATCCCAGGAATCCACATTTTAATAAGCTTTTGAGTTGCTTTTTACATGCATGCAAAATTGAGAGCCACTGCAGTAAAAAACCAACTCAAAGCTCAGGTCAATCCAATCCCATTCAGCAAATATTTATTAAGTACCCACCAAGTACAAGGCACTAAGCTAGTTGCTGCTGAGGAAACGTGAAAGGAAGACCTGGTTTCAGCCCAAGAAATATATATTCCAGTGGGAAGGAAAACGATAAGAAGAAGACTAGTGATTTTAATACAAGATAGAGCATCATAAATATATGCAGATATAAGGATGGTTCGGAGTAGGCAGGCATGATACCTAACTGGGGTCCAAGGAACAATATGTGCCACTTTTCCAGAGTTTGAAAGATGATGAAGGTTTTACCTATTACAGCTTCATGATCAGAAGAAGCACCAGCTTTGCAGTGAGAAAGTCCTGCATCCTGGTTGTGGCTCTGCTACTTCACTATGTGATTTTGGGCAAATCATCAAACATCTCTTTGTTAGTTTATTTGTCCATAAAAGGAGGTGGTTGGCAAGATGACTTGAGACCCTTTCTACTCAGAAACTGTTACTCTCGTGTTATCTGCCCCAGTGGTCTAGGGGTAGGTATTATGGTTTTTTAGACTGACTGGATAAAGACTGTGAGGTGTGGAGCATCTCTGGCAATGGAAGCTTTGTGCCAGGTGAAGAGGTGTGTTGGAGTTAGAATCCCTTCAGGCTGTGTTCCCAGACAGGTTTGGCAAGAAGCGCTGCTGGTATAGTAGCTGTCACTGCTTAAAAGTTGTTTACTTCTCATTAAATACAGTAAGGAAAAAATGCAGAGTTTGTTGCTGTTGCTGCTTCAAGATTTGCCCTAGGAATAAACAGAAGATTTCTCCACAATAAAGGCCAGCTAAACCTCTATAACTAACTTTGAACAAAGAGTAATAAAAAGCTCAGGAAGAATTATTCTGAGTGAGACTTCTGTCCAGGGTGTGAGAGGACCTCAACAGGACAGGGTTCAGGTATGCAGAGATGAGTTTGCTTGGGATTTACCTTGGCAGTTTCTTCTCCCCCACCAAGTTCATTTACCATGCAGGTCATGATGATAAATATTTTTCTTTCTCTGCCATTTTAGGGGTGGGGGCTCTGTAGGGAATGGTGGAGGGAACTGCAACATAAGAATTAGGCTTACAGTTCTTCTGGTGCTATTTCTGAGCCTTCTGGAGAATAATCACTGTCTTCCTGGACAAGCGATACTTGTGTTTCATCTATTTCTGTGTGACTGCTCCTTTATGAGAGGGAGAGTAAGGATCAAACATTCTGAATTTCTCAGGGTAGACGGTGTAGTCTTGAAGCGTTTAGACTACTTACAAAGTTCCTGTGTTAATAATGTAGAACCCTTTGAGGGCAATGGTGTGCAGACAAATATTTAACAGCTTACTGGAGGAGCCTTGATTTATGGCATTTACTGATTTCCCTGGTGTAAATACTTCCACTATAGCTGATTTCAAGCTACTGTGGTGAGTTCACAAAGCTTACAGTTGGGAAGAAGTAAGCACAACCCCCTTTAGCAAGCCAATCCGAGCTGGCTCCAGCACACCCCTTCCTGAGGGCACTCCTGAGGTCTTTTCGTGTGTGTGTTAGTCTGTTTTGCCTTGCTATAAAAGGATATCTGAAACTGAGTAATTTATAAAGAAAAAAAGTTAATTTGGCTCACAGTTTTGCAGATTGTACAAGAAGCGTAGCACTAGCATCTGCTTCTGGGAGGCCTCAGGAAGCTTCCACTCATGGTGGAAGGCAATGAGGGTGAGAGGATGGGAGTGGGAGCAGATGTGTAACGTGGCAAGAGAGGAAACAAGAAAGATTTCAGGCTCCTTTAAACAACTAGATCCCCCACGAACTAATAGAGTGAGAACTCACTCATCACCAAAGTGATGAGGCTAAGTCATTCATGAAGGATCTGTCCCCATGATCCAACACCTCACATGAGGCCCCACCTCCAGCATTGGAGATCATATTTCAACATGAAATTTGGAGAGGGCACACATCCAAACCATATCACTGTGCAAAACCAAGTTAGTCATTTAGCTGAAAAATCGAGTTTTTGAGAAAGATCTGACAAGAAGTACTTGTAGATATCTAGTAGGCCTGCTCGTACTGGGGCTGTAACTACAGTCAGTCATTCTGGAGTAAGCACCACTTGACAGAGGTCAAAAGTCACAGGTGGAGCCTAACCAGCAGTCATGTAAGATCTTCTTCAGAAATTTCATTTCTGCCTGTTTCTGCTCACTGCTGTTGTGAGTAATCAGTGTTCTTACCTGGCTTTAAAATTATTCAAAATAACTGAGAAGGATATAGGGGTGAGGACAGGGCAGCCCGCATCTTTATCTAGCATTGTGCTGTTGAGAGTCTTGGGAAAGACTTGTGAGCAATCATCAACACCAATGCCGGTTCTCTGGGATGGCCTTCAGGAGGGTGTCTGAGATACAGAAATCTCACCTTGTGCTGGTTCAAATGTGGCATCAGATAGTTCAGTGTTTGAGTAATGACATGTAGACTCTCCCGGGATATGTTTTCATTCTTTTTTTTAATTCCAAAAGTAAATTCTAATGGAAATAAAAATAAAACAATATAGAGAGCTACCAAGTAAAAGCACTATTTCCCTCCTTCTCACCTACTATTACACAACTTAGCATCAACCACTTTTAATAATTTGGCATATATCATTCAAGGTTTATACCTATTGGTATTCAGATAATTAGGGCTTTTATTGTCATTTTTAATGTGTTTTTTGTAATGTTATACAAAAATGAGATCATATTATATATAGTTTAAGCCTTGATTTTTCAATTAAGACACATAATGGTATTTTTTCAATGAGCTCATTTAAATCTGTATAGTTCCTTTTAATAGCTATTTAAAAATCCCAGAAATAGCTTCAAAGTGCTGCTGTTAGATGGTTTTATATTCTTCCACTATTACAAATATGCTGAAATATGCAACTTCATAAGGAGGAGGTATGTGGTTAATTTTGGTGATTCCTTGGGGGACAGATTATTTGAGTTCAAATCCTGGCCAGCCACTGACTATCTGTGTGACTTTAAGCAAGTTATTTATCCTCTTCTTACCTGAATTTCATAATCTGCAAATTGAGATTGATAGTAATAGTATCTCGTACTGTCATAAGGAATAAGAAAATTAACATACATGCTTAAAACAATACCTGGCACACAGAAAGTGTTCAGTAAATATTAGCTAATAGTATATGTATCTTTACACTCTCATGACAGATGACCTAGAAGTGACTCAAAATGTGTAAAATCGGCTCTGCTGGCTTGAAGCTGGCTCTAGCACCCCACTGCTAGTGGGCAATTCCGAGGGCCATGTCTAAGGTGTTCACACTTTACATCTTGAGACGTAATGCCAAATTGCTCCCAACCCCCAAGGTTGCATCATTTTGAATTCTAGTAACAATGTAAAGTGTACCCCTTGCCAACATTGAAGATGATCAGTCTTTTAAAATGCTACCAGTTTGTCATAATACATGTTATGATATTTGATTCATTCAGAGAACAAGTTATCCAGGAATTCTAGGTACCGAAAAGAGTCATGAAGAAAGGGTGGAGGAAAGTAGAGATAAGAATCTCTTATGTCCTTTTTATCGGGGACAGAAATCTTCAACATTAAGAGAGCACAATGCTGCTATTGCACAGATAGCCTTTCTCCAGGTGATGTTATCTGGTGAGGCACCTTATTTCCCCCACTCTTACATGTCTAGAGTGTGAGTGCCTTATCTAGAGGCAGACACAAGCCAGAAGTGGTTTGGGCTGATTTTACTAGCTTGTCTGTATCAATACACACAGGTAGATGCCATAGCACTGGGAACTACCTCAGATAGGAGTAAGGCAGCATCACTCCCCTCTCCAAAACGCAGATCATATTCTCCCAGATACTCTCTGCCAAAAGCAGGTTGGCCAGGTTATAATTGTTACTCATCACTCCACCCACACGCGTTAAGTTTTCACTTCTGTTTTATAAAGTGGTAGTTGAACCGTGGGGAGGAAGAAAGAACTGTATTTAACTGTATTTCCAGGATCCTCCTAAGACAGCATAAACTATGTTCACAGACCTAATCCCACAAAGCAGTGGTGCATTCAAATGGTTTTTGGAAGTCCAGTATCATCCAAGAAAGGAGATCATACTCCGCTGAGATCAAGATGTCATTTACCAAGTTGATGTGATCTTTTGCCAGACAGTATAGTCTCCTTTCTCATAGAAATGTGGCAATCTCATTCTGGATAATGTAGAGTCTCAATTAACAAATAAGAAATCCCCAAACTATGGTTCAGAACAATATGCATAGAAATTACTCACTGCAGCATTCATAGAATAGAAAGAAAAAGAAAGTGAACTTTTGGACATCTGGTCAAATAAAGTGACACATTTTGCTGGATACATCCCCAGTTCATCTAATTATATGGGCTGTTAGACATTGGACTGAAGTTATCAGAGCATGCAAATATATGCAGAACAGCCATAATCCCAGCTGTAAGAAAATATGTCCAATTGAAGTGGAGATCTTGTAATTATCTCAAATTAATGTAGACAATTGGCAGGATATAGCCATTAACAAAAATAAATATATTCTCTTTGTGGCTTATATGTTATATATTAGATGAACTAATTGGAAAAAATATGCAGTGCACTTTTATACCAATAACATCAGTACAAGACTGGTGAAATGAGAGTATATAATCAGGATAACTCTCGATTTCATACATTTCAGAAGACGAAAAAGAGACAATTATTCCCTTTGTTCCCAGATTTTCCCCCTATGAATAGTTGGATTCAATGTCTGTTAAAAGTCATTGGGGAAATTTATTTTCTTGGTGAGGGCAGAAAAGGATACTTTATTAATACACCTAAATGGCTTAAATCCAGATTTTGTGTAAAAACACAGAAATTCCTGTTTTTATGTAAAGTTCGGGGAAATTTTCTTTACAATACCAGATATCCAGTTATCCTTTATTTTTTCCACCAGTCTGTATCTCTTTTTCATCCAAAGTCTCCTTTGAAGTCAACTGTGATCCAACACAAATAAGAGATGAAGTGTGAGGGATAAGAATCTAGATTAAGATAAATAGCAGGTTCCACCCCAGCCTCAGGTGTCAGGCAACCAAAAAAGTTAAAACTTTTCCAAGATCTACCAAAGTTAAGTAATGAAAATATAGGGAATGCCTAAAAATCAATGAAGCCTGAGCAGAGATTTCCCCAATGGAATATGGTGCTCTACAATGATAAACACTTCCCCATTTATATTTTTAAATTTTACTTTTCCCTGGTTTGGAGTCACTAAGCACCTAGAAATTGGAGACTAGTTTCCCTTTTAGTTTGTATGTGCAAGATTCTAAGTCAGCACTAGTGAAAGAAGCCTGTATTTCTCCCAAGTATCTGGAAAGCTCCATCCTTTTATATGTAGTTTCACAGACATATGAACTCCCTGACTGTCTAAAAAGCAACTGAAAAAAAAAATTCCAATGAATCTAGCTAATTTCTTTATGTTGCAAGGGTATCTGAACAGTAAATCAAATCAAAACAAAACTTTCTTATTCCTCCACCCATACCTGCCTACAATTGTAACCTGTTGTACCAGGAACACCCCTGCTTATGTGCAACTATATCTCATGGGCTACCATTGAGTTTTTAATGCATGGAGGACTAAAGCTTGGAGAGTGGAAATCTATTCACAGATGCAATCCTCATTTATTTACTCAATTACAAGGGAAAATTCAATCACCTCCCAGGGGTTCCTGGCAGTATCCTCAATGCTGGGGCTGGAAAAATGCCTAAGATACATTTCTTATTATGGAGGTTCTAACAGGAGAAACAGAGATTCAAATATTACAGTGTAATGTGATAAGATGCTATAGATGCTATAAGAAGTGCTAATTAATACCAATGTTTATGAGCAATGAACTTAAAAATAAAGACCAGTGCCCACTTGAAGGCTTTGCCTTCTTTTTCTGAAGATAACGCCCCCAGTTTTCATGATTTTTGAATAGTCTTAAGTGCTTTCTGTATTTATGCAGTCTGTTAAATCTTTTTTAGCTGATATGCTTATTTACATATCAGATCATTTTAACAATAGACTTTGTTACAAATGCACACTATTTTTTTTTTTTTTAAGATTCAAAGATGCAGGGCTGAAACGTAGCAGCTTTCCTAGTTAAAACTCTGGTACATAATACAGTCACGAGGCCATGTTTGACTGAGTTTACCACTTGAGCTGTAGTAGCCACAAATATGAAATAAAAAGGGATTTCCAAGTTAGATAGAAGGAACAACTTATAGTATTCAATAGTACAGTATGGAAATTATAGTTAATAGTAATTTTTGTATATTTCAAAATAGCTAGAAGAATTATAGTCAAAATTGAGGTGATGGATATCCCAATTTCTCTGACTTGATTATTACACATTGTATACATGTATCAAAATATCATATGTACCCCCAAAATATGTACAACTGTGCTATATCAATTAAAAATACAAAAACAGAAAGAAAAAGCAATATTTTAGTGGCTACTTTGGGAAAAAAGCAATATATGAAAACCCACATTTACACAAAGAATATGTTGTGAGGATTCACTTTACAAAAATACTCAAAATAAAATATAGTTGATATTAATATTAGTTTTTTCTAATACAGTGAAAGGCAGTTTATTAATATAAATTTTAGTTAAGTCTAATTTTGGTGACAATTGTCTATATGGAATCATGATCTCCAACGTTGTTATTATGACTGTTACTCCTCCTACTTACTGTTTACATCATATAACCATAACTAAATTTTCTTGATATATGGGAGGAAATAAAGGCATTTCCAGTGCAAGGCCTAAAGAGCGATCCTTTATTCCTGTGAAAGAGGTAACTCTAAGTACTTACATTCATCCAAAAGGCCTGATATTCATTTTAGTCCCTGAGAAATGCAGTAACTGGAAATGTCATCCTCTTCCCTCATTTTGCTTTCTGTTCCAGGCCTGTGGCTCTCTATTATCAGTGTGATGGGGATGTGGCAAACAATCTGGTTAAATATTTGGCTGGAGCCGTTTGGTGATTGTCAATCTGAATAAATGTTAAAATAAATGCACATCATGCTTAGTACCTATGGAAGCAAGGAAAAAGCATATAAAATAAAGACCCTTCCAGTGTTCCCACTTAAAGCAATAGAAACCACAATATTGCGTTTTTGCATTTGTCTCACTTTTTCTCTGTATTTTGGTTTCTGTTTTAATGGGAAATGGTAGATGACATCTACAATTTGGCAAACATTCACTGCTGTGTACCAGAGATGACTCAAAAACAGGTACTCATAATTGACTGGGAAGCAACTGAAGTGGCTTGTGACTGAGAAAGACACTGACACCAAGTCTAGTCTCAGTAGTTTGGGACTTGAGAAGAGGTAATGGCAACACATCTTCAGAGATTGTTTACTTTGGAGAGTTTGTTTCTGGAGGGCACTCTTTTGTCACAATTAATGCGCAAAGTTGGGAAAAGTTTCCTACCCTCCAAGGGGCTTATCATCTAGCAGTCTAAAAACATGTTTATGCATTCCTTCATTTATTTGTTCATCCAAACACATTTAGGGCTTATCTAATATGAAACAGAATATGGAGTATTAGAAGAAAGAAGAAAATATGTTGTGCAAAATGAATAGAAGACACTATTTGCCCAGGAAGAATATATAATCTTATTAGTTACACATCAAGCATATATGTGTATATACAGTATATTTAGAGTATGCATATATATATACATGCTATAGTACATGTGTGTATGCTTGTCTATATACACTGTATGAAGCAAGAGGAGAAAATACTCATGAATTCTAGGAACTGTAGAATGAAGGAGGGATTTATGTGGGACACATTGGCCTTTTATTGTTGTTTAAGAGTAGTTTTACCTTTCCATTAAGAGCTACTTCAATTTTCACATTTCTTGTGAAGGATAGAGGTATCATGATAATAAACATTATAGTCTTATAAAGATAAATGCCCACAGGTGCACTGGTATATTGTGGGTATTGTTACAAATATTCTTTGAAATGACTTCTTAATCATCTTTATTCCTTTTGTGCTTTATGAACACGCTGTTCTTCACCTGCTTTCCTTGGTCTTACATTCCCTACAAATATAAACAAAACAGTTCATTGTTAACACACATGTTGATAAATGCCAAGTACTGTATCTAAACCAACAAAGGATTATGTGAAGAGGGCCCAAATCCAGCTTGTGTTCATTGTTAATACATGCAGCCAAGTTTCTCTATACTTTATTCTTATTGCATTGCATTAAACCAACTTTTTACTGATTCTTTTTCATGGCTTTCTTGACAAAGACAGAATGGAAAAATATTGAGCCATGTAAAGACAGCTCTTCTAAATTTTAGTATAATCTTACCCTCAGCCTTCTGCAAATATAATAAACCAAAGTCTGCTCTTAACTTCCAATTGCTAGATCCCTCATATACACACATATGTATTCTTAAGACATTGTGTTCTCAATACCGTATAAGTTTGTCTATATATAAATACTATAAGTTTGCATATGTATATATATACACACACATATGTATTCTTCATGTATATATACATATATATATATATATATATATATATGTGAAGGAAAGTCCATAAATAGCATTCTCAACTTATGTGTGTGCCTTTTACTGGAAATTAAAGTTCCGATGACAGCATGTATCATACACACCCTCATGGCCACATTTGTTAATATCTATTCTGTATTAATTAATTCAACTTTAATACATTTTGATTTGATTCCCCAAACAGCCAATCATTTGCATCTGATTTGTTTTCTCTCCAAAATTTAAACACATGATTTTTGAAGGATGGAGTGAAGGGCAAATGTATTTTAAAAGTCTTGATTTGGATAGCAAGAGTGCATAATGGAAATTTCTGGAAAACTAAATATGACTAAGTGGCATATATGAATTGAAGGATTTGCAAATACCTCATCTTCTGGAAATGTGCATTGTTTAGAACAGACTTCTAAAATGGCTTCTGAAGGTGTCCATTCTAGGCTTAGGTGTGCGTGAATGCAGAGCTGCCCTTTACGAAAGATCATTTAGGTCACAGGTATGTCCATTAAGTTGAAATTAAATATTCATTCTTTTAAAAGTATATCTTTATAGTCAGGAATAATTGCATTGGGATTCTTCATCTTTTTTTCTTGCTGATTCTAATGGAGGTTTTATCTTTTTGCTTTGCTTTCCGATTATCTTCCAACATTGCTTTCTCTTTACTAGTTTCAGTTTGAAGTAAGTGATTATTGCATTGGACAGTCACTGAATTTACACTTACACCACTCAATATATGAAGCTATATTCATCCATCCACTTATTAATTATTGTATTTATTATTCATCCATTCACTTCACAAGCAATTATTGAGAGATATGTATTTTCCAGCATAGCATTAAGTGTTGACCTTATAAAGATAAAGATAAATAAGACATTATTGGAGACATATAACCTGTTTAAGGCTACTGCCCTTGGATTTTTTTTATCTTTGTAAAAAATATTTTTATATTTGAGATGGATTATTCAATTTTTCTATTTAATGTTTCATGCCCTTTTTAGCTATATAATTTAGGGCATTATACATCATATTGACCTATTTTTGTGAGTGACTTAAAATTTGAAACTACTTGGTATTCATTTTCTCCAAAAAGTTAATTAATAATGACTGACAAGCAATTACTAAACTTTGAATATACATTATCTCAGTTAAACTTCACAACACTCATGTGAAGTAGGTATCAATGAAACCCTTATTTATTGTTCTCACTATCTTTACATATGGATGAGAAGCAAAGATTCAGGGAGTTTAATTAATCTGCTAAAATCCCACAGCTAATAAGTAGCTGAGTTTCAACTCAATCATGCTGTGCTAGACTCTAAACCCTCTTCTGAACCATATTATGAAGTTTCAGAATAGGCTCCATTAGGGTCTCCAACGTATTGAGGAAGTTTGTCCAAATGTTATGTCTCAGCTTCATCCAGCATCTGGATGGGTAAATTATTCTCAGTCACTTACTGTATTTGGTGTTTTAAGTGAAATAGTGCAAAGAATTTGTGGTCTAAAAATCCTAACTTTTTCCCATTCATTCTCAGCCCAGATGCCATATAAAACATCTCTACAAATTGAGAGGCAAGCGAATTCTCATTTTGCTTTTCTAGATGAAAGCACATAAGGAGGAAAAGGTATCTTTTGTATCTTTTGCCAAGCCTTTGCCTAAGAAGTAAATAAAAACAATACTTACTAAACACAAAGAGGTTGAAATAATTATTACAGCTAATTCACCTACAGGTGTATTCAGAGGGCAGATTCTGATGTTAGGAAACTCTTGGTTCCAATCCTGGCTTTATCACTGACTGGCCACGTAAATTTAAAGTCGAACATTGTCTGTAAGTTAATACACTTATCCTTTTAATATAATGGGAACATAATAAATAGCTACCTTGTAGGTTGTTGTGAAAATTAAATGCAAAGATACGTGTAAAATTCCCAGGACAGAGCTCAACACAGAGTAAATACTCAACAATGCTATTTTCATTGCAATTGTTGCTAACATTGTCGAGCATGTGTCTGCATTTTATTTCTTGTCTCCCTAGGAAACGTAGTCACATAATACAAGATCCTGTGTGACTGGTCCCCAGCCACCTTCAGCCTCATCTTGTCACTGCGCTTCAGCCACACTGGCTTTCTTAGAATTCTCCAAAGGTACTAAGGTTTCTCCATCCTTAGTTACCTCACAAAGGCTTATCTTTCCCCTCCTCCATCCCCTGTCCAGCTTCTACTCATTCTTCAAACCTCAGTTTAGATGTTGCTTCCTCAGGTAAGTCTTCTCTGATCATGCCCTCCCAGACAGGCCCTGTCAGGTGTCTCTGTTACATGCCCTTTGCACATTCCATTATTTCTCTGAAGTAGGATCACAATCATAATTAAGTATGTATTTGCTTAACATATGTCACTCCACAGACTAAATGATTCATGAGGACATGAACAATGCACACAACAGGGGCTCAATATATCTTATTTTTGCTGAGTGGGATGAGTAAATGACACATTGAATATTTTGAAACCATTTAGTTAAAGCATAGATCTGTATCTCTCAAGGCTTAACTTTCATTTGGTTCAGGTCATTCAGTCTATGTTTCATCATCCTAAGTGTATCTTAGAACTATAAAATCCACCGCAAATCTGTTCTCCAATTAGTCATATATAAATTAACAAGTAAAAACATGTTTTGGAGTACACTAAGTTAGAAAATAAAGTGCTTCAAAACAATGAGGAGCATCTTAATTGTTATACTTTAGATTGTAAAAATAAGTCATTCAAAATCGAAGCTGTTGAAATTTTAAATTATTTTGTTCCTTAAAGGAATGAGATTATGGGACCTGAGTCACATGGTAGGCAGCTATAACTAGGCAGCTGTAACCTTTGTTGCTCTGATAATAGACAAACTTTTTCTTTACCTACATTGTTCTGTAAAATGTTGTGAAAGAGTATAGGACACTAGAAGAAGACCCTGTCCCTCTCCGCTGTTGATCTTCATCATAGATTAACTTCCTTCTTACTTCTTTTACACAAAGGCCTCATGACTACCACATCATCTAAGATGGTATGTTAAATATATTCTTTTTAATTGGAAAAGGAAAATAAAACAAGCTTGTAGCCAATCAAATTGCTATAACACATAAGTCTCATATAGGAAACATAATCTTATTAATTTTCTTTGATTTCTAACTCTATTCCTTTGGAGTCTGTGTTACCTGAATGACCATTCTCAGCTTTTAAACTGGGTTCTGATCCTTTTTATTATTTCAGATTGACAAGTCTCTCAGCCAGCCTCAAGATGGCTTAATATCTCAGAAGTAGCCCTAGGACCAAGTTTGTTCTAATTTCAAAACCAACCATGCATTCTACTAGTCAAGTTTTCCTTTTTTTGTTAAAAATAATTGGGTAAAATAAGACCATGTTCAATAATAAGACAAGTTAAACAACAATTGAACAATAATAAATGTTTTTCTTAAAATGACAGCTCTTTGAGTTGGGTGTAAAAACAGGTCATTTCTCTATAAATTATGATTATCACTGCCAAAGCCATGCTCTGCTTCAGGGATAGTCTCCAACAAACAGGAACTGTGATGATTGTAGAAAATCACAAGGAGAAAAATTGAGTTATTGTACCAAAGTACAGAAATTATTCCTAGAAACAAACCTTTTAAAAATAAACACAAGTACAGCCCATGGTTTCCAATTCAGCCATTTTAAAACTGTTTAACCCAATAGATAACCACAAATTGGAAAACCAAGAGAGGACAGTAGACTCTGATGACTACATAATAATTTGTTCTCATTTGTCTTTATGCTTTTCAGGCAATCTTGAGTATGTCTCACCTCTGCAACCTTTTTGCTGAAGGCAAACTTTTTAATGGCACTCTTATCTGTCTTTAAAAATATCTCCATATGAATATTCCAACTGGAAAAACCAAAAAATTATCCCAGATACATAGAATGCTAACACATACATAGTTTAGACTTAACTAGTTTTTCCCCCTCTATTTGAGAAAGTATGTTGGCTTAAAATATTTTTTTCCCAAATTCAAGTTATTTGACATTTGTAGTTGACCACTCACCAGGCAACCTTCTACTAAATAGAAAAATAACGCTAAATTGATCTTTGACATTAATATAAATAAAATGTTTATTTTATGCTTAAAATTTGTTTTACTTTGTTCCACTTAGTGAAATAGTAGTAGGCCTATCTCTAGTGGCTTTGCAGTCATCTGTGTCTCACTTCTCTCCCTGGGGAAGCACACGATCTGGGCACTGGCACTGTTTGAGGTCTGCCTCAGTAGAGGTGCTCCATAACATTTTACTTATCCTTCTTCCTCTTCCCTTTTCCTCACTTCACTTTCCTTTCAGACTATGAATCCCATGGCTTCAAGGATACCATCTGATATGGTTTAGATGTTTGTCCCCTCCAAATCTCTTGTTGAAATGTAATCCCCAATGTTGGAGATGGGATCTGGTGGGAGGTGTTTGGGTTATGAGGGTGGATTCTTCATAAATGGCATGGTGCCCTCCTCATGGTAATGAGTGAGTTCACACAAGGTTTGGTTGTTTAAAATCCTGTGGCACCTCCCCGCTCTTTCTCTGGCTCTCACTCCTTCCATATGATACACCAGCACCCTCTTGCCTTCTACCATAAATATAAGCTTCCTGAGGCCTCATCAGAAGCAGATGACAGCACCTTGCTTCCTGTACACTCTGCAGAATCATGAACCAAAACAAACCACTTTTCTTTATAAATTACACAGCCTCAGGTATTTCTTTAGAGCAATGCAAAAGCAGACTAACATGCCATCAAGTGAATAGTTACCTCATCTCTACCTTCCAGCATGCATCTCATTCCTTAGAACCAGTCCTACATTTTCAAATTCTTGATAGACATCTCTACCTGGATATTTTACCAGCCCTTCTAAGTCAGTATGTTTAAAAACTATCCTGAGATATTTAGTACAATCTACCTTGCATATTTCTATATATGTGGATGTCTTCTTTTCTCTGAAATGATCAATACTTTATAAGATATGAATCAAATTCAATTATGGGTGTCCTTCAATAGCAGGCACAATACTCTGCATTTCAAGTCAGTGAATTACTACAAGTTCAATATGCCCCTAAAAGATATATTATAGGGCAGAAATTGGGAGCTCACTTTACATGGAAAAGTTTGCCATAAGAGCCAGGACCTAAGAGATCCCTTTAAAGAAATGATCAATAAATTCTACTATTAATAATGATAGCCAGTATTTATTTTGCTAGGTTTATATAACAACACACCTGCAAGGTTGATGTAATTGTACCCATTTTACACACAAAAACACTGTGGTTCAAAGATGCCAAGTCACTTGCTACAACTGCTGAGTTGCAGAATTGTTTTTCATTGTTGGTGTTTTGTTTTTTTTTTTCAAACCCTGACTGTTACAAAGCCCTATATCCATCATTTCACATAGTTACCCATTGTTTTGTTTTCGTGGTAAGACCATCTAAAACCTTCTCATTTAGCATGGATCCTGTATACAATATAATTTAATTACCTATAGTCCTCATGTTGTTCATTAGATCTCTCAACTTGTTCTAAAAAATTTCTGCTACTTTGCATCCTCTGACTTTTATATCCTCATTTCCTCCTAGCCTCTGATAGCCACTGTTTTTTTCTTTATCTCTGTACATTTCATTTTTTAAAAATTTTAGATGCCACTTATAAGTAAGATAATGCAGTATTTTTCCTTTCTGTGCCTGGCATATTTCATATGCCAGACATATGAAATTTCATTATGTCATTATTCATATTTCATAATGACCTCCAGGCTTATTCATGTTCTTGCAAATAGCAACATCTTGTTCCTTTTTAGGGACAAATAATACTCCATTGTATATATGTACCATAATTTTGTTTCTTTACCCATTTGCCTACTGATGGACACTTAGATTGTTTCCATATTTTGGGTATTGTGAAAAATGCTGCAATGAACATTGGAGTGCAGATATCTTTACATTTCTTTGGATAAATATCCAGAAGAGGGATTGCTGGATAATATGTAGTTCTATTTTTAATTTCTTTAGAAATCTCCATATTATTTTTCAGAATGACTGTACCAATCTATATTCCCACAAACAGTGCACAAGAGTTTCCTTTTCTTCACATTCTTGCCAATATTTATTATGTTTTGTCTTTCCCAGAACATTTTCGGATATCTGGAGTTTTTTATAATTCCATACAAACTTTAGGATTTTGTTTTATTTCTATGAAGAATGCCATTTGGATTTTGATAGAGATTGCATTGAATCTGTATGTTGCTTTAACAATATTATTTTTTCTGATCCATGAACACAGGATATCATGCCATTTGTTTGTCTTCTTCAATTCCTTTAATCAATGTTTTATAGTTTTCATTGTACAGATGTTTTACCTCCTTGGTTAAATTTATTTCTAGATATTTTATTTTTTTATTCTGTTGTAAATGGGACTTCTTAAAAATTTCTTTCTCCCTTAGGTCATTACTTGCTTATAACAATGCTACTTATTTTTGTGTGTTTATTTTGTGTCCTGCAACTTCATTGGATTCATTTATTAGTCTAACAGGATTTTTGTGGAATCTTTGGGGTTTTCTACATATAGAATCATCATAACATCTGTAAATAGTTACAATTTTATTTCTTCCTTTCTGATTTGTTTTTTATTTTTTTTTGAGAAGGAGTCTCGCTCTGTTGCCCAGGCTGGAGTGCAGTGGCTGATCTTGGCTTACTGCAAGCTCTGCCTCCCGGGTTCACGCCATTCTCCTGCCTCAGCCTCCCGAGTAGCTGGGAATACAGGTGCCCACCACCAAGCCCGGCTGATTGTTTGTATTTTTAGTACAGACGGGGTTTCATCCTGTCAGCCAGGATGGTCTCGATCTCCTGATCTCGTGATCCGCCCGCCTCGGCCCCCAAAGTGCTGGGATTACAGGCATGAGCCACCGCGCCCGGCCTTTCTGATTTGTATTACTTTTACTTATTTTATTGCTTTTGCTAGTACTTCATATATATATATATATATATATATATATATATATATATATATATATATGAAAAAAATATATATGAAAACATATATATATGTCTGTGTGCGCATATATATATATGTTTTGGTTTTATTTACATACACACATATATACACACATATATACACATATATACACATATATACACATATATATACACATATATATACACACATATATACACACACATATATATACTCACATATACACACACACACACACACACACACACACACACACATATATATATATATATATTTTTTTTTTGAGACAGGGTCTCGCTCTGTCACCCAGGCTGGAGCGCGGTGGCACGACCTCATCTTACTGCAACACCTGCCTCCCTATTCAAGCAATTCTCATGCCTCAGCCTCCCAAGTAGCTGGGATTACAAGCATGTGCCACCATAACTGGCCATTATTATTATTATTATTATTTTGATATTTTTTAGCAGAGACAGGGTTATGCCACGTTGGCCAGGCTGATCTCAAACTCCTGGTCAAGTGATCTACCTGCCTTGGCCTCCTAAAGTGCTAGGATTACAGGTGTGAGCCAATGCACCTGGCCAGTACTTGTAATATGTTAAATAGAAGTGGGCATCCTTGCCTTGTACTGAATCTTGGTACAAGGTCAAGATTTTAGTGTTTCCCCATTGATTATAAAATTTAACTGTGGGCTTTTCATAAATGACCTTTATTATGTTAAGGAATTTTTCTTCTATACTTAACTGTTGAGACATTTTATCAAGAAAAGATGTTAAACTATGTCAAATGCTTTTTCTATTTAAACTGAGATACTCATGTACTTTTAATATTTTATTCTGTTAATATGGTGTATTACCTTGATTGATTTGCCTATGTTAAACCAGCCTTGCATGACAGAAACAAATCTCATTTCTCCATTTTGTCATGATACATAATCTTTTTAATATGTTGTTGGATTCAGTTTGCTAATATTCGATATTTTATTGAAGATATTTGCATCGATATTCATCAGAAAAAATAGCCTATAGTTTTTGTTCTTGTGATGTCTTTATTTAGCTTAGATATCAAGGTAATACTAGTCTCATAAAATGTGTTTGGAAGTATGTTCTCTAGTTCTATTTTTCATAATAGTTCAGGAAGTATTAATATTAATTCTTTTTTGAGTGGTAAAATTCTGCTGTAAAGCCATCTTGTCCTGGGCTTTCCTTTGTTGGAATTATTTTAATTACTTCTTCAATATCTATTTGTTATTGGTCTGTTCACACTTTCTATTTCTTCCTGACTCAGTCTTGGTAGATTGCATTTTTTTTTTAAGGAATTTATCCATTTTTCTCTAGGTTATCCAATTGTTGGCATTTAATTGTACTTAATAGTTTCTTATGACCCATTTTATTTCTGAGGCATCTGTTGTAAATTTCTCCACTTTCACCTTTTATTTTATTTGAATCTTCGCTCTTTTCTCTTAGACTAGCTAAGAGCTTATCAATTTCATCTTTTCATAAAACCACCTCTTAGTTTTATTGATACTTTCTATCATTTTTTGGCTCTCTATTTTATTTATTTCTGTTCTGATTTTTATTATTTTCTTCCTTCTGCTAATTTTGGTTTAGCTTGTTCTTCTTTTTCTAGTTCCTTGAGGTGTGTTGTTGACTATGTAGCTGAGATCTATCTTCTTTTTAAATGTGGGCACTTATCACTATAAATTCTCCAGTTGGAGCTTTTTTTGGTGCATTCTGTAGGTTTTGGCACTTTGTGTTTCCACTGTCATTTGTCTCAAAATATTTTTAAAATTTCCTTTTGATGTCTTCTTTGATCCATTGATTATTTAAGAGTACGTTGTTCAAGTTTTGCTTATCTGTGAATTTACCAAGATTTCTCCTTTTATTGGTTTTTAGTTTTATATCATTTTGGTCTGAAACAATGGTAGACATCATTTCAATCTTCTTAAATTTGTTAAGACTTGTTTTGTGGCCAGAATGTGATCTGTCCTGGAGAATATTTAATGTGCGCTGGAGAAAAATGTGCACTCTATTGTTGTTGAATGGAAAATTCTATTTATGTCTGTTAGGTCCCTTTTGTCAAAAGCGCAAATCAAGTCAAGCATTTTCTTATTAATAGTGTGTCTGTTTTATCTATTGTTTAAGGTGAGGTATTGAAATATCTTACTATTATTGCTATCTGCTCTTTCTCCTTTCATTTCCATTAACATTTGATTGTGTATTTAGGTGCTCCAATGTTGATTGCATATATATTTATAATGGTTATGTCTTCTTGATGAATTCATCCTTTTACATTAAATAATGACCTCTGACTTTTATGACGGTGTTTGACTTGAATTCTATTTTATCAGACATAGATGTAGCCACTCCTGCTCTCTTTTAGTTACCATTTACATAACATACTTTCTTCTATCCTTTTACTTTCAGCCTATGTATTCTTAAAGCTTAAGTGAGTCTCTTGCAGGCAGGCCACTCTGTGTCTTTTGACTGGAAAATTTAATCCATTTACATTCAAGGCTATATTGATAGTTAAGTACTATTATTACCATTTTATTATCTGTTTTCCAGTTGTTTTGTGGGTTCTTTGTTCCTTTCTTTTTTATTTCTTGTTGTCTGCCTTTGTGATTTGATAGTTGTCTGTAATGCTAAGCTTTGATTTCTTTTGCTTTATCATTTGTATATCTGCTGTAGATGTTTACGTAAAACATCTTATAGATATAATCTACTATTTTTAGCTGATGACAACTTAACTTCTGTTGCATACAAAAACCTCCAGACTTTTACTTTTCCATCATTTATGATTTTGATGCTAGAATTTATAGCTTTTTAGATTGTGTGCTCCTTAACAAATATTTTGTAGCTTTAGTTACATTTTACCATTTTGACTTTTAACCTTCATAGTAGAAATAAGTGTGATTTACACAGCACCGTTACAGTATTAAAATACTCTGGATTTGACTATGTATTTGCCTCTACCAGTTTTATACTTTCATATGTATTTATGATAGTAATGATCAAAATTTCGTTTCCACTTGAAAAACTCGGATTCTTGTAAGGCAGGTCTAGTGGTAATGAATTCCCTCAACTTTAGTTTGTCTGTGAAAGACCTTATTTCTCATTCATTTCTGAAGGACAGCTTTGATGGTTATTAAATTTTTGGCTGACTTTTTTTTCATTCAGCATTTTGAATATATTGTCTTATTCTTTCCTGATCTGAAGGTTTCCCCTGAAAATATTTTGATAGTCTAATGTGTAACACGATGCTTTACTTTTATTGTTTTAAAAATTCTCTTTTTGTCTTTGACCTTGACAGTTTGATTATAATGTGCCTCATGGAGGATGTCTTTGGGTTGAGTCTATATGGAGACTTTTGAGTTTCATGGATCTAGATGTCCATATCTCTCCTCACACTTGGGAAGTTTTCAGCAAATATTTTTTAAAATAAGCTTTATGTTCCTTTCTCTGTCCTGTCTTTCTCTGGAAGTTTCATAATGTGAATATTTGTTCACTTAATGATGTTTCAGAAGTCCTGTAGGCTATCTTCATCCTTTCTTATTCTTTATTCTTCTTTTTCCTCTGAGTTATTTTGAAAGAACTACCTTCAATCACAGCTGCTATATTCCTACTTAATGTGGTTCATTATTGATTATTTCAATTGTATTATTTCATTAATTAAAATCTTAAGTTCCAAGATTTCTGTTTAGTTCTTTCTTTGTGTGATATCTATCTCTTTGTTGAATTTCTCATTCTGATCACGAAGTTCCCTTCATTTTATTCAATTGCCTGTTTGAATTCTTTTGTATCTTTCTGAGTCTGCTTAATATCATATTTTGAATTTCTTTTCAGGCAATTTATAAATGTCCACTTCTTTGGGGGCAGTTACTGAAGAATTTTTGCATTTTTTCTGTGGCATCATGTTTTCTTGCTTTTTCCTGTTTCTTGTGTTCTTGCATAGACATCTGTGCTTCTGGTGGCACAGTCACCTCTTCCAGATTTTACAGAGTGGTTTTGTAAGGGAACACTTTTACCTGCAGATGGGCCTGAGGATGATGATTGGGCATGGTGGGGTGGCTCTAATTACATGCAGAAACAGCGGTGTGGTCTCTGTGCAGCTTCTTTTGTTGTGATCAGTATTAGTGATGACTATGGGTACCTCAGTTAAAAGCATTAGGAATCCTCCTGTTCTTGTCTTCCTGACAGTGGGGCATCTTAGCTAAGGTGATCTTTCTTGGTGTTAGGTCTAACATGGCTCACAGGCAGCCACTGTGGCACTAGAATCCAGGGCATAAGGGGAAAGTGCTTGGAGCAGCTGTGGAGCCAGGTTTATGGGCTCAGGTAGAGCCAGGTTTATAGGCCTAGGGTCTTGCAAAACTACTGTACTGACTAGGATATAAGGTCCAAATTTACTATTCAAAGCATGAGTGAATGTCATTCTTCCATTCAGCAATCCAGCAATTTGGGCCCAGGAGGCTGGAATGTAGCCATGATTCTTATTCTGGGGGAAAGG
Source organism: Homo sapiens (assembly GCF_000001405.40). Taxonomy (NCBI): domain Eukaryota; kingdom Metazoa; phylum Chordata; class Mammalia; order Primates; family Hominidae; genus Homo; species Homo sapiens. The sequence continues at coordinate 74,499,906 of NC_000004.12, forward strand.
GGACAGCACTGGTACAGCTCTGGGGAAGAAGAGCTGCTCTGGAGGCTCAGACTCCATGAAGCAGGGCACAGTTGGAATTCAGTACATGGAACTAATAGGACGCAGCAGCAGCTCAGGCTCCAGGGGTGAGGTACCACACAGTGTTGACTCTGGTCCTTGGAATGATGTGACACAGTGGTAGCCCAGGCTCTGGGAGTTCAGGTGCAGCAGCAACAAGGCCCCAGTAATGGCAAAATGCCTCTGTGGTTTGGGCCCTGGAGAGCAAGGAACACTGCAGTGATGACTGTACTCCCTGGAGAGGCAGAGTACCTCAGCAGCGCAAGTGCCGGGGATAGTACAGTTCCAGTAGGTAGGGTGCTGTGGCTGTTCAGCTAGAAGGGCAGGGTGACACAGCTCAGCCAAGACTCTAATTCCCTGGAGTGCAAGGCACTGCATCTTCTCAGCCTCAGAAAACAGGGCTACCTAAGCTACTGGATCCCTAGGCATGGAATCATGGTAGCTGTGATGTTGAGAGATGCAATTGCTCTGATGTGCCAGAGGCTTGAAGCCCCTGGGCAGATAAAGTGCTACCTTATCCGTGTCATGGGAGTGGTAACTGCCCCAGTGTGGAGGAGGCCTGAAATCCTGAGACAGGGAGAATCATGTCTGCTCTGTGGTTGAGGGCATGACTGCTCTGGTGTGTCAGAGGCCTGAGGTCCCTGGGGAGTAGAGTGCTGCTTCCACTGTGGTATGGAGGGCATGGCTGCCCTAGTACTTCAAGGTTTTGTGTCCCCAAGGTCAGGGAACCACTTCAGTTTGATCCTAAAGGGAAGATATACCAGCAACTGGGATGGAGGGATGGTGTGGCTGTGTGGTAGCTTGGCACTAGTGAGTAGGACATATCAGCAGCTCTTCTTGGGGATGGCATGCTACTGGGTAGGCACGGTGCAGTGGAAGGATGCAATGGCCACTTGACCCCAAAGCAGAACACACTCTTGCAGTGGCTTTTGCTAGAAGATAGCACAGAGCAGCAGCAGCAGCACTGGCCACAGGGGTTAGGTACAGTGTCAGCTCCTTCTCTGGAAGGAGAAGTCTATGGAGTCTGAGAGTTCCCTCAGCTGGGCTTAGAGACTGTGAGGACTTCAGAAGTCTCCAGTAGCAAAGACTGCAGGTGCAGGGTTGATGGGGGGCACTGGGGTCTGTTTGCTTACATTTTCTCCACAGGGAAAAGCCCCTCCTGATTCCAAGCTGATCTCCACTAGAGAGATGGGGTGACAAAGGCAAGATGTTTCCGTCTCTTCTCTACATGGCCACGTTTAGTTTCCTTTACAGAATTTCTGCTGCATCTTTGCTGTTGCTCAGTGTTCTCCTTTAGTTATTTCGGTCAAAATGTAGTTGTTTATTTGTTATTTTGGGGCCTTTCTATGTGTGTGAGGGGAAAAGGGCACTAGGAGTTTCTAGTCAACCATCTTGCTGATGTCACTCTCCAGCATTTCCATTTTCCTAGGATGCCACACCTTACCCAGCCATTCTCACAAACTTAAGTTCTGAGGGAATATAGTTCAATTAAGGTTAAATCATTTATGTTGTATTTTAATAATGAATATCTGTGTTCTCCTCCAGCATGAAATTAAACAGTTGTATTTTTGGTTCTCTGTGTTTATAATTTCTGAACCTATCAATGGTCATTTCCTGTATAAATCAAAAAATGTATTTTGGTATTGGATATAAATTGACAGCTGATGCCTTAAGAGGCAGCTGGAAATTTTCTGTAAGATTTTCATTAGTCAGAGTTACTCTTATACCCACAGGAAGAACATTCAGTTGATAACCCATATAATCCACATGAAGTGTTTGTAGATTGCTCATCATTTGTGGTTTAGAGGAAAGATGGCATGCCACATCCCACATGGAATAAGGATGTTTAGGCAAGAAAATACATCAGACTCTTTCAAGCTACATTGTTTATGTGGCCTTCATAAGAAGCTGACTGAAATTAACTACAAGTTCCAAAAAATGTTGATAAACACCTTATGAAATGACACACACATGAAATTAGGTGACGTCAAGAGAATGATCATTTATGTACTTTGAAACATGCTTTTAGAGTAGTACTGTCTAGCTGAAACATAATAAGATGTGCATGTTTAATTTTAAATTTACTAGTAGCTACACTATTAAAAAGAGAAACAATGTGAAGTTACTTTTAATCATCTAGTTAATTTAACCCAGTATATCTGAAATGTTATCATTTAACATGTAATCAATATAAACTTCTTAATAAGATAGTTTACATTTTTTTCATACTGGATCTTCAAAATCTATTCTATTGTTTTCCCATGCTGAGAAAAATGACTGCCTGCAGTCTCTAAGCTTATTCTTGCCCTAACAATTCTCTTCAGCTTTGGATCTCTGTGGGGTTGCTCTAGGTTCCACAAGTCACACAAGCAGCATCTTCACTCAGAAGCCAAGCAGCATGAAAATTTGATCCACTGGATGATCAAATTCATTCTGGGCCCAATGTTACATTTTATTAACACACTAAATGTTGTCATGATATGCTTCCTGACAGGAGTTTTTAAAGTGTTAGAAGAACTATTAACCAAAACCTCTGCTCCACCCCAGCTTTACCTGAAGATTAAGTATGGTTAGTCAAAACCTGACAGAAACAACCATCATCATATCCAAACCAAGTGAAAAATTTTATTTCAGTAAAAAGTGGTGGGTTTTATCTTATTCATAACTGTCTTAGTCCATTCAGGGTGCTATAGCAAAATACCATAAACTGGGTTATTTATAAATTACAGAAATGTATTTCTGCAGTTCTCAAGGCTGAGAAGTCCAAGATTAAGATGCTAGCAAATTTGGTGTCTGGTGAGATCACCAAATTCTGGGTTCATAGATGATGCTCTTTATTCTGTCCTCGCATGATGTAAGAGGTGAGGAATCTATCTTGGGCCTCTTTTATAAGGACACTAATTCCATTCATGAGGACTCTGCCATTTATAACCTAATCACCTCCCAAAAGCACCACCTCCTAATACCATCACTTTGGGGGTTGGGATTTCAACATATGAATTTTGGGGGTACAAAAATATCCCGACTATAGCCTTCTACCCCTGGAACCCCAAAGTTCATTTTATTTTCACGTGTGAGAGAGATTTATTTTATCCCAATAGCCCCGACAGTTTTAAGTGACACCAGCATCAACTCAAAAATTTAAAGTCTCATATAAATATCATCTAAATCTGATATGGGTAATATTCAAGATAGAATTCATCCTAAGGCAAATAGCTCCCCAGCTCTGAACCTGTGAATTCAAACATGTTATGTGCTTCCAAAATACAACTGTGGGACAGGGCATAGGACAGAAATTCCCATCCAAAAGGGAGAGACATGAAAAAAAGAAAGAAAGAAATGACATCTCCCAGGCAGGTCTAAAATCCAACAGCACATGCAACATTAAATCTTGAGGCTTCAGAATAATCTTCTTTGATCCAATACTCTACCCTCTATACTCATTGGGACAGAGGTCTCACGTTCTGGACCCACTGAGTGGAAGTTCTGTTCCTGCAGCTTTTCTGTGCAAGGTTGGGCCCCCATGGGTTTGGGAGGCTCTTCCCCACAGCTGTGAGACATGCCTCAGCTTTCATGGATTGGAGTTATATGCCTGCAGCTCTCTCAAGCTGGAATTACATACTGGTGGATCTGCTTGTCTGGGGTCATGAAGGCAACCCCACTCCAACGACTCAGCTTTTCACTGAATGAGATGGTACTTTGGGGAAGATATGAGATAATTCATTGCATCAGGACCTGAGATGGTGTGTAGGAAGACTTCTCCAGGGATGCTGACCAAGGTCCATTTCCTCTTTTCCCTACCAATCCTGAAAGAATAACACTCTTTATGCTTGTCATTACATTGTTAGTCATGACACACAGAGAGTAGTTACAATGAGCCATGGGAAATGACGCATTCACTTCTTTGATGGAGGCACTTCTGCCTTTCTAGTCCCACTTCCTGCAGTGTCCAACTCTTACTGCATGTAGTGATAGAACTAAATGACCTCTATTTTATCAGAAATGCCACACCTTTCTAGCTATATGCACCTTTGCATGCAGTTCCCTACACCTTTATTTTTTCTCATTTGAATAATTTTCTTTCATAATTCTAGACAAATTTTAGTTGCCCTCTGTACTAGGTAGCTTTCCCTCTGTTAAATGACCCTGCTAAGTTAACTAATATAAATGCCTTTTGTTATAGTTGCCATAGTAACTTTAAATTTACTGTGTGCTCATCTGCCTTTAGATTGTAAGTTTCTAAAGAGCACAGATCATATTTTTATTTGCTTTTGTACTCCAGAAATTAAAATAGTGCCTAACACATAGTTTATGCTCAATACATACTTTTTGATCTGAACTAAACCACTAGTCCTGATATGTAACTTGTCTCTCAGCTTTAGAATTCCACCTTAAATTGCAACTTCTGAGAAGCAGAAAGGACATTGTCTGGTAGATGGCTCAGGGCCAACCAAAATATTTAACTCTGTGGTAATTATAATGCTGAAAACACAGCACATAATTTCCATAGGTTTTTTTTTTTTACTTTATTCATCCGCTTGAAAAATGCATATTGAAGAACATAGGGGAAAACTTCAATGGCATTGGTCTGGGCAAAGTTTTTTGGATATGATCTCAAAAGCACAGGCAACAAAAGCAAAATAGACAAATGGGATTATATCAAACTAAAAACTTCTGCACAGAACACACATACATACACACACACAAACACATATATACACACACACACCCACTTCAGAGTGAAGAGACCACTTATAGAATGGAAGAAAATATTTGTAAACCACACATCTAGTAAGGGGTTAATATTCTTTCAGTGACACAATGGGCTGACTATTGTTAACAATAATTTATTGTATATTTCAAAATAAATAAGAGTGGAATTGGAATGTTCGTAACACAAAGAAATGTTAAATGCTTGATGTGATGAATATCCCAGTTACCCCGATTTGATCATTATGTATTGTATGTTTGGGTCAGAATTTCACATGTACCTCCAAAACATGTACAACTATTATGTGACCATAATAATTAAAAATAAAGCAACTTGATAGCAAGAAAAAAAAATCCCATTTAAACATGGGCATAAGACCTGAATAGACATTTCTCCAAAGAAGATATACAGATGCCCAACAGGTATATGGAAAAATGCTCAACATCACTAATCACCAGGGAAACATAAATTAAAGTCACAATGGGATATCACCTCATACCCGTAGGAATGGCTCTTGTCAAAAAGAGAAAGACAAATGTTGGTGGGGATAAAAAGAAAAGGGAACTGTCGCGTACTGTTGGTGGGAATGTAAATTAGTACAGCCATTTTGAAAAACAGTATGGGGTTTTCTTTAAAAACTCAAAATAGAGGGGTCGCTTCCAAGATGGCCAAATAGGAAGAGCTCTGGTCTGCAGCTCCCAGCAAGATCATCGCAGAAGATGGGTGATTTCTGCATTTCCAACTGAAGTACCTGGTTCATCTCATTGGGACTGGCTGGACAGTGGGTGCAGCCCACAAAGAGTGAGCTGAAGCAGGGTGGGGCATCATCTCACCCAGGAAGTGCAAGGGATCAGGGGATTTCCCTTTCCTATCCAAGAGAAGCCATGACAGACTGTACCTGGAGAAATGGTACACTCCTGACCAAATACTGCACTTTCCCACAGTCTTAGCAACAAGCAGACCAGGAGATACCCTCCTGTGCCTGACTCGGCAGGTCCCATGCCCATGAAGCCTTGCTCACTGCTAGCACAGCAGTCTGAAATCAACCTGCGAGGCTGCAGCTTGACAGGGGGAGGGGCATCCGCCATTGCTGACGCTTCAGTAGCTCACAGTGTAAACAAAGAGGCCAGGAAGCACAAACTTGGCAGAGCTCACCACAACTCAGTAAGGCTTACTGCCTCTATAGAGGCACTTGTAGGGGCAGGGCATAGTAGAAAAAAGGACAGCAGACAGCTTCTACAGACTTAAATGTCCCTGTCTGACAGCTCTGAAGAGAGCAGTGGTTCTCTCAGCATGGCATTTGAGCTCCAAAAACAGACAGACTGCCTCCTCAAGCAGGTCCCTGAACCCCGTGTAGCCTGACTGGGAATCACCTCTCCAATAGGAGTCAACAGACACCTCAAACAGGCAGGTGTCCCTCTGGGACAAAACTTCCAGACGAAGGATCAGGCAGCAATATTTGCTGTTCTGCAGCCTCTGCTGGTGATACCCAGGCAAACAGGGTCTGGAGTGGACCTCCAGCAAACTTCAACAGACCTGCAGCTGAGGGGTCTGACTGTTAGAAGGAAAACTAACAAACAGAAAGGAATAGAATCGATATCAATAAAAAGGACATCCACACCAAAACCCCATCTCTAGGTCACCAACATCAAAGACCAAAGGTAGATAAAACCACAAAGATGAGGAGAAACCAGAGCAGAAAAGCTGAAAATTCCAAAAAACAGAGCACTTCTTCTCCTCCAAGGGATCACAGCTCCTCACCAGCAAGGGAACAAAACTGGACGGAGAATGAGTTTGACAAGGTGACAGAAGTAGGCTTCAGAAGGTCAGTAATAACAAACTTCTCTGAGCTAAAGAAGCATGTTCTAAACCAACATAAAGAAGATAAAAACCTTGAAAGAAGGTTAGATGAATGGCTAACTAGAATAAACAGTGTAGAGAAGACCTTAAATTACCTCATGGAGCTGAAAACCATGGCACAAGAACTTCGTGACACATACACAAGCATCAATAGCTGATTCAATCAAGTGGAAGAAAGGATATCAGTGATTGAAGATCAAATTAATGAAACAAAGCAAGAAGACAAGATTAGAGAAAAAAGAGTGAAAAGAAACAAACAAATCCTCCAAGACATATGGGACTATGTGAAAAGACCAAATATACGTTTGATTGGTGTACCTGAAAGTGACTGGGAGAATGGAACCAAGTTAGGAAACACTCTTCAGGATATTATCCAGGAGAACTTCCCTAACCTAGCAAGGAAGGCCAACATTCAAATTCAGGAAATAAAGAGAACACCACAAAGATACTCTTTGAGAAGAGCAACCTCAAGAAACAAGATTGTCAGCTTCACCAAGGTTAAAATGAAGGAAAAAATGTTAAGGGCAGCCAGAAAGCTCGGGTCACCCACAAAGGGAAGCCCATCAGACTAACAGCTGATCTCTTGGCAGAAACCATACAAGCCAGAAGAGAGTGGGGGCCAACATTCAATGTTCTTGAAGAAAATAACTTTCAACCCAGAATCTCATATCCAGCCAAACTAAGCTTCATAAGTGAAGGAGAAATAAAATCCTGTACAGACAAGCAAATGCTGAGAGATTTTGTCACCACCAGGCCTGCCTTACAAGAGCTCCTGAAGAAAGCACTAAACGTGGAAAGGAACAACTGGTATGAGCCACTGCATAAACATGACAAATGGTAAAGACCATTGACACTATGAAGAAACTGCATCAATTAACGGGCAAAATAACCAGCTAACATCGTAATGATGGGATCAAATTTAAACATAACAATCTTAACCTTAAATATAAATGGGCTAAATGCCCCAATTAAAAGACACAGACTGGCAAATTGGATAAAGAGTCAAGACTCATCAGTGTGCTGTATTCAAGAGACCCATCTTACGTGCAAAGGTGCACATAGGCTCAAAATAAAGGGATGGAGGACGATCTACCAAGCAACCGGAAAGCAAAAAAAAAAAAAAAAAAAAAAGCAGGGGTTGTAATCCTAGTCTCTGATAAAACAGATTTAAACCAACAAAGATCAAAAGAGACAAGGCCACTACATAATGGTAAAGGGATCAATTCACCAAGAAGAGCTAAAGAGCCTAAATATATATGCACCCAGTACAGGAGCACCCAGATTCTTGAAGCAAGTCCTTAGAAAGGACAAAGAGACTTAGACTCCCACACAATAATATTGGGAGACTTTAGCACCCCACTGTCAATATTGGACAGATTAACAAGACAGAAGGTTAACAAGGATATCCAGGACTTGAACTCACCTCTGGACCAAGGACCAAGTGGACCTAATAGACATCTACAGAACTCTATACCCCAAATCAACAGAATACACATTCTTCTCAGCACCAAATCACATTTATTCTAAAATTGACCACATAATTGGTAGTAAAACATACCTAAGCAAATGTAAAAGAACAGAAATCACAACAAACTGTCTCTCAGACCACAGTGCAATCAAATTAGAACTCAGAATTAGTAAACGCACTAAAAATTGCACAACGACATGGAAACTGAACAACCTGCTACTGAATGACTGCTGGGTAAACAACAAAATGAAGGCAGAAGTAAAGATGTTCTTTGAAACCAATGAGAACAAAGACACAACATACCAGAATCTCGGGGACACATTTAAAGCAGTGTGTACAGGGAAATTTATAGCACTAAATGCCCACAAGAGAAAGCAGAAGACATCTAAAATCAACACCCTAACATCACAATTAAAAGAACTAGAGAAGCAAGAGCAAACAAATTCAAAAGCTAGCAGAAAACAAGAAATAACAAAGATCAGAGGAGAACTGAAGGAGATAAAGACACAAAAAAAAACCTTCAAAAAATCAATGAATCCAGGAGCTGTTTTTTGAAAAGATCAACAAAATAGATGGCTAGCAAGACGAATAAAGAAGAAAAGAGAAGAATCAAATAGACACAATAAAATATGATAAAGGGGATATCACCACTGATCCCACAGAAATACAAACTACCATCAGAGAATACTATAAACACATCTATGCAAATAAACTAGAAAATTTAGAAGAAATGGATAAATTCCTGGACACATACACCCTCCCAAGACTAAACCAGGAAGAAGTTGAATCTCTGAATAGACCAATAACAGGTTCTGAAATTCAGGCAATAATTAATAACCTACCAACCAAAAAAAGTCCAGGACCAGACGGATTCACAGCCAAATTCTACCACAGGTACAAAGAGGAGTTGGTACCATTCCTTCTGAAATTATTTCAGTCAACAGAAAAAGAGAGAATCCTCCCTAACTCATTTTATGAGGCTAGCATCATCCTGATACCAAAGCCTGGTAAAGACACAACAAAAAAAAGAGAATTTTAGGCCAATATCCCTGATGAATATGGATGCGAAAATCCTCACTAAAATACTGGCAAACTGAATCCAGCAGCACATCAAAAAGCTTATCCACCACAATCAAGTTGGCTTCATCCCTGGGATGCAAGGCTGGTTCAACATATGCAAATCAATAAATGTAAGCCATCACATAGGCAGAACCAACAACAAAAACCACATGATTGTCTTAACAGATGCAGAAAAGACCTTCAACAAAATTCAACAGCCCTTCATGTTAAAACTCTCAATAAACTAGGTATTGAAGGAATGTATCTCAAAATAATAAGAGCTATTTATGACATACCCAACCAAATATCGTACTGAATGGGCAAAAACTGGAAGAATTCCCTTTGAAAACCCACGCAAGACAAGGATGCCCTCTCTCACCACTCCTATTCAACATAGTGTTGGAAGTTCTGGCTAGGGCAATCAGGCAAGAGAAAGAAAGAAAGGGTATTCAATGAGGAAAAGAGGAAGTTGAATTGTCTCTTCAGATGACGTAATTGTGTATTCAGAAAACCCCATTATCTCAGCCTCAAATCTCCTTAAGCTGATAAGCAACTTCAGCAAAGTCTCAGGAAACAAAATCAATGTGCAAAAATCACAAGCATTCCTATATACCAATGACTGACAAACAGAGAGCCAAATCATGAGTGAACTCTCATTCACAATTACTACAAAGAGAATAAAATACCTAGGAATCCAACTTACAAGGGATATGAAGGACCTCTTCATGGAGAACTACAAACCACTGCTCAATGAAATAAAAGAGGACACAAGCAAATGGAAGAACATTCCATGCTCATGGATAGGAATAATCAATATCATGAAAATGGCTATACTGCACAAAGTAATTTATAGATTCAATGCTATCGCCATCAAGATACCACTGACTTTCTTCACAAAATTGGAAAAATAACTACTTTAAAGTTCATATGGAACCACAAAAGAGCCCACATAGCCAAGACAATCCTAAGCATAAAGAACAAACCTGGAGGCATCATGCTACCTGACTTCAAACTATACTACAAGGGTACAGTAACCAAAATAGCATGCTACTGGTACCAAAACAGATATATAGACCAATGGAACAGAACAGCGGCCTCAGAAATAACACCACACATCTACAACCATCTGATCTTTGACAAACCTGAGAAAAACAAGCAGTGGAGAAAGGATTCCCTATTTAATAAATGGTGCTGGGAAAACTGGCTAGCCATATGTAGAAAGCTGAAACTGGATCTCTTCTTTACACCATATACAAAAATTAACTCTAGATGGATTAAAGACTTAAATGTAAGACCTAACACCATAAAAATCCTAGAAGAAAACCTAGACAATACCGTTCAGGACATAGGCATGGGCAAAGACTTCATGGCTAAAACACCAAAAGCAATGGCAACAAAAGTCAAAATAGACAAATGGGATCTAATTAAACTAAAGAGCTTCTGCACAGCAAAAGAAACTATCATCACTGTGAACAGGCAACCTACGGAATGGGAGAAAGCCATTGCAATCTACCCATCTGACAAAGGGCTAATATCCAGAATCTACAAAGAACTTAAACAAATTTACAAAAAAACAACAACCCCATCAAAAAGTCAGTGAAGGATACGAACAGACACTTCTCAGAAGAAGACATTTATGCAGCCAACAGACATATGAAAAAATGCTCATCATTACTGGTCATCAGAGAAATGCAAATCAAAACAACGAGATACCATCTCACACCAGTTAGAATGGTGATCATTAAAAAGTCAGGAAACAACAGATTCTGGAGAGGATGTGGAGAAATAGGAACACTTTTACGCTGTTGAAGGGAGTGTAAATTAGTTCAACCATTGTGGAAGACAGTGTGGCAATTCCTCGAGGATCTAGAACTAGAAATACCATTTGGCCCAGCGACCCCATTACTGGGTATATACTCAAAGGATTATAAATTATGCTACTATAAAGACACGTGCACACCTATGTTTATTGCCACACTATTCACAATAGCAAAGACTTGGAACCAACCCAAATGTCCATCAAGGATAGACTGGATTAAGAAAATGTGGCACATATACACCATGGAATACTATGCAGCCATAAAAAAGGATGAGTTCATGTCATTTGCAGGGACATGGATGAAGCTGGAATCCATCATTCTAAGCAAACTAACACAAGGACAAAAAACCAAACACCGCATGTTCTCACTCTTTGGTAGGAGTTGAACAATGAGAACACATGGACACAGGGTGGGGAACATCACACACCAGGGCCTTTCCGGGGGTGAGGGGCTAGGGGAGGGATAGCATTAGGAGAAATACCTAATGTAAATGATGAGTTGATGGGTGCAGCAAAACAACATGGCACATGAATATCTATGTAACAAACCTGCATATTGTGCACATGTACCCTAGAACTTAAAGTATAAAAAAAATACCTTTCTGATGCTCACTTTGCTGCTAATAATATGAATGATAATTAAGATATACAATGTATGTAACTATGGAGGTGAAGGGATTATCTTCATGATTTTATATCATCTTCACAACAACATATAATGTATGCATAACATAGATTATGTAAAATCTGCATTTTTATTTTATTTTATTTAAAACTGTCATTGTTTGTTCACTCCCTTTAAAAAAATCCACACTATAATGTAAACAATATGAAGTCAAGGATTTTATCTGCCTGTTTCCCTGTTATTCTTCAGTGCTTGCCTGATGCCTGATCCAAAGGTGATATTTAACCTGACTTTCTAAATACATGGCACTCAGAGATTAAGTGGCTTTCCCACAGTAACACAACTACTATAGCACTGTCCTATTCCAAAGACTCTTCTTAGTGAACTTTATACGTAGTTTCAAGGGGTACCTTCATAGCCCTGCTAGGATTAGAATTAGGGATTCCTTATGCCATTTGGATTTATCCAATAATGGTGGAGCTAAAGTTCTGCTATATTTTACCTAATTTGGGAGAATGTTTTACTCTAGATATATAACATCAGATTCTTATTAAACACGAATGACTTGCTGTAAGGGTTTTTCTTTTCATCACAGTAGCATTTTCCCATCGTATTCTAATTTAGTCCTAATGGAAGTAACTGAGCCATGAACGTCAACTTCCCCTTTCTCAGATAACCCATATAAAGTTATGTTTTTCAAAACAAAATCAAAATTCAACTATCATATGATCAAGCAATACCACTGGATATATATCCTACTGAGTATCAATCCAAAGGAAATGAAATCAGTATGTCTAAGAAATATCTGCACTTCCATGTTAATTAAAGGTAACCATTCTATAATGTAATTCTATAATGTAAACATATTTTCAAACATTATTATTCACCACAAATATACACAATTCTGATTTTTCACTTAAAATAAATTATAAAAAAAGAAAAACATATATTGCATTATTTTTGTTTGTGCTACAAACCAAAAAGACAGCAATGAAGGAGGTAGCTGCAATCTTAGCCTTCGTAGACCTTATAATTTAACTACAGTCAATTAAAAAATAAGCAATTGCAATATAGTGTGTAAAGTTCTAGATGTTAGGGAAGCACCTAGTAGGGCACCTAAATCAAAATAAGTTTTCATCTTTCTATAAAAATGGAAACCTGGTATAGAAAATAGTATGTTTGTCCTGGAGTCAAGCTAACTGGATCAGTTGAAAGTCTGGTTCGTTCTTTTATTTACTGTATGCTAGAAAAGTTTCTTAATCCTTCTGAGCATCAATTTTTAACTTTCCAAATTCCACCTTATAAATTAGTTGTTTAAGTAAAATAACATGATATTTATAATCAGAAGGGGAAGTACCAACTTCGGTTCAAAAATAGGTATGTACAGTCTTAATAAATGTGACAATCTTGGCATTCATATTTGCTTAAAGAGAAATCTAGAAATTTGGGACCTAGATATCCTGAAATACCAAGAATAGCTGTTCCTCTGACTCTTGAATGAAAACTACGGCAGAGTCAATGACTTTTCTTTTCTTACTGTTCTCACATAGTAGAAATTCTCATATAGGTTTCTAATAAGAAAAATAATCTTAGTTCAGCAAGTAACATATTCAGCCGTATTTATCGTCAAACTACACCTAAAATTAAAATATTTCCCCTCCCTTAATATAGGTTTATTGCTGCCTGCAGCGTAAAAAGAGTTGTGGTCAGCGGCTTTTCTCTTTCCTCACCTAGTGACACTCCTCTTCCTCTAAGTGTCTGCTTGGTTTGTATGGTTGTGATGGTCTAACATTGGCACTATCTGGACCTGAAAGCTGTTTAAGCCTGGCATGTTTCTTTCATGAGGTGCCTTGAGGGGTAGCTCTGTGTTACTCGGATCTATGAACAACAATTTTCTTGAGCTGTGCAAAGACATCCCTTTCTAGCAGGTTGCCTATGACTTCTGAACTAAGCACCCAGTATTATACCTAGTGATTCTTTTAGTAGAAGCACCCAGTATTACACCTAGTGATTCTTTTCAGCAGAACAATATGTTTTCTTTTGGGTTCATATGCAGTAATGGTATTCCTGGGTCAAATGGTAGTTCTGTTTTAAATGCTTTGAGAAATCTCTAAACTTCTTTCTACAGTGGCTGAACCATTCCCACCAAGAGTGTATAAGCATTCTGCTAGGCAATTTTTTATTTTATTATTTTTTTTTATGGAGTCTCGCTCTGTTGCCAGGCTGGAGTGCAGTGGTGCGATCTTGGCTCACTGTAACCTCTGCCTCCCGGGTTCAAGCAATTCTCCTGCTACTAGGCAATTTTTAATGTACCTCTTTTAGTAATTTACAGGTTATTAGTCCAAAAATGTCTGTAGGAATACAATACATTTAAGCAACATAATTAAGAAGTCCAATCTAATGAAAATATAGAGAACTTTAAATCCAGAAATGATTTTTCTTCTTATTTTTAAAAGTCAACCACATTTCTAGTTATAAAGCCAGTTACAATAATCATTAAAGAATCATAATCATGTAAAATACATTTTCTAACCAAATTGAAACTAAGATGATCATAAATAAAACAACTAATAAAGTCATATGTATTTGGGAATTTAAAAACTCACTTTTAAGTAACTCACAAATCAAAGAAAAAATATTAGAAGAAATTAGAATATGCAAAGAACAAACTGGCACTGATAACCAAAATACCATGGGCTAAAAATTAAGAAGCTAACTTTACGGTGTAAAAAGTTAAATAGAATAATTCTGATGATAGTAAAAGAGGTAAAGTTTCCCAAATAATTGTATTGGTATAATTGTTATGCCAAAACCATAAACTGACACTAGAAGGAAAGAGGTTTTCAGGTTAATCTTAGTCATGAACATATTGGCTAAAATCCCAAAAAGAATATTAGCAGTAAAAACTATAAAGTATTATAAATTACAACCAAATCAAGTTTATACTAAAAATGGAAGTGCAGTTTATATTGAAAGGTGTTCATTGTTAGCCAGGCATGGTGGCACATGACTGTGTCCCTTGCTACTTTAAGGGCTGGTGTGGAAGGATTGCTTGAGCCAAGGAGGTTGTGGCTGCAGTGGGTCTTGATTGTGGCACTGCACTCTAGCCTCAGTGACAAAGAGAGACCTTGTCTGAAAAGAAAAGAAAAAAAGGCATTCATTGAATATATTCATTTAGTCATTTAACAGATAAAATGTTAAAATCCTATTATTTAAGAGATCAAAAAAAGCATCAAACTTCAACAACTTTGATGATAATAACTTAGCCAAATAGAAGAGAGAAATCTTCTGGAAATAGAAGTTCCTTTACTTGATAAAGTGTACCTATTAAAATCTATTAAATAATGAAATGCTAACTGGAACAGTAAGGAAAGTAAGTCAAGAAATAAAAATAAAATCTGTAAGATTTGAAAGGGAAGAAATAAAACTGTATTTATATAGAAAAGCTAAACAAATCTAGAGATAAATCAATAGAATTAATAAGAATTGCTGGACATGAAGTCAATATACCAAAGTTAATTGTATCTTATACTCTAGCAACAGAGGGAAAATATGTCTTGTTAAAAAAGTAGCATTTCCAATATTAACAAATATGTAAGGAATTCAAGAACAAACATTATATGGGCCAGGCGTGGTGCCTCATGCCTGTAATCCCAGCACTTTGGGAGGCCGAGGCAGGTGGATCATGAGGTCAGGAGTTCGAGACCAGCCTGGCAACATGGTGAAACCGGTCTGTACTAAAAATACAAAAATTAGCCGGGCATGGTGGTGCACACCTATAATCCTAGCTACTCAGTAGGCTGAGGCAGGAGAATCGCTTGAACCTGGGAGGTGGAGGTTGCAGTAAGCCGAGATCATGCCACTGCATTCCAGCCTGGGCAACAGAGCAAGACTCCATCTCAGAAAAAAAAAAGAAGAAGAAGAAGAAGAAGAACAAACATTATAAATGATATATTTCATAAAAACTTTATGGTGAAAATTATAAAAATTTACAAGTATAATTTTACAATAAAACGTTATAATTATTAAGTTATAATTATTTAAAGGTCTCAAATAAAACTTTAAAAAATGAAGAGCTACAAAATGGAGAGATGAACTAAAATGGCTAGGAGAACTCAACATCACAAATTAATCTGTACATTCAATGAAATTTCAATGACTATATCAATAATGTTTGTATGGAAATTAGCCTTCAGATTCTAAAATAAGTTTAAAAAAGAGAAGATATAAGAACAAGCAAGAAAGTTTTAAAGAAGAAAGAGAAGTTATGGTACATATCTTATCAGATATGAAGACATTATGAAGCTATACTATTTACAGCTACATGTATTTGGTTAGAGAGAAAAAAATCAGACTAATGGAACAGAATAAGGAACTCAACTGAATGAACACTGATATGTGAAAACTTCTTTTATTAGAGGTACCATAGAAGACCTGAAAGGAATAATAAACTGTCCATGAATGATGGCTAGAAATTGTTTTTTCCTATGGGAAAATAACTCTAAAATAAATAATAAAAAAATTCTAGGTGATTAAAATCTATATGTGAAAAACACAACTTTAAAGTTTTAGAAAAAAATGTAGAACATGTTTATAATTTCAGGATAAGAAATGGTTTCTTTAAATGATATTAAAAAGAAAAACATAAACAGAAATATTAATTGTACTACACAACAGAAAAGCTTTTGTGTTTCAAAAGACATCACTTTAAAAGACAGGAAAAAGTAAAGCATTAGTCTGAGAGAAGTTATTTGCAATATATTTAATCAACAAAGGGTTGATATATAAAGAACACACCAATATTAATAAGCACAAAAATATTGATAGCAAAAGGTATGAACAAGCAATGCAATAGAAGGGGTGCTCAAGTAACTAATAAACATAAGAAAATAGGTCTGGCCTCAGCAGTAAAGCAAAGTTATGGCTAGCCTGTAGCTCTGATGTAACATTAGCAAGAAATAAATATTTGTGGTTGGTAGTCACTGATAAATTGGCATTGTTTGTTACCACAGGAAAAACTAACAAATACACTGTTAAAGCTGAATGAGATTCAACAATGTGCTCTGGTGTTAGAGCTGCCTTTCACCAACCAAGTAACTGAGCTCACCTTCTTAGGGAGGAATAGAGGGTGAGATGACTGGCCATCTGTTTTTAGGAAAATCCCTTCTCATGAAAACCAGGAGTGTGGAATAAACCTTCATCTCTAACATGCCCAAGTCAGTGTTATCTACTTGGAGGAAGAGGTGAGTAGTCTATTGGGGAAGTCTACTTTTCATCTTCTTGAGGTCCCTTGCTCAAGACTAACCACTGGTCTTTTGTGTATCCTCTCCAAATGTCTAGTATTCAGTGTTGAAATATGCTCAGGTCAGAGCATTCACTGATTAACTTAACTTCAGAGTTATGCTCTGCCTAGGGCAGCATCTTTACCCTCTATTCTAATTTTTATTTCAAATTACGGCAATCCACAATGTCCACTATGGCTCATTAATCATTCTATGAATTCAAAACAATTAAAATATCCTATTAATAGTGTCAGCAACATTTAAATGTTCAAAAATTGTATACATATAACTCTTCTCCTTTGTTGAATTCTTACAGACAAATTAAAATTAAAGATTATAGTTCTGGCTGGGTGCAGTGGCTCACGCCTGTAATCCCAGCACTTTCGGAGGCTGAGGCAAGGTCAGGAGATCGGGACCATCCTGGAAAACACGGTGAAACCCCGTCTCTACTAACAATACAAAAAAATTAACTGGGCATAGTGGCACGCACCTGTAGTCCCAGCTACTCAGGAGGCTGAGGCAGAAGAATCGCTTGAAACAGGGAGGCGGAGGTTGCAATGAGCCGAGACTGCACCGCTGCACTCCAGCCTGGGTGACAGAGTGAGATTCCATCTCAAAAAAAAAAAAAAAAAAAAAAAAAAAAAAAAATTATAGCTCCAAAGGACTTATAGACCCAGACAATTAAACTGGAATTCAGATTTGGTAGCATTAGCAATGTTAGCATTGCTAATACAGAGGAAATCTTCACTATTCATTACTTGAAGGTCCACATGGCCATCTCTTCATGCTAGAGCTTTAGGCCCAGCAAATCTAAAAACCACAGTCCTCGATTTCATACACAAAAGCCTTTTCAGCAAATAAGGTCTGCTTGTAGTTGGCCATACCCTGATGAATGGCTTCAAACTGCATGGACGAACTTTTTTTTGAGACGGAGTCTCACTCTGTTACCCAGGCTGGAGTAAAATAGCAGATCTCAGCTCACTGCAACCTCCGTCTCTCGGGTTCAAGCGGTTTTCCTGTCTCAGCCTCTCAAATAGCTGGGATTACAGGTGCTTGGCACCATGCCCAACTAATTCTTTGTATTTTTAGTAAAGATGGGATTTCACCATGTTTGCCAGGCTGGTCTTGAACTCCTGACCTCGTGATTCGCCCGCCTCGGCCTCCCGAAGTGCTGAGATTGCAGGCCTGAGCCACCGCGCCAGGCCAGATGAACTATTTAAGTATGTTATCGTTGCGCTTAGTGAGGAGGTCACCTGTCCACACACCTTTTACTTCTGTCTGGAGTCATTGTCCTTTCGTTTTTGCCCAGTTTGAGTGAGGAATGAGTCTCTTGTCTTTAATTGGGGCTGCTACCATCCCAAGGCAGGTACTGCATTCTCATGCTCTGGAATATGCTAGGCATGCTCACACAGCCCATGCCTTTGGAACACCAGGTCTCAGCTGCTTTTGGAACACCAGTTCCTTTGGAACACCAGGTCTCAGCTGCTAGATTGAAGATAGGGATCAAGATTCCTTGGGAAATAGTTACATAAATGTTATAGAACAAGCAAAATCAGCCAGAAGATGTCTGAAAAGCTTGCGTTCAGACAATCATCTCTAACTCCAAAACCTGATTTGCATATCCTAGCATCTAATCTCCAATTTCAGTGTTTTACCCAAACAGACTCTTCACCCAATTCAGAGTCACATTCCTTTGGGTGGAATTCCCGCACCACCTCATTTAGATACTCCCTCTCTCAATAGTCCTGTGCCAGTCCTCAGTGCCCAAAGCCACTGCCAGCACCAGAAAAGCTCTTAATAGGGCTATTTTGGCAAGGAAGCCATTCCAAATCCTTTCCACCATGCACTAGCTATTAGCATATTCTTAACTTTTTCTTAACTTATTCTTAAATTTTTCTTTCTCAGTGCTGCCACTAATCAGATACTACATAGGCCAAGTGTGTATGGTTACCGTGTTCTGTAGCTTGCGTGTTTTATCAGAACCCCTGCCTGAAGAGCCTGTGCTACAAGACCCAGAAATTCTCAGAATTGATGTAGCTAACTTTTTTCCTGTGATTGGATGGTGAAGAACATGCGTTTAACTATGCTGTCTGCGAGTCTGGTTTCCAGTGACTTCAGTTAGGCTAGTTCTCTATGTAACAAAAACATAGTTATTGCCTTAGGGTCCCTAAGCCAGCAGTGATGGATTAGACAATGCCGAAGTTTATGATAGTCAATAAATTACTCTTGGTATAGTGATGGGTCCAAGGATGAGTAGCTTTTGGTGAATCAGTTTTTGTCTCAGCCTTTATCTTACTTTATCCAGTGTGCTATAACAAACTTCCATAAACTGGGTGGCTTATAAACAACAGAAATATATTTCTCACTATTCTGGAGGCTGGAAAATCTAAGATCAAGGCACTGAGAGATTTGGTGTCTGGTGAGTGCCCTCTTCCTCATAGTTAGCCGCCTTCTCATTCTAACCTCACATGGTAGAAGGGTCCAGCTAGCTGTCTGGGGTTTGTTTTAAAAGGGCACTAATCCGATTGATGAGCACTCTACCCTCATAACCTAATCACCTTCCAACGAGATGAATTTGAGATAAAAATTCCAGAAATTATGTAGTGTTTCTAAAACCCATATGCCAAGGTCTTTGCTGGATTACAGACAGATTGGGTCCTCAGCTATGTTTGCTTTCCCAAAGTGGCCACTGAGTATAGACACTCCAGGCACAATTAACACTATACATACTTTAAAATGCCCGAACTTCCCGAGAACTTCTAAAGGAATGCTGTGGTCTGAATGTTTGTGTCCCCTTCAAATTCATATGGTGGTGAAACTCATCTGAAATGATTAGTAGCCCAGCTCAAGGGTCTTTTTGTGCTTCTGAATATATGGTGATATAGTTCGGATATTTGTCACCACCAAAATCTCACAGGGAAATATAATCCCTAGTGTTGGAGGTGGGGTCTGGTGGGAGGAGATTGGATCATGAGGATGGATTTCTCATGAATTGTTTAGAGTCACCCTTTTGGTGCTGTCCTCGAAATAATGAGTTTGTATGAGATCTGGTCATTTAAAAGGGTGTGGCACCTCCCCTGCACTCTCTCTTGCTCCTGCTCTTGCCATATGAGATACCTGCTCCCGCTTCACCTTCTGCCATGATTGGAAGCTTCCTGCTCCCCAGAAGCAGATGATGGTGCTATACTTCGTATACAGTCTGCAGAACTCTGAGGCAATTAAGCCCCTTTTCTTATACATTGCCCAGTCTCAGGTATTTCTTTATAGCAATACAAGAAGAGCCTAATGCACATTGTCAGGCATGGTTAAAAAAAAAAAGTACAATTCACCCTTTTTTTCTAACTGTGCTATTTTAAATGTAGTCAGCTATGACTCCTGAACATCTGCTAGGGCTTTTAATATTACCAGGTACTTCTAACCCCCCATCCCCAATCCTCATATACATTAACCATCCTAATTATTAAAATCCTCACATTTCTACCAAATTTTAGATAATTTTCAATCATTACTCCAGCATACATACAGTAGCTCCTTAAATTTGCTGGGTTGCCTCACTTGATGGATGAGGGGTTGAGGTTTTACGGTGATCCACGGTTGTGTGTATTCCCTGAGTGTAGTCCTGCCCAGAATGGAGCTTTTCATGGTTATTTCATGGATGACTGTGTAGAGTCTAAAGATAGTATATACCACACCATGGGGTTGTTACTATACTTACCTATAACATTTACCCATCCGAAAGCAATTGGAAGGAATTTTGGTAGAACTAGATGTAGATATGTGGTACCCATATCCTCACCTACCAACTTCCAAATCACCTCAAACATTGTGCAAATAGGACCTTTGACAGCAATAATATTTTATTTAAACGCAACTAAGCATCCCAGAGGCATAAGCCACAGGTCTTTTTTCTTACAATATATTTAGGTTAGTCCTATGACTACCATACCATATAAAATTATGGTAGCTTTTGCATAGTAAAATATTAGTAAACTATTGTAAACAATGAAAATGAAAACATCGTTGCAATTTGTGAAAGACTTTTTAAATAAAAAATTATATTTATTAAATTTTATATACATAGTTACCATAGGTGGACTATGATTGGAATGAAATGAAAAATCATTTATTACTTGCTACCGTGAAATTATAGGTGAATATTCTTAGAATAGAAAATATTTCAGTTAATTCTATAATTATAAGCACATAATAAAAATAAATGGAGAAAATCAAATAGCATCTTGTCCAAAGAATTTTATTTGATTTTTATTTTATTTTATTTTGAATTTTATTAAAGTTAAAAATAAAGAGAAAATTCACGAGTTTAGAATCTGTTGGATAAATGAAAATTCACAAAGTAAGATCTTTAGAGATTTATATAAATAGGGAAGTATTGTAAAGCACAAAAGCAAAGTCATGACACCAGCAGTTATGCTATTATATTGATCAAGGTACAGTATCCTTATGTATCTTTCTGTAATAAGACCATGTCTATCCAGTTGCTAATTCTAACTCAATGAGACAATTCAGGTGAAGGTGAACTGAAGACTTGAACTCTTCTGTGCACTGAGGAACACAACACATTGCTTATCTTCACTGAAGGGATATATCAGATTTAGGCTCTTGTTTTATCATGTGCTCTATTGCATTCCACAAATTGCTCTATCCATGATAGTTTAAAAAGTGAAAAACTTGTATTTCTTTGTACCCAAACAACAGAGAGAAGAAAAAGCTCATGACCATGAGCATGATTGTTTGAGAATAAGCAACACTATCTGTACACATTTCTTATGACAATACTTTTATTTAATCCTATTATTGTATGTTTGCAAAGAGAATTCCTGTTACTCATGAAAAATAATACCCAGAATTACCTTTGGCCTTTCCCACATATTACCATGATTTTCTGGTAAACAAGCCCTCCTTAAATTTAACATCAATATCCCACTGCATCATCTCCAGGAGATCATGCCATTTGTAATCATAAACACTATGCCAATAAAAAATTAAGTTTCCCAAGCTCTTAAATATAATGTAGTAAACAAAGAGTGAAAATATGCCTTTGTGATGAAGCCATTCTCTGGAACCTGTCTATATTAATGTGTACTGCTTGGAAGACACGATGAATGAATTAATGTTGCATATCTCCTGTTAATTTTGGTGCCCTGTGCATATAACCTCAGTTTCTGCCCACTGTTGCTTTCAAAAGAAAGTGAAGGGTATATGAATAATCCAAATCAGACCTTCTAAACCTAGTGGTGAACACAGTTCAAACTAGCACTTCTTCTAAAATAATCAATTTGGTTTGTGGTACTGGAGACACTATTGAGTTAGTAATTTGGTAATTTTGAATGGCTGTAGGTATTATATTATGAGTTAATATGATCAATACATTAATAATAAAACTTTAAAACATAAGATTTAGCATTTTTGATGGATTCAAGTAATGTCCATAGGCAGATCTGTTGAATATATTCTAAGGTAGACTGGACCAAGTATCACACACACCCGTGAGGTTTTATCTACAAAACTTCATTAGAATATCTGCTATGAAATTCCATGGAATAAACTGTGAAAGGAGCTATGATGCACAAGTCTTTGACTTGGTTATTTAGCTCTGATGAGAACATAGCATAGAGGAAAATAAACCTCTTCTGACTCACTTAAACATTTTTGTTTCATAGACATTTTCTGGTGCTGAGGCAGCCATAGAAATGGAAAATTTCAAAACTACAATAGTTCAGAAAAAAGTTTGAGGCACTACTCCATTTACAGGTCATCTACAATCACTCAAACCTCATCATTGATCATTTAAATATTTGTCCCAGATAAGCTACACTATGTACTGATGATTAATCGAGTGTTGGCAATGACCTTTTGGTTAATGAGAGTAATGAAGTCTTTTTTTTTTTTTTGAGAGAATGATGCTACAGAGATGATTCAACTATAAAAGGGACATAAACTTTATGTTGATTTCCTAATTGTGGTGATGTATTAGCCTTGATTTTCCTTGAAACATTCGCTGTATTTTAGAAGGATATAATTGTTCCTGCAGACATTGTTGATACAACTGTACAAGGTTCAAGTAAATAAACTGGCCCACATAGTTTCTACCCACTTCCTTGCCTTCCCCTGAACTGTGTTCTGACCAACTGAACTGCTCAACTCAAGCCAAAACATTGTAGCTAATACTTCTGCCCATCACCTACACTCAGTGTGGGAATTTTGCAAGAGTTTCTAAGGAAATTTCAGACATATAACATTTATATAATTCATAATTATGAAACCTGAGAACCTTGTGTCAGTCCATCCTAGGACTTAGAGTATTCTGTCAGTGTACATTTACTGTATCTATAAAATATTAAGCAATGTGTTTTGGAGTCTTATCATGAGCTACAGAATGACTCTGTGGTAATCAATTTCAGCCATTTAAGTCACCTCAAATACCAAATTGATGGTGTTACCAGTGGCAGAAGGCAAATTCCTTCCAGAGTGCTGGGAATAAAATCGAGTTTATCACACAAATCCACAAGATGCTATTTTGGCTTTTATGAGCTGTGTTATATTTAGCAGGGCATGATGGCTGTCTCTGCAACTATTCAACTACAAAATGAGTGTGATAACTACTCTTCAGGAAAACATTGAGGTTTAGATGTATAAAAGAAAAGTTCCAGAAAGACTGTAAATAACTGAAGGAAATTATTATAATTTTGACTTGGTCTAATAAGTATTAAATGATATTTCAGCTCTGGGAATTCTGAATGGATTTTGGAATCTCTGAAAATCTTTTACTTCTGAAAAGGTATATATTAATCTTAACCATATTCTCCCTTCAAATCTATCCATTTGAGAAATAAACCAACAAAGTCACCTGAGAATCATTGATAATTTTGTCTTGGTAAGAATTCCAAAAAAGTGTATTTCAAACCCTTTCAACTAAAGAGCCCCTTTAGCCCAATATTATTCACAGATTTTAAAGTCCCAAAGATAGGTCAATACTTTGGTCATGGTATTCATGTGTATGAACATAAATATTCTTATTCTATCACTTCTACTCACCAGAGTTAAAAAATAAGAGGGAATTTTTACTTTTTGATTTGTTAGGTCTGATCCAGAACTTTGAATTCTTTACATCAAATTTCCATAATTATTTGATTACTTCTTTAGATAGATTTTGGTACTGCTGGTAGTGTTTTGGAATACAGTAGTTTGTGACAAAAAAATTCAGAAAGTAACATGTTTAATTACAAGTAAGAAGTTTACTTTATTGGTCTGCTTTTTAATTTAGTTTTTAAAAATTACATCTTTAGAAATAAATTTACTTAAAATGGTCAGTTAAATAAAGCACAAAGGATTTTGGTGTGATTTCAGGGCAGATACATAGATAGTAAAGGCTGAACTTTTCTAGAATATAATTTCAATGGAGGCCGTGATATTTTTTAAAAAATTAATTAAATAAATAAAAACCCCTCTATTCAGGCCCACCTGAAAGTGTAAGAGAATGGCTACTTACCTTGTGTTTCAATACTTCCCAAAGGCTCACTGTATTCCATTTGGATTAGATTATCTGTTCTTTGAACAGTCTGGTGGGCCTTTTCCTCTGATGTTCTTTCTTTGAGAAGTATCTTTCTTTATCATCTTGGCAATGTCCTCCTTCAAACTTTTGCATTGAAGGATTTCTGTTTTTCCAAGGCAGTGTTAGATGTTCCTGCTTTCATACTTTCAATATCCTTGGTGCATATTTCTACTCTACAGTTCATTTATTCATTCATTCATTTATCAAGCATTTATTGAGTACCATTATGTAATAAGCACTGTGACAGGCCCAATAACACAAGATAACTAATATAAAATCTCTACATTATCAAAAAATTTAAAGTCTTACGCAGGGTTTTCTAACTTGGGTACTCTGAATGACCTTTTATGGTTCCTTTTAACTTGTTGAAATTTTATGCACAAATTTGTGACTATGTGCATGAATAAACTTTTCAGCAAAGACTGTTTTTTAGATTACAGCAGATTATAAAGAAAATGAAAAACCCAAAGTAAATTCAGAACCCACTGATTTACTAGAAAAGACAATCAGTTGATTATAATGTATAATCAATGATAAAATGAAGGTATGCATAGACCAAACATGAGGGCTGTGTAAGAGAAACCGGAGTGTGGTGGTTTCTATTAGAGTGTGGTGTAATAATGTGTTGGTGGGATCTGAAAAAGGTTCTTGGAAGGAGGTAAAGTCTGACAGTCCTGGAGGATGTATGAGAGTTAGCTCCTCTACTTTTCTTAACTGTAAAATTTCTGGAGCCCTTTTTTACTTCTTTATCACTGATTCATCTCTTAACCTATGAATCTGCTTTCCACACCCACCACTTTACTGAAGTCACCCTGGGAAAAGTCATCAGTGATGTCTTCACTGCTAAAACCAATGAATAAGAATGGTTTCAGTTCTTATCTTGCTTGACCTCTATGCAGCAGTTGAATACCCTTCCTTTTGAGAATTTATTTTTTGTTTGTTTTCTTCATTCCCCACTCTCATAGCTTTCCTTCTACTTGTCTGAATGCTATTTCTAAGAATTCCATCAATAATTTTCCTCCTATTTCATACATGTTGGAACTCCATCCCCAAATGTCTTCTGTTCTTGATTCACCCACTCTTCCTAGATGATTTCATGTACATTAGTGGGTTCACCTAGCATTTCTATGCTACTTCCCTCTGGATCTCTGTATCTGCACCCCAGATTTCCCTCCTAAGGTCCAGAAACCTCTACCCAGTTCTCTACTGTACATCTTCACTTGATGTTCCATAGGTAAATCGACTCGAGGTGTTCAAAAGTAAACTCATCATCTTCCCTATGAACATATAGAAAGTATCTTTAATAAGTTAAATAAAAGGAGACAGAAAATGCATGAGGGTTATATTGTAAGAAGTGGTAAATAGGTGTGTAATGGTGAATTATGAAGACACTGTATTGGCCTTCATGGAATTTACAGTTTAATGAGAAATATGGATAAATGTATAGACAATCACAATATGGTATGAAAATGTTATGAGAGAAAGCAGACAAGCTGCTATTAAATACATGAGGGCCTCTAACCTAGAAATGAGAGGAGGTGATTAGGACACAGGAAGTGATATATAAAATAAACTTGTTAAAGAAAAAGTTTATCATGATTGGATTATAGAAAGTCGACAGAGGATTGGGATGGGTTAGGGAGGAAGGGTTGATGTTATGAGAAGTGAAGCTGAAGAAATAAAAAATTTTATAAGCCACATTAATGGTTTGTACATCATTCCTAAAACAATAGAAGATTTTAAGCAAGTGGTGTCATGATCACTTTTATTTTAGAAAGCATCCCTTATCTTCAATGCAGAGATCAGATTTTAGGAGAGCGATGATTAAAAAAAGAAAGCTGAGTTAGCAAACTACTATAGCTATAGAGGTAAGAGATGGTGGTGTCTCAGGTCAAGGTAAAAGGAGGAGCATAGGCAAGAGTATTTGAGAACTATTGAGAAGGTAAATTCTATAGATGTCATAATTTATTGATTGTCAGAGAGAAAATGAAGAGGGAGGGAAAAAAGGGAGAGATAGTGTGTGTATGGGTCTAAAGATAAAACAAATTTTGAGGTCCTCTTTTGGACTACACTTGCTTTTGAGGAAATAGGTTATACTTAAACACAGAAAGAACTTTTTTGACTCTTACAGGCTGTAATAAAAATTTCAAGTGCTAGACATAAAGTTGTAGGGGAGAAAAATCTCTGTTGAAGAAAGAAAAATTTAAATCATTGCGTGTGTAGTCTTTTTTGTTCAGCTAAGCTGAACTCATCAATGATCTCTCCAAGATTCTGTCCTTACTCAAAACAGGTGGAGTACATGATACTTTCTTATTCATCCAAAAGCTTTCCTAGAAGCTAGTGGGTGCAACCTCAAAAAGGTTGAAGAGCAGTGTAGTCATTTGTTATCTTGTAGGAAGGCAGGTGAGAGAACTGGACTGTGAAATTTTGGAGAGGGGAGAAAACAATGTGCCCTAAATTTCCTTGTATATGCCCTAACACTTGGCTCAAAACATGTAAGAGAATATAAGTGTTGAATTCTATAAGGGTTCCTCTTAAAATAAAATGAATATTTTAGGGGATTGTAGGATCAGTAGTAATTATAATATTTTATTTTTTAGTCAAATAATTAAAACCAGTCCCTCGGGGTCATACTTTAAAATCTCAGTGGATTAACATAAGAAAAGTTTATTTCTTGGTCATATCACAATTCCATGTAGGTCAGGCAATGCTATTGCATAGGTCCCCTACTTGCCCAGGGGCCCCCATCTTGCATACCCATCATTTTATGGTCCTTCACTTGCAGCTGCAGAAGATCCCCCTAATCTTAAGTGCTTCCAGCCTAAAGTGACACACTTCACTTCCACCAGCAATCTACTGACCAGAATTAGTCACATGATCTTCACTCAACCGCAAAAGCTGAGATATACTTACTGAGCACTAATAGTCACTGTTACAGTCTGCAATTCTGATCATCTAAAACACTTAACCTCTCCCAGTGGAGAAAATTAAAGTCCTAGTAGTTGCCACATCTAGTCTGAGGCTGAGGATCTGTGAGTCTCTGCAGAATGGTCTCTCCATGAGTTGCACATATGGCTCCTTTTAGATTAGGAAACCTGTGAAGTTATTTGTCCCTCCTCCAGCATACTCACACCTACATTCATTACATAATATAGGAAGACTAAGTAAACATTCTCATTCAGAAAAAAATGGGGGACTTTCTTCAATCACTGTTTCCCAGCTATTCTGAAATTCTTTGGGTCAGATATTCTTAAGGCTTTTTATTTTAGCGTGAGGAATATTCCATTATTTAGCCCTGATACCATTAGGGAGAATTTTCTTGACCACTGTTCTTCTTGGTTACTGGTTCTATCTGTGGGGTGAGTCTTCTGTATTCTCCTTGGCTATATCTTAAGTGTGGTTCAAGAAGTTGCCCTTCTTGTAGTTACACAGCTTTCCCTTCTTTTACTACCAAACCAAAGATTTCCAGTGAAAAATTTTACCCACAGTCAAACCATGTAACTTCACAACAGGGATTATAATTAAACTTTAGTGTTCAATAAAGAGCGTTAGTAAAAGCCAGCCTAGCAGACTTACTACACATGTTAATTTAACCCACTAAAATTTCTAAGCCTAATATTTTAATGTCTTAAACTTTTATTATTAACATATTCATAAGATTGACTATGTAGCAATACAGCTAACCATGTAAAGTCTCCAATATATAAAATGGATGTATCACCAGCATTCAGAGAAAAATGTATTATTTTAGAAAGAACGTTGGGATTGGTTTTGTAAAAACCAGTGGCAAAGTCAATTCCAATTTCAAACCCTTAATCTCAATGTCTTAACATAGCCTAGTCTGTCTACTGCTCATCTCATAACCCAATGGGATCTAGGCAGCTTTTTTGTATACTTTTCCTCTAAAGAGTGACTCAGGGACCCAAAACTCATCCTATCACACAATTTGCCTCTTTGCAGTCCTACATTTCCAGCCATACAAGGGAGAGAGACTGTGAATAGTTAGGAATATGGATAGCAGCACACACCCGTAACTTCAAAGGAGCCTGAGAATAATGAGAGGAGCACACAGACTATTTGTTGAGCCCTCCCTGCCTCTGCCACAGTATTTAATCCTGTTTTGTACAACATCAGACATTCTGTCTACATCTTTAATATAGTATAGATAGTTTAATAATCACAATTAATAGTTTTCTGGGCACTTTACCTGGGATAGCAGCAATTTTAACAGGGATTCTTGCTTATTTTGTGACCTCCCATGCGAGGAATGATGGAGCTAGATGCTATATGTGTCTGTGGCTGGGGTGTCATGACCATAAATGGGAAATGTACTTTGTTAGAGAGTTAATGCCAACACAAACAAAATTACTCTCATGTTGAAGTGTTTAGCTTCATATTATTAGACCATGAGAGCCTGTTATCTTTCCATTTGTATTCAAGAGCCAGGAAGCTCTTGTGTCTGTAAGCATAAATAAATTGGACTTGAATTTGAAAAAGCATATGCCTTTCATATGTAACCAATTGTAACCATAAAATCCAGGAAACATGTAAATACTTTAACTGCCAATTATGTCTTTGAGTGTCTTTTTTTAATTAAAATTGTGTCTACTAATATATAGCAACAAGCTTACAAGGTAACGGCTAGAAACCCTCAGAAATTAATTGGTTGACTAAGCATCCCCTCTACATTTAAGTCCTAAATCAAATTCACCTTCTATTGTTATTTATCAACTCTCACAATTTCAAAAACAGGCCAAAATTTGAGTCATATCTCTGACAAGGATGAGTGTATTTATTGACTTGATAGAACAGGAGATGTAAGTCAGAATTTATGAGAGCTAGCTGTTTTCTCCATGTCTGGCTAGCTTTAGCAATTTAACACATGCAAGTTAAATGTAATGAGAATCATTTTCTTAGCCTTAAAACTTCTATGGTGTTACATTATGAGGAAATTCTACGCATAGTGGTAAGGTGAAGATGGGA
This sequence comes from Homo sapiens, assembly GCF_000001405.40. Taxonomy (NCBI): domain Eukaryota; kingdom Metazoa; phylum Chordata; class Mammalia; order Primates; family Hominidae; genus Homo; species Homo sapiens. The sequence continues at coordinate 74,529,343 of NC_000004.12, forward strand.
AATTTGACTATGTATGTGCTTCTGATCGGTGAAGACATGTTTGCAAAGCCTTTGCATTCACATTGGATTTGCACATGCCAGGATACATATACTGTCCTTGTGAAGGCGCTGCATTCCATTCGCCCTTCCCTTATCTCATTCCTCCTCCTCATCCCAGGCAGAAATGTCAAATGACTCTCTGGGAACTTCCTGAAAGCTCCCTCCTCTTCCACAAGAAAACCTGCTCCTCTTGCTCTGATGTTGGAGTAAAAGGCTACCATTACAACTATAGTGCTTTAAAATGCCAATGAATTACGGAGTTTCTGGAATAACTGGCCCTATATTTGGGAGCAGGAAGCTGGAGTTCCCTACTGACTCTGCGGCATTCAAATAAAGAACAGAACAATTATATTTTATACCCCAAAATGACATAAAGGAAAACGAAAACAAGCCTGTTTCCCATGTGGCAGCCTGCACAGTGAAGGCCATTGTTCCCTGGCAACTCCAATAGATACACACCCGCTTTGCCGGATCAACTGGCTATTCCTCGGTTTACAGGCATGAAGTCACAGTAAGGAAGGTCACATCCCTTGGGTGATTTTCTTCTTTGGTTGCACTGGGCTATTTCCTGATATACCTAATGTGCTTGAATTCAAACGAGAAGGAGGAAAGAGACTCTTGCTGATACATTTATTTTATCCTTGAGAGAAATAATCTCTCAAGACAAGTGAAGAAAGATGCTGTGAACTGGATTACAGGTCATTTTATAGTCAAATCATCCAGGCAACTGGCAGTGTTTTGGCCTGTTTCCTGTAAAATAGTTTAAAAACCTGTAGATTCTCAAAAGAATTGATCGATTTATTCATAAAGACAGCGCTCAAGAGAACTGTGCAGTTTAGGAGATGCTGTGGGGATAAATGAAAATCGCTGGGAAACACATTAAACAAAAGCATAACACATTTGTAAGGAAATAAACACTTGCTAGTGTGAATGCCTGCGTCCTATTTATTAGTCAAGCCAAACAAATTAGGCCTATTCCCTGCTAGGAACAAGTGCTACATGGCCCCGTGGCACCTCCCACACCCCTGTGACTTTTCTGAAGTAAGCTTCAGGAACTTATTTCCATCTTCATTTTATTATCTTATTGTCTAACAAGCCCTTCTGTCTTCTCCACTGCAGAAGCCACAGTAAGGAGGAATTAAAGTAAAATCACCAGTGGCTCACACCTGTAATCCCAGCACTTTGGGAGGCTGAGGCAGGTGGATCACAGTGTCAGGAGATCGAGACCACCTTGTTTAACATGGTGAAACCCTGTGTCTTCTAAAAATACAAAAAATTAGCCATGTGTGGTGGTGGGGGCCTGTAGTCCCAGCTACTTGGGAGACTGAGGCAGGAGAATCACTTGAATCAAGGAGGCGGAGGTTGCAGTGAGCCGAGATTGCGTTATTGCACTCCAGCCTGGGTGACAGAGTGAGACTCTGTCTCAAAACAAAACAAAACAAAAAAGTAGAATCACAATCCATCACAATTTCTGTTTAAGTCCTAATGTCATAGGCACAGGCAGTTCATAGTAGGCATAGATTTTTACTCTTAACATGTGATAATATGAAGGGACAAGAGAGAGGTGCAAAAATATCAGCCCCAACAGTTTGTGTCAATGTCTCATTGTTAAAAGCTTAGGCCTAGACATCTATTGAATGTTTGCCATGGCCCAGGCATTATGCCATGAGTTAAGGATAGAAAATGAATATGTTCCTCTTAAAGTACGAAAATTCTGCACACTGCACAGCAATCTGTTTTGCTCTGCCTCAGAGTTTACCTGTCTGAAGCATTATTATTGTTAGCTGTACCTTGTCTGGCTCTCACTTTCCTGGTGGTAACCTTGGGTGAGTGCCATTCATGACTGCTGAAAAAAACACAAATAAGTGATTGGGTACCTGGCAATACAGTGCACCTCATCGGCCATTAGACAGATATCGATTTGACCCTTTCCAACAGAGAGGCCATCCTTGGAGAACAGCACTAGAAAGTCTTTAAGGAGGACAGATGAAATGACTGAGTTAGAGCCTGAGGCATCATCCAGAATAAGACGCCCGCACTGGAGGAGAGCTCAGGCCCTGGTCCTGAATGTCTGGGTCTCTAAGAATAGCAGCTACAAGAGAAGGAGGAGAGCTCTCACAGGGTAGAGGAAGGTACTGAAGACAATCTCACCTAGTTTACAGCAATGTCACAGTGCCACCTTATTTATGAATATCTGTGCTGTAAATACAATTAAAAATAGTTCATGAAGAAGACAAATATTTCCATCTTAACTTCCCATAAAATAAAATACAGACATTTTAGGAGAGATACCTTGGCTTATCAGTGAAAATAGAAGTTCTCCAAATGGGGTCAACGAGTGGATTGATCACAGCATTTGACATTTGGTATTTGAAGCTAGCAATACTTTTATTTCTGGCATTTAATAATTTTTTTTTCATTTGTGGCTCAAATTTACTTTTTTATCTGTTTATAAGAGAATATACACTTTCTGGAGCTCTTCTCTCCTGAACAAAGGTAAGCAGCAGATCCAAAAAATGTGAATGTTTCTCCTGGGAAGGCGTGGATTTCTGCTTTGGACATCGTTCTGAAACCTGAGATTTTTGCAAAGCCAACTCAATTCATCAGGACCACAGCTAACCACTCACCCTGCTGTTCATTTCGGACTTAGAAAGAAGGCTGTCACTCTCGAACACACTGCCATCTTTTGACCATGAGAAGTATCACAAAGAGAAAAAGAAAGACCTTGTTACTGGTTACTTGCATCAGTCTACTAAATGGAAGCAATGTTGATGCAACGACCCACTCTACTGTTGTTAGTTCTTTGGAATTTATAAGACAAAACAAGATAAAGTGAAATGGAGCAGTGCTTCATGAATTTGCTAACAAATAATTCACTTTCCAGCAATTTGAGCCCACACCAGGGACTCCATTGTTGAATCTGTTAATATATTAACATTACTACAACACCTTTCTTGTTTTCATTGTGTGTATGATGCTATAAAACAGAAATGTACAATATAATTTTCCCAAGGGACATATGTTTTTGGAGTCTTACAGCTCATTACATCAGATACATGTGCTATTCATGCAACAGATATTTTTGAGTATTTACTACACGCCAAGCTGTGTTCTAAATGGTGGAGATGCAGAGGTGAACAAGACAGATATGATATCTGCCCTCAGGGATGTGACAGTTTACTGTGAGCATTGGACATACGGGAGAAAGGCTAATTTGAAAAAGCATAAGATGACTTAAGAGTAAGAAGTTAATTTAAATCAATATCAAAGTTTGCCTCCTGAAGAGATGCCATTTAAGTGAGGACCAGAAGGAGGACCGAAAGTTAGCAAGATCAAAGTAGAAGAAGGTAGCAGGGGATGCTTTCTAGAAAAATGAGTCAATCTGTGTAGATACAGCATGAAACATGAGCTAATGGATTATCAAATGAGTTCTTGATTTACATAAGATGCCTCAAACTAATATTTAAAATTTACATTTTTATCTCCTAAAATATAATATCGAACATAGTGCATAAGCATAGTTATGGGAGGTGGTGGTTAAAGCATAGGGCTTTGAAGTTTCAGGGACTTGAATTCAAATCCAATTAGCTCTACAACTTTAAGCAATTTACTTATCAGAGACTATTTATCTCTAAAATGGGAATGATTAAATCAAAATTTGCTAATATCTTATCATGTTTCAAATGAGTAAATATATTTAACAGCCTAGCTCAGAGTCACACAGAATGCAGGTACTCAATAAATAACACATTGTCTTTTCATCTTAATTTCTTGGGGATTCTAACTTTAGAAGGCTCATTCTCCTATTGCAGGTTTCCTGTCTTTAGAAGGCTCAGTCAATCACCATTATGAACATATTGTTTAAAGGGCCATTTTGATTACAGTTTTGTGAATAGTGTGTGGCCACATATGATGCCTCATTAATTCCCTAAAATTTATTGTAAATAAAATTGTTTGAGTGCACAGCTCTAGCACATGATTGGCCAGGCTGTATTTGTTACTCATGGAACAAAGTTAAAACAAAATGGAAAGATGGGTATGTCCTTAAATAACTGAAAGTTTCTGCTTTAATTGTCCAGAACTAGTCCAATTCACTTAATAATTATACTCCTCAGTTAGCCTTAACTATGTAGAACTGGTCATAGATTGCTCCCCAAATAGCTCAAAGGTATGTGAGGTGAGGAGCAGAGCTAGTACTTCTAACCTATATTAGAATATCTTGATATGTTTGTAATCTTGTCATTCTTATCTTATAGATATACACACAATTTACCAATCCCAAAATATGATAATGTCATTTTTAAAACACGGCGATAGCCCATTACAAGCTAAGTCCATTTTATAAAATTTAAATGTTTTTCATTAAATAGTACTCTTGTATTGAGACATTAAAATGTTAAAGCTGGAAGAGATCTTAGCAATTATCTGGTATATTCTATGTTATCTGGTAAATTCATATTTAATATGTTCTACAGATTAAAAAACTAAGGCACACACGGTAGCTTTTCCTAGAGCTAGTGGATATTGGGGATTCTCATGCAGAGGTCCTGGCTCCCAAATCGATGTATTTTCTACCGGTTTACACTGTACCCACATTACACACTGGTAATCTATATATAGGGTAGCTGTTTCATCTGAAACAAATGTTATAAAATATAATTGATTAAAATAGATTCTAAAATAGCATTATTTTTCTAAGTATTAATAATAATTTAAGTAGTGCTTTTGCATTCCCAACTAGAATAATTTTTACCAAGTACTCCTTCAAATAACACTGAGAGGTAGATCGTTAAGCATTAGTTCATTCAACAAATATTTACTGAGCATCTGGAGTTTGTAAGACACCATATTAAGTCACTGATTCCTATCCTATTTTATTAACCAAGTTACAGAAAGGGGAAAGGGAATGTTTACAGGAACAAGTCATCAAACACCTTTGCTCAGTTTCGCCATGTCCTAAACTATTCTGATAGCTTGCATCTGTATAGCATTTTACAGTCTCAAAGCACGTTTTCATGACATGAATTCTCATATCACATTATTTTAGCCTTTATGACTCCTGAACTTTCACCCTGCTTTTATTGTCCATGGTGTTGATGTCATTGATCTTGCCCTTAGGTTTTAAGTTCATAAAAACTGAGGCTATTTTAAACACCATCGAATCTTTCACAGTGTCTAACCCACTTTCTTAAGTACAGTAGGTACCTGATATTTAATGAGTGAATGAATGACATTTCATTTGATCCTTACAAGCATAGCAGGCATGATTATCTCCATGAAAGAAGACAATGCTGTACCATAGGGAGATTAATTCCTGATTCTAGCTGTTAGAAAGCCTGAGGGTTCCTTATTGGATCTCTTTCTCCTTTAACTCTTAAGCAAAATTCTGTGGCAGTCCTCACTTATAAAAGAATCATTTCTTCTACTACTACTACTATTACATAAGCCACTAAATAAGATATTGTGTTCATATTTGTTAAACTATCTGATTGTTTAAGTATGAGTTTATTTTTCTTACACAAGTGGCGGAATAATATTTGTCTGGTTTCTTACTGTAATGCCCAGTTTTATTGCTAGGAAGGTGATTGTGACAAGGATGATACTAGGTTCTCTGGCAGACAGTAAGAGATATAGAAGATACATTTTGCATATGCCATCAGTGCCACTTGAGTCCTGTTTTTCATTTACTGTAATCAACTTCCTCTTCCCTCTGATGAGTTTTAAAGGAATGAGAATATGGCACCTCCACCCCCTATAATTGGTTGCAGCTGAACTCTTAGCAAGTGAAACAACTCACATGGCTTAACAAGGATATGGGGATTGCAGTGAAAGACTTTCTTCAAAAACAAAACTTGTTAGGGAGACATCTAAACACCAGCTTAAACTTATGTAAGTTTCTTAAAAACAGAAGAGCTTATTCTTCTATGGATAAAGAAATAGATTTTCTTTGTGAATTTCTAATGATCATACTGAACATAAAAGAAACTCTTAAAGAAAACTTCAATCATGACCCTTCTTTTAGTTCTGAACTAATTTTATCCTGCCAAAACCAAGTAAAAGCAAATGTACACTTTCAGATTGGTACAACTAAAATCAGAAGTAGAAACATTTTAAAGTTATATATTTTTAATATAGAAAGGTTTTTGTTTGTTTTACTTTTATATTATTTAAGGAATGTTAACCCAGTTCTAAATTTCACACTCTTGTTCCTTAAGGAGGACTTTACTTCCTTTATGGGAGCAATCAGATGTGAGCAATACCTCACATTATCCTGTGCTTTGTAGTTTCAGAAGCATTTGCATATATGTTATCTCACTTGACCCTTTTGCCTGTGAAGTTGGCTGGAAGGTATCATTGCAGATGGGAAAAGTGAAACTGGGAACTTTGGTGGCTTGCCTTAGGTCAAACAATTGGTAAGTGGTCAAGTCAGGCCTTGAACTTAAGTCTCTAGACGTTAAACCCAGAACCTTAAATGGGTGAGCATAAAAAGGAATGAACTGCAAATAACAAATCTAACTATTTGGTGAATAAAATCAATTTACACGAAAAGAATTCAAAATTATCAGCTAAAATTACCGGTTCCATGGATGAGGTACTAGGTGTGAATACGTGTGTTAGAATACACAGTTTTAAAGGCCAAGAAGAAGCATATATAGCCCCAGATAAAATAAAAAAAAGTTTATACTTACTGATAAACTGAGCAGATATAAACTTCAATAATTGTTGGCTAGATTGACCTAATTGTTGGCCTATGTATGTGTTCAGTCATTTACATTGGCTTCATAAGTACCGGTGTCTAAATTCTACTAGTTTATTTTTTCAGTAATCAGTTCAGTTTGACCAATGTGTATTAATTGATGCTGTTACTGTATGCTTGTTTTTCAATATTAGGCTTTTTATACTTATGTATATGCAGAATCTTATATTCAACAATATGACACTGAACAAGATTAGATGTGAAATTACATGGTTAAAAGTGTGGGCTCAGGCTGTGTGAACTTGGCCAAGTAATCCGACCCTCAGAATGAAGATAGTAATAGTATACATCTAACTGGCTTGCAGTAATGATTAAATGAACCGATGATATGTAAACTACTTGGTTTCTGGCATATGGCAAATATGATATAAATATGACCTGTGGCCTTTGTATAGAATTTATTGTGTAGATATTTAATTATATTATTGTCTTGGAGTTGAGAACACTACACAATATTTAAATCATTTTTTGAAAAATTGCCTCAATGTTACAATTGCAATAAACTTTAATCAAATTAAAGTTATGCATAAAGTTTTATAAAAATTGATTTTTCCAAAATCATTATAACTTTAACAGATGGTGGTGTTAGATTTTGTGTACACTAGGTGGCATCTGGTGTGAAAAACTGTCTTTCCTTTTACGAATTTCTTGCTCTTTGGATTTAGTAAGTGTGATTTAAGATTTCAGTGCCTTGGATTCCCCTTTGCAAGGTGACAACTGTGGTGGAGTCACTTCTACCTGAGAATGTTAATTCACTACATCTACTCTTTATTAAGGTGAAGAGAAAGTTCTAGTAATATCAAATGTGATTGCCTGTAATATGAGAAATGAAAAAGAAACTTTTGCAAATTGAAATCTGAAGGAAAATAAAATTTTGGATTCTGTAAGATTGTCTCCTCTAAATAACATTGTACTATATATAATTCATTTAATTTTTAGTCCGACTGTCTGTGTGTGTGTGAGAGAGAGAGAGAAAGAGAAACAGAATTGAATGTGTGTAAAGAGAACATGAATTTTCTGGTACTACTTATTTAGCAAAGGGTTGAAAAGCCACTGTATTCAGAATAAGTATGATGAAATGAGGTTGGAAATTTAAAATAATGAAAAAGTTTTAAAACAACCATCATAATTAATTCAATAGAATATCAAAAACAGATGAATGGAAGAAATGCTCAGCTTCATAAGGAATAAGTGATGTTGACAGCATGATTTTGTTTTGTTTTGGATCCCATTATGCCACTTTGTGACTTTTCTTGGGGGGGCAGGGGCTATGTTTGGCTGTGTCAGAGGGATGAGAAAGAGTGGCTTCCTTCTTGAAATAAAATCATAGCTGCATAGAGCCAATTACTTCCAGAAAAGGAGAAATGAAGTCGTAGTAGAGGAGGAGGCTGAAGACTTAGGGGCTTTGATGAAGCTAAAGAGCAGGTACCATGGGTATTAGGAACTGGAAGAGGTGGGAGAAAAGATTACAGGCAGAGAGAGGAATTGTATGTGGAAACATTGTGGGTGGAGCAGTGCTGAATAATGTTGAAGTCAACATTATGGTGATGTGAGTGGGCAACTGGCATGAAATGGATAGAGAGATCTCTGAATGGAAAATGGGAAACTAAAAGACTTGAGTATCAGAGGGTAACTAACGTTAAGAGAAAACTTCCCAAGCATGTTGGCTGGGATTGGAGTGGAGCGAAACACAAAGGCAGATGCTAGCATCATTGAGAAAGGTGAAAATACTCACAGTAAAGCATACTTATGAGGGGGACCACATTTTCCACTAAAGTATACATTAATAAGGCAGCTGCTCTGTTGAAAGAAAGAGGAGAGAGCTGTGTGTGGAAAGCTCTCTACTGCTGCTACTTCTTCACTTTGGGTTATTCACTTAACTTCTCTACATTTGATTTCTTCACTATGTTCTAGGGCATGTTTAGAAATATTTGTCAATTTCCCACCCATGTGAAAATATATAGACAGGGGAAAGAGAAAATGGGAAGGCACTTTAGGAAGCTATCACAGTTTTCCAGATAGCAGATGGTGGTGGCTTGAGTTATGATGGTAGCAGTGAGTATTCTACACAGTTTTAAAAAATAGAACTTAACAGAGAAGAAATAGTCAAGGTGAATTTCCAGACTTCTGCTGCCTTTTACTAAAATAAGAATGACAGGAGAAGGAATAAATTGGGAAAAAATCAAAAGTTCACTTCTATACATGTTCTGTGAAAAACATCCAAACAGAAAGGTCAATGGGGAAGTAGAATATAATGATTCTTGTAGTCAAAAGTCTGGGCTCAATATGTAAATATAACATTAATTATTTTATAGATGATATTTAAAATAATAAGAATAGATTAAATCACTAGGGGAAAAGTACAGGGAGAGAGGAGAAGAGAACCTAGTACAAACCCTGTGGAATTACATCTGGAAATATCTCAGTGACCAGCAAAAGACACTAAGAATGAGTGGACCAGAGAATTAAAAGGAAAACTAGGAAAGCATGGGCTTATGAAAGTCAAGAAAGGAGAGCATTTTCAGTCAAACGCTGTACATAAGACCAGTAAGATGAATGCAAGGACAGGTGAGTGGGCGTGGTGAGCTTGGTGTGAGCAGTTCCACCAGGATACTATTATTACACAATTTCCAAGGACCAGAACCTTGACCTTGTACCTCCAGGTTCCCAACTAAAGGCTAGGGTACTGTACTTACTAGTGAATCTCCAGGACAGTCAAATACCTAGAAAAATTTAACTTTTGTTGGTTATACTAGAGTCACATATACTTTCCCTAATATCCCCTAGTTTGTTAATTCACGTTCAGCCTACAGCCACATGATTAGGTAGAGCATCAGCAAAGAGATCGGCTACTGGTACCTGTGCTTTCAGGTTCCTAAATGTCCTCAGAGGAGTTTCTGCTTAAAGAATTTCCTCTACTTTATTATAAAACTTAAAATATTTCAAGGAATAACTCAGATAGTTCCCCTTCCCACTTAAACCCTTTCTCTTCATTGCTCCATTTAATATACCAACCCAATATGGTGCATAACATGGGAAGAATGCAATGCTATAGTGATGCAATATGGTTAATAATCATTAACACGTCCACAGTACTTATGTGCCAGAGTGTTCAAAGAGCTTTGTAAACATTAACTCATTTGATCCTTACAAAAAATCTATGAAGTAGTTAGATTCTATTGTTAGTTCTATTTTACACTTGAGGACACCAAGGGCCAAAGAGATTAAATTTGCCCAAATCTAGCTCCACAGTCCAGATTCTTAACCATTAGGCAACCCATAAATACTCTTTATGTGAATTCAAAGCAACCTTATAAAAGAGAACCCAAGAAGTAGGGCTTTTAAATCACATTAAACTGGCAGTAACTGCCTCCTGAAGTGCCTATGAGGACAAAGTGTGAAAACGCATCAGATGATAAAGGCCTGAACCCTGGTTAGATCCACATCTAGGGCCTTTTCTGGGAATTCCATCAACTCATTGCCTAAACTCATTACAGGAAATTACTAAGCATTGAGATGACTCTAGTATTATGAGCTCTTAAGGTGGCCAGCCAAGGATAAAACCATACATTCAATTTTAACGGCAATCTTTACTTTGACTATGAAGTCCAACTGAGTGGGAATCCAGAACACTTTTGCTTGAGAAGCAGTTTTTTTCATTTCAATCTGTAATTTTGTTGTAAGAAAGCCATGTGGATTCTGCTGTATGCCAGTACACCACCTCCTGGGAGTGCAAAACATATTTTGATTATTAAAAATCTCAATACTCCCAGAGAACACAAACCAGTAATATTATAATAAATGTAAAAATAAATGAATAAATAGCACACATGTTTTAGTTTCAACCTCAAAAATTTTGCCTAACATGAATATTATTTCAGATTTTGTTAACCAGGTTACATTGGCTAGCTGTGTGAATATTAGGATAAAAGCAGAATAAAAGTTATTAGTAACATAAACTGCAGAAAGCTTTGTGGTTATTGCCATGTTAGGGAAAGATATTTTTGTTCCATGGGTTTTATTCAACAGGTATAAAAAATAGCTAAGAAAACCTAATTCTCTTCATTCATTCACTGAATAATCATTTATTGATGCTTTACTATGTTCTAGAGATTGAGTCATAATAATGAATAAAATAGCCTCCATTTGCCAAAACCTCATAATTTGGGAAAGAGACAAATAATGAGACCACGTTAGCATGGTGTGGTGAGTTAGGCATAAACAATGTTGCTGTGGGATTGTGTGGGAAGCTGCTGGCCTATTTGAAGTAGCTGGCAATAGGAAAAACTAAATCCTCCTTTTTACTCTTTATAAGTGTGACTTTTCTCCTGAGGAATGTTTGTTTTAGAGAAAACCCACAGGTAAGAGCACTTCACCATCTCTTCATCATTGCCAGGGCATCCACTGTCTAAAGCTTTAATTGGTATTGGGGCCTGCAGAAAAGCCATAAGTATATGAGAAACTGAGGGAAACAAGGTGGAAAGAAGGGATATGAGGCTGGGGTGTCTGTAAGAAAATTCAGGGCAGCTGTTATTCTTATTCAACTGATGTTTCATGTATAATGCTAAGCTCAGCAGGTTCTTCCTTAAATCAGGGGTTCTTAACCAGGGGTTCGTGAATGGGCTTTAAGGGTATAGGTGAACTCCTTATACTTGTACAAAAACTGTATGCAGATTTCTGGGCAGTGTCCATGGAATGCATAAGATTCTCAAAGAAGTTCATTTTTTAAAAAAGATTAAGAATAATTCAGGAACAAATTTAGATTATACAGAAGAGGATGAAGCTTTAGGGGCTCTCTTTAAAAAAAATAATACAAATTACAAATGTGAAATTGTTCATGAAAGTGACCATTATTTAGTATGACAACATAATATTCCTATTAATTAACTACCTGATACTTCTCTATAATCCTTTTTTCAAACATTTTTGGCTGCCTATCTTTAATCACTCTTCATGTGACAGCTGCAGTTTCATTATATCTAATGTCATTGAGGTTAATACTCCTAGTTTGTAGAAATCTTCAACGTATAGAGGGTGTTTTCATAATATAAGGGTCAAAATGTTGCTTGTGATTAACTTTATTTACTGTGTTAATAATGTCCATATTTGTGAGGCAGTTTGGAGAAAACAATTCTTTCAGCATCAGTAAAATTGAGAAGTTTATGATAAAATGATGCATTAATTCTATTTCTTTGGTACTGTTCTAGATGCTTTATATGTGTAATTCACTTCAATCTTACTGCAACTCTATGAGGTTGGTACTACTATAACAGTTTACAATGAGTAAACTCAGAACAGAGAAAAGCGAATAGCTTTGCCCAAAGCCACACAGCTAGGAAGCTGGTGAGTTGGGATTTACACCCAGCTACATTGACCCTAGAGACTGAGCACTTAACCACTGTGTTCCACTTTTTATAAATCTGAGTCCAAGACAGGGATGAAGATATTCCCAGTTTCTCAGGGACTGAGTTCCCACAATGTCCTGGACTTCACCATGAGCTGAGAGTGAGCAATGAAGTGATAGAAACTTCAGATACAAGGAGAAGCAGTGTGATAAAAGCAGGGACTTACACGCCACTTCACACTGGGACCACTAGGACGAACCACATCACAGAGTGTCCTTCAACATGTGGTGGTGGCAGCAGAGAGGAAAAGGCAATGTGGCGTGTTCAGTCAGAGAGCACCGTAAGTCACACCTTCTTGTTCCCTAAAGCGACACATGTCACTTCAACACGAGAAACTAGCACAGCAATCATAAACTTCAGCAGCAGATGTCTGTACTTCCAAAGAGCAGGAAAGATTCAGTACCTCAGCACTAAACGCAGCAGCAACAGATGCCAACACCCAAGGACACCCCACTGGACTCCAGTGATAAACAGGGCATCAGTCCAATGCCTGGAAGGAGGAGCAAACGCGAAATAAATAGCCCCTATATTAGCCAATTAAACTGTAGTGAGAAGAAGGTATATAGAGGTAGGAAGAAAAATAGCAAAGGAAAAAGAAGTTTTATTCACTCATTCATTTATCAACAAGCATTTATCTATTATGCTACAGAAATTGTGCTAGTCACTAGCACAAGAAACAAAGGCAAGCAAGCTTTTGTTTTCAAACACTTACCATAAAGATGAATAATTAAACTAGCACATGAAAACATTAGCAGAAAAGAAAGGGCAAAATCAAGTGCTGTGAAGGGCGTTATAGCTGTTTTTTATGTCTAATTTATTTTAAAAGGAAGGAAGAAAAATTTCGAAATAAGTAGGACAAAATGTTAATTTTTTAAAATTAAATTAAATTTTAATAATTGACATAATTGTACATATTTATGGAGTACATGGTGATATTTTGAGACATGTAATATATAGTGATCAGATCAGAGTAATTGGCATATCCATCATCTTAAACATGTATCACTTCTTTGTGCTGGGAACATTCAGTATCTTCCTTCTAGCTATTTGAAACTATAGAGTATATTGTTGTTAATTATGGTCATTCTACAGTGGTATAGAAACTAGAATTTATTTCTCCTTTCTAGCTGTAATTTTGTATCCTTTAACAAATCTTCCCCCATCCCTATCTTTCTCATACCCTTCCCAGCCTCTAGTATTCTCTGTTCTACTTTTTTCTTATATGAGATCAACTTTATTTTAGCTTCCACATAATATTTGTTAACATCATTAATTCTCAGTCATGACTACATGGATGTTTGTTATATTGTTCCCCATAATCTTCTGCATTCATTTTTTTCATAATGAAAATATATGCCAAATAAATAGCCACATATTACAGAAGATTTTATAAGGCAACATCTCTATCTACCATTGCCACAATTCTCCAATTATGTGTTTTGCTTTGGGGAAGAACCAAATCCTTTTTGGCTTGGAACATTTCAACTCTAAAAATATTTAACTACTGGTAATAGCACCTGCAAATCTAGCACTTGTATAAATACATTTCCAAGATTGGTAAAAAGAAACTACTTTAGAAATGGTTAATGTGTGCTGTATGGATATTCAACAAGACTTAGTTTTATGATTTGTAGAGTAAGTATAGAAAATATTACCCATTCAGACACCTAAGGAAGTAATTTCTTACCATAAGCATTCTTCTTTTTACAACATTTCATAAACTGAGCAATTGAGACATTCCTTATAGGGAAGTGGAAGAGGAAATGGGCAGCAAACTTTGGAACTCAAAAGGAGCTTTGGTCAGTATGAATCCCTGAAAGTCAGGTTCATTTTCCGTGCATGAAAGAGAACAAATTATTTCACTAATCCTTTGATCTCTTTATGGTTTCATTGTTCATTCTAGTGATTGTACTAGAAACAAGTTTCACTTCAGCTATAACAGTTAATGACAGACAACAGAAAGGGAAGTGGGCGTGGTGCTGTAGTTAATGATAATGACAAGAGCGTTGGTTGCTATTTATAGCATTTGTTAAACTTTCATCTTTTCAAATTGCTATTTTCATGCAGCAAACTTAAATCTCTCAGGCAACAAGGTAAGCAACTGGAAGTAATTTCTGGCATTAGTCAAATATGTAATGACCAAGAAAAACACATTCTTCACCTTGAAGTGCCACCAGTTACCAATGAGAATATGAAAATAAACATTCACAAAGTAATCTTGCAGTGATCAGTTTTGGAAGATGATGAAAAAAGGAATTATGCTACATGAGCCTATCTGTGAGACAAAACTGATGAAATGTGAATTTGAGACAATAGACTTAAAAAAAATCAAAGCAATTTTATTGAAATGACCTTGTCAGAAAACAATTTGCCCATACCCAATGAAAAATATAATTGGTGATAAGACTGATAATGGCTGAATCTGGGACCAGAAATACAGTTGTGATTTTGAAACCTTGGCTTCTAAGTTACTGTGAGACTTGGAGAATTGTTATTGCATTTAACTACCCCCAGGTTCCTATTCTTTAGACACATTCAGCTCTGTGATAAACTCAGCCCCACAAAAGTGGAAGGAAGAGGAGGTTTGTGAGTGGTAGGAGGATGGAGGGTGGACAGGGAGAGACTGGGAAGACTCACACTTCTGGAACGTGGACACTCACTTTGCCTACACTTACATCAGAAAGACTGGAGCTCAGGTTTCTTTTCTCTGTTAAGCCTTAAGTTTTTTCTTGAGTGGAACCTTTGTTTACAACCTGCCGGACTTCCTTTAGGCATTGTACACAGTATGTCCACAATGCATTTATATTAAATGCATCAGCATTGCTAGAACAGTCTGGACAGTATGATCCTAATACAGCTTGCCTACTGATTTGAATACGTTTTTAAACCAGTGGCAGGCAGACTGTAGAATGAGGCTGGTGAAAAACAGGGAACTGAACAAGAAAAATAGATTGCAGCAGCAGGGAGCTCAAGTAAGGACATGGGCAATCATTCTTTCTGGTAAGCAAGTTTGGTGATTTTGTTGAAATGATCTTAAGTGTGGTGGTGTTGAGTGCTGAGAATTCAGATATTTTAATAGCTGAGATTTATTTCATTTATAGGTTTCAGTTTAATGCCTAATTAAAATATATATTATGGTTTAATAAGACCAAGACTCTTCTGATGTTGAGAATACTGTGAGTAAAACATGATAAATGGCAGAGACTAACACTGAGCTTCTTTGCTCCTAGCAATGAAAGATGTTCACCATATAATACGCATGAGGTCACAATTCTAATACTCTCTATTTGCCCTTCCTTTTACATGAGATAGGATCATCCTGAAAGCTGCAATCCCTGATGTTTATCTTCCTTATGACTGCAATCATGTATTTTATGCAAGGTTTTATCCTGGACAACAGTGAATAAAAAATGTATCTACTTTTATCACATTAATTAAAGCTACAAATATATATTGCTCACATACTGTGTATAACCTTCTTTGGCAAAGGCTGAGGAGAATAAAAACATTTAAGGACTGACTTTACCTTTTTAGGAATTAAGAGTATCACTTGAAAAAAAAAAAAAACAACAACCAGCACTACAAGGTCAACAATCCTGGCAGATAAGGGATAGAAACACTGAGTGCTGTAAGAGGTCAAAGGAGGGTGAGCTCATCTGGCTGGATATTCAAGGAAGACTTCCTGGAAGGAGTGGGGTTTGAGCTAGGCCTTAAAAAATGAGCATATGGGAGGTAAAGAGAAGACAAGAAGGTTTTCCAGGCAAAGAGAATAGAGAGTGTTCTTGTATACATTCTTTGGAGAAACTTATTAAACTAAATCTAAACTGGATTTACAAGAAAAACCTCCTCCTTTTCCTACCTCTTAGCCCCTAAAAGGAAGAACAAGGAAAGTATTGATTCAGATGTCAAAAAGTTTAGGGGTATCTCTAGCTTCAGATATGGTTGGAGGCAAATGCCCAAATGCCACTGTGATTCTCTGTCTTCATTCTCAGAAGGCTGTCCTCTAGAGTGGGGCCTTGAAGGTCCAGATTCATGTCCTGCCAACTCAGCAACCCTACAGAATTCAGGCACTTACATCTTGGGATTGAGTCTCATTTGCCTGACTTGGGACAAGCCTGGCCCTGAGCCAGTCACTGCAGCCAAGATGACAAAATACTCTTATTGCATAACCTAAGTCATAACCCCCTGGAATTTGGTTAGGCTGGGGATGGGGGATTAGTGCTACCTTAATCTAATATGTGATGAGCTAGGTGGGGATAATTCTATTAGAAAGATCTGAGAGATACTCCTAGAAGGAGAAATGGATGCTAGGAGAAATCAAGACGGAATAAATACATATTCAGAAACGGGTGAGAGGTCAAAGTTTACACAGACCTAGATGTCTGTAAATACAAGCACACATAATAATTATTAAAATAATTTTGTATTTTCAGATATTTGGTTTACTTTCTGTCTGTTTTTAAAATTATTAAACAATCCAGGATTTGAAAACACTAAGTCTACAAACCAAATTTAATGCCCATTCTCTGCCCCCATCCCTGATCATTATCTTATACCACTCCTACTTAAAAAAAAATGTAAATTGAGAAATGGAGCAAAGCATGAGATGTTCTCTGTTGCTCAGGATAGAGTATTAAGAAATCTTTTCCGGGGAATTCCCCATGTTTCAGATAGAATAGAAGTTAAGTGGCTGATTCACGCATTCATTAACAATAGAGAGAATGTTCTGAAACACCAATCCATTCTAACCCCATCAGATCCTCCCTAATGCCTATTCTTACAAAATGCCTTGAAATTTCAAGGGTGTTTCCTGGCATTTGTTTTCATTAAATGCTAATGCACCCATGTCACTCTACTTTGTTTATGCACTATGGATGTTGGCATACTTTGTTTTAAAAAGCATTAAAGCAGCACTGAATACTCAACTCAGGTGACATCAATTTTTTCTTTTTGTTGTTGATTTCAAAGTCTACTGTTTTTAGAGTTTCATATTTCAAGCAAATTAATCTATGAAAATTATCAACAGATTGAAACTGTTGTTGAGAATGTGTTTTCATAATGCATATTTTTGATCTCTCAAAAACCTTCCAAGTCCCTAATTAATCGGGAGATGTGTGGATCAGCAGACTTCATTGCATCTTGACACCAATTATGCAGAGAATGCTTTCCCTAAGGTAGATTTTTTTATCCCTTTTGGAAACTAACTAGCTTGATCACTTATTTCTGACTCAGACCCTTCTTTATATTTACATTTACATTCCATACATCTAATCTTTGGCCTCAAAATCATTTTAATCTCCTAATTTTATTTCTCCAATACTCATTCTCCAGTAGGTCTTAATCCTTTTATGAATAGCAATTTCCTCTAAAACTTTATAAAACCTATCACCTCTTTCTCCCCTGCAAAAATGCATGAATACATCAAATACTGCTTACCGTTTATTGAAGGTTTTCATAATCACTAATCTCATAGTTACCTCAATATAAAGATATTGGCTTTTAATTTTGAAAAATATGTATTTCATTTTCCATTTTAAGTGCCTTCTTAAAAAAAATCTGTGATAATTTTTTTGTCTTCTCCTCTGGCTGACCTGATTCTTGTTGCCCCTCAGGACAATAGAATATACCTCAGAGAAAGAAAAGTACAATGAATCATTCCTTTCTTCCTGTGAGTCTTATTGTTAGGTAAAGGGATACTTTGGACTCTACTTTCTGTGAATTAGCAATGCCAGCAAAAACCAGTCATTTGTCCAGTGACACCTAAAGAATACTGGATTGGATATCTGAAGCCTAACCAAATCTCAGGGACACACCAAGAAGCTTGCCTTTCCTCTTATTCATCAAATATTTCTTGAGTGTCTTCTATGCTCAAGGCACTTTGTGTGCATTAGTTTCATTAGTAGTTTGGGCAGTGCCCCACAAATAGTAGGCACACACTATGTATTTGTTGAATGTGAATAACTAACATTTATTAATTATTATGTTCCAGGAGCTTTAATTGTCAAATCAACTTTGCAAGGTAGATGGCATTCCCTGCCTTGTACGAGTGAGGAAACTGAGGTCCATAGACTCAGGAACTTGCCCGTGGTTATGTGGTTGGCAAGTGCCAGGGCCATTATGAGCCTGGATCTGGTGCTTTAAATCACTCCATTTCAATTTCAATCCATCGTGGTAGGTAGGTAGGTAGATTGTTTAAGTCCTGTTTATGAGATGATGAAGTTAAGGTTCAGATGTAGTGAACAACTTACTGAAATGTACCTAGGACTGAGCCTGGATTATGCCTGTGTTTGATTGATTCCAAACTCTGAACTGTTGTGTGACATCACTGCTGCTTTCTGTGTTATACTGTGAATCTCATCTATGCAGTACTTCTTCCCCTAATTCTGGCACATCTCTATTCCCACAGCCATTTATCTGAAACTGCTACTTTGTCACCACGGAACAAAAATAGTGATGGCTGCAAACAAAGGCTCTTATTTTCAAGCCAAAGGCAGCCACACAGAGATTCAGCAACATCTCAGACCTCATTCACCATAATCTCTCATCAGCCAGTTTCTTACATATTTTAAACATAGTAGAGTTTTAGTTTTTTGACGCTTTCACAGCATAGCTTTGATAGAAATTAAAGCTGGGGAGGAGGAAAGCAAACTTTTTAAGCTTTTGAAGTTTATTTGATTGTATTAATTTTTCCTTGTAGGCTTTATATTTATGATTATTTTTGAAGGTCTCAAGCTTATCAGTGTGGTGATCCATTTTCCTCCAGATAGAGTGGTGGCTGCCTACAGTTAATACTTCTTAGGAAAGGCCTATGTGAGGATATCATTTATTCTGTACTATGTCATCAATCCCCTTCATCCACTTATGATTCCCACATTGCTAATTGTGAGAGTTGATGCCATTGTCAAAGGCAAGGTATGGAAACAACCAATACAAGTGTGGCTTCTGGCTGGCTTCGTGTTTCATGTGTATCACATGAAACCTGAATCTTAAAATGGATTCCTAATAATGATAACAAGCCAGGCATGTCCTGGTCTCCAGATTTAAAGAGGGATTTAAAGACATTATTAGATGACACTAAGCACCAGCTTCACCATTTGGGAGTTAAAAATCTAACCACACACTGATAGAGACAACTACAGAAGGACATAAAATAAATACAATCAAGTAATACACTGGTCAGATCCTTATTCGCCAAGAGAAACAAACATTTATTCAGTGAGACAATCTTTCCATTTCCTGTGAACATGGAAACATCATCGTGCTTAAGTGCCTAACACTAGGCAGCATACTTATTTCATATCTCTAGGCTTCAATATCTTCACTTGTTTAAAGATGGTATTCCAAAAACCATGTGTGTTTTCAGGTGTCAGTCAACATTTGAAGAATATCTTAGGACTAAATCCAAGTCCAAAGGGACATTTCCTTTTTTCCAATGGCAACTTTGTCCAAGGATGGGCAAAAATCTTAAATACAGGGTAACAAGAAATCAGGGCAGATAATTTAACTAATTTTACTGTTGATCTAAAGCTTTCTTCAACATGTCATGCAGCTATAGAATAATTAATAATGAGTGTAATCTATTTCTCTCTTGGTCACCTATTTAGTTTTCATTACGTCTATTCTTAGAAATGTGAGTACTAGGCTGGGTGCCTAGTACCCAGCCTAGTACTCACATGGATGCTTACGCCTGTAATCCCAGCACTTTGGGAGGCCGAGGAGGGCAGATCACGAGGTCAAGATATCGAGACCATCCTGGCCAACATGGTGAAAACCCATCTCTACTAAAAATACAAAAATTAGCTCAATGTGGTGGCATATGCCTGTAGTCCCAGCTACTCGTGAGGCTGGGGCAGGAGAATCACTTGAACCTGGGAGGCGGAGCTTGCAGTGAGCTGAGATCGCGCCAGCCACTGCACTCCAGCCTGGGCAACTAAGCGAGATTCTGTCTCAAAAAAAAAAAAAAGAAAAGAAAAAAAGAAAAAGAAAAAAGAAAAGAAAAGAAATGTGAGTACTAGAAGCAGATCGGTGAGGTAACCACTTTTCCAACATTAGATATGAAGTTCAAACAAAGGATATTTTAGTTTATTTTAACTGAGGATTTCCAAAGAAGCACCTTATTTCTATGTTATTTGGAATTTAGACATTGGCTTTTAGATTAGAGACATATTACGATTGTCAATTCAAAGCAAAAAAGTAAAAGACATAAATGCCATTACCTATCTGGAATATGTTAAGCAATATAAAACAGTAAAAGAAAGGAGAAAATCTTCCATTATTTGTAATGATAACAATATGCCACCTACTATATAGAGATACAATACTGCCAAACCTTCTGAATTAGTTTTTATGTGATGAGAGTGGATTTAGCCACTCCAGGACTTCTCAATCAGCTTTTCTTGTGACCAAACTCGTACACAGTCATGTGACACATAACGATGGTTCAGTCAAGGATGGACTGCATATATGATGGTGATCCCATAAGATTATAATGAAGCTGAAAAATTCCCATTGCATAGTGACATCATAGCCACTGTAATGCTGAGGCATAATTACTTTTTTTTTTTTTTATAAATTCAATGTAGCCTAAGTGTATGGTGTATAAAAATTCCACAGTAGTGTACAGTAATATCCTAGACCTTCACATTCACTCAACACACACTCACTGACTCATCAGAACAACTCCCAGCCCTGAAAGCTTTTTTTTTCATGGTAAGTGCTCTGTATGGGTGCACAAGTTTAAAAACTTTTTATACTATATTTTTATTGTACCTTTTCTGTTTAGATATGTTTAGACACACAACACTTACCACTGTGTTACGGTCGCCTACAATGTTCAGTAGAGTAACATGCTGTACAGGTTTGCAGCACAGGTTTATAGCCTAGGAGCAATAGGTGATACCTTATAACTCAGCTGTGTAGTAGCCCGTATCATCTAGGTTTGCATACGTATACTTTATGATGTTCCCACAGGATGAAATTGTCTAATGATGTATTTCTCAGAATGTATCTCCATTATTAAGCAATGCATGATTGTATTTATAAGCTAACATTAGGATGTATGCTATAGAATGAAATAAAGCCCATAAAACCATGACCTAGCACTCACTCAAATAGAGCCATAGTCACCTGGACAACAGACTAGGTTTTTATAGAATTCAAACCCAAAGTCTCCTGAACCATTTACTGAGACCCTCTTGTGCAAGATGCAGCATTAGACTTTCTGAACAGTGTCATGCAACAGACAAAGACTTTAACTCACCCACTCACATCCACACATTTAAAAAGAAAAAAAGCCAAGTTTTCAATCATGTCTGTCTCTCTACATTCTCTTTCCTCTGCTTCACTTACCCAGCACTAAAGGAGCAGAGAGATGAGTAAAATCAGACCCTTCCAGCAGGGCCAGCTTCACAGATAGACATCCTGTGTAGTAGCACAGAATCAGGTCAGAAGGGTCCTGTGCTGGATTAATGCTCTATTATCATTGTCTTAAAATTCTTAATAAAATTGTATAGCTGGTCCTACCTGTGAGGATAGATAGAACATAGCGGAGAAAACAGTCCCTTTAAGGCCTTCTTGGGGGCATTGCAATGAAGAGATCTGCCTTCTGTATAGTTGTCTAACAGATAAGTCATCAAATTGATCTCAAGGCATTCTAGGTATTTTAGACAATTTTTCAGATTATTGTCATATTTCTTAAGGGCAGATAGAAGTGAAATGTGATGTTTGTCCTTTTTTTCCTAGTTAACTATTCCTCCTAATAATCTGCTTTACAGCTGGGTGCAGTGGCTCACCCCTGTAATCCCTCCACTTTGGGAGGCCGAGGTGGGCGGATCACAAAGTCAGGAGAACAAAACCATCCTGGCCAACATGGTGAAACCTCGTCTCTACTAAAAGTACAAAAAATTAGCCGGGCATGGAGGCACGCACCTGTAATCCCAGCTACTCGGGAGGCTGAGGCAGGAGAATTGCTTGAACCCAGGAGATAGAAGTTGCAGTGAGCCAAGATGGCACCTCTGCACTCCAGCCTGGGCAACAGAGTGAGACTCCATCTCAAAAACAAACAAACAAAAAAAAAACAAAAAAAAACTGCTTTACTGATATCTCATACCAAATATAAGCTCTGGTAAAAATGATCTTGCAAACTTTCAAAGCTGCCACTTTTTTTATGTCAATTTACAGCACATGCCCATCTTTTTTCACGCTCGGAAGAATTTAGCAGCTCTTCTCAACTTTAAAACAGTTAATGATTGTAAAGACCTAGTCCATTGGAAATGCAAGAAAAACCCACATTTTTCAAGTTTTAAATCCCTCACAAATTTTACGGATACGAAAAGGAAAAAAAAACTTCTCTTACTGGTTTGAAAATGAACAGCACTGTCACTGACAACAGATAATGATCTGCAGTGCCCAGGTCACCACCTGATAGTTATTAAATGTTAACATTAAACAGGAAAGGAGAATTCTTTTCTTACAAGGCCATGACCAGATAAAAAAAACTATCTGGAATTTAGTGCCCAATTGTATACTGGAAAGTTTGGCTTTACATACAGGTAGAGGCTTGTGTGATAACATTTTGGAGATGTAGAGAAGTCCTGCTTACTCCAAATTCTTACCCACAACTTGATATTGTGTTTGGAATTCTAACGCTGGGATTTATTCTTTTGGGTTAAAAATTGCCTTATTAAGCAGTCCATGCTCCTTTGTTGCCATCACTAGTAGATCCCCTTTCTAGATGATTGGGGAGACTCAAAGGGGCATGAAAGTAAGTAAAAGACATGCTGAAAGAAGAAAATGGGCTGTAGGAAATAAAATTTTCATCATGTTTTCCTAATCAAGCCTCATAATTTTGCCCAAAACTAAAGTCAAAACCTGATGCATTGCAAGATCATTGCAGGAAGTAACAGCTTTAACATCAACAACATCAATAATACTAACAATATGTACTCTTGAGTGTTATGTATGACGTTGTCCCAAGCATACATTTTATGTGTTATCTCATTTAATTCTCAAAATAACCATATGGAGATAATTATTTGTATCAGTTCAAATGCTTTTTACTATAAGAGCTAGAGTTAGAGCCCATTCAAAATGATGTAAATAATAAAGAAGACTTTTTAAAAAAATAACCAAACATGCAGAGTTGGCTATTTCTAGAGTAAGGTAATCCAGCAACTCAGTGATGACATCAATGTTCTTTCCGCTCTGCCCTCCTGGTAATGTTTAAGGATTGTCAGTTTATGGGTCCAAAATGGCAGTAACTGCTACAGGTATCATAGCTTCATTCAATATCTAAAAGACAGAAAAGAACATGCATTTTAAGGATGAGGGCAATTTCCCAGAAGCTGTTCTGTGATTTACCTCAAGTCCTATTGGCTTTCATTTCAGGACATATCAATTTCTAAATTCATCATTCTTGCAGTGAATACAATACCCTTGACTGGCTTAAACTAATCAAGCTTTGCCTCCTGAGGCTGAGACGAAATCCAGCCATCTCTGTATATAAGGGTGTCCAAAGTCTAAACAAATTAGGAACTGTGTTAGCAAAGAAATAAGAAGGGGATGGATTTTGCATAGACAACCTAATATGTCGACCACAGACTTAGTTGGTGATGACATTTGGATAGAGCCTCCATCTGTTGGACTCTGAAGGTTATACTTTCAGCCACTGTGTAAGACTGCTTGTGTATGCACATTCATATACATTCCAAGTTTTTGAAAAAAATAATTTTTAAAGTTAAGCACCAGAATATTACCATCATAAACTTAACAAGGAAATCCAAAATGGTTTCTCTATACGTGACCTCTACTAGAAGAGAGGCAGCATTTTTGCTCAGCAGCTACAATCTTCCCAGGCATCTGTTAAGCTCTACACACTGGCAAAAACCTGGTGGGAAATTTTTGCTTGGCAAGACCACCGTGGTCATTGAAAGGAGTTCCCACACCTCTTAGAATAATGTCAGCAAGAAAGGATTAGGAGAAATCTTGAAAGGTTGCTCCCGCTTAAAAGTTGACCCCATTTGATAATGTAGTGGAGTATGAGACAACTGCTAAGTGTGGTGTATCTTTAGCCATATTATTTCCCTAAGGTAATCTTGTTTCTTACTACTCTAGGAAAACTGGTCATTCCCAAACTTCTAAATGTATTACCAAGATAACTTCTAGATTTTCTTCAGCTAATTCTCATAAGCATATATACTTTGAAGTTGGACAAAAGAATTTTTTTCTTCCAGAGAAGAAACAACTGGTTTGGAAGATATAGTAGAAATACCTATATATTGCATTCCATATTTTTTTCCCTCAGAATTATTTGATTATTTTAAAAATAGAGAGAATGGTGATGACTTTACCAAAATCTTGTATTTAAATGGAAATAGTTAATGGCAGAGAACATTAAAATCTTAGATTACTGATTCTACCTGATTGGAAAAAAATAATCTTTTGTTTATACAGGCTTCTGTGGAAATGAGCTAAAAATTGTAGCTGAATTCAACTGTTAGTAATATTCTCCAAAAATACATCAAAGTAGATAAAGAGGCTAAAAAGCCTTGCATTCATGAATTAAAAAATTGGAATTTCTAAGGAGAAAAGTCAGTTTTAGTTTTCTTCCCCTTCCCCTTTGTTTTCCTTTCCCATTCATCTCCACACTCATTCTTTCTTTGTTTAATTGTAACTATGGAGGCAAAAACTAAGTGTATGTGCTTCTTATGTCGTCCAAGTGGAGAAATTTTTAAGCAAATTAAGAATGGCCAGGAACTAAATGATAAAAATAGAGATGACTTATAACACTATGTTTACATTTATGTTATGATATGGCCTATCAGTGAACTAAACAATTTTATTTTTGTCTTGAAAAATTGGCTGGATATTTTGTTACCATGGAGAGGTAGGCTAAATTCAGCCATAAGATTCCAAGTATATTCAGTGAAAAAGAAAAGTTTGCCAACTAAATGATTTACTGTTATCAGGATCATTTTGAATATAAAGCAGAAAAATACTTTTATTATTTATAAAAAGTACATCACATTTTTTACACATCAAAGGAGAAATTTTATCAAATACTATAACTACTTGTCAGTTTATGATTTTGTGAGATATTTCATATTTAGATCACAAATAAGAATAAAAATAATAGGAAAATGTAACCAGTTAAGATTTTATTGGGTATAGAGTATCCTACAAATATTGTTTTATACACTACTTAAGCTAAATGTGACAACTTGGAAATATAAAAAGTCATAGGAAACCAAAAAGTGGTTTTGAACCCTGAAACTTCTCAAAGAAAGAGAAAATTAGATCAGATAACTTTTTTTCTTTTTCCTAGAAAACTTGGCATTAGAGTGACAATGAAGAAACTGTAGATAGGGAATGACAGAAAATAGACCATGATCATGATTTTATTCCCTACCATAAGGGTATAAATGAAAGAGCTGAAGTTATTTCTTATTTTAATATTTTGCTGACATATTATACCCTGGAGAGAACTCTTAGTAAATATCCTGTTGAATAAATGAATAAATCAAAGACATGAGTGGAACTGTCTCTAGAATCATTAAGACTTTTCCAGTGGCTTTTAAAGGAATACTTTAGCATGATATGGGGATGAAAGAGAGCTCTGGAATGAAACTAGTTAACAAAATTAACTTCTTGCCCTGAAACATAAATAAATTATAAACTGAATTCATTCCAATAAAACAATGGAATGAGATTGGGTCAGTAACATCCAAATGCAAAAATATTGTGTTGCTAATGGCAGGCATGTTTATATTTCTTTCTTTAACTGGTTTCCATTTACCAATCCAATTGCCTGTTAAGTGGAGTGTGTATCTTGGAATATACCCATGGAATGTGATCCAGGGAGACTCTCTACACCTAACCCTCCAAAATGAGTGAGTCAGACACAGCATCCATGGTGATCTACAAAGAACCCAAACATGGAAACTACCATTGTTGAAATATGACCTACTTAGATGTGTCACCTGTGGCAATGTAGAAGAACTAAGTAAATAAGTGCATATATTCTATAAATATTGGAAGATTTTCTATAGTACTTTTAATCTATAGTTGTAAATATTAATGAATGAAACTTTAGAGCATTCGAAGATATATTTGACCATATAATTATTACTTCTACTATATAGATAGAAACCTAAAGACAGCACAAACAGTAGTTCCATTTCAACAATTGTAATTTACATTTTTCAGTTATTTACATATAAATAGGTATGTTGTCTGCTCCACTCATTGACATGCGTATAGTCTCAGAATCTACTGGTTTTTGCCCACATCCTTATAATTACACAAGTAATAGTGGCCACTTTAAACTGCTTCAGATACATGCATACTGATATATCTTTACAAACCAAAAATGTAGGAAAACTATCAAGAGTAACTATGTAACGGCAATAATTGAGACACACACTAGAAACACACAATGGTGGATTTCCTACCTCTTTAAAGTTGTCCTCAGGCAAAGGCCTCAGTCACCCACCAGGAGGGAAGCTAGATTAATCATTGCTTGAACTTAGAGCAAGGTCAGGCTTCTATACCCATCACTGCCCTGAAATGGCATAGTGTACAATCTGCTTTGATTTTAATTCAAGACATTTGAAGCAAGTAGTATTATATCCACTGTTTTGCACATTAGGAGGTTGAGACCCAAAAAGCTAAGTCAACTTCAGTAGAGTCACATATCAAGAAAGTAATGGAATGAGACTTCCAACCAGATAGACTACCTCTAGAGTCATTGCTCTGTTAATCAGAAGAGAGACAATTTTTCTAACAACTGAATTAAGCTCAAAGAACCCAAAAGTTCTGAGACTTATTCTATAATAATTAAATGACACTAAAATGTTGAATTTGCTGTTATTTTCTCTACATTGGGTTAAAGTTCCTGTTCTCAGAACAGTAAAATACAATCCTGGCTGTGCCAAATAAAAAAATGAGATTATACATATAGGTATATATTTTTACACATACATAGAAAATGACCAAATGGAAACAAAAGGAACTGTTTAGTGGTTAGTTACCTCTGAGGATTTGTTAGAATGAGGACGTGAGAGGGTGAAGGATTTTACTTTTCATTCTGAACAGTTAGTTTTTTCCCAAGAGTACATATTTTTAAAAATAAAAATCAAAAAGTAACTGTCAACATCCCTGATATTCCTGCTTGTTAAGAAATATACAATATTTTTGGAGCTGAAGCAAGCTACAAGTAAGAAAGGAATCACTAGATACCAACTTTCACCTGTCCCATGAGAACAGATAGTCATTGGAAAAGACTTTAAACAAACCATATAGGATATTTGTTTGCACAAGAAATGACGGATGTACATATTACCAAGGTACTGTACGTTCTAACAAAGAGTGTAATCATATTCATTCCTGGTAATGAGAATAATACTTTGAAGAAAAATTAATGCTATAACAGTCAATAGACAACGCAACTAGCACCAAGAAAATTTCCAGGTAGTATAAATGGAAGTTGAGCAAAGTTCAAGTAAAATTGCAGTATGTGGACTGAGTTTTAGTCCAATTCTATACATCCCATAATTTCCAAGACATTGTTTAAATTGAATGAGTGAATCAATCAAAATGTTTTAATTCAATTTTTTTCTTTTTTTTCTTTTTTTTTTTTTTGAGACAGAGTCTAGCTCTGTCACTCAGTCTGGAGTGCAGTGGCGCTATCTCGGCTCACTGCAAGCTCTGCCTCCAGGTTTCACACCATTCTCCTGCCTCAGCCTCCCGAGTAGCTGGGGCTACAGGCTCCCGCCACCATGTCCAGCTAACTTTTTTTTTTTTTTTGTATTTTTAGTAGAGATGAGGTTTCACCGTGTTAGCCAGGATGGTCTCGATCTCCTGACCTTGTGATCTGCATGCCTCGGCCTCCCAAAGTGCTGGGATTACAAGCGTGAGCCACTGCGCCCGGCCAATTTAACTTTTAATGTTTTTTAAACTACCTTTTATCTATAATATGATACTGGATATGCATGCTGGTGCTTTCAGTGAACCACAGTGGTGACTTTTGGATCACAATGTCTTGCTGGAAAAAGAAAAACAAAAGTTGTATTTTTTCTGAATGAAGTTTTCATGCTTCCCCCATTCACTTAACTGGGAAAACAAATTGAAGATTCACTTTGCTTCATATATAATCTTGGGTTTATATTTGTGTCCATTTGATATTTGGTCACTTTTGTAAAATTCATGTAAAAGTTATTTTTTCTTGGAGTAAAACTTCTGAATAGTGTCAACGTAGGCACCATGCTGTGATGATAAAGACATCCTGATTATGCTTAATGATAATGATGGTGATTATGATGTCATAAGACTTGAAGTCTATAATAGAAGTATATTAATTTCTAGGTAATCTGACAGCTTCTGGGGACTCTTAACTCCAGGGATCCTCAGGTTCTGGCTAGGCATGATCCTTGTATTTAAAATGTATTCTCTTGTCTGCAAAGTAGCTGCTTTTCTGTGTTATTCTGCAAAGGATAAATGCTACTAGAATATGGACTATTTCATTTAATTTTAAGTCAGATGTAATTGACAGTAGCTAACATGTTATAGGTTCTCCACATACAGAGACTGAAAAAAGACAGAAATTAATAATGGCATGAGTGGTTATGGATATACACATGGTATGATAGTAAATTTTAAGTGTGAATTTAATTGGTCATAGGGTGCCCAGATAAAATATTATTTTTGGGTATGTCTGTAAAGGTGTTTCTGGATGAGATCAGTATTTAAACCAATGGACTCAGTAGATGCCTCCCCTGATATTGGTGAGCATTATCCAATTTTTTGAGGGCCTGAAAGCTACAAAAGGCGGAGGAAAGAGAAATGTGCCCTTTTCACCTCCTACTTAACTGTTGAGCTGCAACATATAATCTCATCTTCTCCATTCCTCAGATTTGGATTTATACCACTTCTTCACCTTTTTCTAAGAACTTTGGACTCATTACTAAATGACATTTATATACATACACGCCGATATGTACTGGTGTATATTGGCTAGTTGCTCCTAATTTTGCTAGACAAAATGGTGAAAGAAAGGATGCCCTCAAGGATTGAATTCTAAGCCAAGTGTATAAATGACATAAGATCTTCTATGTGTGCTCAGAACAAGACAATTATTTCTGGTAGCCACAGAGCTGAAATTGCTATATATTGAATGCAGATTATGGGACTTTTCGGCCTTCATAATCTCATAAGCCAATTTCTTATAATAAATATCTTTCTTTCTCTCTCTCACACACACACACACAAACACACACACAGCCATATAGATATACAATCTACTGGTTCTGTCGTTCTGGAGAACCCTGACCAATACACATAGTTTGACCTGAGCCATGGATTGACCTAATTAATTGAAATAATCAATTACTCTTTCTAATCAATAAGTGATAAAGAATACATTGTTATTTGCCTTATGTTGCATCTTTAGATAATGTGAATCTGGTTAAGAGAAAAAAAGAATGAACAGCCATGATCGTATCAGATTGTAGCATATCAATACAACACATGACATATGAAATAATGTTTTAAAAGTAACTGACAATGGTACATGTTTAGAGCAACTGGGAAATGGAAGGGAGAAAAATGAATGAATGTATGTTAGCTTTACCATTAACAGATAAGGTAAAATTGAGTACTGTTTATTTAGACAGTAGATAACTGTAGAATATGTGTGGCCTATCCATTGCTACAAGAAGAAAAGAACTATCATATTCACTCTTCATGGCCTCAGAAGTGGGCCCACCCACCTGCAGACACTATCAATGGGCCCAACCACACCCACAGGGCCCACAGATACTTTCAGACATCCCATCTTCAGACAAAAACAACTAGCCCATCTAGAATCTTTGGCCAGGCTAACTAGTGAAGGGCTTTCTCTGCCAAAGTCAGACTGTAAAGACCAGAAGGAGTGATTGCTTCTTCAAATGTTCAGATACTAATGCAAGGTCATAAAGATCATAAAAAATCAGGAAAACATGACATTGAAAATAGGAAAACAATACATGAAAAAAAATTAGAAGTTGAACAAAGTGATAGAAGCCATTAAAAATAAAAGCAGAAATGTAAGAGCTGAGGAATACAATTACTAAACTGAAAAATTCAATGGAGAACTTCAGCAGCAGACTTGGTCAAACAGAAGAAAGAATCAGCAAATTTAAAGACTGTTTATTTGTAATTATTCAGAGAAACAAAAATAAATAAAAAGAGAAAGATTAAATAGAACCTACAGAACTTATGAAACATCATCAAATATATACATTAAGAGACTCCCATAAGAAGAAAAGAAAGAGATAGAGAAGGAAAGATTATTTAAAGAAATAGTGTCGAAAACCTTCTTGAATCTGGGGAAGAAAATGAGCATTCAGACTAAGGAAGAAGAACAACAAAACACTCAAATAGGTTGAACCTAATGAGGACTACACTGAGAGATGTTATAATTAAATTGTTACAAATCAAAGACAAAGAGAGAATTTTGAAAGCAGCAAGAGAAAGGTGAATCATCACATAAAAGGGAACACTGATAAGGCTATCAGTAGATTTTTCAGCAGAAACCTTTGATGGCAGGAGAGAGTGGAATAATAATATATTTAAAGTGCTCAAAAAAAAAACCCACCAAGAATAATATACCTGGCAAAACTGTCCTTTAAAAATGAAGGATCTATAAAGACTTTCCCAGATAAACAAAAACTGAGGGACTTCATCACCACTACATTTGCCTTTTAAGAAGTGCTTAAAGAGAGTTCTGCAAGTTGAAATAAAAAGATACTAAACAGCAGCACAAATGCATATAAAAGAATAAATCTCACTGGTAAAAGTAAATATACATAGAAGTACAGAATGATGCAATAGTGTCATGACTATATATATATAATGCATATTATATAATATATTTTATATTATATATAATATATATTATATATAATATATTTTATATTATATATAATATATATTATATATAATATATAAGTTATATAATATATATTACGTATATTATATATAATATGGTATATTATATATATTATATATTATATATATGTTTTATAATATATATTATATATATTATATATTATATATATATTTTATAATATATATTATATATTAACTAAAATATGTTCTATTATATATTATATATAATATGTTATATAATATATATTAACTATAATATGTTATATTTTATATATTATATATTAACTATAATATGTTATATTATATATATTATATATAATATATAATATGTTATATTATATATTATATATAATATGTTATATTATATATAATATATAATATGTTATATTATATATTATATATAATATGTTATATTATATATTATATATAATATGTTATATTATATATTATATATAATATAACATATTATATATTATATATAATATATATAATATATTATATATATTATATATAATAATATATTATATATAATATATATAAAATAATAATATACATCAGAATATATAATATAATATAAACTACAAATAATATGTAACATATATTTATATACTTTATATAATATATAATTTATAATTTATAGAATATATAATACATAATTTATATAATATATAATATATAATATATAATTTATATAATATATAATGTATACAATAATCTATATAATATAATATATATTATATATTACTATATAATATAACATGTAATATATTATTATATAATATGACATATAATACATTATTATATAATAATATATGTTATATATTATTATATAATATAGTATGTGTTATATATTATTATATAATATATGTGTTATATATTATTATATAATATATGTGTTATATATTATTATATAATATATGTGTTATATATTATTATATAATATATGTGTTATATATTATTATATAATATATGTGTTATATATTATTATATAATATATGTGTTATATATTATTATATAATATATGTGTTATATATTATTATATAATATAATATGTGTTATATATTATTATATAATATAATATGTGTTATATATTATTATATAATATTATATGTATTATATATTATATGATATAATATGAATCATATATTATTATATGATATAATATGTATTATATATTATTATATAATATAATATGTATTATATCTTCTTATATAATATAATATGTATTATATATTACTATATAATATAATATGTATTATATATTATTATATAATATAATATGTATTATATATTATTATATTATATATACTCTGTTTCCATCTAAGTAAATTATAAATAGGTAAAGGGTTACACTGCCATTTCTTGTTTTGTTTCTGCCTTATAGTTCTTTTGTTCTTCTGCTCCTCTCTTGATGACTTCCTTTGTGATTTGTTCGTTTCCTGTAGTGATATACTTTGGTTCTTTCTTTTGTGTATTATTAGGGTGGTGGGGAATTTTCTCTTTTTGGTTACCATAAGCCTTTCCTAAAGTATCGTATACTTATTCCATGCTATTTTAAGCTAATAACATTTTAAATTCATTGCATACTAACACTCCTCTCTCCCCACACACTATATTTGTGTCAGGTTTTACTTCTTTTTATATTTATATGTATATCCATGTACAACTTTTTCAATCATAGTTATACTTATTTCTTTGGGTACTTTGGGTTTTTAACTTTTATACTAAGGTGAAAAGTTTTTTATATATATGTTATATTACATTATATATTATATAATTTATATATATACATTATACATGTTATATATATAATTTATGTATATTTATTTTATATGTATTTATTATATATGTAAATTATAATATATATATTATATATTTTATAATATATATATGAATTATATATATAATATATTATATAATATATAATATATATGAATTATATATATATTATGTAATATATACCATATATGAATTATATATATTATATAATACATAATATATATATGAATTATATATATAATATATTATATAATATATTATATATAATTATATATAAATTATATATTAATTACTTATATAATTATATATAATTATATATTATATTTATGTATAATAGTTTATATATTATAATTTACATATTATAATTTATATATTATAATTTACATATTATTATATATGATATATGATATATAATATATATTATTATATATGATATATAGTGTATATTATAGTATATATCATATATAATACTATATATTATATATGATATATAATACTATATATTATATATCATATATAATATAATATATTATATATCATATATAATATAATATATATTATATATCATCTATGATATATAACATAATATATATCATCGATGATATATATAATATAATACATACTATATATCATATATAATATAGCGTATATTGCATATCATATATATAATATAGCGTATATTACATATCATATATATATAATATAGCGTATATTACATATCATACATATAATATAGCGTATGTTATATATCATACATATAATATAGCATATGTTATATATCATATATAATATAGCGTATGTTATATATCATATATAATATAGCGTATGTTATATATCATATATATAATATAGCGTATGTTATATACCATATATAATATAGGGTATGTTATATATCATATATAATATAGCGTATGTTATATATCATATATAATATAGCGTATGTTATATATCATATAATATAGTGTATGTTATATATCATATATATAATGTAATATATGCATTATATTATATTCAGTACATCTATCTTACAAGCAAAGACACACACAGCCTCTTTATTTTTAAAGAGATGGAGGAAAATTTACTAAGCAATGGAAAGTGGGAAAAAAAAGCTGGGTTTGCAATCCTAGTATCTGACAAAACAGACTTTAAACCAACAAAGATCAAAAAAGATAAAGAAGGGTACTACATAATGGTAAAGGGAACAATTCAACAAGAAGAGCTAACTATCCTAAATATATATGCACCCAATACAGGAGCACCCAGGTTCATAAAACAAGTTCTTAGAGATGTACAAAGAGACTTAGACTTCCACACAATAATAGTGGGAGACTTTAACACCCCACTATCAATATTAGATTGACGAGACCGAAAATTAACAAGGGTATTCAGGACTTGAACTCAGCTCTGGATCAAGTGGACCTAGTAGATGTCTACAGAACTCTCTACCCTAAATCAACAGCATATACATTCTTCTCAGTGCCACATGTCACTTATTCTAAAATTAACCACATAATTGGAATTAACCCCCTCCTCAACAAATGCAAAGGAACTGAAACCATAACAGATAGTCTCACAGACCACAGTGAAATCATATTAGAACTCAGGATTAAGATACTCACTCAAAATCACACCATTTCATGGAAATTGAACAACCTGCTCCTGAATAACCCCTAGGTAGATAATGAAATTAAGGCAGAAATCAAGAAGTTCTTTGACACCAATGAGAACAAAGAGGAAACATACCAGAAACTCTGGGACATAGCTAAAGCAGTGTTAAGAGGGAAATTTATAGCACCAAATGCCTACATCAGAAAGCTATAAAGAGCTCAAATTAACACCCTGACATCACAATTAAAAGAGCTAGAGATGCAAGAGCAAACTAATCCAAAAGGTAGCAGAAGACAAGAAATAACTAAGATCAGAAAAGAATTGAAGGAGATAGAGACAAAAAAAAACCCTCCAAAAAATCAGCAAATCCAGGAGGTGGTTTTTGGAAAAAATTAACAAAATAGTTAGACCACTAGCTAGACTAATAAAGAAGAAGAGAGAGAATAATCAAATAGACACAATAAAAAAAATAAAGGCAATATCATCACTGACCCCACAGAAATACAAACTACCATCAAAGAATACTTTAAACACCTCTATGCAAATAAATTAGAAAATCTAGAAGAAATGGATAAATTCCTGGATGCATACATCCTACCAAGACTATACCAGGAAGAAGTTGAATCCCTGAATAGACCAATAACAAGCTCTGAAATTGAGGCAGTAATTAATAGCCTGCTAACCAAAAAAAAAAAAAGCCCAGGACCAGATGGATTCACAGCTGAATTTTACCAGAGATGCAAAGAGGAGCTGGTACCATTCCTTCTCAAACTATTCCAAACAATTGAAGAGGAGAGACTCCTCCTCCCTAACTCATTTTATGAAGCAAGCATCATCCTGATACCAAAACGGGGAAGAGACACAACAAAAAAAGGAAAATTTCAGGCCAATATACCTGATGAACATCTATGTGAAAATCCTCAATAAAATACTGCCAAACAGAATGCAGCAGTATATCAAAAAACTTATCCACCATGATCAAGTTGGCTTCATCCCTGGGATGCAAGGCTGGTTCAACATATGCAAATCAATAAATGTAATCCATCACATAAACAGAACCAAGGGCAAAAACCACATGATTATCTCAATAGATGCAGAAATTTTGATAACTTTTAAAGTATTGATGGAACATACTTCAAAATAATGAGTCATTTATGACAAACCCACAGCTCATATCATAGTGCATGGGCAAAAGCTGGAAGCATTCCCTTTGAAAACCGGTACAAGACAGCTGGGTGCGGTGGCTCACGCCTGTATTCCCAGCACCTTGGGAGGCCGACGCGGGCAGATCACGAGGTCAGGAGATCGAGACCATCCTGGCCAACAAGGTGAAACCCCATTTCTACTAAAAAAAAAAAAAAAAAAATACAAAAAAAAATTAGTCGGGCATGGTGGCGGGCACCTGTAGTCCCAGCTACTTGGGAGGCCGAGGCAGGAGAATGGCATGAACCCAGGAGGCAGAGCTTGCAGTGAGCCTAGATTGTGCCACTGCACTCCAGCCTGGGCAACAGAGCAAGACTCTGTCTCAAAAAAAAAAAAAAGAAAAAAAAAAGAAAAAAAACTGGTGCAAGAAAAGGATACCCTCTGTAACCATTGCTATTCATCATAGTGTTGGAAGGTCTGGCCAGGGCCATCAGGCAAGAGAAAGAAATAAAGGTATTCTTACAGGGAGAGAGGAAGTCAACTTGTCTCTGTTTGCAGATGACATAATTTTTTATTTAGAAAAGCCCATCATATCTGCCCAAGAAATACTCGAACTAGTAAGCAACTTCAGCAAAGTCTCAGGATACAAAATCAATGTGCAAAAATCACAAGCACTCCTTTACATCAACAATAGGCAAGCAGAGAGCCAAATTATAAATGAACTCTCACTCGCAATTGCTACAAAGAGAATAAAATACCTTGGAATACAGCTAAGAAGGGAAGTGAAGGACCTCTTCAAGAACTACAAACCACTGCTCAAGAAAATAAGAGAGGATACAAATGGTTCCCATCCTCATGGATAGAAGAATCAATATCACGGAAATGGCTATACTGCCCAAAACAATTTATAGATGCAATAGTATTCCTATCAAACTACCATTGACATTCTTCACAGAATTATAAAAAACTATTTTAAATTTCATATGGAATCAAAGAAGACCCCATATAGCCAAGAAAATCCTAAGAAAAAGAACAAAGCTGGAGGCATCATGCTACATGACTTCAAACTATACTATAAGGCTACAGTAACCAAAACAGCATGGTACTGGTATCAAAACAGATATATAGACCAATGGAGCAGAACATTGACCTCAGAAATAACACCACACATCTACAACCATCTAATCTTTGAGAAATCTGGCAAAAACAAGCAATGGGGAAAGGATCTCCTATTCCATAAATGGTGCTGGGAAAACTGGCTAGCCATGTGCAGAAAACTGAAACTGGACCCCTTCTTTACACCTTATACAAAAATTAACTCAAGATGGATTTACGACTTAAATGTAAAATCCAAAACCATAAAAACCCTAGAAGAAAACCTAGTCAATACCATTCAGAACATAGGCATGGGCAAAGGTCTCATGACAAAAACACCAAAAGTAATGCAACAAAAGCCAAAATTGATAAATGAGATCTAGTTAAACTAAAGAGTTTCTGCACAGCAAAAGAAACTATCATCAGAATGAACAGGCAGCCTACAGAATGGGAGAAAATTTGTGCAATCTACCCATCTGGCAAAGGTCTAATATCCAGAATTTACAAGGAACTTAAACAAATTTACAAGAAAAAAAAACGACCCCATCAAAAAGTGGGCAAAGGACATGAACAGACACTTCTCAAAAGAAGACATTTACATGACCAACAAACATGAAATAAAGCTCAACATCACTGATCATTGGAGAAATGCAAGTAAAAACCCAATGAGATACCATCTCATGCCAGTCAGAATGGCTATTATTATGAAGTC
The DNA here is from genome assembly GCF_000001405.40 of Homo sapiens. NCBI lineage: Eukaryota > Metazoa > Chordata > Mammalia > Primates > Hominidae > Homo > Homo sapiens. The sequence continues at coordinate 74,566,802 of NC_000004.12, forward strand.
AGGAAATAATAGATGCTGGTGAGGCTTTGAAGAAATAGGAATGCTTTTATACTGTTGGTGGGAATGTAAATTAGTTCAGCCATTGTGGAAGACAGTATGACAATTCCCCAAGGATCTAGAACCAGAAATACCATTTAACCCAGCAATCCCATTACTGGATACATACCCAAAGGAATATAAATTGTTTTACTATAAAGACACATGCACATCTATGTTTATTGCAGCAGTATTTACAATAGCAAAGTCATGGAACCAATCCAAATGCCCATCAATGATAGACTGGATAAAGAAAATATGGTACATATACACCATGGAATACTATGCAGCCATAAAAATGAATGAGATCATGTCCTTTGCAGGGACATGGATGAAGCTGGAAGCCATCATCCTCAGCAAACTAACACAGGAAAAAAACACTGCATGTTCTCACTCAGAAATTGGAGTTGAACACTGGGAACACATGGGCACAGAGAGGGGAAAAACACACACTAGGGACTGTTGAGGGGTGCATGGTGAGGGGAGGGAACCTATAGGATGGGTCAATAAGTGCAGCAAACCACCATGGCATGTATACCTATGTAACAAACCTGTACGTCCTGCACATGTGTCCTTTTTTTTTTTAGAAGAAGAAATAAAGCAAAAAAAAAGAGAAAACCTTAATAACTTTATGCCTCAAGTAACTAGAAAAAGAACAATGAACTAAGCCCAAAGTAGCATGCAAAATGAAATAATAAAGATTAGAGTAGAAATAAATGGACTAGAAAATAGAAAAACACTAGAAAGATAAAAAAGATAATATTTTTTGCAAAGGTAAGTAAAATTGACAATTCACTAGATAGACTAAGAAAAAAGAGAGGAGAGCTAAACAAATAAAATCAGAAATGACAGAGTTGACATTACAACTGATGTTTATGAAATAAAAAAATAAAGGCCTATTATAAACAATTACATTCTAACAAATTGGACAACCTAGAGGACATAGATATATCCTTAGACAAATACAAACTACCGAGACTGAATCAAGAATAAATAGAAATCTTGAACAAACCAACAATTAATGAGGATATTGAATTAGCAATCAAAACTTGCCAAAAAAGAAAAGTCCAAGACCAGGTAGCCTTACAGATAAATTCTGCCAAACATTTAAAAAAGAACTAATAACAGACCTTATTAAATACTTCCAAAATACAAAAGGGAACACTGCAATCTCATTTTATGAGGCTATCACCTTACTACCAAAACCAGACAGACTCCACAAAAAATGAAAACTATAGGCCAATATTCCTGATGAAAATAGATGTAAAAATCGTCAATAATATGTTTGCAACATGAATTTTGCAATGTGAATTCAATAGTACATTAAAACGATGACATCATGACTAAGTGGAATTTATCCTTGAGATGCAAAAATGGTTCAACATATACAAATTAAACGATGTCGTACATTACTTAACAGAAAGAAGGATGAAAATTATATGATAATCTCAATGGATGCAGAAAGAGCATTTGACTAAATTCAACACCCTTTTATAGTAAGGAGTCTCAATAAATTAGGTATAGAAAAAATTTACCTCAACATAATAAAGGCCATATAGGAAAAGCCCACAGGTAACACTATACTAAATTGTGAAAAACTCAAAGCTTTTCCTGTAAGATCAGGGAAAAGGTAAGAATGTTCGCTTTTACTATTTCTATTCAAAATAGTACTAGAAGCCCTAACCAGAGAAATTAGGCAGGAAAAGAAAAAGGTATCCAAATTAGAAAGGAAGAAATAAAATTACCTCTGTTTACAGACAACATCATCTTATGTATGGACAACCCTAAAGACTACACAGACACACACACACACACACACACACACACACACACACACACACAACCTATCCGAACTAACATACAAATTCATTAAAGTTACAGGATACAAAATCAGCATTCAAAACTCAGTTGTGTTTTTACACACTAACAACAAACTTTCTGAAAAGAAATAAACTCAAAATGGATTAAAGACTTAAGCATAATACCTGTATCCATGAAACTCCTAGAAGAAAACATAGGGAAAAAAACATCTTGACCTTTCCTTTGGAAATTGTTTATTCGATATGACACTGAAAACAAGGCAACAAAAGCAAAAGTAGATGAATGGAATTACATCAAACTAAAAGGCTTCAGTACAGCAAAGAAAAACAACAAAATTAAGTAGCAATATATAGAATAGGAGAAAATATTTGTAAACTGTGTATCTCATAAAATGCTAATATCCAAATATATAAAGAACTACTATAACTCGATAGCAAAGAAAAAATCTGATTTAAAAATACGTGAAGGAACTGACTGGACATCACTCCAAAGAAGACATACAAATGGCTGAAAGGTAAACGGACAGTGCTTAACATCATTAATCATCAGGGAAATGCAAATCAAAACCACAATGAGATATCCCCTTATACCTAGTGTTGTCGAAAACGTAGAGAAAAAGGAATCCTTGTACATTGTTGGTGGGAATGTGAATTGGTATAGCCACTATGGAAAATAGTATGGAAGTTCCTCAAAAAATTAAAAATAGGACTCCCATATGATCCATCAATCCCTCTTCTGGACATATATCCAAAGGAAATGAATCAATATGTCAAAGATATATCTACACACATATGTTCATTGCAGCATTATTCACAATAGCCAAGACATGGAAGAAATCAGAATGTCTATTTATGGATGCATAGATAAAGACAAAGTTACACACACACACACACTCCCTCACACTTACAGAGGGGAATATTATTCATCGTTAAAAAAGAAGAAAATCTTGCAATTTTTGACAACATGGATTAATCTGAAGGACATTATGCCAAGTGAAATAAACCAGACACAGAAAAAATATTCTACATGATTTCACTTATGAGGAATCTAAAACAGTCAAACTAATGGAAGCAGAGAGTAGAAGGTGGTTGCCAGGGGTTGTGGGGAGGGGGAAATTAGGAGTTATTGTCAATTGGTACAAAGTTTCAGTCAAGCAAGATGAATAAGACCTAGTCTATTATATGGCATAGTAGTACTTATAGTTTATTGTACTATAACTTAAAATTTACTAAGGTGATAGATCTTATGTTAAGTGTTCTTATCATGAATTATAATAATTGTAATTGATAAAGGGGACATGAGAAAACTTCTGGATGTGGTATGTTTATGGCATTAATTATGGTAGTGGTTTTACAAGTATATTTTATTTAAGCTCATCAAGTTATATAGATTAAGTATGTACAGTTTTTGTAGGTCAATTGAACCACAATAAAGTGGTTTTTTAAAAAAGAAAAAGACTATGGTGCTAGAGACAACAAGCTGTTCACGACATTTGGGTTTTCTTCCTTTGCTGGAACAGAAAGGTGAAGGGTTGAGATCTATGAATCATTTTTATTTTCTAGGTTCCAGTTCCTTAGAATCCTAAGCCTCAATACCACAAAGAAAAGGGAAACAAAAAAGTGCTGAAATCAGCTCCTTTGGAAGTGCAGCAGGTGAGGAGAAACCCGTACGCTTTAAAACTAGAGACACTGACACACACATAAAATATGTTACAAATGCCAGGTGTGAAGGGATCAATGAATCTAAGATGTCTGTTACCCATTTGTAGCACATTGGTTGGGAAGCTCTGAAATAGGAAAGATCACTTTATCTGATTTCTCAAGATATTGAAGGTAATAATTTTTACTTTTTGATATTAATGGCTGGCAAAACCAACTATTATATTACTTGTAGTAGAAGGCAGAAGTCTATTACAAAAACTGCAAGGACTTGGGTGATCACCACTGTTTTGAATTCCCTAGAAACGGCTCTGCCTGTGAAAAATTCTTTCTAAGATTATTAATTTTTTAATCAATAGAAGAAAGCATTTAAGAAAATCAAAATGACAGGCTTTTTATATTAAAGTTGTCATAAGGACTTATAATTCTTTCATAGATGATAACATAATAAAAAGTGCTAGTAAAAAATCTGATTTATACATGATTCCCAGTCTCAGAAACAGCAGTGTCTCAACAAAACTTTAGGGAATGTATAAAATAATTCCTGGGATTTTATCCATGAATACAATTAGTATTGAAAACATTTTCCTTGTTGGATTCATATGCAGGTAAGTCTTAGTAATTTCTGCCAATGAAACAAAACAGCAACAGCCAGGTTAAAGATTTGGAAACCTGTAAAGTGAAACTTAAAAACTAAGAGCAATATTATTGCTGAATATATTTTACATCCATTACTTTAATTAATTTCATATACAGAAACTAGAGGAATGACTAATATTTGTTTATGCCAACTGTATTTTAAGCTACTTGCTTGAGTGAAAGATAAGGCCATTTCCTTTCACAAGTCAATAATTTTTTTCTTAAACCCTTATTAACAATATTCAGTTGCTTAACAAAATCTAATTAGAATTGATACTATGTGGGTATACTTTTACTTAGCACACATTGGAATAATCTTAGATTTTGAATCAGCTGCAGTGTAGTATAACAACGTTTTATTCTAAATTCTAGACTCTTTTCAAAGCTGTAAAGAAAGACTATGTCTCTACGGAGTTAGCAGTTTAATATTCTTCACTCCACGAAACAACCAATTAAATTCATTGAACCTTTTCCTCCACAGAAAATTCAACGCAGAGAAAAGACCCAATCTAATAGCCTCAACTTAGAACTATTGCTTCTAGAAGCAGGAATAAAGATTATCGTCTCTGCACTTAGACTCAGCCAGAACGGCATGTAATTTAATATGTATTAATGCATACATTGTGTATTGGGGTCCAGTGAATTTAAAGAAGAAAGAATTAGGCAGACAAAACTATCCTCTTTTCAGCATCAACACCATGCTTACCATCTGTTTTTAAAGTTCTTTTTTATATAATTGAATAGCTACCTATTCATAATGACAACCTGTATACATGCATGTGTGCCTACACCCATATGCACACAATACATGCGCACACACAGCCATAGCAGTGGCAGCTGTATTTCCTCTTCTTCCTCATTCTTCTTACCATTTTAACTCTGCTCCAAAATGGTTTTGGATAGAAGAATGATCTTGCAAATATATCCACATCTTAATCCACAAAACCTGTGAATATGCTACCTTACATGCAGAAGAAACTTTGCAGATGTGTGTAAGGTTAGGGAAGCTGAGATGGAGAGATTCCCCCAGATTATTTTCGTAGGCCCAATGTAATCACACAAATCCTTAAAGTCAGAGAATATGTCATAGATATGATTAGAGAGAGAGATGACAAAAGAAGAAGGGCTGGAGGATGGAAGGAGAGTCTGACCTGAGCCAAAGAAGGTGGATATCTTTTAGAAGCTAGAAATGGATCTCAGTTGACTGCTAACAAGTAAATGGGGACCACAGTCCTACAACCACAAGGAACTGAATTCAGCTGACAATCCAAATGATAAAGGGAACAGAATCACCCTGAAAGCCTCCAAAATGAATGCAGCTTCTAGCAACTTGATTCAGCCCAGTGAGATCCATATCAGATGGATGACCTATAGTACTTTAAAATAACAAGTCTGTATTGTTTAGAACACTAAATTTGTGGTGATTTGTTATAGCAGCAACAGAAAACTAATGTACTAAAATATGTAAACAAGGAAAAATTGTACTCTAAGAAACAACAAAGACAGTTCTGTCTACATCTGCATATTTCAGATGTAGAATGATCTTAGATTATTCTGAGGCATGTTCTAGTTATTTTCTAGAAATAAATGGCCTAAGGCCAGATCCTCAAAAATTACTGCAGGCTTTTACACAATGGCAGAGTATGAAAGTAAATGCTGCAGATGCCATCATTGAGAGATGTAGGATGTTTCTAGGGCCAGCTTTGCCTCTTGAATATGTGTATCAGCTACTCTGGTTCTGGCCAACACCAGAGCACACTGCTTTGTCACTGCAGGATGACATTTAGATAAAAAGGGTGTTGCTTCCTTCCTAACCTGTTGTGCTTCCAAAGGAGCACATTATTCTTACTAATACTGACAGTCGGGGTACATCTTTTTGCTTTTCCTTTGTTACTAATATTGAAGATTGGGATTATAAAAGACTTTAACTTAAACAATATGAAAGATCCATTAGGTTTCAGGCCTTCATCTTTCTGATCTAAATAGAGGGACAAAATTTAAGATATTATGAACATTGGTACACACATGTGATGCTCCAAGAATCTGAAGTCTCCAGAAAGAGGGCCTTCCAGATGATAGATACAGAGTGAGTGGTGGTTTAGAGATGAGCTCTAGGGTCTGACTTCTTGGGCCGGAATTGCAGCTCTGTCACTTCCAAGCTGAGGGAATTAAGCAAATAATTGCTTAATCTTTCTTTCAATTAAGGATGGTCAATAGAGTGATTAGCTCATAAGGCTGTTGTGTGGATTATAAGTGCTCAACAGATGTCTTCTATTTTTATTAAATATTTACTGAGTTGACTGGATAGAATGATGTCACCCTTTGTCCTTTCTTTACAGGTAAGACATTGGGTGGCCAGTCAGAACATTTATTACTAAAACATTTCCTTACTATAGGAAATGCATCAAGCCTGACTGGAGATAAATAATAAGACACTTAGAGTAGAGGTGTTTTTTTAAACTTCCATAAAAAACAAAACATTTAGACTAGAGGTGGCTTTTTAAACTTCCCACGACTCCTGGGCTGCATGAGGATTTGGAAAGAGTATCGAGAGATCAAAATCAATTTTCTCAAAATTACCTACTTTCCCATAGTTCTCCAAAGAATTCTGTCTTACTACTAGAAAATCAGGCAGATGAAAACCCATGTGGAGTGACTGGAGGAGCACTGAGGGGGGGTGGGGAATCTCAAACTATCTCCTCACTGGCTGCTCTAGAACCTGAAATACATCATTTGCTAATCATCTCTTTGACAAGGAAGGCTAAGAGGTTTCTTGGACCCTTACAAAGTAGATGAATAGCTTTGTTTCGTATGGAAAGGATGAGTGAGGACAGGTAAAGAGTAGAAATGAATGGCTTGAAATGATCTAATTAGTATTTTAGAATCAAAGGCTATACCAAGACATGGGAAGAAACACTACAGATAACTTATAATGCAGTTTTTATTTGTCTTAAATTTATTCATGCAGGTAGCTTACAGGATTATGTGACACGTAAGCCTTGTTTCACCCACTGGTTCCCAATCATTTCTTGCTCCTCAAAAGCAACTATTTCCAACTTGTTTGATTTTTTAAAAATTTTTGGCTGGGCGTGGTGGCTCACATCTGTAATTCCAGCACTTTGGGAGGCAGAGGTGGGTGGATCACTTGAGGTGGGGAGTTCAAGACTAGTCTGGCCAACACCCCCGTCTGTACTAAAAATACAAAAATTAGCCAGGTGTAGTGGCGCACATATGTAATCCCAGCTACTTGGGAGGCCGAGGCAAGAGAACTGCTTGAACCTGGGAGGCAGAGGTTGCAGTAAGCCAAGATCATGCCACTGCACTCCAGCCTGGGAAACAGAGAGAGACTCCATATAAAATAATAATAATAATAATACATAAAAACTAATTTAAAAAAATAAAAAAATTCCATATCACTAGCTAGCATGCTTATTTATATTGCTTAATATTATTTCAGTTCTAAGCCCTACATGTTGGCTTCCAGCTGCAGATAATAAAGGTTTTGTTTTTTCTCATACTCTACCTGCAGTCACACCATACATGTGAATACACTCCTGCTGCTGTCTCCCGATGTGATAACAAGCAGATTGATATCCACTGTTTACATTGTTATGATGATGGAGATGCTTTTGGCAGTGGAGCCATTTCATATCTCTTGAGTATCTTTTCTTTCTTTTTGACTTTTTCCACTTTTAAGTTCTTTTGAATCCCAAGGCTCTATCTCATTTTCCTTTGCCAATTTTTCTATTTATCACGAACTTATGGAAACTCTTCTCCAGCTGTGTTAATCTTCTTTCCATGTATTCAAATATTAAGTACGTTAAGTAGCCTATCAATTTTACCTTCCTATAATCTCTCTCCAGTCCTTCTGATCTGCCCCAGTCTAGTTTGGTTAATCTCAAGGCCTGCTACCTTACCATGATTTTGGTGATTTCTATCCCCACCATCCTTTGTTGTATCCCTTGTTTGTCAGACTTTGTCTTCCTCTTTCATGGTTCACTTTCCTGTTTTCATAGACAATATCCTCTAGGAGTTTCCTCCTCATTCAGTCAATCAACTTTTTGCTACATACCCAGTGCAATGCACTGTTCCAGGCACTGAGGGTGCAGTGGGGATGCATCCTGATGGGACTATATTTTGAAAAGCACCAAGATAGAAAAGGACCAAACTGCTTCCATCCACTTGCAGCAAAGACAATCCTGTCCCATCGGCCCTACAGAGCAGTGATGCTGTAGGAGAGAGTTGGCAACATCTTCCTAGTATCCAGTTCCCATCTTTTCAGGTGAAAACATCCTTTTCTCTGGGAATGGTGCCTGCCTCCCCTACTTCATGTGATCATGACCACATGGTCTAGCCTGGGGATAGACAGATAGCAAAAGCTGAGCTTTTATATACAGACTTTTAGTGCATAGTCTGAGGTCACTAAACAGAATTATACACTTAGAGCTCTCCATAGCTATGCCCCCTTTACCCCTTGAGCATGGAAGTTTGCTCCATTCAAAACTTGCCTCATTCTCTAGAGGTACAGTGCATGTACTCTGTGTAAGACATTGCACCAAATCCCATGAGCTACACCTGAAGAAAGCCTGCCTGCATACGGATAGAATAAGGTTAATGTAGACAGAATCAAAGTTGAGAGAGAAAGAGACAGAGAGACAGAGAGATCCACATCATTTGTCTGTCCAGTACACCTCCAAGTTCTACCCTTGGAATCCCAAATCCTTCCAGGCACTTAATTTCCCCCTTTTGCTTAGCTAATTTGATCTGAGTAATGAAAAGCAGTAAAAGAGAAATCAGCTATTGCAGAAAAATATTTGGAAGATACTCTATTAAAGGCCTGAGATCTCCCTCACAATCCAGTGTAATGGCTTTTCCCTCTCCCAGAAAATAAGATGAGATTAAATAAAATTCTCCAATGTCTCTGGACCCCTTCCAAATGACATTCCACACATCTGCAGTAAAGAAGGAGAGCAGATGAATATGTAAGATCAGCACATTCCCTATGAAAAGAACACCTTTGTCAGGACATAGTCTCTATGAGGTCAGGGATTTTTCTAATAATATTCACTCCTATGTCCCTCATGCTTAGAAAAGTATTTGTTGAATGGATATACACAGGCATATATTCATATGCTTGAATGAACTTCTAACACATAAAAGATTGAAGGCCTATCATTGTCCTCAACAAGAGAAATAGAGAACATTGTGTTGGGTGTTTGCCATAGGCCCTTAAGTTTTGTCTGAGTGAAACAATGAAAGAAGAAGACATCTCCATTCTTTGTCCCCCTAACCCCACCAAAAAATGTTTTTTCTTTTCTTTTTTTTTTTTTTTTTTGTTTTTTTTGAGACAGAGTCTCACTGTGACACTCAGGCTGGAGTGCAGTGGTACAATCTTGCCTCAGTGCAACCTCTGCCTTCTGGGTTAAAGCAACCCTCCTGCCTCAGCCTCCTGAGTAGCTGGGGACTGCAAGCATGCACCACCACACCTGGTTAATTTTTATATTTTTAGTAGAGATGGGGTTTTTCCATGTTGGTCAGGCTGGTCCCGAACTCCTGACTTCAAGTGATCTGCCCACCAGAAGATTTTTAAGGTTCATGACTTCTAATTGGATCAGATAAACCCTAAAGGGGTTATTGAATCACAACTTCAGGCAGAAGTACTAGGACGATTTCTACCCCATTGCAATGAAAGAAAACAAAGTACAGTCCCTCCTACAGAGGGAAGATAGTGCCGATTTTGACAGAATATAAAACACAAAGTAAAGGCAAAAAGAAAAAAAATATTTTCTTAACACTTTTGGATAAAACCAGGCTTATCTTTGTTCTCAAGCTATTTCCAGGGAGCTAGAGTGGATGGGCCACTTAGCAATATCCTTATACACACAATCCTTATTAGAAGATTGCTTCATGATGAAATGTCAGGCAACCCATCAAAATGCTATTGATTATGTTATTAAAGAGTACAGATAGAAAATAATAAATCAATTGTGGTTGTTGCTTATTCAGACTTTTAAAGATATGTGAACAACCTGAGACTTCATCTTTAGAGAAGTGGATGAGGTTTAAATGGGGCAAGACTTCTTTTCCAGATAACCAATATATCACTTTTTAGCTGAAAGGGACATAAAAACTCCATTTGGAGGCTGAGGGTATATTTTTCAATGTCTCAAATGAGCTTCTCTTTGAAATATTAATGATTCGTCTCAATGGTGCCCAAGGAAGAAGTATTGATGGTCAGACAACCAAAACTACCTTCAAATTTGATGGTATTTTTGTTACATATGCTACATTCAATGGAAACATTCAAGAGAAACTTTCTAGCATAGACTAAAAGATACAGCAAGACAAACCCTCACCACTTGGTGCTGAGGGACAAATCCAGCAAGTCATGTTGGAGTGTTTGTCTCCCTGCCATTGTCACTGTGAGACCCAGTTATTGGTATGAAGAGGTGTTGGGAAAAGACTATTACTGATTGCTTATGTCAACTAAACAGATAAGCCAAGATGAAAGATCTGTAGTTAATGGTTTTTCTGCTTTTGCTCGACATAAAATCTAAATTGTTCATGTTGACATACTCATAATGAAATGAGTTAACTCTGAGAGTTATTTGGCCACTTTTTGTTCTGTTTTGTGTGTTGAAGCTAGGTGCTAATCTCACAAGCACATTCATTTTCAATTTTGCTAGTCTTTCTTCATAGAACTTCTTCTGATTTTTATGTTTTTATATGTTCATTTTTTATCTCCCACCCTTGAAAGTAAACTCTATTCTTTGTCTAGCATGTATAGCAGTGTCATCTCAGCTCCTACTATTCATAATAGGTCCCCAATAAATAATTGATAAATGACAGGAGGCTTTGCCAGCATTAGTCACCTTCCCTCAGAAGATTTCCATCTCTTCCTAACTTCAATTTTTGAAATAGAAGGCATATGAACACACTGTAATTCTTCCCCTTAAAGAATGAAAATTGGCCAGGAGCGGTGGCTCACGCCTATAATCCCAGTACTTTTGGAGGCTGAGGCAGGCGGATCACGAGGTCAGGAGATCCAGACCATCCTGGCTAACACGGTGAAATCCCGTCTCTACTAAAAATACAAAAAAAATTAGCCAGGCTAGGAGGCGGGCGCCTGTAGTCCCAGCTACTCGGGAGGCTGAGGCAGGAGAGTGGCGTGAACCCGGGAGGCGGAGCTTGCAGTGAGCCGAGATGACGCCACTGCACTCCAGCCTAGGCGACAGAGCAAGACTCCGTCTCAAAAAAAAAAAAAAAAAAAAAAAGAATGAAAATTCACCTCAGACGCCCTTACCAGAGGACTGGCATTTGGAAAAAGAATCTAATACTAATTTTCCTGCTGAAAGAAGACTGCTGATAAAGATGATTATAATAGTCCTGGTTGGTAAACTTATTTTGATGATGCATTAACTATAGCTGGGTTTTCACCTATATGCTTTCAAAACATACACAGAAAGGGATTAACTTGAGTGGCTAAATCAATATGGTTGTTAAAACTAGCAGATTAAGTAGTTATACAGTAAGTACAGATGACAGAGTACAATACAAAAATTGCTTATTACTCATCCTTAAATAAATTAATCATCTATTATGGACAGAGAAAACAAATAACTTCATCCAGGGAAACTCACTGAGAGAACACACTTCCTTAACATAAACAGTGGAAACAGAAATCATGTTTCATGAAGTAGTTTTCAAATATGCAGAGTCAATATGGTCTACAGTAACAAAATGAAGATTATTACTTTTCTTCAGTTGAATTTGCCTTATATAACCAACCAGTGTGTGAGTTGGTGAAAATGCCTGTATTGTCATATGGTTTTATAACATGGGGGTTAGACAGACCTGATTTATGTATTAGTTTCCTATTGCTGCTATAAAAATTTACCACAAACTTATTATTATTTTTTTTTTCCACAGAGTTTCGCTCTGTTGCCAGGCTGGAGTGTAGTGGCGCGATCTTGGCTCACTGCAGCCTCCGCCTCCTAGATTCAAGCAATTCTCCTGCCTCAGTCTCCTGAGTAGCTGGGACTACAGGCGCGCGCCGCCACGCCCGGCTAATCTTTTTGGATTTTTAGTAGAGATGGGGTTTCAACATGTTGGACAGGATGGTCTCAATCTCCTGACTTCGCGATCCGTCTGCCTCGGCCTCCAAAGTGTTGGGATTACAGGCGTGAGCCACCGCGCCCGGCTAAACTTACGGTTTTAAACAACATAAGTTTATCATTTTATAGTCCTGGAGGTCTGAAGACTGAAATGGGTGAACAAGGCTAAAATTCAGGTGTCAGGAGGGCTGCTTTTCTACTGGAAGCTCTGGAGGATAATCTGTTTCTTGTCTTTTCTAGCTTCTAGAGGCTACATGCATTCTTTGGATCATGGCACCTTTCTCCCACATTCAAAGCTCATGACTCTAACCTCTGCTTCCACCATCAGATCTGTTCTCTGACTCTAACCCTCCTGCCTCCCTTTTATAAAAACCCTTGTGTTACATGGAGTGCGTTACACTACCCAATTAATCAAGGATAATCTTCCCTCTCAAAATCCTTAGTTTAATTTTATCTCCTAACTCTTTCTTGCCATGTAAAGTGACATATAGGTTCCAGAGATTAGGACATGGACATCTTTAGGGGATTATTGCACTGTTTACCACTGTTTATATGCCTGCTTTGCCAATTATAAGGTGAAATTTGATGTTTCTGACCGTTTTTTATGTCTAGAATGGGAATTATTACAAATCTCAGTGTTGCGAGAATTAAAGGAGACAAGTAGTATAAAGCATTTACTACACTGGCTGGCACACGGTATCAATACATTATAGTTAGTATGCAGGTTTTATTATCCTTGGATTTGGTAAATATGACAGACTGGTTCTTTGATTGACTCTAATTATAGACACATAAACCCTGGAAGTACAAAAGCTTTAATTTTTCATTTGCTTAAATGAAAGCCAATGTCTCATGTTTTCAATTTCTATAGCAAAACAATATGACCTATTCCTTAAAAGGGAAATAATAATGAGATCTCAAGAAGGAAATAGAAAGAAACAATAAACATTTTAGAAAGTTTTGGCTATAGGAATTTTAACCAAAAGCCAATTTTATAACTGAGGGCACACTGACCCAGACACTCTCTGAACAGTGCCCCCGAGCACTCACCAGCTAGAAGCGTTTGCAGGATGGTTTTCAGTTCTGTTTGCTTTACTAGTAATTGGCTCTTTGGGTGGTGAGTGGGGAATACAGATACACACATAGTGGACAAACACACACCCACACATGTAATTTCAAAGAAAAGCAGCATATTAGCAAAGTACTGTGAGCAGTTGTCTTAAATAGGTTATGCGTGTACTCAATAAAGTAAGTTTCTTCCCTTTTACTTACTTATGAAAATTACTTAAAAATGCACTGTACATGTGTGCAAAAAATATGAATATATTCTATCAAGGAGCACTTTTGATTTTTTTTCCTTAAAAGCTATGTAATAATTCATGCATATGTATATTTAAGTAGTTCATCTTTAGCAGTCTGCCCACTTGGGGAATTTATTTTTATCTCTAATTTAATTCCAATTTTTCTTGCAGAGAGTTAAAAGCTAGTTATACTTTGTGTAAAAGACAGTCCAACATTTGAAGATTATTATAAAAGTCATACTAACATTTATATAACAATCCTATAATTTGATATAAATCTGTTAGTTGTGTCTTCATTTACATCTTATTTATGTTTAACTTCATACACTATGAAGATGATATTTGTTACCTTTTGGCTCTTTTATAATTTGGTTCGTTTTGATGTGAGTTTTTTAGGAAAATTAGCAAGTAATAGAAAAAAATCATTTAGCAAGTATATATTGAACATTTATTATATTAATGTCCTGTTATATTGATCTCCTATTATATTCCGGGTCATGGAGTGGAACAAGTGAACCTGAATCCCAACTCTCATGGAATTTACATGTAGGGGACTATAGACAATGGAGAAATCAATAACATGTTGGTATGTTTGTTGTACTATGGCAGTGATATGTACTATGAAGAAAAATAACAAAAATAAAGGGGCATTAGGGAAGAAAAACAATAAGAAGTTGTATTTCAGACTGAGTATGAACAAAGAAGCTCCCAACTGCTGTCAGCTAAGAGATGGCCAAAGTGTTCTCTGGTTAGACATAAATAATTTTGCAGAAAAGTAAAATCAGACCAGACCACCTTTGTGACTGTATTAGAACAAGACAAAACCAAAACCCAATAGTAACCCTATCTGAGCACAGATAAACACAGTAATATTGTGCAAATCGCAAAAATGATCAAACATTCCCTTCATCCAGCTAATATAAATAATAGCTTTTGCTGATTCTTCATCAATTATAGCTTTAGTCTCACACCATTCATCCTAGTTAAAAATTGTTAAGAATTGCCCATTTTCTGACAGCCTCCAATATGGAAGCAAAATCATGCTTCACTGAATCCTCCCTAAAATCACCTAGCACAAACCTGAGCCCTATGACAAATTCCTTCTAAAACTCCCTTATTGTACACTACATGGCTACTCATGGTGTGTTTCTCTCACAGCAATGAGCCAAGAAGCCCAACACTGACTATAGGTGTGTTCCTCATGGTCTTTGGTTGAAAATCATAGACAAGAAAGTCACTTCTAATTTATGTGTATTTTATAGAAAGAGAGTCTTGCCATATTGCCCAGGCTGGTTTCGAACTCAAAATACAAAAATTAGCTGGGCGTGGTGGTGTGCATTTGTAGCCCCAGCTATAATACTTAGGTGGCTGAGGTGGAAGGATTACTTGAGGCCAGGAGGTCGAGGCTGCATTGAGCTGTGATCACACCACTGCACTCTAGAGTGACAGAATGAGACCCTGTCTCAGAAAAAAAAAAAAAAAGTCACTTGTGATTAATTGACAGTTAATAAAACACCTGAATAAAGTTAAAGAAGAACCATTTGGCTATGTGAAGAAAAGGGAAACAGTGAGTGCAAAGATCCTAAGGTAGGATCATTCCTGAGTAGGTTCAAATAAAACCCAGAATACAGAGATGGTTGAATCTGAATAGGTGAATAAAAGAGAGGAGGGAAATAAGGCCAGGTCCAAATTGTGAAGGGTCTTATATGCCATACATCAGACACTGAATATTTGTGTCTCCTCCAAATTCATATTCCCTAATCCCCAATGTGATCATATTTGGAGATGTGGGCCTTTGGAAGTTAGTCAGGGTGAACTGAGGTCATGAGAGCGGGGTCCTGGTCTAATAGGATTAGTGCCTTTATAAGAAGGCACTAATAAGAACAAGGGAGCTTGCTCTTTCTCTCTCTCTCTCTCCACTTGCATGCACCAAGGAAAGGCCATGCGAACACACGGTAAGAAGGTGGCCATCTGCAAGCCAAGAAGACAGCCCTCACCAGATCTCAATCATGCTGGAACCCTGATCTTGGACCTCCAGCCTCCAGAACTATGAGAAAACAAATTTCTGTTATTTAAGACACCAAAATCTAGGGTATTTTGTTATGGCAGTCTGAACAGACTAAGACACATAGTAAAGATACGAATTTTACCTCACTGGAAATGAATTGGAAACTTTTGAAGGATTTCAATAAAGGAGAGTAGGACCTGACTTATGATTTAATAGAATCAGTCTAGCTGCTCTGTTTAGAATATGTTGTAGGAAAGTTGGGAAAAGAAGCATGGGATCCAGCAAGGAATTCAGGCAGTAGATGGTGATGGCTTTTTCAATGTAGCAGGAATGAAAGTGGTGAGACAGGAACATTGAGGATAAAATATCCAACTGAAATACTGTCTTGGATATCAGATTTATTTTGAAAGTAGAGCCAACAGATTTGCTTACCCATTTAATGTAGACCATGAGAGATATAAAAAGATAAGCCAAAAAGGACTTCAAATCCTGAGATAATAGATGAATTCAGTTATCATTTTGCTTAGATACATAAATCATGGGGATGAATAGTTGGGGAGATTATAAGTTAAGATCTCAACTGTGGACAAGTTAAGTTTGAAATGTCTATTCTGTATTCAAGTGGAGATGCCCAGTAGACAAATTTCTGAACTGAAGCTCAAGGGACCAAAACTGTAAATGTAAGTTTAGGAATTTATATTTAATAGATGACATTTACAGTCATGAGCATGGACAACCTAGGAAATGAGAAGACGAAGGTCTGAGCCCTGTGACACTTCAACACAGGCTGGGAAAGAGCTGTCAGTGAGGAAAGAAAAAAAAAATGCAAGTGTTTAACCCTAGATCAAGCCTTGCTCCACATGATAAATGATCACCTAATAATAAGTGTCATATGACAAGCTTGGCCTGTAGGAGTGGTGTTTGTTTTAGCTCTTTCAAAAGTGTCTCATGTGGGTTCCACAAGATGATAGTTGAAATCCTGGGTGTGGCAATGTTTAAAAATTTATTTTTAATCTTACTCCTTCTTCTTTATTCCCTGGACTGAGTAGGGACTAATCCAGCCATTTTCTATGCAAGTGTTTCTCACAATAAGCATGAAAATTTTCTGGGTGCTTATTGAAAAATGCACATTCCTGAGCTCCAACTCAGATCCACTGAATCAGAAACTCTGAGAGTAGCATGCTGGAACTTACATTTATAATAAGTTCCCAAGTGAGTTGCCATGCACATTAATATGGAAAACAATAAGCTATTCTTGTATTCTCACCTTGTCATAAAGAAGGAAAGGAGTTAATTGTAAAGAGTCAAATTTGGGGCATTATAATGGGACAAGGATCTTTTAGAGAGGATAGCTAAACAAATACTATAATCAGATATTGGCATTACCACTCCTGGCCACTCATTACTTTGTAAGTATCTATAGATAGTCTCATTTTGATGAAAATAAGGAATGCATAGTATTTTTTCTAAAGATATCTTGGCACCAAAGTGAAAATATCTTTGCAGGTGTTGTGTCACAACCAGAATTCCCTACTTCCATTTAGAAAAACATTATTTAAGCTATTGCCTGCAGAAATGTTGCAACATATTGTTGGCAAACAAATCTAGCAGCCATAGCATGGAAAGAGAAACTTACCCTTTTGATGAGCTGGTTTTGTAGATTCTCCTTTTACTGTTGAATCCAAAGGTGCCCTCTACTAGTGGATTCTGGTTTGACTAGATTAGAAAGATGAAAAGTTGAGAATGTATTTTAGCAAAGTTATTTTTGAGCAACTATAGAAATAATAGTTTCCACCATTTGTTGGTGTGTGTATGTGCCAAGCACTATAGTAAGGCATATACTATTTTATTTAATCTTTACAATAGTGCTGTGTTACAAATGAGGGAGTTGATTTTAGGAAGTGTTGCAAGCTGGGGAGCAGGTGAAATGGATCACAGTACACAGGGAATTTATTAAGGAGTGCCCTTTGGATCAAAACTAGTTGAAAGGAGAGAAGAGAAGCAGTAGTAGGCAGAGGGAGGGAGGGGAAGAAGTTGAGCTGTGATGCAGCCTCAAAGAAAGCCTCAACCAACCACAGGGAGTTCTAAAGCTGTAAGGGTCCAACAGAGTGGTCTCAGGTTGGGGAAGTATGGCCATGCCTTTACTACCCAGCATCAGTCAGTAATTAAAGGCAGACTATACTGAAAAAAGGCATGACTTGGGGTAAGGAGCTTATTTGCAGCTGAGGCAATGCCTGAAGCAGCAGAGGAGCCAAAGGTTGTCTGCAAAGAGCACTTTCAAGTTGGGGCAAAAGAGGGATCTGGCCATTGAAGAGGGATCTGGGAGGCCCATTACAGTGCCCACCTCAGGGAACCAAGATGTCAGCTAGAATGTGAGAAAGCTGAGAAGTTTAATGTAAGACAGTTTGATTCTAAAAGTAATTGTCTAAATCAGGCTAAAGAATTTCACACATGTATTTTCAAGCCAGAGGTGAGTTATTAGAAAATGAACAGTTGCTATCATCAGGAATCATTTCTATAGATTGCGTTCCAGGATAATGCACAGGAGTATCAATTAACTCTTATTTGGTCTTCATATTTTTTAAGTATTTCCTCATTTTGAACATGTGGCCAGGCCAGTATATATTTTCTTACCTTAAGACTTTTGCAGGACAGAAAAGACTTGATGCTTGGAGTGAAGATATCTTTCTAAATACTAAGTTCATTGAAGAAATGATGTCTGCCACCCTGATGGGGGATGGGGAGAGAAGAGAGGGAGAATGGCTGAGGGGAACTGAATGAGAGAATGGCAACACTTGACAAAAAAAGAGGGAAAGGAAGAAATGAATCCCAATTTAAAGCAAATCTCAGTGTAATATGCTACAGTTTGCTTGTCTGTCCCTCCAAATTTCATGTTGAAATTTAATCCTCAATACTAGAAGTGGGGCCTAGTGAGAGGTGGGACAGACCTTTCACAAATGGCTTCGTGCTGTTCTCATGGAATGAGTCAGTTTTTGCTCTATTGGGTCCCACAAGAGCTGGTTGTTAAAAAGAGCCTAGCACCCCACCCCCCAGCCCACCTATTTCCTCCTTTCTGGCCATGTGATCTCTGCACATGCTGGCTTCCCTTCACCTTCTGCCATGAGTGGAAGCAGCCAGAGGCCTTCACCAGATGCCCAATCTTCCAGCCAGAAGAATGAGGAGCCAAATAACCCTTTTTCTTTATAAATTACCCAGCCTCATATATTCCTTTATTGCAATGCAAAAATGGACTAAGACATAGTGGAAGGTGAAAGAACTAATTGCTATCAGAGGCAGTATCTAGGGAAGGTGATAAGACTTTGAGATGACTACCTGGTACCCCTGGGGATATAGAAACTAGGCGTCCAAGTGCCCATGCTTCAAAAACTATGACAACAGAGCCTGTGATGTGGAAGGGGCCATTCATTCTGGAACAACAGAAGACTCAACAAGTGTGGACTAATGAACAACGGCCAAGTGAACATCCCAGTACTGTGGTGCATGCCCATGGGATGAGGAAACACCCTAATGAGGACTGAGATAGAATTTCTACCTACAAAAGTGAGATGTGGTCCCAGAGATGGATTTAAGTCTAGTTACAGAAATCTTAAAAATGAAAATTCTCATATTTCTGAGTTTTTAGCAGTAATATTGTCAGGAGAGATGTAATAAAAATAGGAAAAGATCATGGATGTCAGGCATGGCCAAGATTGTAATTGCCGTCCTTGTTAGAAAAAAAGGAAAAAGAACATGGGAAGGAAGAAGAGAATGAAAAGAGGAGGAGGAAGCAAGGAGGAGAAGGAAGAGGAAGTACCAGTAGTTATCTCTGTATGCTGGCTGATATCTTCCTCAGCATCAATCTACGCACTCCAAAGGGAATAGAAGTGACCAAAAGTGGTGGGAAGTGAGGGTGTCCAGGAGATAAATTGTATGTCTTGAAACACAAACTGCAGGAGGCAGGCTGCTGAGCAACTATGTAAACTACCCATATCGTGGCGAGAAGTACAAATGCTGGGGACCAGAGGAACTACTGTCCAAATACAGTCATTTTATTCTTTGACTGCTTTATTAGATGTTATACTTTTTTAAAATTGTCGAATGTTAGCAGGCACCTGTCCTTAAAGATAGAATCAAGCTGGCAGGCCTGGCCACTTGTCCCTTCTGATTCTCAAAGGAAAAGCATCACTGATGGGTAGAAATCTGTCTTTCCCTAAAAAAAGAAGGGCAAAGTACAGTAGCATGGAAGGGAATGAGAATTATAACTGTTTTGGGAAGAATTTTATTTGTGCTGCAAAAACATTACAAAATCCACAGGTCGACCATGCTGTTCTGCCTGTTCCCCTCCACAGCTCTATCTAGCTCTTGCCCCTTGTTTGTCTTAATTTCAATTATGTTATTTATTGTTTAGAATTTTTGTACTATGTAAGTTTAACTTCAAATTACTTTCATTAATTATGAAAAGTAACATTACAAACCTCTATATGGTCATCACCCAACTATATACAATCTTAACCTTTTGCTTATTGATATTTACTTCTTGTTTTGAAAAAGAAATGATGCACAGTATATTCAGTTAACACTCACTGTATACTCTTACCTTATTCTTCCCCTCTCTCCCCCAAAGTAATCCCTATCCTAAATTTTGTGTTTATCATTTCTGTGCATACTGTAATCCATAAATAATATGTAGTATTTTTTCATGTTTTAAAAATTACATAAAGAATATTATATTGTTCATACAATTCTACCACTCCTTTTGCTCCAAATTATTTCAGCTTTTTTTTTTTTTTTTTTGAGATGGAGTCTCACTCTGTCACCCAGGTTAGAGTGCAGTGGCGCGATCTTGGCTCACTACAACCTGTGCCTTCTGGGTTCAAGCTATTCTCCCGCCTCAGCTTCCCCAGTAGCTGGGATTACAGGCAAGCACCACCATACCCAATTATGTTTTGTATTTTTAGTAGAGACGGGTTTCACCACATTGGCCAAGCTGGTGTCAAACTCCTGACCTCGTGATCTGCCCGCCTCAGCCTCCTGAAGTGCTGGGCTTACAGGCATGAGCCACTGCACCTGGCCTATATTTAAGCTTTTTTGAGGTATAATTTATATATAATAAATTCCACTTTTAGGTGGTTCATTTTGACGAATTTTGATAATTATATCAATTGTTTAACCACCAATATAAGCTATAGAAAAATTCCTTCATCGGAAAAAGGTTTTTTGTGCCCCTTTGATCCCTGGTTCCTGTCCAGATCTTCCATGTAAGCATCAGGTAGAGGTGTAAGGAAAGAGTTGGCAGGAGAGTGCAGCCTTCTCCTATGGAAGCATACCACGCTAACACTCACTAGTAAGAATTCTATGGCAGCCATCTCTTCTCACTGCTGCGATAAATGTCCAACAGCTTGTTTCTGTCCTGCTGTCCTCAGAATGACCTGTCAACCTTGGGTCTTAGCTCACCAGGTGGCCTTGCAACCTCAGCTCACTAATGGGCTGCAAACATCATGATTTTGCAGACTCTCTGGTTTGTTCTCATTGTTAGAGTGGAAGGGGTTTTCTCTTGTGGCCTTCTTCATCTTAAGCGTAAGCCAAAGCTTCTTTAGATGGATAATAGTGGATATCAAACACTTTGTTGTGTAAATTATCTTGGGTGGAACAGTTTTATTTTAAATAGTCTATATTTATATTTGCACAAAGTTATGTATTGTGCAGTGGCCTGAATCTCCAGTGAAAAATTTTAGATCTCAATTTTAAGATGTGCTGGGTTTTTCAAAATTCTCCTAAGAGGTAAGCAGGTAAAAAGTAGGTAAAAATACTTATATCATGCACAACCCCTATAAAGCTTACATATTCCCAGATTCTAGTGGGAAATATAGGTTACCATATAGTGTCATACATTTTAGAAGAGAAGTAGTTTCAGAGAATTGTGAGAGAACAGAATATAAGTGTTTTGGTTAACCTCGGTATGCTGGGACTTCCGGGTTGATGCTTGGAAAAATAATTTCTTTCTAGTGCTCCATATCAGGCGTCAGCAAACTTTTCTGAAAAAGAACAGACAATAAACATTTTAGGTTTTGCAAGTCATATAATCTTTGTTGCAACTAATCAGTTCCCTTGTTATAATAAGAAAGCAGCCATAAACAGTATGTGAATGAATGGGTGCACAGTGTTTCAATAAAACTTTATTTACAAAAACAGGCAGTGGGCAGGATTTGGTGTACAGATCATAGCCTATAGACCTCCTCTCAATTGTGATCAATTACGTGTCCATCTAAAAACCATGTAATACGTAGTAAAGTTCAGAAATTGTCACGATGTGCAGTATATAGAGGTGAGTGACATAAGTATTCTGTCAAGAAACTCACAAACCAGAAGGCGAGAATGATGTGAAAATAAATAATTATAACAAAATGTATTAAGTGCTGTGAAGCATGTATACAACACAAAGCTAGGATAGAAATGAGTATGGAGGCAGGGTGCAGTGGCTCATATCTGTAATCCCAACAATTTGGGAGGCTGAGGAATGAGGATCACTTGAGCCCAGGAATTCTGAGATCAGCCTGGGCAACAAAGGGAGAGCCTGTCTCTACAAAAAATTTAAAAATTAGCCCATCATAGTGGTGCACACCTATAGTCATAGGTACTTGTGAGGCTGAGGTGGGAGGATCATTTAATCCTGAGAGGCTGAGGCTGCAGTGAGCCATGGAGATGCCACTGCACTCCAGACTGGGTGACCGACTGAGACCCTCCAAAAGAAAAGAAAAATAAATAAAAAGAAAAGGGAAGGGAAGAGGAAGGGGAAAGGAAAGGAAAAAGAAAAGGACTGTGGCTAAGGCCAGATGCAGTGGCCTGCAATCTCAGCATTTTGGAAGGCCGAGGTGAGTGGATCACTTGAGGTCAGGAGTCCAATACCAGCCTAGGCAACATGGCGAAACCCCGTCTCTAATAAAAATAAATTTTAAAAAAATTAGCTGGACATAGTTGTACATGCCTGTAGTCCCAGCTACTTGGGAGGCTGACATGGGAGGATTCCTTGAGCCCAGGAGATGGAAGTTGCAGTGAGCTGAGATGGTGCCACTGCACACTCCAGCCTCAACAACAGAGTGTGACTCCGTCAGAAGGAAAGAAATAGAGAGCGAGAAAGAGAGAGAGGAAGGAAAGAAGGAAGGAAGGGAGGGAGGGGAGAGAAAGAAAGATAGAGAAAGAAAGAAGGAAAGAAAAAGAAAGAGAGAAAGAAGAAAAGAAAGAAAGGAAGAAAGAAAGGAAGAAAGAAAGAAAGAAAGAAAGAAAAGAAAGAAAAAAAGAAGGAAAAGAAAGAAAGAAAAGGAAGGAAGGAAGAAGGGAAGGAAGCAAGGAAGGGGGAGAAATAAAGGAAGAATGTCTAAGTTACTTATAGGAGTAGAAAATATTTTGTTTGCCTACTGCTGGTCCCATGTAGCCACTCATCAACAGCAGAGTTCTAGAGATTTCAGACTTAGAATGAATCTTCGTGTTTGTGAATTTTTACTCCTTATACACATGAGGAAACTAAGAATTGGAAAGGTTAGCATATTATGTAATATTTGACTTGCCACACATATACTTTTGGTAACAGAAAAAAGATGTATTAAGTTGAATCGTTTATGAAAAAACATTTTTCCACAGATTAACCTAAAAGGGCACAAAAAACGTGAACAAGGAACATTGAGAAACATATATATTCTTGTATTCAGATAATAACTAGGAGAAGGCCAAGTCTATCAGAGTAACTATATTTCTCATCTTGAGCTCTGTATTTAATTTGGCATGGTGATTTTTGCAACATTTGATATTTGATAGCTCATTAAATAGATAAGAATGGGGCCCAAGATGCTATTTTACTATAAATTTTTATAAAGCATTGTAGTGACAGAGTGAATATCAGAAGAAACTTAAGTAAGTGGAACTGAGAACAGGATGAGCAGCCAGCAGTGTGAGCTAAAGGACACACACAGCCCCGGGGCTCTAGGTAGAAGAAAGAGGTAAGAGGAGAGTGGGCAGTGCCAGGGACCAGCCTGTCACCTAGCACTATGTCTCAGAATAATTAGGCCACATAAAATCAATGGTCTATGCATCCAAAAGCTGACCCATTTCCTCCTTGGGATGATTGCACCATGTATTTAAAAATTATTTAACTGAAAGTGAGAACATTTCAGTATTCTAATATCAGGTCCTGGAGGCAATTGCTTAAAACACAGTGTTAATAGTTGGAAAACATGGAGGATTTGCTTTCAAAGAAGGTGTGCATGTAATAAGCAGTCTATTTATTTATTCATCATTATTATACTTACTTAAATAGACAATAAATGCATGACTAAGAATATGGGAGAATGAATCAGTGACATTTTTGCCTGGGTGGTTCTGTTACAATTTTATTGTTTCTAGTTTCTAGATTAGATTGTAGCAATTACTTGTGCTTTCAATTTGAATTTAAAAATGAGCTGGAATCTGTTCAAACTAATGTCCAAATCTATACTAGGCCCAGTGGTCCCAGAAATTTCTTGAAAAATTGATAATAGAGTGAATTACATTTAAAATGTTCTTTTAAGCAATTGCATAAAGAAGCATATCACCCTGCTCCAGGCCAGACAACAGTCATATGCAGGACGAAACTGATGGGTACCTAAAAAATTAGGGAAAGCCTGGCAAATAACTAATGGCTGCTTTCAGGATGAAGTCTGTTGTGAAGCTATTGGAATTCTAGATGGGTGGAAGTATATACAGAGGGAAGCTGAACACCTACAAAAATTAACTCCTCCTTCAATAACAACAAGGGATTTTGTTTTATTTTGTTTTAATATAAAATTGTATTTCAGTATTTCCTAAAAATAGACTGGTTCTATCAGACAGTAAAAACACTGCAGAGGGAAAAGCTGATTCTTATGAAGTATATAAGAAGTATTACTCATATAAGAGAAGAAGGAATACTTCTTCGGGTGGTAATTATGTTTGTATTTGTTCAAAATACATTGATTAATTTTGTATTTGTATTCAAGTAAAAAATTGGATTCAGTGAGACATATGTGCATACCATTCAGGGAAGAGAAAGGCTCAGACAAAGCTGAAGCTTGTGCAGAATAACATGAAAGACTCAATAATGAGCCAAAATCCACTAAACAAAATCATCCACTAGACTTGAGTTCTGATTCTAAAGTAAGATACCTAGAAACTTTCCTCTTGATCTTCCTTTGTCACACATTGATTCCTAGACAGTCCTCTTTTCTGCAGCCTTTTAAAATTCAGTTATATACACCTGGTACACAAATATTTATTGACTGAACTAAGTAACTGAGAGTTAAGGTAGAAAATTAAAAGAATTAACTCAAGAAAAATTTAAAAATCACCTGTAATCTCACTAACTGCGCTGAGGCAATAGGAGCCATCAATCTTATATAATTCCTTCCAAATGTTTTTATACAAATATGCACACACATAAGCACACATATACAAGGTATATTTTTAAGTTTCATGTTTTGCAATTAACAGTGTACACTGAAGACTTATGATCAAATACTCATTAAAAGTATTATTTTAATAGCTATATAATTTTCCAGAGTAAGAATGTTCATAGGAACATTCACAGGAACATTAAGGTTACTGATAAACATTTTGATTGTTTACATTGTTATGAAATATTTTTATATATAAATATTTGACTGAAATTCAGATTATTACCTAAAAATATATTTTTTATAAATGAAAATATCTTTGCCAATTAGATACATAAAATGGTTACCTGCTTGCTCTGATTTGTATCTGTGATTGGGTGCTTGGTGGCCCAATTTTGTCTTGGGAAAGTAATGTTTTCTTATTGATTTATAAAATTTTTTGTATATAAAATAAATGATAATACTTTGTCATATTTGTTGTACACATATTCCTTGGTTATTCAAGTACTTAGTTTTTTTTTTTTTTTACCAGTTTTGATATAGATGAATTTGATATAGATTTCATTTTAATAAACTCAGATCTAGCAATTATTTCTTTGTGGTATCCTCTGTTGATTTTATGTAATAAACAGCTTTCTCCATTTGAAGTTTCAATTATATTTTCTCCTAGCTTTTAATGTTATTGTACATAAGAAGGTGAAAAAACTCTCAATTTGCAATTTGTCATTTTTCCTGATATTATTTTTAAAATATCTCAAACATTAAATTACGCAAAAGGAAGCAGACACAAAAGAATATGTATGTAATATCAATCCAGTTTTACAGTTCAAACACATGCAAAACTAATCTATATTGTTAGAAAGCACAACAGTGGACTGGGTGTGGTGGTTCACGTCTGTAATCCCAGCACTTAGGGAGGCCAAGTCAGGCAGATCACTAGAGGTCAGGAGTTCAAGACCAGCCTCTGGTCAACATGGTGAAACGTCGTTTCTACTAAAAATACAAAAAATTAGACGGGCTTGGTGGTGTATACTTCTAATCCCAGCTATTTGGGAGGCTGAAGCAGGAGAATCACTTGAACTCGGGAGGCAGAGTTTGCAGTGATCTGAGATTGCAGCACTGCACTCTAGCCTGGGTGACAGAGTGAGACTCTGTCTCAAAAGAAAAAGAAAAAGAAAGAAAGAGAGAGAGAGAGAAAGAAAGAAAGAAAGAAAGAAAGAAAGAAAGAAAGAAAGAAAGAAGAAAGAAAGAAAGAAAGAAAGAAGAAAGAGAGAGAAAGAAAGAAAGAGAGAGAGAAAGAAAGAAAAGAAGGAAAGAAAGAAAAAGGAAGAAAGAAAGAAAGAAAGAAAGAAAGAAAGAAAGAAAGAAAGAAAGAAAGAAAGAGAAAGAAAGAAAGAAGGAAAGAAAGAAATAGAGAAAGAAAGAAAACACAACAGTGGCTTTTTTGAGGAAGAAAGAAGGTTGTAGAGATTGGGAGGAATATGAGAAAGGTTTCTGGAGTGCTCTTTCTTTTATTATTATTATTATTATTATACTTTAAGTCTTAGGGTACATGTGCACAATGTGCAGGTTTGTTACATATGTATACATGTGCCATGTTGGTGTGCTGCACCAATTAACTCATCATTTAGCATTAGGTATATCTCCTAATGCTGTCTCTCCCCCCTCCCCCTACCCCACAACAGTCCCCAGTGTGTGATGTTCCCCTTCCTGTATCCATGTGTTCTCATTGTTCAATTCCCACCTATGAGTGAGAGAACATGCGGTGTTTGGTTTTTTGTCCTTGCGATAGTTTGCTGAGAATGATGGTTTCCAGCTTCATCCATGTCCCTACAAAGGACATGAACTCATCATTTTTTATGGCTGCATAGTATTCCATGGTGTATATGTGCCACATTTTCTTAATCCAGTCTATCATTGTTGGACATTTGGGTTGGTTCCAAGTCTTTGCTATTGTGAATAGTGCCACAATAACCATACGTGTGCACGTGTCTTTATAGCAGCATGATTTATAATCCTTTGGGTATATAGCCAGTAATGGGATGGCTGGGTCAAATGGTATTTCTAGTTCAAGATCCCTGAGGAATCGTCACACCGACTTCCACAATGGTTGAACTAGTTTACAGTCCCACCAATAGTGTAAAAGTGTTCCTTTTTCTCCACATCCTCTCCAGCACCTGTTGTTTCCTGGAGTGCTCTTTCTCAACCTGCATGGATGGGATGTTTTCTAATTCATAGTAATTATTTAAGTGTACCTTACTAAGTGTACATATTTTCATTAAATGTTTTAACCATAACAATTCATACAGTGAATCATATTTTATTTGAAGACAATAGTTTGTGATTAGTAAATAATATCACAGAAGTCTTAAAGTGGTTAGCACATTATACAGGACACTTTCTCATTCTTTCAACCCCCCTGTGGTTTTAAACTCTAGTTCAAATTTGTTT
The DNA here is from genome assembly GCF_000001405.40 of Homo sapiens. Taxonomy (NCBI): domain Eukaryota; kingdom Metazoa; phylum Chordata; class Mammalia; order Primates; family Hominidae; genus Homo; species Homo sapiens. The sequence goes on from NC_000004.12 coordinate 74,594,231, forward strand.
GATATTGTAATTTGTATTTCACAGACATAGAGCAAGATATTCTTGGTAGTATTAATTACATTTTTTTCTAAGCTTCCTTCCCTGTTTATTCATCCACATAAACTTTAGAATTATTTTTCTGGATTACAGAAATGGTACAAAAAATAGGAAGAATGAATAAGACCTACTATTTCATAGCATAATAGGGTGACTATAGTTAATAATAACTTAATCGTACATTTTAAAATAACTTCGAGTAAAATTGGATTGTTTGTAACTCAAAGGATAAGTGCTTAAGGGGATGGATACCTCATTCTACCTGATGTGCTTATTTCACATTGCATGCCTGTATCAAAACATCTCATATATCCATAAATATATACACCTACTATGTACCCACAAAATTTTTTAAATAAAATAAAATAAAATGATACCAGGGAAATTTTTAAGTAAACTTTTTACATCAGAGATTAGGCTTATCTCTTACAGTTTATATAAACTTGATTATACACTATGTAGTATTTTATGTCTTATTTATTTTGCTCACTATTATGCTGTGATATTTCTCATAATGTCTTAGGTAACAGTAGCCTGTTCATTGTCATTGTTGCAGAGCACTCCTTTGTATGATTACATTCTATTTATTTATTCATTCTACTGTTGAAGGACATATGGATTGTTTATACTTTGGGGCTATTATAAATGAAGCTATTTTCAATGTGTGTACATATCTGTAACTGTGTTATCCTGGGAGTTTAATTATTAAATCATAGGATATTTTCATATTAAAAATTTTGATAGTTTCAGTTTTCCAAAGAGGTTGATCAATTTTTACACTCCCATCAAAGAATGTATGAGAGTTTCCACTGCTTCATATCTTCACCAATACTTGGTATTATCAGTACTGTACTTTTTATGCATTGTGGGGGTTTTGTAGGAGTGTTACACTGTGATTTTAATTGTCATTTCCCTGATTTAATGAGTTGATCACTTTTAATTTGTGTTTATGAATCTATAAAATACATATCATTTGCTATTTTCTTAGAAATGTATTTTTTTATAGGAAACAATTTAATTTATAAATCATTATACATTATACTCTCTGAAATGTGATAAAAGAATGTATAGATATTAAAGACATCAATTCAAAATTTAAGTGTACACCAAGAAAATGAACATGAAAACTTATTTTTGGTCTACTACATAGGTATTACCATTCCACATTGAGGAAAGTAAAATTTCTCATCCATAATTCGAACATCTAGAAAAACCACATACTGGTTTCAATATCTAACTTTTTGAAACATTTCTGCTCAACTGAATATTATTTGGGTGGAAAACAGTGATAATTTATCATTTATTTAAATCTTCTGTAACTCTTCAGTTTGCTTATTTTTTGAGTAGTAGAAGATTTTGACCTGGATCTATTTCCACAGCTTCCCAATGTGCTTAATATCTTCTCTTGTCAATGATCATGTCAGAATTTTAAAGGGGATATACAGCAAACTCGGCTCTACTCGTTGCCAAGGAAATGATAACACCGTAAGAGTGTAATCTCTTTTCAACAGGAGTTGGAAGAAACCTATGATGCCTGGGTGTAGAATGTCAATCTGGTAGGTGGAACTAAGTGAGAGGAAAAAGCAAATGTGCAGAACTGAATCCTTAACTTCGTTACTCCTCTTGTAAATGGACAATAAATACTGAAAGAGACCAAATCCAGACTAAGGCATTTTTGTCATGTAGACAGAGAAAGACTGTTTTTCTTGTTATTAAAGAATATGCATACACCAAATGACAAGTGTTTATTCTTTATTTGTGTTGATATATGATGTGGTTTGTCTGTGTCCCACCCAAATCTCAAAATGTAGCTCCCATAATTCCCACATGTTGTGGGAGGGACCCAGTGGGAGGTAATTAAATCATGAGGGTGGGTCTTTTCCATGCTGTTCTCATGATAATGAATAAGCCTCACAAGATCTGATGGTTTTGTAAAGGGCAGTTCCTCTGTACACACTTTCTCATCCTCTCTTGTCTGCTACACATAAGACATGCCTTTCACCTTTTGCCTTCCACCGTGATTGTGAGACCTCCCCAGCGATGTGGAACTGTGAGTCCATTAAACCTCTTTTTTTAAAATAAATTACCCATTTTCGGGTATGTCTTTATTGGCAGCATGAAAATGGACTAATACAGTAAATTAGTACCAGTACAGTGGGGCACTGCTGTAAAGATACCTGAAAATGTGGAAGCAACTTAGGAACTGTGTAACAGGCAGAGGCTGGAACAGTTTGGAGTTCTCAGAAGATGTGAAAATATGAGAAAGTTTGGAACTTCCTAGAGACTTGTGGGGCTCAGAAGACAGGAAAACATAGGAAAGTTTAGAACTTCCTAGAGACTTGTTGAATAGCTTTGGCCAAAATGCTGATAATGATATGGACAATGAAATCCAGGCTGAGGTGGTCTCAGATGGAAATGAGGAATTTGTTGAGAACTGCAGTAAAAGTGACTCTTGCTATGTTTTAGCAAAGAGACAGGTGGCATTTTGTCCCTGCCCTATAGATTTGTGGAACTTTGAACTTGAAGGAGATAATTGTAAAGTATCTGGCAGAAGACATTTCTGAGCAGCAAAACATTCAAGAGGTGACTTGGATGCTGTTAAAAGTATTCAGTTTTAAAAGGGAAACAGAGCATAAAAATTTGGAAAATTTGCAGACTATGTGATTAAAAAAAAAACCCATTTTCTGAGGAGAAATTCAAGCCACTGGCAGAAATTTGCATAAGTAACGTGGAACCAAATGTTAATCACCAAGACAACGGGCAAAATGTCTCCAGGTCATGTCAGAGACATTTGCGGCAGCCCTTTCCATCACAGACCAGAGGGCTATGAGGGAAAAATGGTTTCGTAGGCCTGACCCAGGACCTTGCTGCTTTGTGCTGTCTCTGGACTTGGTACCCTGCCTCCCAGCCATGGCTAAAAGGGGCCAATGTACAGCTCTGGTCATTGCTTCAGAGGGTGAAAATCCCAAGCCTTGGCAGCTTACATGTGGTGTTGGGCCTGTGGGTGCATGGAAGTCAATAATTGAGGTTTGGGAACCTCTGCCTAGATTTCAGAGGATGTATGGAAATGCCTGGATGTCCAGGCAGAGGTATACTGCAAGGGTGCAGCCCTCATGGAGAACCTTGACTAGGGCAGTGCAGAAGGGAAATGTGGGATGAGAGCACCCACACAGAGTCCCCACTGGGGCACTGCCTAGTGGAGCTGTGAGAAGAGGGCCACCATTCTCCAGACCCCAGAATAGTAGATCCACCAAGAGCTTGCACTGTGCACCTGGAAAAGCCAGAGACACTGAATGCCAGCCCATGAAAGCAGCAAGGACAGGGGGTTGTACCCTCTCTTGGGCAGAGCTGCCCAAGGCCCTGGGAGCCCACCTCTTGCATTAGCGTGACCTGGAGGTGAGACATGGAGTCAAAGGAGATCATTTTGAAGCTTTAAGATTTGATGCCTTGATGGATTTTGGGCTTGCATGGGGCCTGTAGTCCCTTTGTTTTGGCCAATTTCTCCATTTGGAATGGCTGTATTTACCCAATGCCTGTACCCCCATTATATCTAGGAAGTAACTAACTTGCTTTTGATTTTACAGGCTCATAGGCAGAAGGGACTTTCCTTGTCTCAGATGAGACTTTGGACTGTGGACTTTTGAGTTAATGCTGAAATGAGTTAAGACTTTGTGGCTCTGTTGGGAAGTCATGATTGGTTTTGAAATGTGAGGACATGAGATTTGGGAGGGTCCAGGAGCAAAATGATATGGTTTGGCTGTGTCTGCATCCAAATCTCGAATTGTAGCTCACATAATTCACATGTGTCAGGAGAAGGACCAGGTGGGGGTAATTAAATCATGAGGGCGGGTCTTTCCTGTGCTGTTCTTGTGATAGTGAATAAGTCTCACAAGATCTCATGGTTTTATAAAGGGCAGTTCCCCTGTACATACTCTCTCATTCTCTCTTGTCTGCCACCATGTAAGATGTGCCTTTCACCTTCAACCATGATTGTAAGGCCTCCCCAGCCATCTGGAAATGTGAGTCCATTAAACCTCTTTTTAATTATAAATTACCTGTTTTGGGGTATATCTTTATCAGCAGCATGGAAAAAAAACTAATACAATATACTTAGTGTAAGTTCATTCATTTTAGTTGCTGTAGAGTATTTCATTGGACTGTCACACTTTGTTTATCCATTTCCCATTGACAGACACACAAAGCACATCCAGTTTTTTACTCTTAAATTAATGTTGAAAAGAGCATTCTTACATATATTTCATCACGTAAACAAGAATTTCTTTAGGGGATAGGCTTATCAAAAGAATTGCTGAAATTAAGTTTATTGGAAGAGAAGCAAAAATGCCTACTTGTTGGTTTTTCATTTAGCATGAGTTTCCTCACCATACTGCGGTCTAAGATTAGTCTAATGTTTTGTATGGTGGCTTAGAGTAACAAGGTCAATGTCTCACCTAACAAGGCAAAAGATGCATGATCTTTTATAACTTGGCCTCAGAAGTTACACAGCATCATTTCCACTGCATTTCCTTAGCACTGAGCAGGTCACAAGCCCACCCATACTCAAGGGGCAATATTATTGCAGGAACCTTTGGAAAATAAAACACAGCTATTAACATGTTTCCGAGAATTGTTCTTTTCATGGGCATTATACCTTTATAGTGTACGTGTTTGAACAATTTACTATATATAAAATGTGAGGTTACATCCTTTCCATTAACATACAGCAAACATTGCCTCACTGCCTTCTGGAATTCAGTGTTGCAAAGAAGATATTGCAGGCCAATCTGATGTTTATTTCTTATTACATAACCTCTTCTTCATGTTCCATGTCATTCTTGTCATTTCTAAACTCTCCTAAGCACTTTCATAATAGAACATATCTTAAGCAATAATATCCATTAATAGGGATAGTTACATAATTTATGATGCATTCAAACAATGGAATATAGAGTCATCAAAAAGAATGAGGCAACATTTTACTAATCAACGTGGCAAATTTTCCAAATACACAGTATAAAAACTTGCACAGCATGCTTTCATTTGAGCAGAGAAAATAGAGATAATCTAATACAGATATGAGCCACATAATGACATTTTGATCAATGATGAACTGCATATATGATGGTGATCCCATAATATGATAATACTGTATCTTTACTATGTTTAGATATGTTTATTTGCTTTTATTTTTATTTTAGGTTCAGGGGTTTATGTGCAGGTTTGTTATATAGGTAAATTGCATGCCACAGAGGTTTGGTATACAGATTATTTCATCACCCAGCTAATAAGCATAGTGCCCATTAGGTAGTTTTCAACCCTCTCCCTCCTCCCACCCCTGACTCTCAAGTAGGCCCTGGTGTCTGTTGTCATCTTCTTTGTATCCATGTGCACTCAATGTTTAGCTCCCACTTATAAGTGAGAACATGTGGTATTCGGGTTTTCTGTTCCTGTGTTAGTTCATTTAGGATAGTGGCCTACAACTTCATCCATGTTGCTGCCAAGGGTATGGTCTCATTCCTTTTTAGGGCTGTGTAAACTTTTTCAAAATTCATATGGAACTAAAAAAGTGACCAAATAGTCAAGACAATTCTAAGCAAAAAGAACAAAGCTACAGGCATCACGTTACTGAACCTCAAAGTATACTATAAGGTTACAATAACCAAAACAGCATGATACAGGTACAAAAACAGACACACAGGTCAATGGAACAGACTAGGGAGCCCAGAAATAATGCCACAACACTGATAACCATGTGATGTTTCACAAAAGTTGACAAAATAAGCAATGAGAAGAGGACTTCTTATTCAATAAATAGTGCTAGGATAACTGGTTAGCCATACACAAAAGATTAAAACTGGGCCTCTTCCTTATACCATATACAGAAATCAACTTGGATTAAAGGCTAAAATGTAACACCTAAAACTATTTTTAAAAAACCCTGAGAGATAGCCTAGAAGTGTTTAGACGTACAAATACCATTTTACCATTGTGCTACAATTGCCTACACTATTCAGTACAGTAACAAGCTGCACAGGTTTACAGCCTAGTCACAATGGGCAATACCAAATAGTCCAGGTGTGTAGTAGGAGAGGCTGTCTATGTTTGTGTAGATATACTCTATGATGTTCCCACAATGACAAAATACCCTAATGACACATTCCTCAGAACATATCGCCCTTGTTAAGTGACACATGACTGCACACACTGACATATCTTGGAGATACTACTGATAAAGCAAATATCAAAATATAAGTTATATATTTTTGTTTCCCAGTGTATATAAAAGTTATATTTACACTATGCTGTAGTCTATTAAGTGGGTAATGGCGGTATGTCTAAAAATGTATATACTTTATTTAAAAAATATTACTAAGATGCTAAGAATCAGCTGAGCCTTCAGTGAGTCATAATCATCTTGCTAGTGGAGAGTCTTGCATCTATATTGATGATTGCTGACTGATCAGGGTGGTAATTGCTGAAAGTTGAGGTGGCTATGGCAATTTATTAAAATAAGATAACAATGAGGCTTGCAGCATCAACTGATTGACTCTTCCTTTCACAAAAGATTTCTCTATAGCATATGATGTTGTTTGGTAGCATTTTACCCACAGTAGAAACTTCTTTCAAAATTAGAGGCAGTCCTCTCACACCCTGCCACTATTTTATCAGGTAAATTTATGTAATATTTTAAATTCTATGTTGTCACTTCAGCAATGTTTGCAACATCTTTACCAAGGGTAGATTTCATCTGAAGAAATCACTTGTTTTGCTCATACATAAGAAGCAGCCCCTCATCCATTCAAGTTTTATAATGCGATTATAGCAATTCAGTCTCATCTTCAGGTTCCACTTCTAATTCTAGTTCTCTTGCTATTTCTACCACATCTGCAGTTACTTCCTCCACTGAAGTTTTAATCCCCTCAAAATCACCCACATGGACTAGAATCAGCTTCTCCCAAACTTCTGTTAATGTTCATATTTTGACTTCCTACCATGAATCATGAGTGTTGTTAATGGCACCTAGAATGGTGAATCCTTTCCAGAAGGTTTTTGATGTACTTTACCCAGATCCATAAGAGGAATCACTATCTATGTCAGCTATAGCATTAAGAAATGTATTTCTTAAGTAATAGGATATGAAAGGCAGAATTATTTCTTGACCCATGGACTGAAGAATGGATATTTTCCTCCTTTTATAAGTGCACCGGTCATATAGGATTAGGGGGCCACTTTATTCTAATATGACTTCATCCTAACTTAACTAAATACATCTTCAACAACAAGCACTATTTCTAAACAAGGTTTCACATTCTAAGGTACCTGGGGTTAAAACGTCAACATAGGAATTTTGGGAGAGAACATAATTCAACCTGTAACACACACCTAATTTGTTTTATTCTCTACAAAGGGGACCTTTACAAAATAGATATGATTACAATGATATTACTTTGTGGGAGCTGTCTAAGTTCCAATTTGTTGTTAATCATCTCTAATATAATTTTAATATACTTTCAGAAACACACACATTGTTTTTATTTTCAGGTGAAGTACACATGCACATTCATTTTCAATGAAGTTTTTCATCATCTGCTAATAGAGGAGAGCAGCATTGCACACTAAACTCAAAATCATGACAATTAGAGCTCACAATTTGCTTTTATAATGTATTAATAGGAATTTTTCCCCAAGAGAATACCTTCATGATTCTGTCTTGCTTGAATGAACATTAAAATTAGCTTGGATTCCCTGAGACTGTATCAACTGGTATTGTCATTTAGGGCTAATAATTGTGAAAATTAGGCAGAGATTCAACACTGACTAGAAAATACATTTAGGCAATTACGCTTTGATTCTATCAGCTGGAGAATTATAGCACTACATTAAATAAAAAAGACTTTTATGCCTTTTATGCAACTTGGAAGACTGACAAATTTGAAATTTTTCAAGAGCCTGCAATCCAAATACCCAAATAAAGTTATTTTATTTGTGTAGCTTTAATATGTGTGTAATTTGTTATAATTCAAATGGCTTAGAAAATTTTTCTTTACTGGCTTTCTACGATTGCCAAAACTCCCACAAATTTACTTGCTTTATAATTTTGTCTACAACACAGTATCATGAAGAAAACAGAACATTTGAATCATCACAGATGAGACACCAGTGCAGTAGAGTGTCCTCTTATTAGTGTTACATGGAAAGGATGGAACGAATAGCAGGGTTGACAAAATGAGATATCTTTAATATAATTCCCCTAAATATGAGGCATTACTTTTAAGATGCATCTCCTCTTAATAAATAGTTAACTTGGAGATTGGACACTTCCAGGACACATAAGAGGCTGAGTTGTGATCACTCAGTGAGAGATGACAAATAAAGACTGACAATGGCCCACACTGTTGACTAAGCTATTTACTCTGCTTAATGCCGAATAGTGTTCCGTAGCACTACACCGAGCTTTCTTTTCTCCATTTATGCTTTAAGTAGAGGTTTGGGAGCTGATCATTATAGCATTATCTTTTCTTCTTCCCTTTTCTTTTGCCATTTCAGGAATTGACACTGGCAGGCATGGTTCAACAGTACTATATATCGTTGCCACTTTCTAGAGAAGAAAGATTACCAACTGAAAAAGAAAAGAGTAGCTATGTGAAGTTGTAAATTGGTCATTCTTATAAAAATCCAACCTCAAGTTATGTATCCATTTGTTTTCTCATCTCCATACGTTCCTATAAAATGTCAGTCCAATTTCATAAACAGTTTTCACAATGCTTAGCACACAGCAGTTACCATCAATTTTCTGACTCTCTGAATAACCCTATAAGCTCCATGCAAAGAAACTTTACTAACCAGAAATTAAAGCACAATAGATATTTATGGAATCTTAATGAGCGATTACACTAAACTACATATTATTAGCTCCATAGCATGAAAATACTCTCTCCCCAGTAACCCATTTTACAAATGTCAAGGACTGGGTTTCGGAAGAGAGAATTTGCCTCCATTACAAAGTGACGAGTATATTAACCCATCATGTTTACTTCAAACAAGGCATCCAAATTAATCATTCACAAGAAGCATTACAAATACAGGTGATTTATGTAGCTCAGTAAAGTCTGTCACAGAATTGAGATATGTTGTTTTTCCGAGTATCTTCTCTGTTACATCAGAACTTGTCAATGCATAACTATGCATGCCTCTTGGCTGGGAAAGTGCCACTTCTCTTTCTTTTTTGTGCTAATAAAAAATTGCACCAATTGCACTATGCAATAGTAGGTGGGCACCCACATCTCTAACATTCAGGTTGATTTCAAGCCTATGATTTAAAAGAATGTCGTCTTTGCTATCAATTAGAAGCCCCCAAATTCAGGTTTTATTCCTGTGATAAAACCATTTAAAAACTCTTCCTTGGATATACATCTCACCAAATTTCTTTCTCTCTTGCTCTCATATTTATTTCTTATGTTCTGGGTAGTATGCAGATTCTCACCTAAAGACTTTGGCATATCACAAGGAAGAGATAATAGTCATTTACCAAGTGAAAAAGAATAAAGAGAATTCACCTGTCATTTGCATAATTTCAACACAAAAAAATCAAAATCAGTCCATTTTGCTCTTTTAGAAACCAAGTTATAATACTAATATAACCATAAAGTATAAAATATTACATATTAATTATTATTGAGTACAATGCTCTAATACACACCCAAGTGGGCTCCCTAGCAATAATTGGCTAAGTGCATTTTAATAATTGCAAAATTAGAGAATGGATAAGAGGAAAATTAAGGGAACATTAAAAAATGTTTTCCTTTTTCATAAATTCAAAGGCAGTAATGTAATGAGATTATAGTTTTCAACATAAATATGCCTTATTTATTTTATCTTCTAATATTGAGGAAGTCACTCTTAGAACTGCTAAATTAAGTTCAGTTTTCTACCTGCACAGTTCTACAGCATGACAGGTAATTGGTACTTAATGTTTTTTTATTCTGCCTTATTTGATTTCTGAGGTAATCCATCAGAAATTGATTTAGTTTGACCTAGTACCAGTTACCTCCTCTAAAAAGAATTGTTTAATATAATTCAGTAAATGGAGCCATGATTACAAAAACATTATATAGGGCCTTGTTTTTGCTAATTATCCAGTCCTAAGTGTTAGACCCTTCCTATATGAAATGCAACATTTATTAACCCAAGAAAAGAGTAAACAGAAACTCCTGATTTACTGTATTGGTCATTTATTATCCATCTACCATTTACATTTAAATAAAAATAGCACTGTTTATTTGAGATATACTAAATGGATTGAGGTTACTTGGGATAGTTTGATCTTAGAATAGTATGCTTTGTCCAGAAATAAATCATCATTTTCATGTGGAAATTTTACTATTTAATTAAGATCCAGTTTTGACATATTTTTAAGGTACACTTTAAATTGCTTATTTTCTTACATTTGGATAATGATTAACTTAAGTGACTTGCTTTGTAAATACTTTGATCATCCTTTCCCAATTTTCAACATTTATGCATACCTCAAGTGTATTTTGTATCCCATCTTTGCCTGATTTTATATTACCTAAAAGTCAACTCAAAGGCCACTTCCGTTAGTGAAAAAAGTTCCCTAAACTGAAATTAATCACTCACTTTTCTGGGCTTTTATAGAAGTGAGATTTTTGTATTGTTTTATATTCTCATTTGTTGTTTTTTGATTACTCAGCCCTTGTACTAAAACTTATCATCTTTTTTCTTTAAATTACAGTGGCAGAATTTCTGAGATAAGTGATAAGATAAGATAGAGAAATTTCTAGAGGAGGGCAGCTATCTGTCTTCCATGGAAGCTTCAAAGGTGGGGCAAGATCACCTTGTTCTGACCTACATCTTCATAGACCCAGAGACCTAATTTTACCAGCAAATCAAAAGCAAGAATGAATGTAAGCACATTAATTTACATAGAAAATATACCTTTCATTAAATTACTCTACCCAACATATGGAATATGTACCTAGGAAAGCCAAATTATAATTTGAAGCTTGATATGCTAGCATGGAATCGAGTTTAAGGTCTTATATAACTTGACTATTTTAAGCTTTTAGGCTAAAACAGCCTGGTGAATTAATCTTCAAACCAAGACTGTCCATGTCAGGAAGGCAATCCTACTCTAAGCTTATTGATCAAGATTCCAAGTCCCTGAGGGGTGCTTTGATAGGCAATACCAATATTTTGTTTCTGTAATTCTGCTCTATCTATCTCCTTCGATGAACAAGCTACCTTACTATTGTCTTGAATTATATGACTTGAATTATATGACTTGAATTATTTTTCTGCTTTCGTCAATTAGGTTATTAACTTAAGTCTTAATGGTAATTTTCTTCACTTCATAGTTTTTTCTCTTCAAACTCTTGGTCATGTGAGATACAGGTGATGGAATCTTTCCCAGGTGTTCTTGTGGTCCTACTACAATAGTTACGGATGTTTAAATATTGCTTTCTGTAAAATCTCCAGTAAGCTCCAAATTAATCCACATCTCAGATCCAAGATGCCATCTATGGATTTAATCTATGGATTAAAGTAGACATCATCAATTTAATAATATTCTAACAGGACAAAAAACCACCAGAAAAATATATATATATATATATAGATTATAAGACTTATTCAGAATTAGAAGCATTAAAATGTGAACTTGTCTTAGAATGAGGGAAACATGGGACAAGAATAATCTATAATCCTTTAACTCTTTAATATCTTGGGAGTATTCTATAGACTGTCTTACTTGACATTAGGGTGTCCCTCTATTCTTGTCGTTTATCTGGCCAGTGTGTGTTTCTTCCCAGTCTCCCTTCATCCTTCTCATGAACTCTCTTTATCCAACATTCCCCCTCCAAGCCCTTAAATACTGGGCTTTTCCACATGTCTTTTGTTGTCACTCTTTCTTCTAGCATAATTAATTCTCCTTGAGGAATATCATCTTTGCCCAATACTTTACCAAATTATATATCGATAGCATTAATATTTTTAAATAAAATGTATTCATACTTCAGAAGTCTTTCAAAACTACAGGACCATGGTTATGGTAGACTACTGAAAATGTTTTGTGGAGACAAGCAGGACCAAATATAAAAAGGGTTCACCATTTCATTTAACCCCAAATTCCTATGGGATTGAGGGCCCTAAGGCCTAGTCATTGGGAAATGACATTTTGCATCATTCCTTTAAACAGCTGGCATCTGAGCTCTAACTGCTTGGCTCCTGCCCCCAAAATATTTATTCCCACTATAAAGAGTGCTCTCAGGTTTGCACAAATATAAGAGGCAGCTTTAGGATGACAAGGTCACTCCAATGAAGCTCAGCTCCACCCTATATTCCACTGAATCTCAGCCCAAGCATGCCTCTCTGCAGGGTGCCAAGAGAAAGAGCACCTGTGCACCTGTTTCTGCATGTGAATTTTCTGAGCCTACTCCAGATGATGCTTGCTGGTCTTCACCTGAACTTACTGCATGACAACATACTCCATATTGAGCTATCTATCTGCCTCTTAACACATCTCAACTCTAGCAAAAATCTACTCTTAGTTCTATTTCTGCTGTTTCTGAATGGACTGCGGTTTTTCTAAGTTTGAAGTCTGGAAGCATTTTTTTTTTTTTTTTTGCAGTGACACTATCATGGCTCATTGCAGCCTCAACCTCTGGGGCTCAAGCAATCCTTCTACTGAATGTTTTTATTTTTTTGTAGAGACAAGGTCTTATTATGTTGCCCAGGTTGGTCTCAAACTCCTGGCCTCAAGCGATCCATCAGCCTTGGCCTCCCAAAGTGCTTTTATACCTGTTTTTATATCCAGAAGTAATTTTATACCTGTTTTTCCTTCCTTAATTTCTTCTACTTCCTCTCCCCTAACTTCTAATTGGTAACCAAACCCTGAATATTCACCTTGTTCAAGAAATTAACACTTCCCCCTCTTCTCTATACTTCCATTGGCTCTATCTTAGTTCAGACCCTCATTATCTGTCCTTATTTCTCTGTGAGCAATTCTGGCTCCCTGTCTTGACCTAATCAAATCCACTCTCCATAACGATACCAGAATAATCTTGCCAAGTTCAAAACTTTATTTTTAATTAATTAATTTTATTTTTGAGACGGAGTTTCGCTCTTGATGCCCAGGCTGGAGTGCAATGGTGGGATCTCAGCTCACTACAACCTCCACCTGCCAGTTTCAAGCGATTCTCCTGCCTCAGCCTCTCCAGTAGCTGGGATTACAGGCATGTGCCACCACGCCCTGCTAATTTTTGTATTTTTTTAGTAGAGAAGGGGTTTCTCTATGTTGGTCAGACTGGTCTCGAACTCCCGACCTCAGGTGATCCACCCGCCTCAGCCTCCCAAAGAGCTGGGATTACAGGCGTGAACCATGGCACCCAGCCGCCAAGTTCAAATCTTACAATTTTTTTTTGCAGCTTAAAGACCCTCAGTGACTTTAGATTACTGACGTAAGAAAATCTACAGTCCCTTATCTAGGCCACACCAACCTTTTTGAAGCTTCCTAAGTACTTGCTGTTTCAATCTCCCATGCCCTCTGCCCTTTACCAGAAATATAATTCTTCCTCTTTAACCCAATCATACAGAAAACTCATTGTTATCCAATATATTAAGGCTATTAATGAGAAAAACAAAGCTGAGAGTTTGGCAAACACATCCCTCCCTACCATTTCCCTCTACCTCTCGTGCCCCGATACACATGTACAGCAACGCTGAGAAGCTAGACAGACAAAGAAATTCTTGATAACATGTGTTGAACTGACACCTGAATCTGCTACCAAACTTTTAGTTATGAAAGACAATAAACTCTGTTTCTAAATTTTGAGTTAGATTTCTATGGGTTGCAATAGAAGTTCTGATTAACGTAAAAAGATGTCCCAAGAGAATTTGAAAGATATTAGCAAGGAGTTCATTGTTGGCTCAACAGTTGGTGCTGACATTTTAAGCATAAGTTTCCAGTTTACATTGGGTAGATAAGCAAAGGAGATAAAGTTCTCTGTTAACTGCTATTCTTCTCATCAGGAATACCCAGTGGAATGCAATGATTGTTGACCTCACTACATAAAGCACAGTATTTCTCACTAAGCTAGGAAATCATTAATCTCTTTATCAAACCCTGAGAAAGGAATTATTTAGATTATTGCCTCCACTGGTTACTGGCCAAGTGCTGTTTCCATTGCAAACATGGTTCCCTGAGGATCAAAGTGAAATGAGAGTGGTTTCATGAGAAGAAACAAGGGAATTAAGTCTGGCCATTACTTTTGGATTGTCCACCATTTCTCTTGATGTAACCATAACTTCCAACAGCCCCTTTGCTCATAGAGATTTCAGTTTTTAGGAAGTAAACCTAGGTCATTCACTAAGATGGAGAATTTTGGAAACTAGAGAAGGTGGATCATGGTAGAGTGAAGCAATCCAAACAAGTGAAGCTATGACACACTCTATGTCTGAGTCATCCCAGCTTATGAGGAATTTCAGTAGGAGTGAAAAGGTGCAGCCCTGCTGCACTTCATGGGCTAAACTTTAAGAACCTGATGTTATCACCCCGGGGAATTCTTGGTCAGCTAGCACCTGTTACTAGGCTTTCACAGGCCTGCTAGATTATTATGAACCAGGGGATAAAGAATGAGCATTGAATGATATCCACTTTTTTATATTTAATCCAATCTGTATTAAAATAAAAAAGGGCAAATCCAAGATGTCTCAAAAATCCCTTGCATCTCTTGGATTCCATTACTCTACTATTACTCAGTGATTCAAGAGAAGTTTTGATGTAGGCATGATCTGATAGATGGTTCAATATGTGGGACAGGGAAAACTCATGTTGGAAAGGCGAAGTATATACAGAGACAATTTTCCAAGAATCTCTAACTTGAGTCATGTTTGATAGCCACACTCTCATACCCTGTTCATCACCCTGGGAGCACTCATGCTTCTGAATACCCTGCCAGGCATGCACACACATCATGCCACTTCTGCCTGCAGTCATACCTTTGCTCACTCTGAGACCTTGGCTATGAAGGCTCTCTCCACACCTTTTCATCTAATTGTCTTTTATTCATTATATTATGATTATGATTATGATTAATTTAGAGATGAGTTCTCACTATGTTGCCCAGATTGTTCTCAAACTCCTGGGCTCAAGGGATCCTCCCACCTTAGCCTCCTGAGTAGCTGGGACTACAGGCACATGCCAACCACACTCAACTAAAGGGTCAGACCTGAATCTTTGGGTTGAGCTAAGAGAGTTCCCTCTGTGACCCTACAGATCAGCGGGCATCAAGCCTTAGTGTAATTAAAAACCACTTATTAAAGATGGAGACTACTATATCAGTGGTTAAAAATGCAGGTAAAATGTACATTTTTAACAAAGTCCTCAGGCAATTTTTAAGCATAGTTTGAGACCTCTGATAAGGTGTACTGCAAATGACCCTCTAAAAAACAGCTGAGAAGCCCTGTGCATCTCTCTCTCTCTTATTTTTTTTATTTTTTTTGAGACAGAGTTTTGCTCTTGTCATCCTGGCTGGAGTGCAGTGGCATGATCTCGGCCCACTGCAACCTCCGCCTCCTGGATTCCATTGATTCTCCTACCTCAGCCTCCTGAGTACCTGGGATTAGAGGCACGGACCAGCATGCCCAGCTAATTTCATATTTTCAGTAGAGATGGGTTTCACCATGTTGGCCAGCCTGGTCTTGAACTCCTGACCTCAGGTGATGCGCCCTCCTGGCCTCCCAAACTGCTGGGATTATGGGCAGAAGCCACTTCGCCCGGCCACATATCTCTGTTAATAATCTCCATATTATATTAGAATTATCTGGATGTGTAGTTATCTCTCCTACAACCACGTACTTTATGAGGATAGAGACCACATGCTACTCATCTTTATGCCATTAGCACCTAACTCAGAATATAACATAGACAAGGTGTCCAATAAATATTTGTTGATCAGAACTGAATTCCATAAAGGCAACTGATTACAGAGAACCTGCTACGTTACAGATCCTCTGATAAGTGCTTTCCATACACTTACTTGATGAATATTTACAAGAACCATCTGACAGAAATATTATTACCTTCATTTTAAGGTTGAATAATTAAGGCTTAGAGAGATAAAGTCACTTAGCCAACATCACATAACTATTAATCCACTTTTATTAACTGAAAGGTTGTGCTCTTAAACATTAAATATGCTAATCTCCATAAAATTTCTAAAAGAAAACCTCATAGTGTGAACTTCATATAGTATTGTAGAGAGACCCAAGTGTCTTTGAAATTATGAACCTAAGATGTTACTACTAGTTACTTCCTACAGACTGACCCACTGACTAAAGCTGCAGCCAAAATAACTTGTCTCTAGCATAGGGAGCCCTCGGTGCTACTTATACTTGGAAATGTCATGATGTTCTCAGTTCAAGTAGCCAATTACAGAGGGCAGGTGAACATGATGTAGCATTGCACTTAGGCTGTCATTCAACACTCATCTATTTTTATTTCTCGGACATTATAGTCAGCAAAGCAAACACTGTTAAATAGAAATAGATACTGTGGTGAAGACCACTAAAATGAGAAAAAGATTAGCAAATGCTGTATTTTCTGAAATGTTGCATGTTTGAGAATTCATGGGGCCTACCTGCTTTTGTAAAATCCTTGACCCACACTTTTCTTTCTTCAGGACATAGCTCCATTCTGCCTGGTAATAAGTGTTATTATGAAAAAAAATCTGAGGCCAACCTGATCTTTCCCCCTTTAAATGTGATGTGCTTTACCCGATATGGAGCACATTAAATTGATCATCACTGAGGTAAGAGAACCTCACTAGGATGTAGTCTGGAGCTTATCATTCCTTATTAATATTTTCAACAACCTAGAGAGCCAGTATGTAGATGCATTAACTTTTTTTTTTTGGAATGATTTCTCTATGTTTTCTGTCCATTTGTTCCATCGGGAACATAATTTTATGAATGTTAGCTATCCTTTGTCCATAGCTTGTCTATAATCATTTTGATATCATTGTTCTGTATCATTTTGTGTGATTCTTCAAGCATATAGATGTCTTTGTTATGATCCTGCATTGTTAATTTAATTCTTGTTGTTTCCATTTGATTTTAATCTCTATAATGGGTTATATTATTTTTTCCTTCCACATTGTTTTGTGCTCTGCTATCTGACTATCATCTCTTCTGTTGTCTTAAAATCTCTTATATTCATACTTAGAATTCTATTGTCTTCCTTGTGGCTATAGTTTCTGTGACTATAAAATATTCTGTAAGTATTTCTATTGATTTTTGTATATTTGTTTCATCTTCTTTTTGCTAATTTTTCCTCATGTTTTAATTAACTGATTGATTGAAATCTTATAAATGGGTCCTAAGCAGATTTATTTTTGATTAATATTTACTTTTGAATTCATGTTCATTTTTCTTAAGAATAGAAGACAAAGAATTGGGGTAGAGGGTCTGCAATGAGCGCTGAGTGTTTGGACTTCACTTCACTTGTCTTCTTAAATAATCTCACATTGAATGTATTATTTTCTTTATCCTCTAAGTCAACGTGTGTCTCAGCAAAGCTCTTTTTTTTTCCATTTCCCCTAGAAGTGCTCCTTGGTTAGAAAGTTAGATATATAACAGAGTTTTGAAGCTCAAATACTTGCAGAGATTGAGTAGAAGATATAAATAAGCGAAATGGGCTAAGTTTGAGACCAAAGGGAGTGGTAGGGTCTGTGGTGAACTGCACTGTGTGCTTCATCCTAAGGTGACAGCAGCTAATCAGTTTAGCTGACTGCTATTAGGTTGTTGTGTGAGACCACGGTGGCCAGAATTTCTTTTTCAACAGTCAAACAATACATATTTTTTAAGTGAACCTCTATTTTTAAAATGCCATGCACAATGGAATACCATTTGGCCATAAAGAGAATGAAATCCTGTCATTTGCAGCAACATGGATGGAACTAGAGGTCATTATGTTAAGTGAATAAGCCAGGGACAGAAAGACAAATATGCCATGTGCTCACTTATATGTAGGAGCTAAAAATGTTGGTCTCACGGAGGTAGAGAATAGAACGATAAATACTGGAGGCTGGGAAGGGTGTGGGGGTGGGAAAGGAAGATGAAGAGAGGTTGGTTAATGGGTAAAAACATGCAGTTATATAGAAGGAATGAGTTTTAATGGTTGATAGTGATAATGTTTAATGTTTGATAGTTTAAAATTTGATAGCAATAATGTTTAATGTTTGATAGTTTAAAATTTGATAGCAATAATGTTTAACATTTGATCATGCTCATAGTACATTGACTATAATTAGCAACATTAGTATTGTACATTTCAAAGACGACTTAGAAGGTTTCAAACACAGAAATGAAAAATACTCAAGGTGATGGATGTCACAAGTACCCTGACTTGATCATCGCATATTCTATACATGTAACAAATACATGTACCCCATAAATATGTAAAATATCATGTATCAATACAACAACTTTTAAAGGTAAATCTAACAAATAGAAAAAAAAATGTAGTTCAAACAAAACACATCTGCAGACTCTCATGTTTTAGCCTCTAACATAGAAAATATAAATGGCATGTTGGCTTTTGCCTTTTAAGATGCCACTTTAAACCAACCCCACCTCTGCAGATGGCCCTGCCTTAGCTCTTCTTGCTCTACCCACTGGGAATACCTTTTGGGGGTGGAATCCTACTGGATTCTGATGTGACATGTGCAGGCTCACCCCCAGCATTCTTCTCCTGCTTAACAATGCACAGTAAACAGCATGCATCGCAATTCGTGGTTTGAGGTTATGATAATTTTCTTGTATAATTGAAAATGGCATACTTTTTGTATCAGCATTTTATTTTGTTTTCAGAGAGTTTAAAGAGGGCAATCAAGAAATAATATCTTCTCACTGACATTTGAAAAGCTATTTGTGCAGAAGCCCTCCTTGTCCCAACTCCTGTTGATTGAAACTCTTTCATATCCTTGCTTTTGTAAAATTATACTCTCATGGCCAGGAAAAGCTACAAAATTTGCAGGGTTCAATACTAATGAAAATGCAGGGCCACTTGCTCAAAAATTATTATACATTGCAAGATAGTAACAGATTATTAAACCAGGCATCTCCCTCTTCTGAGCACAGGGCCTTGTGTGACTACACAGGTTTCACACTTACGAAGCTGGCTCTGCTCCTAATTCTTGCCTAATCTCTCTAATCCCTCAATTAGAAGTCTTCTCTAGCTGCTCTTTCTCCTCCTATCCCGGGGATTTCCTAACTTATGTCCTTAACTTACTTTTCCTCTCTCTCTACATACTCTCCTTGGCAATCTCATTCAAGCTTATAGCTTGAACTCTCACCAAAACAGAAACAAACTTGTATTTATTTATTTGTAAATTTTGCCCTGTCAAAATGTAAATTCCCTGAGCGGACTAATACTATTCGAGGTCATCACACCAGTAATTATTTTGTTCTGTCTCCCCAAAAATAAACCTTCATCTGAGCCTCCTGGCTTCCCATCCTCCTCCAGTTTTGACCAAATCAGAGAACCATTTTTCAACAGAATTATCCATATCAGGGGTAGTAATCTAAAATCTGTGGGTCAAATATGGCTCACTGCTTTTATCATTGTTTTATTAGAATGCAACCATACTCCCATATTCTTTCACTTAGTATTGTCTGTGTCTGCTTTTGTACTTCAATAGTGGAGTTGAGCAGTTACAACAGAGACCATATGATGCACACAGCTTAAAACATTTACTCTCTGGCCTTTTACCAAAAAAAAAAAAAAAAAAAAAAATTCTAACACCATCCCACACCCTCACCCACCTTTGATCTGTACTCACTGTCTCCAAATTCAATCAACTTCTCTTCCTTGAACCCACCCTGGTCAGACGTTTCACCTTCTCACTCCACCAAAACTGACTCTCAAGGCACTAATGACTTATTTCTCAATATCTTTTACTAGCTCCTCCTCATTTACCCTATCACTAAATGTTCCATCACCCTACCACTCAGTCTTTGACCCTCTTCTCTTTTCTATATGACTACCTGACGGCTCTAATGAAAACTGCAGTCCTTTGACTTAAAATATTATTTACATGTTGATAATACTCAAATCTAATCCTCTTGTCTGAAATCCAGACTTGTATATCTTTGGTCTGTTCGATATATTCACTGGTAATTAATGAACATCTCAAGTGTGTATGATGAAAACTGAACACCTGATCTTTTCTCATCAATGCATTTCTTAGAGTTTTACCACATCTGTCAATAGCAGTTCCATCTTTTCCATTAGGCCAGACAGTTGCGTTCTATAGTTTTTGGATGGAGTCTAATATAGATGTGAATTAGGTCAAGGTGGTTTGAAAGTGTTGTTCAAATAATCTATGTTTGTATTGATGGTTTTCTGTAGCTCTATCAATTGCTAAAAGAGAGTGTTAAAATCTCAAACTGTGGTTGTAAAATTATTTATATTTTCCTTTTAGTTCTCTGAAATTTTGCTTCATGTACTTTGAAACTCTGTTATGAAGTGCATATAGATTTCTGATTATTATGTCTTCTGATATAGTTGACCTTTTGGTCATTACATAATCTCCCTCTTTATCTTCGATAACACTCTTTTACTTGAAATCTACTTTATCTGCTAAAAAATATATTAAAAAAATAGTTATCTTCTGGTATTTTATACTTGTTGTTTGCATAGTATATTTTTTCCAACCAATTATTTTGAACCTATTTGTCTCATATTTAAAGTATCTTATAGAGAGCATGTGGTTTGGTCTTGTGTCTTCGCTTTTTAGTTCAGTGTAATGATTTCTACCTTTAAGTTGGAGTGATTGGTCAATTTACACTGAGTGTGATTATTGATACGTTTGAATTTAAATCTACCATTTCCTTTTGTTTGTGTGTTTGTCCTAGAGAGAATCAGAACATGCCATCCCAAAATATGCCACTTTATTATATGTATATTTTGAGCTGAAGGCAACTGAAAGTCAGCAGATGCAGAAAGAAAATTTCTCAGAGCAGAGCTTTCCTTATCTGACCAAAAGCAAAAACTTCTGAGAAATGAGAACTACCATAAATCCTCTCTCCAGAAGAGTTTTATGTCCCTGAAGAAGATGGAAAGAGCATATTCATACTCATATATACAAACATTATCACAAACTTTCAGGGTCTCACTCTGTCGCCCAGGCTGGAATGTAGTGGCATAATCATGGCTCACTGAAGCAAAATTTCTGGGCTTCAAGCAATCCTCCCGTCTCAGCCTATTCCCACTCCCATCACTGGGATTATAGCCATGAGCTACCCACTAAGGCAGGCAATTATCACAAACTTTTAATCTCCTGGAAGCTCACTTGTGTTTCTTAAGGAAACCCATCTGCTTTTCTCTCAGAAGCCTTTTCCTCCCCCTCCCTTTTTTCTACTAAATTATGTATGAAGTCTTTAACAATTTAATGACATTTGTGCTGGCTTCTGTAAGCATAACATTTTTCTCCTGTTTATCTGGTTTTTGTCAGTTTAATTCATAAGTTCCAGCCACTGAATTTGGGAGGGTAGAAGAAAAGTTTTTTCTCTCTTACACTTCCTATTTTTTTGTTCTTTCATTGTTGTTATTTTCTTCCTTTTTGAGGGGGTGGGAGAGGAAATTAATACAAGTTCTTTAGAATTCCATTTTAATGTCTATTGTAATTTTAGCTGTTTCCTCTTGTATTATTTTTCTAGTGGTTGCTCTAGGAAGTACAATATGCAACCTTAACTTTTCAATGTCTACCTCGAATTGAAATTGTATTATATCACCTAAAATGTAAGCAACTTGCAATCACCTAGGTTCATTTATCCTCTCTTCTTTTCACATTGCAATGTAAAAACATAATTTTTGCTTCAAACCCTCATATGTACTTTAACGAAATTAGAAGAAAAACTTTGTCTTGCATGTTTACCCATAATTTCATTTTCATTCTTCTTTCTGAAAAATGCAAGTCTCTCTTGATTATCACTTCCTTTCAGCCTGAAAAGCATTTTTTTTGATAGTCAGTTAGTACAGATCTGCTAGTAACAACTTCTTTCAGTTTTCTTTTATCTGAAAATGTCTTTATTTTGCCTTTATTCTTGAGGGATATTTTGCTGGATATAGAAGTTAGGGTTGTGTTGCTTCTCTGCCTTTTAGCTAAGATCGAGTGTAGAATTCAGGGTTGTCAATTTTATTATCTATCTACCTTTTAAAGATCATTATTCTCTTCTGGCTTTTAATGTTCCAGATTAAAAATCAGTGATAATTAAAATCATTTTTCCTCTATGTGAAATATATCATTTTTTTTTCCTGTAGCTGTTAAGATTTGTTTAAGCTTTAGTTGTCAGAAGTTTAACTATCATGTGCCTAGTTGTTGGCTTATCTGTATGTTTTCTGTT
This sequence comes from Homo sapiens, assembly GCF_000001405.40. Taxonomy (NCBI): domain Eukaryota; kingdom Metazoa; phylum Chordata; class Mammalia; order Primates; family Hominidae; genus Homo; species Homo sapiens. Next base: position 74,616,689 of record NC_000004.12, read on the forward strand.
TGGAATTTGCTGAGCTTCTTGAATTTGTAGATTTATGTCCTTCATCAAAAGGAAAATCACTGGCCGGGCGCGGTGGCTCACGCCTGTAATCCCAGCACTTTGGGAGGCCGAGACGGGCGGATCACGAGGTCAGGAGATCGAGACCATCCTGGCTAACACAGTGAAACCCCGTCTCTACTAAAAATACAAAAATTAGCCGGGCATGGTGGCGCGCACCTGTAGTCCCAGCTACACGGGAGGCTGAGGCAGGAGAATGGCGTGAACCCGGGAGGCGGAGCTTGCAGTGAGTCGAGATCGCGCCACTGCACTCCAGCCTGGGCGACAGAGTGAAACTCCGCCTCAAAAAAAAAAGGAAAATCATTGAGTATTATATATGTATATGTGTTTTCTGCTATCTTCGAACCCTCATCCCTTTCTAGGACTCGAGTCACGTGTATGTTAGACTTTTTAAATTGTCATATGCTCCTGAGCCTCTGTACATTTCTTAGCAATCTTTTTTTCTCTCTGGCCTTCAGATTAGATCATTTTTAATAGATCTTTCTTCAAGTTCAGCACGCCTTTCTTCTGCCATTTCCAATCTGCTGATAAGTCCATCTAGTGATTTCTTCCATTTTAGATATTCTGTTTTTCAGTTTCAGAATTTCATTTTTATTCTTTTAAAATACTTTCTATTTCTTTACTGAGATGTCCTATATTTTCATTTATTATGAGAATATTCTTTACATTTTAAATATGTTTATAATAGCCACTTTAAAAATTTTGCCTGCTGATTCTAACATTCTGGTCATCTTGGGATTGGTTTCTACTGACTACCTTTCTCTTAAATCTGAGACGTATTTTCTTGTTTTTTTTTTTCTTGTTTATTTTTATTTTTATTTTAGATGGGGTCTCGCTCTGTCACCCAGGCTGGAGTGCAGTGGTGCGATCTCGGCTCACTGCAACCTCTGCCTCCCAGGTTCAAACAATTCTCTGCCTCAGCCTCCCGAGTAGCTGGGATTACAAGCACCTGGCATCACGCCCAGCTAATTTTTGTATTTTTAGTAGAGACAGGGTTTCACCATCTGGGCCAGGCAGGTCTTGAACTCCTGACCTTGTGATCCACCTGCCTCAGACTCCCAAAGTGCTGGGATTAAAGGGGTGAGCCACTGCACCAGGCCTTTCTTGTTTCTTTGTATAGCCCATAATTTTATGTGGTATCCTGGTCATTAAAAAATGATACATTAAAGAGACTCTGAATTCTCTTATTTTCCCTTAGAGAATATCAATATGTTGTTGTAACAGATAGTTAACTTGGCTGAACTCAAGCTCCAAATTCTAATATCGAATTTAGTTCTTTTAGCTTTAGGTGCACTGCCTGGAATCTGCTCTACACAGGCATTCTTCAGTGTCACCCAGAAATGTAAGCAGGCTTTCTGTAGAGAATTTGTAGCTCCCTTTATGTGACTCTCCTTTCTGGGATTACCCCCACTCACTTTACAATTGCCAAGGTCCCCCCAAATCTGTCCTGAAGTTAATTAAGCCTATGAGGTTATACAGCTACTGTCTAGGTTTTAGTGGCCCTTGTTTGTTACAGATTGGGATCTGCTCTCAGATTAAAAGCTCCAAAGACAGGAAACTCACTCAGTGCCCTTCCCTTCTTTCAAGTGTCAGCCTCCTGTCCCAAGTGTCTGCCTGCGATTATTTCTTTCCCATTATGTTCAGGAAATTGCTTATTATATTTATACTTGTTATTTTCCTGAAAGTTGGTATTTGTGAGGCAGAACCTACCAGGCCAAGCATGTTGGAACTTTCTGTGACCTATCACTAGAATCTCACTTCTTCCCACCACTTGCACCCTTACCCAAAATGCCATCATCTTTCACTTGAATTATTATCATATTCCTAAGTGGTGCACAGTTTCTGTTCTTTTCCTCCTATAGGCTTTTTTTTTTTTTAATCACAGAAGTCAGAGTAACCCCATTTGAGTCATGTCAGCTCATAATCTTGCAATGTTTTCCTATCTCCCTGAGAGTGAGAGCCAACACCTATAACCTGGCCACAAAGCTCCACACAATCTGGTTCCCAGTAGTAGCTGTGATCTCTTCTCCTGCCACTGCCCCCATGCTCAGTTCACTCCAGGCAGTCACAATGACCACATCATTCTTCCTCAAACACCCCGACTCACTGCCCCCTTGGAGACTGTGTGCTTGTTCTTCCTGGCTCATGAAATATTTGTTCCCAAGATATTTGCTTGACTCACATCTCCTTCAAATATTTGACTCACATAACTTTCCCATTGAATTCTCTGATCATCCTATTTTAATCCTATCTCTTTAGTTTCATACTCCCCACTCTCTTTGCCTAATTTTCATCATCATCATATGTCCTATTTATTTGTTGATATTTTGTCTCTGCCAGTACAATATAAGTTTCATGAGAACATATATCTTTGTCTGTTGATTCATTAAGGCATGCCAAATGCCTAAAACAGTTTTAGGTGTAGAGAAGGCATTTGTAGACTGTTTTGAACATATTAGGTAAGTGGAAGGGCTGAATCTTAATTACCCTGGCATGGGCTTCAGCATCTAGAAAAATTCCTAGCACATAATTTTCAATTTAAAAATATCCTTGAATTTGTAAGTGAATAAATCAATAAATGGGTAGCCCAATAATCCTTTCTGGGCCACAAATTCTTCATTTTTTCTAGGTATCTTGTATTTATGCATAATATTAAAACTTTCCTTCTAGATAACCTTAATGCACTCGTTTAAAGAATAATTTCCTTATTACAGTTGCAATTATCTGAAAAAAGCCTATGTACAAGTGAGTAAATAGGCAGCTGCCTTATCATAGTAATAGATTGTGAACTTCATACATTCTGCCATTAACCAATATCCTTTCAGTCTCAATAATTTGTTGATGATCTTAAGTGTGCCTTATTTTGAGTGAAATTTAATAGATATTAAATTGACTAAAATTCTAGAAGACTCTACTTAAGTGATGTGTTAACAACCATTGTTCAATAAAAGCAAGGGTCTCTACTTATGTGTGGTGAAAGGAACCTGAATTTGGGGGCAAGATGGATTTGATTAGAATCCTGGTCTGCCCAACCCAAGACAAGGGGCGTGACCTTGGGCTCCCTGCTGAGCATGTGTCTCATCTGTAAAATGAGGGTGATACACTACCTACCTATTACATTTATTGAAAGAACTGCATAAAATAATGTACGTAACATGCCTGATATACAACTGATTTTCAAAAATTGTCTTTCATTTTACTTATCTCCACTCCATTTTATTGTTTCTCTTATTTGTTTGTTTCATTTCTGCTCTTGGGCATTTAAGCTCTTTTTGTCATTAGCATTAAAGACTAAATCTACAAACTTTATCAAGCTAAGAAAAATCGTCCTCAGAGAGATTAAATGAAGCCTGAATTGCAAAGTCATTACTAATGATTTCAGCAGATTCCTGCAGGAGCCTAACTTTCAGTAGTCTTAGGGGTGCCAAAAAAAATATGCTTGCAAGTCATTTGTTTTGACCAGATAACCTACTGATGCTCCTAAAAGTTCATCAGCTTTTTTTTTAAGAAACATAAAAAGAAGCATTATTATTTTGTAGCCAGCCTCTTTAAGGGAAAAACAGATTAAGTAGTGTATCAAGCTTTCTCTAAGAACTGGCTTTGCCCCAGTGTATCAAGCTTTCTCTAAGAACTGGCTTTGCCCCAAGGGGAAGGGTTTCTAGGTAGCTAGACTCTAAATATTTGCTGAATAAATGAAAGAATAAATACATGTTTGAATTATTTAATTAATATAGTTGCTGAGGCCAATGAGCGTCTCTGTGGTTTTGGTCTTTCAACAGCCACTTAGCAGAAAAAGGAGAGATATAGAGACAGCCTGTTGAGCTGTGCAGGGTGTGACTGGTCTTCTAAACTTGGCACTCAAACTGGAAGGCTATATCACTGTTTTGCTACCTGTTGCCATAGTAATCATGGGTATGGCCATGATACCTGAAGACTAATGTCAAAATTTCCCCCCAGTTTTCTGATTGAATTTTTTACCCTTAATCTCAAAAATGTTACTCTCCTCTTTTATTCTTATCATGCTGACATATATTTGCTTTTATATTTTTCTCGAAAGCTGGTCTGCAGTAGCTAATGAGATAGTAGCATACATGAAAAGGAGGAATCCTAGAAGTAATTTCCTTTATGAAAATTATGTGTTTCATCTCTCTTTCTTTGTGCTTAACACAATACTTCTTGGTTTAAGAATATCTCTTTCAAATGTTAGGCCAAGTTTCATGAGGATTCTTTCATTGAACTCTATTTAGTGTTGACTTAAGATAAGGAATTGAAACTTCATTCCTTAAGACTTGATGTCTTCCTCCTAAGTACATTTCAATTCACGTGACTTCAGAGACTGCCCTTAATAGGACTAACATGAAAGTAAATTCATGAATTCTGTAATATTATTTACGGTAATTCAAATTCCCTTATACTGTACTTCTTCTAAATGATGCAGTTACCAAAGACCCAATAGGACTTGCAGGCCTACTATCAAGACATTTTCAACAGTGACTCCAAGAAAAGAACAATCATGATAATCTGACATTTTTTTTTCTCAGTTCATGGCATTTATTTTCAATCTTTATCACACATGCCTGTTTCCTCATTTACAAATTATTAGAAACAATAGTACCCATTATGAATTATTACTACGAAGCAAACAAGCTAATATATGCAAGATGATTAGAAATGTTAGTCATTACTATTCTGTTTATCTTTATTCAGCCAGATGATGTTTTCTATTTTTAATATATTTTCCTATTTCATGGAGAAAAAAGTTCACTGTTGTTTCTGTCCCAAAACCCTCAATCCCAAATCATGACTGCATTACCTTCTCTAAACTTTATTGGTAGAAGTTAGCTGCTTGTCAAAGTTTCAAACAAACAAGCTTAGGAAGGAAGAGAAAAATATAAGTGGAAGAATTAAAGTAACATAACAAGGACCTGCATTTATTAATATTGTATTATAAGCTCACAGTATACAGGGATTGTGTCATCCATATATTTATTATTCACAGCATGTACAGCATTGTCTTGTGTATGATTAGTGTGTAAAAAATCTGAGTGAAAACAGGATGACTGAATAAAGGAGATAATAAATGAATGACAGTTGCCAAATGCCCTTAAAGCCTTGTAAAATGTTTGTTCAAAGAAGAGTTAGAAATATAGTAAACAAGACTTGGCAATTATCCATAAATTGAATTTGTTCAGGTTTTCCTTTCTTCCAGAAGTTATCATACTAATCAGAAACTGTTACATTCATATATCAGAGTCATCAAAATAAAGTCATCGAAGAAAGGAAGATAGAATAGATAGAGAAACTTTTCTGGTAAATTCTATGACAAATTATGATTGGAGTCTTATAAGTAGTCTTATATTTTTAAAATTCTAAACTTCAGAACTTTTGAAATATAACAATCATTTTATTGAAAAATAAAAGAAAGGCTAACAGTGTGCTTTAGATAAAGTTTTTCACATAATCATGCTTATCCACTGACAGTTTCATCTTCATACTTGTGCAATATAGAAGGAAACAGAGATACTTGGAAGTGCTCAGCCCGGGGAATAAGCTACAGGATGAAATGGCCCACGCTAGGAACCATCTACTTTACCCAGTGATACACAATGGAAAATAAACCTGTCTTAAAAAAAAAAAATGGGAACATAACAGGTGTTTGGTTGATTCTAGAATAAAATGCAAATTTTGAACAACTAAGATTAAACTTTAGAAATTCAAGGTCTTTCCTACTTTCAATTTCTACCTAGGTTCCCAAAACTTCTCTCCTACAGAACCCCCAACCCCCAGCTCCCTACACAGACATTTGCACTTCTCTCTAAACACTGCTCAAAAGCAGCATTTCTCAAACTTTCTCTGATCAGGATTCACTGAGCCGAAAGGAAAACAAAAGAAAATATGGTCTACTTCACTGATTCTAGCATTGAAGAAAGCTTTGTGATGGGAACAATTAGGGAGGAATAATTATAATAGCAGCATTTCAGCAATTACGCAGGAACAAAGCCATCAGGAAAAGTGTAACCTAGGAATAATTCTATACATAAATTAAATAATGCAAAAATAGGAGCAACTGAAAACCATAGCTAGCTTAAAACAATCCTAAAATTATAACAAGGTTAGAGAATCTTCTCTGAAAATTCGGGCAATCCCAACAATCTAAGTGTGCGTTAAAAGTTCTTGCTAAGCATTGCTTGACAGTGGGATTTCTTAGCAGAATATTAAATTAGGACCCTCAAATTTTAGAAGGGTAATATTTTAATTTGTGAATATCAAATTTTTAAATTATTAATAATGCACTTGGAAGATTACTCACAGCTAGGTAATATTTATTTGAATATAAATATAAGCATATATTGAATTCCCAAACTTTTTCCACTCCTAAAAAACTGAGAAACAGACTTTCTGAACTGCTCTTGGGCTTCAGACTATGCTGAGATGAAAACACAGCTGTAGTTCAGGGGCTTCGTCACAGATAATATGCATTTTGGTGTCACCTACTGGCATGATGTGACATGACATGACAGAAGTTTATGAGCCAAAGCATTTAAAATAGTAATGGTGCATTGTTCTGTGTCAAACACTGCGTCAGGCACAAAAGGTACAGTAGTAAGCAAAATAAACTACTACTTCCACTATCAGGGGAGGCAAATATTAATAAAATAATCACAAAAGTAGAGGCAAGATGGAACGGTCCTAATCTTGGGGATCAGAGAGTGCTGAGGCTGAAGGCAGGGTCTAAGTTCTCTAGGCAAACAGAGGAAATAGGGAGATGAAGGGGAGAAGACTGCGTAGGGGACTGGACAGGAGGGAGCCTGGCATGTTTGAAGAAGTGAGGGAAGCCATGGTGGCTGGAACCCAGAAAACTGAAGGGAAAGGAGGGTAGGAGTGGTGAAACATGAAGCTGAAGAGATAATAATAGTAGTTGTAGTAATAAGATGCTCTTTCATGGATAATTCTCTATCATGGCTTCACAGAGAGCTCCAACCTGTTAATGTTCAATTTAATTGTATTGAACAGCTACAAAGGACCACATTCTATAGCTGCAATGTTCTCATCTTCAAGGTCATTGGAAAATGTTGTTATCAAAATTAAGGGTGTAGCTCAATAAACTGACAAACTCAAGATTCAAAATTGTTTTTAACAACCAGGAGTTGGGGGTTAAAACAAACAAGTTGAAAGTTAAAAAAAAATAAAGTCCTTCATGTAAGGTGAAAACAAAAATATGCAAAATATGGTAGCAACCTGGCTTATAAAAAAGATATGGAAATTTTAGTTGGCCTCAGGTTCAATATATGTTAAAAGTGTGAAAAGACACGGAATATTAACTTATGATTTTTTTAAGTACCTTTTCTGGATCAAGGGAGGTAAGAGTCAAGAGGAGTCTTTGCAGTTCTCTGTGCTACATTTTAAGGATTTTGACCAACTAGAAAAAAATGACCTGTGTAATGAAGAGTTTAAATGCATGCCAAATGAGAGTCTTAGCTTGAGGGTAAAGGGCCTATGGAAGACTTGATAAGTTTTTCAAATACTGGAAAACTTGTGATGTGAAAAGAGTGAATTCCTCCAGTGTAAAGAACAGAACAAAGGCAAGTGGAGAGACACTACCAAGGGTGGAACTTACAATGAAAGCTTCTGGAAAACAATAAGCTTATACAAATATATACTGTTTTAATAATGGTGAGGCACCAGTGGTTGTTATTTCTGAGGCCAGCATCCTATGCAGTGTAAAAGCCCAAAGATGAATGGAGAAACACGGCTCCTATTTTCTGTTCTACCTGACGGCACAAGGTGCCAATGATGCATTACTCATCAATGACCCCTGGCTTCAAAACGAAATAGACAATAACGCAGAAAAAACAGAAGACAACCTAATTGTATAAACTGAAGACAGTAGAAGATAAGCACTCAAAGACAGAGAATAGAATGACAAAGGAAAAAAGAAATGTTTTCTTTTATTTTCTCATTTTACTCTCTCCTCTGCTTTTTTAACCTACATTCTTGTTTTTATTTTTCAACTATCATCTTCTGCTTCTTAAAGAATGGTGACAGTCTTGCTTAGTGAGTTCCAGGACTCGTGGGATTTTAAAGAGATAACTTGAGAACCACAATAACCACAAAGTTTATGTAGCAATAAACATCCTAACATACTGCACAAAGTGAGAACAAAATGAAGTCAAAGTACAGTTTAAATATACTGATGGAAAATTAATTTACAATGAGTCACTAAAGGGAACTGGGGACACATCCTGTCAAGATGACCTCATTGAATCCACACTTCTCTCTCCTATACAAAGGCCCTTGGTTCTTTCCTAACCACAACAAAATTATAGTATAATATTTTAAAATAGGTGAATGCCTGGTGGGCCAGACCTAATTTTGAGCTTCCAGTATTTCCTCTTCTCTTCTTTTCTTAGAAACTACCTTAGAAAAAAGTATTTCTAAGCAAGCAAAGCCTGCATTTGTCAGTGTGAGCTAAAGTTACCTGTTCTGTTGAACGAAAGGATTGTAGCCTAGGTTTGCTAATTTAGACACAGTTGAATATAATGAGCAGATAAAGACGAGGAGCTGCAATTGGTGGTAAGAAGGAACAGGATTGTTGTGTCATAGGCATAAATGTATCTTAGCTATTTTTAAAATATAGAAATAATTATTGGTTCCTGAGAAGAAGCCGATGGTTAGTTGGTCAGTGGATTACTTCCTGTTGAACATTAGATGATATACCAAATGCTGGGTTAAGTCCAAAACAGTTTTACCTCAGATCAGTCTGACGGCTTTGAGGAAAGGAGGAGGCAGTCACATCTTATGATTTTTGCGAGGAAATATCATTTCTGATATTACCTTGAGTTTGGAAGATGAAAGAAGACTATGTGAAATATTAAGCTTTCCAAATTATAGATTCTTTGGCCATGTGAAAAAACAAGCATCATTCTTCATGGCCTCACCCTGTATTAGCTGTGACTTGCATAAAATGGCTAAGCTTCTCTACACAGTCCTGATGACTTGTTGAGGTTGTTCTCCAAAGAGAAAATAAAGTGACTGTTTCACAGGCAGAAGATCTGGTCCAATGCAATTTAACTTGTAGAGTATGGAGGAGCATACATTCTAACAATTATAAAATGACTTGTAATAGCATTATTGTGTAATGTACTTTCACATTTGTGGTGATGTTCCCCATCACTTACTTGTGATTTCTACACCTGTTAACATGTGTTGAAACATCTTCTCAGTACACATTTTACTTTTTTCTATAGACTGTAAAGGAGGCAAAAATTAAATGCTTCCTTAAGCTTGGAAACAATATTGTTCTCCAAGAGCAAATGTAGAATCAAGACGTCATAAGGCAGAAAAGTACATAAATATCCTAAAGAAACAAATGGTTCCCAGGTTGTCAAAAGCTGATTGTAACTTGACAGGATACATTAACATAGCAACAACAAAAAAAGAACATGACTATCAGAGGGAGGAAATCATTGTATCAGTCAAGGATCAGTACTGGAAATTGAAACTGCTACCAAAACTCTTTCATTCAAGGACATGCCACTAGAGCTGTGATGAAGGAGTCAAAAAGCTGCCACTACTGCAAATAGATTTCAAAGCAGGAGACTGGATGCTGGAACTCTGTTACTAGCAGAAAACAGCACAGAAAAAAGCATCAGAAAACAAAAATGGCCTTAGCCTCCTATGTCTCCCAAATGTTGCACAAATGAACACACTGGAAGAATCTACTTCACCTCCAGACCCCTAGTTATACAGAATGGGAACTAATTCTTACCTTTCCAAACTCTGTAGGGCAGAAATGCCCACTAGAAGGAGGTAAGAATAGATGCTCAGAGCTAGTCCACCCTATCTGTGAAGGTCATCAAGTGCCCTCCAAGGAACTAGTGTTGCTTACCTTCTGATTTAGAGATGGGTGTTTTAAATGTACAATTTTTAAAAAACATTTATATCAAAGAACTAACTCTCTCTGATTGGATTTCATGTTCACCTGGCAACCTTCTGATTATAAATTTATTTCCTGGGTACCTTGCCTACTGGGAGAGAATATACTAGGCAAAGGATCCTAGTCTTTTGGGGATTATATTTCACATTTTAATTGCTGCCTTTTCTCAATGTTGAGATGCTGGTTATGGTATGTAACCATGTATTTTTTTTTTTTCTCAAGACAGTCTTGTTTCTGTCACCCAGGCTGGAGTGCAATGGTGCGATCTTGGCTCAGTGCAACCTCCATCTCCTGGGTTAAAGCGATTCTCCTCCCTCAGCCTCTTGAGTAGCTGGAATTACAGGTGCATGCCACCACACCCCGCTAATATTTTGTATTTTCACTAGAGACGGGTTTTCACCATTTTGGTCAGGCTGGTCTCGAACTCCTGACCTCAGGTGATCTGCCCACCTCGGCCTCCGAAAATGCTGAGATTACAGGTGTGAGCCACTGCACCAAACCCATGTATTTTAAAAGAACCTTAAAGAAAAAGAAGCACCACCACATTAAATGAATTTCTCCATTGTAAGAAGCGTCTTCATTTTAATAATGTTGAAATGCTTAAAAAATTGCAATTCAGCATTATTAAGAAATACAATAAAATTTGCACCCTGATTTTATAATTTTTTTTAGGTTAACTAAATCTATTCTAAGAACCAGATCCATTTCCATTATGTTTATGTATCCTGATTCCTAAGGCAATACAGCCAAAGGCCAGGCCCTAGACTGTGGTACTTTCATCAGGAGAGTAGTATCCTGTTCAGACCCCTCTTGGTGACCAGCACACTTTGAGATTACATCTCTCTCTGGCCTTTTGTTCATATTGCCTGTCCGTGCAGAGTTATAACAGTTTTTAGTCAATGTCCACTTATGCAGTGAAGTTTGGTAAGGCAAAAGGCAGATCCTTCCTACCTTACATAAACAGAAATAACACAGCCTCAGAGGCAGTAGTTCCTATGCCTATGATGCAATACTATTCTTATCTTTGTTACTTTACTGTTTCACATGTACCTGGGGTAATGATTATCACGGGTACATGAGATACCATTAAAAAGAAAAACTGATCAAATGAGGACGGATACCAACCAGCACCATCTGTAGTTATTTACCGAAAAGCCAGGAGCTGCAAGTTTGAAAGGTCATTTAAAAATAAAATATCAAGCAAGTATAATAGCTCATACCCAGGCTTAATTACCTAGGAAATATGCCAAGTGGCTTCAAAGATATTATATGTGCATGTTTACATATTATCTTATTTAAATACATGGGAAGCTATGGGTTCAAATCTCAGTATTGCCTCTTGTTATTCACATGGCTTTTGGCAAGTTATTAATGTAACTAAATCTGTTTCTTCATTATAAAATGGAGATAGCAATATCTACCTCATAGGGTCATTTTAATTATGAAAATGAAGTAATATAGGTAGAATGCTTAGTACAGGGTTTGGCAATAAGATATACTTAATATTGAGGAGTTACTGTTATAATTATTAATAAGCACATAATTGTTTGGGAAGGAAGCTGACACATAGCACAATATGAATCAAAGATGAAATGTCATTCAGTGGAAGAGAACACATAATTGTGGACTTGAGTAGGGTCTATTCTGTCTGTGGCTGAGTTTAATAAAGAGTTATTTCATGTGGCAGGAGATCCTCTGTATATGGGCAGGAGGAGGATTTCCAAGCATGCAGGAAAGATGGGAAGCTGCAAATAATTTTTGTTAGGGACCTTGAAGTGAGCTACCTCTCACACTGTAAATAATTATAACATCTTCCATCAACCAGCTTTCAGAAGACCACTGTTGCGCTGGTCCTATTTAAACCTCTCTGGAAGAAATCAGGGAATTTCCACTGGCATTTTTATTTGGTTTATAGTCTCAAATTGGGTTTAGGTGCAAATAACACTTACCTTGAAGAATTTATCTCAGTCTTACTTACCTATTTTATATGATTTTTCCTCCAATCCTGAACCTAATTGAAGGAGCAGCATTCTCACAGGTATTATTTCTCAAAGAGAAATTCATAATAGAGTACGCAAATCCCTGAAAATGACCGAGATAAGAGAAGATGCAGACAAAAACACAGACACAACTGAATAAAAACTGCAAAACAACCAGGGTCAGGAATTAATAGAGACTTCAATAAAAGAGAGAACAAATCCCTCAAGTTCATCTGTTCATCCCCAGCCTTCTGTGGTGAGCTGCTTGAGTTCAGTGCTTTGGCTAGTTTTATATGGGAGAAAGTGCTGGGCTGGCTTTGAGCAAAAGGGAAGTCATCTCTTCTCTTATGAGTCACATATAGGACGTGTCTTTATGGCCTGCAAAACTGTGAAGACACTTCCATATCTCTTCTTCCCTGTTTCATGCCTGGCCACAGCTATTGGTCTCATTGAAACGATTTCTAACTCTACATTTTTAAGTCTGATGCTCAATTGAGCTGTAGTTTTATGTGCCTAGCTCCTGCAAAAATCTCTAACTGCCAAGTTCTCTCAGCATGTCAACCCAACAAGAGCAAAACCAAACCAATATTACTAGTCTTCCTCTACCAAGAATAATTTTTTATTATTTTGCTCTCCTAATTTTACAATTTCTGTCCTAAGCCCCTTCATTCCTTCATGCACACAGGCTGGCACATTTCCAAACATCTTTGACTTTCCTGGTTCCTGCCACCCACAAGTATTCACGATGTCTTTCCCTTTGATGTCCGTGAAATCCACCCTTATCTCTTTCCATTGATAATACTCAAGCTTTAACTCTCATAACTTCTTATAGCTCTGTAAGGCTTTTGTAATGAGCTCATAACTGGTTTCCTATCCTCTTATGTCTTCCGAATACAATTCATTCTCACTCCACTGTCAAATCAATCTTTACGTTATATAAACCCTGATTATGTTTAAAATGTTTACATGCTTCTCACTACTGGTTAATAAACTAGAAACTTATCCTAGCTGTCAACACCCTCCATTATATGTTCCCTTATCTTCCTAGACATTTATCTTTTATTATTCTTGTATGTCTATATAAATTTCATCCAAATGTAACGACGAATACCCATCATCTTCTTTGCCCCTTGGGTGGGCTCCCTTTGCAAGGGGTGTTTTATACTGGCTCGTAGAATTTTGCCAATGGTTTAAACTCTGGTCTCCCACAATGGTAGCTACTTTGGTGATGAACTTTTTATTAGTGGGTTTCTTTCCTCGCCCCATTCTTCTGCTGGCATTGCCTTTACCTTGTATAGTAGACTGATTGTATCAATAATCTTACTTCTTTACCTATCCCCATATTAATATACTTTGCTGTGTGACCCCACTAAAGTGGCAAAATATATTTACTCACCTTTTGAGTCTAGGATGAACTTACATAGAATGCTCTTCATAGGCCTCCAACAACTATATGAAGCATAATTGGCCAAAGGCTTTTGCTCCTAGCTGCTATCTAAAATTCATCACTGCATCTGTACTGAGACCATGCTTCCTACAGACCACCACAGCCTATGACTGTCCATTCTTGGGAGACACAGGATTCCTCTGACAGCCAAATTTGGCTCGAGGACTCCTCAATAGTCTTGCCAAAGCATTGTTAGATTGCAGGACAGTCAGGTATGCTTCCAAACAACTTTCCTTCCCTCTCTCATTCAGTCAGAGTTAGACCTGCATCTTGGTCTCATGGCTATCCCAGCCTTTCCAGGATCCCTTCCAATAATCTCTCATAGCCATTTTCTGTAGCTAAATCCTAATATGTTTTGTCTAATCTTGGCAGTCTTGGCATCTGCTTCTTGGACTTTGTGACTTTTCTGGGGTGATAGCAGACATGACAAAATCAGAGACTTTAAGACATACTTGTATATTTCTGCTTGCTTTTGTCCTCTGTCATCTTCATGAGAGAGACATGCGCTGTTCCTGAGGAGGGTGAGAAACACATGGAACAAAGCAAAGGCACCCCAGTTATTGCATCTGAGGCCTTCCCAGATCAACTCACGGCTAACTGACCCCCAGACAGAGAGGGAGTCCAGCCAAGATCAGCTGAGCTTGCACAAATCAGCTGAATGCCACAAACTTCTGAACTAAATAAATGCTTATTGTTGTAAAGCCAGTGTAGAGAAAGGGTTGCTTGTTACTCAGCATTATTGTGTCAATAGAAAGGTGATAAACTTCCCAAATAAACTAATTACCCTCAAATGTTTATCTGGAGGAAACTGACCCAAGACAATACGTAAGTACATTCTATATTACGTTGTGATATGTGGACTCGGTAGTTTAGAATTGAAAACTTATCCTTACTTTCCAAGAACCCTGGACTGAGGAACAAAACGTGGCACTCTGTATAGCACCGAAGATAAAGGGAAGTGAAGTAGAGATTCAACACAAAACTTTCTGTTGGATTACCTGGGTCTTCTTTGGTTTAGATAAGAGGCTTAGAATATTCCTGATTAGAAAGGTATCTTGTCAATTGACCTCTGTGCCCCTTCCCAGGCTGCACTGAGTGACAAGAGGAACAGATATTCTTTCCCTTCCCATTTAAGAGGCACAAAGAAATTCCGAATCTACCAGCACATCCTTAAAGGAACTGTTCATCTGAGTCAAACTGGACAGATTTCTACTGCTTGGCATCAAGGAACAGCTGGCTAAAATGGATCTGCTAACAAAAGGCAAGGAAGGGGAACTTTTCTGCAGAGGCACTCTGCATTCCTACAGGTGTAGGAACAAGCAAAGTACAGGGAAAGCAGCCCAGCTGAACCTGTCAATAGAACAGCTAATATGGCCAGGAGGAAACCGCTGGTCAGCCCTATATCCTAGAGTCATCAGAGTAGCAGCTGTTTAAGGATGTGCAAATAGAGCTAGAACATTCATCATTACACATCTTTTTTTTTTTTTTTTAAGACAATGTCTCTATTGCCCAAGCTAAAAGGCAGTGGCACAATCTCTGCTCACTGCGATCTCCACCTCCCAGGCTCAGGCAATCCTTCCAGCTCAACCTCCCAAGTAGCTGGGACCACAGGTGTGTGCCACTGTAGTGTCACGCCTGGCAAATTTTTGTATTTTCTTGTAGAGACAGGGCTTTGCCATGTTTCCCAGGCTGGTCTTCAACTCCTGAGGTCAAGTAATCTGCCCACCTTGGCTTCCCAAAGTGCTGGGATTCTGGGCCTATAGCATCTGGCCCATTATATATACATCTTTAGATGAGGACAGATACAGATGCCTGTCAACTTGTTGTCTCCAGTCCCTAGCTCAATGCCTGGCACATAGTAAACCCTTTACACATGTTTGAATGTGTGAATAAATGTTTTATAACTACTTCCTAGATCTAACAAAGTTTTCAGGAAAAGAGTTTTCTCATTTAAAAAAACTGTTAATTTTGCTATAATTACCAGTCCATGTTATTGTAGTAATTCTGACTGGGCCACTTCTAAACAGAATAGCTTTATCTCTCTGTGATTCAATTTCCTCTTCTAAAAATTGTGGATAATAATAACACTAACTTGTAGAGTTGTTACTGGATAAATTGCAATTAACATATGTCAACTGTTTTGAACAGTGCCTGGCATTTGTTAAGTGTTTTATTAATGTTATCTAGGAGAAGCTGTAATAATAGTGATAGTAAAGTAATAGCAGTAAGAAAATCAATTTATATCATCCAAGGATATATCATAAAGCTCCATTAAAATGTGGGTTTTACAGGACAATAGTAACACCTTCACTAAAACTTTCCCATGTTTAAGTGAAAAATAGGTCTAAATTATTAATCTATAACCCACACTAGAAAATGTTTTACTGGTACATGTTTCCAGCAATATAGTCAAATAAATGACTAAAACTATTAATAGATTTGTATTTCTTGAAAATGATAAAATATTGAGATTATTTTAAATTTCTAAGTTGCAATGCGTTTTACAACTTCCAGTTTTTTCTAAAATGTTTGGATATACTTACTCTTTTCCTAAGTTCTGAGGCACTCACCAAGGAGAGTTGACTCTCAGTCATTGGCACATTTGCCCATTTGTCTTTTGCTCGGGAGCACCTAACCTCTCTGTGCCTGGGTGGGTGGTTTCCTGTCTGTGCTTGGTTTGAACCTGTTCCAGGGCTTGTGGTTTTTGGCTAGGCTTGTACTTTGTGTTATCATCCTACTGCATATTAAACGATGGTGTTGATTTTGCAATTGGGCGTATGACTCCTGCATTTCTCAGAGGGACTTATGAGAATCTTTCATGTTCTGGTTTGTATGTTCTTTTCTCTTTTCACTCTCATACCCAGCAGGCTTCATCAAGCCCAGTCTTTGAGCTGAGACATCTTTTTTTTTTTTTTCATTTCAAGATGAGAAACACATTTTGAGTAGCGGAGTCCTAGAATTATTAGATAGAAGATTCGATTAAGCTAAAGTAACTAGGAAATGATGTGAAAGAAAAAATGTTGCTTTTCTTATCAAACTAAAGAGCAAGGCAGTAACTGGAGAACACAGATTCGTTGTGTGACTTAAATAGAAGCAAAACAGGCATTTACGAATGAATGCAAAATTCTTAGAGCGGGATGGAGGAGACGCTTTTTGTCCTGCTACGTCTTTGCCCATTGAAAAGGATGGTCTCTCTCACCAGTATTATGGGCATGTTTCTCCAGTTTATAATTCTATACTCTATTAAAATACCTCGGGGAAAAGATAATCTTTTAGGGTATTTTACTTCATTTACACCTTAACATCAATGTCTACATTAATCAATTTCTCTCTCCCCTTCACCTCCCGCTTCTTCTTCTCTCTTCCCTTCCTCTCTTTCTGTCTCTTTATCTTGAGAGCTAGATCAAAATGCCATTTGATGAAGAAATGTCTAAAATCTTTGTCTAAAATCTTCAAAATCCATTTCATTCACTCAGCATGAATATGTTACAAACTCATTTCTATCAGGTACTGTACTAGACACTGAAAGTACAGATTCAAACAAGACAGACACTCCTGAAAATTCCAGTGAGTTGTCTGAGGAGAGAACCAGACATGTAATGAAATAGTTTTTATCCTTAGCACTAAAAATTCCTCAAGTTAAATTTTTGTACCCCCTTAAATATGGGTTGGGTTTTCCTTCAAGTTTCTTAGCCTTGTGTATGAAGCAACATTGCTGGAACTTCACCCATAGTCTGCCATGGTGGCATCATCTAGGTATGGACTCTGACTTCATGACCCCATTTCAAAATCATGAAACAATACAGAATCCTTTATTCTCCTCCCTTTTCTCCATTTGTCAGAGGAAACCTCAGAACCATGTAATCTTATTTAGCAAGTAAGCAGGCACTGATGCTATTGATGGGGCTACATAGGTAAGACAGGAGGTGGGTGACCCAGAGTGAGGTATTCTAAACAGGAGCACCATAGCTCTCAGTAAGATATTTCCAGTCCCATGTCTTGTCCATCTGTGGACTTCTCCATACTTCTCTATTATGTGGATGACTATTATAATGAAGATTCTGAATTCTCTCATGAAGGACTTAAAGAGTCTCATGGGATGCCAAGTGAGTGTCTACAGTTGGTCCAGTTGGGTAGCTGTAAGTATTATTTATCTGACCATCCTACGTGTGAAAATTTCTTACTATAATAAACACAGGCATTTTTGCTTAAAAAAGGAGTTGACTCCCCAAATGTCTCAAATTGCCTTGCAGTCATGCTGGGCTCAGAGAATACCTACCTAGTTGATTTTACAAAGATAATTTCTGTAATATTAAAGACAGAGTCACCACTTTGCTCCCAGTTTGATAGTACTTAGGTCAGTAGGGTTGACAAAAACAACACTTTGATACATGTGGTTTAGGTAAAAATCCCATGTTTGTATGGCAAATTGTTGTTTATGGAGCCTTCACACAAACCTGTATTTTGGCAATATCTCTAGTTTACTGATATAAAGAATGAAGCTCAGGGAAATTATATAATATGTACACTTACTTCATGGTTAAAGTGACCATGGGCTAAGAATACCTGAGCAGTAAAACTCTCAGGTGAAAAAAATTGCAGAAATTCTTTATATCAGGGCAAATATGGTTTATGTTTAAGAAAACCTAAGATATAAAAATCTAAACTCAAGATAAATACATTGGCTGAATGCTCACTTTATAAAAAAGAATACTTGTTTTGCATAAAGTATCATATGCAATTTCTTTAAATAACAAGTACCTGTATGTTAAGTATGGTTTTATGGTTTTACTATTCCAAATTTTTGTTGTTGTTGTTTTGAGATGGAGTTTTGCTCTTGTTGCCAAAACTGGAGTGCAGTGGCGTGATCTCGGCTCGGCTCACTGCAACCTCTGCCTCCCGGGTTCAAGTGATTCTCCTGTCTCAGCCTCCCACGTAGCTGGGATTACAGGTGTGCACTACCACTCCCGGCTAATTTTTTTGTATCTTTAGTGGAAACTGGGTTTCACCATGTTAGCCAGGCTGGTCTCGAACTCCTGACCTCAGATAATCCACCTGCCTCAGCCTTTCAAAGTGCTGGGATTACAGGCATGAGTCACTGCACCTTGCCACTACTCCACATTTTATTTAGCCACAATGGCATTGAAAAAATCCTACTGGGTAAAGTGAGTCACAATCATTCTCAAAAGAGGTAGGACATGTATGAGATTCACCACCTGGAAGGTCACTTAGTGAAATAGAGTTTCTAAGGTTATAATATGCAGTTTCCAACATGTATAACATAACACCCTAAAACTAAAAGCTACACTGAGATAATTGATAAGTAAAACTGGCTACCAGTGCAGGACTTATAAAATGCTCCACAGGGAAGGAAATGTCAAAGAAGGCAAAATGTTACTAATCCATAAGTTGATGTTTTAAACAAGTTTATCTTAAAGGGATAAGATAAATTAAAGTAGCATAATTATCCAGGTGAGTGACTGTTCTTAATTTGGTAAGGGAGGAGTTGAAGTGGGGGTGAACTCCCAACTCTAAGTATAAAGCCTATGACTCACAAATCTCCAATATACTCACCTGTCGTCTCTAGGTCCATGGTAGAAGCCTGAGGAGAGGGTGAGGTCACAGGGTGGATTTTGTAAGCTTATCCTCCTATATCTCCAAGAAGGCCTCAGCTAATGTTAGTTCACTAACTCTTACGAGCCTTGGCAAATCACTAAGACTAAATATATAGTTTGGTCCTGAAGACCTATGAACTCATCAAAAACCACTGTCTGGATGATAATCCCTGTCCTCCTTTGATGCACAGCTTTCATCTGTGTATGCTGTTCCATTCTCCATAGCACAATCCAGGGGGAACTGTAACATGGGCCAGCTCCCCTCCCAGCTTGAATGCTACCAGCTTCATGAGAGTTTTCTCTGCTGATTTTACCATCTCATGCAACTATACTCTCCTTTATGTAGACAGGTGCCATGAAAAGCTAGAGGTGCTAAACTGTGTAAATCCAACCTCCTTTCTGAGGCTACAAGAAACCCAAGCAGATCTCTAAAAAAGCACCTATAATTACAGATAGTAGTAACAAAGTCAGAACTTCAGACCTACCATATAAAAGCCATAGAATACTAAAGCTAGAAAAAAATCAAGATTTTAATGAATTCTTTATGTAGTTTTCAGATTTTTAAATATTAAATATTTCCTAATAACTTGGGAACTAAGGATACAATCTATAAGATATATGATGCTTCATTTTCTATGTAAGTGCATGTTATTGGTTAAGCTAGAGATGGAAAATATGTTTTAATTCACATATCAATTCTGACCAATTGGAAGTGACTTCTCAGAATGTCATGTTGAAATATCTGAGATTGCATCTATATTCAAGGAGAAGTAGCTTCTAAAGCCCTCCATGAACAAAGGAGAAAAAATGATGGCATCTTGACTGTATTTTCAATCTTAGAGCAAGGCAATTAGCTATTGTTTCTGCAATGATTTGAAACACTAAACAGCTGTTCTCTAGATTGTGACTTAAATGAAGAGTAAGAAAAACAAGCAATCTAAACATTTTACTCTTCTTATCATTTAGAAATATCTTGAAACAAACCATATTTTAGGTACTGGTAATAAACATCATCACACCCCTCAGAACAAGCCCTGGTATTCTCCTTCTATGAAATGTGGGAGAAGTACAAAAGAAAAAAACACTTAGACTATATTAAACTATCCCTTTCAAACAGCATAATCATAAATTAATAGTTATACTCTAGGCTAGCCATATGAAAGGCCAGGGAAAAAAAGGAGAAAAAAATTAACATCTATTTCCCCTCCCCACCCCTACTACCACACCAAGGAATCTGTAAGTTTCTTTTTGATTATGATTTTCTTGAATATAAAACCTCCATAGTAAAATTTCTAACATTTATTGATTGCTTACTATGTGACAGGCAGTATTCTAAGTTTTTTAAAGTGTATTTAGCTAATTTAATCCCCAAATAAGCTGGTAAGAGTACTATTATATTATTTTACAGAAGAGAAAACTGGAGTACGGAGAATTAAGGTAACTTCTCCATGGCCACAAAGTTTATATGTGGCAAAGCTGAGATTTGGAGGTGGGAAGTCTGGCTTCCAGTCCTACTGTACTATACCACTTATCTGCATGATAGCACTTCTGAGATGAGGCAACCCAATGGCAGTCTCTCATTGGAGGGAAAAACATATTTACACTTTCTGAAGGATCCAGCTTTTTCGCTTTAAATAGTAAAGAGTAATTCAACATCATCTTTATTCTTTCTGCTTTCTCTTGTTTTCCACTTATTATTGCCAAATACATTTTTGAATGCCTATGTACAGGGCATGGGGCAGGGATCACAGGACCTACGAGAAGAAAGAGAGGTATAAATACACATATTATATTCATTGATATGCATGTTCTTTCTCTTCTGACTAGACCTCAAAACCAAGGTAAAAAATTGGCAGTAAAATCCATTTGTTGTTATACAGGCTTGAAAATGATGACCATATTGCTGTCTACTTGACCTGTAACTAAATAGAGAAAAGTCAAAATTCAAGAGCTGAGGAATAGAAAGAAGTTGGCTTACGTGTTTTTAAAGATAAGCTTCATGTGACAATAATATTTGTTATTTTGTCTGGAATAACTTTTTCCTTTTTTTAATAAGCATTTTTTTTCTGAAAATGTATATGCTGTATCAATGATATATTATGGATGACATTTATTTTAACAGATGTTTTTAACCATATTTCAAATACATTACATTCACAAGGCTTTGCCTCTTTTTCAGTGAAAGAAAATAATGAGCAGATGCTAGATTTCTTAAGGTTCAACAGTTTATGGCTCCAAAAATAAAAGTTAAATATATTTAAAAGTAAATTCAATAAGCAAGTGATTAACCATAACCTGATAATTACATATTTAATTTTTTTACAATAAACCCCTTAATGTGATACAAGGTGAATCTTCTAAACTTGGCATCAATGAAACACTTTTCTTAGGGGAAAGGAAAATTGGATTGCATGGCTCTGACTCAAACCAGAATCCATCTGTTCCAGGATTCTGACCTTAATTTCTCCCACCACCCCACTGACTGCAGGAGCTATGCATCCCGTTTCATCATCTAGCATAGGCATGGATATTTGCCTTTCACTAAATAAGTCATAGCAGAGCTAAGAAACAACTTCAAGGTCTAGATAACTTAATCAAAGCATGGGAAGCTTCAATTGTAAATAAGTTAAAAATAATTTAAATGGCAAAATCATGAAGAAAAATTTATGTAGTATAAAACATTACCTAAGCTATATACAGTGAAAATTTTAAAGCATTCCATTCTTCTATTAATATATGAAAAAGAATAAGGATAAAAACTAATTATGCCAAAAAAACTAATAAAACAATCACCAAACTTTTGCTTCTATAAATGTGATGGTAAGCCAGTTTCAAGGACCCTCTTGATAAAATATCAGTCACTAAAACACAAATTCCAACAAATTTTAATGCATTGTAGGTCTAACTAGAAAGTGAAGAAAACTCCAAAAATCACATCAAATAAAAAACTAAAACAAATAAACAAAATACATAGGGAAAGAAGTCTACTAAAACCATAGGAGAAAGCTCTAAATAGCAGGCAAATTAGGGAAATATAGACAATAAAACTTGGTTTTCCCAGTGAATGATAGTCCATGAGGTTGAGTGTCTGTGATATGAACATTTGAAATCTGAAATGCTCCAAAATGTAATACATTTTGAGCACCCACATGATGTCGCAATTAGAAAATCCCACACGTGACCTCATATGCTGGGTTGCAGTCAAACTGCAGTCACACAACACAGTTCATTCAGCAACCCCAAGGGGAAAAAGACCCTCCCAGCACCCTTCAGCTACAATGTATCTTTTTCATGAGGCCCAGATTCCCCCACCCAAGCACACCCATAAAAGGTAATCAAATGGCAACTGTACGTGCCAGACACACCAACAGCAAGTTCCTCATGGTGCCTCACATGGAGCCAAGACCTACAAGCATTACTCACTCTGTTTTTTTGCTTATTGTCTGCTCTGTGGCATATAGATATGGTTGAAAATGTCAAAAAGGGCTGCATATATCCATATGGATAACTGTAATAAGAGGAATCATTTATGTTTATTTATAGCATAAAATGTTGAGTTGTGGGATAAACTGGACAGTGGAGTGTGAAACATCTTGTGGAAGAATACCATATATGACCTGAAGAAAAAGAAGAATAAACTTTCTAAGTTCTATGCTGAAAGTGATGAGGAGAAATTAATAACAAATAGAAAAACACTGCATAAAGCTAAAAATGAAGATCTCAATTGTGTATTGAAAGAGTCGATCTGGGGCCGGGCACAGTGGCTCACGCCTGTAATCCAGCACTTTGGGAGGCCAAGGCGGGGGGATCACATAAGGGCAGGAGTTTGAGCCTGGCCAACGTGATGAAACTCTGTCTCTACTAAAAATACAAAAATTAGCCAGGCATGGTGGCAGGTGCCTGTAATCCCAGCTACTTGGGAGGCTGCAGCAGGAGAATCACTTGAACCCAGGAGGTGGAGGTTGCAGTGAGCCGAGATCACACCATTGCAATGCAGTCTGGGTGACAAGAGTGAAACTCTGTCTCAAAAAAAAAAAAAAAAAGAGTGGATCTATCAGCATCATAGTGAACACATGCCACTTAATTATATGAAAACAAGCAAGCAAAGATCTATCACAATGGACTAAAATTTGAAGGGAACTATGAATATTCAGCAGACTGGTTGCAGAAATTTAAGAAACACATGACATTAAGTTTTAAAGATTTGTGATGATAAAGTGACTGCTGATCACCAAGCGGTGGGGAAATTAATTAGCAAATTTGCCAAGGTCATAGCTGATGAAAATCTGACAACAGCACAAGTCTATAATGCTTATGAAACACCACTGTCTTGGCATTATTGCCCCAGAAAGACACTGACTATGGCTGATGAGACAGCCCCTACAGGAATTAAGGGTGCCTAGGACAGAATACCTGTGCTGGGATTTGCTAATACAGCAGACATGCTTAAGTTAAACTGTTGTGATAAGCAAAAGCTTGCATCTTCACTGTTTTCAAGGAGTAAATCTCTTACTAGCCCACTACTATGCTAACAAAAAGTGATGGATCACCAGAGACATGTTTTTGGATTGGCTTCATAGACATTTGTACTAGTGACTCATGCTCACTGCCAGGAAACTGAACTAGATTGTAACTACAAGATTTTGTTATTCCTTGACAGCTGTTCTGCTCATTCTTCAGCTGAAATTATCATAACAAAATAATGTTTAAGCCATGTACTTTTCTCCAAATGTGACCTCATTAAATTCAACCATGTGATCAGGGTATCCCTAAATCAATGAAAAGTAAATATAAAAACACTTTCTTGAATTCTAGCAGTAGTGAACAAAGGCGTGAATACGGAAGATTTTCAAAAGTTTAGCATGAAAGATGCCATACGTGCTGTTGCCAACACTTGGAACATAGTGACTAAAGACACAATTGTGTATACCTGCCACAACTTCTGGCCCATGACTGTGTTCCATGATGATAAACAAGGTAGTGACTCTGAAAGATTAAGTATGTCAAGTGAGAAAAAACAAAGATGTCTGAACCTCCTTATCTGTGCAAAAAAACATACAGTACCTTCAGAGTCTGTCAGTAAGCTGGGAGAGGTGGATATCGAAGAAGATTTTAACATCTATGATGAAGCTCTAGTTGTTCATTTGCTGACCAATGCATATAGCTAAAATGATTCTGGATCAAGGTGGCTGTGATAACAGTAACAATGAAGATTGTTAACACTGCAGAAAAAGTGCCTATAGATGACATAGTAAAAATGTGTGATGAGCTTATTGAAGGAGTGGAGAATAGTGCATTCATATCAGAACAAGAAATCATATGAGCTTAGGATATCAAAGACAGACTTCTAAGACAAAAACTATTGTTAATGAGGCCAATGACTCTGGAGGAAACATTTTTAAAAGCCGTCCAGTGAAATGCCTCCTCATCTCTAGAGGACCCACTTCCTGGTGCCTCAACTACTTCTGGTGTTTCTTCTCAACTAAAAAACTAAAACACAGCGTACAGTAACCTTCTTATCCAAACACAACATGGTATGTGGAAACCTGCCATTGTCTGTTGTAAATGCTATTTAACAGCTGATGCAGGTATTCTGCTGATGCTCCCATGCTGCTTAGCTACCCTGAACATATTTTTTTCACTGTATTAATGTTATTTCATATTTTTACTGTTAAGTACTTAGGTGTGAATAAGTGTAAGAAATAATTGCTTATCAGTAGCATATACATTCTGAGTCAGGAATGATGGTGATGCCAAACAGATTGTCCACATGAGTGGCTGAGATAGTGATACCATTGTTTTCTTATGTTTCAAGGTACCCAAATTTTGTTTCATGCACAAAATTATTAAAAATATTGCATAAAATTACTTTCAAGCTATGTATATGAGACATATCTAAAACATAAATAGATTTTGTGTTTTGACTTGGGTCCCCTTTGCAAGATACCTCATTATGTATATGCAAATATGCCAAAATAATTTTTAAGAAACCATGTCATTTGAAAGACTTTTGGTGCCAAGCATTTTGAATAAAGGATAATCAACCTGTATTAGCTCTGCTTTTAGGAGATTAAGTCTTAGGTCTCTGGAACACGGCAAGTTAATTTTCATAAAGGGCTATTGTGCTCTCAGGAAATACACACACATTGGTTCTATATGCAGAAGCTAATACAAATCTTCTCCAGAGGAAAGCATCACCAATTTAGGCCCTCAAAATTTCCACACATTGAGTTCAAAAAATTAAAACTCATAATAAACACACACATGGAGGCACACACAGGAAAATAACTTATCATGACTGAAATTTAAAAGAGTACATAGCAGGTATTGATCCTTGAGGACTTCTGGTATTGAAATTATCAGTTGCATGAAATAATTATATATGAAATGTATAAAAAATAGAAACAATGGGAAGAATGAGTAAGCAACAAGTTATAATAAAATACGACCAAGACAATTTCAAAATAAGCAGCAGTAGTTTGGTAATTTTAGAAACAGGAAATATTGTTGAAATTAAAAATATAACAAATGACTTAAATAGCAGATCAGACATTGCTGTAAAAAGGATTAGTTAACCTGAAATTAGTAATTTTAGAAACAAGAAATATTATTGTTGAAATTTAAAATACAACAAATGACTTAAATGGCAGATCAGACATTGCTGTAAAAAAGGATTAGTGAACCTGATTAGTAATTTTAGAAAGAAGAAATATTATTGTCAAAATTAAAAATACAGCAGATGACAAAAAGCAGATCAGACATTCCTGTAAAAGGATTAGTGAACTGAAAAAGTATCCTCAGAATATAACACAGAGAGAAAAGCAGATGAGAAACATAAAAGGAGACTTCAGAAGACATAGAGGATAGAATGAGAGATTAACATATCTCTAGTTGGAATCCCAGAAGAAAGAAAGGAAAAATTGAGGACAGGCACAATTTGAAGAGGTAATAATTTAAAATGTTCCAGTATTAGTAAAAATCACAAATTCATAGATTTAGATATTATATTAATCTATGAGATTAGCCAGTAGGACAAATGAAAATAAATCTACACTTAGACTAATTATAGTGAAACTGATGAGCACTGAAGATGGGAGTTAATTTTAAAAACAGAAAAATTAAATGTCTTCTTAAAATTAACTCGGATTAAATTAATTGAAAAATTCTAAAATTATAAAAAAAAAATTTCCACAGTCAACACCAATTCCCGATAGCTTTATGGGTGTGTTTTTGAACTTCGTATGACAGGACATTTCAATTTCTTTACTTTTCTAATGAAGAGGGAAAAGAGAGAATATTCCCAAATTAGGTAAAGAAGCAGTATAACCATGATACTAAAATGAAAAAAGGACAAAAAAAAGAAAAAAAAGGAATTACAAGCTAATTTAAGCCATGAATAAAAATGTAAAAACTGCTTAACTAAATAGTTTAAAACCAAATTCAGCAATGCATAAAAAAAAAGTACACCATCAAAAAGTTTAGCTTATCCTTGGAAAGCAATAATAGTTTAACATAAGAAAATAAATAAATGCAAATTATCACATTAATAGATTTAAACAGATGATGTATATAATCCTATCAATACATGCAAAAAAAATGTTTTTGTTATTTGTTTTATTTTATTTTTTATTTTATTTATTTTTTTAAGACAGATTCTCGCTCTATCGCCAAGCTGGAGTGCAGTGGCGTGATCTCAGCTTACTGCAGCCTCCCCGTCCTGGATTCAAGCAATTCTCCTGCCTCAGCCTCCCCAGTAGCTGGGACTACAGGTGCCGGCCACCACGCCTGGCTAATTTTTGTATTTTTGGTAGAGACGGGGTTTCACCATGTTGGCCAGGAAAGTCTCGATCTCTTGACCTCGGGATCCACCTGCTTTGGCTACAAATACATATTCATGGTAAAATATTTTTAAAAATATTTCTACCAAAATAAATACAGAAAGAAACTTCTGGCTAAGGTTAGAATATTTGTGTCCTGTCCCCAGCCTCTCAAAATTCATATGTTGAAATCTAATCTCTAAAGTGATGGTATCGGGAAGTGGGATATTGGGAAGTCACTAGATCATGGGATTAGTGTCCTTATAAAAGAGAGACCGGCCGGGTGCGGGGACTGACGTCTGTAATCCCAGCACTTTGGGAGGCCACAGTGGGTGGATCACCTGAGGTCGAGACCAGCCTGACTAACATGGTAAAACCCCGTCTCTACTAAAAATATAAAAATTACCTGGGTGTAGTGGCAGGCGCCTGTAGTACCAGCTACTCAGGAGGCTGAGGCAGGAGAATCACTTGAACCCGGGAGGCAGATATTGCAACGAGTCAAAATCACCGAGATTGAGCCATTGCACTCCAGCCTGGGCAACAGAGCAAGACGCCATCTCAAAAAATAATAATAATAAAAATTTAAAAAAAAAAAATTTTTTTTAAAAAGAGAGACCAGAGGGAGATAGCTAGCCTCTTCCACCATGTGAAGACACAGACAGAGGTGCCATATATAAACCAAGAAATGGTCCTCAGTAGACACTGAATCCACTGGCACTTTGATTTTGGACTCCCCAGCCTTCAGAACTATGGGAAATAAATTTCTGTTTTTCATAAGCCACACAGTCTATGGCATGTCATAATAGCATCTCAAATGGACTAAGACATTTCCTTAACCTGTTAAAGGATATCTACCAAAACCTCCCAACAAACATCATTGTTAATGGTACAATGTAAGAAAAGCCCCATTAAAATTCTTATTAATACACAGGTGTTCACTGACACCACTTCTATTTGGCATTGTAATGGAGGTCCTAGTTAATGGAGTAAGTCAAAAGGAAACTTACAGACTTTGGAAAAAATATCAAAAGTACAATTATTTACAGATAATATGATTATTTACATGGAAATCTAAAATAATTTATGAAAACTTTAAAAATTATTTAAAGTTTACAAGGATACTGGAAATAATATCAACATATAAACATTAGAATAATTCCTATGCAGTAGTGATTATTGGAAACATTTAATTTAAAAATCTCATTAAAAAAAGCAAGGAAAACATAAGATGCATAGTAATTTATTTAATAGTAGTCACATAAAAATAAAATATTAAAAATATTATTGAAGAACATAAAAGAAAACATAAAAATAGATGTGTTTTTGAATACAACACATCAATGTGGTAAAGATGAGATTTATCCTTTATTTAACCTACAAATTAAATGAATTTGAATCAAAATACCAATAAGATTATTTGTAGAATTCAATAAGCTCATCTTAACATTTATGTAAAGGAAATACATAAAGCCAAGGACAGCTAACAAATTCAAAAAAAATCAACAATTTGAAAGAACTTGCTCTATTAGAAATAATAAATTTTATAGAGCAATGGTAATTAAGACAGTATAGTGGCTCAGAGACAAACAAGTTAAGCAATGGAGGGAAACAGAGAAACCAGAAGCAACCCCACCCATAGATATGGAAATGTCGTATATGACAAAGGTAACATTTCAGATCACTGGGAGAAGTGAGAGACTATTCTGCAGTGAAAACTGTGACAATTCCATTTTTTCACAGAGATAGAAAAAAGCTATGCTAAAATTCATATGGAACCAAAAAAGAGCCCAAATAGCCAAAGCAATTCCAAGCAAAAAGAACAAAGCCAGAGGCATCATATTACCTGATTTCAAACTATACTACAAGGCTATAGTAATCAAAACAGCATGGTACTAATACAAAAACAGACACGTAGACCAACGAAACATAATAGAGAACCCAGAAATACAACCAGATACCTACAGATCTCTGATCTTTGACAAAGTTGACAAAAATAATCATGGTAAAGAACTCCCTATTCAATAAATGGTGCTAGGCTAGCTGGCTAGCTATATGCAGAAGAATGAAACTGGACCCCTATTGTTCATTATATATAAAAATTAACACAAAATGGATTAAAGATCTAAATGTAAGATCTCAAACTATAAGAATCCTGGAAAAAAAACCTCTGGACATTGGCATTGGGAGAGAATATATGACTAAGTCCTAAAAACCAATTGCAACAAAAATAAAAATTCATATTGGGACCTAATTAAACTAAAGAGCTTCTGCACAGCAAAATAAACTATCAACAGCATAAACAGATAACCTATAGAATGAGAGAAAATATTTACAATCAATGAATCCAACACAGGTCTAATATATAGAATCTATAAGGAACTTAAATAAATAAGCAAAAAGCAATTAAAAATGAGCAAAAGACATAAAAAGGCAATTCTCAAAAGAAGACATAAAGCAGCCAATAAACATGAAATAATGTTCCACATCACTCATGATCAGAGAAATGCAAATCAAAACCACAATGAGACTCTGTATTACTTCGTTCTCACACTGCTATAAAGAAATACCTGAGACTAGATAATTTATAAAAAAAAAAGAGGCTTAATTGGCTCATTGTTCCATAAGCTGTACAAGAAGCATGATGGCTTCTGGGGAGCCTCAGGAAACTTTCAATCATGGCAGAAGGTGAAAGGGAAGCAGGCATGTCTTACATGGCCAGAGCAGGAGGAAGAAAGAGAAGAGGTATGTGCTACATACTTTTAACAATCAGATCTTCTGAAAACTCACTTACTATATCGTACCAAGGGGTGATGGTACTAAACCATTCATAAGAACTCCACCCCCATGATCCAATCACCTCCCATCAGGCCCCACCTCCAACACTGGGGATTACAATTCAATATGAGATTTTGGGTAGAGACACAGTTCCAAACCATATCAGATACCTTGTCACACCAATCACAGTGGCAATTATTAAAAAGTCAAAAAACAGCAGATGCTGGTGAAGCTGCAGAGAAAAGGGAACACTACTTATACACTGTTGGTGGAAATGTAAATTAGTTCAGCCACTGTGGAAAGCAATCTGGAGATTTCTCAAAAAACTTAAAACAGAGCTACCATTTGATCCAGCAATCCCACCAATGGGTATATACCCAAAAGAAAATAAATTGTTCTACCAAAAAGATATATGTACTCATACGTTCATCACAACACTATTCACAACAGCAAAAAGATGGAATCATCCCAGATGCCCATCAACAGTGGATTGGATAAAGAAAATGTGGTACATATATACTGTGGAATACTATGCAGCCAAAAAAGAATGAAATCTTGTCCTCTGAAATAACATGGATGCAGCTGGAGGCCATTATCCTAAACTAATTAATGCAGGAACAGAAAACAAAATATCACATTTTCACATATAAGTGGAGCTAAGCATTGGTACTCATGGACCTGAAGATGGGAACAATAGACTGGGGACTACAAGAGAGGAGAGAAAGGGGAGCAAGGGTTGAGAAACTATTGGGTACTATGCTCACCACCTGAGTGACAGGATCAATCATACCCCAAATCTTAGTATTACACAATATACTCAGGTAACATTATCTACACATGCACCCCTTGAATCTAAAATATAAGTTGAAATTAAATATATATATATATATATATATATATATTCATATACAAAATAGCAATAAAAGAAACTGGGAGAATTCTTTATCCATATGAAGGAAAATAATATTGAATTCCTACTTATATTAATCTCAAAAGTTAGTTTCAGAGGAATTAAAGACACGTGAAAGGCAAAATTTTAGATGTTTTATTACCTCAGACTGAGAAAACATTTCTTATACAAAGAAATATTAAAGATAACACTGATGATGTAACTATATGAAAATATCTGAAAAGCTGTTTATTAAAGACATCATTAGGAAAGTGAAAAGACAAGTAGTTATGGTAGAAAATTACTTTTGCACAAATTGTTAGAAAATATTCCCTATATATATAAAAAATGAGCTAGAATAGACTTTTCTTAAAGAAAGACTAAAAATGAAAGAATAAACATTGATCAGTAAAATGAGCAAGAAACAATTAACATACATTTAGAGAAGAGGAAAAGCAACTGGTCAAGCTTTTGGAAGCACATGGAAATATATTCAAACTCAAATGATCTTATTTTGAATTTTCCTTTTCATAAGTTTCCAAAGATATGAAGTATGATATTACCAAGTGTTAATTAAAATATGAAGCTACAAGAATGTTTACAAATCACTAGTGGGTATGTAACCCTCTGAAAATTAATTTGACATTATAAGTTACATTTTAATGTAATGCCTGCTTTATTACCCAGAAGCCATCTTGAAATCTTCAAAAAAATCAGCAAAAATGAAGTTAATTATTAAGAATCTGACTCAGAAGACTTATAACGTAAGTGTCTTTAATGGGGAATTCTATTACTTGTGTCTAATGTCATCCTAATAGGTATAGTGTGTCATTTAAATACAAAAGAAAAGGTGGGAGTTTTCACCATTGTGGCTACTATTTTATTAAATAGTTTTTCAAAGCCATATTTGGCTTTGAAAATTTTGTCAAAATAAGATTCTAAATGACATGTTATAAACACTGGAAGGGGAAAGAATGTTATTATTTTCAGGAATGATCATCTACAGAGAAAGTTTTTAAAAATAAAATCAGTACGTGACAGTTTTCTAAACAAACATAGAAAAAGAGATAGCTTTTCTATAGATCTTTAATAACTAGCAAGACAATCCAGTGAAATTTAGGAGTAAATGGAAGAATAAAAATTCCTCGAAAATGTGTAAACTATAGGAATGTAAAACAAGAACTGGATAGATGCACATGCCACGTTTTTGAGTGGAAAGAAGTTGTACTGCAGAGATGCCATCTTTTCCCAAACGCAAGGCAATTCAAATCAGAATCTCAGTATCTTAACCCAGTAAGCTTACTTTAAATTTCTTCTGGAAATTTAAAACAATGAATGATAATCACCAATAATTTTTTGAAAAATATAGTTACATTATATACAATAAGGGAAAAGCATGCCCTTTCATACTATGAAATATATGGTAAATCCACTGAATAATAACTATCTGGAATTGGCACAGTAATCCATCAACAGAACAGAAATAAAAGATCCAGAAACAAAACTTGTTTTCAATGGGAGCCATTTTCCCTGAGTCCTTAGATTTTCTAGACTGTAAGTGCGGGAATTGAGATTTAAACTAAGGTCATCAGAATCTATTGCTTAGCCTGAGTAATCAACTACCACACAACACAGGCCCCCATCTTAAAAAGTATGAGACTAGCTAGACATATTTTAGAAAAGAATATTGGTCTATCAGATATTAAAATACACTACATAGCTACAGTAAGTAAAATAATGTGATTCATGTGTCAGAACACTTGGAATAGAACCTGACACATTTTAAGAACTTAATAAATATTTGTTCAATGAACAAATCTACCAGACTCCCCATGCAGAATCCATTTCACCCCAAGGGACTACATAGTTTTTGTTAAACATTTTAGTGTGATCAGAATTCCACTGGGGTGCCTGTTAAAAATTCAGATCTCTTCCCCTCCCCATTGGGTCCCTAGAATACCCATTCTGATCCACTAAGAAATTTTAATTTTCAACAAGCCCCAGGTAATTTTTAATACAGGTATCAGAAGAAAGACTCCTAAAAAACATCACTCTAAAGGAAGAGAATGGTCTATCTAGAGAATGCAAATATCTGGCTGGCTGAGGAATTTCATTTCCTATTGTAAATACATATGTCGGCATTCTGGTTACAGAACAATCTTTTATGTGTTTGGTTAGTGTCAGTATCCTCAAGCAATGGATCAACTTTGGGAGTTCAACAAAATCAAATTTGCAGATCTAGAGCTAGATCTTGAGACTCTTTTGTGAGTAGCCAGCTTGACTTATTCAGATGACATCCTACCTTACTACATATGTTTCCAATCTTCAGTAGCAAGAAGGTGCTCTGTCAGGATTAGCTTCCTTTCCCCTTTTCACTTACAGGCTTAGTAACAAAATTCATTAAGCATGTTCTTCCATTGTCTAATTGGTTTAAATTTAATGTTATATTTATTCCTCTACCAGCAGCTTCTTTTCATCTGTAAATATCTAGTTTCAGAGAAACCAATAAACCATCTTTTTTCTACACTCTTTACTCTTTGAACTTTCCTCTTCTAGATTAAAAATGGTAAAGGTTGAGAAATGACTACATCATTCTTCTAACTGATTTACTTGCCAAAGATCCATGACTCTCACCCTGCAGGAAAAATAAAATAAAATTTAAAAACAAACAAAAAAACCCACCATGGTTATCTGAAAAACCTGATGTAACTCTTATTCAATATCATTTATGCTAACTAATTCTTCTCATCTTCCTTCTTCTCAAATGAAAAATTTACTTCACTGTATTCACAACTCTGGATTTTGGCCATCAAGGATTATGAAACTAACTTAGTAAATCTCAACCAACACTTTTTTTTTTCAAATGAAAGAACTAGATTAGGATAAAAATATATTGCATTACAAATAGATGGGGTAAATTTTTGTTTCAATTATATATGTGTAAAGGCATACTATGATAGGATAGGAAATGTATTTCTTATCGTGAGTTTCTGTTAGAAAATGTATGGAAATTTCTGATTTGGTAAAGTGAGATGAATTTTATTTCCCTTTAACTGAATTCCTATTACATTACAAGGCTTATCTCTACAGGTGGCTGACAACTTTATCTTAATGGTAACCTGATCATCTCTGTTTAAAATTCATGTCTCCTTTAAGTAGCACCCCAGTCAAATTCTAGGACCTCTTATTTCCCTGTAAGTTTCCCTTCCTTTCTCTTTTCTGAGGTGAGCTAATCTTAGGGGGCCTTGCATATGGTCCTGGCATTCTGAGAAGAATGCCTGTTAGGCCTGATTTTCTCTATCCTTTTTGGCAACTTCTGAGGGTTCATTCATCTTGACTAGTCCCTGTCTTGGTGGTCTGACACCTTCTCCTGAAATTTCTGACACCATCATGACCCATTTTCATTGTCTATATACTCTCCTACCCAGGATGATGGTAAACACACTGCTCACGCTTAAATACTTTAATACCCTCTTTCGAGGCGTGGGGGAATACTCTTTCTCATCTAACGAAGTGCAACTTTTGCAGATCAAAGGCATTCAGACTCTGTTTGTGCTACGTGCTTATAAAATTTATTTAGAAATGTATTCTAGGCTGAGTGCAGTGGCTCATGCCTATAATTCTAAAACTTTGGGAGGCTGAGGCAGGAGGATTGCTTGAGGCCAGAAGTTTGAGACCAGCCTAGCCAACACAGAGATAAAACCTTATCTCTACAAAAAAAAAAAATTAAAATTAGCCAGGTGTGATGGCCCGTGCCTGTAGTCCCAGCTTCTCAGGAGGCTGAGGGAGGATGGCTTGAGCCCAGGAGTTTGAGGCTGCAGTGAGCCATGATCATACCACTGCACTCCAGCCTGGGTGACAGAGTGAGACCCTGTCAAAAAAAAAAAAAAAAAAAAAAAAGGAAGGGAAGGGAAGGAAAAGGAAGGGAAGGGAAGGGAAGGGAAGGCATGGGAGGGAAAGGAAGGGAAGGGATGGGAGGGGAGGGAAGGGGAGGGGAGAGGAGGGGAGAGGAGAGGAGAGGAGGGGAGGGGAGAGGATGGAATGGGAGGGAGAGGGGGAGGGCCAGGGATGGGAGGGAGGAGGGGGAGGGAGGAGGGGGAGGGAGGAGGGGGAGGGAGGAGGGGGAGGGGAGGGGGAAGGGAAGAAGAAATGTATTCTAGGCCAGCACTGTCTAGTTTCTGTGACAATGAAAATGTGCTATGTATAACTGTATTGCCCTGTACAGTAGCCTCTGGTTACCTGTGGCTATTTAGCTCTTGATAGGTGGTATCAAGAGCTCTTCTAATGTGACTAAGAAACTGAATTTTAAATTTCATTTAACTTTAATTAATTGAAATTCAAATAGGCACATGTGGCTAGCAGTTACTACATTGGACAGCACAGTTCTGAGTTGCATCTGTGTCCTCCCTCTTGGCAGTGTATAAAAAAGCAAATGCTGCACCAAAATCATGGTTAAGTGCAATAGCACAAGAAAAGGCAAAGAGAAGCAACTTTAAAAACATCTCTTCATATAATCTTGCCACAGTAACATAGATTTTTTGAGGTACGATTTACATATAATAAAAATATACCCATTTTAAGGGTACAGTACAATAAATTTTGACAAACGCATTCAGTCATATAACCACCACCACTATTAAGGCACAAATGAATTCACTGTCTCCATATTATCTCCTCCTTACTCCTAGCCCTTGATAAACACTGATCTGGTTTCTGTAACTACTGTTTTGCCTTTTACAGAATTTCATACAAATACAATCACACATATGCCATCTTTTGCACTTGTGTTATTTCAACTAGCATAATGATTTGAGATTTGTTCATCTTGGTACATATGTGGGAGTTCGTTCCCTTTTATTATAAGATACATTTCATTGAATGGGTATAATACACATTTTTTTTCCTTTTTTTTATTATTATTATACTTTAAGTTTTAGGGTACATGTGCACAATGTGCAGGTTAGTTACATATGTATACATGTGCCATGCTGGTGTGCTGCACCCATTAACTCGTCATTTAGCATTAGGTATATCTCCTAATGCTATCCCTCCCCCTCCCCCCACCCCACAACAGTCCCCAGGGTGTGATGTTCCCCTTCCTGTGTCCATGTGTTCTCATTGTTCAATTCCCATCTATGAGTGAGAACATGCGGTGTTTGGTTTTTTGGCCTTGTGATAGTTTACTGAGAATGATGATTTCCAATTTCACCCATGTCCCTGCAAAGGACATGAACTCATCATTTTTTTATGGCTGCATAGCATTCCATGGTGTATACGTGCCACATTTTCTTAATCCAGTCTATCATTTTTGGACATTTGGGTTGGTTTCAAGTCTTTGTTATTGTGAATAGTGCCGCAATAAACATATGTGTGCATGTGTCTTTATAGCAGCATGATTTATAGTCCTTTGGGTATATACCCAGTAATGGGATGGCTGGGTCAAATGGTATTTCTAGTTTTAGATCCCTGAGGAATCGCCACACTGACTTCCACAATAATACACATTTTTTATTCATTCACAAGTTGATTTAGGTTGGATCTGGTTTAGGGCTATTATTTTTAAAAGCTACTATATGAATAGAGTACCCATTCTTTTCTGGACATATGCTTTTATTTCACTTTGGAAAATACTTAGGATTGGGAATGCTGTTATGGTAAATATATAATTATATAATAAACTGTCAAACTGTTTCTTAAAAGATTATATCATTTTGCATCCCCACACCAATACATGAGAGTTATAATTGCTCTACATCTTTACCATATCTCAGCATTGTAGATCTTTTGATTTTTATCCATTCTAGTGGGTTTGTAGTAGTACTCCATCACAGTATGAATTTACATGTCCCTGATGACTGTGATATTGGGGATCCTTCTATGGACTTCATGCATTTCTTATATCTTCTTTTGTAAAGCATGGGTTCAAATCATTTTAAAATCAGGTTATCCTCTTCTTACTCAATTGTGTTATTTATCAGACATAATTTTATAATATTGTCTCCTAATCTGTGATTTACCTTTTAGTTTCTTAACATTTTTCAATGCTGGGTGCATTTTTCCTTGTTATTGTTTCTTTGTTTTTGCTCTAAGAAATCTTTGCCTCCTCAAGACTACAGAGATTTTTTTATTATAATTTCTCTAGTTTTGTAGTTCAAGTGCTTAGCTTAATGTTCAATTTAGAGTTAATAAAAAGGCCTTTTAAAAAAAAATAAATAAAGCTATCCAAACCTCAGACCAATGTAGAATCTGTCTCACAGAGTCGTTGTAATGCTAGTAAGTCATAACTGTTAAATAATTATTAGCCATAGATATCGATGCTTATCTCTAGAACAAATCCTCTCAGAGCACGGAAGGAAATTCTGAGTTAGAAAGGCAATCTTAGCAGAAAACGTTTTAAACATTACCGAAAAAATGTAAACTTACATAGGAACTACAAATAAAGCCCATTCACCAATAGGACACATCTGAAAATTCTGAATGAAACCAGGCATTCTTAACTTCTTAAACGTCATTCCACAAATCTTCTTTCTAATCTTCCTCAAATCTAAACTGATTTGTTTTATCTTAGGACTGAATATTCATGACAGACCAAAGATGCTTTGTTTGATACCGTTTGATTTCTATAATTATATTCTGTAAATATGTCTAGAAATTGGCACAAAACTGAGAAGGAAATCACAGAAAAAGATCAGAATATTTTTTCCTACTGCTTTTCCTTAGAGAAGAATCTATATAATCTCTTACATCTTTAGACATCAGTAGGTTTCAGGTATGAAGAAGGTTAGCTACTTCTTAATAACTCAGGAGCAGAGTACAGCATAGAGTCCAGACAAACATCCACAAAGATAATTGTAGTACTTTTCCTAGGATTACCTGGTGGCTTATCAATTTGTGCACAAACCTAGAGCTACAAATGGAAGAGGGGCTAATTCCCATAGAAAATTAATGTTAACTGTTTATGTATTTTTTTTTCTTCTGACCTTTCCAGGTGAGAGTTGGGTTTTCCAGAGCCCAGTCACAAGAAATTTACCTATTGATCCTCTGACGAAACGCAATGGTAAGCTGTGCTAAGTAAACTGACCCAGCTCACCCTAACTTGTAACTGCACTGCAATGCTTGAAACGCAGCGAAAATCCTACAGCATGTTCCCTTGTTCTCTGAACTCACCTGCCCATTGCGTGCAAGAAAAAGCTGGATTCCTTCTCGGTCTAGTAAATGATTTTCTTGAATGATGCAACCGACTTATCTAGTGGGTTATCTCTGGACCTGTTCACAAGCTGACAAGTATTTGCAGGGATGTACAGTCATGCTTTCTGTTCCTCAAACTGTAATGTGTTTGTAAGTGAAAAATGATGAGTATGATGTGGATCCGAGCTGGTAAATCACCCCATTATGATGTGGTCTCCTCTTTTGATCTGACCTGAGGCCTGAAGCAGGAGAATTTATTTATCAGGGGCAAATGAATTCTGACTCAGATAAGTGTGACAGAATGTAAGGTCTTCATCGATGCATTGATTCAATTTTTCAATAAATATCCATTGATCTTTTACTAGGTACTTTTCTAGCCCCACCAGAGAAAAAGACAAAATCCCTTTCCCCATTGGGTGGGTTTCTGACAATTCGTATATACTAAGGATGACAATGAACTTTTAGTGCTTTTCTTCATGCTATGAGACATAACATGCAGGTCGATGACTTTATCTTAATTCCTTTCCACAAACTATACTTCCTTACCCTCTAGTCCTTGGCAAATAGGGTAAAATCTTAAACCAAGAGAGATTCTAGCACATAGCCCCTCAGTCCATGCATTCTCTTTGTGCAGGGGAATTTAGGAAGGAATTGGTCTTGACATGAGTAAAAAGACCAGATCCTGAGGCAGACTCCCCTCCAAAAGAGATTGAATTTACTGGATTGTGCTTATTGCTTTCAACTCAAGAAGCAATACTTCCCTTAAGTAGTCCTCTAAGTTTAAAGTGGAACTCAGCATATCTCCTTTTGGCTCAGATGTATCAACTTTTCTTCACCACTTTCACTCTGGCACTCACATCTGGCAGTATTCAAGCTGGTGGCTAATAGAATCAAAATGATAACGTAAAAATGGACCGTCGGTACACCTCACTTCGTGTTTGGCACTGTTTGTTCATCTGTGGAACCACTTCATATTAACAAAGATGAAACTTTAAGCTAAGTCTAGAAATTCAGTATAAACCTCAGAGATCCTTGAGTCATAGTCTAGATAAATCTGTGTGCCTGAATTACAGGTGCATGAAATAAAGCATGAGAGACCAGGATTTATCAAATGCTCACAATGAAAAAGCAATTCCTGTGGAAAAGCAATTCATATATACACACACATGTACACACACACATAAATTAGGCAGATCTAGATGAAGAAAAGAAAATAACTGCTCCCTTCCAGGACCATGCCCTAAACCTGAGGCTACCATGAACTCACCCATGTGCAGCTCCAGCTCTTGGAGGAGGCCTCACCTTCCTCATCACATTGCTGGATATTAAACAAATACTTTGGGATGAAGGAGACAAACAAGAGTATCAACACTACTACTTAATGGTCCATATGTATCTAGAAGACCTGGTTGGAAGGAAGATGGTGAAAGAGGGAAAAGCACAAACATACTTGTGCCATAGTGATGCACACTTTGCCTGCCTCCCTTCAGGACACCAAGATGCACATCAAACAAAATCTTCAAAACTGAAATTCAATCTCAAATAATATTCAATCTTGTATCAGAGTTACCCCTGAAATACTCAACCTTTCTAAGTTGATCCATTGGGATAAAGCAGGGAGTAGAAAGTCGAATCATAGCCCCAAAGATAAAATTCCCCTAAAAGCCAGTCATAAGAGGCAGTTCAAATGTAAGATATGAGACTAGATTATCCATACTGGTTCATTATCCCCAAACAATGACACACCTGGTTTTTGAAATCTGCATAGTACCTTTGTTTTTACAGACAATGTTTGAGATCTAGACTAATGTCTGTGGGTCTGTTCCCATGCCAATCTTTTCAACACAAATCATTTTGGAAAAACAAGTAATGTTGAATGAAAACTGCTTTTGACCCATGGGAATACTTACGAGCTACTGAAATATTTTAGCCGGTGAAATCTCATGAAGTTTTCTGAAACTATAGTGATTGTTCTCAAGTTTGTGAAGGTATATTTTGGTTAACAATGCTCATTTCTCTGTGTTAGCTGGCAACAAGCTTGTTAGGAAATGCATCCTCACTTTCATCTATGTCCAAAACTGACATTATGCTTTGGCGTGGCCTCTGAACTAATTGCTGTATACACAGGGTGATTTTTATGCTCAGCAGTAGTGTGATGAGGGGAACTATTCACTCATTGACCAAACACTTGTTGAGCTCCTAACAAATGCATGACTGGGATACACAGTAGCAAGGAAGATGGACAGGCCCACTGGTTTCATTGAGTTTTCAGACCACCAACAGGAGAAATAAAATAAACAATAAATAAACAACAAACACAAATGTCTGATTGCAGTAAGTGCTGTGCAGAGAATAGAACAACTGGATGACTAAGTCACCGGGTGACTACTTTTGACTAGGTGGTCAGGAAAGGCCTTTCTGAGGAAATGACATTTGAGCAAATACTTGAATGACAAGAAGCACTCAGACATGCAAAGACTCCAGGTAAAGTGAGCAACAATTATGCTTTAAGTGGAAAGAGTTTTGTGTAATCAATTTTTTAAAAAATCAATAAAATGACCATCAACAATAAAAAGTTATGGCTGCTCCTGGAGCAGAGTATTCATGGAGATATGAGAGATCAGAGTAGGCAAGGGCCCCATGTGGAGGCCTGCTAGGCCTTCTGCCCATCACAGGAGTTTGGATTGTAGTCTAAGTGCAGTGTGAAGCCGTTGGAGCAATTTAAATAAGCAAGTGATATGCTGGGATTTACTATATAACACATATAGAAAACATACAATTTGGAAAAAAGAGGAACAACTCCTGCCACCAAATCCAAACTCCCCATAATAAAACAAACTAGTCTTTCTATTAATTAACATTTTCTTTAAATTATCTCCAGCATAAAGCATCCTCCCAGTATACATATATGCACAACCTAAACACATGATGTGTCCACAAATGGCCATTCATTACATTCACCAAAGGGCAAATGCAAATGCAGGATGATTCTTCCCAAATCCTGGCATTTGCTTCCCATGAAGGGAGTTCAAACTGCATACTCATGAATCTCTCTTAATATCTTTACTCATTTCATATTTAGAGAGATGACTGACTTATCCAGTAAATTTGGAAAAATTACTGGGTATGCCTGGCTCAGCTCCCAGGTATTCCTGATGAGAGTGAATCTAGCCATGGAGAGTAGAAATTCTGCTTTGTGCCTCCTTGGGAAAAGCATTCCCTAGACAGTCCCATCCTGTGGCCCACCTTGCTGTGACTGGAGTGGTTCTTCCTAAATCTGAGTTCAACATTAGCAAGTCCACTTGGGTTAACAAATCTAAAGCCCAGTACTCTAACCTAATCTCTCTTAGGAAGACAATGATAATTTAGCCTTCATGTCTATTACTTTTCAACTTATTCAGAAACAAGATGGGAAATATGAAGTATCACTTTCACTGAGGATTGGGACCTACTGAGAACACAGCACCTCTTAGGTTCTATCAAAGATATGAAGGAAGAAGTAAATACACTGTCTTTACTGAGAAAATTCACAATGTTTTCTAATAAAATATTAAGGCTTGCTGACAAGAAAGCAGATTCTCAGACAGAATAGAAAACAAAAAAGCAAAGAAACATTAAAACAAAAAAGCAGAGAAACAAACTGACCAGTTTGGAGTCTCCCAAGACTCTACCACATGCTCTATAAAGAACTGGACAATCACACAAGGTAGAAACAGAGGAAAGGACCAATGGAAAGAATGCCCACTTTTGCACTCTATATAGACTGAAAGACAACATTCTTCTTTTCTGGTCATTGACTCTCATTGTCTTCCAAATATTGATCTGTAAGCTTTGACTCTGAACATTGTTTCCATCTCAGTTATTCTCAATTCTGTGTTTACCAGACTCCTTCTGCCACACCAAACAATGGGAGTGTGCTGCTACTCTTGGTTCCTTTTCTCAA
The DNA here is from genome assembly GCF_000001405.40 of Homo sapiens. Classification (NCBI taxonomy): domain Eukaryota; kingdom Metazoa; phylum Chordata; class Mammalia; order Primates; family Hominidae; genus Homo; species Homo sapiens. The sequence continues at coordinate 74,658,336 of NC_000004.12, forward strand.
ACTTTCGCAATGCCCATTGAATGTAATACATTGCTGAAGCTCTGTTGCATGACATTTGAAAGATGGCCATGTAGCATTCAAAGCCTGTTTCCATTCTCAACCCAAAGAATAGAATCCCTCCTTTGTAACTTCCTACCTAACTCTCATGTGGAAAAGGTGAGAGATACACAGATGAATTTAAATTCATGTCTAAAAAACGAAACTTAGACATAATGGAGACATATATGGTAGAGAGAGATGATTTTGTCAGCCTTACAATGAAATGGAACACAGATCTCTTCATCTTCACTATGGGAAATAAAGTCCAGAGTCACTCGCTGGTATGATATCTGAATGAGTTAAAGAGCAACGTACGCTTGATTTGCCCCCATATATTTCGAACATTTGTTACTTTTTTCAAGTGAAATTTAAAAACACCTTATCAAATTTTAGACTCAATTTTAGGTCAAATATAAGACAAATAGGTGCAATAATGTATTATTTAGGAGCTCTTTGTAACAGTTTTTATTTTTTTTTTTGTTTTTGTTTTTTACTTCTTGGGTATTTCAAGTTTCACAATGGAGTGCTTCTCAGCCCAAATGTGTAAGGCAATTATAACATCTAATAGTACATACCTGGTTGTACTTGATCCTCATTTTGTGAGACTTCTATAGAACCCTCACCCAAGGAATTTGGCTACCCTATTGGACCCATTTCAAGAAAAATGAAATAGCAGTGATCCTAAGTTGCTGACAATATTTTTTCCTACTCTAAAACTTATAAAGAAAGTCTTAGAAAGGATTGTCTGGCCAGGCATGGTGGCTCACACCTGTAATCCCAGCACTTTGGGATGCTGAGGTGGGCAGATCACCGAGGTGGGGAGTTCAAGACCAGCCTGACCAACATGGAGAAACCCCGTCTCTACTAAAAATACAAAAAAAAATTAGCCTGGCTTGGTGGCACATGCCTGTAATCCCAGCTACTTGGGAGGCTGAGGCAGGAGAATCACTTGAACCTGGGAGGTGGAGGTTGTGGTGAGCCAAGACTGCCACTGCACTCCAGCCTGGGAGACAGAGTGAGATTCCATCTCAAAAAGAAAGAAAGAAAGGATTGTAGGCCGGGTGTGGTGGTTTACGCCTGTAATCCCAGCGCTTTGGGAGGCCAAGGTGGGCTGATCACTTGAGGTCAGGATTCAAGACCAGCCTGGCCAACATGGAGAAACCCCATCTCTACTAAAAGTACAAAAAATTAGCCGGGCATGGTAGCCTGTGCCTGTAATCCCAGCTACTGGGGAGGCTGAGGCAGGAGAATCACTTGAAATGGGAGGCAGAGGTTGTAGTGAGTCGAGATCATGCCACTGCACTCCAACCTGAGCAACAGAGTGAGACTCTGTCTCAGAAAAAAATTACAAAGAAAGGATGTTTTTCCTGATAGTACCCATACCCAACAGGTTAAGACAAGAGTAGTGTAGGTGTTTGAATTAAAAAATTGAGGTGAATTTCCTGCATGTCACAGGTTGTAAGTGAGCTTGCACAAACCACTGTATAAACCATTACCCCCACAACTGAAGTTAATTCCCTAATTGTCTCCTCCTCCAAGTTCTGGGGAGTGAATCAGCCATTTGGCATTCTTCCCTACTTCTGACTGACTCAGAAGTACTTCCGTCACAACTGCCACACATTTTTGAAAAAGAAGGAGTGGAGTTGTTATATGAGTCATAAGAGAATGAGAAACAGGAGTGAGGTGAAAGGTGAGGTCAATATCCCAAATGCATTTCAAAAGAGGTAGTCAAAGGATAAAAAAGATGTTTTACACTAGAAACTTTTGAAGATATTAGTAACTAAACAGACTTTTGATGACTACTCTTTACTTTTGAAAGGTCATCTTTCTTAACCTTCAAAAAACACACAGATACCCACATACAAAGAGAGACAGAAAAATAAAGAGAGAGAGATCTGATTCTCTTCTCAAACACCTTATTGAAAATACACTTTTCCTATGATTTTCTTCATCCTTATTCTATCATATGGCTAAATTTAACGTTCCAAATCATTGGTTATAGATAAACTAAATGAAATCAGGCTTTTCAACTCCATGGTTGGCCATTGAACAATGTATGGTCTTAGAATAATTAAACTCCAAGAGCACAGTTTGGTTATTGATAAGAAAAAGATTTTTTTTTTTAAAGTTTAACCGGAACCTAATTTTCAGCAGAGCACAGGCAAATTGATTTCTTTTTTATTTACAGGTAATTTAGGATTTTCAAAATAATGTGATAAAAGATGGGCCCCAGGGTAAAACCCAGTAGATCGGATAACAGTATAAAAATCACTGACCATACTCAGCAAAAAACATTAGTTCAGCACTGGCCAAAGCCACAGGTGAGAGATTTAGCCAGTAAGTCTCCACAATATTTTGGAAGATATTTATGAGCCTCTTGGGACCCATGTCAAATAAAACCTTGTTTACAAATCTGTAATAATGTTAGTTAACTTTTTAACTCCCAAGAAAAGTTTCAAAAAGTGCTGCCTTACCTTTATTATATTTGAAGTAGATATATCCAATTTTCTACGATTCAAGGCCTGATTGGATACTAAATTTATGGAGGAATAGACAGACTATTCCCAGGGGATTTTTTTCTCTACTGTTTGTAGCATGGGATCTTATGAAGAGCAATTGAGCACTGTGGTCAGTAGCACCAGCTCTTATAGCAGCTTGCTTGGAATGGAATCCTACTTGGAATGGAATCCTACTTTGCCTTCTCCTTACTCCATTCCATTAGACGGTTTTCCACTTCTCTGTGCCTTACTTTCCCTATCCTTAAAATAAAGATAGAGACAATACTTATTTGATAGTGTTGTTATGGAGATTAAATATAAAGTACTCAGAACAGTGTCAGACATATTAAAAACTCTTTGAAAATGTACACTACAAAAACCATGGGTTTTTGACCTTTTCCAGGTTATGCAGATGCAGAGCTGAGACTTGAACCCACACCTCTGAAACCCCTGACCTACAGGCTCAGACGTGCTCACTACCATTACCCCAGAGCTAGGTGCTGTGTGAATAATTGTCATGCTGAGTAATTAATGAAAATTAATTTAGTACCTCTGCCAAATTGGAAAGTTTTACTTGAAACTTGAAATGAGCTTTCTCTTTACTTTTTTTTTTTTTTAATATAAGGGTTTATGGAGTAAGTGAAATCTTATGAGATACTTAAACTTGTAAAATAGAAAAAGCTGCAAATGAGTAAATGCCTGGAGTACTGACTTTAATACCATGACTAATAGATGATTGTTCTTTCAGGACCCATTTTGCCTACAGGCTTCTAAGCCTTTAAAGGGCTGCTCTGGAGGCCATGGTTCTACTGGTAACATAATCATATTTTCTGTCTCAGTAAATTGACAGAGCTACAAAGCAACAGAACAATGTCATTAACTACTGTTACAGCCTCTGGGTCTCAGCAAATATTTGCTGACTTGTGACAATTGGAGACCTCATTCATTTACTCAGAGTCATCACCATCTTTTCAGGTTGCCACAGTCTCTTTCCTCAAAGTCATCTTTGACCCAAAAAGTGGAAGTTGGCTATGACACAAATTGCTAGCAAAACAAGATGGAATTTTCAACTGTTACAGGATAAGACAAGTAAGAGATAGATGTGATGAAATGCAAGTCCTGGAAGCGAAGGAATGGTGTAAAATGTCACTTACTGCAAGATTCCTTCTTTGTTTGACTCACTCAGTTGAAATGGAGGCCATTACATTTCACATTCTGGTGGCCTAGGGGCACAGCCCATCATGAAATCTTGCAGGAAACTCTCTGTTCAAGTGACCCGTGAGTGCCACTTTGGGGTCTAGAATGTGACTCATTCTTCCATACATAGTTTTTGTGTAAAGAAAATAAATTAATATATAACAAACATGTTTAATTTCCACTGACCCCACCCTATCCTAACTTCCCAGAAATTTTAGCCTAACCTTGAGTTCTCATATGAATTGACTCTCCAGGTGCAATGACTATTATGACAAAATCTGAGTAAGAGTTTGTACCACTGTCCCTCCACCCTAAAGGGATTTACTTACATAGAAAGTCTAAAAACTGATTACTCCATTTGTTCCAGGAGACAACCTCCCACTAGACAAATGATGACTTGATTTGAAAAGCACTTTTAAAAAGAAGTCTGCCCTTCAGTGAAGGCAACCCAACTTAATAGTAATTATCCTTATCAGGGACCCAGTGACCAGATTCTACATATTTACCAGGTCTCTCAAGATACCTGCATAACTATTTACTAAAGGTTCTGCCTGGAACAATCACAGGGTATAAAGTTCATAATTGTTGCTGTGTATAGAATCCAAATAAAAAGAAACAAACCTATCTCCTTGGAAATATAAGTAGTGATGGAAATATAAGTAGTCTTAAAATACTGTCAAGAATGGGCACTTAAGTGATTTAAGAATGAACCAAAGATTTTATGTTGAGTGTATTAATATAAAGTCATATGTGCCTAAAATAAATTAAAGAGCACAAAATAGTATTGCCACAATGATGCAGAGTGCACGAACAGTGACAAAGGTTCCAATGAACTGACAGTTATAGGGAGAAATAATTAATTTCCACACTTTATGAAGTTTTTTCTATAATGTACATGATTTACAAATTAATATATAATTGGAAAATCAATATATTGTAGGAGAGTTCCATAAAGTGTGGAATTTTATTATGAAAAACTGGTGAATGTGATTGTTTAACCAGTCACTTCTCTTACGTTGCAAAGATCCACTGTTACATAGCTCATATTCATTCCATATGGGCTTAACCTTGCTCTCCTTGATTTACAGTCTAGTGAGGATTTAGTCAAGTTAACAGGCAATACCTTGTAAGTGCTACGATGTGGGGCGTGCACAGAGGACTGAGGGAACACATAAGATTCACATGTCATAGGTTCCAGGTAGCTCACTAGAGAAGGGAACTCTTAATGATGATGTAGAAGTTAATTGGCAAAAAGACAGAAGTTAATAAAAGGGAAGGAGATATTCCTAGAAGATGGAAAGGGAAATACCTGGAATGAGGAAAACATAGCTTTGGATATGCTCAAGGATGCCTATTTTAAAATGTCTAAGCTCAAGTTGTAGAGTATTCTGCCATGACCTACAAGATCACAATCGCAGGAGAAGCAGTTGGCAGCTATCTTTATCTGAAGGAGGTATGCTTGATTTAAAGATTATCAACTGACACATCAAGAATACAATTAAAATATCTATAATAATACCAAATAATTATAAAGATATAAAGTTAAAAGTTAAACATCTCATTCAAATACTATTAAATGTAGCATACAAAAATAGTCCAATCATCCTAATGTGTTAACATCTCTAGATCAGATGTTACCTACAAAGGAAACAACAAAGTTCCTCTGAAGAGTGTTTTGTGAATTCTCTTTGTCAAGTTAAATCTTTCCTTATTCAGAATCACTCAAGCAGTAGGTATTATTATGCACATATGCTAGATAATAGGGAATTGAATAGCACTGTTTTTTGGTGGAAAAGGAGATTACATTTTTCTTGGGTAAGGAGGTCAATTTACATAAAGAGTGAATAGTTAATAAAAGAGCAATTAATACAGTTAGAAACTGCAATATTTGCTCTATAGATTATCAGTGCTAGAATACTGATGACTTAGTAAGCTATGTTTTCCTTGAAAAAGAAGATTTTATAGAATGAGTGGAATTTGAATTGGAGAGAGAAACTGGGGAGTAGATTCTAGACAAAGAAAAAGGTCAGAGGAAAGCTTCAGAGGCAGGTGCTGTCATGGTATATACCTGTGTCTGGGGGCCTGTCTAAAGCCAAGGAGACATTTGAGAAGTAGAATCTAATTGCTATGAATTGGTATGCTGCGATGAGATAATAGAGAAATTTGAAAAATAGAAGCCATCATTTAGTTGGATACTTTAAGGACAAAATTCTTAGAATGGATACGGGTTTCTTTTTGGGACGATAAAAAAGCCATAACATTAAATAGTGGTGATAGTTATATTGAGGAGTATTGAATTGGAGAACAACATTCATAGTTACATTGAGGAGTACTGAATTGGAGAACAACATTCAATGGTTAGTCTAGTAATCTTATGAAAGAAAAACAGAGAATGAAAAAAATCCACAGCCACTGGGGTCAATAGAGACACATTTCTATTTAGATATGGATGAGTGGCAGGATCTTACATGCAAAATAAAAATCAAGAACTGATACCAAAGGCATTTCAAAAGAAAAAAATGAAAAAAAAAAATCCCTTGAGCATACTAATTGGATAAAGGTAAGAACATAGAAGGCAAGGGTGAGTTGGAAATGCCTGAGTAGCTATGTAAATAGTGGCTTCAATTGGTGGAGGCGGAAAGAAAAATGGAGTGAGAAGAGTGATGACTTTGTTTTTGTTGCTGTTGAGCTTAGGATAATGAGGTATTTAAGTAGAAATGTTTATTTAGATGGTAAAATAAAAGCCTATAGATCAAGCGAGAGCACAGGTATGGAGTTACAGGTGACATTGTTACATGAGTATTTCTAAGGAAAAAGAACAGTGATTATTTTAACCTTTTCTTTCCAACAGAATTTTTACTTCAAACAAACCTAAACCAGGCTGGGCGCGGTGGCTCACGCCTGTAATCCCAGCACTTTGGGAGGCCGAGGCCGGCGGATCACAAGGTCAGGAGATCAAGACCATCCTGGCTAACAAGGTGAAACCCCGTCTCTACTAAAAATACAAAAAATTAGCTGGGCGTGGCAGCATGCGCCTATAGTCCCAGCTACTCGGGAGGCTGAGGCAGGAGAATGGTATGAATCCGGGAGGTGGAGCTTGCAGTGAGCCGAGATCGCGCCACTGCACTCCAGCCTGGGCAACAGAGCAAGACTCCGTTTCAAAAAAAAAAAAAACAAACAAACCTAAACCAAATGCCAAGTTGTTATTGCTTTTATAAATATAAAAGAGAAGGACTTTGCAGGAGTAAAAGTCCTAGAGCCTCTTTCTTCACCAAATCCTGAATTCCATGGTAACCTGGGGACTAGGAGACACAAGTAGGGGGCATTCATGGGAAGCAGTTGAACCAGCCCAGGAGAATCCTTCTCTGCAATCAGGCATGGCTGGCGATAATGGAGACAGGGTGGAAACCACCCTGAGTGAGCCAAGCTGAGTGAGCAGTGCAGAGAGTCAGAACAGGAACGCAGGGAAGGGCTGGCCTGTCCCCAAATGGAGCTGCGATTCAGAGCTGATGAGCAGTCAGCCTGAGTCACAGAGCACAGGTAGGTCAGACAAGGCAGTGGGTCAGGACCAGGTGGGCAGTTCAGAAACCAGGAGCTCAACCCTGACGAAAGGGCAGAGAGGCAGTTTGGAATCAGGAAACCCAGGCTTAGCCAGCTGGGTATTGTTGGTATTAGGGATTAGCCTCCAGGTCACCAGGGCACACATTTATTCATTCACAGGAAAAATATATTTTAGCATCCATGATGGGCCAGACACTCTGCTAGGCCCCAGGATATTATGTTAAGGAAAGAAAAAGACACATTTCCTCTTTATGCTATGTACTATGTGCAAGGGAATTGCCCAGATTCCAAGAAATTCTGTTCTCTTATTCCTCTCATTTCCCAGATACTTCCCACGCTGGTGTCTATTCAGCTTCACTCTTGTGAGTCTACTTCATTTGTTCTTATTGTGTCAAGCCATCTTGTTATATTCTAGTTTTATTTTCACTCCTAGGTTTGCTTGCATTAATAAATGGAAAATCTTTAGATTGCATAATATTGTGGCTTCTAGTAACTTTTCGGATTGGTTTCAGACAGTGAAAAGGGCAAAAAAACAGGTTTGAAAGACTTACAGAGGAAGTTTATGAGATTTACGAATATATGGTTTTACTTGATTGTAAAAGTAGGTATTCATCATGGAAAACTTCTATTAAAAATCCATATAATGGAACAAAAGTCATTCTTAATACTATCATCTAGAATTAGCAGCTATTACTATTTGGAGGTATTTCCCTCCTTTTATGCATAGCATCATGTTTAAAAGTGCAGAATGTAAACATGGCTGCTGGGTTCAAAATCTAACTCTGGTATAGATCCAAGACAAAGAAAAACATATGTCCACACTAAAACTTACACATAAATATTCAGAGCAGCATTACTTATAATAGAAAGAAAGTGAAAACAACACAAATGTCTATTAGCTGATGAATGAACAAAATGACAAAATGTGGTGTGTGTATATGTACATGCATATATATGGATACATATACATATATGCATTTAATGTCTGTGTGTCTTACTCTCTTCATCTGTGAAGTGGGAATAATAGTAGCACCTCCCTCCCCAGATTGTGTAAGAATTAAATTAATTAATAGAGGGAAACAGCTTAGAAGAGTGCTTCACACATAGCAAGTGCTGGATACATTTTGGATTCTATTAGTAATATTGGAAGGAGGAGCAGCAGGAGTACCTTTTACTTAGTTGATATGCAATAAATAATATTGTATTGTTAACATTTCCGCAACAACAAAATCTTTGTCAATATTATTTTAAATGATGCATCTACATTTTCTCAGCTGTTCCTCTACTGTTAAATACGTTGTTTCAAGTTTGAGACTAAGTTATGCTACAATAAGCATCTTTGTGCACCAAAGATTTTTTTTAATCATTCCCTTAAAATAGATGATCAGAAGTGGAATTACTGTTTCCAAGCACATAATATCTTAGAAACTCCGCATAAGAGCTGCCAAAGTGTTGTTGAAAAGTGTCTTCTAATTTACTCTGTTTAATCTATCTCATGTCACCTGTGTCTGAGACTGCCTGTTTTACTCTCCCGTCAGCCACATGAAGTGATAATTCTTTTTATAATCTTTGCTAATTGGTATCTGACTGTTCTTTTAAATGAAATTCAATTGTTACTCAATTTTAAATGAAATTCAAATGTTACTGAGGTTGAATATTTTTTCAAACATTCTCTTTGGAACTTTTTGACCATTTGTACATTGAGTTCTTAGAAAAACTAAGAACAGTAAGTTTTTTCTTAGACCTTGAAGAGCTCTTTGCACACTAAGTATATTTTATATATATATATATATAAAGTATTTATTATATATATTTAATGAAATAGCAAGAGATGTATGTATATAAATTAAATATAAATTGAATAGAAAATAAAATAAATGTTTGGCATAAAAGTAAGTACAGAGAAGCTATCTATTTCACTCATGACCCAACTAGGTCTTGAGGTGTTTAGATAATTACAAGTAACTTTCTTCCTCAAATTTCAATTTCTACTTTTCTTTGTCACTACTCTTCATTAGAAAGTGGTTCTTGAAAGATCAGAAATTGTTAGTAAGAAATTCTGGCCAGAAGAAGTAAATTTTGAGATCATATGTGATTTCTCATTTTAATAAAAGATCTACCTGAGAAATGAAAGGATTGGAATTCTAATCCAATACCTATTTGACTATAAAAGTCTTTTAAAAATCTTTCAGAAGGCACCCTGCTTTCTGCCCAAGACGTTCAAGGCAACATTCAAGAACTGCCACACTCAAAGTCTGTGCCCCTATTACTCTGACCTCTCTCTGTTTTATTTTTATAGCTGTGTTCCCAAGGATTCCCCTAGAATGCAAGGTAAATACTCTCATATTTAATCTAGTCTTCAGATAAACCTAATCTGGTCTGGCAGCTGTAATTTTTAAGGAGCTTTCATGTTTTAATGACTGCTTTATCACTGCAAAACTGAGATGTGTGAACTGCAAACCCTCTGTGATATAGAGCTACACCCTTTTTGTTGAAACACTTGCTGAGTTTTATTAACCAAGAAATGTTTGTTTAGCAAATCATGGAGTTTTATGATCTATAATACATAGTTCCATATCATGTAAGATTTCTATGGATTTCTAAACACAAAACCATCTTCAAAGAAGCAGAGGTCCCCAGGTTTGTTTGGAAAGACCCATAATTAACTCTTAGTACATGACAGCATTTAACAGGGGACAGGCTTTGGGAACAGGGTGTGTTTTCTGTAAATGACAACTCCTTTCATAAAAACAAAAACACTATCTCATTGGACAAGTCCTGCTAACAGATTTTTTTTAATCCAAAATTGTGTTTTTGTTTTTTGCATGCTTAGTTTGCCCTCATTGAGGATGTAGGTAGAAGTGAGTGGGGATGATAAGGGTTATTGGGGAGGACTGGGTGGGGTACATTGTTCTAATGACAAAAAGTAGGATTGTTACAGCAGTTGTACAGACTAAATGAAAATTCAGTGTACTTTTTTTTTCACAGATGTCAGAGAGCGTAGTTGAACTGAATTTGAAATTACTTAAACGCCAATCATAGTCCTTGATATGGAGGAATAAATATTTTCATAACATTTAGCATCTAGTAACAAAGCAGTCATACATTTATGTTATGTATTTATTTGAGCTATATACTGTAACTGCTACAAACCCAGTACTGCATTGCATGAGGCGGATTCAAAGACAATAAAGAGATGAAATCCCAGTTCCTGCTTTCATATTCAAATTGATCGTTTCTTAACTTTCTCCCTCCCTGGCTCTTTTCTTCCTTTCCTTCCTTCCCTCCACTCTTTTCATACCAACAAAGCAGTGATAACAAAGAATGGACAAAGGTCTCAGAGAGGATAGGGAAACTGAAGCCCAGAAAGTCTAACGTTTTATAGGATGTTCCATACCGTAAGTTTCCCTTACTGTAACATGAAAGTAACAACACATACCACACAGGGGGATCTAAGAAACATACAAATGTCCTCAAAGTGATCCACTCAAACCAAGCACTCAATAATGCAGGGTAAAATTTTGTCTCTCATCAAAAAGGGGAGCAAAGGGGAGAAAGGTTTTCTAGACCAAGGGAGTGTCCTGTGTAAAATTTACCAACACAAGAGATTTTGTTCAGAACCATTAAAGTTTCATTAGAATCCTTGCTCAAGAGGAAGACGATATAAGATAAGATAAAGAAATAAGTAGCTCTTAAGAGCTTTGCTTTCCATGCTAAGGAGCTTGGATGTGATCCTGGAGGAGATGGAATTTAAATAGGGAAGCTGTGTGATTATATGTACTGGAGATGAATGAGATCAAAGCCAGAGTGATCGGTTAGGAGTCTCATAGAATAGTGAAAGCAGGTGAGAAACTAATCTACGACAGTATCAGAAGGGATAAAGCTTACACATATTTAAGAGAAAAAGATAAATAGGCCTTGCATAAAAGACATGCTCAAAAAGTCTCTATTTCAAACAAAAAAATTCATGGACCAACAATACAGTGCTGGCTGTTGAATACCCCTCTGACTTCAATCACTTTCAGATTCACCTCATCTTCAGGAGAAGCAAAGAAATGTAAATGTTTATTGGTGTTTTATTAATAATTGTTTCACTAATCTAGTTGACAAAGGATGGTTCCTACAATTCCACTTTTATTACAAACCTCATGCACAATAAATCCCCAGTGTTTCCTACAGGAGGGTTCTAGCCTTTACTGAGTTCACCAAGCCCGTGAGCTAGATATTATTGTTGCCCCGTCACAGATTAAAAATCTGAAGATCAGAGAGGTTTGGTAACTTGGGCAAGGTCACACAGTGACTATGTGACAAAACTACAATTAGGAGTCAAATTCATGTGACCTCAAATGGTAAAACTTTCCACCACAAGATATTACTGTAGTATGGTAAAAGACATTGATTCTCAACACCATCTTGATATCAAAATTACTACGGGATTTTTTTTTTTTAAGCAGAAATGTTTAGGTCCCATCTCAGATTTCCCAAGTCAGGATTTCCTGGGGAAGAACAGTGGCAACAACGCTTTTCAAAACATCCCTGAAAAGTTCTAATGTGTAGGCTGAGTTGGGGAGCCTACTTCGTGGAGGTAAGAACGAAGTTCTGCCTACATTGGAAAGTTAAATGAAATGAAGGAATCCACACTCCTCCTCATCAGTTGGGAGGGTGATGGATCATACTTCCATCCAGTCCTTATATTCGTCCATATAAAAAGACCCTACAGTATTAGAAACAATGAGCTACAGCAGAGTGGGCAGAATTAAATCTCATACCTTTCATTCCTTGTAACCTGAGAAGTAAATATGGTGCATAGTGCTCCAATATCTCCCAACTCAAATCTGAATTGATAGATGGGAAAGGAAGTCAGAGTTTCAAGGAGAAGTACAGAAAAGAAATAGATTCTTTCTTGGGCCTTTCCAGAAGATGCTACAATAATTTTATTGTAATTCTCTGATTAATTTCCTCTACATCAAGGATCTCAACTAAAAACTATAAATTGATAGTCAAGATTTTTCCCTTCCCTCTACCCAGCTTCCTCTGACTAACTCCTGCTCATTCTCAACAAATCAATTTAAAGGCAGCCTTACCTGACTCTCACACTCTTCTATAAGTCCTCTCTTATGTTCTCCCACAGTGTCCTGTGTCTACCACTATTACAGCCTTAAGTGCTAGGTAGTGCAATCATTGCATGTATTATCTGTCTCTGTCTAGACTTTAAGGTTCCCGAGGGCAAAGAGTTTCTTAGTTCACTTTATATCTGTAAAATCTAACACAGAGCCTACCACAGAATATGTGCTCAGTAAATACTTCTGAAATGAATGAATATATGAAGAAAGGAAGAAATGAAAAAAGAAAGAGGTGGTGAGAAGGGAAGGAGAGAAAGGAAGAAGGAAGGAAATTGGCAATGTCCTTTGGAGATTACTGTCAATACAACTTCTCTCCAACCTCAATGGCTGAAAGATAAATAGTGTGATATGAAATAACTATTTCAATGGTAAAAATAAAGAAGAAATGGGCAGATATATTATCTCAGATCAAGATGATTGTAACAAAGTTGAAATTTCCTATAAGGTTTCTTCTATTACTGCATATGAATTACCTTCTATTCCACCTAAATAGCCTATTTACAGACACGGATGGGTAAGAAAGGGCAACGATGCCCCCCAGAGGCTAAAGGCAGGAGCTTGGAAAGCAGCCATCATTTATTTACTATTGGCAGAGAGCTCAAGGATATCTATGGAGGGGGTGACTAAAATAAAGGGCAGTTTCCTGCATAAAATGGTAATTTGAAGGCTGAGGGCAGAGGGTAAAAAACAAAGTGGTGTACCAGAGGCTATTTTTTTTCACATTATTATTTGCTTCTGGGGCACAAAATGCAGTTTAGTAACATAAAAATATAGTCTCAGTGATTTGCAAGTGAGTAGCACCACCAGAGATATTACAGAAATCTGAATTAAATTAAATTAAAATATTCCTCATAGGTTACATTAACACCTGTAGTATTTAATCCCAATATTGGAAATCCAGTAGATGTATTGGATAAATCCCAAATCTACATCTACAAAATTATTTACTCCTCATAGATGAGGACTGGGTTTTCTATTGCTGAATCCTCATTGGCTTCTGAGGACCTGGCACTGAGTAGATGATAAACAAGTGTGTACTGAACAAATGCATGCATGTGCCCATATGTTTTAAGATGATTATATGCATTTGCTTGGCTGACAGTTAAAATGCTTCAGCTGACTAATGTGCTTCCATGACTTCTTGATTGGGCCACTATATGCTGAGCCTTCTGTTCTAAGCATTAATGTTTATTGTGCTTTCTTATTAGGAAATTAAAACAGCAAAACAGTATTAACAATAATTAGCCTTGGAAATAAGAGTAAGCCCACACACAATATAGTGCTTACTAACAGCCCATAATAACGACAGGACTCATCAAAAATAACTACCCCATTAAGTTGAAAGTATAATTGTCAAAAGAAACACTATCTCTTCATTGGCCAGGCATTAGTGAGCCAATGGATTTCAGGGGTAGCATTCACATTTAGAGGCTATTCCAATGTTTCACTGCCTCAAATCTCCTCTGACCCAACCTTCACTCCCTTCAGCTCAGCACATGCCCTTAACATTTACTTCACTAAAAAAAAGCAGGCCATTGAGAATTTCACCTCCTCACTGTGTCCTAAAAATGCCCTGAGTCTGATTCTTTTCTTTCCCTTGCCGACTCTGTCTCAGAAGAAAGTGGGCTCTCCTCACCTTTCGGCGCTGCAGATCGCATTCTCCTACAACCTCCTACCAAGAAACTAAAGCTCTCACACAGCTCCATCCCTGTAACTAATTCCAGCTCTTCCTCTGGCTCTATTGGTTTATTCCCCAACACCACCTATGATTGTTCCCCAACACCACCTATGATTGTTCCAACACCGCCTATGATTGTTCCATCTTTAAAGTTTCTTCCTTGACCCCTTTTCCTTATCCAGTTCTCTCCTCTCTTTCTCAAACTTTCCAGAAGAGAGGCTAATGCAAAAGTATCCTCTTCCACCCTTCCCAGTCGCTCCTTAGTTCACTACATCTGTGTCTTGTACCCAACATTTTATCAGAACTACAATGATAAACTATAATAAGAATTATTGCCAAGGATTTCCAGATCAGTGGTCCAGTGGACTGGTTGTTATGCATTTATCTTTCTGGACTCCACCCTCCACATCCACCACCATTCCCTCTCTTCCTCCTAGCAGTACAACACTCAAAAAAGGTGCATCACACAATCTCCCTTCATTATTCTACTTGGAGCTCCTGGACAAAGTGACTCCACCTTGTATATTGAACACATTTCTGGTTTTGTATTTTTCAAATTATATTCTAATGAATATGCTTATACTTCTGTCTTCCTTTTCAGATTTTGAGCTTCTTGCAAGCAGAAAAAATATCAGAATCATCTGCCTCACAAGTGTCTGGCACAGTGCTTGTCACATAAAGATGGCCCACAAAACTTCAATGACAGAAGAGGGAAAGGAAAGAAGTCTGACAGATATCTAACTATATCCAAGAAAGACATGAAAATTCATTGATTTATAAATTTGCATATAAAATGTAAAGAAAGAAAAGTAATATCCTATATCAGAGATGGCTCTTTGTTTTAGACCTCATAGAATTTCAGGCTGCCTTAAAGATTATCCTTCCTTAAAGAGAAGAAAGAAAGGAACAGAAAGTTAACGTTATTCTTTTCGAATCTACACAATTAAAGGGTGAAAAAAATAAGCCTAAAATGTACATCCCCAAATCCAATGCACTTTCTATTATCCTATATATTTACTTTCTCAAAAATTAATTTCTCAATTATTTAATTACAAAAAAGAAAGGTTGAATGCTTATTTGTTAGGATTGTTGCAGGTGTTCAAGGAACAAAACAATTGTAGTACCTGTTCGCATGGTATAGACAGACAATAAACCAACATAAATAATAAAATGTCAAGTAACTACTAAGAAGAAAAATAAAGCAATATAAAAATATAGCTAATGACTGAGAAGGAGTGCAATTTTCAGAAGTGCTAGTAATAAAAGATTTATCTGAGGAGATGAGATTTGAATAGAAAACTAAATTATGTTTTGAGTTATTTAAGGAGCACACCGTGAAAGATGTAACAAGGGGAAGTAAGAATGAAGGCCCTGAGATGTGAATGATCTTGGTGTGATCACAGAGTCATGAAGAATAGAAATGAGAACATAATGCAAGTGATTCTGGAACGTGTCAGATCATGGAAAGTGTTGGAGACCACTGTAGAGATTTAGATACTACACGAATATTACAGGTGTTGGAGTAGGAATTAACTCTGTTAAGATCAACCTAGGTGTTAGCGGATTGGATTGTAAGGGGGCAAGAGAAGGAGTACAGAGACCTGCTAGGAGGCTATTGCAAGAGTCCATCTTAGAGATCAATTAATGGGTCAGGATGGAGAGCTGAGTGCTGGAAAGCAGCCAGATGTGTGATGCATTTTGAAGGTGGAGATGAGTGACTCTTCTTAGCCTACTTGAATGGAGGCTGTAGGAAAGGAGAGGATAAAGAAGAATTGTTAGGGATTTACCAGAGAAGCCAAATGAAGTGGGTGCCATATGCTGAGATGAGGAAGCCCAAAGGAATAACAGGTTAGGAATGGAAGGAAATCAGGAATTCCACTGGGACATGTACAGGTTGAGATGTTTTTTGGACTTTTAATGTATAGATCATCGTGCCTCTTATTTCTATTGCTGCTGAGAGCAGTTCAGTTCTGCGGGTGTTTTTAAAAATTCACTCCATGTTATTGGCCAATTGACCAGATAGATCAAAAACTCAGAAGAGACAAAGCTCATTTTCCAGAAACACTCTCAACCAGCCAGGTAAACAATACACATTCAAAGCCAAGTACCAAATCAATGTTTATGAATTAGCTAAACCTCAGATAATGTCAATGTAACGCCACAATAAAAAACACATCTTAATATTTGCCTCTGCTTTCCCTTAAACTGTATTCATAAGGATATTTCCCTACCCCTAAATGAAGATTCAGGCAAGTTCAAAACTTTTCTGGTTAATCTTAGATAGTACTTCAGACAAATTTTAGTCATACAAACAATCTCTATTTAGAAAATAAAATGTTCAGATGCATGCAATGATCACAATTCTGAACTTAGCTTGAAATTTCTTAGCTCAGATCTTCTGTGGTTACTTTTTTGCTCAGCACCAAGGACCAACCAGAGGAAAGAGGAGGAGCTGTAAGGAAATGTAGAGGTCCTCACATGACTGGAGGCTACAGACTCTCTAGGTCTGGCAGGAAGCTAAGCTCTCCCTTGCATAGGAGAGTTTGCATGTGTTCTTCAGAAAACTTCCTCCACTTCCGTTGACCAAGGCAAATGCTTCTCTAGGTGGGCTGGGCACTCTCAACTCCTTCTTCAGCTCTTGAGTATCCAGCAGCTAATCTCTTTCTCCCTCTGAATTTCCTGGTGGGTGGGAGGGAGTCAAACTCTGTCCAGAGTCTCTTAGCTTTGTAGGTATCGGTTGGGCACGCACCAGTCCTCTATGGAGGAACCCACCAAAGAGTTCTCTGAGTAGCCTCCTGGAATCAATTACTAGACCAGGGTTTACATGAGTGGGGCTAGAGAAAGAGGATGGGGACTCACAGTTGGTCCATATGTTCTAGAAGGAATTCGCTTTGCCAATATCCTAGCTACATCCCTCACCAACATCCCCTCTCATCTCTTACTCTTTGTTATAACCCTGTTCTAACCAAAGTGGCCAAAGACTTTTGGCTAGGTTCTCTTTGAGACCATTTTCTTTGTAAATCGATATATAAAGCAGAGGAAGTCAATTTCACATCCAAATGGATATTTGATACCTATTTGTATTGATGCTTTCAAGTCCCTTCATATGTGTAAGCTGCTGTAGGAGAAGCATCCCCACAGGAAGTAAGAGAGAGATCTCCTGTCTGACTCTTCAGGGACTGAGTCCCAATCAGAACCATTTTCTTCTTGCATACCTTCCATCTTGCTTCACCTTCCTTGATTTGCTCAGTAATTAACAATTTTCAAAAACTGATTTACAGTCATTAAAAAAACTAACCATAAATATATCCGCCAGACAAAGCATACAGTTTAAAAAGGTTGTTTATAAAACAGTATCATTTCCACGTATCTCCATATTCTTGTCTCAAGTTTCTCTGTACCTGGTCTCTTCTGCTCATGCAATAGCTGAAATCATTGCACCCTCTTGTGGTAACGTCTAAGTCCTGCAGAATTGTAGACCTTGACTGTCCAGCTTTGGACCATTTCCCATCCACATTTTACTTCCTAGAGGCTGTACGGGTCTCACTTATTCATCATGGGCTTAAACGTGAGTGATATGAGTATTCTAAATGACTTTTTTTAAATCTCTATACTTCAAGTAACTTTTACCAAAAGATATTTTGTCTGAAATTAATATGAATGTAACATTTCAATTCCAAAGCCATTACACACATTTGCAATTTATCTCTTGCTGATGACACTGTCCCTATCTCTTGCCTCTACTGTCCCTTAAGCTTTCTTCATGGGGATAGTCTTCCCCACCCCTAGATGAAGATTAGGGCAAATCCATAAGAAATAATGATGATGACACTATAAGACATTAAAAAGTAAGTTATCCTCCATTTTCATTAAGGGATTTGTCTTTTTAATTAAGCTTTTTATTTTGACATAATTATAAATTAACATGTAGTTCTAAGAAATAATACAGAGATCCTGTGTACCCTTTACCCAGTTGTTACTAACTGTAATATCTTGAAAAACTATAGTATAATATCAAAACCAAGTTATTGAGATTGGTGCGGTAAATAAACATAAATTTTTCATCCCCACAAGGGCCCCTCATTTTTTCCCTTTTATCTTTTTCACCTCCATCACTCTCCTATCCTCACCCATTGTTTAATCTTGGGCAGTAACTAGCCTTTTCTACATTTCTATAACTTTGTCATTTCAAGAATGTTATTATATAACTGAAACCATACAGTGTGTAACCCTTGGGGATTACCTTTTTTTCACTTAGCACGATTCTCTGGAAAATCATCCAGGTTGTTGTGCACATCAGTTTGTTCCTTTTTATTGCTGTGTAGTATTCCATGGTATGAATGTACCATTGTTTATTTAACCATTTGCCCAATAAAGAACATCTGGTTTGTTTCCAGTTTTGACCTATTAAAAATAAAGCTGCTAAAAGCATCTCTATGCAGGTTTTTTTGTGAATATAAGTTTTTGTTTTTCTAGGATAAATGCTCAGGAGCACAATTGCTGGGTTATATGGTACATGTTTACCTTTTTGAGAACTGTTTTCCAGGGTGGTTATACCGTTTTACATTCCCACCAGCAATGTGTGAGTGAGCAAATTCCTACATATCCATGCCATCATTTGGTGCTGTCACTATATTTTATTTTAGGCGTTCTGATGGTGGCTAGAAATATTTCATTGTGGGCTAAATTTACAATTTGTTGATGGGTAATGGTGTGGAACATCTTTTAAAAAGTATTTGATTCTATTTTAAAATTTTTGTGGGTACATAGTAAGCAAGTATATTTATGAGGTACATGAAATCTTTTGATACAGGCATACAGTGTGTTAATAGACGTATAAGGTGTATACCATGTCAAAAGTTTATTCTTTGTGTTATCAAAAATCCAATTATACTCTTTTAGCTATTTTAAAATGTACTATTAAATTATGTCTTACTATAATCACCCTGTTGTGCTAGCAAATAATAGGCCTTAGGTATTCTTTCTCACTATTGTTTTGTACCCATTAACCATCCCCATTTCTCCCCTATGCTTCCCCCTGCCCTCCAACCAATGTCTACCCTTTCCAACCTCGGGTAATCATCCTTCTACTTTCTATCTCTATGAGTTCAATTGTCATAAATTTTAGCACCCACAGAGAAGTGAGAACATGCAATGTTTATTTTTCTGTGCCTCGCTTATTTCACTTAACATAATGGCCTCCATTTCCATCGTGTTGTTGCAAATGACAGGATCTCATTCTTTTTTACAGCTGAATAGTATTACATTTTCTTTATCCACTCATGTGTTGCTGGACACCTAGGTTGTGGCCAAATCTTGGCTATTGTGAACAAAGCTGCAACAAACATGGGAGTGCAAATATTTCTTCAATATACTGATATACTGATTTCCTTTCTTTTGGGTATAAACCAAGGAATGAGATTTCTGGTTCATGTGGTAGCTCTATTTTTAATTTTTTGAGAAATATCCAAACTGTTCTCCATAGTGGTTGTACTAATTTACATTCCCACCCATAGTGCTCAAGGGCTCCCTTTTCTCCACATCCTCGCCAGCACTTGTTATTGCCTGGCATTTGGATAAAAGCCATTTTAACTTGGGTGAGATGATATCTCATTGTAGTTTTGATTTGCATTTCTCTGATGATCAATTATGTTAAGCACTCTTTTATATACAAGTTTGCCATTATTATATCTTCTTTAGAGAAATGTCTATTCAGATCATTTGGCCATTTTTTAATTGCATTATTAGATTCTTTTCTATAGAATTGTTTGAGCTCCTTACATATTCTGGTTATTAATCCCTTGTCAGATGGATAGTTTGCAAATATTTTATTTCATTCTGTGGGTTGTCTCTTCACTTTGTTGATTTTTTTCTTTGCTGTGCAGAACTTTTTAACTTGATGTGATTCCATTTGTCCATTTTTGTTTTGGATACCTGTGCCAGTGGGGCATTACTCAAAAAATCTTTGACAAATACAATGTCCTGGGGAGTTTCTCCAGTGTTTTCTTATAGTGGTTTCATAGTTTGAGATCCTATATTTAGCCTTTGATCCATTTTGATTTGATTTTTGTATATGGCAAAAGATAAGGGTCTAGTTTCACTCTTCTGCATATGGATATTCAGTTTTCCCAGTACCATTTATTGAAGAAACTGTCTTTTCCCCCATATATGTTCCTGGAATCTTTGTAAAAAATGAGTTCACTATAGATGTGGATTGTTTCTAGGTTCTCTATTCTGTTCCATCAGTCTATGTTTCTGTTTTTATGCCAGTACCATATGGTTTTGGATACTATAGCTTTGTAGTACATTTAAAGTCAAGTAATGAGATTTCTCCAGTTTTATCGTTTTTGCTTAGAATTGTTTTGGCTATTTTGGGTCTTCTGTGGTTCCATATAAATTTTAGAATAGTTTTTTCTATTTCTGTGAAGAATGTCATTGGTATTTTGTTAGGGATTGCATTAAATCTGTATATTGCTTTGGATAATAGGACATTTTAATGCTATTGATTCCTCTAATCCACTAACATTGAATATATATTCTTTTTTTTTTTCTGTGTCCCCTTCAATTTGGTGCATCAGCGTTTTATAGCTTTCACTGTAGAGGTCTATCATTTCTTTGGTTAATTCCTAGGTACTTTGTTTTATCTGTAGCTATGGTAAATGGGATTGCTTTCTTCATTTCTTTTTCAGTTCTAATAGATTTCCATGGAAATGGTCAGATGGTTTTTGTAATTTACTGTTGATATGATGTATCACATTGATTGATTTGCAAGTGATTTGCATTGATAATATGTTGAACCATCCTTGCATCCCAGGGATAAATCCCAGTTGGTCCTGATGAATTATCTTTTTAATGTGTTGTTGGATTCAGCTTGCCAATATTATGTTGAGGATTTTTACATCAATGTTCATCAGGGATATTGGAATGGAGTTTTCTTTCTTTGATGTTTCTTTGCCGAGTTTTGGTAACAGGGTAATATTGGCTCCATAGAATGAGTTTGGAAGAATTCCCTCCTCCTCTATTTTCCAGAACAGTTTTGGCAGGATTGGTATTAATTCTTCTTTAAATGTTGGGAAAAATTCAGCAGTGAAGGCATCAGGTCTTGGGTTTTTCTTTGCTGGGAGACGTTTTATTATAGCTTCAATCTCATTACTTGTTATTGGTCTGTTTAGGTTTTGGATTTCTTCATGGTTCAGTCTTGGAAGGTAATATGTGTCTGAGAATTTATTAATTTCCTCTAGGTTTTCCAACTTATTAGCATATAGTTTCTCATAGTAGCCACTAATGATCGTTTGAATTTCTGTGGTATTGGTTGTAATATCTCCTTTTTCATCTCTGATTTTATGTATTTGGGTCTTCTGTCTTTTTTTCTTAGTTAGTTTGGCTAAAGGTTTGTCAATTTTGTTTATCTTTTCAAAAAACAACCTTTTGGTAAGATTTGGTATTTTTCTTCATTTTTATTTCATGTATTTCTGCTCTGATCATTATTATTTATTTTATTCTACTAAGTTTGGGCTTATTTTGCTCTTGCTTTTCTAGTTCTTTAAGATGCATTGTTATGTTGTTTATTTGAAGTTTTTCTACTTTTTTAAAGTAGGCAGTTATTGCTATAGACTTTCCTGTTAGTACTGCTTTCACTGTATCCCACAGATTTTGTAATGCTTTGTTTCCATTAATGTTTGTTTCAATAAATTTTTCAATCTCCTTCTTAATTCCTTCGTTGATCCACTGGTCATTCAAGAGCCTATTGTTTAATTTCCATAAGTTTTTATAGTTTCCAAAGTTTCTGTTGTTATTAATTTCTACATTTATTTTATTCTTGTCAGAGAAGATACTTAATATGATTTTAATTTTTTGAATGTTTTAAGACTTGTTTCCCCATGTGTTGGGGAAAAGAAAGTGTATTCTGCAGCTTGTGAATGAAATGTTCTGTAAATATCTATTAGGTCCATTTGTCTAGAGTGCAGAGTAAGCCTGATATTTCTTTGTTGGTTTTCAGTCTGGATGATCTGTCCAATGCTGAAAGTGAGGTTTTGGAGTCTCCAGCTATTACTGTATTGGGGTTTATCTCTCTCTTTAGCTCTAATAATATTTGCTTTATATATCTGGGTGCTCCAGTGTTTGGTGCACATACATTTACAATTGTTATATTCTCTTTCTGAATTGATTCCTTTATCATTATATAATGACCTTCTTTGTCTCTATATAGTTTTTATTTTTTGTTTTGAAATCATTTTGTCCAATATAAGTATAGCTACTTTTGCTCTTTTTGGTTTCCATTTGCATGGAATATCTTTTTCCTTCCCTTTCTTTTTAATCTGTGTCTGTCTTTATAGTTGAAATGTCTTTCTTGTAAGCAACCAATAGTTGGGTCTTCCTTTTTTAAATCTATTCAGCTACTCTATGTCTTTCTTTGGAAAGTTTAGTCAATTTATATTCCGTGTTATTATTAATAAGTAAAGACTTACTCCTGCCATCTTGTTATTTGTTTTCTGTCTGTTTTGTTTCTTTTCTTTCTTCCTGAATTTCTTTCAGTGAAGGTGATTTTCTCTGGTGGTATGTTCCAATTTCTTGCTTTTTACATTTTGTGTATCTGTTGCATGCTTTTTGATTTGTGGTTACCATTAGGCTTGCAAATAATATTTTATATCTTGGTATTTTAAACTAATGGCAACATTGATTGTGTAAACAAACTAATAAGCAAAGAGACAAGTAAAAAAGCTCTAAAATTTAGCTTCATCACCCAGCTTTTTAACTTTTTGTTGTTTCTACTTATGTTTTGTTATATTATGTCTGTCTATGTCTTGAAAAGTTGTAGTTATTATTTCCGATCAGTTCAATTTAGTGTTTCTACTAAAGATATGAATTGTTTGTACTTCACAATCATAATGTTTTAATATTAGTAATGTTTAGTAATTAGTAATATTACTTAGTGTTTTACTGTGTGTTTAATATTACCAGTGAGTTCTGTACTTTCAGATGAGTTCTTATTGCTCATTAATGCCCTTTCTTTCAGATTAAAGAACACTCGTTAGCATTTCTCATAGGACAGGTCTGGTGTTAATAAAATCCCTCAGCTTTTATTTGTCTGGGAGAGTCTTTATTTTTCCTTCAGATTTGAAGGATATTTTCATTGGATACACTATTCTAGGGCAAACGTTTTTGCCTCAACACTTTAAATATGGCATGCCAGTCTCTCCAGGCCTGTAAGATTTCAATGGAGAAGTCTACTGCCAGACATATTAGAGCTCCCTTGTGTGTTAATTTTTTTAATTTTCTCTTGATGCTTTTAGAATCATTTCTTTATCATTGACCTTTGTGAGTTTTATTATTAAATGTCTTGAAGTAGTCTTATTTGGATTAAATCTGCTTGGTGTTCTATAATCCTCTTGTACTTGAATATTGGTATCTTTCTCTAGGTTTGAGAAGTTCTTTGTTATTATCTCTTTGAATAAACTTTCTACTCTGATCTCTTGTTTAAGATCCTCTTTTAAGGCCAATACACTACAATTTGCCCTTTTAAGGCTATTTTCTAGATCATATAGGCATCCTTCATTATTTTCTCTTCTTTTTTCTTTTGTCTCTTCTGAGTCTGAATTTTCAAGTAGCCTGTCTTCAAACTGACCAATTCTGTCTTCTGCTTGATCGATTCTGCTATTAAAAGATTCTGATCCATTATTTACTATGTCAATTGCATTTTTCAGCTCCAGTATTTCTGCTTGATTCTTTTAAGTTATTTCTATCTCTTTGTTAAATTTATATGATAGAATGCTGAGTTCCTTCTCTGTGTTATATTTAATTTCATTGAGCTTCCTCAAATAACTATTTTGAATTCTCTTTCTGAAAGGTCACATATCTCTGCCTCTCCAGGATTAGTATCTGGTGAGTACCTTAATTCATTTGGTGAGGTCGTGTTTTCCTGGATGGTCTTGATGCCTGTGGATGTTCATTAGTGTCTGGATGTTCATAGAGTCAAGTATTTATTGTAGTCTTCACAGTCTGAGCTTGTTTGTACCAATTTATCCTAGGAAGGTTTTCCAAGTATTTGAAGGGACTTAGGTGTTATGACTTAAGTCTTTGGTCACTGCAGATTTATATGCATTAGGGTGCACCCCAAACCCAATAATGCAGTGGCTCTGCAGTGATGTGCAAGGCCTGCAGTGACAACTGCCTAGCTACTGCCTATGTTCACTCAAACCCCAAGGGTTCTACAATCAGCAGGTAGTGAATCCAACCAGGTTGGTGCCCTTCTCTTCAGAGCAGTGAGTTGCCTGTGGCTCCAGGTGAGGTCTAGAGATGTCTTCTGGGAGCCAAGGCCTAGAGTCAGGAATCTCCTTGGTGCACTATTTTACTGTGGCTGACCTGGCAACCAAGCCACAAGGCCAAGCCCTTTCCACTCTTCCCTCCCCTTTCCTCAAGCAGGACTCTCTCACTGTAGCCACCACAACTGGGAATGTGCTGAGTCATACCTGAAGCCAGCACAGTTCTGAGTCTTATCGAAGGCCCCTGGCAAGTACTGCCTGACTACCACTGCTGATTATTCAGGGCTGAAGGGCTCGTGAGTCAGCAGACCATGAATCCTACCAGGACTGGGTCCTTTCTGTCAAGGCAGCAGGTTCTCTTCTGGCCCAGAGTGTGCCCAGAAATGTTTTCTGGGAGGTGGGTCCTGGAAGTGGAGCCTCAGGACTCTTCCTGGTGCCCTATTACACTGTAGCTGAGCTGGCATCCAAGTTGCAAAACAGAGTCCTTCTATTCTCACCTCTCCTCTCCTCAAGCAGAAGGAGGAAGTCTCTTCTGGAGCTGCAAGCTATATTGCCTGGGGTTGAGGGAGGGGTGACACAAGGACTACTTGGCCACCCAGGCTTGTATCTCATGTGCACTCCAAGTTCACTGGTTCTGAGCCTAGCACAGCACCAGAACTTGCCAGGAATTGCAGTCTTTGTGACCTAGACTGACTTTCTAGTTTATTAAGAACTCCAGAGCACTTTAGCCCATGATGGTGGGACTTGCCATAACTCAGGTTCTGACAACTGGGATGGACAATTTGCCTCTGGCTAGGGCTGGTCTAAATGTGCCCCTGTGGTTACCAACTGAATTCTGACATGTGCTGTTTTCTACTATGACAAGGCAACACTGAGTTCCAATGCAAAGTCCCAATATCACTGCGCCTTCCCTCCAGCAAGCACCATATTCTCTCTCTGTGTCATGCAACTGCTGCCAGGAGGTGCGGGAGAGGTGCTGTAGGTGATTCAAGACTGTCTTTCTTGCCCTATTCAGTGCCTCTCTCTTTAATATGATGTTAAAACCAGGTACTGTGATGCCTTACCTGATTTCTGGTTCTTATGAAGGTGGTTTTTTGTGTGGATAGTTGTTCAGTTTGGTGTTCCTGTGAATGGGTATGGTGCCATTTCTCTCACTGCTGTCAAAAAAGAATTTCTCAAAAAACTGGAGTGTTTTATTTGGCCCTCTAGCTCTGCCTCACTTGAACATGTGATTATTTGTCATCTATATATATATCCTTCAGTAAAATGTCTCTTTATGTCTTTGGCTAATTTTCAAATTCGATTGTTTGTTGTTTTTCTTTAACTGTTGAGTTTTGAAAGTTGCTTGGCTACTAATCCTTTGTCAGATATATGGTTTGCAAATATTTTCTCCTACTCTGTAGTTTGTCTTTCATCCTCTTAATGGGATCTTTAACAAAACAAAAGTTTTACAATTTGATGAAATCCACTATGTCACTTTTTCCTTTGACAGATTATGCTTTTGGTATCAAGTCTAACAACTCTTTGCCTGGGCCTAGATCTAAAAAATTTTCTCTTGTTTTTTTCTAAAACTTTTATTTTTAGGTGTTACATTTATGCCTGTGATACATTTTTAGTTATTTTTTGTATAAAGTGTGAGACAGGTTGAGATTCACTTTTTTGTTGAAAAGGCTATTCTTTCTTCTTTCTCCATTGAATTGCTTTTGCATCTTTGTCAAAAATATGTTGGACAAGGACACACCAACAGAATAAAAAGGAAACCCATGAAATAGTCAAAAACATTTGCAAATCACATATCTGATAAGGGGTTAATATGCAGAATATATAAATGACTCCTAAAAGTCAGCAACAAAAAGCAAACAACTCAAATTTTAAAAATGGGCAAGGATTTGTAAGATATTTCTCCAAAGAAGATATAAAAATGGCCAGCGAATACATAAAAAGCTCAGCATCAATAATCATTAGGAAAATGCAAAGCAATGCTACAATGATATACTACTTCACACCTATTAGAATGGCTAGATTTTTTTAAAAGAAAAGAAAACAAAAATGAGTGTTGGAGAGGATGTGGCGGAATTGGAACCCTTGTATACTGTTGGTGATAAAGTAAAATAGTCAGCTGCTTTGGAAAGCAGTATGGCAGCTCCTCAAAAAATTAAAAATAGAATTGTCGTATGATTTATCAATTCCACTTATGGGCATATATCTGAACGACCTTAAAGCAAGAACTCAGTTAATAATGCATATTCAAAGCAGCATTATTTGCAATAGTCAAAAGGTGGGAAAAAAATCTATTAATAGATAAATGAATAAACTTAACATGGTATTTACAATAGAATATTATTCAGCCTTAAAAATGAATAAAATTCTGATACATGCTATAACATGGATGAACCTTGAGAACATTATGCTAAGTAAAATATGCCAGTCACAAAAGGACAAATACTATATGATTCTACTTATATGAGGTACCCAGAGTAGTCAAATTTATAGAGACATAAAATAGAATTTTGGTTGCCAGAGGCTGGGGGTTGGGTAAAGCTTGGCGTTATTGTTAAATGGGTACAGAATTTCAGTTTTGCAGAATAAGAGGTCTGTGGCTGCATGGTGGCAATGGTTACACATTACGCCACTGAAATGTGCACTTAAAAATGACTAAGAGGTAAATTTTATGTTTTGTATATTTTACAATAATAAAAAGAAGGAAAATCAGTTGGGCATATTGCGTGGGATTTTTCTGTTTTCTATTTTGCTCTGTTGATCTTTTTGTGTATTCCTTGCCAATACTCCACAGTTTTGATATTGCAGCTCTGTAATACATATTTAAATAAAGTAGAATGACTTATTTTATTCCTCCTCTTCTACATAAATTTTAGGGTAATTGTCTACACACACACACACACACATATATGTAAATCTAAATCTTGCTGAAATTTTGATGGAAGTTGCACTAAACCTGTACATCAATTTTGGGAGAACTGACATCTTTACTAACTGAGTCTTCCAATCCATGAATCTGTTGTTTCTCCGTTGATTTACATCTTCTCTGACTTATTTTATCAGCATTTTGTAATTTCCAGTATACAAGTTCTGTGAACATCTTTATTAGATTTACACAGAACTATTGCATCCTTCTGAGTGATTATTAAATGGTAGTGCATTTTTAATTTTTTGTCCATATTAATAGAACAACTAGCCAGAAAATCATTAAGAATATAAAAATTCAACAATGCCATCAAACAACAGGATCTAATAGACATGTGTAGAACATTCACCCAACAACAGCAGAATACATATTTTTTTTCAATTCCCATGTAACATATGCCAAAATAGACTCTTCTTTTATAGTTTACTTTCTGTTTAGAAACCCTTCTTTAGCCACCCTTTTCAGGTAGATTTACTGGCAAAACATCCTTAGTTTTCCATTACTTAGGAGTGTTTTGATCTCTTCTTCATTCCTGTGAAAGATATTTTCAATAGATATGGAATTCTGGGTTGATTTTCAGTATTTGAACATTTTTGTGACACTTCTTTTTGGTCTCCAGGATTTCTGATGAGCAAACTGCTTGTTGTTCAAATTGTTTCTCTCCTATGGGTATGGTGCCATTTCTCTCACTGCTTTCAAGACAAAAACTTCTTTGTCTTTAGTTTTCAGAAATCTGACTATGATGTTTCTTAACATGGACTTCTTTGGGTTTATCCAGTTTGGGATTTACTCAGCTTCTTAAATCTGTAGACTTGTGTCTTTTTCCAGCTTGGGTAATTTTTAGCATTATTTCTTCAAGTACTTTTTCAGGCTTATCTCTTTTCTCCTCTCCTCCCAGGAATCTGAATTCTCAAATGTTAGATCTTGTTTCATACTCTCCCAGTTCCCATCTCCCAGGTTCCAGGTCCAAGAGGCTTTGGCTCTGATTTTTCTTTTCTTTTTTTTTTTTTGAGATGCAGTCTCGCTCTGTCTCCCAGGCTGGAGTGCAGTGGCGCAATCTCGGCTCACTGCAATCTCCTCCTCCAGGGTTCAAGTAATTCTCCCTGCCTCAGCCTCCCAAGTAGCTGGGATCATAGGCAAATGCCACCACGCCCGGGTAATTTTTGTATTTTTTAGCAGAGAGGAGGTTTTGCTATGTTGGCCAGGCTGGTCTTGAACTGATCTCAGGTGATCTGCCTGCCTCTACCTCCCAAAGTGTTGGGATTACAGGCGTGAGCCACCGCACCTGGCCAGCTAGGATATTTTTGTTGTTGTTTTCTTTTGGGTTTTTTTGTTTTCATCTATTTTCTCTCTGTTCAGATTGGGTAATTCTATCATTCTATCTTCTGGTTCACTAATTCTTCCTTCTGCCCCACCCATTCTAGTACTGAGCTTATGCATTGAGGTTTTTTTATTTTATTTTATTTCATTTTATTTTATTTATTTTAGTTATGTATCTTGTAGTTCTAAAATTTCTAGTTGGTTTTTCTTTATATCTTCTGTTTCTTTGCTGATGGTTTTTATTTCTTTACTATCTAGTTTTTGCTTACTTCATACATGTTCTTACTGTTTCTTGGAGAATGTTCATGACTGCTGCTTTACAGTACTTGTCAGATAATTCTAACAAGCCTGTCATTTCAGTATTGATTGTATTTTTTTTTACTCTGTTTGAGATCTTCCTGGTTCTTGCCATTATGAATGCTTAATACTTGGCCATTTGGGGTATTATATTTTAAGAATCTGGATGTTATTTAAACCTTTTGTTTTATCTGGATTTCTTTGATACTATCCAGCAGAGTAAGAGGAACAGAGCTTTGTACCTGTCAGGGGAGGAGACAGATGTTCAGGTTCCCCACTTGGCCTCTATTGGCAGCCAAGGGTCTTCATTACTACTGAGTGGGGGTGGGAATTCTAGGCCCCTTACTACAGCAATGTCTCCATGGCTGGGAGAAGTAGGAATTCCTTATTGCTTTTGCCTCACATGGTCCCCATTAATACCATAGTGGGATGGTGGCCCCATTACTACTGGGCAATTGTGAAAATCATCACTCTCACTAGGTCTTCTCTGGCAGTGCCTCAACACAGAGAGTACCTCATTCCTGCCAAGTAGGTGTGGAAGTGTGGTAGGGCCTCTATGAATTCAGACAGACTGTGAATTCACAGATTCAACCAACCCAGATCAAAAATACTCAAAAAAAAAGAACAAAATTAAAAAAAAAACAGTAAAAATAATGCAAGTAAAAACAATACAGTATAACAACTATTTATATAACATCTACATTGTATTTGGCATTATAAGTAATGTAGAGGGCTGGGCGCAGTGCCTCACACCTGTAATCCCAACATTTTTGGGAGGCCAAGGTAGACAGATAACCTGAGGTCAAGAGTTTGAGACCAGCCTGGTCAACAGGGTAAAACCCTGTCTCTACTAAAAATACAAAATTAACCAGGCATGGTCCAGCTACTCAGGAGGCTGAGGCAGGAGAATCACTTGGACCCAGGAGGCAGAGGTTGCAGTGAGCTGAGATCGTGCCACAGCACTCCAGCCTGGGCAATAGAGCAAGCCTTGGTCTCAAAAAATAAAAAAAAAAAAAAAGAAAAGAAAGAAAGCAATGTAGAGATGATTTAAAACATATGGGAGGATGTGCATAGGTTATATGCATATACCCTGTCATTTTATATAAAGGTTTTTAGAAGCTGTGAATTTTGGTATTCCCATAGGGTCCTAGAACCAATTCTCTGTGGATATCCAGACATAACTGTACAAGATCCATGTACAACCACAAAATACATGGTTTCCACTGATACTGCAGGGGTGGGACCTCATCACCACTTGGCAGGGAAAAAAGTCCTGATTTCCCACTTAGCCTTCTCTGAAACCACCTTGAAAACTGGCGAGGTTATAAGTCCAGGCTCTCTTGCTGGCATCGGCAGGGTTGGGCTGAAGTACAGTGGCTACTACCTAAAAGTATCATGTCTTCTTGCTAGGCTGCCCCTTTTCTGCTCCTTTGGTTAGGGAGAGCAGGTGTTTGACGGTTTTTTGTTTGTTTCTGTGTTCTGCCTGCACCCATTGGTTCTTCTCAGTTGCCAGCTTCTTCAGCTCTGAGTCTGGTATACATGAAGCAAAAATAGAAGCCAGGCAATTCACCACCATGTAATTCCTTAGGTCCCAAAATCTATAGCCAGTGTGTTGCCTTTTCTCCGTCATTCATCTTCTTGTGTTTGTTTTATCTCTAACGTCCAAGATTTTTAGATGTATTTATCAGGAGAAATAGGAAAAAGTATGCCAACTTCTTCTTTCTGGAACAAAATTTCCAAATGCCATACCTTTGATTCCGTATCTGAACAGAGACCCTAAAGAAAGTGAGCCCATTTTAAATTGTTGAGGGTTTTCACCAACATCTTTCCTCCCGGTTGTTTGTATTTCCATTTGTTATTAGCTTTTGTTTCTAGCCTTCTAAGGCAAATTCAGTTCATATCACTGCTTTAAAATCAAAAGCAATAAAAGCTTCTGTAACCAATTAGCAAATAATTTCCTGAAATTTATTTTTAGTTAAGGAAAAATAGAGAAGGAAGTATATCTTAGTTTTATGTTTAAATTTTTACAGCCTATGTAGACAGCTTTAAACTGGTCAGGCCAGTAGTTAAACGACTAGGATTCAAAGTGAAGCTATCTGCAGCTAAACCTAACTTCACCACATACTACTTGTGTGGTCTTAGGAAAATAACATAACCTCTCCAACCTCCATTTCTTCCTTTTTAAAATGGAGAAAATATTAGTTCCCACATCTTAAAGCTATTGGGAGAATTAAGTGCCACATCCCAATCACAGACATTTCTCTCCCTTCAAAACTACCACTATTCTGAATTTTATAGTAATCCCTTCTTTATTCTTTAAAAGACTGATATCACCAAATGTGTATACATAGGCACTATAATTTAAATATAACCACTTAACTTTCTTTTTTGAATAAATGTTTTATTTTGAAATAGTTTTAGATTTACAGAAAAGTTGCAAAGATAATAGAGTTCCCATATATCTCACACTCACTTTCCCCTATTGCTAACATCATACATTATTATTATACATTTGTTGCAACTAAGCAGCCAATATTCGTGCCTTACACTTAACTGGAATCGGCAGTTTATTCAGATTTTTTTTTTGTTTTGTCTGCTTGTTTGTTTTAGAGATGGAGTCTCCCCTCTGTTGCCCAGCTTTGAGTGCAGTGGCACAATCACAGCTCACTGCAGCCTCGACCTCCTGTCCTTAAGTGATCCTCCTGCCTTGGCCTCCCTAGTGGCTGGGACTGCAGGCACATGCCACCAAGCCCAGCTAATTTATTTTGGCTGTAGAGATGAGGTCTTGCTATGTTGACTAGGCTGGCATATTTCCTTAGTTTGAATATAATGTCCTTTTCTGTTCTAAGGTCGCAGACAGGATACATTACATTTTGTCAGTTTGTATCATTAGGCTTCTCTTGACTGTGACAGTTTGTCAGTCTTTTCCTTTTTGTAACTTTGACAGTTTTGAGGAGTACTGGTCAGGTATTCTATAGAACATCCCTCAATTGAGTCTTGTCTGATGTTTTTTCACTATTAGACTAGAGTTGCGGGTTTTAGGGAGGAAGCACAACAAAGGTAAAATGCCACTGTAATGACATCACATCTAGAGTATATACTATCATCATTACTTAGGAAGGTTGATATTCACCTTGGTTACCTGACTGAGGCAATGTTTTGCAGGTTTCTCCACTGCAAAGTCACTTCTCACTCTGCTTGCCGTGCTGTGCTCTTTGAAAGGAAGTCACTTTATGCAGCTCCTTCTTAATGGATGGGGAGTCATGCTCCACCTGCTTGAGGGTAAATTATCTACATAATTTATTTGGAACTCATCTCCATGGGATTTTTATCTCATTTCTCTCATTTTTTTTATTCAATTGTTTATTTCTATCTGTATGGACTCACGGATATGTATTTTGTACTCTGAGTTATAAGCCAATACTACTTTATTTTGTTGCTCAAAGTATCCAGATTTGATCATGGGGAACTCTTTCAGTTGCCTTCTATGTCCTTTTGACATATCCTTATCTTTGTGAGTTTTTTTTTAGCACTTTTTTAGTTTCTGGCATTACAAGATGCTCCAGACTCATCTTGTATATTTGTATTTTCTGCCCCAGTCCTAGTATCAGCCATTTCTCCAAGGATCCCTGGTTTATTTTACTGAAGAATGAAGAAACCAAAATCTGGATACTGAGTATGCTCATTGTTACTGTGTTGTTGTTGCTTCAAGACCCTCTCAGTTCAGACATCAAGGTAATATATGCATGTATACTAACCCATGTATATTCACATATCTACAAATATTTCTATATGTATCCACCTGG
Source organism: Homo sapiens (assembly GCF_000001405.40). NCBI lineage: Eukaryota > Metazoa > Chordata > Mammalia > Primates > Hominidae > Homo > Homo sapiens. The sequence goes on from NC_000004.12 coordinate 74,691,043, forward strand.
ATCAATATTAATCTAAACAAAAGTTCATATCAACCCCTCCAACTCTAATCCATCACTATATGGATCATTCCAGCCTTCTTCCTGGCATGTCTATAATCTTTTATTGCAACACTGAAAATTTGCACCTTCTGGGAATTTTTTTCTAATAGATTTAGTAATAATTTTGATTGCCTACTTACGTGCCTACTATTGCCTACTATCTGCTCTAGGTAAAATGGATAGAGAAGTAAAAAAACAGACAAAATTTATGCCCTTGTGGAGTTTATGTTCTATTAGTCAATTCAAGTAAATGCAAATCCTCTCAACAGAAACATCTTCAGACCAGGCCTCATATTCTGTATCTCTTACTTACTTTTTAGCTCCATGATATATTTTAAAAGATTACTTTTTATATGATTCCACTATAGTTTCCAGCAAGAGAGTTGTTCAGAGTCTCCGATCTTCTGTATGGCCACAAATGGAACTCAGCAAATTGTTAAAAAGTGAATTCCTTTCCAAGCTCATTTTATGAAATAATTCCTGGGTTTTCATATCAACACTGCACACATATTTAAATGTATTTACCACCTAGCCTGATTTATGAACTCTTGTGCTTTTTCTTTTCTCACTTCTATGTGTGTGACCTTTCCACTTCCCTGTTGAAGGCATTCACAGTGCCTAAAATTGCACGTTGGAGCAAAAATAAGAAGAAAGAGTCTGTGTATGGAAGAAGGGAGGAATGTGTAGGTTTATGCTAAGACTCTTTTGGTAATCAAAAGGGAAGGTCTTTAGGAAACTCAGAGATTATGCTATGACAAGGGAAAGGACCAATCCACCTTGCCCTCTCTGTCCTCTTAACCCTGAAGCCCTGTTGCCTTAGTGAGGACAGGAGAGATGCCTGGGTGGTAGGGGAGATGTAAGGGAATCATTTGGAGAGGAGCAGAGGCAGCACCAGGAAGCCCCCCTGCTGGCAGCTCAGGACATGAGATCTGTGGAGACCAAGCACCTGCAGACTTCTGGTTCCTCAGGAAAGAACGAAACCTGTTTTCTCCTTGCCTTGTGGTATGAGCCTGCCCTGGTCAGTTGCCTACATGATGCCTGTGCATTATCCAGCAGAACCCAAGACTTTGTTGAAGTTTATTCAAACTACCCTATATGGATACCATCATCCTGTTTTCAACAGCACATGAAACATGAAGCAAAACAAAGGTTGGGGCCCTCGATACCTAAATAAATTGTAGGAGTGTAAGAATGAAAGCCCAGCATAAGTACCCAAGTGGAACTGGACATATACATATATATGCTACATATATGTTACATGTGCATGCATACATACACAAGCACACTCTCATGAACACATACACCTTCTTTATTTAGACATAGAGTAGAGATACATACCATTTGTTCATTGGTATTCACTAAGGATTTGCTGCAGGACTCCCCAAGGATACCAAAATCTACAGATGTTCAAGTCCTTTATGTAAAGTAGTGTAGTATTTGTGTATAACCTACACACATCCTCTCACACACTTTAAAGCATCTCTAGATTACCTATAATACCTACTACAATGTAAATGCTACATAAAGAGTTGTTACAGCATATTATTTAGGGAATAATGGCAAGAAAAATTCTGTACATGTTTAGTACAGACTCAACCATCTATTTTATGGTCAATATTTTCCATCCATGGTTGGTTGAATCCATGCAGAACCCACAGATATGAAGGGATGACTGCATATTCATTTTTTTCTTTATTTTAAGCAAGGAAACTTTAAAACAATATTGCAGCCATTTATTATTTGGATGAGGGTAGGGATGGACCTGGCAGCTGGAAGCTAATGTTCTTTCTATACTACACTCTGATCCTAAAAAGTCCTGTGGCAGGGACTTCCCAAGATGGACAAAAATCCACATCCTTTAGAAACACATTTAACTAAATTACTTATAATTGTAGTCTTTAAGGCTGAGTCTTACAATAGACTACACACCAAACCTTTTAAGGACTAGGAAGGCTCCTGGCAACAGTGAGGCCCACTGCACCAGATGCCAGGATTCAGGCAGCAAACCCGGTCGTGGGGCCAGGAGCAGCTGCTGTAGCAGCCAATTAAAATGGATTCTCCTGAAGAAAAGAACTTTCACGGGAGAGATGGGAACTTCATGAGCAATAAAAGCAAACCCCGTGGCTGTTTCTACTTTTGTTAACCATGGGCTAAAAATACCAAATGAACATCAACAAACCCACACACTTCATCCATCTCTGTCCTCAGAGGAATGCCAGCAAATCTGCCTCCCTTCCAGGGAAATGTCTGACCAGAGAAGGCAGAACTTCAGAGAGCCAAGAGGAGGAAGAAGAAACTTGGAAATCAGCTGTGGACAAAGCTTTTCCACAGAGAAAAGATTTCACCAAGAATTATTATAAAATGAGTTTTTAGGCATTAATCTACTAACACTTATGAAATATGAGTATTTGAAAAGGAGTGTCTGGAGCACCTCTCCATCAAAAATAGAAGAAAATTTGTGAGCAATTTTGGAAGCATTTTACATCCACATCTTACCACTCGCCACGTGAAACAATTACTTTTTTGGGCACTCACAAACTACATATAGCGAGAGATAGTAGGAGCTTCACAAGAGTTGGAGTACCTAAGAGACTCCAAAGACACAGTAGGCAAATGCTAGTCATCCATCCTTAAGATGTTTTTCAGTGTTTACAACATGCAGTGCATTCCTTCAGTAACTATCTGTATTGTTCTTTCCTGCTCCAAAAGGGAGGCCTTAACATAAACAGCTGATGATAATACTAACAAATGAGCCCAGTAACAGACATTTATCCCCAGTGTAATCTAAGAGCAGAAGGTGTAATTAATTCTGCAGGGGGCAGAATTTGGAGAGGAGGTGTCAGGTAAAGCTTCCTTGTAAACATTGGTTTCTTTTGCAGAAAAATCCAGGGCTCTTTATTTCTGCCTGATATGAAACTCTTGACGAATTGTCCTCACCTTTTATATATCCAGCTTATGTCTTGTTTTGTTAATTCCCATATACACCAGGCTACTTACCTTCCCGATTTAATAGATAAGCACCATGAATGTTCTCAACCCATCAAGGCTCAGCTTATTTAACCATTACCCCCTTCCCAGGACTATTCCTGTGATTAAACCAAATGTGAGCATTAGTAAATACTCCTACATTGTATTTAAAGACGTATCCCAGTGTCAGGGATGCACATGGCTGCCAAGCACTTCACCCTGTGAGAATTGCCTTTTTTAACATATAAACAAAGGAAAAAATATCTCCTTAGTATGTATAATGGAAAGTCCAGTGTCTCCAAAGATTGGAGGGCAAAGGGAGATTATGGTGGTTTTTTGCCATGCATCTCCTGCCAAATTTTTTACCTCCACCTCTGGTATCCCAGGTCTTGTTCACCCTGGCCCTTTCCCTCACTGTGCCCATTCACAGTGGACATTTCCCTGCTTCTTAAACTTCCTAAAATAGTCACCCAAAGTGTGACTACAAAAGGAAGTTATATCTCAGTGCAGCAAGGCAATCAGCCTAAAATCCACATTAATTCTCCTGGTTCTTAAAATTTTCTCCTGCATTCCCACAACTAGAAACAACTCCTCCTCCTCCTCTTTCTCTTCCTTCATGTTTCACTGTTTCCTAAGGGTCTGATGCTTGTGCTATTCTGGGGCCTTTTAAAAGACAAACAAGTACAAAATTATAAATATAATATTAGATACAGGGCCTTGGGAGGGGCTCATGCAAATGAGGTGCCCCAAAGCCTAGACTTCATTAGCTTTATTAGCTCCTTGTTCATTTCTCTATTTCTCTTTCACTATCTTCCTTCCTTTCATGGCTGCCAGCCACCTCAACACTTCAATTTGCAGTGTTTTTCTTATAAGAACATCAAGTTTCACAACCCGAAGATGTTAGAATGTATTTTGCTAAATAAAATAATGTTTTCTCCCAATATTTTAAAGCCTATAGCTTTTAAATGAGCATGCTTTATTTCCATTATACTTAGCATTAAGAATTCTAAGCTCTGGATTCTTCTCTCCATCTTAGAAGACCACAGTTCTTCATTATGTATACCCATCACCATCGCCCCAGCTAAGTCAGATCAATTTTATATTTAATCTAGAATACAGCTGCCTTAGATTGAAGGAGACAGGATGTATCACTAGCTGTTATTGGCAGTTTAACAGTTTCTGCTCCTGAGTGCAAATAAATTGACTGACAATAAATGTATGTTCCAGTATTTAGTTGAACAGAAAGGAGAGTTTATAGAAAAGAGGCCTAACCCACTAGATGGGAAATAGAAAAAAAAAAATCAGTTTGAGGTGAGATATCATGACCTAATTAGTCAATTCTAAAACTATTTCTCAATATCCTGTGTTTTGCTTCAGATGGTAGAGGTCACCCATCTTATTTACATATACTCACTACTACCATCCCAGCCAAAGCATATCAATTTTAGATTTCTCTGAGAATACAGGTCTCCTGGACTGGAGCTAACTGTTCCCATATATGGGATCTGTCAATAAGGAAATATGGTAAGGAGAATCCTAGGGAAATCTATATACACAGAGGCAGGTAAATTGCCCCCAGCAAGGCCAGACCTCATAAAATCTTATGAAAGGGGTTCCCTGATCTACACCTTCTTGATAATGATATAATAAACAGCAATAAAAACTCAGTTATAGATTATTAAGAACTTTTATTTCCTGCTAAATATTTTATATAATACTCGCCATTCTTGTACCAATTCTGAGAAGAGAGAAGTTACTATTCTTCATTGTATAGGTAAGGAGACGGCAATTTGGGGAAGTTAAATAAGTCTTCCAAAGTCATATCTCTGATAAGTGAAGAGCACAGAATTCAAATTCTATGTCTGTTTCATCTGAAAACTACATAATACTTTGGTTAAAACATATGAAATTACCATTTTTGTAGATCAAAGGTAGTCAGATATTGGCAATTTCACATGGTACAACCTAACACATTATCAACTCTCAGCTTAAAAAGTCTGTTAAAAGTCTGAGAGATTTTAGATTTGCACAACCCAAATGAGGAGATTTTAGATTTGCACAGCTAATATTCACAACAACCCCAGGGAGCAAACAGATAGCTGAGAGGGACACCACCTGAAGTGGCACAATAGACTATGTAAATTGCAGAGCCGGAGTCAACTTCCTTAATTCTTTAGGACAGGCTTCAGAAGACCTGTCCTGTAAAGAGCCAGATAGGCAATATTTTCAGCCTAAAGGCCATACTGCCTCTGGCACACTACCCAACCCTGCAGCTATAGCATGCAAACAGCCATAGACTACATAAACAGATGGGTATGGGCATGTTCCAATTCAGCTTTCTTTACAAAAATAGTCCAACTCCTAATCTAATGATTTCCCTGGATTTTCTTAGAGAGATTATAGCAAGAGAATTATCACTCAGTCTAATACAGAAAAACCTACTGGATGCAGAGGGCTTACACACAAAGGGAGACAAGATAGCTTAGTTTTAATGGTCTTGGCTCTGGGATCAGACTGCTGAGCTTTGAATTTCAGCTCAGACACTTGTCTGCTGTGTGACTTTGAGTAAGCACTTCAACTAAACCTCAATATTCTTATCTGTACAATGGAATATTAATATCCACTCCATAGAGTTATGAGAATGAAAGAACTTATACAATGCCTGAGTGCAATGCCTGGTATATGGAAAACACTCAGTAAAATTTATTGGGTGTTAAAAGGGACTTTCCCAGGGGTCTTGGCATTTTTTGGCTAAACTCCTGCAGTTAAGGACATTAGTGATAAGGACCTACACTCTTTGAAGAGATCACTCTTTACAATTTGCATGCAGGATATTAGAAAAAAGCCATCCCAGTATTGTGAACATCACTCTTTCTAGGCTCTATGAGAGGAAAATTGACATTCAAAATGGGGGCCGCAAAAAGGGAATTGATAGAGGGAGCATCAGGGGGATGTGAGTGGCAGTTTTCTTTCCTCTCCCTAAGTCATGTAAAGAAAGCCATGTAAGGGAAGACTTCCCTTACAAGGACCCCTGTTAGAGAATCTCCAGAACCTCTGTTAGAGATGGAAGAAGAGATGAGCACCTCATTCCTATTTACCAAACCGCAGAAATGCAAGTCCAGGCGCTTTCACTAAAGAGGAGAAAAACATGCTGAGAGAGCTAAAGAGGAAAAACATCACATAGATCCCCATGAATGTAAGAATTACAAGAACATAGAGACTGATATCTGTCTCCCACATGAAGAATGCAAAAGGCAGAAGAAATGCTGCGGTGGTAGAGAAGAGCAGAGCAACAATAAAGTGGCCAACAGTTGGGTCAGTTATACGCCCACCATTTAGTGGTGAAATATGCGTGAACTTCTTCCTGCCAGTTAAGTGATGGCACAGAAAATAGTTAAGCATAAGCTGTTGAAGTAGATCTAATTCAAACATGTCACTTCTAGAATGAGTGAGGTGCACTAGGGTTTCAGAGGGTACATCTGTGAAGGGAAGTTCACAATAGACCAGCTGTTTGTGCACTGCCTCCCTCAAAGGTAACAGAAGACACCAACTATCCTATCGCCACAGCTCCAGGCAGATACAACTCTATACCTCTTCCTTTAATTTTTCCTTTCTCTTCCCTAAACTTCAACTTCCTCGTTCCTGAAGCCAGCAACAGGAAAGTGTATGGGTGAAGGAATAATGAAAAACAGGCATGGTCCCTCTTTCCACAGCAGCCTCCAGGCCAAAAGTCAGGACAGAAATTACCGGGGAGGAGGAAGATTTTTAATTGCATGTGACATTGAAATATTAACTGTACTGCACTTTTTAATGCCTTTGGTGAAATTTAGAGTCAACAAAAATGACTGCTATTTAAGAGCTGAAGCCAATAGGTATGTGGGGCTCTGCCTAAAATGTCATCTAAGGTATGGAAGGGAGATAAGAAACAGAATGTTGGAGGGAAGTCGTGGGAGAAAACTTAAATCATTTTCTTCTTGTGAGCCTACTGATTTCAGGTTGCATTTTCTCTTATTAAAACCAGACCTGTGCATGTACATGAAAGAGGAGAGCAAGATTTGTAGAAAAAGTAGGGGGTGGATATTTTAGCCAGGGCATGGCCATGATATGGGGTATATCTGGAGGCAAAGAAAGAAGTGTGAGTTTGGGCAAGAAGATTATTTCCAAATGAAAGACATGAGGTGCCCCAATAGAGACTGTTTTCCTCCTTGCCTTAAGGTAATAATGACTTTTATCTCAGGAAGAGAAGGATGGGCATAGGAGCCTGCCACCAGACACAAGTCTTTGGCTATGATTTTTCACACATGGAATTAATCCAGAGAAAATAGACAAGAAAGCTAAATTTTTAAAGAAACTGTAGTGACAGAGGAATCCCAGCCCTGGCTAATGGTAACCTTGTGAGTGCTTAATCCATAAAGCGGGATTAGGGTCCTTAAACTTGTACCACTGGGAAGGACCTGAAAAAGATGTGCAGGCTCCCAGAAAGTCGTCTTGCCTGTGTTCATGGAGGACAATGAACAATGAGGAATCTCACTGTGGCAGAACTAGGAACTGCCAGTTTGGTTAACCAAGAAGTGCAGTCTTTTCCAAGTCCGGTGGTCCCTACAATTCTTTTTTTTTTTTTTTTTTTTTTGACAGAGTTTTGCTCTTGTCACCCAGGCTGCAATGCAATGGTGCGATCTCAGCTCACTGCAACCTGCGCATCCCAGGTTCAAGTGATTCTCCTGCCTTAGCCTCCCAAGTAGCTGGGATTACAAGTGTCTGCCACCATGGCCAGCTAATTTTTATATTTTTAGTAGAGACAGGGTTTCGCTGTGTTGGCCAGGCTGGTCTTGAACTCCTGACCTCAGGTGATATACCCGCCTGGGCCTCCCAAAGTGCTGGGATTACAGGCATGAGCCACTGGGCCTGGCCTATCCCTGCAATTTTTAACAAACAAGATTTGCTATTTTTTACAGATAGAAACTGCTTTTTGTTTGCCATTATCACATTTTTTATATGAAAATTCTTTCTCCATCATTGTATGTTGTACACATTGAAGACAGATAATTAACTTTTGACTTATGAGTCACTAGAACGTAAGCTACACTCAGATTTGACAAATAGGACAGCATATCACACAGAGGTCCTGAATTTCAAGCTGGATGTGGTAACTGAATGAAACTTTGGTGTGGTCTTCACTGGAAAGGCGAGAGACCCGCAATAATGAGGAACAAGGGCCTGGGAATGTTGGGTAGCCAAGGGAATGGGTAAAGGTAAATGTGGTGGTTTGTCTATCCAAAGGCTCTTCCCTATGCCCCTCTCCTGACCTCCTCAATTGCGGGGGCTGGAAAGCTAAAGCACTCACCTTCCCAGACATGCTTGTAGCTCAGGGTAATCAAGTAGCCCAGAACTGGCCAATGAGGCATGGGTAGAAGTTACTGGTGAGATTTCCAAGAAATATGATTGGTTTTTAAGGGACAGTCTGGCCAAAGGCTGTCGTTCCCTTTGGTCCTTCCGTCTTCCTGACCCCTTCCTTTTTCTTCTTGCCTAGACTAGGTAATTAATACCTGGAGGTGTAGCAGGCATTTTACAACAGTGAAGTAGAAATTTTAAAATGGTGGAACGAGACAGAAAGAGCTCCTATGACACCATTGAGAAGCTGCTCCAGAGCCACGCTTCTTATGACATGAGAAAAATAAACTCCTATCTGGTGGAACTACTGTGATTGAATCTTCTGCCATTTGGATGTGAATTAATTCTTAACTGACATAATGTGGACTACATGCTCCAGTCATTAAAGTATATGTTTTAGAAATAAGAGTATTTATCAAAGTGTGTTAAAAGATTTTGATCAAAAGTCAGTCCTATGAACAATGGTTTGGGAAACACCAAGTTAAAGCAAATTAAACAGCTTACTTTATTTAAGGAAGTACAGGATACTGCATTTCCCTCACTTATTTCATTATCAATTTCAATGCCCTGGTTTCACTAGAACAAAGTTTGGGAAATTCTGGTGTATGACATATCAATAATATAGGACATAATTAATAACTTTTTCCTAAGTAAAAAAACAGGTTATAGTATGTATTTATGTTTACGAAGATTATGTCTTCTGAACATTTTTATCTATTTACTTGTTTTTCCATACTATCTAAATAAAATATAACTACTTATGTCATTCTTGTAATCAGAAAAAAAAAAACACAATACTGTTTTCTCAGTAGAATTCTGCTTACTTGGGGGGAATGAATGGAGACATGTGTTAAGTTCTTGCATGTTGTATTAAGTAATAGAACTACATTCCGGTAATGTATCTGCCTTAGATAGCATGACTATTCTAAGGCTGCTTCATGGATCACGAGGTCAAGAGATTGAGACCATCCTGGCCAATATGGTGAAACCCTATCTCTACTAAAAATACAAAAATTAGCTGGGTATGGTGGTGCAGGCCTGTAGTCCCAGCTACTCGGGAGGCTGAGGCAGGGGAATCGCTTGAACCAGGGAGTCAGAGGCTTCAGTGAGCCAAGATCGCACCACTGCACTCCAGCCTGGTGACAGAGCAAGATTCTGTCTCAAAACAAAAACAAAAACCAAAACCTACTGTTTGCTTAAAAACCTGCTGACAGAGCACATGACCAGCTGTGGAGATGAACACGGGAGGGATTGGGGGTGGGGGTTGGGGTTCTCTGTTTGTTCCTGAGAAAGTAAGAAACCCTCAGCTCAGACTAGTCTGTGGCACCAGCAGAACTGTCTTGAGGAGAAGATAGAAACTGTTGCATAAAGAATACTCTGAAGAAGGTCCTCACATGAGTGGCAGTCAGACAAGCTCACGGTGAGTACAGGTGCCTTCAGTTCTGTCAAAATGTTAAGATATATTAAGGAATAAATTAAGGAATATTAAAACCATCAGAATTTTATTTCTTCTACATCTAAGTGACCATATATAGTTGTAATGTGGCCAAAACTAACTTGCCACAAAAAATATCAATTATTTGTAATTTATTTAGACAATGGCTCTTTTTGAGGTTTTTAAAGAAAATTTAAAATGAAATACAAACTCAATTTATAAAATTATTTTGCTATGGGGTAGACAGTTAAATAAGGCCTAAGAACTCAATGGAAATAATGTATAACTATTAATATTCTGATTTTAATAGTTGTATTGTGGTTATATTGGAAACGTCATTTTTGTGGGAAATACACACTAATGTATTTGGAAATGATGGGACACCCGTTTGGAAACTTTCTTTCAAAAGCTTCAAGAAAAAAGGTCTATGTATTTTTCTTGCAACTTTTCTGTAAATTTGTGATGATTTCAACAATATAAAAATGCATTTAAATCAATGATTAAGCAAAAAACCTCACTAAATTCTATTCATCACCTTCTCCACACTTGTTTCAGATCACTAGAAATATCAGTTCTGCAAGCTCACACAACTGCGAACCAATTTATTAATGGACACGCTAAGCTACATTGCTGTGGAAAGGCATTGTCTTAGCATAGTTTTTTTCCAACGAGTACCCTGACAGCATCTCTATTTCTACTTAGAGGCTGAAAACACTTTGCCATTAAATAACTATTTTCAACAGTGAGAATTTTGTATACTAAAAAATATATAAAGATATCTCCTCCATAATCCATTACACTCTCCAAGGTATTTTCACATACCTTACATCACTGGATTCTCATCAGATTGGGAGGCAACTTGAGGGAGCTGAAAGAGAAGGAGTCCTAGACTAGGAAGGACTTGGCCTGTGATTCCAGCTGCACACATCCTGTGTGCCTTGGGAACATTGCCTAAATTCTCTGGGCCTCTCCTTCAATAGCTGCATCTCCTAAGTAATAAATGTGCCATTTACAATAATCACACTTTTCATTGTGAAGATATAGTAAAGTAAAAGTCACCAGGATGAAGTATAAATCACAATCAAGGATCACTTGTTTATCCAACCAACAATTATCCTGTACTTGTTCAGTGCCAAGCACTGTTCTAGGCACAGGAGACATAGCTATGCCCTACAGATATGGTTCCTGCCATCAAGTTCACAGTCTAATGGAAGCAGAGACAGACAGGACAATCAAATGATGATATCACCAAGTGACTGGGGTAAGGTAAAGAGTGACTTTAAGAAAGATAGTCACAGTGAGCTTCTTTAAGAAGAGCTGACACTTCAGTAACAGGAGGCAGCCGTGCTAAGACCTGCACGAGCAGCTCCCCCAGAGTGACCCATCAGAGGGGAAAGATGCCTTCAGAGGGAAAGGTTGCTTTGTGGAAATGCAGCTTTCTGTCAGTGTCCTGTGATCCCAGGCTGCAGAGTCTGTGAACACAGCATTATCCCTTCAGCTGCTGGTTGTTTGGGTACATTCATGGAGAAATCATATCAGGGTGAATAAGAGTACCCCAATTATTCTAACCTCAAACTCAAAGAGATTCAGCTAAAGAATAACCCTAGACTTTTAAGGAATTTTTTTTAAAGATAATGTGTGTATGTGTGTGTGTATGTGTGTAATATTATTCAAATTTTTATATGATTACATTTCATACGAATATTATTTCTGAAATCAGTTATTTTCTATTCTCCTAACTCAACAATTACACTCCCATTTACATACTATATTAGGGCAATTATCCTCAAGTATAATTAAGAAGCTAAAAAATGAGCACAGAAAGTCTTTGTGACCACATACAGGCAGACTGCCTTATAATTGAATTGCATGAATCAGGTAAAAAGCAAAGAAAGAAGAGAAAAGTTATTCCAACTCTAAAACCTCCGACTATCCGACAGTCATGGATTGTCCCCAAACACGGACTGTTAGTTTTATTGTCATTTACTTTGTACATTCACATCAGTAAAGTTTAGTCATTTGATTCATGCTTCAAAATTTTTTAATTGCAAAGTTTTCATGACTTAAAAATGGAAAACTCCTGAATTAGAAAGACTGTTCACATTTATGTGTCTGTCTATTTGTGCTAAAAATTATTTCTCCAGTCTACATTTACATTCCAATCTAGGATTGCTCTTAGAGAATTCTGAAATGCTTTCTATATTTGGTAGAACTGCATCAGAAACAAAAATATGCACATTTATTTCTTGAAGGATCATACCATGTTTAACATGTAATTCCAGCTCCCCTTTGCCTTTACATTTTTCTTTCATGGGGAAAAAAAATGCTTTCAAGGTATGGATGGCACAGGCCATTTGGCCTCAGACCAAAAATCACCTGAGGATCTGTGACTTCCTGGAATAGCTGGGTGTCAGTCATAGAGGTCCTGGTTCAGAGGCTGAGGCACACAAAGCCTCCTTATGTCAGGAGGGTGCTAGAGTCAAAATTCTCATCCTCTCCTTTCCCATCTAATCTCTATTCTTAAGAAGCACTTAAGGCACACAAAGTAAGTGTTGGGTGAATATTCCAGAATTAGCAAAGTGTGCTGAGACTTCTAATCATTTCACAACAGCGTTCTCTCCTTCTTTCTTTATATCTCTGAGTATTAGTTGAGTGAATGGCTGCTCTTCTACAGTCCACTTCTCCCAGCTAAGTGAGTTTGTGTGGTTGAGTGTTGGCCAAGAGTGTGTGAGCAGAAGCTATTCCCCAAAGGAAACTGCAACCCCTACACTGCTCTTTTCCTCACTCCTTGGACTGAACAACATTGACCACCCCAAGATGAAGGCAAATCCCTAGGGAGTAATAAAGCCATGGGATTAAAGGATCCTGGTTCTTTGAATGACATCATGAAACAAAGCCACCTACTTTTCAGCTGTTACATGACAGAAAAATATTACTAAACTTCTATTTTGTTTAAACAACGGTGCTTTCAGTTTGTTGATGACAGAAGTTCAATTAGTATCCAAACTAGCACCCACAGCAATTAATTCAACATGTATTTGATTATCTCCTTTCTTTGTGCTAGGTACTGTGCTACTTTCAGTGGGAAATTAAAAAAAAATCAGAAGATATATTTCTTGCCCTTACAGAGGTTAAAAACTAGTAGAAAATTATATGCACAGAAGTAACTACAAAGCAAGGGAGGATGCAAGAATGCATCAGAGAAGGAAGACAGCATAAAATTCTGTCAATCTGTTAAACTTGTAACCAACATCTTTTCTTGAATGCCAAATATGTGGAATGACAAGCCAGCCTGCATGAAAATGATAAGGGTGGTGAAGCTTATTTGCACCCATCTTTTTTGCCTGTTTCATATTTCTTCCTCCTTTCCCAGGCACCCAGAGCCTTCTGTCTTCTATAAACCTCCCTTGCAGTGTCCCAGCAGCTCTGGATGGTACCCTATGCCCATACTCCCCTCAGTATATGCATGTCAAGTTTCCTTTTTCCTCAGGTTCTTACTGCCTCTGGTTCTTACTTAACAAGTGTTAAAGGTATACTGTGTTGCTGCCTCTCTAGTAATAATAGCTAGCATTTCTTGAACATTTGCTATGTACCAGGTATTATTCTAAGCTCTTTCTATGTAACTCGTTTAATATTCACTGAAATCCCATGACAAAGGTACTGTTAGTAGGAAAACTGAGGCTCAGAGAGGTTCAGAAATTTGCCCAAACACACGCAAATAAGTGGTTTGTATTTGAACCCAGGCAGTCTGATTCCTGAGCATCCAGAATCTATGCTTTTAACTGCATACAGCACAACTTTTAGCATTTTGTCAGTCATCTTTGGAAAATAAGAGGTTTTAATGCTAAGTGTTGGGCTCACAGGAGTTAAAACTACTTTGGCAGGACAATAAGAAAAGATAATTTGCATAAAAAGTCCTCACATCAGACCTTGTAGATAAAAACCTACCAATGGCGTGCCAAACCAAGTTCACTGTTTCTCTTCATAAGGTTAAATGAAGACTCTTGAGGAGATAAAAGATTCCCTCATCTCAAGAACTTACTACCCAAATGACACTTGTAGTAGTCTTTCTGTTCCAGTGATGATCTGGTGCTCCTTTAAGGAAGGAGTGGGATCCTATAAATAGGAAGATGATCTGCTTGGGTGCCATTCTATAGGATGGCACTATTTCCCAAACTGGAGTATGTTTTGATTGTCTCTTCTTCACTCCATTGGTGAGGGAGGCATTCCCACCCTGGAATTATAGGGATGGCAGAACACACAACGCCCAGCACTGGGCAGATTATATCCCAGCAGTTTATCAGTCACATAGATGCACAGACTGGGGAAGAACACTGCACTCCACTCAGGACGGCGGGGTGAGTTGCATTTGGGAACACAGTGAACAAGCAGAGTTGTGGGAGGCAGGCTTTGTAGTACCAAGAGGGTGAGGTGACCCTTGATTCCTGCAGAAGCACGTGCTTGGCTTGTTTTAATAATGTTGCAGGCCCAGAATTAAAGCCTGCTATTGAGGGATAAACAGACACTGTGCCTGGTTCCTCTGGTAAGTAGTGTTGTTTGGCTGGAGGACTTTATCCACAGGAGTAGAGTGGAGGAGGGGGGAGCTTGTGATTAGGCCATTAAAAACTCTCCCAGTTTCAGATGGCAAAGAAGCACATAATGCTGAATCTTAATTTCAAGCCTGATACCACAAGGCGGAGGACAGTCACGGGTGATAGCAAGATGTGTTCATGTGGTTCACAACACATACATAAGTATATTGATTATCTAGTGAGAAAATTACTCCTTTTGCTGGGATTGAATGAGAATTTCATTCAATCCTCAGATTTTATCAAGGAGGAAATTTGGGGTCAATGCCATTGTGCATTTACCAGCTCTCAAAGACTTGCTCATCTCCCTTTCTAACAATAACAAAGCAAGTCCAAAACCTTTTCCATGGGCAGTTAATACTATCTATCCAGAATTTTAAAATATTGTTTCCTTTTCGTTGCATTAATATTTGTTGTTTGCCTTCTATTTATAGAGATGCTGATATTCTAATTACGATAGTGATATAGTTGCCTTTTAAATAACTATGAATTTAAAACACAGGAAATAAAGGAATATCAAGTAAATAATACTATAGTAAATAGCACAGAGAAATGTATAATTATTGAACAAGATTCCAACATTTGGGAAATTCTTTAGTATGAGATAATGGTTTTCCTGGCTCATCCACTATGGGCACAGTGATAATGACTGTTAATATTAACAGAATACATTAAGTTTGGATATGAATGGTATCTGAGCAAGTTCTTTCTAATTCAAGACACTCAAAGACTAAAGATTACAGAAAAAGTTTAGTTGCAAAGATCAAAACTTATATAATGAAATCAATTATATATAGTCCTATCAAACAGTAAATAACCACACACATCTGTAGTTCAAGTAATGGTATCGACTATTGTTTCCCTATCTCAGAGAATGAATGAAAACTAAGTTGGGGTGACAGAGGTTAAGCCTCTATTCTGGTTATAATCTTTTGTGATTTAGGCTACAGTTTTAATTTCTTTGTCATGTGCTTTATGTATTTTTTTTGAAATGATACAGCATAGTACATACAAGATAAGTTGGGCTTTATAGCTAAACAGACCTGGGTTCAAATTCTGCCTCTGCCATCCACTTGCTGGGTGACTTTGAACAAATTATTTAGCCTCTCTGTACCTTGCTTCCTCATCTATAAGAAGAGATTATACGTCATTTGAAGAAATTGTCTGAGCAGTGGAACTAGTAAGTAAAAAGGACTGTGTATAGTGCCTGGCAGCACAGTAAGCCCCTGAGAGCTGGCAAATGGAACAATCTGCTTAAAGTTTGAGGTTTAAAGTTTAATGCTTCTCTGTCTGAGCTGTAGTTAACATTAACTATTTCACTCTCTCTGTAATTCTCTTATTTGTTGCCACAGAAATATGAAATTCAAGAACTCTGTAGACAGAAGTCTCCTCCTTTGCCAACGCATCCTAGCAATTCCCTCTGCAAAATACCTCTTAGAAAAACACCAAAGACATGGACTCAGCCTAAATGCCGACCAAGGATAGACTGGAAAAAGAAAATGTGGTACATATACACCATGGAACACTATGCAGCCATAAAAAAATGGGATCATATCCTTTGAAGGGGCATGGATGGAGCTGGAGTTCATTATTCTTAGAAAAGTAAAACAGAAAAAGAAAAGCAAGTACTACATGTTCTCACTTATAAGTGGGAGCTAAATGATGAGAATACATGAACACATAGAGGGGAACAAAACACTCTGGGGACTTTCAGAGGATGGAGGGTCAGAGAAAAGAGAGGATCAGGAAAAATAACTAAGTAATTCATCACCCAAGTACTAGGCTTAATACTTGAGTGATGAAATAATCTGTACAACAAACCTCCATGACACCAGTTTACCTATGTGACACCAGTTTACCTATGTAACATACCTGCACTTGTACCCTGAAGTTAAAATAAAAGTTTTTTTTTAAAAAAAGAAAACACCTGCTCTAGCTATAGGTGATGCGATTTCTTTTAATCAAATTTGCTTTAGGTAGGGAGAAAGTCTCTATCATTATGAGCAAGGTGCCCAGGATAAAAGCTTCTGAAGGACTCACAGGAAAGTTTGAGACCTGGAAAAATGTATTGGTACTGGCATATGCAAATAAAAGTCTTACTAAATCAAAATTGATAAAAGTTTAGTTAACTACAAAGCATAATATTATGCTGTAGTGGACTGAATGAGATATCCAGCACTGACCTCCAGAATCCATAAATATTACCTATTTGAAAAAAAAATCTTTGCAGAAATAAGTTAAGGATGTTTAGATGAGGAGATACTCTTGGATTATCTGAGCCAGCCCTAAATGCCATCACAAGGGTCCATAGAACAGAGAGACAGAGGAGGAAGTTATCACAGAGAGAAGAAGGTGATGTGGAGATTGAGACAATGAATGAAGAGATATACCTACAAACTAGAAAATGCCAACAGCCTCCAGAAGCTGGGACAGTCCAGGAACATCCTCTGTGGTAGCTCCCAGAGCAGGTACAAACCTGTCAACACCTTGATTTTAACCTGGTGAAATTGATTTATTTACTATTATACATTAAGTTCTGGGATACATGTGCAGAATGTGCAGGTTTCTTACATAGGTATACATGTGACATGGTGGTTTGATGCACCGATCAACCTGTCATCTACATTAGGTATTTCTCCTAATGCTATCCCTCCCCTAGCCTTCCACCCCCCAACAGGCCCCAGTGTGTGATGTTCCCCTCCCTGTGTCCATGTGTTCTCATTGTTCAGCTCCCAATTATGAGCGAGAAAATGTGGTATTTGGTTTTCTGTTGCTGTGTTAGTTTGCTGAGAATGATGGTTTCCAGCTTCATCCATGTCCCTGCAAAGGACATGAACTTATCCTTTTTTACGGCTGCATAGTATTCCATGGTATATATGTACCACATTTTCTTTATCCAGTCTATCATTGATGGGCATTTGGGTGGGTTCCAAGTCTTTGATACTGTGAATAGTGCTGCAATAAACATATATGTGCACGTGTCTTTATAGTAGAATGATTTATAATCCTTTGGGTATATACCCAGTAACTGGATTGCTGAGTCAAATGGTATTTCTGGTTCTAAATCCTTGAGGAATCACCACACTATCTTCCACAATGGTTGAACTAATTTACACTCCCACCAACAGTGTAAAAGTATTCCTATTTCTCCGCATCTTTGCCAGCATCTGTTGTTTCCTGACTTTTTAATGATTGCCATTCTAACTGGCATGAGATGGTATCTCATTGTAGTTTTGATTTGCATTTCTCTAATGACCAGTGATGATGAGCTTTTTTTCATGTTTATTGGCTGCATGAATGTCTTCTTTTGAGAAGTGTCTGTCATAGCCTTCACTCACTTTTTGATGGGGTTGTTTTTTCCTTATAAATTTGTTTAAGTTCCTCATAGATTCTGGTATTAGCCCTTTGTCAGATGGATAGATTGCAAAAATTTTCTCCCATTCTCTAGGTTGCCTGTTTGCTCTGATGATAGTTTCTTTTGCTGTGCAGAAGCTCTTTAGTTTAATTAGATCCATTTGTCAGTTTTGGCTTTTGTTGCCACTGCTTTGGTGTTTTAGTCATGAAGTCTTTGCCCATGCCTATGGCCTGAATGCTACTGCCTAGGTTTTCTTCTAGGGTTTCTATGGTTTTAGGTCTCACATTTAAATCTTTAATTCATCTTGACTTAATTTTTGTATAGTGTGTGTGGAAGGGATCCAGTTTCAGTTTTCTGCATATGGCTAGCCAGTTTTCCCAACACCACTTATTAAATAGGGAATCCTTTCCCTATTGCTTGTTTTTGTCAGGTTTGTCAAAGATCAGATGGTAGTAGATGTGTGGCGTTATTTCTGAGGCCTCTGTTCTGTTCCGTTCATCTATATATCTGTTTTGGTACCAGTACCATGCTGTTTTTGTTACTGTAGCCCTGTAGTATAGTTTGAAGCTAGGTAGCTTGATGCCTCCAGCTTTGTTCTTTTTGCTTAGGATTGTCTTGGCTATGCAGGCTCTTTTTTGGTTCCATATGAAATTTAAACTAGTTTTTTCCTAATTCTGTGAAGAAAGTCAATGGTAGCTTGATGGAGATAGCACTGAATTTATAAATTGCTTTAGGCAGTATGGCCATTTTCACAATATTTATTTTTACTATCCATGGGCATAAAATGTTTTTCCATTTGTGTCCTCTCTTATTTGGTTGAGCAGTGGTTTGTAGTTCTCCTTGAAGAGGTCCTTCACATCCCTTGTAAGTTGGATTCCTAGGTATTTCATTCTCTTTGTAGCAATTGTGAATGGGAGTTCTCTCATGATTTGGCTCTCTGTTTTTCTATTATTGGTGTGTAGGAATGCCTGTGGTTTTTGCACATTGATTTTTGTATTCTGAGACGTTGCTGAAGTTGCTTATCTGCTTAAGGAGATTTGGGGTTGAAACGATGGGGTTTTCTAAATATACAATCATGTCATCTGAAAACAGAGACAATTTGACTTCCTCTCTTTGTATTTGAATACCTATCATTTCTTTCTCTTGCCTGATTGCCATGGCCAGAACTTCCAATACTATGTTGAATAGGAGTGGTGAGAGAGGGCATCCTTGTCTTGTGCTGACTTTCAAAGGGAATGCTTCTGGCTTTTGCCCATTCAGTATGATATCAGTTGCGGGTTTGTCATAAATAGCTTTTATTATTTTGAGATACGTTCCATCAGTACCTAGTTTATTGAGAGTTTTTCACATGAAGGGGCACTGAATTTTATCAAAGGCCTTTTCTGCATCTATTGAGATAATCATGTGGTTGTTATCATTGGTTCTGTTTATGTGATGGATTATGTTTACTGATTTGCGTATGTTGAACCAGCCTTGCATCCCAGGGATGAATCCGGCTTGATGGTGATGGATAAGCTTTTTGATGTGCTACTGGATTCAGTTTGCCATTATTTTATTGTGGATTTTTGCATCAATATTCATCAGGGATATTGGCCTGAAATTTTCTTTTTTGTTTGTGTCTCTGCCAGGTTTTGGTATCAGGATGATGCTGGCCTCATAAAATGAGTTAGGGAGGAGTCACTCTGTTTCTATTGTTTGGAATAGTTTCAGAAGGAATGGTACCAGCTCCTCTTTGTACCTCTGGTAGAATTTGGTAGTAACTCTGTATGGTCCTGGGCTTTTTGTGGTTGGTAAGCTATTAATTACTGCCTTAATTTCAGAACTTGTTATTGGTCTTTTCAGGGATTTGACTTCTTCCTTGTTTAGTCTTGGAAGGGTGTATGTGTCCAGGAATTTGTCCATTTCTTCTAGATTTTCTAGTTTATTTGCATAGAGGTTTTTTTAGTATTTTCTGATGGTAGTTTGTATTTCTGTGGGATCAGTGGTGATATCCCCTTTATCATTTTTTGTCAATTTGATTCTTCTTTCTTTTCTTCTTTATTAATCTGGCTAGTGGTCTTTTTATTTTGGTACACTTTTCAAAAAACCAGCTCCTGGATTCCTTGATTTTTTGAAGCATTTTTTATGTCTCTATCTCCTTCAGTTCTGCTCTGATCTTAGTTATTTCTTGTCTTCTACTAGCTTTTGAATTTGTTTGCTCTTGCTTCTCTAGTTCTTTTAATTGTGATGTTAGGGTGTCGATTTTAGATCATTCTCCCCTTTCTCATGTGGGCATTTAGTGCTGTAAATTTCCCTCTACATACTGTTTAGCTGTGTCCCAGAGATTCTGGTACATTGTGCCTTTGTTCTCATTTGTTTCAATGAACTTATTTATTTCTGCCTTAATTTTGTTATTTACCCAGTAGTCATTCAGGAGCAGGTTTTTCAGTTTCCATGTAGTTGTATGTTTTTGAGTGAGTTTCTTAATCCTTCTTCTAATTTGATTGCACTGTAGGCTGAGAGACTGTTGTGATTTCCATTCTTTTGCATTTGCTAAGGAGTATTTTACTGCCAACTATGTGGTCAGTTTTAGAATAACTGTGATGTGGTGCTGAGAAGAATGTATATTCTGTCGATTTGGAGTGAAGAGTTCTTTTATGTCTATTAGGTCTGCTTGGTCCAGAGCTGAGTTCAAGTCCTGAATATCCTTCTTAATTTTCTGTCTCATTGATCTGTCTAACATTGACAGTGGGGTGTTAAAGTCTCCCACTATTACTGTGTGGGAGTCTAAGTCTCTTTGTAGGTCTCTAAGAATTTGCTTTATGAATCTGGGTGCTCCTGTATTGGTTGCATATATATTGAGAATAGTTAGCTCTTCTTGTTTCATTGATCCCTTTACCATTATGTAATGCCCTTCTTTGTCTTTTTTGATCTTTGTTGTTTTAAAGTCTGTTTTATCAGAGACTAGGTTTGCAACCCTGCTTTTTTTTTTTTTTTTTTTTTGCTTTCCATTTGCTTGGTAAATATTCCATCATCCCTTTATTTTGAGCCTATGTGTGTCTTTGCACATGAGATGGGTCTCCTGAATACAGCACACCAATGGGGCTTGACTCTTTATCCAATTTGTCAGTCTGTGTCTTTTAATTGGGGTGTTTAGCCCATGTACATTTAAGGTTAATATTGTTATGTGTGAATTTGATTCTGTCATTATGATGTTTTCTGGTTATTTTGCTTTTTAGTTGATGCAGTTTCTTCATAGTTTCAATGGTCTTTATAATTTGGTATGTTTTTGCAGTGGCTGGTACCGGTTGTTCCTTTCCATATTTAGTGCTTTCCTCAGGAGCTCTTGCAAGGCAGTCCTGGTGGTGACAAAATCTCTCAGCATCTTCTTGTCTGTGAAGGATTTTATTTCTCCTTCACTTATGAAGCTTAGTTTGGCTGGGTATGAAATTCTGGGTTGAAAATTCTGTTCTTTAAGAATGTTGAATATTGGCCCCCACTGTTTTCTGGCTTATAGGCTTTCTGTAGAGAGATCCACTGTTAATCTGATGGGCTTCCCTTTGTGATTAACACAACCTTTCTCTCTGTCTGCCCTTAACATTTTCCTTTTATTTCTACCTCGGTGAATCTGACAATTATGTGTCTTGGGGTTGCTCTTCTCAAGAGGTATCTTTGTGGTGTTCTCTGCATTTTCTGAATATGAATGCTGGCCTGTCTTGCTACATTGAGGAATTTCTCCTGGATAATATCCTGAAGAGTGTTTTCCAACTTGGTTCCATTCACCCCATCATTTTCAGGTACACCAATAAAACATGGGTTTGGTCTTTTCACATAGTCCCATATTTCTTGGAGGCTTTGTTCATTCCTTTTTCTCTAATCTTGTCTTCACACTTTATTTCATTAAGTTTATCTTCAATCTTTGAAATCCTTTCTTCCCACTTGATTGATTTGTCTATTGATACCTATGTATGCTTCATGAGGTTCTCATGCTGTGTTTATCAGCTCCATCAGATCATTTATATTCTTCTCTAAACTGTTTAATCTAGTTAGCAACTCCTCTAACCTTTTTTCAAGGTTCTTAGCTTCCTTGCTTTGGGTTAGAACATGCTCCTTTAGCTTGGAGGAGTTTGTTATTACCCACCTTCTGAAGTCTACTTCTGTCAATTCGTCAAACTCATTCTCCATCCAGTTTTGTTCCCTTGCTGGTGAGGAGTTGTGATCCTTTGGAGGAGAAGAGGCATTCTGATTTTTGGAATTTTCAGCCTTTTTGTGCTGGTTTTTCCTCATCTTCATGGATTTATCTACCTTTGGTCTTTCATGTTGGTGACCTTTGGATGGGGTTTCTGTGTGGACATCTTTTTTGTTGACATTGATGCTATTCCTTTCTGTTTCTTAGTTTTCCTTTTGACAGTCAGGCCCCTCTGCTGCAGGTCTGCTGGAGTCTGCTGGAGTTTGCTCCAGACCCTGTTTGCCTGGGTATCACCAGTGGAGGCTGCAGAACAGCAAAGATTGCTGCCTGTTCTTTCCTCTGGAAGCTTCATCCCAGAGGGGCACCCACCAGATGGCAGCTGGACCTCTCCTGTATGACGTGTCTGTTGACCCCTGCTGGGAGCTGCCTCCCAGTCAGGAGGCACAGGGATCAGGGACCCACTTGAGGAGGCAGTCTGTCTATTAGCAGAGCTCAAGCGCTGTGCTGGGAGATCCACCGCTGTCTTCAGAACTGGCAGGCAGAAACGTTTAAGTCTACTGAAGCTGCGCCCATAGTCGCCCCTTCCCCCAGGTGCTCTGTCTCAGGGAGGTGGGAGTTTTATCTATAAGCCCCTGACTGGGGTTGCTGCCTTTCTTTCAGAGATGACCCACCCAGAGCGGAGGAGTCTAGAGATGCAGTCTGGATACACCAGCTTTGTGGCACTGTGGTGGGCTCTGCCCAGTTTGAACTTCTCAGTGGCTTTGTTTACATGGTGAGGGGAAAAATCCCTACTCAAGCTTCAGTAATGGTGGATGCCCCTCCCCCCACCAAGCTGGAGCTTCCCAATTTGACTTCAGACTGCTGTGCTGGCAGCGAGAATTTCAAGCCAGTGGATCTTAGCTTGCTGGGCCCCATGGAGGTGGGATCTGCTGAGCCAGACAACTTGGCTCCCTGGCTTCGGCCCCCTTTCCAGGGGAGTCAAATGTTCTGTCTCGCTGACATTCCAGTAGCCACTGTGGTATGAAAAAAACCTGAAGCTAGCTTGATGTCTGCCCAAATGGCTGCCCAGTTTTGTACTTGAAACCCAGGGCCCTGGTGGTGTAGACATCCAAGGGCATCTCCTGGTCTGCAGGTTGCAAAGACCATGAGAAAAGCACAATATCTGAGCTGGAATGCACTGTTACTCATGGCACAGTCCCTCAAGGCTTCCCTTGACTAGGGGAAGGAGTTCCCCAAGCCCTTGCACTTCCCACATGAGGTGACGCCCATCCTGCTTCTGCTCACCCTCCATGGGCTGCACCCACTGTCTAACCAGTCCCAGTGAGATGAGCTGGGTACCTCAGTTGGAAATGCAGAAATCTCCTGCCTTCTGCATTAATCTCGCTGGCAGCTGCAGACTGGAGCTGTTCCTATTCGGCCATCTTGCCAGCCAAAATTGATTTTGGACTTCTGGCCTCCATAATTCCAAGAGAATAAATTTCACTTGTATTAAGCCACCCAGTTTGTTACAGCAGCTATAGAAAACTAACACAGATGCCAACTTGTCTGCAGCTCAGCTATCATAACAATAACATAATGAACTTCACACCATAAGACTATCAACTCTTAACAACTCCCAACTTTATAAAAATTCTTTCATAAATTAAACAGCCAAAAATTATACATAATATGGGAAGTGTGGTTATATTTTAATATATCTGATATGGTGAAAAGCAAAGCCTCTAAAAATAAAAGATACTAGGAATATTAATGTCTTAACATGTTCGTGAGTCTGTGGGTCCTGAGATGCTCTCTAATTACTTGGAAACACTCCCAGTTGGATTAATTAACTGCCAGCTTAAGTAATTGGGAGTAACAGCTATTTCATTGTTTAACCACAGATGCATTGCCCTCCCTCCCACATACCAGAATAGGGAGATTAAGCACATGGCCAGAGAAAAAATAAATGTACTTTTGATGAGAATAACTTTTTTTGGCCCAGCTTTACTATTAATTAGTATTTTCACAAGAACTCTGTCCAAGTTATGAAATGTATTTAGGTAATCCCAAGTACAACAAGTAGACAGGTATAATGTCAAAATCTCATAAGTAGAATGTCAAAATCTCAGAATGTCAAAATCTCTTTGACATTACAGCTGGCTTGTGGCATGGAACAATTTTTTCCATCTTATACTTTTCTGTGTATCTTGAATTTTTTAACAATAAGCAATAATCCCCTCTCAAATCAGAAAAAAATAGAAATAAAGAGGAACACCCTAAATTTACTTAGTTTCTATTTATGTTCGAACATGGAATCTTGGACCCCAGTTACTTTGCTTCAGTGCTTACTTGCCATCAAAGAAGCCTCCTTTGTATTGACTGAGCCCAAAACCTGTTCTAAGATTTGCCGGCCTGGTTCCTTAGACATACTGACTGCCCCCCCTTTACTCTGTCACTACAGCAGCAAAGAGCACCATAGAGTATGGCTTATTAAGGTCTCTATCATGGTATAACTGAGCAAATCAGTGCTGACACACTTTCTAACACTTTCTAACAAAACATACCATTTAAACAGCAACAACTTTTTTTTTTTTTTTCTTGAGACAGAGTCTTGCTCTGTTACCATATTGGCTGGGGTGGTCTCGAACTCCTAACCTCAAGTGATCCACCTGCCTCGGCCTCACAACATGCTGGAATTACAGGCATGAGCCACCATGCCTGGCCTACAGCAACATTGATGCTTGGTCTCCCTTAGACTTGTGAGATGGCCCGAGGAACCTTGTTTTAACTCAAGATTAATTCTACGTAACTATAAGTCTTTATTATTCTTATCAAGACCTTACATGTGGTCTTCTATTCAGGTAGAGACTAATCCACAAGGTTGGCAAGTTACACACGGAGAGAGGTAATTTACCTTCCTAACCAGTTTCAGTTTCATAATCACAGCACCATTAGTTTCACCTCTGCATATAATTAAGCGAAGACTCACCCAGCTGTAGCCATGTAAGCTGATCATTCAAAATCCACATATTTAGCTTTCTGTCCTTTCTATTTCTTCTCTCTCATCTCCCTAGGTAGTTGTGAAACACAAACCCCCAAACATCTTCAAAAGCTGTCACAGATCATTGCAGAAGCATAAAGTACTTTTAAAGCATTTCTGCCATGGAGATAGATTCCTATCATATCTTTCCTTTCAATTAAAGCCTGACTGGAATATGTTTAGCAGTGAACAATGAAGTCTGTTTATGAAAAGTTGTTACTAATTTGTGCAAGCACATTTCTACGGGTTTAAAGCAACTATGAATCACACAAATCCATGTGGGCAAGAAAAAAATTTTAATTTGAGTTTCCAGGTCATTTTTACTATGTGAGTTCTTTCTTTCCAAAACTAATTACTGAAGGAAGCAGGGCAGGGTGAGAAGAGAAACAGCCAAGCTAAGTAAAAAGAAAAAAGAAAAGACTAAGCATTTTTCTTGAGATCAGAGAAATCACAATCATGTAACAATGTTTTTTACCCTGCTAAGACAGAAACCAATTTCACTGACTTGAGACACACTCCAGAAGAGAACTGGGTTTCTCAGTGAACCATGAACTGCCTCTGACCCTCAGTTCCCATCATTGGAAATCAGAGCCGTGGGCCAGTTGGGCAGTTTCCATGCTGTACTCAGTGGCATTTGGAGGGTTCTGAGCATGTGCTTAGGGGCAGCCCAAGTTCCACACCCTTCAGCTTTTATCTGTTATGTACATTAACTCACATAAGATTTTTGTTTTAGAAAGAAATAAGATGTGGATTTTTGTTGGTTTGTATAAGACAAATTGAAAAATAAGACTGGTTAATAGTAACTATAAGAAAAAAATATCTTTACATTTTATGGTGCCTGGTCCCATAAATTATTACTATTTTTTATTATTATTATACTTTAAGTTTTAGGGTACATGTGCACAACGTACAGGTTTGTTACGTATGTATACATGTGCCATGTTGGTGTGCTGCACCCATCAACTCGTCATTTAGCATTAGGTATATCTCCCAGTGTTATCCCTCCCCCCTCCCCCCACCCCACAAGAGTCCCCAGTGTGTGATATTCCCCTTCCTGTGTCCATGTGTTCTCATTGTTCAATTCCCACCTATGAGTGAGAACATGTGGTGTTTGGTTTTTTGTCCTTGTGATAGTTTGCTGAGAATGATGGTTTCCAGCTTCATCCATGTCCCTACAAAGGACATGAACTCATCATTTTTTATGGCTGCATAGTATTCCATGGTGTATATGTGCCACATTTTCTTAATCCAGTCTATCATTGTTGGACATTTGGGTTGGTTCCAAGTCTTTGCTATTGTGAATAGTGCCACAATAAACATATATGTGCATGTGTCTTTATAGCAGCATGATTTACAATCCTTTGGGTATATACCCAGTAATGGGATGGCTGGGTCAAATGGTATTTCTAGTTCCAGATCCCTGAGGAATCGCCACACTGACTTCCACAGTGGTTGAACTAGATTACAGTCCCACCAACAGTGTAAAAGTGTTCCTATTTCTCCACATCCTCTCCAGCACCTGTTGCTTCCTGACTTTTTTTTTTTTTTTTTTTTTTTTTTTTTATTATACTCTCAGTTTTAGGGTACATGTGCACATTGTGCAGGTTAGTTACATATGTATACATGTGCCATGCTGGTGCGCTGCACCCACTAATGTGTCATCTAGCATTAGGTATATCTCCCAGTGCTATCCCTCCCCCCTCCCCCGACCCCACCACAGTCCCCAGAGTGTGATATTCCCCTTCCTGTGTCCATGTGATCTCATTGTTCAATTCCCACCTATGAGTGAGAATATGCGGTGTTTGGTTTTTTGTTCTTGCGATAGTTTACTGAGAATGATGGTTTCCAATTTCATCCATGTCCCTACAAAGGATATGAACTCATCATTTTTTATGGCTGCATAGTATTCCATGGTGTATATGTGCCACATTTTCTTAATCCAGACTATCATTGTTGGACATTTGGGTTGGTTCCAAGTCTTTGCTATTGTGAATAGTGCCGCAATAAACATACGTGTGCATGTGTCTTTATAGCAGCATGATTTATAGTCCTTTGGGTATATACCCAGTAATGGGATGGCTGGGTCAAATGGTATTTCTAGTTCTAGATCCCTGAGGAATCGCCACACTGACTTCCACAATGGTTGAACTAGTTTACAGTCCCACCAACAGTGTAAAAGTGTTCCTATTTCTCCACATCCTCTCCAGCACCTGTTGTTTCCTGACTTTTTAATGATTGCCATTCTAACTGGTGTGAGATGATATCTCATAGTGGTTTTGATTTGCATTTCTCTGATGGCCAGTGATGATGAGCATTTTTTCATGTGTTTTTTGGCTGCATAAATGTCTTCTTTTGAGAAGTGTCTGTTCATGTCCTTCGCCCACTTTTTGATGGGGTTGTTTGTTTTTTTCTTGTAAATTTGTTTGAGTTCATTGTAGATTCTGGATATTAGCCCTTTGTCAGATGAGTAGGTTGCAAAAATTTTCTCCCATGTTGTAGGTTGCCTGTTCACTCTGATGGTAGTTTCTTTTGCTGTGCAGAAGCTCTTTAGTTTAATTAGATCCCATTTGTCAATTTTGGTTTTTGTTGCCATTGCTTTTGGTGTTTTGGACATGAAGTCCTTGCCCACGCCTATGTCCTGAATGGTAATGCCTAGGTTTTCTTCTAGGGTTTTTATGGTTTTAGGTCTAACATTTAAGTCTTTAATCCATCTTGAATTGATTTTTGTATAAGGTGTAAGGAAGGGATCCAGTTTCAGCTTTCTACATATGGCTAGCCAGTTTTCCCAGCACCATTTATTAAATAGGGAATCCTTTCCCCATTGCTTGTTTTTCTCAGGTTTGTCAAAGATCAGATAGTTGTAGATATGCGGCATTATTTCTGAGGGCTCTGTTCTGTTCCATTGATCTATATCTCTGTTTTGGTACCAGTACCATGCTGTTTTGGTTACTGTAGCCTTGTAGTATAGTTTGAAGTCAGGTAGTGTGATGCCTCCAGCTTTGTTCTTTTGGCTTAGGATTGACTTGGCAATGCGGGCTCTTTTTTGGTTCCATATGAACTTTAAAGTAGTTTTTTCCAATTCTGTGAAGAAAGTCATTGGTAGCTTGATGGGGATGGCATTGAATCTGTAAATTACCTTGGGCAGTATGGCCATTTTCACGATATTGATTCTTCCTACCCATGAGCATGGAATGTTCTTCCATTTGTTTGTGTCCTCTTTTATTTCCTTGAGCAGTGGTTTGTAGTTCTCCTTGAAGAGGTCCTTCACATCCCTTGTAAGTTGGATTCCTAAGTATTTTATTCTCTTTGAAGCAATTGTGAATGGGAGTTCACCCATGATTTGGCTCTCTGTTTGTCTGTTGTTGGTGTATAAGAATGCTTGTGATTTTTGTACATTGATTTTGTATCCTGAGACTTTGCTGAAGTTGCTTATCAGCTTAAGGAGATTTTGGGCTGAGACGATGGGGTTTTCTAGATAAACAATCATGTCGTCTGCAAACAGGGACAATTTGACTTCCTCTTTTCCTAATTGAATACCCTTTATTTCCTTCTCCTGCCTGATTGCCCTGGCCAGAACTTCCAACACTATGTTGAATAGGAGCGGTGAGAGAGGGCATCCCTGTCTTGTGCCAGTTTTCAAAGGGAATGCTTCCAGTTTTTGCCCATTCAGTATGATATTGGCTGTGGGTTTGTCATAGATAGCTCTTATTATTTTGAAATACGTCCCATCAATACCTAATTTATTGAGAGTTTTTAGCATGAAGGGTTGTTGAATTTTGTCAAAGGCTTTTTCTGCATCTATTGAGATAATCATGTGGTTTTTGTCTTTGGCTCTGTTTATATGCTGGATTACATTTATTGACTTGCGTATATTGAACCAGCCTTGCATCCCAGGGATGAAGCCCACTTGATCATGGTGGATAAGCTTTTTGATGTGCTGCTGGATTCGGTTTGCCAGTATTTTATTGAGGATTTTTGCATCAATGTTCATCAAGGATATTGGTCTAAAATTCTCTTTTTTGGTTGTGTCTCTGCCCGGCTTTGGTATCAGAATGATGCTGGCCTCATAAAATGAGTTAGGGAGGATTCCCTCTTTTTCTATTGATTGGAATAGTTTCAGAAGGAATGGTACCAGTTCCTCCTTGTACCTCTGGTAGAATTCGGCTGTGAATCCATCTGGTCCTGGACTCTTTTTGGTTGGTAAACTATTGATTATTGCCACAATTTCAGAGCCTGTTATTGGTCTATTCAGAGATTCAACTTCTTCCTGGTTTAGTCTTGGGAGAGTGTATGTGTCGAGGAATGTATCCATTTCTTCTAGATTTTCTAGTTTATTTGCGTAGAGGTGTTTGTAGTATTCTCTGATGGTAGTTTGTATTTCTGTGGGATCGGTGGTGATATCCCCTTTATCATTTTTTATTGTGTCTATTTGATTCTTCTCTCTTTTTTTCTTTATTAGTCTTGCTAGCGGTCTATCAATTTTGTTGATCCTTTCAAAAAACCAGCTCCTGGATTCATTGATTTTTTGAAGGGTTTTTTGTGTCTCTATTTCCTTCAGTTCTGCTCTGATTTTAGTTATTTCTTGCCTTCTGCTAGCTTTTGAATGTGTTTGCTCTTGCTTTTCTAGTTCTTTTAATTGTGATGTTAGGGTGTCAATTTTGGATCTTTCCTGCTTTCTCTTGTAGGCATTTAGTGCTATAAATTTCCCTCTACACACTGCTTTGAATGCGTCCCAGAGATTCTGGTATGTGGTGTCTTTGTTCTCGTTGGTTTCAAAGAACATCTTTATTTCTGCCTTCATTTCGTTATGTACCCAGTAGTCATTCAGGAGCAGGTTGTTCAGTTTCCATGTAGTTGAGCGGCTTTGAGTGAGATTCTTAATCCTGAGTTCTAGTTTGATTGCACTGTGGTCTGAGAGATAGTTTGTTATAATTTCTGTTCTTTTACATTTGCTGAGGAGAGCTTTACTTCCAACTATGTGGTCAATTTTGGAATAGGTGTGGTGTGGTGCTGAAAAAAATGTATATTCTGTTGATTTGGGGTGGAGAGTTCTGTAGATGTCTATTAGGTCTGCTTGGTGCAGAGCTGAGTTCAATTCCTGGGTATCCTTGTTGACTTTCTGTCTCGTTGATCTGTCTAATGTTGACAGTGGGGTGTTAAAGTCTCCCATTATTAATGTGTGGGAGTCTAAGTCTCTTTGTAGGTCACTGAGGACTTGCTTTATGAATCTGGGTGCTCCTGTATTGGGTGCATAAATATTTAGGATAGTTAGCTCCTCTTGTTGAATTGATCCCTTTACCATTATGTAATGGCCTTCTTTGTCTCTTTTGATCTTCGTTGGTTTGAAGTCTGTTTTATCAGAGACTAGGATTGCAACCCCTGCCTTTTTTTGTTTTCCATTTGCTTGGTAGATCTTCCTCCATCCTTTTATTTTGAGCCTATGTGTGTCTCTGCACGTGAGATGGGTTTCCTGAATACAGCACACTGATGGGTCTTGACTCTTTATCCAACTTGCCAGTCTGTGTCTTTTAATTGCAGAATTTAGTCCATTTATATTTAAAGTTAATATTGTTATGTGTGAATTTGATCCTGTCATTATGATGTTAGCTGGTGATTTTGCTCATTAGTTGATGCAGTTTCTTCCTAGTCTCGATGGTCTTTACATTTTGGCATGATTTTGCAGCGGCTGATACCGGTTGTTCCTTTCCATGTTTAGTGATTCCTTCAGGAGCTCTTTTAGGGCAGGCCTGGTGGTGACAAAATCTCTCAGCATTTGCTTGTCTATAAAGTATTTTATTTCTCCTTCACTTATGAAGCTTAGTTTGGCTGGATATGAAATTCTGGGTTGAAAATTCTTTTCTTTAAGAATGTTGAATATTGGCCCCCACTCTCTTCTGGCTTGTAGGGTTTCTGCCGAGAGATCCGCTGTTAGTCTGATGGGCTTTCCTTTGAGGGTAACCCGACCTTTCTCTCTGGCTGCCCTTAACATTTTTTCCTTCATTTCAACTTTGGTGAATCTGACAATTATGTGTCTTGGAGTTGCTCTTCTCGAGGAGTATCTTTGTGGCGTTCTCTGTATTTCCTGAATCTGAACGTTGGCCTGCCTTGCTAGATTGGGGAAGTTCTCCTGGATAATATCCTGCAGAGTGTTTTCCAACTTGGTTCCATTCTCCACATCACTTTCAGGTACACCAATCAGACGTAGATTTGGTCTTTTCACATAGTCCCATATTTCTTGTAGGCTTTGCTCATTTCTTTTTATTCTTTTTTCTCTAACCTTCCCTTCTCGCTTCATTTCATTCATTTCATCTTCCATTGCTGATACCCTTTCTTCCAGTTGATCGCATCGGCTCCTGAGGCTTCTGCATTCTTCACGTAGTTCTCGAGCCTTGGTTTTCAGCTCCATCAGCTCCTTTAAGCACTTCTCTGTATTGGTTATTCTAGTTATACATTCTTCTAAATTTTTTTCAAAGTTTTCAACTTCTTTGCCTTTGGTTTGAATGTCCTCCCGTAGCTCAGAGTAATTTGATCGTCTGAAGCCTTCTTCTCTCAGCTCGTCAAAATCATTCTCCATCCAGCTTTGTTCTGTTGCTAGTGAGGAACTGCGTTCCTTTGGAGGAGGAGAGGCGCTCTGCGTTTTAGAGTTTCCAGTTTTTCTGTTCTGTTTTTTCCCCATCTTTGTGGTTTTATCTACTTTTGGTCTTTGATGATGGTGATGTACAGATGGGTTTTCGGTGTAGATGTCCTTTCTGGTTGTTAGTTTTCCTTCTAACAGACAGGACCCTCAGCTGCAGGTCTGTTGGAATACCCTGCCGTGTGAGGTGTCAGTGTGCCCCTGCTGGGGGGTGCCTCCCAGTTAGGCTGCTCGGGGGTCAGGGGTCAGGGACCCACTTGAGGAGGCAGTCTGCCCGTTCTCAGATCTCCAGCTGCGTGCTGGGAGAACCACTGCTCTCTTCAAAGCTGTCAGACAGGGACACTTAAGTCTGCAGAGGTTACTGCTGTCTTTTTGTTTGTCTGTGCCCTGCCCCCAGAGGTGGAGCCTACAGAGGCAGGCAGGTCTCCTTGAGCTGTGGTGGGCTCCACTCAGTTCGAGCTTCCCGGCTGCTTTGTTTACCTAAGCAAGCCTGGGCAATGGCGGGCGCCCCTCCCCCAGCCTCGTTGCCGCCTTGCAGTTTGATCTCAGACTGCTGTGCTAGCAATCAGCGAGATTCCGTGGGCGTAGGACCCTCTGAGCCAGGTGTGGGATATAGTCTCGTGGTGCGCCGTTTCTTAAGCCGGTCTGAAAAGCGCAATATTCGGGTGGGAGTGACCCGATTTTCCAGGTACGTCCGTCACCCCTTTCTTTGACTCGGAAAGGGAACTCCCTGACCCCTTGCGCTTCCCAGGTGAGGCAATGCCTCGCCCTGCTTCGGCTTGCGCACGGTGCGCACACACACTGGCCTGCGCCCACTGTCTGGCACTCCCTATTGAGATGAACCCGGTACCTCAGATGGAAATGCAGAAATCACCCGTCTTCTGCGTCGCTCACGCTGGGAGCTGTAGACCGGAGCTGTTCCTATTCGGCCATCTTGGCTCCTCCTCCGCTTCCTGACTTTTTAATGATTGCCATTCTAACTGGTGTGAGATGGTATCTCATTGTGGTTTTGATTTGCATTTCTCTGATGGCCAGTGATGATGAGCATTTTTTCATGTGTTTTTTGGCTGCATAAATTATTTACATCAACAACCATTTCTCCTAGTCCTCATGTTACAGGAAAGACAGTATTATTTCGTTTTTACATATGAGATTGATGACCCCAAATACATGCATTTTCTTCTCCTTCTCTTACGTCCAGTTAAGAATGTCATGCGTTATAGATAAGAATGGCAAATAATCCACCTCTATCACCAACACCCTTATTTTCTCATATAGTTTCATTTTTTTTCTCATCTCTAAACTTCCACATATTTTGCTGCTTCTCTCTCTCAACAAACTTATATATTTCCCTAGGACTGGTCCAGAGAACCATTCTATAGAGAAACTGCCCTCAATTAGTATGGATCAGTGACCTAAAACAGATCCTGAATACACTGATTCTCCTATTTACTCAATATTTTGGAATGAATATTCATTCATTCCAAAAAGATGTATGTAACTCCTCCAACATATCAGCTATCAGAATAGGTAAAGACCCATCCTCACGGGATTTCCAATCTGCGCCCCTGCAGTACAATTCCAGTCTTTGTAACATCATGTCAATGATGCCTTAATGCTGACTTCCAAGGAAAAAAGGATCAATTCCAAAGTAATTCTCGAGACTTCCTCCAGTAAGCCCATTGATTTTCCTTGCAAAGAGCTGAAACTTTTGTGACACTTACAGAGCCACTAATTATGTGGTTTGTTTACCAAGCAGCATTGCCATTTGTATTATCCATTTTCATGCCGCTGTTAAAAACAAACCCAAGACTGGGCAATTTACAAAGGGAAGAGGTTTAATGGAGAACTCACAGTTCCGCGTAGTTGGGGAAGCCTCACAATCATGGCAGAAGGCAAGGAGGAGCAAGTCACATCTTATGTAGATGGCATCAGCCAAAGAGAGAGCTTGTGCAGACAAACTCCTGTTTTTAAAGCCATTAGATGTTGTGAGACTTATTAACTATCACGAGAAGAGCACAGGAAAGACCACTCCCTCCAACCCGTGATTCAGTTATCTCCCACCAGGCCCCTCCCACAACTCGTGGGAATTATGGGAGCTACAAGATGAGATTTGGGTGGGAACACAGAGCCAAAACATATCACCACTCAAAACACACTCCAACAGCAAAAAGGAATTTCAAAGTAATTATATTTCTCACATTATGGGAAACGGGTACCTAAGCCAGGAGAGTATTTCTTAGCCCCACCTTTTTGTTCCTCCCACTTCTCTCACATCCTTTCTACTGTGCTTCTCTTACCCAGTCTCCCTGGAAAACCCCTTGATTGCCTCTAGCCAACCCCTTCCTTTTTCCCCTTGCTTCCATGTCCTCCAGATCCTTCATCACAAAAGTCCAAACTGCCAGCTTCAGCAAGAAAGGAACATCCCTGGATTGCAGGAGAAGGAAAAAAGTTGAAGATGCCAAGCCAAGCCAGAGGGAAGGAAAGGCGAGATACTCCGTGATTTAATCATGTTACAGCCTCACAAAGATGCAAAAGATTCCTGTTTACTTGCCGTAGTATGACTCATTCTGGAAAGAGGAGTTTCAATCAGTTGGTTTTACATTTTCTTCTTCTGTGATATGTGTGTGTCTGTATGTGTTTGTACAGATAGATATATAAAGGATCAGATTTATATATAAAATTATATATCCTTGATATGTAAGTATATATTATATATTTATATTTATTATAGATTTATATTTATTAGATATATATGCATATAATTTACTTATATATATTTTATAAATATAAATATTTTATATTTTTATAATATGTAAATACATATGTATCTTTTATAAATGTTTGCTCTGAAGTTCTACTTAAAGATCCCTCCTTACACACACACACACACACACACATATGCATATGCACATACATGCATACACACAGCTCTCTGATACATGGCCATGATGTGAGATAACATCTCTTTTACAGCTTAAAGGTACTGGCCAGCTTTGCTATCCTGAGCACTTCATTTATGAAATGGCCTTCACTAGATCATAAAACAACAGAAATTTGAATGGCCTGAAACTCTTCTCCAGTTCTAACAAGTATTCTGAAAGCCAAGACAAAGTTCTAGAATGGAAAGAAAACCATAACAAAATAAATTAGTTCACAATTTTTGTGACATTCGTTAGCAACAGCCTGGAAGTGACCAAAAATCATACTCATGACACCTTTAAATATGGTAGGATTATTAATTATATTGAAATCAGTCCCCTCAACTTAGATATGAGAAAACTGAGAACAGTTTCCTTATCTGTCCCTGGATGCATAAAAACTTCTGCCTAGGTTCCCAGGAGACTTACTTTATCTTCAAACAGCAAAATTTGAGATCACATGTGATTTTTTATTTTCAGATCATGAATAAAACAAATGGAAAGAGAAAGAAAAGAAAAAACAAGAGAGAGAATGTGTCAAGTTAAAATGTCAAAGGGACACAGATATCAACTGAAAGAACTCTTACTGGCCATAGCTGCATAATTTGGCAAAATGAATAAATTATTATTTATAACCCAAAGTATAAAGTAAATATTCACGATCCACACTGATATAAATAAATTATTAAATAAATAGAGGAAAGTAGACAAATATTCCATTGAGAATAACTTCAAATAATTTATGTAGCTACTTCACCCTCAAGAAGGTGGAGCATAGTTCCCCACCCCTTATGTGTGGGATACACACAGTAACTTTCTTCCAAAAATAGGAAAAAGATGAAAATAAGAATAACTTTACCATAGAGGAATCTGACAAATATTACCACAGGCAGATGATCAGGGTTATCATCAATAATGACAACTTAGGTTGGTAACCTTGATATGAAATGGCTCTTTACCTCTATAGGTCTCCCCAGTAACCTGTGATCTCAATCCAATCATGACAAAAACATCAGACCTATACCGATGGAGGGTCACTCTACAAAATACCCTACCTCTACTCCTCAAAACTTCTCAGGTCATCAAAAACAAAAAACCAAGAGGAGTCTAAGGAGACATGAGGACAAAATGCAATGTCACTCTGATTAGGAACCTAGAACAGATAAAGAACACTAATGAAACATTAAGGAAATCTGTGTAAAGCATGGACTTTAGATGATATACCATATCAATATTGGTTTTTCAGTTATAACAATTTGAACCATACTAACATAAGAAAATAACAGGAGAAGCTAGGTGTGAGGATATATGAGAATTCTCTACACAGTTTTCACAGTTTTTCTGTAAATCTGAAACTGTTCTGAAAGTAAAGTTTATTCTAAAAAGTGATTTAAATGATTCAGACTCTAAATGCAAAAAAATTAAGAATAATTATTTTTTGCCTATGTCTTTTAAGCACTTTACATAGCAAAAATGTAAGAAATCTGTATTAGAGGGAACAAAAGAAAGTTTATGAATAGCTGTAATGCTATTTCAACTTAAAAATGCTATTTCAACTTGCAAAACAAGCAGATAAAAGTCTTTGCTTTGTTTTAGACATTATATTGTAATTGTGTTTAAAATTAGCAAGATGTAACATTTATTCTCTGACATGTATCTTCCGAAGAGTCACAGTGGTTGAGAGTCAATTAAGACATAATCCATGTGAAATTTTTATTAGACCAAATTTACTGTGAAATTACTACCAACATATACTTCGGTCTATTTTCTTGAGTTATTTCCTAGTTATTCAGCCTTTTAGTTAGAGCTTCAGATTATAACAAATGCCTTGGAAAGCAATTTTTAAAGTTGTAATTACAATACCCTAGTAGAATCACATATTGTTTCTCTTTGCCCAGATATAGCACCCAGTAAAATGTTTGATGAATGAATAAAATTTCTTTCTATTGTTTCATTTAGTACACTTTCTGTCTCTAGACTATCTCATGGATGTGATTATAAATTGGTTTGGTGCCTCAGCTTTCTTCCAAATGGATTATCTCACAACACAATCCTAACTGGAAGGCCTTGATTAACAGCTGATGCAAATCTCTGTACCTTCTGGACTTGTGTAGCTGTTTGTGTGTTAGTTAAATTTATAAACTGGAGGGGGAAAAAAGCTGCTATAGCACATAGATCTCTTTGCACTATCTTAACAGATGTTATTCCATTAATGCTATTTTATTGGAAGATAGAAATGGAACTCCTTAGTCTCTCATCTTCTGTATATCTGTGCAAATCCAACCAATATCAGTTAGCTTTTGCTGCATAACAAAGCACCTCAAAATTTAGTGATTTAAAACAACACCATTGTATTTAGCTCATGATCCTCTGAGTTGTCAGACTGATGGGACTTTCTTCACATTAGATCTCGTCTTACAGGAAGCCAGTTCATTCTTTTCAAATGGAGCAGTCCCAGAATAAGAAAGAGTGACTCCAATGCACAAGAACTTTTCAAACCTCTGCCTGTATCATGTTTTCCAGTGTGCCACTGGCCAAAGCGAGTCACGTAGATAAATCCACAACTTAAGGGGTTGAGAAGTAATTCTACCTCTTAATGAGAGAAACTGCTAAATATTGTGTCTATTTTGTCTTAATTTACCACAGTCCACTCTCTGGTTTAAATTATTTAAATTATTCACAATGCAAAATACACTGAGCATCTACGACTGCCTCAAAATCTGATCCAACATGACAGCAGTCTCAAGAGCTAATATCTTGCAATTTGTATCTTCTTCAAATGTGGATGAGGGTCCTCACGTGTCACATGTTGACACTTCCTTTTGACCCAGAGACCTCTCAAACTTAAGAAGAGATATCTGCTCTTTACATTCCTAACATGCAATGCTGAAGTAGGGACAAAATAATCATCACAGAGATTCTCATTTGAAAAGAAAAGAAATGACAGACATACAGTAGTTGCTGTTTTGTAGTAGTAATTCTGAAGTCCAACTGGATATTTACTGTCAGATTTTCCACACAGAATCACAAGGAATGATCCCTGGTTAGAATGCAATTCTGCTCCCAGGGAGTGGTTTCCTCCCCCAATGTCCTTTCTTTCTTGGTTCCACTCCCTACACTCTTGTTTTCACCATCTGAGATGTCCTTCATTTTCCATAAGAAATGACACATGTCTGAAACTGAGAAGTGTTCTCAGATTGCTTCTTTTCTACTTGTAAAAATTTGGGAACCCAGCAAAAATTTGTTTGAATCATTCCTGTCCATTTTTGTCCAAATTTACAGTGCTTTTGCCCTGCGATTCTCTTTAAAAACATTG
The DNA here is from genome assembly GCF_000001405.40 of Homo sapiens. Classification (NCBI taxonomy): domain Eukaryota; kingdom Metazoa; phylum Chordata; class Mammalia; order Primates; family Hominidae; genus Homo; species Homo sapiens. Next base: position 74,728,877 of record NC_000004.12, read on the forward strand.
GGAGATTGTGATGATTCTAAGTTGAGTCCACTTCATGACTCTCCACAATTCTTTTTTGACATACCTGTCTCTATTTAGGGTGTGCCTGGCTGCTGTGACAGAATGCCTATAAGAGTCTTAGAAACTCTTTTATCTAACTGAAAGATATGTGACAGAATGTGACAGAATGCCTATAAGAGTCTTAGAAACTCTTTTATCTAACTGAAAGGTCTACTATACACTAAATTTAAACACATTTCAACAAATCTTAACAAATTTCTAGAAGTCTTAATAAAGGATTGTATAACTGAACTTTGTATTTTGCATTAATTATTTATTTCATTTTGAGGATCTTATACTAGTTGCAGAAACTAGAGATGAGAGAATTTTATTTTCCAATCCAGAAAATTCTAAGACTCCTGTATTTCCTCTAAATTCTATCTAAAACTGAACAGTTATTTCTTTACCTTTTATCTTTCTTGAAATAACTTATCATACTCATCTAGAAGAAGCTAATTGACACTTTCAACACTCTGCTTGGAAGTTTTCCTCTCCACATCCACAAGTTAGTTAAGTACATTCTATCTTGCAAGTTATTATGGTAACAGTTTTGCCAATAGTTTTGCTGCCACATCATACTGGTGTCCATTTTGTTTCAACCTGCTGTAGCAGTTTCAGGTCACCACTTACATTTTTTCATTTTGACATTTTACCAGCAGTTTCTAACAGTTTCCTTTCTAATTTGTTAACCTTTACCAGCTACCTAATCCTTAAATCAATGTCATATGTTTTAGGTTTTGTTATGGAAGCATCCCACTGTACAACAACTCATGTCAATTAGTTATTGCTGTATAACAAACCATCCCAAAACATAATGACATGCAACAACAACCATTTCATTTAGCTCACAATTCTCAAAGTGGTTTGGATGGCTCAGGTCATGTTCCAAATTATTCTTCACCCTCAGTTAACTAGCCCAGGTGTCTTTGTAAGGTATGGTCTCAGGGGTCCCAGCAACAAGAGGTATCAAGTCCCAGTGTGCAAGCACTGCTCAAGTCCCATTGGCCAAAGCAAACACATAGCTAAGCTCAGATTTAAGAGGTGGAAAAATTGACTCCGTCTCTTGATGGAAGGAACTGCAAAAGATTGTGGCCATTTAATTTCAATCTACCACGCAGTCCATCATTCAAAATAGCTCGCATGTCACACCCTCTAATAATTGTTTACTGAGTGCTTTCTCTCTCCCTGTCAGTCTCTCTCTGTCTCCCCCGCAACCCCCTCTTTTCCCCAGATTTAGTACAAAGAGACCTGGGTCATGGGTCTGGCTCTACCATCAAATTGTAACCTTGAATAAATCATTGCATTTTTCGGAGGCTTAATTTCCTCATCTACAAAATGATCTTTGATTCAATGAGAACAAAAACATTATCTACCTCTGAAAGATATGATTTTACCTAAGCTAGCAGCGGTAAAAATGTGGTTTGAAATAGGAGGAAAACATTCAGCTACTCTCAAGTCTAAGCAGGAAGGACAGTACCCTTGTTGTTCCTGCCAACACAGTTTTAAATTAAGTCTGGGTTTTGGATTTTTTTTCCACTTAAAATGATGGGTCACTTATCTTCATCTTCCTAAAAATCAAACCCTTTTTCATAGTAGAGTCTTGACTTTCCCTTGAGTTCATCTCATTTCCATTTTTATTCTCAAGACTCCTATCACTATTCTTTACAGAAATACAGCATGGAAATCCTTTTGTCCAGTTTACGTTCTAATGTTTATCAGCATCAATCTAAGAAAGTTTAAAGTGCATTAATTTATTAAATATTTGGTGCATACCTAATACATGCTAAGTGTTAGAGATAAACTGGTCAGCAGAAATAGATATAGTTCCTGTCTCCATGTAACTATACTTGTGGGAGAGGCAGGTATTTACCAAATAGGGACATAAAGACAACTAAATCAAAATATAGTAGCTACTACAAAGAGAATATACAGATTACTAAAACTACATATAAACGGAGGTCTAGCCTAGTGTAGGACTATCAGGGAAGACAAACAAAAGAAGCAAATTTAAATAGAGATGTGAAAAATGATGAGCATTTAGCCAGACAAAGGAGAGGGTGATATTATAAGCAAAAGAAACGATATGATAAGCAAAAGAAACATTTTCCACTTGTGAATTACAGTACCTCGGACAAGTTCCTTGAGCTCAGATTTTGAGCCTATTTCCTTATCTGCACAATAGGGATATAAATCATTATACCTATACCATGGAATGAATTAGATTTCTTTTATAAGATGTTTAACATAGTACCTGGTAAGTACTTAATAAGTATTTTCTGTTGGTGGTAACAATTTGGAGCTGGGCTTCCTGAATTTGAATTCTGCATTTGCCACTTAACTAGCTGTGTGATCCTGGGCGAGGCATTCACCCAGGTCCTTTAGCTTCCTCGAGATAATATCAGGGTAACCTTAACTACTTCAACTATCATAGGATTGCTGGGAGGCTTGCATGAGTTCCTATGGGAAGCATTAAAACAGTTCTTGGCACATAGTAGATGCTCCATGAATGTTAGCTGTTATTAGGACTAAAGAAAGCTCACAACTGTTCCATTAGGCATTTAGAAATCATTCTATGACTTTTAAGAAAATTGAGACTCAAAAAGTGTAAGTATCTGCTCAAGTTTACTTAGCTAACAAACTGCATGATTTGAAACTCAAACACACATTTTCTGATTCCAAACTCGCTCCATGAGGCCTCCCCAAGCCTAGGTAAAAAACGTCATCTTCGAACTTCAAGAAAGGACCTTTGGATAATTGACATAATAATATTGCCATTGGCAATAATGTGCCTTGTTCTTTTCCAAATCAGTAAAGACTAATTTTCTGAGATAGTCCTGAGCTGTGGAGAAATAAATGGGGAAATAAAAAGGGTTGTATGTGTATGTGTATTTTGCATAACTGAATTTTTTGTGTTACAATACTTTAACTACAGCACTAAGAAAATCATGCTTATAACAAGAAATAAGTCTCAGATTTGAATATAAACAGTAAGATGAAAAGACAAAAAAAAATGCCCTGGACCTTGAAGCCCTCTTCATTTTATAAGGCAAAATGAGAGCTTTTTAACTTATAAAATAAATAGTCAAGATGCCCTGGCCACATGTGGTGGCTCACACCTGTAATCCCAGCACTTTGGGAGGCAAAGGCAGGCGGATCACCTAAGGTCAAGAGTTCGAGACCAGCCTGCCCAACATGGTGAAATCCCATCTTTACTAAAAATACAAAAATTAGCCAGGTATGGTGGCAGGCACCTGTAATCCCAGCTACTCGGGAGGCTGAGGCAGGAGAGTCACTTGAACCCAGGAGGCGGACGTTGCAGGGAGCTGAGAGCATGCCACTGCACTCCATCCTGGGTGACAGAGCGAGACTCCATCTCAAAAAAAGAAAAAATTAAATAAATATTAAAAAAAGATGCCCCTATGTAATAAGTTGTCAGTGTCAAATGCTGATGGAAAAATATCGCAACAGAGTTGAGTCAGACCCAGGTCTGTCTGACTCCAAACTCTTGTGCTGTCCACCACAGCACTCCTGTCAATGCAGGCGCCACCAGGGGTTATTTGCAATGGTTCTCTTACAGTCTCCTGGAAGAGAGAAAATGAGATAGAAGGGTTGGTGAAAAAGCACTAAAATGTGTAGAAACCTGGGGTTAGGAGTGACTTTAGGATTCACCTGGTATATGCCTGAAAGGGGACTGTGGTTCACTTTTTCAAAGGCCAAGAAAATTCAGATTTGGGAAAAATAAGGCATTAAGGCCTAACAAATCCTTAATATTCATCCTTTCTCTTCTCTTTTGGTTTGGTTTCCAAGGCAACCTATATTTTCTGAGCAGTTTTATGTGTATTTGCTGAAGGCAGGTGATTGCTTTCCCTCAGCCTGATGGGGGTTGGGGGAAGAAGCAGTCCAGAGAGAGGCCATTTAGAAGAAGGAATCTTGTTTAATGTTATGGGAACTCTTAGACTAAAGTCTTTAAAAGTTACTGAGTTAAAACTCTGTTGTATGCATTATCTGAAACATAAATTATTATCAAGAAGATGAGGAGGAGAGAGAGAAAGAGAGAGAGGATGGAAGGGAATAAACGCGAGTGTGTGTGACGCTCCCCTGAGGCTCCTAGCTAAATTCTTGCTATTTTCAGTGCTTGCCTTCACACTCCTAGGGCATTTTGTCTGCACTCACTCCTCTCTCCACCCCCTCATCCTTCTGCACTTTGACCTCTGCTTCTGCCACTGCACAGAAGTAGAAGAGGCTGGCTGACCTGTAGGGAAGCCATATGCCGATGGTACAACAGGGGCCTTGACGTCGGTGCCACAAACCCAGAAACTCCCCTTCCCCACCTCAAGTTCTCTGCCTCTCTGCCTGAGGGCCTTTTCCAACACAGAGGAGCATTTCTTTACCTGTGAGCAGGAGACCCTACAGGTGCAGGGGATTGAATGTCACCCCCGGGGGTAACCCTCAGCCATGGAGGAACAGGTGTATGTGAATAAATACTCCATCTTGACACCAGCCTTGGTGGAATATTTCTTAGGGGCAATCTCACAGTTCCTCAGGTAGATTCAAGTGGAATTAAGCTCAGCTGTCCACAGAGGTAATTATCTCACTAACATACCCTCAGTGGCTTCTCCACTTCATTTTCCCCATTTCTGCCTCATTTCATCATGTGTATCATGGAACTAGCTCCCAAATAAACAATTTCTTCCAAGTACTCATCTCAAAGCCTTCTTTTAGGTGAATTCAAACCAAGATACTAGCATATCCCTTTCTTGGCATCAGTGTGTCTGCAATATAATAATAATTAGATTACTATTAATAATTATTAATTATTGATTATTAAAGCAAAATGAAGTCAATATTTTTGAGGGTCAACACTGCTCCAATGCTTCACTCTGGATTCCATCAGGGAAACAGAATCTCCCTAGGTCTCCACGTAGAAGAGTTGTACTGCAGGGCATTAGAGGCCTATGCAGCCTTTGGAAAAGCTAGGGAATCAAAGGTCAGGAAAGCTACAGCTAGAAGCATGTGATTCTCAGGCACACACCTGGAAACCACTGCAAACCATATGGCTGCCATCTGTTCAGATAACAGCTTACAACTGCAGCTGGAGAATGGCACCTTCTCTTCTACCTTCCAAATACTGTGCAGATTAGAAGATTGTAATCTAGAACTATAAGAGGAAAAGGATTCTGAAAAAAAGGTTCCAGGTTTCTGCCCTGCAATGCAGAGGGAAATGCAGAAAAGAATGTGGTAAATTTACGTGTATAGCAAATAACTCAGGTCACCCAGGTGGAATCTGCAGAGGCCAGAAGCCTGACACATAGACAGTGCTGAATAAACACTGACAAATTCTTGCTACCCAATTTCTTCTTTTCTACACTCCATGAGGACCATCATCTATCATACTATTTGATATGATTAGGCAGAGAGTTTCTAGTTTGGCCATCAGAGATGTCTATAACAACAAGGTTGTCCAAAACTTACATACCCAGTTCCCTTGACTGGTCAGCTAACCCTACAGAGGCTTTGCAGCCAAGTATTTACAAAACATGTTAGTATATCCAAATCTTACATCATTTTCACCACTCCATCCCTCTATGGCTGCTATCACTCCTAAATCCTCCCGGAGGAGTTCTCTAAGTTATATCAGTCTAGTTAAGCATATACTTGTTCATATACTTTAAGGCACCTATTGAGAGCTGACTCTTTCATGCTTTACTCCAAGTGGGACCATCTGTAGACTGAGGGAAAAGTGAATATTTTCATATTTTCTACAGAACGGATCATTGCTTCTGACTGGTATAAACCTCCAACTTTTTTTCAGTGTCATGTGCTACCACAGATCACCTTGTCCTGCTCATTTCCTTCCTTTTTTGCTTTGATTTTCCTTACATTGAACTTCTTTTGTTCTGTTCCCAACTCCAGCCTTTCCTTCTGTTTCATCCCCTTTCTTCCTTCCAGGCTTTACCTGCACTTTTCTGCCTCTATCTCTATGGAGGTCCTTAACACTTGAAAGCATAACTGATGACTTTGAGAACTGATCACTTTGAGATTCTGATCAACCTACAGACATTCAATTCACAGAAAAATTCACATGAGCATGTATTGGAAAGAGGCAGGGAAGGGAGTTAATTCCACATTTTCATCTTCTTCTTTTGCCTCACTGAGCGTACAGCCCTGTGCCAGTCTCCCATGGTCATAACAGTCAGCTATTGCCAATGAGGAAGCATAGTTACCCTGCATGCCTCAGTTCTTATGTGGTATGGATGTTAGGTTGATAACTAAACACCCTGCCATGTGGCCTGCCCTGCCACAAAAGGCCAAATGGCAAGGTGAGCAAACACCACAGAGGCTGTGATAGACAGAGGCCGGATGGAGGATGAGCTGAGAGCCAGTGAGATATGAGAGAAGTCAAGTCAGCAAGGGCAGGATGCACTGCTCCCTGGGATCATACCTGTACCTCAGAGTTCAGCATTCAAGGCCAACAGAACTGCACATCAGTCAGGTGGGCGAGGGACCATGTTCTTGAATAACTATGGACACCTGCCATAACAATCTGAAGACCCACGTGAGGCCCTTTCTTCATCCCCTCCGTACCATGGTAGTGAGAGAAACAGGAGATGCAGATTCTCGGAGAGCCCATGCTTTGGATTCCCGGCAAGTTAGGAAATTGCTGAAAGGGACTTTTCACATTTCTCAAATAGGCTAAATTTAAACCAGATTGGACATTTAATTGTTTTAATTTTCCCCTTACTAGCAGATGAGCATTCAGGAGAGAAAAACTGATTAGTAATGGACTAAATTAATTTATTGAACTTCCTTTTCCTGCACAACCAATTTAGAATGTGAGTTACGCTTTTTAAATCAAAACATACACAAAAATTGGCATTTTTTTCAGGCATTCACACAGCACCTCTGATGGTTAAGATTCCTATTCTATATTCATACCTTCAAAATACCATTTACTCAACATGGTTACACTCCTTTTCAAAGTCCACATTTTCAACCCAAATGTATAATTTATACTAGCAAGATATCTTAACTTTGATGTTTCATAGGCAAGCTGAAACTCAATGGATGCGCAGTGTAAAATTGGTTCCATCTCACCTCATTCCTGCTGTCATGAGCACGGCTTTTCTATGTCCCAGTTTCCGTTGCCCACAGCATCGAAGTTACCTATGTCTCCTTCTTTTCTGCTTTATTTCTAACCATACCTAATGTCAAATCCTGATGCTTTCTTTCTTTTGCTGTATATCTAGGTATTACCCCTTATCTCACCATTTTCACATTCACATTACTGCTGCAAATCAAGACACTGCAAATCCTCTCAGCTTCTCCTCATGACCTCAGTATCTGGTCCCATTAGTCCATCTCCAACATTCTCAGGTAATTCTTCTTGAAGTTGTGATTTCTTTACTTTATCTTTCCCTGCCCAAGATTGTTTTTTCTTTACCAAGACTTTTTCAAGAACTTCAGGGCTACATTCCCAACTGCTTGCTGGATGTCTCTACAGAGATGTCCCCAGTGTACTCAAGTCTATTTTTTTTAACCAAAGTCATTTTCTTTACTATGGCATCCAAGTGCCCACTCCCAGTCAGCTCCTCCTCCTCTAATCCATATCTCAAATAATCACACCAAGAACTTGCTGGTCACCAGTTTGGAGCTAACAGTCTTCTCAAGGAGTCTGGCCTCCCTCACATCTCCAAATTCAACAGATCGCAAAATCATGTTGATTCTCTGACCAAAACATCTTGAGCATATTACAGCCTTTCCATTTCTACCTCTCAATTCCAGTTCCTGTCATTTCCCCTGCCTTCCATCTCTCAACTTTTCATTTTACCCTTTATAATGCCTGCAGAATTATTTTCCTAAACCATGCATCTTATCACGTCACTAGCCTGCTCAAAACCTTGTCTTTGCCATTCAGTAAAGTGCAAGAAAACTTGCCATGACATATCAGGTGCCAGACAGCCTCATTTTAAGCATATGACCCTTTGCATCCCATAATCTACTATTCCATGTGAGGGTTGTCAGATTTAGCAAATAAAAATACAGGATGCCCAGATAAGCAGCAATATTTGGAACATACACTGCAATATTTGTTTATCTGAAATTCAAATTTAACTGGATGTCTTTCTTTTATCTGGCAACACTATTCCATATAGCATATTACAAATGTGCCATACATTTACAAACCCATGTGATCTTGTTTGTAATGGCTGTTCTCTTCAAATGGAATTCTTCACTTACTCTCTCACCTATTAATTTCTCATCCGTTTTATAGATTTTTTTTTACCAATAGACAAGATCCATCTCCTCTTTCCTCCTGGGATGGATCTTGTCTAAAGACCTGTAGGGGAATACAATTAAGACTCGACTTTCTGCTTTCCTAAGGTGGCCTATATTAAAGATAAAGTGATTTATAATATAACTCAAGGGGAGGGGGATGGGAGTCAGAGATGTTTGCCTAACATAATAATGCCAAGGTAATGGTTTTCAAAAAATAGACTTAAAAATTCACTAATAAAAGGGATACAGATATCTCTCAAGGGGCATGGCAGAGAATAAATCCCTTTAACGGCAAGATTTGCTTGATCAGATACTTAATAGGGGTATAGTCGAAGGCCTCCGTGTTTGCCTGGGGAGTGGGTAGGGAAGAAACCAGCATACCCCAAGACAAAGCCATCTCTCTCTGTGAAAACACATAGGCATCCTGACACAGGTATGGCTAAGGCCACTAAGCTTGTGAGACAGCAGGAGAACCTAAGGAGTTTGAACTTTGATTAGGAAAGAACCCAGGAAACAGGGAAGGGAGAGGGTATTCTCCATTGTCTCCATTTTCTCCTTCCATTCCATTCTGGTTTCCCTGCACAGAAGGCAAGGACCATAACTAATGCAATGCTTTCTTTAAATTCCAGGTTCTCATGTGCTGAGAACAGGGAAAATACTCATAAACATGTGTCCACAAATCAACCACAATACAGCTGGTCCCACTAGGGCTTCCTGAGTGCATAGTGTATCTCAGGTACTCTGCCATGGCCAGGCCCAGCTACATAATTTGGGGGATCTAGTACCAAATGAAAATGCTAGGAATCTTGTTCAAAAATTATTGAGAATTTCAATTACAGTGTCATCCCTATACAGAGGCTGTGGGCTGCAGAGGTCACACATCCATGAAGTTCATAAAAACTCTGGACACCAACCCATGGGGAAGACATTATATCAAGTTACAGATTAAGGAACAGAGCCTGGGTAAATTTATGTTCTTTACTAGAACTCATATCACTAGCAAGGACTAGAGTTTACATTAAAACTCAATCCAAAGGACTTTGTATGAAATCTCCAGAGTGTTGGTGGGAATCATTGAAATGTAATTTTTTTAGATTTTAGTGGATATTTTGTTTGTTTATGGAAAACTGCATATAGAGCCTGCCAGTTTTACTCTCCCATCCTTCCTTTTGTCAACAACCAGGTCTGGGATCAGAGTATGAAGAGTGAGGTACCCACTTGCTCTGGCCCAAAATTTAAGGGTTTAAAAAAACTCAGGAGTCAAGGTAAATAATATTCAATGTGATATCTTCTAAAAAATCTAAATTACTTTTTAAAAATTCACAGTGAACAAAATATCAAACTTGTAGATAAAGACAGGCAATGATTATTTGTTTTACGACCTTGCATTATTATGAAATGTGAACAGTCTGTTTCCAATCAGCCTGCAGTTCCCTGGCCTGTGGCTATCAGGTCCCCAGAAGCTTGTGAGACACCAAGTTTTATGAGGGTTGACAAAAGTATGTGAACAGGGTGGACAATGAAAGGCTTTATATGTACGTATACACATAGATGTAATTTTAAACATGACTATGTATATAGTCATGTTTTTTGATTATAGAGTGCTTACTAACATTTTCTAGTTGGTTCAAAATATAGGAGAGTATTTTGATGTGTATATTTAAGAGGAACATATTTTTTCCTTTTTGCCTCAAGCTCCAATATGGCTTGGCATGACACTGTTGGCAACGAATTGTATTCTTGAGTATCAATTTACATAAGGCCTATGATTCATGATATGCTCCATATGTTGTGAAATTGGTGATACACACCCACTCTGTCCATAAAATCCCAAAGAGTATTTTGTCCAATAGACAGAATTAACTGTATGTGGAAGCAGACAGTCATTTGGATAACAAAATGAGCACTTGTTACATTCATCATTATCTGTATGAACATTGCACCAGGACATTTCTTGGGCTAGGCACCTGATTTATACCAGCAGCATTCACCACTTCTCAATTAATTGAAAATTCCTCTGTTCTTGAACTGACCCAGAACTTGAACGTCTCCTCACTTATACTTGCCAATCACATTTCATTTATTCTTTCGGGTCTAGGTACACACCACCTCTTCAGAGAAGTGTTCTCTAATCCCTTCAGTCTATAATCTATACTAGAAAGTATTGTGTGTTCATGTAAAACTCTCATCTCTAACGGAGAACAAAATTCTTGGCAGCATGAACTGAGTCTAGTTCATCTTTTTCCCTTTAGCACTTTGCGTAATGCATACCATAGATGCTAAATATTCACTGGATGAATGAATGAACTATTTGGCCTTTTATTATAGCTATTTATGTATATGTCTTTCTCCCACTTGAAAAAAATGCACTGTCTCTTAATCTCCTTTAACTCTCCCCTTGCACTTAGAACACTTTTGTGTATGTGCCCATTGTCAGTGTTCAGTTATATTTAAATAATTAAATTAGAACCTGAAGGTAGTTTACAAAAATAATGAGTTTGATTTTAAACATGTTACAGATGTCATGTAAGGTGATTTTATTACCACACCAAAATTAAGAAGACTCTGCTGCTGCTGAAGTATAACTTTCGATGTATTGGAAACGTTTATAACAATAATATCTCCCCTATGAGTTTAAAAAAATTACTACATCTTAATTATCATGAAGGTAAACATCTACCTAGTTAGTGCCTTGGTGACAACTTGCAGACTGGTGGGGCCTAAATTAATGACATGACATTGAATTCAAGAGACTCAAGCACTATGGAGTTAATTTTGATTATCAATAAACAGATTTTTTAAATTACATCTATTTGTATAAAACTTTTAAAATTACATTTGTGTGTATAAAACTTTACTATTTGCAAAAGCTTTAGGAACATCCAGATACTTTCCTAGAGGTCAACTTCTTCATATCATGTGTTGATTGAGAAAAATAGTTTGATCCCATCGAGTTGTGTTACTCTTCAGTAAGAGCATCCCTTGGCAAGGGTGCAAACTCTACTGCTCAGTCTATATGTTGTACTCAATGTTCTTTTCTCATATTTGCTAAGCCTGTTAAATCTGATTGAAAGCTTTAATTCTTTAAATAGAAAAACAATCATCTGACTGATATAAAATTCTCAGATTCTTCTGTTCTTGTACAGTTTTTCAATATTTAAAATGTTTTAAAGATCTGTCAAATACATAGTTTCAGTAATCATTTATTTAGCCTATTGGCAGGGTCCAGAACAATAAGCTTCTTTTTCTTTTCATCTAGAAGATAGATAATTCCAGTGTACTTTCATTTCAAGATGGAGATGCCAAAGTTGAGAGGCAGATGAGTGTGATTTACAAGTTGTATGACCCTTAGCAGGGTACTTACGCTTCCTGAGCATAAGGTTTATCATCCAGAAGACGGTATCGTAATACTTACTGAGCAGGCCAATTGTGAGTAACAAATAGCAGAGGTTATTCCCAGTCCCTGCCCAAGTTATTTTTAAAATCTCCCTTAATGTTGAACATACAAGTAGTGCAGAGTATAACTCCACCTTCAAAAATATCTATCATATCTCTGTCTCAGCATAATTTTGAAAATTATTGGGCTCTCAGTTATTTTCAATAGTCTTAGAGTGATTCTTCCTTATTCTTTCTCATTGGGGGCTTTTAAGGAAGGAGTTGGGAAGGGAGAAAGGAAGAATATGGAGAGAAAAATGAAGTAATTTCATAGGACTAGTCACTGAGCTGGAATTCTTCACCTAAACATAACTTGTTCTAATAGGAATAGAAAGACACTCTTTTCCACAGGGATCATGAATTCTTAAAAAATACAGAAACTTTTCAATGTATCAGTGCAGTGACTCAACTTCAGAAAATAATTTCTTGTTTTCCACAGAAGTAATTAGAGAATATCATTATCATCATCATCACTATCATCATTGCTATGATTATTGATCTTAGTAATAATAATTAACATCAATTGAGCCCATACCTAGAGAATATTTAAAATATTCCACGTGCTGAGCTGAGCATTTTACTGACTTTATCTCATTTAAGTCTCTCAACCCACCTTATTTATTATTTATTTTGACTTTGCTGACAAAAACATTAGTAAGGTTAAATAACTTGCCCAGGGCCTCACAGTAAGTGGCAGACCTAGAATTGAAGCCTACATCTGTCTGAATAAAAGATCCTATGTCCATCACCTTTGTATTATGATAGTTCAGTAGCAAATTTCTCCTATCCCTATTGCAGTCACAGAATTATCAGGAGCACTGGCTTGGCTAAGAGCTCAGATATTTTGAAGTCCAGTTGAAGTTAGGAGGCAGAGTGATGGTGATACAACACCTGAGACCAGATTATCTTTAATGTAAGAGTAAAACAGACAAAAACCAGGCAACCAAACAAAAAACACCGTGTAAATGATTTTTTAGAATTGCTAGCTCTGGTTCATTGGATAAACAAAATGTTCTTAGAATGTTAAAAAAGAATGTGCTAGAAACAAGTTTATTTTAATTAATTTACATATTGTAGTATTTCAAAAATGGTATTAGAGAACAAGTCAGAGATACAAGTTTTTCTGTCACTTCTTACTAAAGCCCAAAATACTGTAAATCATTATTTAGCTTGGATCACAGAGTTTCAGAATATTTTATTATTCTGCATATATCTTGGAAGAATAATTATACTTGCTAGAGAAAGCAACACTAGAGTTCCATGTTTGTGAATAATTTTGTTTGACATTTTTAAAATAAATTGATTAGAAACAAAATAAAGAAAACAAGCCTTGAGTACCTCTGCTGCATATTTTTTTCTTGTAATTTAAACTTGAATAAAAAAATAAAATATAAAAGGAAAGTTCTTTAAAAACATGTTTTGTTAACACTTCTATTTGAGTACAATTACTGACTATAATTTTTGATTAAACATATTGAAGGCCATATTTTTAAATTTCCAAAAACCATCATTCAGCTCTTGAAAATAATCACTAGTATAGTTTCTGTAGTTGTATAGTTTATACAGTTTCCTCATATAAAATTTCAGACTGCTTCAAACACTAATAGCTGACACATCCTGGGGAAGAATTAGGAGCTTACAGAAGTTCCACTTAGATATTATTATAAGATACACATTCCTAGGATCCAACGACATTAGCAAACAGGCAAGAGTACACTATTTGCACATTATGTTCTGGCATTAACATTTAGTTAACAAAGATGATCACATGGGAACAGGGTCCTTTGTAGAAAAATGCTTTGAAGCATAGAAGATGTTTTGAAGAAGAGCAGATGTCCAAATGTAGCACCAATATTAAGCATAGCAAAAATAAATATTTGACAGCAAAAACATAGTTATACTTTGTTTGTTCTATATAATCATTATTAAAATATGAAAATTATTCAGTCAAGGAAAACCTGCCAAACCTATGATATACTGAGATCTTCCATGAGTTCATCTTGAGTTTTATGCTCTAAGACACTTGTTTAAGTTAAAGTCTAGACGCAATGTCCTCAGTATAAGATAACTTCTTGGATAAGTATTGTTTTAAATTCCATGCTATGAAAGATTAAATCCACTAGAAGATAAGCTTCATGAGGTCATAGGGTTTTTTAAATTATTTTATGCAAGTGGTATACCCCTAGCACCTAAGGTACTTGGCATTTAGCAGAAACCTAATAAATATTTTTGTATGAATTAATTAATGAAAGCAGTGCCCCAATATGTTTAGGCATAACAAGGTACATTCACAATATACTCAAATGAAGATTTCATTAAAGCTATAGCTGAGTCTTAAAGCCATGGGTTTTGAAATATGTTCTGGACTTCATTTACTAAATATTGCACAAACAGGGTCTTATCTAAATAAGGTTATTTGACCTGGAACATTTTACTCCACTCTCAATGTGACTTGCTTTTACCATGGGCAATAAAATAAAGTGGAAAATGGGAAAGTCCTAAATAACTAACTGTAGGAAACTATAAAAATCTCTCCCCACCACCTCAGGACATCACTTAATCAGATAGCATCATTGGGACCAGAAACATCTACTCTCACAGCTCACGTGCCCACATGCTCTACCCTGCTATGCCCAGGACAGCCTGGAACAAGGGATGAAGGCTTGATTCTTTCTCTTCACTTGTTCCCTTGAAGCACCACCTCCTGGTCCCTCCACTTCTGGTGCTTTCAGAGGAACTCAGTAGAATTTGAGAAAGACTTAAGAAATATTTGATGAGTCCAGGAGTTTAAGACCAGCCCGGGCAACATAGGAAGACCCCTCTCAAGGAAAAAAAAAAAAGCCAGGCATGGTGGTACATGCCTGTGGTCCCAGCTTCTCAGGAGGCTGAGTGGAAGGATTGCTTGAGCCTGGGAGGTTGAGGCTATGATGGTGCCACTGCACTGCAGCGTGGGGGACAGCAAGACTCTGTCTCCAAAAAAAAGAAAAAAGAAATATTTGAGCTTACCAAAGATTTGGGACAGAGGCCTTTATTTCTCAGAGCCAATCATCAGTTCAGATGTAATTTCCTACAGGAGCTTTCCCTGATTCTTACTAAGCAGGGCTAAGTGACACTCCTCTCTGTTCCTTAATACCTTGAGCTTCTCTCAGAGCAACAAATTGCATTGAAATGTTCAGTGAGTAGCTGTTTCCCCCACTTAGAAACTCTAAACTTCTAAGAGTCATTCCTTCTTAGCATTTGTCACAGTGGGTGGAACAGGACCAGAAATACAATGGTGCCCAATCAATGCTTGCTGAACTCCCTGCTCCCTCTCCATGCTCCCATCAGTGTCTGTGTGGTGCAAACAGAATGCTGTTGCTGGAAATGTTCATTTAATATGATAAAAGACACTATTTGAAAATAATAATTTGATATTTTGTTTTACAGAAGATGTCGTTTCCTCTTTAAGAAACCATTGTCCACAATCTCAGGATGCACCTGAGTTGGTAAGGATCTTGGTTCCAGGTTACAGAAACCCAAACAGAACTAGCTTAAGACAGACGAAGAATTTATTATGAAGACACTAACATGTCTCATCGTGCCCATAGACAGGAATGGTGCTAAACTCTGAGAATGCCTGTAATCAGGACTCATGTTCTGTCGGGAAATTTGTGCCTTTTCTCTGTTTTTCACTCAGCGTTTGCTTAAATCTTCTCTTGCTATATGCTGACCAGATTCCTTTGTTTTACTTTTCCACATGAAGCAAAAGGTAACTGCCAATAGCTTCAAAATGCATATTTTTTCACCCCAAGAACCCAAAGAAGACTGACTTCAGTTCAAGTTTCCAATTTCTCTGGGAATGACTCTAATTGGCCCAAGTTTATTAAGTGCCCACCTCAGACCAATCAAATGCAGCTGGAGGTGGAGTTCAAAAATATGGCCAGGATATTGGCAAGACAGTCCCATAGATGTCCAACACACTCCCAGATGCTTTAGTTCCTAAAGAAAACACATGGTCAGGATGGATTCTTTCAAGTACACTAATGGATAGGGTTTACAAAGCATAAGGTGTTTAAAAGCAATAGTGTTCAAATTTATTTTCATTAGTAATTCATGGTAAAATAAAAAATTCCCAAGTAACCACACGTTTACTTTGTTTTAAAAATAAATTTATTTTATTACATGATAATATTGACAGTTTACATAAACAAAGTTATTTAGTGTATGCAAAGCAACTATAAAATACATTTTGAAAAGATATAAAAATCTTTGAAATTCTTTCTTGATATCAGATCTACCAAATTTCGAGAGCCACCATTGATATTTTAGGATCAAAACAAAATGGCTTGAGAGATTTTGTTGGTCAGCCAAACTCAGTCCAGGAAAAAAGAAACATTAAAGCATTGTTTTGTGTTTTTAAAAGCTCTAATGGATATTTATTCCAAGCTCCTTTCGTATCGAAGAAGACTACATAAGAGAAAGGGCATGAATGAGCTTAAATGAGACTTTTGAAAATAAGGCATATACAACATGGATCAGTTGGATATAATTGTGTTTCAAGTATGACCATTAAATCAGGAGAAAAAATAGATTTTGAAAATTATCAGTTGTTTGGCTTAGCTTTTACTAATAGGGGAGCTATTTATGTATCATATGTAAGTACAGCCCCAGCTTCACTCAAAACACCATGGATGCTAGAAGGTAATATGCGATTTCAGCATTTGTCTGAATTCTCCACTTCACTATGGAATCTACATTGCAAAGTAAAATTTGCAAAGATTCTAAAAAAGAAGCTGCTTGGCCGACAGGCACAAGTTGGGGGGCATCTTCCATCGATTTTTGTAAGTGAACCACGTAATCAATGTAAAAAGTTAAATATTCTATGAAATATTCACTAAATGTAGATTGTGCTTTTCCAGGTTTAAAGCAGTGTTTATTAAATATTTCATGGAGTAAAGGAGCACTTGGCAAGATGGTCCCAAGTAATAGATGTTATGGTCATGAATTTACTGCATCAAAATTTACCTGAGAGCAATCATATATGCTGTCATCAAGAACATAAATGAGGATATGGTCACAACCGGTCCCTACCTGGTCTCTCCAGTGTTGTCACTGACCATTACTCCCATATAAACAGCCTCTTTCAGTAATATTATTTATATTTTATTGAGCATAAACACTTACCCAGGGCTTAAGGAATGCCAAGCATTTACTTTTCCATCTCTATTCATTTCCCTAGTTATGGGGCCAATCTATTTGCTTTAATAATGTAAAAATGTAGTCACATCATTGAGAATTTATAAAGGAGCAAAGAAACATAATAAAAGCCAATTCTATAGAAAGCATGATGGTAACAGCAATATAGGCCAGGATTTCTCATTCTGTGTGCCTGTGGGAAGACGGTCTTGACATCTCACAATCATACCAAAACACAGTTCAGTATAAAACCTTGGGTTATATTATTGAGTTAGGTTGCACCGATTCAGACTAACAAAAATGATGGTTAAGAGCATAGATTTTGATTTAGATAAATCTTGATTTCTAGTCTGTCTCTACCAATCTCCAACTCTCTAAATCTGGATTAGATTATTTGACTTGACTTCTTTGGCCCTGTTTCCATATGTAGGAAATGAGGATTATAATAGCTATCTCATGGATTGCTGAAAGGAATAAAGGAAATAATATATTTCAAACTTATTAGCACATGGTAAATGCTTGATAAATGGTAGCTTTATTATTAATTCAATTCCTAAGACCTAACCTCCTTTCTACTTTTCTTTTTTGTTTGACTAGTAATCCTGGTGACAATACTTAAGTGAAAGGTTATTGAAATTTCCCTTCTGTTGTTGCTACCTAACCAGTTGCTTTTTTCCCAATTACTAGACAATATACATATAATTAATGTTCTTATTAAAAAATAATAACACAAACTAAAGTTGCAAATAAAAAGTAAATACATTATTTAAAATTCATGTCTACTAGCTGTTTTCCTGAGACACATTCTGTCCATTTTCAAATGAGCAAGGCACTTTGCAGCTTGCCACCAACCTGGAGGTAACTTCATAGCCTCTGAGAATGAAGAAAATAACAGCACATCACTTAAAAGAAATGGACTATGCAATAATAATAATAATTTAAAAATCCAGAGCCAGCCATTTTGTTTTCAATTCAATAATGTTGTTTTTGTAATAAGTTAGGAGCACATATAATTTCTCGTCAAGCATTTACCAACCCCATTAAGCTGCTGGGATTTTCTGGAAGAGATTCTTTGTACAACTGAGCTGTGGAAAGACACTACTCTCTCATACTGGATGTAAACGAGGAAGCTTGTAGCCCTAATTGCTACTGGCCTTTCTTAGGACCTAAGAGGAACTGACCAAGGATGAAAGCCAACTCAGAATAGTGAGCAGAAAGAGGGAAATAATCTGGTTCCTTACGTGTGAGCCTCTGGTTTGACAAGTGTGAAGCCCACCTTACCTCTGGACTGCCATTCATGTGAGCCAATACGTTGCCTTCATTTTAAGCCAGTTTGAGTTGGATTTTATGTTATTACAACCAAAACTATCCTGCTTTGTTGTGCTAGTTACGCGTCATGTGCCTTCTTGGAGCCTTTCTCTGCCCTGCTCTGTCTCCAGGAGACTGGCCACTTCAGATTCCATCACCAGGGCTCCATTGCCCTCTGGTTTCTGGTGGGTTTAGCTAGTAGGAGGCACCTGCTGAAGATCCGAAGGCGAAAGGAGAGAAAGTTTGGAATACTTCTTCCCCTATTTCCTCCCTCTGTCCTTGTTTATATCTGACAGTGGCTACTCCCTCCACAACCACAGCTCCTGCCTAGGGGACCCTCCTCCAATGTGCCTCTGAATGCTAAGGTAATATTTACCTTGGCCCTTCCTGTAGAGGAAGGGCAACAGCTCCCAACAATTCTCAAGCTCAGGGAGACTCAGTATACCTTTTCTTAACCTTGATCCATGGTTCTTGCATTACAATCTCTCTATTGGATCATCTGAGAAGATTTGTGATTCCTGAACAATCCTTACTGATGCTACATTTAAAGAGCTTGTAACAGTGCTTGGCATTGTGGTAAATGCTCAATATATGTAGTTATTATTGCTATTGTTATTTTCTTTCAATGTGAAGTGTCTATATTAAAATACCTCTTTCCTGTGCCCAAAAATGAGAAAGAAAAAATTATATAAATATCCCCACAACCATGCAGAATTAGAATGCCTATCTCTGTGGTAACATGCAGAAAAAAGATATGAGGAAGTATTTTATCTGGCTTCAGATTCTATGAAAAAAACCATTGATTTATTTTTAGATGTTTTTAAATATAATCAAATTCTAATGAATGATTTAGTAGATGCAAGTAAGCCCAATCTAACCAGTTAAATGTCACCTGAATAGTTTTCTATCAGCAAGTTTATCTCACTTACTTTAAGCAATATTTGTCTCTTCAATATCTTCATTGATAGGAGTTATATCTTTACCCAGAGTTTCCATTTCTTCTTCTTTCTTCTTTCTTTTACGACGTTTCCGAAGAGGGCTTGGAAAATACGTGTTAGAAGTTAGTATGGGCCTAGTAGTTCATGCGAACACAAAATTATCCATCAAGAGATCCTATGATCAGGTTTCTTTTTTTAAAAAAATATTTAGGGTTCTAGGCCGGGCGCAGTGGCTCACGCCTGTAATCCCAGCACTTTGGGAGGCCGAGGCAGGTGGATCACAAGGTCAGGAGATTGAGACCACGCTGAAACCCCGTCTCTACTAAAAATACAAAAAATTGGCCGGACGTGGTGGTGGGCGCCTGTAGTCCCAGCTACTCGGGAGGCTGAGGCAGGAGAATGGCGTGAACCCGGGAGGCGGAGCTTGCAGTGAGCCGAGATTGCGCCACTGCACTCCAGCCTGGGCGACAGAGTGAGACTCCGTCACAAAAAAAAAAAATTAGGGTTCTCTCTTAACCCATCTCTTTCTCTAGGTTCAGATGATAGGTATAATAGGCAACAGTGTGGGTAGAATATAGTTATCTAAATAGAAAAAATGTCACTTATATTGATGGAGTTTAGTTAGCAGAAGAAAATTTTTCAGGCCAAGTTATTTTACAAAATAGACTAATAAGTATTATGTAGTGTACACGTAGTGTAAAAGAAACAGTACAAATTGGAAACAGGCATAAGAAAAACAAGAGTGACACAGCGTTTGGATATATTAACTGAGCTTCTAGATACATTAAGAAATGTGTTAGATTTCCAGACTGCATTACTGTTTTCCTAAAGTGCAGCTCCAAGTTGATATAACAAAATAGGCCGTTTCCCAGCTTTGCCCAACTGATTCTCTGCCCTAAACCTGGCATAATATTTCTTCCTACCTTAAAGTAGGTAAAATAAAAATATATCTTTCAATTTTATAGTTAGAAAGTATCTGACAGATTATTTGGTTTAACACTCTTGTTTTACAGAAAATAAAAGTTCATAGTTGTTAAGAAATTTACCCAGGTTCTCAAAGATACATAATGGAGGAACCGAGACAAAAATCAAGTACTCTGGCCGGGCGCGGTGGCTCATGCCTGTAATCCCAGCACTTTGGGATGCCGAGGTAGGTGGATCAACTTGAGGTCAGGAGTTACCAGCCTGGTGTACATGGTGAAACCCCATCTCTACTACAACTACAAAAATTAGTTGGGTGTGGTGGCGGGCCCTTGTAATCCCAGCTACTCAGGAAGCTGAGGTAGGAGAATTGCTTGAACTCAGGAAGCTGAGGTAGGAGAATTGCTTGAACCCAGGAGGCAGAGGTTGCAGTGAGCCAAGATCACGCCGTTGCAGTGAGCCAAGATCACGCCATTGCACTCCAGCCTGGGCAACAGAGCAAGACTCTGTCTCAAAATAAATAAATAAATAAATAAATAAATAAATAATCAAAGACTCCCTCTACCGTAGTGCTTTTTTCCCTAGCACATTGCAAAGAAAGGAATCACGAGAACCCTCTTTATGTGTGGACCACAGTGAAGGGTAGATGCAAGAGTTTAGGAATCTGGGCAAGCTTCTCAAGACAAAAAGATACCACTTTAATAAGATAGTTTTTTTTGTTGTTGTTGTTGTTGTTGTTGTTTTTGGTAGCATACTTGGTGTTAGTCCTGCTCTGCAAAAAAAAAAAAAAAAAAAGTTCCCAAAAAGAAACTAATTTAACTAATTTAATTAAGAATTGTCCCAGGACCAGGTACAGTGGCTCACTCCTGTAATCCCGCTACTCAAGAGGCTGAGGCGGGAGGATCACTTGAGGCTAGGAGTTCAAGACCAGCCTGGACAACATAGTGAGAGCCAGTCTCCACAAAAAAAAAAAAAAAAAAGCCTGGCTTGGTGGCACACACTTGTATTCCCCGCTACTCAGGAGGCTGAGGTATGAGGATCGCTTAAGGCCAGGAATTTGAGGCTGCAGTGAGCTATGTTTACACCACTGCCCTCCAGCCTGGGCAAAAGAGCGAGACTCTGTCTCAAAATAAATAAATAAATACAAATAAAAATTGTGCAAAGCCACTCTGTCTCAGAGAAAAAGCAGGATGTTTCCTGATTTTCAAAGTTCTGGTATATAATAGAAAGTAAAAGGAAAAACAAAGTAACATGGTTTACACATAAAGTTTATTATTTTAATGTGGCAAAGCAAAAACAAATTTTTGTTTTTATCTTTCAATGTTACTGTGTTATGGTACAGTTTTAGAAAATAGAAGTCTTATGTAGCCTACTATACAAATTTTATTTTAAATTACAACAATTTTATTCAGTAAATGATAAAAATCATGTATTATGTGTTTTATTATGAATACTTCTATATCAACAATGGCAAAGCTCAAAAAGTAAATTTATTTGAATCAAAGAAAAAGCAAAAGAGAATGTAAAGAGGAAGAAAAGAAGAAAAACTATGAGCAAATACTGTTTCTCAGATTTACTTAAAATTAAGTTTAAAAATACTTACTGACAGCATGTGCAGACACCGATGACCAAAATAATAAAAACTACCATAACTGCTATCAAACAAATCACCAGAATCTGTCCTCTGTCTCCTCTTAGGTAAAACAAGTCAACTCTCTCACACCTTGCTCCAATGTAGCCTTCATCACAGCTATAAAACAAGACGAGGGCAAGGAAGTAAAACTTGCAAGACTTTTAAGAATCTCTACTTCTTTTCTGAAGAAATTAACAGTTCTCATTACTTGAAATTAATAAAGAACACAGTTCCCTTTTTAAAAAAAGATGCACTACTTTGTTGACCAGTAATTTCAATTTTTTTTTGCTTTGCTGAATACCTGTCATCACTTGATCATTAGACATTATTGATATGTCTAATATAAATACACAAGGATGATGACAATTAACTAAAATGTATTTTAAAATTTTAGTCTCTGAATTCAAAAAGGAAAGGAGGATAAAATTCCCAGTGCTTAAATAACTCCATGACAAGGAACTCAAAAATCCCCAGGACTTCCCATTTCATCACAGGATAATGCAAATAGTTTTGATGTTCTCATGCTCTCCTATAAATTATATAAAAATTGTATGGTTTTATATGATCAAATGTGCTAATGCATGTGAAAGTTCATAACACAATGTTCCATAAACGTTAGATAGAGAGAATGTTCCATAAGTGTTATTTCTACAGAATTTCTTTCGTCTTTCCTCCACTGTAAATTCTACCCGTTGATTCTAGTTCTACTGCTTGAGGGCATCACAGATTAGGTCATGCCCTTCTATTACTCTTCTGTTCGCCGCCTCCTTCATTACATCCCTGCAAACACATAAGTCTTGTCCTCTTTAGCTCCTTTATCTGATTCCTAAAACCACATTTGCAGATCTGTTCACCGTTCCCTTCACTCTCCTCTAAATGCCCTCCCTTTTTTCCATGGCCTTCTTCAAGGGAATGACCAGAAATCAACAGTCTCTCTTCATTTCCCTCATTCTCTCAGCTTTCTGTCAATCTGCCTTAGGATACATCTAACATAAACAGATGTCCTTAATCTGAGATTACAGTTATGCATCCACTTGACCAAGCTGGGGCTTGTCTGAGTAACATCCAGGGAGCTAACAACTCAGTGATTTGAGTACTCCCCATAGAATTATCTGAACTGCATCAGAGAATTAAGGTACATAAAAAGTTTGGGGACATTTTAACCAAAATTATCTGTTGTAACCTTAGTACCTTAGTATTAATAAACATTTTCCTTTATTAATATTAGGGAAATAGTAATCAAAAATATTAATAAATATTTTCCTTAAGAGAATGCTTCAAATGAAGTTAAAACACAAAGTGATACTGGTCATATACATAATTATTCAAAGGTCAAAAAGATTAAATTCTGCTCCTTAGAAAACTTCTGTGCAACCCCATTTTCCTTTAAGAAAGGATTTACGGCTGGGCTGTTCTATAGCTTATGCTTGACAAAAGCCAAGGCAGTTAATCCTCACAAAGCCTGTATTTCTCAAGTGAAGAGATCCCTTAATGCCAATATTGTAGCTGAGACAGTGCTTCAAAACAAATAAACAAAAAAACAAGCTCAGTAACAGCCATCACTTGAAAGGTGAGGCTTAATGCAAGCAAAGGAGAAAAGACAACTAAAGGCATCTATTATAAAAGGACCCAAGGATGAATGAAAGAAAATTGCTTCCTGCAAGATAGCTAAGTATCTTCATTCTGAGGTCAAAATTACAGGAAGAGAGCTTAGAAATATCTTGAGATATCAAAAATCTGTCATACATAAGACCAAAACTAGGGATGGGGGAATCACTTTTTTTTTTTTTTTTTTGAGACGGTGTCTCGCTCTGTAGCCAGGCTGGAGTGCAGTGGCGCAATTTCGGTTCACTGCAACCTCCGTCTCCCGGGTTCAAGCGATTCTCCTGCCTCAGCTTCCGAAGTAACTGGGACTAAACCACGCGCGCCACCATGCCCAGCTAATTCTTATATTTTTAGTAGAGACAGGGTTTCCACCATGTTAGCCAGGATGGTCTCAATCTCTTGACCTCGTGATCCTCCCACGTCGGCTTCCCAAAGTGCTGGGATTACAGGCGTGAGCCACCGTGACTGGCCGGGAATCACTTTTAATTGCATGTATACGAGGGAGATTTTTCAGAGTTTTTATAAGGTTGGAAATAAATCTTACAAATATATTTTTTTCCAACTAGCTTAAATATTCCTCTAACAAATTTACTAAATGTGGTATTTTTAAACAATAGCTTTGTCCATAAAATGCATGGCAATTATTTTCTACTCTTTTAGAATGTTTTTCTAATTATATGCTGTGGGATTGGTGGCTTAACAATGCTTTAATTGAATTTCTCAGTAAGCAGTACTTCCTGTAAGTTGTACCCCAGTGAATCCATGCTAAAAGGTCAAACCTTAACATAGCTGGTTATAGTGGTTCTCATGTTATTTTGCCCTTCAGCAAACCAATAACATATCAGCTGGTGTTTATTTTCAGTGAGTGTATCTCTCATGTAGGAGAAGAAGAGGCAAAGAGAGCAGATTCTAAGTTTTTTTATTAAATGGTGACTAAGTGGGTTTTTATTTAATAAGCATCTTATACTATTTAAAATCAAAAATAATTTTTAAAGATGTTCATGATCCTTAAGGGCAATGCAAAATTGGGCGTTGGGATCACTATTCTGAAATAACCACCAGAAACTGTTGTAAAAGATCTATGAATATTAACTGGATCCTTATTACCACCTTTGAGGTATGTGTTATCATTAACCCCATTTTATAGATGAAGAAACTGATGCACAGAGAAGTTAAGGGAATGGGGATTCAAACAGGCAGTCTGGCTCTCAAGTTCATGCTCTTAACTGCATAGTAAATGTGCTATGCTGCATGTATAAATAAAAATTATGTATCTGGAAACGAACTGTCCCTTTTCAAAGGAAATACTGAGAAGATTACTAAGAGGAGAAGATCTGCATTATTTGAAACACACTTTGGTTTTTTATGTAAAAACAAGAACCCACAAACTCCCATGATCCCAAGAAAAGGAGATACTTCTGGTTCCTCAAGACAGTGTTATCACCAATGGCAAGAGAGTTTTGCCTGAATCTGTGCTATATCACCTGAAACATCAGTCCTAGGTTGATTATCTACCACTCATCTCATAGCTTCTTGGGAGGATGAGGCAGGAGAGGCACATTAGCCTAGGAGTTTGAGTCTAGCCTGGGCAATATAACAAGACCTTCTCTCCAAAAAAAGAAAAAAAAAATATTGTTCTTAAAAAGTGGGAACTTTTTATTTATGGCATACTTAAATATGTTCTTAAAAAGTTGGAACTTTAAAAATTATGAAACACTTGCTCTTTGCTGGGTACCACAATTAGTGTTTTCGCATTTATTATTTTGCTATCTTCACCACTTGACTGGACAGTATTATTACTCTCTCTTGCAGATGATAAAACTGAGGCTCAGAAAAGGTAACTGACCCATTGTTAACACTGCTTATAACTGGCAAAAGCAAAATCTTACTTTAGGTCTATCTGACTCCAAAATCTGTGCCCTGTCTGCTATGATATTCTGCTTCCCATTGACTGTGTATTATTCCTCTACTAAGAAGATGTTCCATTCAGATTAAGGCCTTGGTCTGGAAATTTGGTATAGCATTAGATGGACTGTAATAGGGGCACTATTTGTTCAAGCATCAGTCATTTCTTGTGCACCTAGTAAATTCTGAGGACTGTGTTTGACACTGAAATACAAAAATGAATAAGCCATGAGCCCTGCCCTCTAGGAGCTCACTGTCACAGAAGGCACATTTAAAGAAACCACCAGTTATGCTCCAGTGGATAAGAGCTTTCATAGAGGTGTGGCTAGATCACAGGGGAAGGACATCTAACTCAGACCTGAGTGTATGCCTGAGAAGGAGGAAGTCAGTGAAGGGGTCCACAAGGAGATGATGAGTGCAGTGCATCTTAAACCATAGCAAGAATAAGCTTTCTGGGCTACAAGAAGAGCTTATATAATAAATCATGAAATGAAATGTAGAATTTTAGAAAAGCACTTAGGAATATGGTGAGATACAGCTAGAAAATTAAGCCAGGATCAGATGATCTATGAAGGCTAAGAAAACGAGTTTAAATTTTACATTGAAGGGAACAATCTATGTGTTGATCTTAGGCAGGTAGATTACACACTGTGGTTTTCATTTTAGAGGGCAGCAATATCTAAGAACAATAAATCTGCAGACATAGGAACCAATTAGGGAAATGTATTGGGTTAAAGATCATTAATATTTTTAAAATTCAATATGTGCTTCCAAGCCAGGGAGCAATTAAATGAATTTTTTTAAAAAATTAGATCTATCCCTCTCAACACACACACACACACACACACACACACTCACACACACACATTTCCTTATTTTCTTACATTAGCAATTGTTATCTGCCTCCATGTATTATCCACGCATATTTCCTTTTTAAATTAAATATATTTAAGTTTTTAAAAAGTTCATGACCCTTAAAGTTTCCACAAAATTAGGATTTGGAATCATTTTTCTGAGATACTTATGGAAAGAAAACTTATATACTGGGGCAACTGTGCAGAAGAACATAAACATTCTATGAACTTTAAGTCAAAATTGCACTTGAAGAATCTCCTCCCACTTCTCTAAGGAAAGGTCCCAGGAAGCACATTAGTGGGATATCTTTTTAGAAGAAAACACATATTTAAAAGATGCAAAAAGAAATTTGTGTATGCCTGAGTAAAATTGAGCTAGGCTCAAATACAAAGAGTTGAAAAGAAAACTTTTCTCCCAATTCCCCACTATACTAAACAGGCTTCGCTAATCTCTTATTTATAAATAGGACTAATTCCTTCTACTTAAGTGACTCCTACAAAAGTAGCTCTTAATTTGGCAGGAATTTCCTCGTATTTACACTAACTATAAACCACCAAACACTTGCCAGAATAATTCATTTCCATTTGAACCACCCAGGAGATTATTTGAGCCAAAAAGAATCAGTTCTGCTTGCGCAAGAAATCAGAGGACACTGCCCAGCCCAGAAGTGGAGCTGGACTCTCACATACTCATGTTTCAGGAGGAAAGTGTGCGTCAGTTTCTCCATAAGTAGTTGCTGAGTGGGCCCCTAAACAAGTGGCTGGGGGCAGGACCAGGCAGAACTGTGTTCGGACAGATGGCATGGTTAGCTCACACTTTCCAGTCCTGGCAAGACCCAGGCGGGCACCATTCTGCACCCTTTTGCTTGCTGGCTGAGGACACTCCACTTACACACAGGAGGGCGTCTGCTCGGCCACCACGAAGCGGCATCTCCCTTTGATGCAGTAATGCTTGTATTGCTTGGGGCACCTAGAGAAGTGGCCTTTCCGCTTTGATTGTGTGGTGGTAGCTGGAAAATGAGAAAAAGTTCAATAAATCAACTCTCTTTAAATATTCACTTGTAAATAGAATCATATTCTTATCTTGCTGCCAGTTTCTCTGTAGAATATGTTTGAATCTCTCATTTTTCTTTCTCTCTGCACTGGGATAAAAGTCAGACTTTTGTGACTCCAAAATAGCTCTAGACATTGGACAATGGGGATTATGGTCAGAATGTTTCCTACTTTAATTAAGATTTGACTTCAACCTACCTTTCAGAAACTTTAGTGTCATTTAAAGGGTAAAACACAAGTATAATAAGAGAGAAGGCTTTCATTCCATGAAAGTTATCAGAGCCACACTAGAGAAGAGAGGTTTTTTGTTTGGTTGGTTTTGGGGTTTGGTTTTGGTTGTTTAACTTAAACATTTACATAGTATTTCCTGAGTGCTAGATGCTGGTCTGTTTGCTTCTTGTATATTATTCATTTAATGTTCATAATAGCCTTGTGAGGTAAGAACCACTCCAATCTCCAATTTACGGATGCACAAAGCACGATACATGGAGGCTAAGTCACCTTCCAAGATCACACAGATAGAAAGTGGAAAAACTGGGACTCAAACCCAGGCAGTCTGCCACTGAGTCCACGTTCTTGACTGCCACATACACTCTGGCATTTGTTGAGCCAGCTGCTCACCAGGTGTCTGTCACCGACTCTCAGCCTGATGCATCCACAAGTCACACCTGCCTCCGTGGGCAATTGTGTCTCTCATTTGGCCCATGAATTCGTTCTGCTGCTCTGAAGGAGGAGGAAAATACTGAAAACTTCATGCTCTGGATTTCATTCCTGAACTGACTTCCTTGCCTTATGCTTTTAGGTAAAGGCCTAATTGATTGCCTAATTTTTCACCTGAGAATAGTAATATGTAGCCATTTCCCCATCACCGACATGTAAAATTTCAGTAAATAACAATCAAGAGAAACAGAACAGAAATACTAACTAGCTGTTTCGTATGTTAACTTACAAGGGACATAATGCCCACACCCACAGAAAACAGAAAACAACTAACAAGCCAGCTCCAGCCCAGGGTCAAACTTTCCACGTTCATGGTATAACCAACAGCTTGCAGGATCCAGATGCCTGTGGAGCCAGGAGGACCATGGTGTGTTCATGTCAGAAGAGCATGTCACGCTAGGTTTGGTATGGCACCTGGCATCCCAATGACATTGAATAATCATTTTATTAATAGCAATGACTACTAAATATCTTAATTAATATTATGAAAAGGGTACATATAATTGCCCCAGGCCACAAGAGAGAGGAATCTCAAAGGACTTAGGATGATCTAAATACTGCAAATTCCTGTGATTCCAGGTCACAGTGCAGAGTTTCAGGGGATGGCAGAATCTCACTGAGGAACTGGCTAACCTGGTTTGATTGGTGACTTGATAACCACCTATGCTGACTGCTTGAACTACATGCCAGATATTTGCTTGATACATGTCAACCAATGAGACTCATCAGAAGGACTGAAATTTCTTCCAGAAATAACTGCAAAATGTATCAAAGGCAAAGACCTCTGTATTTTGACAAATCAATTGATGTCAACTTCCATTCGTTGAGTGTTTCCATTTGCAGAGCTCTATAATAGGCACTAGAAAACATCGAAGAAATAAAGGATACCTTATCTTACTATTTAAATTGCTAGAATAGAATAAATAAAAAACAAGAATAAACAATTAACCGGTAAAAACAACCATCATAACCAGATAATAGTTTTAGTACACTGGAAACA
This sequence comes from Homo sapiens, assembly GCF_000001405.40. Taxonomy (NCBI): domain Eukaryota; kingdom Metazoa; phylum Chordata; class Mammalia; order Primates; family Hominidae; genus Homo; species Homo sapiens. The sequence goes on from NC_000004.12 coordinate 74,757,740, forward strand.
GTAGAAAGAACACTGGATTCGGAGAAAGAAAATTCGTGTTTAATTTTTAGCTATGCCTTTCACTAGCTGTATGAGTCTGGGCAAGCTGATTAGGCTGTCTGAACCTTTGTTTCCTCATCTGTAAGATAGACATGATAACATCTACATTGAAGGTCTGTTGAGAGGTGCAGATACAAAGGATATGTAGAAGTTCATAGCAGAATTCCTGGGATAGTAAACTCCTCAGTAAATGAGTTAATCCCAGAATCTTAAAATCTTGGCAATTCTAACAGCAATCTCATATAAGTATGAAGAATGCTGACCTAATCAAAGAGAAATGTATGGAAAATGTAGATTTTAGAGGAGGTGAACAAGCAATTGAGTTATGGAGAATGTCAAGAGCAAAGGCACAGAGTCAAGAATATGCAGGTCTAATGCAGGCAGTGGGAGGCAGATTTCACTGGAATGGAAGGGTCCTGAAGGGGAACAGCAAAGAATGGCTGCGAATGAAAGTTAGAAATCTCAGATATCAGTAGGCTGAAGTGTTTACACTTGAAACACAAAGCAAGAGAGAGCTGAAGATGATTCCTATGGATGAAATTAAATGGTATACATAAAAATACTTTAAACTGTGGACCATTTTGTCACCATATTATATAAGAGAGTATAGACTGGGCTCTTAGTGGGGGCAAAGAGAAAACCAGGGCGGACACATACAATGTGAGTCTGGGCGAAGGGGAGGGAGGGCAAGGAGATTAACTCAAGAGGCAGAAGACTTAATGACAGATCTTGTATGAACTGGAAAGATTTTTCCAGATTTGCAAAGCATACCGGCCTTTAAATATCAAAGTCATTTGGCTATGTATCCTAAACTTTATTTCTCTAGTTGCTGTGCCCCTTTAAATGCACCCAGACTTTTGATAAACACCATGCAGAGTGTGATACCAAAAAGCAAATTAACCAGCAGCTGCTGAATGCAGTGATTTGATCAGCCTTCGTTCATCCAAGCAGCACAAATCTATGCCAAGGAAATATTTGCCAGGTCCTGTTTTGATCGCTCACAGAGCTCTCTCCTTTGCCAAGTAAGCATGCTCTTAAATATTCCCAGCATTATTTAGATTTTAAAACATTTCCATGCCACCAGGCAGAAAATGTCCAGCGATTTCTTTATGGAGCTTTAAAACCTGAAAGAAAAATAAATCACACATACTGCCACACATGCACATAAATATACACACACACACACACATACACACATACATACACAAACCCAGATGGGCTGGTCTCTCCCTTGTGAAAATGAGAAAGCTTATCAGCATTCTTTTTTTTGAACGGCACCTAAAATTTCAGTGCCTTATAATCCAGTATTCATCAAGTTCATGTTATCTAAATATTGAACTATGGAACCCAGCGTTTTCTGCCCATCATGAGACCTGATAATATAGGGCACGGGAGGGGGAATATACCCATCCATTCCAGAGATATTTATCAAGAAGAAGGAAAAGTTAATCCTATGACAAAATAGGGATTGGTCCTAAGTGTCGTATTTCTCTGCTGTAAAGTGAATGACATAGTCTTGAAAATGTAGCAATGTAGCAACCAGAAATATCCCTCTGGTCCTAGAGGTGGTGGGACACAATCGATTTTTTTCCTCCCACATTACCCTTTTCCAACTCAAATTGCCAAAAACAAAATATGCCCCTGTCCCAGAGAATTTCACTGGAAAAGTACATCCACTAGTGGACCAGGCTGCAACACAATCTCATAAGTGGATGGGCACCACAGGTAATATATACCAATTTCTTCACAGGACTCTATATTCCGAAGATGCTAAACACCAATTAAATAATTTTAAAATATATTTTAAAATAAATGTCACTTTAATGGAGATAAAGTATAAATAAAGTATAAATATAAATAAAGACATGACATTTAAGTTAAAAAAAAAAAAAGAAACCTTTAGGGTTACTGCACGTCAGTGGATGTAAAAACCTAACTCTAAGGGTTTGCAAAAGGAATCGGAAGTAAGGACATCTTTCTTAGATCACACAGCAATTAGACAAGAAGTAGTCATCCTCTTTGGGTCATATGGGAAGTTACATGAGACGTACTAGATTCCCTTGGGCTAAGCCAAAGTGGAGGAATATGGCAGACACCTAAATGACTTAGTTTCCATATGGAATTTTCCTCAATTTGACGGATGTTTTGATTAAACATAGGATAGTTCCTTAGTCTCTATGTGATTCTAGTACTCAAGACAATTGTGATGCCTTTGTGACTAAAACTCTTCAGAGTAGATCCGTTAGGTGTATCTTTCATAAAACCTTTGCTTATTTATTCTAACAGTGTTCATCCAAATGTATTCAATAATTTTGTAGATGACATTAATATCAGCTACTGTATTCTGAAGTCAACTCAAAGGGCAATCAATACTACAACTGTTATTACAGTGCTTTTTTGTAATACCTATTACAATGGTTATAGCCTTATAGTATCTCCAGCTCCGTAGTTAGATGCATAGTTAAATCTCTATGTACAAATGTAAAGGGAAAGGCTAAACTTTGAAATAGACGTCTCAGGTCTTAACAAGGAGACTGAGGAAGAAAAACAACTATAAATTCATCCTCCCACACATATAGGAAGTAGAGCCTAGGGCTTTGTTATTTTACTCCTTGGCTTCCAGGCATCTTCCCAGTAGGGATTTCCTCCTTTTACAAATTTCTTAGGCCAAAATGTGAAGAAGAAAGTTTTAGATATTTAAAGTTAATTTTCTTTTTTATCTTGCCAGCTATCTCTGGTCAGGGAAATGTAAATTCACAGTGTCCTTGAAGAAATACAAACTTTGAAAATTTATTTAAATTGAGGATTCTCATTTGTCTTGCATCCAATGACATTTCCTACAGAAAAGTGAAAGGGGACGTTACATCTCACAGAGGTACATGTTAACTTTTTCTGAGCTACTAGAATTTGCTTATGTAGGAGTTCAGTAGCATGATATGGACAGATTAGCATGTCATTTTTTTTTTTTTTTTTTGAGGCGGAGTCTCACTCTGTCGCCCAGGCTGGAGTGCAGTGGCACAATCTCGGCTCACTGCAAGCTCCGCCTCCCGGGTTCACGCCATTCTCCTACCTCAGCCTCCTGAGTAGCTGGGACTACAGGTGCCCACCACCACGCCTGGCTAATTTTTTGTATTTTTAGTACAGACGGGGTTTCACCGTTTTAGCCAGGATGGTCTTGATCTCCTGACTTCGTGATCCGCCTGCCTCAGCCTCCCAAAGTGCTGGGATTACAGGCGTGAGCCAATGCGCCTGGCCTAGCATGTCTTTTAACTAGGAGGGCCCTGCCAACCATTTCTGAGCTTATAGGAATGGGCCTTCACCCAGAGCTGCCCTTTTTCATCTAATCCCTTTGGAGGAAAAAAAAAAGAATCAATATTGAAGCATGGGTATCTTTGCATATGTTTAAAAATATTCATGGCTGGAGGCAAATGAAAATGAAGGGACAGGAAGAAAACTTATCTTTCTCGTTTTCCAAGAATGCATGCTATAGAATTCTTGTGTCCATGATGAATCCATGGCTCATTCTCCTTTGCAGGCTCCTCCTCGCCTCCCTGAACCTCTAAAATTTTGCAAATACAGCAGGGCTGGATACTCTTTCATCTCTTCTCCTTCCTGGGTAAGCTCATCAAGACTCCTGTCCTAAACACATCTCTATGATAACAATTTCTAAATTTAGTTTACATCCTAGTTTACATCATCCCTCACTCCCAACTGTCCAACTAACATCTTCACCTGGATATCTAACTGGCATTTCAACTTAACACTATCAAAATAGAATATTTGATTTTCCCATTCAAACTTGGTCTTTCCTTATCTCAGTAAATCATATCCATTCTTCTATTATTTCAGCCAAAAATATTGGAATTATCTTGACTTATTTCTCTCTTACACTACATCCAATGCATCAACAAACCCTGCCGGCTGCATTCAAAATACATGCAGAATAACCTCACGATCTCCACTACCCTGGTCTGAGCCCAGTAGCATCTCAGACTGGAAATAGCTTCTATGACGACACCTTTAACTAGTCTCTTTCCTTCTGCCTTTGCCCACTTGACTATCAAGTCTGCATACAACAACCAGAGTAATGTCATTAAAACTCACTCAGAGAAAAAACCTGAAGGCCTTATACTCCTTGGCAAGGCTCTATTATACATTACTCATTACCTCTCTTTCTCTGTTACCTTTCTGACTTCATATTTGACCACTGTTCATTTTTGCATCCTTGACACCTGGATGACAGCCTGCTGCATAGTAGGTGCTCATAAATATTAGTAAGATGAATGAATGCATCACCCAAGTTAGAAAATGATACAGTCAGTACATAAGATCTGTTCCTGCACCGTATTTATTTATTTTTCAAGAACCCACTGTTCTCATTTGCATTTTGCCTTCAGGAAATAATTGTTATTCTTATTATTTTTAGCATTTTTCTCACATGTTCCACATTTTGATCTTCCCATGTGATTCTAAGCAGTTTAGGTTGGTGATTAACAACACACTTTCTAGAGAGATGGTGTCTCTGAATTCATGTCAGGCTACTTTGTTTACTGTGTGATCTTGAACAAATTACTTTACCTCTCTGTGCTTCAGTGTCTTCATTTGAAAAAGGGAATAATGTAGGTACGCCATAGGATTAAATGAATTTATATACATAAAGCACTCAGAACAGTCCTTGGCACATAGTAGGAGATAAATAGATGATGGATGCTATCTTTTTATTAAAAGTGTACTTGTTGATGATGATGCTATACGCCAAAGGAATAAAGTATAATAAAATAAATCACCAAATAAAGGAAGGAAAGGAGGGCTGAAGGAAGGAAGGAAACAAAAAAGTGAAGAGGGAAGGAGAATGAGAAAGAGGGTGGAAAGGGGAAAAATATTGATTTAAATAATTAATGCTATTGTGACCATCATATAAGAGTAGACCCATCTACCTTAGATACTGAGAGATCAAGCTCAATTATATTTAGCATAGTCTACCTATTAATTTTACCTGATGTTTTAAGGTAATGCAGTTATTTTAGCCTGATAATGTGAAAGGACAGTGGTAACATAAATAACATTACTCAATGCCACAAAAATTTCAAGAAGCTCAATCCTTAATTAGAATTTTCAAAATCAAATCAACTGATTTTCAACACCTCTGGAATTGTGTTCTTGAGATTTTTTGTTTGCTTTGTTTCTGTTTTCTAATAGGCTACTAGGAGAAGAAGAGTAAACCAAAGAAATAATTAAGCATTTTTGCTCTGTATTTCTGGTTTCTCATTGATTTCTCAACATTTGTCCACACATAGACATGTTGAAGTCTGTTTTCTCTCCATCTCTAGATAATATTTCTCAAATAGTAAAATGTATAACTGTTTTTAAGCCCATTTGCCCGAAAAAATTCTATATCCTATACAGAAAAATACTAAATAATTTTTTGACATTATATTATTATTGTGATATTTAAGCAAAGTGATCTTCCACCAAATCACTAATGTATTTGTATTTTAATTATGCCAATAACTTTACCAAAATAATTTACAAATAATATTTTCTTAAAATTATCATAACTCAGTGACAAGTTGCATCCTGCATGGTCTTAGTGTGCCACAGGCCTAATCTCTCATTGTGTATAAGCCAGTTTGCCCCATGTAGAGACTACAGTATATGGTCTCTATTTTTAATTTTTTTAAAGTCAAATACTCATTTTTGCCTTATTTGCATAGTTTTCGGCTCTTACATTTATTATTTGTAAACAATACATTTACATTTAATATTGTAAAATAATTTACAATATTTACAATAATTTTACTAAAATATTTATAAGATCTATAAATGCAGGCTTAACCTCCTGAATGGGAGAGAAAGGGAACATACAACAGTAGTGAGAAAAAAAGAATCAGGGATTAATAAATTTCACTTTTCACGGATGCTGAGGAGGTGGGGAGATAGCCAGAGATTGGCTGAAGGATACAAAATTATAGTTAGATAGGAGAAATAAAGTTCTAATGTTCTCTAACACTGTAGGGTAACTATAATTAACAATAATTTACTGCATGTTTTGAAATAACTAAAAGAGAAGATTTTGAATATTTTCAACACATAAAAATGATAAATGTTTGAGGTGATAGATACATGCTAATTACCCTGATTTAGTCACTGCACATTGTATACATGTGTCAAAACAGCCCACTGTATCCTGTAAATATGTATAATTATTGTGTTAATTAAAAATAATAATAATAAATTTTAAAGAAAGCAGAAAATACACCAAAAAATAATTATCTGGGAATGTCCCCAGACCAAGTCTCAGAAAAGAAATTACAACTAATTCAGAGAAAATTATGGATTTGAGTGGGTGAACAAAAATAACTACTTCCTCAGTGATCCTCCAGAGGAAAAATTAGAGATAAATGTAAAAGCTAAAAATTATGCAAATAATGCAAAAATGAGTATTTGAATTTAAAAAAATTAAAAATAAAGACCATATACTGTAGCCTCTACACTGTGGGAAACTGGCTTTTACACAATGAGTGATTAGACCTGTGGCACGCTAAGACCAGGCAGGCTGCAACTTGTCACTGAGTTACTATGGAAGACGTGTGATGGGAAGGTCTGCATTGATGGGCATAGACCAAAATGAAAATTTTGGTGCTGGAAGCAGAAAACTGCCTAAGACAACAAAATGGCTTAGAATGAGAGACTGGGGATTATTCTGTTCAAGGATTTCCTTAGACCCCTCTTTTTGTCAAAGGGTGTTAGAGAGACATAAAAAACCACATCTATTTGTAGTACATAAAAAATTAGAAAACAGAGCCCATCAACCAATGAATGCATAAAGAAAATGTGGTTTATATACACCATGAAATACTACTTGGCCATAAAAAGGAACAAAATAATGTCTTTTGTAGCAACTGTGATGGAGATAGAGGCCATTATTTTAAGAGAAGTAATGCAGGAATGGGAAACCAAATAGTGTATGTTCTCACTTATAAGTGGGAGATAAGCTATGAAGATGCTGTATTAGTCTGTTCTCATGCTGCTAATAAATATATACCCAGCACTGGATAACTTATAAAGGAAAGAAGTTTAATTGACTTGCAGTTCCACATGGCTGGGGAGGCCTCACAATCATGGCAGACAGTGATTGAGGAGCAAAGTCATGTCTTACATGGCAGCAGGCAAGAGAGCTTGTGCAGGGGAACTCCCATTTATAAAATCATCAGGACTCGTGAGACTTATTCACTACTATGAGAACAGTATGGGGGAAATTGCCACTATGAATCAATTATTTCTACCTGTCCCTGCTGTTTTCTCTAATGCACAGACACCAACACAGCAAGTTAAGAAAAATGAAGGAACAGGTAAATATATCCTAAAGAAAGAAAAAAAAAAACACTAATGAAATGAAGATGTATAATTTATTTGACAGAGAATTTAAAATTATCATAAAGATGCTCAATGAAGACAGGAGAACAATACATGAACAAATTGAAATTTTCAACAAAGAGATAGAAAATATTTTTTTAAATCAAATATAAATTTTCAAGCTGGATAATTCAGTAACTAAGCTGGAAAATTCAACAGATGGCTTCAACAGCAGACTATGTCAAGCGAAAGACAGAATCAGCAAACTTAAAGACAGATAATTGGAAATTATACAATCATAGGAGCAAAAAGAATAAAAAGAATTTTAGCAAGTGAAAAAGCTTAAAGGACTTATGAAACACCATAACACAGGCAGACCAATATACATCTGATAGTAGTCCAAGAGGGAAAATAGAAAGGGGCAGAAAGATTATTCAAAGAAATAATGCCCCAAACTTACCAAATCTAAGGAAAGAAATGTACATACATATTCAGAAAACCAACAAATTTCAAAAACATAAACCCAAAGAAATCTACACCAAGACACCTTACAATCAAATTGTCAAAAGTTCAAGATAAACAGACAATTTTGAAAGGAGCAAGATGAAAATTACTTTTCACGCACAAAGAAACCTCCATCACACTCAGTGGATTTCTCAGCAGAAACCTTGTAGGCCAGAAAGGATGATATATAGTCAACCATCACTTAATGACAGGGATATGTTTGGAGAAATGCATTATTAGGCAGTTTTTTCATTGAGCAAACATCATAGAGTGTACTTACACAAATTTAGACGGTGTAGCCTATACACACCTTAGTTATATGGTATAGCTTATTGCTCTGAGGCTACAAACCTATACAGCATGTTACTGTACTGAATACTGTAAGCAATCATAACATAATAGTATTTTTATATCTAAACATAGAAAAAGTACAGTAAAAATATGATATAAAAGTTTGCAAATAGTATATCTGTATAAGGCACTTACTATGAAAGGAACTTGCAAGACTAGAAGCTGCTCTAGGTAAGTCAGTGAATGAGTGGTGAGTGAACATGATGGCCTAGGACGTTATCATAAACCACCGCAGACTTTATAAATGTTGTACTCTTAGGCTACAATACATTTGTATTATAAAAAAATTCTTTCTTCAATAATTAACTTTAACTTACTGTAACTTTTTTATTGTATAAACTTTTAAATTAATTTTTCCTTTGACTGTTGTAATAGCAGCTGAAAACACAAACACACTGTACAGCTCTACAAAAATATTTTCTTTGTATCTTATTCTATAAGCTTTTTCTATTTTTTGTACTTTTAAAACTGATGTCACAGAAATAAAAAGGATTATATTAGACTACCATGAAAATTGAATAACGAAGAAGTAACAGATAAATTCCTAGAAACAACCAATCATGATTGAATCATAAAGAAACAGAAAATATGAACAGATCTATGACTAATAAGGAAATTGGTCATAATCTAAAACCTCCACAAATAAAGGCCAGGGCCCAGATGCCTCCACTAGTGAATTCTATCAAACATTTAAATACGTAATTCCAATCCTTCTTAAACTCTTTCAAAAAATTGAAGAGGAAGAAACACTTCCAAACTCATTTTACGAAGCCAGCATTGCCCTGATACCAAAGTTAAACAAAGACATTATAAGAAAAGAAAACTACAGGGCAATGTCCTTAATTAATATAGACTCATTCATAATTCATTTTGACAAAATTCAACACCTTTTCATAATAACTTTTAACAAACTAGTAATAGAAGGAAATTACCCCAAAATAATAGGCCTTATATGTAAAGCCCTTAACTAACATGGTACTTAATGGTAAAAAATTAGAAAGCTTTTCCTCCAAGATCAGGAGCAAGACAAGAATGCCCAGTCTAACCGCTTCTATGCAACATAGCGCAGGAAGTCCTAACCAGAGCAATTAGGAAAAAATAAAATAGAAGGAATCTAAATTGGAAAAAAAGAAATAATTTCATCTCTGTTTGAAGATGACATGATCCTATACATAAAAAATTCTAAAGACTACACACACACACACACACACACACAAACTGTAAGAACTAATTCACAAATTCAGAAAAGTTGTAGGATACAAAATCAACATGAAAAACCAGTTGTATTTGTACACACTAATCACGAACTATTCAAAAAGCAAAGTAAAAAATAAGCTAATTTACGATAGCATCAAAAAGAATAAAACACGTAGGAATAAACTAAAGAAATGAAAGACTTGCACACTGAAAACTATAAAATATTAATTAAAGAAATTAAGGAAGACAAAAATATATAAAAAGACATCCTGTTTTTCTGGACTAAAAGATTTAATATTGTTAAAATTTCCATACTACCCAAAGTGATCTACAGACTGACTATCAAAATTCCAATGACTTTTTTTTTTACAGAAATGGAAAAACAAATTTAAAATTCAAAGGAAACTACAAAGGACCCTGGATAGCCAAAACAATCTTGAGCAAGAACAAAGTTGGAGGTATCGTTCTTCCTGGTTTTTAAATCATCTACAGCATGGTACTGGCATAAAGACCAATAGAACAGAATAGACAGTCGAGCAATAAACCCATGAATATATGAACAACTGATCTTCAGCAAAGGTACTAACAATACGCAATGAGGAAAGGGTAATCTCTTGAATAAATGATGTTTGAAAACTAGATATCCACATGCAAAAGAATGAAATTGGACCCGCTTGTTATACAAAAATCAACTCAAAATGGACTGAAGACTTATATTTAAGACCCGAAACAGTAAAATTCCTGCAAGAAAACGTAAGATAACACTTCTTGACATTGGTTTTGGCAATGATTTCTTAGATGTGACACCAAAAGCACAGGTGACAAAAGCAAAATAAACAAGTGGGACTATGTCAAATGAAAAAGCTTCTTCACAGCAAAAGAAACAACAGAGTTTGGGCTGTGCAGAGATAGGGTTAGAAGTTATAACAGTGAAGAGAAATGGAAACTCAAATCCATTTTGATGGGTAAATTAGTACTGCTTTTCCTGAAGACAATTTAGCACTATACAAAACATATTGATTACACATATCCAAAATACATAAAGAACTCTCACAATTCAATAACAAGGAAACAAATAACCTAATAAAAATCAAGATCTCAATTAGATACTTGTATGCCCATGTTTACTGTAGCATTATTTCATAAAAGTCAAAAGGTGGAAGCAACCCAAGGGTCTACTGACAGATTAATGGATAAAGAAAGTACGGTAGTACATCCATAGAATATTATTCAGCCTTACAAAAGAGAAAAATACTGCCATTGTGACAACATGGATGAACCTGAAAGCAATTTTGCTAAGTGAAATAAGACAGTCACAGAAAGACAAATATAATATGAATGCCTCTACTTATATGAGGCATCTAAAATAGCCAAATTTATAGAAGCAGATAGTAGTATGGTGGTTCCTGGAGGCTTGGGGAGTTGCTATTCAATGTGTACAAAGTTTCAGTTAGTGCAACATTAATAAATTTGAAGAGATCTGCTAATCTATAGTTAACAATATTGTATTGTCCACTTTAAGATTTGTTAAAAGGGTAGATTTCATGTTAAATGTTCTTACTACAATAAAAATAAAATTAGAAAACACATTTAGGATGATGATGAGGAAGATTTTTGAACATTGTCTGTCATCAAATTATGGGATAATTTCCCAAGGGAAATGTGAAAAAATGCCATCATTGAAGACATTTGAAACCAGACTGAAGAAAAACACATGAACACATAAAGTTGGCCTTGTTCTTCTGCCTACATGGATGACAAGACCCAAACATGACCTAAGACACCATTAGATTTTACAGCCGATGAGCACCTTCTGACCACCCACTACTGTGAGGGATGAAAGGGGAAAATTGGGCTGGAACTGATGACTCACATCAGGAAGACTTGCTCAGTGTGTTCCTGGCTCTGTTACAACTTCCCGAGGGTGCTAGGAAAGGAGCAGTTTGCACCAAGTCATCATACTCCCAGTTCATAGAAGTTTCCAGGGAATACAGGAGGCTCTTCTCTACTGCACCCCACTTTTTTAATTGGTCTGTGTTTTGTTTTCTTTTTTTTAAGTCAGAAATAACCCCTGTAGAAGACCAGAACATACAATCTATACAGAACAAACAATCTATACAGAACAAACATAACCTTAGACCAGGGGTCAGCAAACTGTAGTCCAAGGATCAGATCTGGCCCACAGCCTGTTTCTCTAACTAAAGTTTTACTGAAACAGAGCCAAGCCTATTCATTTGCATAGTGTCTATGACTGCTTTCACAGTACAGTGGCAGTGTTGAGTAGTTGTGACAAAGACATCATGATCCACAAAGCCTAAAACTCTTACTAAGGCCTTCACTAAAACCTTTACTAAGGCCAAATACTGCCTTAGACTGATAAGTTTGAGAACACTAATTCAAGCATCTCCAAGGTAAAATATGTAAAATCCTTGCCTTCTTCCCTTCTTTTAACTATGAAATAGAAAAGAAAAAAAGAATTTAACTTTGGGTAGAATATGTCAGCTTTTCCTGAATCCAGTCCAAGACATCACATGCTAGAGTCTGGAGCATGCATCTGTGACCCAAAATATAGTGGCTGACTGGAGGCTCTAGAATCAGAAAGACCTGCATTTGAATTCCAGATTTGCTGTTTTCCAGCTGTATGACCTTTGGCAAGTTACTTAATCTTTGTAGGTTTCTCCTTGAAATAAAATAAAAAATATTATCTAGCTCAGGGGGCTCTTGTGAGTAGTGATTAATTACTGTATATAAAGCACTTAGCACAGTGACTGGTACCTTAATATATGTTCAAATGTTTACCTAGTATTATGAGTACTATTATTATCAGAAAATTAAAACTCAGATTTGAATATAAAACTTGTTAAACTTTACCTGCACAGTTTTCCTCAGGGTCTCCACAGAGGAGGCCATTAGTTTCAGGACTTCTGGTGGAATTCCCATCTGCCACCACACAGTGAAGGATCACTAGACCTTCAAATTCAAAACAGAACCAAAATCAAACATGAAAATTTGCTTATTGTGAAACAGTCTATCAAAGTCATCACCCATTTCACCCATTTATGAAAATAACAAGACTATGGTTTCCATTTCCAAGTCACTCACTCCCAGGAAGGGATACAGAGGCCAGCATGCTGCACATTTTCAGCTCATTGCTAAAGAATGAATTTTCAAGCCACCATCACTTATATCTAACTATGGATCTTAAGGAGGAAACTTGGTCATAGCTTGTGAAAGAGCCTTATAACAAAAGCAGAAGTAAGAGCAGCTGAATTCCCAGTCCCTGAGTGAAACTACTGATGAATTTCCAGGGAGAGTGAATGGTGAACCTGCACGGCAAGCAAAGTGCCTTCTCCATTCCACAAAGAGCCAGCGTTCTCAGGTGTTAACAACTGAATGTGCTTCTTTCTGGGGAGATATTTGATCCATGAGAATTCTTTAAAAATTTTAGGCTCCTCTAGCTAAGAATCTCTGTTTCTGAGAAGGACGGGCCACATGTTTTACGAGGGAGAGAAGAATGCCATGCTGTGGTTAGAATGGTTCAGAATACAATGTGCAGTCCTTGTGTAGATACTGATTCAAACAAACCAACCAGAAAAGGTCACTTCTGAGATAATCAGGGAAATTTGACACTGACTGGACACTAGATAATATTAAAAAATTGTTATAGATATTTTAAAGTATGATAATGATATTGTGGTTTAGGTTACAAAACAGGGTCTATATCGTGTATGTGTGTGTGTGTGTGTGTGTGTGTGTGTGTGTATAATTATGGATAAAATTGATGTATCTGGGGTTTGCTTTAAAATAATCCAACATGAGAAGGAGGATACGAAGAAGTGACGAAAAGGCATGGATGAAATAAGGTTGGCCACATATTGATAATTGCTGAAGCTGATGGTGGGTATATCAAGGTTCATTATGTTGTCCTCTCTGGTTCGTATATGTTTAAACATGTCCATAATAATAGGAGGGAAGAATAGAAAAAGAAAGAAGAGGAGGGAGGAAAGTCAAGGAAGAGAAAGATGGCTTAGGAATTAGCTGGTCTTGAGTTTAAGAGCTGTTTTTGCCAGATAAGTATGAAAAGCACTTAACACGGTGCTGGTAGGTAATCAATGTGCAATAAAAATTACTTATTGTTATGCAACTGACAAGAATAAAGTAGCCTGTCCACCAGTTGTATTGAAATTTATACATCTAATGATTTCTAAACTTATGTATGTTCTCCAACTCAATTTGGTTCAACAAACATTCATGAACATACAGGAACACACAGGTGAATAGGATGTGCTAGATCGCTAGATCCTCAAGTTGCCCCCAAGTTGTGGAGCCAATTAACCATAACACAAAGTGCTACTACTGTACCAGAAAGCAACAGTGGCCAGCAAGTTCAAAGGTCAAGAGTTTTCAAAAGGGTCTTTTGAAAGAGAGGCTCTTTTTTACCTATCTAATTGGAACATGTTTTCAAAGAAAGAAATGTACCTAACATGGGTAACAGTGAAGAGAAATGGAAACTCAAATCCACTGGTGATGGGTAAATTAGTACTGCTTTTCTTGAGAACAATTCAGCACTATACAAAACATAAAAGCAAATACACACACAATGTATAAGTCTTAAATTCAGTAATTACATGGCTAATGGTTTTTCCTAAGGAAATAATTCAGGATAAATAAAGAGATTTAGCTGCAAAATGGCATGAGTTTAAAAAAAATGTAGATTACCTAAATAACTGACAACAGAGGATTAAGTACATTGAATGAATTCATGCAATAAAATACTATTCAGCCATTAAAAGATGATATTCAAACATGAATAGAACATCTTGTGTTCCTAAATAAAGCAGACCACAGAATAATAATATAGCGTGATCTGTTTGTGGGAGTATGTACTCATCTGTTTGTGTATGTGAGTTTAAGTGTGATAAGTGTAAAAACCTATCCATATAGTCAAAAGGTGAATAAGTAAATAGAGAGTTGCTCACAATTTCCTTAAGTCAACATTTTTCTTAATTTTCCTTATTTGTACTTTCTAATATTTCTAAAAGCACATTTTATCTGTTGCAACAAGAAAAAAGGAGTGACTCATGTATTTCTCTTGTGAATTGCAATTTGGCTACCAAATTTCTAGATTATTTACACGTTTACTCCCAGCACCTGCCCTTTCCTTCACACTTAGAACAAATAGAAACAAACAATCATTTAGGGCTTCTGAAGCACAGGAATTTTATATTACTCATCTTTGTAATCCTGGTGCCTAATACAGAATTTAATGAATATTCAACAAATGTTAAAAGACTGAGTGAATCAATCTATAAACGAACAAGAAAAAAACTCTTTATATTCAAAAATCCCAAGAGCAATTTCTACTGGAAAATAATAAAATATGTTTAATTCATTTCTAAAATCCCATCCATGGGCTTTCTTCATGGGCAGTAATAGGAGACCTTAATTTCTTCTAATGGTGAGAACAAAAAAAAAAAAAAAACTCTAAATCTCATAGAGATTCCGCATCTGCAACCTGAGGATGGTAGTATCTCCTTCTCGAGGTTATTGTAAAACTTAAGTTTATTTTTAAAAAGAGCACGTGGCTTGGCACATAATATACAATTTGCAGTCCAGTTGCACGCCTTCTCACTATCACTTATAATTTAACCCATTATTCTCCAATTCTGCTCACAGAGGGAGTTCTAATTCCTTTGAAACCCTGCTGAGGCCTTCAAACATCCCCACAGGCTGGGGGCTATGGCCCAGGCTCCTTCCGCTAAGCTTTGTTTCACATGCTGGTGTCAGTTGGCAAAAGGAGTTTGCTGTCCTCACAGGTGGAGGCAGAGTACTGGGGCGGAGGTATCCTCAGCCAAGCCAGCTCCCAAACCAAGCAGAGCATGAGCTGCTCCTCTTCCTGCCCACCCCAGCAACCTACAGGTCACAGGTTGGTGGGTGTGAACCAAAGCAAGCCTGAAGAAGCATTTGCCTGGCCTGCACAGTTTTTAATAATTGAATCAAAGCAGTTCATATTAAACCTGAGTTTTCTTCTTCCATTGAAATAGTGGAAGGTCTCGCAAGACAGATCTGAAATGCTTTCCTAGCAACAGCTGGCTGCAACTAAGAAGCAGGTGACCCCTTTAAGTGTCCCAGAACCCATGAGGCTTCCTGCACTTATTTATTTTAACTACTCAGGCCCTAACAGGTATTTGAGTTTGTGATCTGTAAAAAGAGACTCAGAAATCAGATAAATGCTCACAAAACTATCTACTAAACAATAAAGGCTGCTATAAAGAGAAAGGACACTCCATTCATAATTCAATGAATATTTATTAAGCATGATGTATTTGACACTGGTGCAAGACTCAAGACACTGAAGGCTCTAAGATAACAGACACAGGTATTATCATTAACCTTAAGGA
The DNA here is from genome assembly GCF_000001405.40 of Homo sapiens. Classification (NCBI taxonomy): domain Eukaryota; kingdom Metazoa; phylum Chordata; class Mammalia; order Primates; family Hominidae; genus Homo; species Homo sapiens. The sequence continues at coordinate 74,773,588 of NC_000004.12, forward strand.
GATCACATTCTGGTAAGATAGACACAAACTTTTTTTTTTTTTTAGACAGAGTCTCACTCTGTTGCCCAGGATAGAGGGCAGTGGTGCAATCTCGGCTCATTGCTGCCTCCGCCTCCTGGGTTCAAGCAATTCTCATGCCTCAGCCACCCAAGTAGCTGAGATTATAGGTGCCTGCCACCATGCCTGGCTAATTTTTGTATTTTTAGTAGAGATGGGGTTTCACTGTGTTGACCAGGCTGGTCTTGAACTCCTGACCTCAAGTGATACACCCATCTCAGCCTCCCAAAGTGCTAGGATTACAGGCATGAGCCACCAAGCCCGGCCCGACACACAAATCTTTAAGGTACAGTATAATATGTACAACAACGATGATAATGCAGAAGTAATAGGATAGAGAATCAACTCTGCCTAGTGGCAAAGACTTCATGGAGAAATTGAGATTTGCCATGAGTTCTTAATGAGGAATAAATGATTTTTAAAAGCATCAGTTAATAACTTTTACAAAAACAAAAAAAGTGTAAGCAAGATAACAATCATAATGTGTTAATTGTTTCAGCAGTGGATAATATTTATGTGGTCATAGTAATGTCAATATTGATAATTTAACAAAATATGTTCAGAAACTCAGGGCCAGTAATTAGCCCACATACACCATATGGGATAACTGGTTGTGACTAATCAGTGTGTGCTCTGCCAGTTCTTGAATGTTTTGAGTACCGGTCTTGGAATTATGAGAGAATATAAGGTCAGCAGATAAAGTCTAAGCCTGACAAGTCAAGAAGTTGCATTATAAGGAAATTATTGCAGTAAACATTTGAATACCAGAAGAAACATCAAAACGAGTCAAAAGTGGTTGGTAGAGAGGCAGGAAAGTATGGTGCAAAGATCTGCTATTTACTGTTATAAGCCTTTTAGTACTATCTGATTTTTTATCACTTTATTAAAAACATAACTGATTATTAAGAAAAGGACAAATAAAGTTGTAGTTAACCAGGGCATTCTTTAAAAAAAAAAAAGGAACAACTTGTAATAAGTAAAAGGAATAACTTGTTAAAAGACATGGCATGAAACAGCACAACTTTTCCTGCTTGTTTGGAGGGTGGGTGGGGATTGTGATGGAAGAGGAGGCTGGCAAGCACGTAGGCAACCAAAGGTCTCAATGCCATGTTGATTAGTTGGGATTCTGTTATGCAGCTAAGTTGAGACCACTGAAAAGTTTTAAGTGAGAAGCAACATAATCATCTTTTTTTTTTCCATTTTGAAAAGACTACTTTAATATCAGCATGGGTGATTCAGACACACCTAAACCAGGATGATAGCACCAGGTATGCAGAAAAAAGAAAGGCCTATGAGGGATAGCCACAGATCAAATATGAAAGACCTGGTGACTGGAAGTGAAAAAAAGGAGTCTGGGATGACCCCAGAGTTTACCGCTTGGATAACTGTCTGGATTGTGGTACCAATCACAAAGATACAAGGTATAAAGAAGGGAAACAGGTTGAGCATAGAGAGGAATTCAGTTTGGGTCACTGAGTTTGAGATGACTGTGGCTCATCTAGAGGGCAGTAGATGAGGTATAGATCCACAACTTTGGAGCAAAGCCAAGCTGCAGGTTCTATTTTGGGGAATCATGGAAAATAAACTGGAATTTAATTCCATGAGAATAGACTTCTCAAAAAAGGAAATGTGAAAAGAAAATGCTGATTAAGGGCAGAATTCTGAAAATCCAGTGAAATAAGAAAGTTTAAAGGAACGTACATTATTAAAATAATCATCTTTATCTGGGAAAGCATGAATTGTATTTTAAAGAAGATGAAGGAAAATATGATACTCAGCTGTAGAAAACACAGTAAGATTTCCACTCAAAAAGATCATAGGTTATGTTAAAATTTAGAATTAGTAAAAACTAAAAGTATTAAAATTTCCCACCAACTAACTCTCAACTCCCCAGAAATCATCCCCTGGGAAAGTTCCTCAAGCCCGTATTTAAAATTTCAGTACAGAAATTTCAATCTCTTCCGAAATATGCCATTTCAAGGAGACTATTCATCAATTCTTTCAATCATGATCATTCATTCATTCAAAAAAATTAAACACCTACTTCTAAAGCTCCATAAATGTTTCTTCATATTGAGCTGGTTTTTGCCTTCCTGTTATTTTACTCTGCTCCTTGGAATCACCTAAAATAAGTTTAAGCTCTCTTTTCCTTGACAGATTCTCATATATTTGAAGCCAGCTATCAAGTCTTCCTGAAAGAATTTCACTTCTTCAAGCTAAACATCCCGGTTCTTTCAATCATATTTTATGGTATCATCAAGACCCCTCATAAGCCTTGTCGTCCTGTCCTAAATGCAAAGTCAAAATAAAGTGCCATCCCACAGGGTCTGGCAAAGACAGAATAAAGTGGGGCTTTCAGGCCCTACACTGGGAGCTCCCCATAGCATATCAGCCCTTTTTGCCTATCACATTAATACTGGGGTTTTATTCTCCTTACCATAAAATGAAGCTCCTCTATTTTTTATACTGCTGGAAAGCAATATATTTATGGTTTCTTTTTTTCATTGCTATAGCTCTGTTTTGTGGCATTTTTTTTTTACCTTAAGAAAATAGTTTTTACACTTTTTCCTTTTAAATGTTTTTTGGGTCAGATTTCACCTATCATTCAAATATTTCACAATCTGTTGTCTGATCCTTTCATTCAACCTATTATCCATACCTCCCTGTTTTGCAGGACCTGAAGAATTTCTCAGGTGCATTAAAGCAATACAAACAAAATAAACTAATGTTAACTGCATTTGCTAAGTGACTAGAAATTAGTCCTTATTTCTGGGGATAGTTTTAAAATATCAACTCCACTCATAAAATTAAAGACAAAAGGAAAAGAAATCCAATTGTACTTCAGTGAATCAAGGCTGTATTTATTTTTATGCATTTTGAGATTCTCAAGTTAAATATTACAGAATGTATTAAAAGTATTATCCCCATCAGTCAGCATGGGGAATGAAGTCAGTGTAAACAATACAAGCATTCAAAAAGAGGCAGCCTGACAAGGAGCATGACACGCCGTCTCAAAGTCACTGCTAATGCTGAGGTAAGTAGTACACCAGCTGGGTCAACTATTTAAAAAGATCATACATGACCAACTTAAACAGTCATGTGCGTTGTATTTGCCTCATCTCTGAGCTGAATTTTCCATTTTTAGAGCCAAGTGCATTTTGTATTTTAAAAATAAATATAATATCACAAAATGTCCATTCATTTATATTCTGATGATTTAGGACATCTTCCTAGATACACTCCAAACTTCTACTTATGTATACTAAATCCAGTGATTCCTTGCCATATCATATCATTTAAGATCAGAATCACATTCCATGTCTCATTAGAAAATCCAGCTTTAAGTCAAAGAAGAATGTATCAACCTATGAACATAAGCAGAAATTAGAAGAATATTTCATTGTCGCACCTCTATCATTTTATTTACATTAAAGAGAAGCAGTGCAGAGTAACGGAGAAAAGGCAGCTTTAGGGTCAGATGGAGCTGTTTTTGAATCCTAGATCTACCTTTTATGCACGAGATTTATAATTAAGATTGAGTTTCTCAACCACTGAGCTTCAGGGTCCTCTTCTGTAAACTGAGGCTCATAATACCTAACTTACATAGCCATGGTAAAAATGTAGCTGTGTGCTGAAAAGAAGGTGGAGGGTAGAAATTATGCGTTTGTAACTTAGGTAATGCCTTGCACAGGGTAAGCGCTCAAAAAATAGTAGCTGTTAAGTGACCAGAAGTAAAAGAACAAAAATTTAAATTACCCTGGTAAAAAACTAGATTCTCAGCCTCATAAGTGGATACTGACAAATTTCTACATTTATGGTGTGATTTCACTGTGTATAAAATATGTTTCTGATATAAACTATGAAAGATGAATACACATATATATGCATACCTTCTACAGTATGCTTTTTTGTATGTACTTAATGAGACAAAACTATATTTTGGCCTCTCTGCATGTTCCTTCTTTCTAATTTTTGGAAGAAATTTGAAGTTAATATGCCTCAGCTAATTAATAGAAATATGACACCTTCTACATACATAGTTCTTTGTGTTTTCAGTAGAGTTCTGCCAGTGACTCAGCATACCATTTATGTCAGTTGGGATTACTGATTCAGTTGGTTGGTTAAATGATTCAATAATACAAATATAGCTGACAAAGTCAGATCATAGTAATAACTAAAAATCAAGTGAATTATAAATCATATCTCTAATTTTTAAAAAATAAAATTAAAGTTTTTAAGTTGAAATCAACACTAGGAGTAAAAGCAATAAGCATTTGGGGAACTTTCTTATTACATCTTCACTGTCAGGAAGAAAACAGAATCTTAAATATGCATACTATACACAGAGTAATTTCCAAGTCCAAAAAGAGACCCTATCTAACGTGGAGTTTGAAAAAAAAAATAGGGAGTGAAAATAATGTTTAACACTGAGTTTGTGGTTAGCTGAGATGAAAACTGTGAAATGGGTGTAATGTTACAGCGTTCTCCTTTTTTGTTAACTCCTTTTCTATCTTTTCTTCTTCTTGTCTTTTGCCCTCCTTTAATCCATTGTCCTCATTCTGCTTTAACATGGCCCCAAGGAGAACATAATTCTTGAGCAGATTTTTGTTTCTAAATGTATTTGCTTTCAAAGCAGACCTTCAAGGAGAGAAATTATTTAACTCAAAAGAAACACTCTAAAATCTGGAGTGCCTCAATCTGGGTTTCCTAGAAAGCAGAACCTAATGTACAGACTAAGGGATTACCACTTTATTTGAGAGTTACAAGCTTGGGGTAGTGAGAATAAGGAAGAAAGGAAACGAAGCAAAGAAAGGGACAAAACAATAAAATGTGTGCACCTATCATGCAGTGTGTAGTTCCAAAGTGAGATGCAGAGAAACACAGAAATTTGCTCAGACAGCATGTTTACTAGTATGTAGGCCACATGAATGGCTCAAGAAAAAAATTCATACCTTGAAGCAGTCCAGTGGAAAAAAAATGAAAGGAGGAAGAATGTATCAGACCCAATCACTTTCATCACCAATTTCCCACTGGTCAAAATTCACCCCACTGAGTATGAACTCCCTCAGTTCTGACCCCTTGGTGACAGAGAGGCCAGAACTCATGCCCTGGGACATGGTGTTTTATCCAAGTCTCAAAGTGGAGCAACCTGGCATGGGGAGGAGCTGACCAAGAGACAATGAAGGTGGCTGAAAGACTCTTAGGAGGTGCACAATATTTGTGTCCCAACACAGTGAGCAATTTGGGCATCAGGACATCTCCTGGGGAACAATTTTCCAGGACAGAGGAATTTTCCAAGTTTTCTTAAATCACATCATCTGGAGAACTGCCTATTCTCTAAAACTGAAAGACAGGCTTCTGGGTTTTCAGGGCCAGCATGGGAAGCAGAGACAGGAGCAAAGAAAAAAAGAAGAGGGTCTTTACAAATAGTGTATGTTCATTCAAATTCAGAAAAATAAAATATGAACTCCTTCTTCCTCCAATGTAAAACTCTATTCTGAATGGTAGAAATAATATCTTGGTGTTTAGGAAAGGCTAAAACTGATTGATAATACAATTTTTAACTCATAAAAGTACTTCACAACCTTATATTTTTAAAGCCCAGAAGGGAAAGTAATTTAACAACCTGTCATACACAAACTAATTCAGGTATCTGAAAACTGTCAACACGACAATGTCTTTGCCAGTAAATCAACCTTTTTTTTACTATTACCATTATTAAATCTGTGACAAATTGATTGAATGACTAAATTTAATAGGAACTCCAAAATAATCTGAAGCTAGTTTCTCAGAAATCGTCAGTTGTCAAAACTTGACTTTTTGATTCCCATTCCTTTATAATAAGGCCAAACCAGGCAGTTAGGCATTGTGACAATTTGAATGAAAAGTTTTAGGCTCACTGAATTTCTATAGTAGTTCAAAGAGAGGAGGTGAAGGAACCAAGGAAAAAGGACAATTTGTTTTCAAGGAGGATTATCCAAGTGCAAAGTGAGGTGAAACTGTGGCATTGGTTTCTGGATCTAGTGATAACATGGTCTCTGACCCATGAGGAAACAGTCATCAAACTTTAATAATGGTAAAGAAAAGAACATAAGATTTCAGAGTAGATGCTCACCCAACCTGAAAAAGCCCCAGAACTTAAACCCTTTAAATGAGTTAGAGTAAGCCAACCCAACTTAGCATCGAATTTGTTATCATCTTTATCAATAAAACCATTTGCAGAGACTAGGAATATAAATAAAGAAATATTAGGCAGAATATCTTAGGTATCAGGTGTTTAGAACATAAATTATCTTGGAATTCCAAAAAGTGGCAATGTGTTAAGCTGGAAAAATCAAAAAGTTTCACAGAAGAACTTAGAAACTGAGGACCAAAGGAAATGACATAGAAATGAGTTTGGTGTCTTTGGGAGACAATGAGTAAAGCTGTTCAGCTGGAGTGACGAATTATACAAAAAAGGATTAAGAAACAATGGCCTTCTTGGTGTGTTTTGTGTGACTATGAAATAATTCAATTGATTTCATTGTGTGGCCTATGAAAAGAAGACTCATTAAGAAATAGTCACAACACATATTGCCAGTTGAAGCTTCTCAATGACTGCCCACCACATCCTGAAAGACAGATTCCCAATTAAGAATCTGACTAGTATAGAAAACCACTCACTAAGTATTTAACAGCGAAGACAAATGTTGTGTGGAAATCACTAAGAATGAGGTGTGTATTCTTCGTTATGTTTCTGCAAAGGCAAATGGAAGTGAAGTTTATTATTTTGTGTAGTCTCATCTCACATCTCAACCAAACTTACAATCACTCTTCTGACCCTCCATTACATGATGATTGTCATTTACCTAAAAATGAGCAGGGATTTTCCTCACAGAAGTCTTCTATCACAGGATGGCAATGTTACAAATAACTATCTCCCGATGTAACAATATTTGAATTTTTTGTCAATGTCATTTACCTATTGTAGTTGTGCTTTATTTTTACCCTTCATAGTAAGATATCAGTCCGTCATCCTTATTTTAATAGATGGTAAAATATGAAATATGCAATGTCTTTAATGCAAAAACTAAGCCTGGGGCATAGGATTGGTGCTATATTCCAAGATGAGGACCATAAGAGAACACAGTTACTGAATTCAATTTTGGGGGAAAAGCTCAATTGTCTTTTTAAAAATTCTTCGTTATTGGTTTCCCAGGTTCCAAGTGGCCTGAGTCTTCTGTCCTTCCCAGGGAAGTCTACTGAGAGTTTCTTTTTTTTTTTTTAATTTTATTATTATTATACTTTAAGTTTCAGGGTACATGTGCACAATGTGAGAGTTTCGTATTTTGAAATTCTATCTTTCAACCTCAAAAACCTTGCCAAAGTGCAGTAATATCATCCTGTACTCATAAGAACATAAGAAAACTTGATGGTCATGGCCCACTCCCTACCCAGCTTAGGAATCACCTTTACACAACTCCATTTATGTACCATCCAGACCACATGTGTGTACAGGCAGGGGAAGCTCACCACATCCCAAGGCATCTGGCTCCACTTTTTTCCAAGCTCCATTTGGGGAATAAATTTCTTCCAAATGCTGCCTTCCTGGAATTTTAGTTCACTAATGTAAGCTGTGTTCTCTGAACTATACAGGGGAAACCTTGGTTGAAACGACTTTTCACATATTTGAAGTTGACTCTCATAAGCCAAAGCTTGTCTCTTTTCCATCCACAACCCCAATTTCTATTCTCTCGTCACGTGTGTGTGTGTGTGTGTGTGTGTGTGTGTGTGGCTTCAGTTACCAACAATCTCTTATCCCTTGTCTTTCAAGAGCACCAGTAATTTCCTCATAGCTCACTCAAGCGTGGCCTCTTCTTTAGCCTCATCCTCCTTCACATCCACATTAGAGTATTTGATATGGTTGACTTTCCCAAATCTTCCATCTAAAATCCACCCCCATTGTTGGCTTCCTGGCTTATTCTCTCCTTTTTACTCAACTTTGCCAGCTCTTTTTCTGACTCCCACACCACAAATATGTGTGCCACAAATAATCTACCTCTGTCTTTTTTTTTCACTTTTTTTTGTCATGGTAAAATACATATAACAAAAAATTTATTATCCTAACCTTTTTTAAGGTAGCATTAAATACATCCACATTGTGCAACCATCACCACCATGCATCTCCAGAATTCTTTTCATCTTGCAAAACTAAAACTCTATACCCATTAAACAATAACTCCCTACTTGCCTCTCCTCCCAGCCCCCATTCTGCTTTCCATCTCTATGACTTTGTCTCAGTCACAGACATGACCAAAAAAGTCAGTCATTTTCTTTTTTGTAATGTCACATAGTCTCACAAAACATCCATGGAATCAATATTTGATCAAACATTTACTGAGGATTTATTGCATGCCAGGCACTATGCTAGACCCTGAAATTATAATCAGTGAAATGATTCAGGTATATTTCCAGCCCTATTTTCTTTTTTTTTCATTTTAAGTTCAGGGGTACATGTGCAGGATATGCAGGTTTGTTACACAGGTAAACATGTACCATAGTGGTTTGCTACACACATCATCCCATCACCTAGGTATTAAGCTCAACGTCCATTAGCTATTCTTCCTGATGCTCTCCCTATCCCCCGACAGGCCCCAGTGTGTGTTGTTACCCACTATGTGTCCATGTGTTCACATCATTCAGCTCCCGCTTATAAGTGAGAACAATGGTGTTTGGTTTTCTTTTCCTGCATTAGTTTGCTGAAGATAATGGCTTCCAACTTTTTCATGTCCATGCAAAGACATGATCTCATTCCTTTTTATGGTTGCATAGTATTCCGTGTTGTATATGTACCACATTTTATTTATCCAGTCTATCACTGATGGGCATTTAGGCTGATTCCGTATATTTGCTATTGTGAATACCGCGCACTGAACATATGCATGCATGTATCTTTATAGTAGAATAATTTATATTCCTTTGGTATATGCCCAGTAATGGGATTACTGGGTTAAATGGTAGTTCTGCCTCTAGGTCTTTGAGGGATAGCCACACTGTCTTCCACAATGGTTAAACCAGTTTACACCCCCACCAACAGTGTAAAAGCATTCCCTTTTCTCTGCAACTCCACCAGCATCTGTAGTTTTTTGACTTCTTAATAATAGCCAATCTGACTGGTGTGAAAATGGTATCTCATTGTGGTTTTGATTCTCATTTCTCTAATGATCGGTGATGTTGAGCTCTTTTTCATGTGTTTCTTGGCCACGTGTATGTCTTTCGAGAAGTGCCTGTTCGTGTCCTTTGCCTGTTTTTTAATGGGGTGGTTTGTTTTCTTCTTGTAAATTTGCTTAAGTTCCTTGTAGATTCTGGATATTAGACCTTTGTCAGATTGATAGATTGCAAAATTTTACTCCCATTCTGCAGGTTGTCTGTTCAGTCTGATAACAGTTTCTATTGCTGTGCAGAAGCTCTTTAGTTTAATTAGATACCACTTGTCAATTTTTGCTTTTGTTGCAATTGCTTTTGGTGTTTTTGTCATGAAATCTTTGTCCATGCCAATGTCCTGAATGTTATTGCCTAGATTTTCTTCTAGAGTTTTTATAGTTTTGGGTTTGACATTTAAGTATTTCATCCATCTTGAGTTATTTTTTGTATATAGTGTAAAGAAGGGGTCCAGTTTCCATTTTCTGCATATGACTAGCCAGTTCTCTCGGCACCGTTTATTAAATAAGGATTCCTTTCCCCATTGCTTGTTTTTGTCAGGTTTGTTGAGGATCAGATGGTTGTATCTGTGTGGTCTTATCTCTGAGTTCCCTATTCTCTTCTATTGGTCTATGTGTCTGTTCTTGTGCCAGTACCATACTGTTTTGGTTACGGTAGCCCTGCAGTGTAGTTTGAAGTTGGGTAGAATGATGCCTCCAGCCTTGTACTTTTTGTTTGGGAATGTGCTGGGGCTATTCGGCTCTTTTTTTTTTTTTTTTTTTTTGGTACCATATGAATTTTAAAATAGTTTTTTCTAATTTTGTGAAGAATGTCAATGGTAGTTTAATGGGGATAGCATTGAATCTATAAATTACACTGGGCAGCATGACCATTGTCATGATATTGATTCTTCCTGTCCATGAGCATGGAATGTTTTCCCATTTGTTTGTGTCCTCTCTGATTTCTTCGAGCAGTGGTTTGCAGTTCTCCCTGAAGAGGTCCTTCACTTCCCTTGTTAGCTATATTTCTAGGTATTTTACTCTTTGTGTAGCAATTGTGAATGGGAGTTCATTCCTGATTTGGCTCTTGGCTTGACTGTTGTTGGTGTATAAGAATGCTAGGGATTAGGCTGGCATGGTGGCTCACTCCTGTAATCCCTGCACTTTGGGAGGCCGAGGCAGATGGATCACTTGAGGTCAGGAGTTCGAGACGAGCCTGGCCAACATGATGAAACCCTGTCTCTACTAAAATACAAAAATTAGCTGGGTATGGTGGCAGGCACCTATAATCCCAGCTACTCTGGAGGCTGAGGCAGGAGAATTGCTTGAACCTGGGAGGCGGAGGTTGCAGTGAGCTGAGATAGTGCCACTGCACTCCAGGCTGGTTGACAGAGAGAGATTCTCTCTCGAAAAAAAAAAAAAAAAAGAAAAAAGAATGCTAGTGATTTTTGCCCATTGATTTTGTAACCTGAGCCTGCTGAAGTTGCTTATCAGCTTAATAAGCTTTTGGGCTGAGACATGGGGTTTTCTACATATAGGATCCTGTCATCTGCAAACAAAGATAATTCAACTTCCTCTCTTCCTACTTACATACTCTTTATTTCTTTCTCTTTCCTGGCCAGAACATTCAATACTATGTTGAGTAGGAGTGGTGAGAGATGGCATCCTTGTCTTTTGCTGCTTTTTCAGGGGAATGCTTGCAGCTTTTGCCCATTCAGTATGATACCGGCTGTGGGTTTGTCATATATGGCTCTTACTGTTTTGACGTATATTCTTTCAATACCTAGTTTATTGAGAGTTTTTAACACGAAGGGATGTTGAATTTTATCAAAGGCCTTTTCTGCATCTATTGAGATAATCATGTGGTTTTTGTCTTTAGTTCTGTTTATATGATGAATCACATTTATTGATTTGCATATGTTGAACAAACCTTGCATCCCAGAGATGAAGCCAACTTGGTCGTGGTGGATAAGCTTTTTGATATGCTGCTGGATTTGGTTTGCCAGTCTTTTGTTGATTTTTGCATCAACGTTCATCAAGGATATTGGCCTGAAGTTTTCTTTTTTGGTTTTTGTATCTCTGCCAGGTTTTGGTATCAGGATGATGCTGGCCTCATAGAATGAGTTAGGAAGTAATCCCTCCTTTTTAATTTTCTGGAATAGTTTCAGTTGAAATGGTACCAAGTCTTCTTTGTACCTCTGGTAGAATTCAGCCGTGAATCTTTCAGGTCCTGGGCTTTTTTTGGTTGGTAGGCTATTGATTACTGGTTCAATTTCAGAACTCATTATTGGTCTGTTCAGGGATTCAATTTCTTCCTGAGTTAGTCTTGAGAAGGTGTATGTGTCCAGGAATTTATCCATTTATCTTAGATTTCCTAGTTTATGTTAATAGAGGTGTTTATAGTATTCTCTGATGTTTGTTTGTATTTCTGTGGGTCAGTGGTGATATCCCCCTTATCATTTCTGATTGTGTTTATTTGATTCTTCTCTCTTTTCTTCTTTATTAGTCTAGTTAGCTGTCTATTTTATTAATTTTTTCAAAACGCCAGTTCCTGGATTTATTGATTTCTTGAAGGTTTTTGCATGTCTCTGTCTCCTTCAGCTCAGCTCTGATCTTGGGTATTTTTTTGTCTTCTGCTAGCTTTGGGGTTTGTTTGCTCTTGGTTCTCTAGTTCTTTTAGCTGAAATGTTAGGTTGTTAACTTGAGATCTTTCTAGATTTTTGATGTGTCAAGCCCTACATTCTAAGCAGACGAATAGCCAAACTGGCTAGTAATTGGAATTTCCTGCAGTGTCTTTTTTTGTAGTAAACTTTTTATTTTGGAACAATTTTATATTTACAGAAAAGTTGCAAAGTGCAGGGAATTCTCACACACCCTTTACCCACTTTCAGCTTCCTCTAATGTTATCATCTCATATCACTGTGGTAAATTTATCAGGACTAAGAAAAAACTATCACCTCACACATATAGTTCTCCTAAAGCCAGAACCTTGGGCAAGTTGCTTAATCCCTTTGTGTTTCATATCCTACTCTATAAATGGGAATAATAATGATATCAACCTAGCTCCTGTGTTAGATGAATGTTATGTAGATGAAATGAATTATTATGCTCTTAGAACAGTGTCTGGCACATATTACACAACTGTTCTGCTATTATTTTTATTGTGAAGATCAAATGAGATAATGGGTATTAAAATGCTTTTACAATTATAAAGCTTCCCCAAAATGTAAGTAACTATGTTGATATTCTATAGAGAAGGTCAAGGAGATACCTGAATACGTAGTAACATCCTGTGTCTGTCACCCTGAGATGAGACCAGTTGAGTGTCAGAAACTCAGATGGCATTTCAGTAGGAAGGTGATCGTGAACAAGTCAAGTGTAAGTGTCCTGAAAGTGCTTAATTCAGCTCTGATGACAATTTCCTGGTGGTGCTACAGGCTTTCTGCACCAGAAGACAGAGGGAAGTGGTTCTCGCCTATTCTAGGATGGCCTGGACCATGCAGCTCACTCCAAAGATTAGAGAACAAAGATCTGTGTGTAATGTGCTTAAATTTAACCACTAAAGAGTTCAGACAATTGATTGTTATGAAATCGTTATATGTAATACTAAATAAGCTAGAGATTCTCAACACTAACAACTCAGGCTGCAGTCAGCCTCCAAAGCGAAGCTATCTCCATTTCTATAGGAGCCGCCAAAAGTTTGTTTTTCTTTTTAATACTAAACATAAACCCATGAATACAACAATTTGATTACTCGCCATTAATGAAAACCATTTCTGTTGAAAACAATTCTAATCACACAAGAGAGAAAATCATCTGACATCTCACAGAATTCAAGGGTGTTTTTAAATAAACCACTGGAGAGTGTCCTGAGTCCATTGCCCTTCCCTCCCCAACTTAGACACTTATTTTAAAAGTTTACATTTCGACCAGTAAAATCTGCCCTGAACCAAACATGTAGCAGTCTGAATCCTCAATACAAAACATGAGAAATAGAAGAAATGCTATGGGAAAAAGAAAAGCCTTTTGTGAAAGAATCTCTAGCACTGCCAGCAGCAAGTCCCATATAATAAGGGATGGAGAAACCTGTCCTTCTACCACATCCCTGAATCTGGGCTCAGTGTTTTGCCAACAAGAAATACAATTTTTTTTTTTTTTTACTTAACCTGTTGTTATTTTACTGGCTGGGCATCTTCCACCAACAGCCACTTACATTCATTCATTCATTTAATTAATACATTTTGAGGTCCTACTATGTGTCAGGCACTCCTTATGCAACTCTTCAAAAACTAAATAAAGTTAAACAAGTGAATGAATCCACAGTCTTGCGAAGACGAAAATGTTATATTAGTAGTTCATCCTGTTATGCAACTAGCTCATCACTTTAAAACAAGGAGGCTGAATATGAATACTGTTAAACTTCCCATCCCCATTTTGTAATTAATACCTCTAGTCTATGAGTCAGGTAAGTAACATACTACATATCCTCAGGAAAGAAAATGTAGAGAATAAATGAAAGCATTTCATGGTTATTTGACCTTGTTTAATTGATGTGAATTAAGATTAAATATTGCCTCTCCCTCCAACCATCTAAAAAGGTCTTTCATTGTTTCTTTAAATTATAACAATTAGATATACAGTTGAAATACTAAGATTTTTTTTAAGATATAAATATATCTGGAAAGGTTAGCCATCTTGAGCAATATAAAACATATGAATTTTAATCCAATTGCTTTCCTCTTAAATTTGACTTGTGAGCATTCTTGACCAACTTATGTGTGATTCTTTGCAGATCCAGTATCAGCTGGGGTCTGGCACTGCCTAAGATCAATAAGCATAAAAGCAGGATAGGGTAGGGTTGAAAGCACATATGGAGTCAAAAAGATCAGAATTTGAGTTCTAGGCATATACTATGTTTTAGGGAAGCTACTTAATCTTTCACAGTGTTAGTTCCCACATACGTAAAGTCTTTTTTTTCCCAGGTGCTGTTGCTACTCTAAGATGGACCTGGAGGACCTCCTGATTACGAGCCATCTCCAACCTAAGAAAGCCTAGCAATACATGATTAGGGAACAGGGAAAAAGAATCATGAAGCAAACCAGCAAACCACTCATCTGGACCTTACACAAAAGGTGGGGCCAGCTTGTCCCCCAGCTGTAGGGAATAAGGTAAAAGGAAGTCTAGATATTTCCAGAGTATTTTAACAAATTCCCCAGATAGGAAACCATGTAATATTTTAAGTCTATCTTGTAACAAAAAGCATGAATTTGTCTAAATTACAAAACCCCCTGCCTCCAATTCCTAGGATATCCTGCAGAGATAGAACTGTATCAATAATTCAGGATTCCGACTAATGCCCTCATTTTGGAAATCATGTTCTTATCCAGACAATATTTCCTTTAGAACTGCACAAAATTAACTTTTTGTTTGAGATATTTGAGTCTTAGTGCTACACAAAAAAAATGGTAGCTATTAATTTGTCCACCTTTTAATTCTTCTCCCATTTTTTCCTTCACCACTACCAAGGAAGAATTGTCACTATTAGTGAATTTTCCCCTAATCACTCCAGCCTGTAATAAATTATCCTTTTCTGAGATCATATTTAATCTGTACGATGCAATTTAAACTTCCTTAAGGATTGAACTATTATACAATGTTTCATTTGGAATGAACATTTCTATTCTATGTAAATCTTTCTAGAAAGACAATGGCCTACAATTAGACTTTTCTCATTAATGTTTAATACAGTTTTAGACACACTGTAAACAGTATTAGACATACTTTAAAATGGTAAAATTTAACATGGTAAAAATTTTTAGGTCTGCCTTCCTCACTATCACGTGTTTAGAAATAATGATAGTACTTTTCATCAACCTGCCAAGCACCGTGCCATGAGCAAAAGAGTTATGCATTTGGATATGTTAATGTTTTGCTAATTGCGATAGTCAGCAACCAACTTTCATGAACAAAACTCATACCTGGTCTGCCTATTTGGCAAAACCAGAGTCAGCTGCCATCTTGGCAAGGAGCTGTGTATCAAAAGTAAGTCATCGTTAGCAAATCTGAAGACATTAAAGATAGGATACTGAGTTCTGGGAGAAAGCGATTCTTACATTTTCATTATCAAAGCTAGGAAGTGTGTGTCGGGAGAGAGGGAGTGGATGTGAGTGTGTATGTGAGGAAACACAAAAGTTCACATCAAGATCTCTGTGATACACTCTGAGAAGCTACTGACCTAGAAGGACTTCCTGGACTATCCCCACTGACATTCATTCATTCAACAAGTATTTATTGAGCACCTACTATACATAGGAACTGGGCTATAACTGTAAACAATCCCTGCCATCGTGGAGCTTACATTCTAAGGAAACAATTCAAAGCACTTTTGAAAGCATGGCCATGGTGGGCAAATTCCTGCCCTATTTTCCTTTTGCTTGCCTCCATAATAGTGGTGACTATTATGGCAGTTTCCTTTGATCAAAGTACAAACTCTAACACTCCAATTAGCTTAATAAACACTGATTCTAGTTCTTTTTAGACAAATACCTATGAAATAATTGAAAAGTTATCTGAATATTCACAAAGTTAAAATAGTAATAATACATTGAATATTACCTGCCAATTATTCTTCTAAAATCTTTTTCTGCATTTTCTCATTTTATCCTCAAAATAATTCTGTGTCTCTAAATGATAGTTATCTTTATTAACATTCTATAGGTGAGAAAATTACACAAAAGGAGTTTAAGCAACTTTCTCAATGTTACAAGGCAACCATTATAGAATAAAAATATTTATGCATGGCTATCTGTTCTTGAGCATCTGAAAAAATTATTTTGTCCTAAGAAAACTTTCCTAAATTAATGTATTTTTCTTATAGAGAAACAACTTTTGACATTGCATCATCATCCATTATTCTAAAATGACAGTTTTATTTATTTTTAATTAAGGCAATTATTTATATAATTCAAATAAATCTGACAACCCGATTTTCATGAGATTTCCTAAAATATTAAAATTACCTTCTAAATATTTTATTTTACTCTGCTAGTGCAGTCTAACTTCTGTGTCTGATATCAATGCTAGGCAAGTGCAGTAAAGCTCTTCATTGCATGAAATTAGGATCAAAATTGGCAGAGGAAGAAGAATCTGTAGAGGCATTTATTTTTTCAAAAGTAGATATGCATTTTACTTTTGCAGCTTTATTTTTTACATTTGTTCCTTTTTGACAAACCCAGTCAAAATAAAACTTTTTTGAGGATTTTTATCTATTACCTATTTCATAACTAGCGGGAGCAGGAATTTGAGAAATGAAGGCAACAGAAAGTCTTCCCATTAATTAGTAGAGCCTGATGACATTCGGGAAGTATCCAGAATCAAAATGTCAAAAAATTTTAAGAGGTATTGATAACAATGAATGATTTGTCCTGTGCTTTCCTACTGTCTATTATAATAACTCATGCTTATTCTATGTTTGGGGCACATTTTGAGTGGCTTTACATAGTATTGCATTTAATTCACGTAATTGCATTGGTCCTATTACTATTAGCTTTTACAGGTGAGTAAACTGGGCCAAGGAGGTTTAAGAGACTTGCCCGAAGTTTCAGAGCTAGCAAGTCACAGCACCAGGAGGCCATGCCCCAAAGGTCTGGTTCAGAGTTTACAGGCTTGACCACTACATGACCCTGCCTCAAGATATGCTCTTTTTACCCATTTTCAGTAATTGCCATGTGGGTTCTATCAGGGAGACTATGAAGCGATGTCACCCCTTCTCCATCTGCCCAAAGGAGCATCCTCTAGGTGTTGGTGCACTAAGCAGACTGGAGAATATACAGGAGTCACCCACAAATTCAAGGATAGAGTCAGACTAGAATAGAATCAGAATAGACACTGAGTGACACAGGCCAGACACAGTCCAAAATAAAGCACCTGGTCTGACCAATACCAACTGAACATTATTAGTCAGGCTAGCCTGGCCCTGAGCTAGGAGAAGCAGGGTTTCCTGGAAGCAAGGAAGAGCCAGGAGTCCAAGAATCTGTCAGAGAATAGCCAGAGCCAGGGATGGCACAGATGTATGGGTAGGCAGTAGGGAAAGCAAAGGTGTAGGAGACAGCTAGGATGAGCTTACATGCTTTTTAAATAAGTCAAAAGAAATGGTTTCCAGTATTGGTTTTTCCTGTTATATGCAACGCAACGTCTCTGCACTGGAGTGTCCTATCTCTCCCTAGACAGGACATTCTGCACTTGAATGTCCTATCTCTCCCTACCTAATTCAGCAACAAATATTTATCTGCTACGATCTCTTGAGACCAGGAGTTTAAGACCAGCCTGGCCAACATGCCAAAACCCCGTCTCTTCAAAAAATACAATAATTAGCTGGGCGTGGTGGCGAGTGCCTGTTGTCCCAGCTACTCGAGAGGCTGAGACAGGAGAGTCACTTGAGCCCTGGAGGCGGAGGTTGCAGTGAGCTGAGATCATGCCACTGTAACTGAGCCTGAGCGAAAGAGTGAGACTGTCTCAAAAAAAGAAAAAAGAAAAAGAAAAAGAAAAAGAAAATACAGTAGAGAAATACGAGCCCATTTTGGAAAATCTCATTTTTTGAGAAAGTAAGATTAAATGGCTCAGGATTTCTACTGACTTAGAAAATGCCTTTAAACAGTTTTAGAAAATTAAACCAAATTAATGCATATAAAGAATATCGATAACACATAAACGTGTAATTTATATTTATATTAAATGTATTTGTACCATATAATCTGCTTATGGTATACCTTCTTTTTATATCTCCAACCCCACTTCTGTCTTTATAAAATTTCTCAAAGAAAGTAGTACCTAATTTGCATATGTTAGAATGGAAATTATCCTGTAAAGATGCATCTACTAAATGCCAGATGTATTTAAGGAGCATCTACATTTGTAATAGACATAAGCCATTTCTAATTTAAATCACATGTTATTTTGTTTACTTTTTGAAAAGAATGTGACATGGAAAGGGCATCACCATCTAATGAAACCTCTTCATTTTACAAATTAGAAAAACAATGCCCAGAAAGTTGTAACTTACAGACATCTCGGAGTCATGAAGTGGTAGAGCTGGAACCAGGGCTCATGTCTGCTCAATGCCCACTCTCATCGCATTTCCACCATCTCACACACACACACACACACACACACACACACACACACAAACACTAGTGTCTCATGCATCTTATTGCTCACATTCTTTTCAAAAAGTAAATAGAACAACATGTGACATAATTTAGGAAGGGGACTTAAAAGTAAAGTGTGTATGACAGAAATAGGGCCACTTAATGGAAACAGCGATGCCAACAAATTACGTTCCTTAGCATTTTGCAAGAAATAGAGCTTTAAGGGGATCTAGAGACCAAATTCAATTTCCCAAGCCAATCATTTAACAGGGCGGTTGTACATTTAGGTTACCCTGAGTGTACAATAGCACTGGATTCGAGTTTTGCTTTTTGATTTTCATTTCTGTCTTTTGACAAGTTTTGTGATAGTAAAGGGGAAAGAATGTCCATCGACTTTCAATAGTCATTTCTACTATGACACCTCTGCTAAAACATCACCCTAATTTAGGCCCCAAGTAGCTCATGCCCAGATTATACCTACGAGACAATCAGGTCCTCTGGCCCACAGGCGCCCCCCCTTCCTATACTGCACCTCACTGACAGATTTATCACCTTTAAACCATTGTTTGCATCATATCACTCCCAGTCAAGCCCTGTGATGGTGTGTGTTTAATAGCTTATTGATTCTGTTCCAAATATTCTAATCTGGCTTTTTCAGTTCTTCATAATCTGTCTGCCTCTCAGAAATTCTACTCTTTCCAGTAAAGCATGCTCATTCGCATCGCCAACCCTTTACTAAATGCTTTTTCCCTTGTCTCTGTTCCCTCTTTCCTCTCTACTATTGCAAACTCTACCCAAGCCTCAAGGCACGCATTCGTGTCCTCCATTCAGCCTTTCCCCACTATTCCAGCCCCCGCTGTTGAGCTCTTTCTCCCTTTTCTGATTCCGTGAATTTTTCCACAGGTTACCCTGCTGGGCTTGCATATCCAAATTCAGTGCAAGTTCTAGGGCAGGAATCATGTTTTATTTTAGGAATCTCATGAGCCCTTTCCCCACCTCCATTGCTACATACCTCAGCACCTTGCTGACTACGACAGATTCTCAGGGAATACTTTGACTGTTGGATAGTTTAGACACGGTGGAGGAAGAGAATGTCAGCTACTTGCAAGCAATGCTGGCAAAAGCATCAGTACTATTTCTAGGGTTAAGTCTCAACCCCATTGCTCTTCTTCATGAATGTACACATTCACTCTACCACTAAATTGTTACTGACTCCTTCCTCTTCAGCGTTTGTTAAATAAGTTTATTTTCTCTAACCTTGGTCCTAAGTCTGATCCACCTCCAAGCAAGTTCACTGTACCTTTTTAGCCACCTCTCTTACTCCAAGGACACAGTCAAATGAAAGTTTTCATTTAGGCTCCCCCTCTCTTTCCTCAATAAGAGGAATTCCCATTCTTTTTCATTTGTGGTGTCCCCTTCCCAGGCTTGAAGGTAGGAGTGATATCGTGGTGACACTTCAGCTGTGGAGACTCTCCTCCTACCACATAAATGCTCCAAACCCAGATGTGTCTACAGCCCAGCTAAGATTAGAAAATGTTACTGGTTTCCCTTCCCTTCTCTGCCCCGCAAAATGACCATGATGCAGAGAGCAAGCTTTGAAGAGTTGGGATTTTTTCCTACTTAGAAGCCTTCTCACTACCTTCCCTCGGTGGAGGGGAAGGGGAAGCCTGCTTCCAGCCACATCTGAAGTTCCAGCTCTGCTTTGTGAGTTCTGACTCCTAAGGAGGCAGGAGAGACCCTCTGGAGGGCTCTAGGCATCCTGCTACTCCTCCTCCCGCTGGCACTCTTCCCTAACGCCAGGTGATCACACCTTCAGTCAAAGAGTTCCCGTTCTTCTGCCTCCTGCAGGATATGCTTCTTGGTCTATACTACCACGTGAGCTTCTTTAGTGGGTTTCCCTGCTCGCCCCTGCCCCCACCCCCCGACCCTCACTTGCGAGCACAGCGCCTCACCCCGGTGGACAGCCCGCCGGCGCCGCCAGGCCCTCTGCTGTGCGCACAAGTCAGCAGCTGGCGGCCTGCTCGCAGCACTGGCAGCGAGGACCTCGGAATCGCTTCCGCCCTCGGGCCTTCTCACGCGTCTAGGGACTGCCTCCAGCAGGTGCAGCCCCAGGTGCCCAATTGCCAGATCTTTAACCTCGCGCTCTCCCAGCCTTCAAAGTTCTCCAACCCGCGCCTGCCAGCCCCAGCGCGCCCTCTTGTCCAGATGCCAGCTCGGTTCAGGGTTCGCCCTCCCCGCGACTCCAGCCCCAGACTTTCCTCCTGGTTTCCAGTGCCCAGCACGGCCACTTACCCAGGGCAAGGGCCAGGAGCAGTGGCAGGGAGCTGGCGCCGCTGCACCGGGCGGCCCGGTCCATCAACCCCGCTCTGCCGGGCCGGGCAGCCCCTAGACAAGTCTCCCTCCTTCTTCGCCCCCTTCCCGGGCCTCGGGCGCCTGAGAGGGTGCCTGGAAACTAATCCCGGAGGCAGAAGGAAACGAAACTACTTCCCAGGCTGGCACCCTGGCTACAAGGCAGGGAAACACCCAGGGCGGGAGGCCGGCCGGCTCCGTGAATGTCGCCGGGAGGAGGGAGCCTCCTATTTATCCCCCCTCCTCCTGCACACACCCCGCCAAAGAGGCGCAGGACTTGGTCCTGGGAGCCTCCACGCTGCTCCCACCCAAATTGCCCCACACCCATACCCACACCCAGGGACATATTCGGGCTGCCCTCGGACCAGCTCACCACTCCCCCTGCTGGGTCTCACCTGACTGACTGTTCATTTCCCTACCCCCTAGGGCGTAAACAAGGTAGGGAGGGAGATGTAAAGAATCCGCGTGGAGGGGTGTCGGGGGTTCCGGTCGGGCCTGCAGGCTGACCTAAACTCCTGGAAGCCACCGAGGAAGAGTCAGAGACCCAAACGTGTTCTGGAATTCTAACTTCCTTTATTTCAGAGGATTGCTAGTGTCATGGAGAAACCAGACTCACCATTCATTGTGGTTGACTTCAGGCATTTGATAATGCAGGCAATTTCAAAAGAGTCATTGTTGCCTTTTAAAGTCTTGAAGCCATAGCGAAACCTCGTCTCTACAAAAAATACAAAAGTAAATTAATAGCCGGGTATGGTGGTGTGCACCTGCAGTCCCATCCATTCCCTGAGGCTGAGGTGGGGAGGATCGCTTAAGCTTGGGAGATGGAGCCTTCAATGAGCCTAGATCGAGCCACTTCACTCCAGCCAAGGCGCAAGAGTGAGACACTGTTTCAAAACAACGACAACAACAACAACAACATCAGCAACAAAAAAAAAAAAAAAAAAAAAGAAAAGAAATGAAAAAAGTCTTCAAGCTAGTGTCTTAGTTTCTGGGTGCATTGTCTTCTAATAATTCATAAAATTGGGGCTCACCAGGACCTACTTTAGAAATTTCATTTGTATTTCTGTTTATGAATTTACTCATGTATTCAGTATATTTTCATTTACTTGCATTAAGCAATTTCTGGAACAGAAAGACATCCTCACAGCTTTTAGAGAAAGCAAGCAGCATCCAATTTTACCTTATGTGGTTATATATTGCCTCCAAGATAACCAAAAGATACAGCTGCTTTTGTACTGGTCTGTGTTCCTCATATAAGATTTATGTGGATAATTATGCCCCTCAGTACAGAAATTTTATTTCTATAGCATCCAAAAGTCATGTAAGCCTTATTTTACATATGAAATGTAGTTTGGGTGTCTGCCTCTTCCTCCTCATCCTACTGTTTAAGTTAAGTAAATTGTTGTGCACTTGTCTCCCACGAATAACATTTCATTTCAAAACTAAATTATTTTACTGCCCCAGGCAACTGATATATCCGGTGGAATAAAAATCAGCTCTTAATTTTCAGAATCCCATTCTAGTCCCACATGACAGCTCATAAAACATTGGTAGAGAGGGCAGGCATGAAGTTTAAAGAAACCCAAAGTTGTAAGATGGAAGGTTACTGCACCCCAGCTAAAAAGAGCAGAAACACTGGAAGCCAATGGATTTTGACATCATCTCCCTCCCTCTCAACACTTCCACCCTGCATTTTTCTTTTCTGATATTCTCTCCATCTCTCAGCACCAGTGCCCTAAGTTAAAGTATCTCTTACTCCAAGATGGCATTTAGCCTAGCCAACAGCTGTCCTGTTAGCCCCAACAGAATGCTACAATTTTGTTTTCCTTTTTCGTAGATACTAATAAAAAAAAAAAAAAGCGAGACCTAAACAAAAAGTACTAAATGTTTGTTGAGCATTGGAAAATTCCAGGACTTGGTGTAAGTATTCATCATTTATGCCATTCAAGTGGTAAATTAACTTTTTCAGGCCACTAGAATATGAAGTAGTATAATTTAATATACTAAATAGGACAGATAAATTAATAACCTTCCTTGAGGGCTTTATTTACCACCATAAATAAAATAAGTACTCCCAAGAAAATCCAAATTTTCTGACACTGGATATCCAATCTCTTCAATGTTAAGAGACTTTTCCTGTCTTTTTTTGTTTGTTTCTTTTTTTTCCCCTCACTTTCTTTCTCTCTGTTCTTCCTCCTCTTCTTCCCTCTCCTTCTCCTTCTTCTTTTTCTCCCCCAGCCCCCAACCACCTCTCTCTCTCAAGTCATTTGCTTATGGGGCATGGTAAAGCTGGAATACAACCATTACATTTGGAAGAGTGGAAGGTAAGAATTGATTTTCCTGAGTCCTCAAACATGTAACTGAGTTGCGTCTCAGTGCTTTCATTTGCAAGCTGAGCTGTTACTAAGAGAAAAATAAACCAAAGTTACACCAGAGTCACAAGGTGAAACTTGTATTCCTAGTTAACCCCAAGGTAGGAATTGCTTGAGTGCTGTTCTTCCTGTGCCAGGTTTAGGCAGGTATAACCAGTCCTCCCAAATCTGGTATGAGGCTTAAGTAGATTCCTTTGGAGGGCCTTTAAGCATCAGCCTTTTTCTCTTCCCACACAGAACAGCCTGCAGCTGGGACCGTCCTCCCCGTCTTCTGGACAGGACAAAATAAACTTGTAGTTACATATAGGGCACAACACATAAACAGACACACGCCATGATGGAAAGGAAAATTTTGGAATGCATTCCTTCTAGGCCAACATGTATTCTCCAAATGAAGGCTTTAAGGCATTCAGTAGTATAGGAAAATTTCCTAATGACCATTAACTTTATTTAATAAGAGTGGGTGAATGAAAATGATGAAAGGCATTTTTAAAATTGTAATTTTTATAGTAATGATAAGCATCATGCATTGTAGATTATTAGTGGTACAGTTACATAGAGAGAACTTTCAAATATTTTATTTAAAACTACTGAATTGGTTTCTAAGAATGTATCAGTGAAAAATCACTGCTCAAAAGTTGTATTCAGGTAATTGTATTTTATAATCTAGTTGTTCTGAGGGAGGTAGTTATTTTTTTTCCTGCCTACTTTCTTGTATCTTCCTCTTCAGTCTAGGGGATCCACTTTTTATATGTATTTCTCAATGTGTTTGATTTGTATCTCTTTTATTTTTATTTATTTTGTTTTTTGAGACAAAATCTTGCTCTTGTCCCCCAGGCTGGAGTGCAATGGCGTGATCTCTGCTCACTGCAACCTCTGCCTCCGGGTTCAAGCAATTCTCCTGTCTCAGCCTCCCAAGTAGCTGGGGATTGCTGGCACCTGCCACCACACCCAGCTAATTTTTTGTGGTTTTTTTTTAGTAGAGATGGGGTTTCACCATGTTGGCTAGACTGGTCTCGAACTCCTGACCTCAGGAGATCCACCTCGGCCTCCCAAAGTGCTGGGATTACAGGCGTGAGCAACCACGCCCGGCTGACTTGCTATCTCTTTTAAATGGCAGCTTAACATATGTTATTAAACCTCAAAAATAATTGTCTCTGTGACATTATACCTGTTAGTTTCAGTTCACCATGATGATCTTTTTCTTTGGCCATATTGAAACATACTTCAAAAAGTAACTTCTGATTTTAAAAAATCTGGGCTTTTGTGCTGGCCCTAGTTGTAGGCTAAGTGAGAAAGCACCTATGTGGCCCTAGACATCTCTTCCTAAAGTCCTTGCCACAGTGGCTTCATCTCTTCCTACTTGGTCCCAGACTTCCAGCAAGGTAGACACTCCTCTAGGTGGGACAACAGAGCTGGAATATTATGTACAATTGGTTTTGGAATCTGTTCAGTCTGTTCAATTTGGATCTGTGTCACCCAATGACTGAACCACAAACTACTTACCTCTCTGAACCTCAGTTTCCTCATTGATAAAATGTGATGGTAATGACTTGCACAGTTTTTATGATTCCCAATAATACATATCTTCAAGGAAAAAATCTGGTGTATTAGAAACTGTTCAGTGAATTATAGTTGATAGTAGTAGGAGTAGGAGTACTAGTAGTAGTAGTATTGGTAGAGATGGGTGTCTCACTATGTGACTAGTCTCGAACTCCTGGCCTCAAGTAATCTTTCCTCCTCAGCCTCCCAAAATGCTAGTATTACAAGCATGAGCCACCATGTTCCACTGATAGTTGTTATGTCATTATAAAATTTTACATGGTACATAGAGAGAACCAGTAGGAAAAGGCATCCTTACTAACCCTCTCTTACTAATAGTTGAAGTAGAGAAAGAAAGGCACAGAGCAAGGCTCTGCTGGGAAAGTAACACTGAGCTAAAATTCCATGGATTTGGGTACAATTTTGCCTCTTCATATGCCCTTACACCTCCCTTACACCTCTCTGACCACCTTCTCCATCCTTTTTATTTCTCCTTCCTCCTTCAACTCTCTTTAGAGACCAAGATAGCACGTAACCCAGGATACAAAAACGTGTTGAATATAAACAAAGTACTGTGATTTGAAGATTTAAATAAATGAGCTACCTAGTTTCCCAGAATGCAAAGAAATAAATTCAAAAATTAACTCAAAAAATGAATGTTTGTTGTTGTTGTTGTTGTTGTTGTTGTTTTTGAGACAGAGGAGTCTCACTCTGTTGCTCAGGCTGGAGTGCAATGGCGCAATCTTGGCTCACTGCAAACTCTGCCTCCCGGGTTCAAGTGATTCTCCTGCCTCAGTCTCCCAAGTAACTGGGATTGCAGACATGCATCACCACGCCAAGCTAATTTTTGTATTTTTAGTAGATACGGGGTCTCCCCATGTTGGCCATGCTGTTCTTGAACTCTCGACCTCAGGTGATCCACCCAGCTCGGCCTCCCAAAGTGCTGAGATTACAGGTGTGAGCCACCGCACCCAGCCAAATAATGAATGCTTAATGAGTTTACAACAAACTAACACAGCTTTACGTGGTCATTTTCCCTCCTTCCCCCAACTTCTTGGTAAGGAGAAATGGTGACAGGAAAGAGTAAGAAATGAGAAGCAGCAAAGCTGGAGAAGAGAGGGAGGATGAGCTTAAAATAATTCTTCAAAAAATCTTTCATAGATGCAGAATGATATGTTAAAGGAGTTAAAAAAAAGGTGAAATCTACCTCTTGTATCATCTTCGTTTCTCATCCTTCCTTTGTTTTAAGGTGACATCAATATACATGTTATTAACCTCAAAATAATTTAATGGTCCTTATGATTCCCCCAAACAATTCAGTTATATCTTTAGTCTAACAATCCTTGGAATTTAAGATTTTTTCAGAGATAACTACATGTCTTCCTTTAATGATACATTTAAATTGCTTTTATATTTCTCATAGTGTAATTTTTTCGGAAATATTTCTTTAGCCCTATAATATATACCTGCCATCTGTCCATAAATACAGTATTTTTAAAACGCTAAAACTAATGTAAACTCTTCAGAAATGACTTAGCAGAAAATATGATATCATGCTTACAAAATATTCTGAAGTTACTGTCCTTTGTCTTTAAGGTATATTGAAAGTTCTTATTATTGTCCCTATGAATCTCTGTAAGATACTTTTAATAATTTTGTCCCCAGCATTACCACCTAATAATGGTCCACATAACTAGTTAGTTTTGAGATCCAAGGAGTATAATCCACAAATGCAAACAAGTTTAAACCTTAGAAAATAAAACCAGCATTACTCTCTAAATTTACTATGTTTAGGCTTTTGGGAGATAAGAAAAACTAGTATCCGTTTAATTTAATAAGAATTAATTATCTACATTTGTACAATACTTTCCCATATATTAACGATTTGAATTTAAAGTAGCTGCTGAGATAGGCAGGCAGTATTATTATTCTCATCTTAATGAGAGGAAATAGATGTCTGCATAGTCAAGTGATTGGTCCAACTTTCAAAGTAACTCCTAGAATCAAGGTCTAAAGGCAGTAAGGCTCAAGCTATCATAACGAAATGCCATAGACTGGGTGGCATAAACAACAAAAATTTATCTTCTCACAGTTCTAGAAGCTAGGAAGTATGAGATCCGGTGATTCAGTCCTAGTGAGGTCTCTTTTCCTGGCTTGCAGATGGCCACCTTCTCACTGTGAGCTCACATGGCCTTTTTTCATCATGTTCACATGAAGAGAGATAGGGAGATCTCGCTTTTTCTCTTCTTATGAGGCCACCAATCCTATCAGGTTGGGACTCCATTATTATGACGTCATTTAACCTTAATTACCTCCTAAAAATCCTATATCCAAGTCACCCTGGGGGTTAGGGCTTCAATGTATAAATTTTGAGGGAATACAAACATTCAGTTCATAACATAGAGTTGGGTTTGGGAATTAGACAGGCTTAGCTCTGCCACTTTTTTCTTTTTAATAAAGCTTTTTATGTTTAAAACGTTTAGATTCAAAGAGAAATTCAAAAATGTTACAGAGAGTTTCTGTACATCTTGCATGTAGTTTCTCCTATTGTTAATAGCTTACCTTAGTAAGGTTCATTTGTTGAAACTAAGGAACAAACATTAGTGCATTGCTATTAACTAAAGTCCATATTTTACTTACATTTTCTTTGTTTTTGTCTAATTTTTTTTTTTATGTTCCAGTGTCCCATCCTGGATACCACATTACCTTTAGTCGTCATTTGTCCTAAGGATCCTTTTGGCTGTGACAGTTTTTCAGACTTTGCTTTTGCTGGCCTTGAAAGTTTCAAAGAGTACTCATCAGGTATGTCATAGCATGTTCTACAATTGTGTCTTTTCTGAGGTTTTTCTCATGGTTAGGTTTTTCTGGTTTGGTGGAAGAAGACCACAATGATAAAATATCATTTCTACTGATTTTATGAAGGGTGAATAATGTCAACATGATAACTATTCTTGATATTGACCTTGGTCACCTGGTTGAGTTCATTTTGTCAGGTTTCTCCATAGTAAGTAATTCTTTACCTCCTCCTACTCCCCATACTGTATTCTGGAGGGAAATCACTAAGTCCAGCCCATACTTACTGGTGGAGAGTTATGCTCCACCTTTCTGAGGGAGGAGTATCAACATAAATTATTTAGCATTTTTTGCAAAGATTTTTCTATTCTCTTATATTTATTTATTCAATCATTCATTTATATTGTTATGAATTAATGGAATTATTTTATATTTGCCCTATAATCCAAAACAACTTGGATCTCTGTTACCACCTGCTGAATGCACGTTTTAATAGAGTATGAGTTATTTTTCCTTTGCTCTTCATTGCAGTCATGTATGGAATACAGGTTACATTGGAGGAAAACATGCAACTCGATCTATTGTATTTGTTAAAGTAAGCTAAGACAGGACATAGGCTCTGGTAAAGATTTTATTACAACAAAAACACAAATTGACAAATTGGACCTAATTGAACTACAGAGCTTCTGCACAACAAAAGCAACAACCAACAGAGTAAATAGACAATCTACAGAATGGGAGAAAATATTTGCAAACTGTGCATTCAACAAATATCTAATGTATAGAATCTATAAGGAGCTTAAACAAATTAACAAGCAAAAAACCAACAACTCATTAAAAAGTGGGCAAAGCACATGAACAGATACTTTTCAAGAGAAGACTTACAAGCAGCCAACAAGCATATAAAAAGATGCTCAATGTCACTAGTAGTTACAGAAATGCAAATCACAATGAGATACCATCTTACACCAGTCATAATTGCTGTTATTAAAAGGTCAAAAAAATAACAGATGCCTGCAAGTTTGCGGAGAAAAGGGAACACATACACTGCTGGTGGGAATGTAAATTAGTTCAGTCATCGTGGAAAGCAGCTTGGAGATTTCTCAAAGAACTTAAAAGAGAAATACCACTTGACCCAGCAATCCCTTTACCGAGTGTATACCCAGAAGAATGTAAATCATTCTGCCATAAAGACACATGCACATGTGTGTTCATTGCAGCACTATTCACAATAGCAAAGACATGGAATCAACTAAATGTCCATTAATGGTAGACTGGATAAAGAAAATGTGGTACATGTACACCATAGAATACCACACAGCCATAGTAAAGAATGAGATTGTGTCCTTTGCAGCAACATGATGGAGCTGGAAGTCATTCACCTAAGCAAACTAACACAGAAACAGAAAACCAAATCCTGCATGTTGTCACTTATAAGTGGGAGCTAAACATTGAGTACACATAGACACAAAGAAGAGAACAATAGACATCAGGGCCTAATTGAGGGTGGAAGGTGGGAGGAGGGTGAGGATCAATAAACTACATATTGGAAATTATGCTTACTACCTGGGTGATGAAATGATCTGTACTCCAAACCCCCATGACATGCAATCTACCTACATAACAAACCTGCATATGTACTCCTGAACTTAAAATAAAAGTTTAAAAATTTTTTAATTAAAAAAGCAAGCTAAGACATGATGACACATAAATTTCAGAATTCAATGGCTTAAAGAACAATGTTTATTACTTTTTTATGTAACTGCTTAGGGTGGGGATAACAGGAACTACAAAGCCATTTAAAGACCTAGAGTGATGGAGGCTATACCATCTTCACATTTGTCTCCCAGTAAAATGTCTCCAATGTTTAAATGGAGGGGAGAGCATGTACTGAATAATTGTATGGGCCAGGCCTGAAAGTAGTATATACCTTGTATGTTCACATTCCATTGACTAGAACTCAGTCACACAGCCATAACTCTTCAGGGAGCCTGGAAAATACAGCCCAGTTGTACCAGGAAAAAAGGGAGAATGGATTTTGGTGGACATGCAGTCTGCCACAACTAGTAAATGAAATGAAGAAGTGTGTAAATACAAACTTGCAGAATAACATCATTGACATGGTTTTAAAAATGTCATCTACCACCAGAGATAACGATGCTGTTGCTAGTGTTGGTTCTAGGCTGAAATTTTAATCAGATAATGTGTAGGGAAATGCTTTGGAGGCTGTAAAGTTGTAAACAAGTGTGAAGTGTTATAATTATTTCTCATTTTAGCTTCATGCATTGAAAAAAAATACATATTGAAAATGTGTTAGCCCCAACAATCATAACTAACTTAGAATTTGTTCATTCTAAGATGCACACTTTTTGATGCTTTATCATCATTGACATCAGGACGCATCTCTCCATGTTGTCACGCAGCAGTTACAATAAAGTTGTTATTCCTTCAGCATATTCTCAAAGGCTTAACAAATAATCCTGTAGACCAAAATGGAACACCCTTTTAAGTAATGCTATATCACCAATACCTTTAAAAGCATGAAAAAAATTGTGTGGAATAACAAAAATAGCAATAATTCAAAGTTAAAACTAGTTAGGAAAAGTAAGACTTCGTATTTAACATTTGCCTATTTATTTCTTTTTATGCATACATAATACCAGTATATAATAATCTATGTATAAATCTAAAATATTTCTTTCAATTAGGATAAAATTAAAATTCCAAGTAATAAGAAAATATTTGTCATTGTTTAATTTTTAATTAAAAAATTGTTTCCTTAACGTCCATAAAGTAATGATACATCATATAAACAATAGTATTTTATATCAGACAAAGTATGGCATTTGGCGCTCAAAATTATAAACTCCTTGACATTCTCTAGTCTGGACTGGCACGCTTGGCAGAGCTGGCTGATGCCTCAGCTATGTTATTTCAACCACAACACAAGCCATGGCCCAAAATATATGCTCAAATCCCCTTCTTTGGTTTGCTAAAATTCTCACTAAAATTATTTTCTCCCTTAAGTATATTTCCTAGAGAAGCTCATAAAAAATGTAAAGTTGTTATCCAAGAGAGCTAACTCATTAAGACATTAACATCCTTTAAATAGTAGATGAACTAATTTAGTATAAGAGATAGGCAGTCACTTAGTGAGATATGACAGGAAATTTCTGTCTGCTGCATAAAGTATCATTAAAGACTACAGGCTGGGAAATCAAACTCAAAGCTGGGTCAGCTTACTATAGGCAAATGTGCTGAGTAGGAAGAAAGGGAAAAAAAAATCACAGCAAAAGGCAAAGGAGGGAAAACCGAGACAATTTTTGCTTACCCTCCATTTTGTTTATACTCCACTTTGGCCTTCATTATAGTATTTCTTTCTGCTCCTCTATTCTTGCAGAAATATCTGTAGAATTTCATTAGAAATACAAATCTCAGTGATATAACACTGGCCTGAGGACCTGGGTAGAAGTGAACCTCAAGAAAGCAAACCCTGCCTTTCCTCTCTGCCTCATATTTATGAAGGTAAAATCTGATTAGCATTGCAATTGTGCTTATATCTTCTACTAAATAATTTCACAAAGCACCTCTATGGAAATAATATACAAAAAATCTATTTCTATATTTTCTTATTTAATTTTCATCATAACCCTGTGAAATGTTATTTCTCCGATTTTCAAGAGGAAAAACTAAGGCTAAAGTAAGTTAAATTATTTGCTTGAGGACACATAGAGAGTACATGATACAACTTGGTCTCACTCTCAGATCCTGTGATTTAGAACTGTAGAATTTTCTAACACAAGGCCAGATTTCTCTTTTGGGATGTTAAGCAGTGCAGGTAAAATAAAATTGTAGGGGAGGTATTATAGGTAACCACATACATGCAATAACCAGTTCTCCATTCTGGAAGGTGGTGACACATATTGTGACAATGGAATCCTCCAGGCCCATGATATGTTTTTCTTGCTCACCTGAGCCTGAGTGCAGGAGGTCTACACTGGTGGTATGGCATCCTACCACTGCAATCATGATAGAAAAACATTTAAGCTTCTTAGAAATCTTAGAACAGCTTTACAGACTACAACAAAAAGGGTAGGACTCTACAAAACTGGATGCATCTGGGCTTGGGGTGTTCTAAATCAAGAAAACTAAAATCTAGAGAACCTACCAAGAATAATCGCAATGACTGATTCTTCTTCCATTAAGAACCAACATTTCTGAAAAACCTATAAAAAATTAGAAATTTTATTATCCATCCCAGCTTCTAGATTCATTATCAAGAAAAAGAAGAGTACTTTGAACACATAGATGTAGAAGTAAAACACTAAGTGTCACTAAACTCCTGTTCACCTGAATTGTCAGAACAATTAGTTCATCATTTCATTATTCTATTTGGCAAATTTTCCTGGAGAACCTACAATCAGCCAAGCAGAGTGACACTAAAGAATGTCATACCTGCCCCTGGTGCCTTTCCTCTAGGTCACATCCTGATCCTGTTCTCTGTATTTTATCAGGTTTTGAGAGGAGGTAAGAAGACAAAGCCCAAGGACAAGAGAGCCACATTCCCTAGACATAGGGCAAAGCTAGACTATCCTGTCTGCCTCATTTATCCCATATCATATTCCGGTTCTGTAATGCCTCCGAGCCCTCTCCAAGCAAATACACAGTACTATGAAGAAAATGTTGCCCTATTTGCTTCTCCAAACATTGCCCTATTTGCTCCTCCTCTTAGCACAGTGGCCCAATTGTGGATCTGTGAGGATTCCATTACATCCTTGACTCATGTTAACATTCCTCCTTTGGAATGATGTAAGAAAGAATGCACAGAGCACCCCCTAGAGAGTAATGTAAGTGACCAACAATTGATTCATAAGCATTATCATAAATCCCATGAGGAAAAAAATAATTGGGAGGAGTTTTTAGAAAATACTACTTTATATGTGCTAATATCACAAGAAAAGTAAGTTAAAAAGTTAAACAAGGAGAACAGTATAATCTTAAAATTTAAATCTTAAGTAAAGATACAGCCTTGGTTCAAAACTTAGCATTGTTTTTTGCCAGCTATGTGACCTTGAGCAAATTACTTAGCTTTATCCAACCCAAATTTTCACAGCTCTAAATTGAAAATTATAACAGAACTACTCATAGGGTTCTTGTAAGATTGAAATGGGAAATTAAAGGCTTGTAGCATGGTGCCTGGTACATAACAAATATTCACTATTCATTATTATAATTATGCACAAGATAGCCTCAAAGTTATCCCAAGATTTGGTGCAATTGTAGCAATCACTGGAAGAGTATATTAGAAAGAAGCAGCCTTGTTAGAAGATGTAGAGATTTACACCTGTATGAGACTCTCAGGTCCTGAAAGCAGACCTTATGAAGTACAGTGGAAAGTATCAGGGTGAAGATAAAAAAAAAGTGGGGCTGGAAGAGATGGTGAGGGATAGAAATCAGAAGTAACACTGTTGTGAAAATATCTTGCAAATTACTGGCCAGATAAAAAATAGTTTCCTAACCTATATAATGGCAAAATCATTAGAAAGAAAAGATTTTCTTTCTACTTTTGCCCCTATTCCAGCTCATCAAATATATACTGAATATCTACCTTGTACTAGGCTTTATATTAGGAAGTGCTGTTATTACTCAAATGAAAACATCATCTATGAGGGCCCTCTGCCTGTAGCATCTTTCACTAGACTGTAGACACACTTATTCTGAACAAACTGGATGCTCCTGCCCACCTAGCTATTCCATAGAAGGTCACCTTAACAGGTAGGGAAGGAATTCCTTCAGTTAAGAGTATGTGAGTGCCTTATTCCTCTGCTAGTATAATAACAACAATGAACGCTTACTGTGTACCAGGCACTGTTCTAAACACTTTATGTACATTAACTTTTTTAAATGTTCACCACATATATTGTGAATTATATACTATTGTTATCCTCATTTCACCATTGAGAAAAACTAAAACAGAAGTTGAATAACTCGCCCAAGATCACGTGGGTAAAATGTGGCAGAGCTTTGCTATATGTGCTACATACGTGCAAATTCTGAACTCTGAACACACACTTCAAATCCAATGACCTAGTAGTAAATCACTGACTCTGACTTTGAAGACCTCAAATAATAGTGTGGGGTGAGGTCAGCCTTCTGACCACCTGCTGAAAGCCGCATTTGGGAACAACAGTGTATCTAATGAATTCTTCACTTTCCTTTCTGAAAAATCATATCTCTTCACAATATAGAGGAGGAGATGGGACAATTATTGCTTTGGTTGTAATTGAAACTCACAGGAGGAATTGGTTATACAGTTAAGGCAAAATAAATTATAGAAGAAAAATGACTATGCAACCCTAGAATTAGTGATGGCCACACAGGGGAAAGCTGGAGTCCACTCTGCAACTTCAGTTGAAAGAAGGCAGACTTGCAAAAGCATATCAGGGAAAACAGGCATGTTAAAATAATAGGACACAAGAAGCTAAAAGAGGTGAATGAATGTTTCAAGAGTTAAAAGTGCTCAAGAAAACATGATTCGAATTATGTAATTATTAACAATTTCAGTTAAAGGCAGTCACAGACCTCTTAAAATAGCATCAAAAGGGGCTGAGGTGTGTGAAAATGATTCAGGACCACAGAAAGGTTACCCTAATTATGTTTATAATGAAAATATCAAAAAAAAGGCCTAGCACTCCTGTTCTATGCCAATGGTGCAACATACACGAATCACATACATTTTTAAATTTTTCACCTGTATTGTGATTTTATTTTTTCTACCAAGGAGAACAAAAGGAGCAGGAAAAAAACACCTGAAGTAGTATGAAAACTCAAGATGCGTGTAGAGATTTTAAAATTGCTCTCAACTCCCTTAATGAATTTGAGTATTTTTTATTCCTATGGATCACATTCCAAAGATAGTGGGGAAGGGGGGTGCTGGTGAGAAGCTCTTGGTAATCTCTGTGAAATCAGTTCCAAAAGACTGAAGAAAAGAAATATATTTTTAGTGATCCCAAAAGGGAAGAACATGTATTTATAAATGATAGGTTGCTAAACTTAACCAGACTGGGGTGGGTTCTTGCCTCTGTTTCACAAGTGACAGATCTTTCTGGGTTGTTTAGCCTTAAGCAGACAGGACAGGGCAAGGAGGGAGGGAAAGTGGCTTGCATGACAGATGTCTTCAAATATTTGAAGAGTTGTCATGTGGAGAATGAATTATATTCATAACTGCTGAGTCCCAGTGGTTATAACAAGGACCTAGCGCTTAGAGGCAGATGAGTTTGGATTCAATATAAGAAAGTCTGTCTAAAATTTTAATGAGAAAATAGACTCCCTTGGGAAATAGTAAGTTCCCTGGCACTGGAAGTGCACATGCTGTGTATTGTAAAGGAAACTAAAATAATTTCATCTCCCTCCTAAACTGGACATTAGGATGCTCCAAGACTATAGGACCTCAAACAGTCTTTTCAGCCCTAAAATGCTAATGCAAGTCAAGATTTCTTCCTTCAACATAGTTTTAAACTGACCAAATGGTCATTAATAAATTATTTCTGCTTAAATATCCCATGAAACCAGCCACTGAAAAAATAATTTTGGGGACTGGGGGGATGGATGATGAGAAATTACTTAATGGGTATAATGTACATTATTCAGGTGATGGATATACTAAAAGCCCAGACTTAACCAGTATACCATATAACCATGTAACAAAATTGCACCTGAACACCTTAAACTTATACAAATTTTAAAAATAAAGCAAAATAATAATAATTTTAAAAATTCATTAACATACTAATGGCTGAGAATTTCCTATGTTCTAAACTATTCTCTAATTGCAACTTTATTTAAAACTAGTACTTTTGATTTATGGTCTGTAATATTCTGTAATATTCATACGCTCATCTGCTCCTAAAGAAATATAAAATAAATTCTAAAGTGTTTTTATTACAAATTGTGGTCTATTGGTCTCATAAAGGACACAATTTTTTTTTTTACAAAATCAGTGTGCAAAAATCACAAGCTTTCTTATACACCAATAACAGCCAGAGAGCCGAATCATGAGTGAACTCCCATTCACAATTGCTTCAAAGAGAATAAAATACCTGGGAATCCAACTTACAAGGGACATGAAGGACCTCTTGAAGGAGAACTACAAACCACTGCTCAATGAAGTAAAAGAGGATACAAACAAATGGAAGAACATTCCATGCTCATGAGTAGGAAGAATCAATATTGTGAAAATGGCCATACTGGCCAAGGTAATTTATAGATTCAATGCCATCCCCATCAAGCTACCAATGGCTTTCTTCACAGAATTGGAAAAAAACTACTTTAAAGTTCATATGGAACCAAAAAACAGCCCGCATCGCCAAGTCAATCCTAAGCCAAAAGAACAAAGCTGGAGGCATCACACTACCTGACTTCAAACTATACTACAAGGCTACAGTAACCAAAACAGCATGGTACTGGTACCAAAACAGAGATATAGACCAATGGAACAGAACAGAGCCCTCAGAAATAATGCTGCATATCTACAACCATCTGATCTTTGACAAATCTGACAAAAACAAGAAATGGGGAAAGGATTCCCTGTTTAATAAATGGTGCTGGGAAAACTGGCTAGCCATATGTAGAAAGCTGAAACTGGATCCCTTCCTTACACCTTATACAAAAATTCATTCAAGATGGATTAAAGACTTAAATGTTAGACCTAAAACCATAAAAATCCTAGAAGAAAACCTAAGCAATACCATTCAAGTCATAGGCATGGGCAAGGACTTCATGTCTAAAACACCAAAAGCAATGGCAACAAAGCCAAAATTGACAAATGGGATCTAATTAAACTAAAGAGCTTCTGCACAGCAGGAGAAACTACCATCAGAGTGAACAGACAACCTACAGAATGGGAGAAAATTTTTGCAATCTACTCGTCTGACAAAGGGCTAATATCCAGAATCTACAATGAACTCAAACAAATTTACAAGAAAAAAACAAACAACCCCATCAAAAAGTGGGTGAAGGATGTGAACAGACACTTCTCAAAAGAAGACATTTATGCAGCCAAAAGACACATGAAAAAATGTTCATCATCACTGGCCATAAGGGACACAATTTAACAATTTCTGCATTCTGTAGCCTATCAACAATTACAAGCTAATATCAATTATTAAAGCACTTAAATGTGAATTAGATCACATTAAATTTTGATGCAGTCCATATCAACATCTTTAAGCCATCTAGAATATATTTTTAAATGTATGGCTGAGGGCACAACATGGAGATTTGACACCATAATAAGAACATAAGACTGCATTTAAGCAGAGTAAATATTCCCAGGAACAAAGGAATCTAAAGGAAGGATTCTTTCTATAATAACTTCAATCAATGCCCTAAGAAGGTGAAGGATGAGATTTTAAATGTAGTCTACACTGAAAAGCTGTTTTGAGACTTTCAGCTGTGATGACAAATGATATTTATAAATCTTAATAACTTCTAACTGCTATATCCCTTTTTTCTAAATAACTTCTAACTGCTATATCCCTTGTCAAAATGGTAAATTCCTCAGAAAATACACCAGTGACTAAATAACCTTAATTCTCTCCCTTCAAATATTTATAATTTGGGTTTTTAATTTTTCATTATGTACCTTTTATTCATTTCACATCTTCTTCATCCTCAATAAGGCTTGGGAAGTATTCATCTCTATTGCCGTCTTTGGCCTTTGTTTTATAAATAAGACACAAATAAGTTTTGTAAGTGAAGTCTCAGCATTAGAACCAGAATCAAGGTCTTTTGTGACCAGACCCAATATATAATCTAGCACACTATAATCTTCTCCCACCTTAGGGCTGACAAGTTCATTAATAAAACCCTTCAAGTCAATCCAGACTTGCAAATTGTCATTGCCTAACATCTCAGGGATAAGAAAAAAAATTATGCCCTTCTTTAGAAATTTGCTTAGCAGAAGATATTGTGGAAAAGAAATTAAATCATTTATTATAAAAAAAAAACTTCCCTCAACTCTCTCAATTTTTATACTTCCATCATTTCTCTCAGTTTAAGGGTATTATTTACACTGCAGTTATTTTCAACTATCTCCTTTATTAACATCTAAAATACTTTCCCTCATGAATCAAAATGATAGCTCTGCCAACAATAAATGTCTCTCATGGCTTTTCAGAGAAAATGTTCCCAAAAGCCCTTCTGTCCAGGGAAGAGATTCAAGCTGTCTTCACCCTCTTAATAGGGACTTATGAAATGTCCTGCTCAGAAAAAAGGAAATAACTAAAGATGGAAAAGATAATCTCCACCCCCCACCCCTTCACAGCCTGACTTCCCACTTCATTTCCAATGCTATTTAACTCAGACCCTTATCATCTCATGCATGGAATAGTCTGCTAACTGATTTTCCTGACTCCAATATTATTTCTCTGCCTCACTTCCTTTGTATGTAAAGTAGAGAATAATGATGGCACCTTCTTTTATAGATTGCTATGAAAAACAAATGAGTGACTACATAGAAACTGTTTAGACTAGTGTCTGGCACATAGTAAGCTCTCAGTAAATGTTAACCCCATATGAAATTTTATCTTCTATGCTTCTCTAAGGCTGATCATTCTGCAGTGAAAATCTGGATGCACCCAGAATCCACCACTTCCCATCTCTTCTGCTGCTACCATTCTGGTCCAAGCCACCATCATCACCTGCCCTGGATTATTACAATAGACTCCAAATTGGTCTGTTAACCCAATGGCCAGGTGATCCTTTTGAATTTCAAGTTGGATTATGTCACTAGTCTGTGCTCTCTTTCCCTCTCTCTCTCAACTCTTCATGTCATTACAAGTACACATCAAAGTCCTTACAGTGGTCTCCAAGGCCCTGCACAGTCCATGACCCTTTTTCCCTTACTTTCCTGATGTCACCTCCACCTCCACTTCTCGCGGTTTACTTAACTCAGCCTCTCAAGCCTCTTCAGGATACCCCACACATGCCAAGTCTCTTCCTACTGTAGATCCTTTGGACCAGCAGTTCCCTCTTCCTGTGACATCTTCTCCCCTCTCCCATACAATTTTCATCATTTATTCCTTTATCTCTTTCCAATCTTTGGCTGCCCTATTTAGAACTGCAACTCTTCCTCTACCCCAGTAGTGCTGACACCCCTTAACCTCCTCTATATTTTTCCATGGTACATATGGCTTTTTGACGTGCTGTGTAATTTTTATTTATTTATTTATTTATTTATTTATTTATTTATTTATTTATTTATTATTATACTTTAAGTTTTAGGGTACATGTGCACATTGTGCAGGTTAGTTACATATGTATACATGGGCCATGCTGGTGTGCCGCACCCACTAACTCGTCATCTAGCATTAGGTATATCTCCCAATGCTATCCCTCCCCCCTCCCCCCACCCCACCACAGTCCCCAGAGTGTGATATTCCCCTTCCTGTGTCCATGTGATCTCATTGTTCAATTCCCACCTATGAGTGAGAATATGCGGTGTTTGGTTTTTTGTTCTTGTGATAGTTTACTGAGAATGATGATTTCCAATTTCATCCATGTCCCTACAAAGGACATGAACTCATCATTTTTTATGGCTGCATAGTATTCCATGGTGTATATATGCCACATTTTCTTAATCCAGTCTATCATTGTTGGACATTTGGGTTGGTTCCAAGTCTTTGCTATTGTGAATAATGCCACAATAAACATACGTGTGCTGTATAATTTACTTGTTGATAACATATATCCCCCATCCCCAGTAACAAAGTAAGCTCCACAGGGGCAGAGATTGTTATCTGTTTGTTTATTGATGTGTCCTTAATGCTTAGAAGAATCCCTGGCATGTAACATATTTAATACCCATTTATCCTATAAAACAATGAATAAACAAGTTAATGAACATGTTGCCATTCTGCTGAATACCCTTCAATATCTCCCCACTGCCAAATTAAGTCCAGACTTCTTAGCCAGGTACATCTAATGATCCAGCCCCTGCCCATCCCTTAGCCCTGATCTCTAGTAGTGACCCACACACAGTGCACTCTCAGGACACACTGAACTATTTGAGCTACTTAAAGTTTCCTGGCCATGCAGCCAAACATCTCCTGCTGATCTGAATGCCTGTGCTCTCTTTTCCACCTGGTAAACACCTCTCAGCTTTCAGAATGTCACCTCACTTGAGAAACTTTTCTTAACCGTCCAATTCCTTGCAGAAGGTATTTCTCCCTCCTCTGTGCCCCTGGTATATCCTGAAGAGATTTCTAGCTCAGCAATAAAGTCACTGTATTGATTTCATTTGTTTCCATGCCTATCTCCCTTGACCACATTGTGGACAACATGTGAGCAGAGAACTTACTCATATACCCAGCATTATGTTCAGTGCAAAATAGGCCATATGGATTATAGATACTCAATCTATATTGTTGAATAGTCATAGGAATGCCTGAAAGATGTCTATTGGATATGCTGATTCCCATACTACCTAATAACAGCAGAAAGTTTAGAAAGTCAAAGCTCCTCCAGGTCAAATATTCTGCCTATGTGTTTCAAATGAACCCGAGACTACTGATGATGCTCTCACGGAAGATAACAAAGGTGAGGCAGAAAGAGACAGGTAGAGAAAGGTCAGGGATCTAGCTAGGAACACACAGAGCCCAGGGGTACTGTCTTCCTATCCGTTGATGGGAACATGGAAGTCGAAGGAGGGTCATATCTGGACCACCCAGATTTCTGGATATTTCCTGAATTACATTTACTTCAGGGAGTCTCTCTTGACTCATGCCAGCAGAGGTGTGGAATCCAGGGAAGGGTGATCACTCATGAGAGGATGACTCCACAGAGCTTCTAATATTGTATGCTAGATCAAATATTCAAGTTGGAACAAGGAGAGAAACCAGAAAGAGGAAAGAAAAAGAAGAAGAGGGAACAATAACAAAAAAAGAATTATTGGGTTTGAGGTTGGGGGTGGAGGGCATGGTTTTTTTACCAGAACTGTCCTTGCAATGCTCTGGTTGTCATTAGCCCAAATTTCAAACCACTTCCTTTCAATGGGAACAGTTGCTGAGTACTAGTCCCATAAGGCTTTTTTTTCTATCAGTACCCTTTTAGCATGGTTTTCAAGTGTCTCTATTTTTTTTCTGCTGACCATAAACTAAGTTCTTGGCTCAGGCACTTTTCCTTGTTTTGTTATCTGTTCCTTGGGCCAGGGTCATATAACATGCTGACTAAGGTTAATTACTTCATTAATTCTCTTACTTTCCTGATGCACAGTATTACTTTTATCACCTTCTGTTCAAAAATGAGTTGAATTCATTACTATGATTTTGTGTGTGAAGGTCAGTTAAACTTCAAATTGTATGCCAAGAGACAAGGAATAATAAAAGCCCATAGTACTACTGCTGAAAAATTTCTCCCAAATATGATCCAGTTGTACCCTCAGTTTATCTTGCCAGACGTGTTATAACACACCTGGCACAGCTCTGCTTCCTCTGTCCAGACTCTTCCAGCAAAATACACATCTGGAGCAAACAGTTCAAAAGAGGCCTCTGACCTCTCATCTCACAGTACCTCCTTCACACCTGGATACATTCAATTAAATTACTCAACAGTCAGAGGAAGGCACCCACTATGTGCCAGTATATTGAAAGGCTCTGGGCATCTTGTATTAAATAAGACTAGCCTCTGCTCTCAGAAAGACAGTGTAATTAATGAACAGAAAAGTAAATCAAAGGTTTTTATGAGATCTGACAAACAGAATGATAGTAATAATAACAAGAATGATTAGAGTCGCTACAATTTTTTGAATTTTTACTACATAATAGTCAGGCATTCTGTTTTATGTATTAACTCAAGCCCTGATTTGAACCCAGACAATCTTACTCATATCCCTGGCATTTAAATTAGACTGAGTGACCCAGGACCCCATTCCTTAACTCTACCCTAGATTGATATATCTAACTGGCAACCTCTGCTCTTGACTTGCTGGCAATCACTTCTGTGGCACAGAAACTACTCACTGTGTGCCACACACAAAGCCTGCCTAAAACATTAACAGTTGAAGGGGAGTAGAGAGCCATGTAAAGACGTAAGACTAAAATGGTGCACTTTGCCCATAAAGAAAGGTATAAATAAGGTAGAAAAGAGGCAGAAGGCAGCAAGTAGACATGTATCTGTGATCAGGATTACGGAGGACATCACAAGGGAGGAGTTTGCCTAACCACAAGCAGGAAGGACTTCTGGAAAGACATTCAAGGCAGAGATAATTCCTCGCCACTTGAAAAAAAAATCAACTTTTATTTTAGATTCAGGGGTACATGTGCAGGTTTGTTATCTGGGCGTATTGCATCCTCATTACTTTTCTTTAAACAATTCTCTTCTCTTTCAAAACCATCCTCAAAAATTTCCTCAAGAAGTCTCCCCCTTAATTTGTATGACGGTTAATTTTACATGTCAATTTGACTGGGACACAGGGTGCCCAAATTTGGTTCAGTATTATTCTGAGTGTGCTTATGAGGGTGTTTCTGGATGAGATTAACATTGGAATCAATAGACTGGGTAAAGCAGACTGTCCTCCCCAGTGTGGTGAGCCTCCTCCAATCCCTAATTTGTTGGAGGCATGAATAGAATAAAAAGTAGGGTAAGGAAGAAATACCTCTTTCTCCCTGACTGTTTTTGAACTTAGACATTGCACTGGAACCTATACCATTGATTCTCCTGGTTCTCAGGCCTGCAGACTCAGATTGGAGCTACAACAATGGTTTTCCTGGGCTTCCAGCTTGCAGAAGACAGATTGTGGTACTCCTCAGCCTCCATAATTATGTGAACAAATTCTTTGTAATAAAGCTCTCTCTCTCTCTGTCTCTCTGTCTACACACACACACACACACACACACACACACACACACAACTAGACATACTTCAAATATATTGTGGGTTTTGTTCCAGACTACTACAATAAAGCTCAATCACCATAAAACAAGTGACACATTTTCTTTAGTTTTCTTGTGAATATGAGAGTTATGTTTATACCATATTGCATACACTATTAAATATTCAGTAGAATTGTGTCTTTCTTTTCATGTTCTTTATTTTATTTTATTTTACTTTAAGTTCCGGGATACATGTGCAGAACATGCAGGTTTGTTACATAGGTATACATGTGTCATGGTGGTTTGCTGCACCTATCAACCCCTCATCTAGGTTTTAAGCCCTGCATGCATTAGGTATTTTTCCTAATGTTCTCCCTCCCCTTGCCCCTGGCCCCTTGACGGCCCTAGTGTGTGATGTTCCCCTCCCTGGGTCCATGGGTTCTCATTGTTCAACTCCCACTTACGAGTGAGAACATGCAGTGTTTGGTTTTCTGTTCCTGTGTTAGTTTGCTGAGAATGATGGTTTCCAGCTTCATCCATGTCCCTGAAAAGGACATGAACTCATTCTTTATTATGGCCACATAGTATCCCATGGTGTATACGTGCCACATTTTCTTTATCCAGTCTATCACTGTTGGGCATTTGGGTTGGTTCCAAGTCTTTGCTGTTGTCAATAGTGCTGCAATAAACATAAGGGTGCATGTGTCTTTATAGTAGAATGATTTATAATCCTTTGGGTATTTATCCAGTAGTGGGATTGCTGGGCCAAATGATATTTCTGGTTCTAGATCCTTGAGGAATCACCACACTGTCTTCCACAATGGTGGAACTAATTTACACTCCCACCGACAGTGTAAAAGCATTCCTATTTCTTCACAGCCTTGCCAGCATCTGTTGTTTTCTGACTCTTAAAAATGTACATACCTTCATTTAAAAATACTTAATTGGTTTAAAATGCTAGCAGTCATCTAAGCCTTCAGGGAGTTGTAAATTTTGTTGCAGGTGGAGGGTCTTGCTTGGATGTTAATGAGTGCTGACTGATCACAGTGGTGGTTGCTAAAGATTGAAGTATCTGTGGCAATTCTTAAAATAATATGATGAAGTTTATCACATCAATTGACTTTTCCTTTCATAAAAGATTTCTCTATAGAATGTGATAATATTTAATAACATTTTACTCACAATTGGACTTCTTTCGAAATTGGAGTCAATCCTCTCAAGCCCTGCTGCAGCTTTATCAACTAAGTTTAGGTAATATTTTAAATCCTTTGCTGTCATTTCAACAATGTCCACTGCATCTTCACCAAAAGTAGATTTAATCACAAGAAATCACTTTCTCTACTCCTCCATAAGAAGCAGCTCCTCATCCATTCAAATATGATCATGAGATTGCAGCAGTTTAGTTATACCTTCAGGGTCCACTTCTTATTCTAGCCTTTTTTCAATTTCCAAATCTGCAGTTACTTCCTCCACAGAAGTCTTGAACCCCTCGATGTCATCCGTAAAGATTAGAATCAACTTCTCCCAAACTCCTGTTAATGTTGACAGTTTGACCTCCTCCCATGAATCACAAATGTTCTTAATGGTACATAGAGTGATGAATCCTTTCCAGAAGGTTTTCAATTTATTTTGCTCAGATCCATCAGATAATTCACTACCTAGGGAGCTTTCATCTTCCAAAATGTATTTCTTTTTCTTTTCTTTTTTTTAACTTTATTTATTCGTTTATTTATTTATTTGAGATGGAGTCTTGCTCTGTCACCCAGGCTGGAATGCAGTGGTGCAATCTCGGCTCACTGCAACCTCCGCTTCCTGGCTTAAGCGATTCTTCTGCCTCAGTCTCGTGAGTAGCTGGGGTTACAGGCGTGCCACCATGCCAGGCTAATTTTTGTATTTTCAGTAGAGACAGGGTTTCACAATGTTGGTCAGACTGGTCTCGAACTCCTGACCTTGTGATCTACCTGCCTCAGCCTCCCAAAGTGCTGGATTACAGGCATGAGCCACCACGCCAGATCTCAAAATGTATTTCTTAAATAATAACATTTGAAAGTCAAAATTACTCCTTGATCTATGGACTAAGAATGGATGTTATGTCAGCAGTCATGAAAACAACATCAAGCTCCTTGTACATCTCCATCAGAGCTCTTGAGTGACCAGGTGCATTTTCAATAAACAGTAATAATGTGAAATGAATTTGTTTCTGAGCAATAGGTCTTGACTGCAGGGTTAAAATATTCAGCAAACCATGCTGTAAACAGATGTGCTGTCATCCATGCTTTGTTGTTCCACT
The DNA here is from genome assembly GCF_000001405.40 of Homo sapiens. Taxonomy (NCBI): domain Eukaryota; kingdom Metazoa; phylum Chordata; class Mammalia; order Primates; family Hominidae; genus Homo; species Homo sapiens. Next base: position 74,818,186 of record NC_000004.12, read on the forward strand.
TACAGAGCACAGGCACAGTAGATTTAGCATCATTCTTAAGAGTCATATGATTTTGAAAATGGTAAATGAAGTCATCAGCTGAATTATTGCTTAACAAGAGAGTCAGCCTGTCCTTTAAAGCTTTGACGCCAGGCATTGACTTCTCCTCTCTACCTGTGAAAGTCCTAGATGGAATCTTCTTTCAATAGAAGGTTGTTTTTCTACATTGAAAATCTGTTGTTTGGTGTAGTTACCTTCATCAGTGATTTTAATTGGATCTTCTGGATTACTTGCTACAACTTTTGCATCCGTACTTGCTGCTTCACCTTGCACTTTTGTGTTATAGAGATGGCTTCTTTCCTTAAACCTCTGAAGCTTCCTCATCTCTCTGCCTTCATAGAATTGAAGAGTTATGGCCTTGCTCTAGATTAGGCTTTGGATTAAGAAAATGTTGTGGCTGGCTGGATTTTCTATCCAGACCACTTAAGCTTTATTGATATCAGCAATAAGGCTATTTTGTTTTCTTATCATTTGTGTGTTCATCAAAGTAGCACTTTTGATTTCCTTCAAGAACTTTTCCTTTGCATTCGCAACTTTGCTGTTTGGCACAAGAGGCCTAGCTTTGGGCCTGTGTCAGCTTTTGAAATGCCTTCCTCAGTAAACTTAATCATTTCTAGCTTTTGATTTAAAGTGAGAAACATGCAACAATTCCTTTCCCTTGAACACTTCAAGCTCATTGTAAGATTATTAATTTGTCGATGCCTCTATTGTTGTGTCTCAGGGAATAGAGAGGCTTGAGTACAGAGACAGAAAAAGATGGGGGATGGGCCAGTCAGTGGAGCAGTCAGAACACACACAAATTATCAGGTTAATTGTCTTCTATGAGTGCAGTTCATTGTGCCCCAAAACAATTACCACAGTAACACCAAAGATCACTGATCACAGGTCATCGTAACAAATATAGTAATAATGAAAACATTTGAAATATTGCAATCATTTCCAAATTGTGAAAGAGACAGTGAGCACATGCTGTTGGAAAAAAAAGGACACTAATAGACTTACTCAATTAAGGGTTGCCATAAACCTTCAATTTGTAAGAAGGGCAGTATTTGCAAAGTGCAATAAAGCGGAGCACAATAAAATAAGGTATGCCTATATCCATGTACATAGGCTATATATATATATATAGACTAAGAATGGATGTTATGTCAGCAGTCATGAAAACAACATCAAGCTCCTTGTACATCTCCATCAGAGCTCTTGAGTGACCAGGTGTATTTTCAATAAAGAGTGTATATATATATATATCCTCCAACTGGTTCTATTTCTTTGGAGCACCCTCATTAATACAACATTATTTTGACCACTGTTTTTTCTCTCTGTCCTCAGCATATATATGTTCTTTATTAGTAGATCATTAATGCAGATGCTAGGATACAGATGTGTCTCCATAGCAACACAGCAAGTCTTCACAGGGATAAATCACGTAACTCAATATTCTTTACCTTTGCTACCCCCAGTAGCCACTCAGTAGATGTAGGCAACTTGCAGTGTGTATTAGGATTTTTCAGCATCAGGCAGCAACAGGAAAGAGGCTCCTTCTTGTGTGGTCATGTGCCCTTCTGGTATCATCACTGAGATCTGGGTGTTATAGGTAAATTGCTGTCAAACTCATTTCCTGCCAGCAGGTGGTTACAGAATGACCAGACTCTACAGGTTTAGGTGGTGAGGACATAAACAGAAGGGTCTTCTCTCTAGAACAGCCTCTTCAGGTCTGGATGACCACTGAGTCACACTCTGGTCCCAAGGGCAGCAGACAAATTCTGAGCCCATTAGAAATGTTTGGCCTCCATCATGGTCCTAAGATGGCCCAGAGGACTTGGCTCTTTGACACAGAGAATCTATGCCCTTATAGAATATAAACTCTGTGAGAAAGGAGGTTGAGCCTCACTCAGTTTTAAATGCTTGTTGTTAGAATGCCCAAGTTCCATGCTCTCTCCACACTAACCTCTAGGCACCTCTAATTTAATAATCAACTGGGAAGAATTAAAGAAGTCTTTCATTATAGTGAAATCTATGCAGTGAAGGCTGCTGGATAGGAAGTCTTCTGTATTAGTGGAAAGTCTCCATCTTAGAATGTATTTAAGACTTATATTTGTTTATTTCACAAATTTATTTGACCATTTTTTGTGTACTGAAGATTCAAATCAAATGTAAATAGAGCATTTAAAAAGACAAGGTCGCTACTTCATGGAAGAGTGAGGAAGTGTCATGGTTAATACTGAATGTCAACTTGATTGGATTGAAGGATACAAAGCATTGATTCTGTGTGTGTCTGTGAGGGTGTTGCCAAAGGAGATTAACATTTGAGTCAGTGAACTAGGAGAGGCAGACCTACCCTCAATCTGGGTGAGCACAATCTAATCAGCTGCCAGTGCAGTCAGAATAAAAAGCAGGCAGAAGAACGTGAAAAGACTAGACTGGCTTAGCCTCCCAGCCTACATCTTTCTCCCATGCTGGATGCTTTCTGCCTTTGAACTTCGGACTCCAAGTTCCTCAGCTTTGGGACTCAGACTGGCTTCCTTGCTCCTCAGCTTGCAGACAGCCTACTATGGGACCTTGTAATCGCGTGAGTCAGTACTCCTTAATAAATTTCCCTTTTCATATGCATCTATCCTATTAGTTCTGTCCCTCTGGAGAACACTGGCCAATACAGGGATATACACAACGAACTTGAATTAACGCAATCTTAGACCATATTAAGTGCCATGAAGGTACTAAAGCAGCACTGGCGAGTAGAGACTGAAATCAGGTTATGGGGTGAGCAGGGACTGGACCTATAGGAAAAGTGCTCAGGGGAGGCCTTTCTGAGAAGCTGAAATTGTCACCAGTAAATTGACTTCTTCCTCTACTTTCTATCTGTTGCGAAGAAAGAATACCCTATTAGGAACAAAAGACAAGCAAATGTATTCCTGGCCAGTAGTGGAGAAGGAGAGAGCTCCTGCTCTCACCTTCTTCCCAGGTGTGGGAAGCTAGTGAATATTAAGGAGTTAGATGTGGGGCAAGGAGGTATGTAAACACAGGCAGGGAAGAATTCCAGACATGCAGGCACAGATAACAAGCCTTCCTCTTCATACAACGTATGTTTAGAAAGGTGGTGATTTTCTTTATGGGCAGGGATTTTAACATTATGATGATATGTTAATGACTTAAAGGTAACAAGGGGTCCCCAGTTCTGGTTTGTGCCTGTTTCACACTGGCATTATCTTCTTCTTGTAATTGCTGAAGTGGCCTGAAGCTCCCGTGGCCTCAGGCCATCTAAAGTTCTTTTAAGCAAGCACACCTATAGACAAAGAGACTAGAAAAAACTGCTTAAGAAGAAATATGAGCTTTCTCAGCTACTTACTGTTTAAGAAAATAATGAACTTTCTCAACTATATCTCCAGGGCTGCCCTGGTAACCAAATCTGGAATTCAAACTTTGAGACAATCCAAGAGAAGGATATTCCAGGCAGAGGAAACAGCAAATGCAAAGGCCATGGGGGTGAAAATTGGCTTGGTGTGTTTGAGGAACAAGAATGCCAGCATGGCAGGAGCACAGTGAGTAAGGGGGAGAATGACAGGAGGTGAGGTCAGAAAATAGCCAGGGGCCAAGTCACATAAAACCACTTAAGACATAGGAAAGACTCTGGGTTTTCTTCAAAGTTTGATAAGAATCCACTGGAGGAGAGAAATTATATGAGGATCTAATTTGTGCTTTTACAAGATAGCTCTGACTATTGAACATGCAAAAGGGGGCAAAGGTGGACTCAGGAGGCAAGTCAGAGGCGGCCACACAGTCCAGGTGAGACATGAGGGTGGGTCTGGCCGAGAGTTAGTGAGATATTATCGTGTAATGGGATTTGGGATGTATTTTTAAAGTAAAGCCCACAAGCCTTGCTGATGGTTTAGTGATGGGGTGCAGCAGAGAGAAGCTGACTTCTAGAAAGAGGTGGATCTACTGTGCTCTGAAGCTACAGAAGCTCAAACTTCAAGGCCACTCACTTGAAAGGACATTTTTCAAGCATTTCAGAGGGATGCTGGCAATTTTGTACTTGTAATTTCATAACCTTTGTTTTAAAAAAAGGACCTCTAAGACTTCAAGCTCTACAAAACCTAAATCCTCCTTAGTTCCAATTTTTCAGCCTGACTAATCAAATTAAAAGGATAACACTAACAGTGAAAAAGTTGTTCAAACTACACCTGAAGCACAAAACTTCTAGAGCTACACTAACCAAATACAACCACTGCACCAATCAAGAGCATCTCATGAGATGCAATTACAAAGCTACTTTATTTTTTTTCTTGTCTCTTACAGTCTTTGCTTTTGTTTGTTTCCTTTTGTTCTTCTTGTTCCTGGATGATAAATCAAAACCTTTTTTATATTCCTGTAAGTCTCTTAAAATAATTTGAAATCTGATGATCACTTAAAGTTACAAAGCAAAGTGCCGGTTCAAATCCAGGATGTCTCATCCTCATTCAAAGGTGCGGCTTCTCCCTTCACCTGTAGCCAGATCTTGCTGCCAGAAGCAATGTTGAAGCTGGGGAGAGAGAGTGTGGTTGGCTCCTCCCTTCCTCTCTCATATTCTCCCTCAACAGACAGCTGCTCTTACTGATGCCTCTGGCTTTGCAAATAGAGGTGTGGGGGGTGAGAGGAGAAAACAGAAGGAAGACATCAAAGTTCTCACCTGACTGGCCTGATGATAAGCTGGCCTAGAGCATTCAGAGCCTAGAAGATCACAGGAGCTGGCTTTTCCTTTGTTGGGCACATTCACTGATTGTTCAGAAAACTTCCATTATCAGGATGGTCTCCCTGAAGTTTTCTTGATATTAGAGGGTACATCTCTATTCTCTTAGTCACCTAGATCCTAGGAATTTGACTATATCCTCAGCATCTTTAAAAAAAAAAAAATGAGTCCTGTTTGGTCATCAGGGGGTCTTCTGGACCTAAGACAACTCTAGTCCAGCAATTTTTCTGCATGTGGTGCACATCTGAAGCAAAGGAAACACGTGGGCATGTTTTAGAGCAACCCTGTTGTAGCAGGCAAATTCCAGAACATTGATCCATCAGCTCATCCATCAGCAGATGGACTTTTGCTCACTATATTTTCAGGCAAGGTCCCCAAATAGTAACTGTGAACCACTGAAACTACCAGTGACTCATAGTAATCTTGGTAAACTCTCAGTGATCTCTTTAGAGCACCTATGTTCATCAGTCCAGGATGCTATAACAAAATACCACAGACTGGGTGACTTATAAAACAGAAACTTATTTCTCACTCTTCTGGAGGCTGGGAAGTCTAAGATCAAGGTGCTGGAAGGTTCAATGTCTGGTGAGGGCCTGCTTCTGCACAGAGGGACATCTCACTCTAACTTCACATGGCAGAAAGGCAAGAGGTCTCTCTTCGGTCTCTTTTGTAAGGGCACTGATCCTATCATAAGGGTGACCTTAATCACCTCCCAAAGGCCCCATTTCCCAATACTATCACCTTGGGGGCCAGAACTTTAACATATGAATTCAGGTGAACATAAACATTCAGTCCATTGCAATACCTCCCTTGCATTGAGATGAAAAGGAAAGCCCTATCCTTCTTCTTTGGAGGAAGGTAGGGCTCACAACACATAAACCGTTCTCTCCAAAAAGTGCTTTCGTCCCTTAAATCCTCTTTTATCTGGCCATATGTCAACTAGTTCTCAGCCACCTACGTTTTTCAAATTCAATCAGTGTTCTTTCACAAGTCACTTAGTTATCTGATGCTTCTATTTCAATATCCTGTTATGCAACCATTACATAGCTGGATCCAGCTTTAATGAATAGCTCAGCTGAGTTTGGCCTTATTGAACAGATAAGGGTGACTGTAGTTACCCTATCCACACATCACAGATTCAGAGCTTATATTGGCATTTTTACTAAATACTTCATCATATCTTACTTATATTCATTGCTCTTCCATGCTCATGAGCTTAATAAATGTCTGTAACTTGTAATTATTCAAACTCAAAATTAGATAAGATCATGTCAATGAGGATATTCAAACAGACCTCCATATGTCAAGCTGGCTTCTTCCGTGAAGACACAGTAGGAAAGTAAACTTCTGTTTCGCAGAGATTTTCTGAGTTTACCATGGAATCCTTTAGTGCTACTTGATTTCTCATCAGTCAAAGCACAAGGAGATAAACACAAGAAAAGATATTAGGAGGCAGGTAAAATAATATCTGTGTTCTTAGTTATCCTCTAAGCAAGTCATTCTCAAATTTCATTGTGAATATGAACCTCCTGGGGAATTTGTTTAAGATGCATATCCCCAGACGCTGATCTCAGAGCTTCTGCTTCAGTAGGTCTCAGGTAGGGCCCAAGAATAATGATGACAAGAACCCAGGTGATGCTAATGCAGGTGTTTGATTCTCAGATCACAGTAGGAGAGCTCTCAATGCACTCCTATATCTCCTTTCCTAGGCAGGAATTCTAAACATAACAATCATAGTTTGCGGCATAATTATCCTATTACATTTTCTCTGGTCCCGGAATAGTGTTCATTGGGGTTCTAATTGTCCCCATACTGGAGTCACAACACTAGGGTGACAATGTAAGGATGCTTCCACAACCCCCTGCTTTGTATATTTCCTCTTGTTTCTGTTGTTCCCCTGAACTTTTTTTATTAACATTATTTTATCTCATTTCTCCCCATTTCTGTTTATGAAGCAGAGTGCTGATTCTGAGACTACAGCTGTTAAGAAGAGAGTGTAGGTATTTCCTTTCATCTTTAAATGCCTTTAGTGCCTACTGATGTTCTGAAGACCCAAGCCATTGCCCAGACCTTTTTTTTTTTTTCTTTTTTTGACGGAGTCTCACTCTGACGCCCAGGCTAGAGTGCAGTGGCGTGATCTCGGCTCACTGCCACCTCTGCCTCCTGGGTTCAAGTGATTCTCCTGCCTCAGCCTCACGAGTAGCTGGGAATACAGGTGCATGTCACCACATCCGGCTAATTTTTTTGTATTTTTAGTAGCGATGGGGTTTCACTATGTTAGCCAAGATGATCTCCATTTCTGACCTCGTGGTCTGCCCGCCTCAGCCTCCCAAAGTTCTGGGATTACAGGCGTGAGCCATTGCGCCCGGCCGACTTCTGATTTTTATTATTAAAAGTCTTTCAAAAGGACATCTGGACTGATGAGACCATACTTCTCTTGACCAATTCATTGAGAGGATTTCACATTATTAGGAATCTTAGCCTGAAGTAAGGCAGGGGAGAAAGACAAGAAGGGTCAAATTTTCATAAAGCAGTGGTTATACCCTCTTAATGAATCTGACTGGGCTTTGGCTAAAATATAAGTAAAATTCTGCTTTATCCGTTAAAGTAAATTGGCTAACATTTGCTCTGTAAGTTAAAGAAATTTTGAGTCTGAATATCTGCAATTCCAAAAGTGAGCTTCCCATGACTGCTGATGTAGAGATAGCTCTCAATGCCACCTTTGTTATTATGCTCCAAACCCTACACTCACATCTGCTCTTTTTTTTCACTTTGAAATTCTAAGACAGACAAATCCTCATCCATCATCATTTTGTATATATGTACATTTTATTTTTACTTACTCCTTCCTTCAAGGTATCTCCTCATCATCATTTTCTTTTCATTATTTCTAGCTTTGTTCCATACCCATCTCTTTCCAATTCTCTCTCTCTTTCACACACACACACACACACACACACACACACACACTGGTGCCCCCAAAACAATCCTCTTTAGCCTCTGCCCTCCGGAGGTGAAGCCCGATGTCTCTGCACAGGCAGCAGTGATCACAGGGGCCAGCACGACCTGACAGATTCATATGGGAAGCCACCAGAAGCAGCAGGAGTAGACACATGGCTAAATTTGTGAAAAACCAGGAAATGCTAACGGAAATAGAGGGAGATGAAGAGGAAGAACTGCAGAAAAATTAAGGATTGAATTTAGGGATTCTGTAGTGATGAAACCGGTTCCAGTCAGCTAGACTTAACAATTCATAGGCCCAGGGCAAAAGTAAAAATGGAGGCCCATACTTCATATGTCCAAATATTATAAAAATAGAACTCAAGCCAAAATGCTGTCAAATAAAATATGTTCTATCCTACTATCTCAATAAATATGCATTCATAACAACAAAATTTTAAAAAGTATGTGAAGCTATATCTAGAATATGACTAAGGATGACTGAATTTAATTGTTATTGCACAAATCTGGGTGTTCTGTAGATGGTGGCTCAATCTGAGTGAGTTAGTGATGTGTGATTGGGTAATAAAATGAAGAGAAAATTTTTATGTTATTAAAATCTGCTCTTTAAAATTGTTTATACTTATTTGCCTTGTTTCAGCAAAATCATTATGCTGTTATAGTCAAGATTATCTACATAATTTGGGTTATATTGACGGTGACCATCTAAAAGTATTATGGAGTAAAAGGGGCTCGCTGCCCAATGCATTAGAAGTCAATACTATGACATCAGGTTTTTGAGAAAAGAAAAGCTTTATATTGAAAGTCGAACTTCCCCAATCTAGCAAGACATGCCAACATTCAAATTCATGAAATACAGAGAATACCACAAAGATACTCCTCGAGAAGAGCAACCCCAAGACACACATCAGATTCACCAAGGCTGAAATGAAGAAAAAAATGTTAAGGACAGCCAGAGAGAAAGGTCGGGTTACGCAAGGGAAGCCCTTCAGACCAACAGCAAATCTCTCTGCAGAAACCCTATAAGCCAAAAGAGAGTGGGGGCCAATAATTAACATTCTTAAAGAAAAGAAATTTCAAACCAGAATTTCATATCCAGTCAAACTAAGCTTCATAAGTGAAGGAGAAATAAATCCTTTACCGACAAGCAAAGGCTGAGAGATTTTGTCAACACCAGGCCTGCCTTACAAGAGCTCCTGAAGGAAGCACTAAATATGGAAAGGAAAACCCGGTACCTTTTGGTGTGTTTTCCCAAAAATGTACCAAATTGTAAAGACCGTTGACACTATGAAGAAACTAAATCAACTAACGGGCAAAATAATCAGTTAGCATCATAAAGACAGGATCAAATTCACATGTAACAATATGAACCTTAAATGTAAATGGGCTAAATGCCCCAATTAAAAGACACAGACTGGCAAATTAAATAAAGAGTCAAGACTCATTGGTGTGCTGTATTCAGGAGACCCATCTCACTTGCAAAGACACGAATAGGCTAAAAATAAAGAGATGGAGGATTATTTACCAAGCTAATGGAAAGAAAAAAAAGGAGGGGTTGCAATCCTAGCCTCTGATAAAAGCGACTTTAAACCAACAAAGATCAAAAAAGACAAAGAAGGGCATTACATAATGGTAAAGGGATCAATGCAACATGAAGAGCTATTGTAAATATATATATGCACCCAATACAGGAGCACCCAGATTCCTAAAGCAAGTTCTTAGAGACCTACAAAGAGACTTAGACTCCCACACAATAATAGTGGGAGACTTTAACACACCATTATCAATATTAGACAGATCAATAAGACAGAAAATTAACAAGGATATCCAAGACTTGAACTCAGCTCTGGACCAAGCGGACCTAATAGACATCTACAGAACTCCCCACCCAAATCGACAGAATATACATTCTTCTCACACCACATCGCACTTATTTTAAAATTGGCCACATAACTGGAAGTAAAACACTCCTCAGCAAATGCAAAAGAATGGAAATCATAACAGTCTCTCAGACCACAGCGCAGTCAAATTAGAACTCAGGATCAATAAACTCACTCAAAACCACACAACTACATGGAAGCTGAACAACCTGCTCCTGAATGACTACTGGGTACATAAGGAAAATAAGGCAGAAATAAATACATTATTTGAAACCAATGAGGGCAAAGATACAATGCACCAGAATCTCTGGGACACATTTAAAGCAGTGTTTAGAGGGAAATTTATAGCACTAAATACCCACAGGAGAAAGCAGGAAAGATCTAAAATTGACACCCTAACATCACAATTAAAAGAACTAGAGAAGCAAGAGCAAACAAATTCAAAAGCTAGCAGAAGGCAGGAAATAACTAAGATTAGAGCAGAACTTAAGGAGATAGAGACACAAAAAACCCTTCAAAAAATCAGTGAATCCAGGAGGTGTTTTTTTGAAAAGACTAACAAAATAGGTAGACCACTAGCCAGACAATAAAGAAGAAAAGAAAGAAAAATCAAATAGACACAATAAAAAATGATAAAGGGGATATGACCACTGATCCCACAGAAACACAAAGTACCATCAGAGAATACGATAAACACCTCTACACAAATAAACTAGAAAATCTAGAAGAAATGGATAAATTCCTGGACACAAACACCCTCCCAAGACTAAACCAGGAAGAAGTCAAATCCCTGAATAGACCAATAACAAGTTCTGAAATTGAGGCAGTAATTAATAGTCCACCAATGAAAAAAGCCCAGGACCAGACAGATTCACAGCCAAATTCTACCAGAGGTACAAAGAAGAGCTGGTACCATTCCTTCTGAAACTATTCCAAACAATAGAAACAGAGAGACTCCTCCCTAACTCATTTTATGAGGCCAGCATCATCCTGATACCAAAACCTGGCAGAGATACAACAAAAAAAAGAAAATTTCAGGTCAATCTCCCTGAGGAAAATCGATGTGAAAATCCTCAATAAAATACTGGCAAACTGAATCCAGCAGCACATCAAAAAGCTTATCCACCACTATCAAGTTAGCTTCATCCCTGGGATGCAAGGCTGCTTCAACATGTGCAAATCAAGAAACATAATACATCACATAAACAAAACCAATGACAAAAACCACATAATTATCTCAATAGGTGCAGAAAAGGCCTTCAATAAAATTCAACACCCCTTCATGCTAAAAACTCTTAATAAACTATGTTTTGATGGAATGTATCTCAAAACAATAAGAGCTATTTATGACAAACCCATAGCCAATGTTATACTGAATGGGCAAAAACTGGAAGCATTCCCTTTGAAAACCAGCACAAGACAAGATGCCCTCTCTCATGACTCCTATTCAACATAGTATTGGAAATTCTGGCCAGGGCAATCAGGCAAGAGAAAGAAATAAAAGATATTCAATTAGGAAAAGAGGAAGTCAAATTGTCTCTGTTTGCAGATGACATGATTGTATATTTAGAAAACCCCATCGTCTCAGCCCAAAATCAATGTTATCCCCATCAAGCTACCATTGACTTTCTTCACAGAATTAGAAAACACTACTTTAAATTTCATATGGAACCAAAAAAGAGCCTATATAGCCAAGACAATCCTAAGCAAAAAGAACAAGCTGGAAGTATCACGCTATCTGACTTCAAACTATACTACAAAGCTACAGTAACCAAAACAACATGGCACTGGTACCAAAACAGATATGTAGACCAACGGAACAGAACAGAGGCCTCAGAAATAACGCCACACATCTACAACCATCTGATCTTTTGACAAACCTGACAAAAACCAGCAATTGGGAAAGGATTCCTTATTTAATAAACGATGTTGGGAAAACTGGCTAGCCATATGCAGAAAACTGAAACTGTACCCCTTCCTTACACCTTATACAAAAATTAACTCAAGGTGGATTGAAGACTTAAATGTAAGACCTAAAACCATAAAAACCCTAGAAGAAAACCTAGGCAATACCATTCAGGACATAGGCATGGGCAAAGACTTCATGACTAAAACACCAAAAGCAACAGCAACAAAAGCTAAAATTGACAAATGGGATCTAATTAAACTAAAGAGCTTCTGCACAGCAAAAGAAACTATCATCAGAGTGAACAGGCAACTTACAGAATGGGAGAAAATTTTTGCAGTATATTCATCTGACAAATGGCTAATAACCAGAATCTACAAAGAACTTAAACAAATTTACAAGAAAAAACAAACAACCCCATCAAAAAGTGGGCAAAAGATATGAAGAGACACTTCTTAAAAGAAGACATTTATGCAGCCAGCAAACATGAAAAAAGCTCATCATCACTGGTCATTAGAGAAATGCAAATCAAAACCACAAGGAGATACCCTCCACCCCAGTTACAATGGTGATCGTTAAAAACTCAGGAAACAACAGATGCTGAAGAGGATGTGAAGAAATAGTAACGCTTTAACATTGTTGGTGGGAGTGTAAATTAGTTCAACCATTGTGGAAGATAGTGTGGTGATTCCTCAAGGATCTAGAACCAGAAATACCATTTGACCCAGCAATCCCATTACTGGGTATATACCAAAAGATTATAAATCATTCTACTATAAAAACACATGCACATGTATGTTTATTGCAGTGCTCTTCACAATATCAAAGACTTGGAACCAACTCAAATGCCCATCAATGATAGACTGGATAAAGAAAGTGTGGCACATACACACCATGGAATACTATACAGCTATAAAATAGGATAAGTTCATGTCCTTTGCAGGAACATGGATGAAGCTAGAAACCATCGCTCTCAGCAAACTAACACAGGAACAGAAAACCAAACACCACATGTTCTCACTCATAAGTGGGAGTCGAACAGTGAAAACACATGGACACAGGGAGGGGAACATCACACACTGGGGCCTGTCGGGGGTGGGGGGCCAGGGGAGGGATAGCATTAGGAGAAATACCTAATGTAGATGACAGGTTGATGCCTGCAGCAAACCACCATGTCATGTGTATACCTATGTAACAAACCTGCACATTCTGCACATGTATCCCAGAATTTAAAGTATAATTTTTAAAAAAAAGAAAAAAAAAGAATTTCAGTAAAGTTTTACAGTTTCCTTCATATAGGTCTCACACATCTTTGTTTTATTCCTATAACAAATGGTTTTAAAAAAAAAAAAGTATGGCTTAAAAGAAAAGAAAGAAAGTCAACTCTCAAGGACACATGAGTCAAGCTCAAATCTGTCTCCCTCTGCTGGCTTTCAGGCAGTATTTTTATTAGAAAAGGTTAGGAGGTGGATTCTGAGATTATTGGGTAATTAGTGGAAACAAAGGAGAAGTTTGGAAAGTACTTGAGCGTGCACAGTTATTTCTTCATGTTACTTCATGGGTTTCATGTGCAAATGTGAGGGGAGTTAGTATAAAACATGCAGTGGAAATTCAGGCTGTGACATCAACAAGCTCCTTCTGCCCAAACTCCTGGTGGCCATCTTGGTTCAATTTCAGCAGGTTCTTTTATTTCACAAGTGGAGGGAGTTGCAGCATTTCAGCAAGTTGTTTCTTTTCTTATTTGCCATCCTGCAAACTCAAGAATTTCTGTTAGTCATTGGTTTCTTTAATTATTTGAGACATGATTTCAAAAGTCTAAGAAATAAAGCGTAATTGTATTTTCAGTGGAAACAATGTGCCTCCCTAATAGTTCTGGCAAAAGGCCAAGGTTTGATGCTTACTGACCTAACTTGGGTCATATGATTACCCTTGAACCTACCTCTGTGGCTGGGGGATGGAACACTGATTTATTGGTCTTGTATCATCTCACAAGCAAAGAGTCAAGGAAAAGGTGTGTGTGCTCCCTCCCTATCTCCTTCCCTCTTCCTCTCCCACTTTCATCCTCCCTCCACCCCTGCAACACACACACCCCATGGACTTGATGGGTCGATAGTTACAATGAAAAACATTCAGCATAGCTATTGCTTTTTTTTCTTCAAATTTACACTTAATAGAAGCAGAGGAAAAGAACATTTTCTGAAATGAGATGTCTTTGAAGTTTTCTAAAAATTATGTTTCTGGTAACACTTCGAAATGGGACATGTAATCATAGTAAATAGCTAAAGAAAGTCTTGTTTCCTATTTTTATATAGTTCAAAAACATGTAAAACTAAAAGTATATGATTTTAGTATACATATGCAGTAAAACCTATGAAGAAAAACAAGGGGATTTTTAAAAATGCAAAATTCTGGGCAGTGATTACTTTTGGGGAGAGAACAAAGGAGGGATTGGATCAGAAAGAGCACATAGGAAGTGTCAAAAATGATGTTGATATTCCATTTTTCAAACTGGGTCTATGGGTATTCATTTTATTCTTATTCTTTGTGTTTTATATATGTTATCATACAAATATCATTGTATGTGTATTTAATTTTAATTTTTAAAATTAAAGAAAAAGATAATTTAACATGTTTAATTTGAGAATTTTGTAACTAGGAGTTACAGAATTTAAAAGGAGTGTGGTTTGGCTAGAATATCACATAATTTGCAAGAGCTATTTGAGAGGCCCAATGCTCTGCCCTTTCTTCACCTTTTCCCTTCTATTTAGCTGCTAGAACCTGCCCAATTCCGTGAATAAAGCTGGAACTGAGTTAGACAGTCATGCCACTACCTTCTATCCAGTGGTCTCCTCACCACCCATGGAAATGGAACTGCTTATGAAATATTCATGAAAGGCCCACACTAAATACAGCACAATTTCAGAATCTATGGTGCTGTGCAGTTGCTTTGGATTTAGAAAGAAGAAACAAGAAAGTTTGAAGGGCACTCTGTTCTGCAGGCTTTTTCCCAACACCCCTGTGAACGCTGGGTGCCATGTGTAAAACAGATACTCTAAAATCTCAGGTGCTTCATCAGAGATGAGACCATGTGTTACAGACGAAATGTTTGTAACACCCAAAATTCACACGTATGAAGCCGTGTCCCCCAGTGTGATGATAGTTGGTGATAGGGCCTTTGCGATAGAATTAGGGTCAGATGAGGCCGTGACGGTGGGTCCTCCATGATGGCATTAGTGCCCTCATAAGAAGAATCACCAGTGAGCTTGCTTGTGCATTCTCTCTCTCTCTCTCTCTCCATGCACCAAGAAAAGGCCATATGAGCACATAGCAAGAAGGTGACTCTCTATAGGTTAAGAAGAGCACCTTCACCAGAAGCTGAATTCTGCTGGAGCTTGATCTTAGACTTTCCTGCCTCCACAACTGTAAGAAAATAAATTTCTGTCGTTAAAGCCACCCAACCTATGGTGTTTTGTTATGGCAGCTTGAGCTAACTAATATAATGACTAATTATATACTAACATGCTAAAATATTAATATAATGACAAACTTTGTGTTGGTATACTAATGATAATGAAGTCGTTATCATTAGTTACACAGAAAAAGGATGTGTTTCCACAGATTTTATAGTTCTGAACATACACAAATCCCTCCTCAATAAAAATAAATAAATAAATAATAAAAACTGAGTTTTTTGGCTGGGCACGGTGGCTCACATCTGTAATCCCAGCATGTTGGGAGGCCGAGGTGGGTAGAGTGCCTGAGGTCAGGAGTTCAAGACCAGCCTGCCCAACATGGTCAAATTCCGTCTTTACTAAAAACACAAAAATTAGGGAGGCATGGTGGCCCATGCCTATAGTCCCAGCTATTCTGGAGACTGAGGCAGGAGAATCTCTTGAACCCTGGAGGTTGCAGTGAGCCGAGATTGTGCCACCGCCCTCTACCCTGGGCGACAGAGCAAGACTCCATTTCAAAAAAAAAAAAAAAAAAGCTGGTTTTTAAATGACAAATTTCGGCTATCATTTTTCTTTCATTCTACATATGGCCAACCTTACTTGGAATAAAATGAGGCAGTTTTGTGCACAGCCTGATTTCAGGGAGTTCAGCCTCCTTGAAAGAACTCATGGAGGACTTTGAAGCTGTGCAAATCCTGTTTCTGCCACTTTCCAGCTGTGTTGATTTATCTTCTCTGAGCCTGAATTTTCTCATCTGTAGAAATGAAATAACAATTCTCACCTTGGAGGCTAAGGTAAGGCACCCTTACATAGGTAACCTATATAAAGCATTGAGAGCAGTGCCAGACATATAATCAGTATGTAATACATAGCAGCTCTTATCTCTGCCAGGCTTTTCTAGCCAGCAGTATACAGTCAATCTCAAATCAATAGTGTCTAGCAGTCTCCAGCACAAAGGAGGTGCTCAAAAAATGTTTGTGGGATGAATAAGTGAATAAATGAACAAATGAATGGATACAGGAGACATAGTAATTTCTTAGATAAATTATACTGTTTTCAATGTCCTCTAGGCAAAGACCACAAAGAATACACCTGTAGCTAAACAAATTGGATTTCTTATCTCCATGGCCGGGAGGAATGTATACCATGGGGAACAGTGGGGCATCTCAGTAAGAGTGTTAGAAAGAACCTATTACAGGATTCAGGCTGTGGGTTAGGAGACTTTGGAGAAAGGCTTAAGAAAGTGGGGATTTGATCTGGATTGGGTGTTTTCAGAAAGTGGGTATAAATCTATGATTGGCTTTCTTAATAAACCTTTATAGAGAGGGAAGACTAGAGTGAGGTTAATATTGTAATTAGTGAAAAAGTAACCATTGCTTGTATTAGGCAGGATACAGGGACATGAAATCCAGTAGACATACTGATTAGTCACTGGAAAGGAATATCAGTTTGGGTTCTGCAGGTAGCAGACACCGAGACAGATTTAGAAATGCAAGAGGTTCATTGGGAAGCTGGTGGAGGGAAAGAATACCCTTGAAACACAGCGCAAAGAAGCAGGAATGGCATAAAAAGCCTTTCAGCTCTGATGCTTACCAGTCCTCTGTGATAAGAAAGGGAGGAGAAAGCAGCATTGGACTGGGGCAGCCTTAGGCTGTGATGCAGATCTGACAAGGCTCTGCCAACCCAATGAGTTACTCAGAACCACTGGGCAGAAGCACCCTGGCCCTATGGATTCCATTCTGCCAGTGCTTTCAGGATTGCCCAGAAAAAGCTTGGCCTCAGCTGAAAAGCTTTGGTGGATCCTCAGGGTGCTGCAACTGGAGGCTATCAGATAACTGCCCTCTCTGCAGTTGGAAGCAAAATATTTCATGAAAGGAGACCCAAGTGGGACAGCCCTTAGCTGTCTCACAAGGTGTATTCGGCAAGGAGTAGGAGCTCTTCCTTAGGATCTGCTGCATTCAAGGGGAAGTATCTCCAAGTAATTCCCTTTAGTCCTGGATTCATGTGCATCCAGCAGCATTCAGATGGCTCTCTCTGTTTAGTAGGTGCCCCAATACTAGAAAAGAAGTAATCAAGAAAGCCAATTCAAAGAATAACATCACTAGGGAAAGAGATGGCTCATTGAAATGAACAAATAGACCATCCCAGCAGTATGGCTACTGGCTCACTTCCTGATTATACAGCTGACGAAACCCATCCACAGTGAGGTTAACTCACTTGCCTAAAATCACAAAATCATGGAACTAGGGAAGAACTGAGGTTCATTCTACCTATTCACTCTTCTTAAGAAGCATCGGCACACAATAGATCCATCACCCCTGCATAACCAAATGAAAATTGTTTCTAAGCATGAAAAGCTAAGTACTTATTTTGGATGCTGTTAATCATATCACAGCTTAACAACCCATGAAATCTCTACAGAAACAGTTTGTTAAGTACTACTCACACATATCACACCTTGCATTATACCAGACATTTTTAATGACTTTGGATTTTCAGTCCATTAATGTTGCTGCAATTGAAACAGATTCACAGAGGTTAAGATAAAATTCTGTGCTCCTAAATGGAATATTGCCATCTTACACATTTTAGTGTTTGCTTCTACTTTGAGATTATGACCACAAGTCATGTATACTTTACAGAAAAATTCCATAAAATATACTGTGAAGAGGTAGGAAAATATTTAACTTTTAAATCAGTTATTACTTTAAATCGGTCTCCTTAATAATTTTTTTTTTTGAGATGGAGTCTGGCTCTGTTGCCTAGGCTGGAGTGCAGTGGCATGATCTTGGCTCACTGTAACCTCCACCTCCCGGGTTCAAGCAATTCTCCTGCCTCAGCCTTCCGAGTAGCTGGGACTACAGGCATGTGCCACCACGCCCAGCTAATTTTTGTATTTTTAGTAGAGATGGGGTTTTACCATGTTGGCCAGGATGGTCTCCATCTCTTGACCTTGTGATCCGCCCACCCCTTGGCCTCCCAAAGTGCTGGGATTACAGGCATGTGCCACCGCGCCTGGACAAGAATTTTTAAAAAGTTCACTGTGAGTCTATATTTACCAAACTCAGTAATCAGACGAGGGAGAGACAATCTCCATTTAAACGAGATAGTATCTCTACTGTATCTTGCCCACTCCCAACCTCAAATTAAAATGAAATCATTTTGCCATATTGGCAAAATCCATAGGCAGATATCTAAATGTTGTCTAAAATAAAGTACTTAGAAATCCCATTTGGCAAGAGATACCTCAAGTTTTAATACGCTATAGTTAGAATCATTCAGCCTCTTCTGCTGTACAAATAACACTCCTAAGCTCATTCCTACATTTCTGGCCATTTCCCAGATCACCTACCTTACTCTTCTATTCTGTAGACCTATCTATTCCAGGTCTACTGAAGAAGCGGGCACAGTTTGACATTTTCTCTCCTTCCCTCTTATTCCATTGCAACCTGTATCTTTTTGCTGTCTCATTTATCAGAATGTTAATTCATTATTATTTGGGCTCTTATTTGTAAAATGTCTGTCTCTCCACAAGACCATTAAGTCTCTGAGGGCAGGGGCTGTATCTTCCTTGTTTTCTGTTGTATTTCAGAGCTTGGTGTTCATAGGGCTTTGATAAATACAGTTTTCTTCCTTCACACTCAGGTACACACAACTGGATCAATCATTTCTCTCTGCTCATGATGCACAATCAATCCTGGCCCATGCAGGCCTTCCTTTAGTGTATCCTCCTCATGTTTCCCACTCAATTAGTTTATTCCTACTCACATTTCCCCCATACCTACCTGCCTTCCTCTAACTACTGGCAAGACATCAACTTTGCTGTATTTTGTATGTAATCTGCTACTTGACATCATTGGAAATTATCAGTATTTTCTAATTTTCTAGCTAGGCAATGGTTACTTAGACTGAAATGTGTACTTGAAGATTATGTAATGGTATTTTATATATGTAATTATTTTTAACATAAATTTTATTCACGTGCGACATACATACTGAAAAGCATGCAAATCATAGATGTACAGTTCAGTGAAGTCTCCAAAATGAGCACAGGCATATCGGCATCCATGGAAGGAGCACCACCAGATCCTCACAGAGGCCCTCTGTACATCCTTCCAGACACCTCCTTCTCAAGCAAGAGTAACCACTATCCTGATCTTTAACACCAATGATTAAGTTTACCTGGTTTTGGACCCTTTTTCACCGAATCATGCAGTGTATACTCTCTTGGGTCTGGCTTCTTTCCCTCACATGATATTTGTGAGATTCCTCCTTACTATTGTCTGTACTTGTAGTTTATGTATTCTTATAGCTTTATCACATTCTGTTATATAAATATATATCATTATTTATTTATATACTGTAATTGGAAATATATATTGTCTTCAGCTGTTATTTATAGTGTCCATATAAACATTCTTGAACAAAGCTTTTGGTGAATCTATGTACACATTTTTGCTATTTACTTACCTACGAGGAGAACTATAGATCTGTCTGATGTGAAGGTTTCTTTTTGGAATATACACCCAGATGTGGGATTGCTTGCTTAGAGAGTATTTTCATAGAGTTGTACTACATTGGTCTCCAGAGTGAATGTACCAGTTGTCACTCCCAGCACTATGCATGAGGGCTGCATGTCCTACATACCTTTGCTAGCACTTAGTATTAGCTAACTTTCTAATTCTTGACAAAATGGTGTGTGGCAAATGATACCTCTTTCTCATTTAATTAGTATTTACTTGACTAATAGTTAGGTGAAGCTTTTTGGGGAGGAGGGAGCACTTAAGTATTTACCAATCGTTTGGTTTTCTACTTCATGAATTGCCTCTTCATGTCTTCTGCCATTTTTCTTTTGAATGTCCTTCCCTCCTGTTGATTTGCATAAGGGTATTATATATACTAAATATTAATCACTTGTTAGTATTGGAAATATTCCCTTCCAAGTATAAACTGTCTATGGGGGTCCTTTATTACACACACACACACAAATATTTAATTTGGCTTTATTTAGTAAAACTCTTTTTTTTCTCTTTTTTCTTTCATCTTTAGTGTTTGAACTTGTGAGGTCTTATTTAAGAATGCTTAACTGGTCATTAGATCAACAAAAGCTTTGCAGTTTTATCTTGTATAATTAAATCTTAAATCCATTTTTTAGTGTTGTGTAAGGAATCCAAATGTATTTCTCTCCATATAGTGAACTAATTTTTCCTGATATGTGATGCTCTCTCTGACATGTAATAAATATCCAAATAAATATAAATCTGTTCCTGGACTCTCTATTCCTGCACTAGTGCCACTTTAATTATAAAATATAACTAGAGGTGCGAATTTCTACTCTTTGATTTTTCTTAGCTATTTATAGACCTTTGCTCACCCATATAAATTTAAAAAATTGGTCAGCTTTCTTCCAAATAGATCCTACTAGTACTGTTATTGGAATTATACTGAATTTATAGATTAATTTTAGTCAAATTGACATATTTACAATATAAATCATTCAATCCATGAATATGGTGTTTCTCTACATTATATTTTCTAAGGTCTATCTAAAGACATTTTATGATAGTATGTTAAATTGTTATAGTACCTACTGGTATACACAGGAGTAAATAAAATGTTTTATGGGAAAGATACAAACATAAATTTATTATACTGTCACCCTTTTTCTTTGTAAACTGTACACAGGGATTGTGCTTGTTTATGGCTTAGAGAGCATAAAGATAGTGGGAAAAAAAAACAGGGACTAGAAAGTTATGAAGTCAGGCAGACAAAGAGTTGAATTCCAGACTCTTTACTCACAGGCTATGAAATGTTGAGCAAATTACTTAATCTTTTGTGCCTGAATTTCCTAATCTCCCAAATAGAAGCAATATCCATGCATAAGTGAGATGACGTATAAAATGCCTGGCGCATGGTAGGTGTACAGTAAATGCAGCTTTCCTTCCCTTTTCTCCAGTTTTCTCCTAGGAATCAGTCCTATGCAAATGCTTTAACTCTGCCATTCCCCAGCACCTTTGATAAAGGTAGACTCATTTTCAACACCCCCACTCCCACCTCCACTGTCAGCTCTCTTGCTCCCAGGGTGACAAAACAAAATTCATTTTCATCCCAGAAGAAGCTGCAGATAGATATCTCCCCTTCCTTACGTACCCATATCATTCAACTACTAAATCATCAGGCCCTGAACGCAGATGACTATGACTTTAGCCAGGTATGTATCACTGAAGTACAGATACAAAAGTGCCCTTCTTCTCCATTCTAGACATAAATCTCTGTGTATGCCCTATTTTTAGTCATACATGTAATTGCATTTGATATTTCACGTACATTTGAGTAGCCTTCTAGCTATCTTTTACCACTTTGCCCTATTTAATTCCTGCGTGCATTTTTCCAGTTGCAATTATATATTCATGTTAGTTTACACAATGTTTTCTCTCTCTTCTTCTATACCATAAGCTCATGAAAAGAGGAACTCTAATTAGTTTCATTCATCAACGTATGCCCAGGACCTGCACCCTGCACAGAGTGTTCAATAAATACATGTTGAATGAATGAATTAGTTTCTCGATTAATTGACTGTCTAGGTCCCAGGGGCAATTTATTATCAACCAGATAAAGAATTTTCTTTTAAGACTTTAAACACTGATATACATTGTTTCTGCATATCCACATTACTTAATTAGACCCTTTGATTTTTCAAGGTACTTAGAGATTTTCAATGATGAAACTACACAAGAAAACACTAGATATCACTTCAATAGAAATTAATTCTATTTCCATACCATTTTTTTCATAAAGGAGATATAACCATAAAGTATAATTCTATACACAGAGTAGGTATTCAATAATTTTTGTAAAACACACCAATTAAATTAGGTTGAGTTCATGTCCTTTGCAGGGACATGGATGAAGCTAGAAACCATCACTCTCAGCAAACTAACACAGGAACAGAAAACCAAACACTGCATGTTCTCACTCGTAAGTGGGAGTTGAACAATGAGAACACATGGACACAGGGAGGGGAACATCACACACCAGAGCATGTCAGGGGGTTGGGGGCTAGGGGAGGGATAGCATTAGGAGAAATACCTAATGTAGATGACAGGTTGATGGGTGCAGCAAACCACCATGGCACGTGTATACCTATGTAACAAACCTGCACATTCTGCCCATGTATCCCAGAACTTAAAGTATAATAAAAAAAAATTTAGACACTAAAGCTGAGATTGTTGCAAGGCAGTAGCAGCAGAGTATAAAGAGAATAAATTTTTTTTATTAAGAGAGGTTTTTTTAATTATTATTATACTTTAAGTTCTAGGGTACATGTGCACAACGTGCAGGTTTGTTACATATGTATACATGTGCCACGTTGGTGTGCTGCACCCATTAACTTGTCATTTACATTAGGTATATCTCCTAATGCTATCCCTCCCCCCTCCCCCCACCCCACAACAGGCCTCGATGTGTGATGTTCCCCATCCTCTGTCCGAAGCTGGAAACCATCATTCTCAGCAAACTATCACAAGGACAAAAAAAAAACAAACACCGCATGTTCTCACTCTTAGGTGGGAATTGAACAATAACGAGAATAAAATTTTAGACTTCTAGTGATTAATGAGATACCAAGAAAACTTATAATTCTAGGAAAAGTAAATAAGATGGGGTACATGGGTCATGTTCTGCCTTGTAAGACATTAGTACAAATATTAGAAAATTCCCATCACATTTTTATAACACACACACACACAAACTCCTCCATTAAAGTTCACATGGCTGTTACATATAAATAGCAAGGGACCAGAATTTTAGGGATCTTAATTGGGACTGCTTGTATTTGAGGGCTTGTGAATGCCAGGTTACAGAGTCTGGTGTGAGAAAATACAGCGTTCCCCCTGGGAATCCCGAAATTCTCACACCCTCTGAGTTATGGAAGTCACCATAGCAACATCTGTGCACATCACTGCTTCAGTGCGGATAGGCCACAGCTGCTAAGCTTTACCAGGGATCTATCACACCCTGTCTGGCTGCAACTAAGTCACAGTCTTATTCCAAGCTTTCTGAGAATGTATGAGCCCTTGAACTCATCCCAGGAGAAATAATTAAAGTCACGCTGATTCGGGTAACATATGGGACAGCAGTATGTCATTAGCTGTTTCATGATTCTAGACTGACAGTCATTGCAAAAGGCAGCTGACTGCACCCAAGAGGTGTGGCCCCTGAGTGGCCAAGAGGGAAATGCACTAAGCAATGAATTATCTCGGACTGAATTATCTCAACCAAGGAGATTGGACAAAGCTTCATGATTCCGGGTCACTGACCACACTTTTTGTTAGGGGTCATAGGCCTTTTCTGATCACTGTGCCTTAAATTAAGAAATGCAGGCTATTACTCACCTACCTGGGTAAATGCCTCTGGGATTGTCAAGTTCTGAAAATGTCTGAACACGATTGAGAAAATGTACACTATAAAGATATCCAAGTGGAGAAAAAGAGTCCACGTACACTTCTCATG
This sequence comes from Homo sapiens, assembly GCF_000001405.40. Classification (NCBI taxonomy): domain Eukaryota; kingdom Metazoa; phylum Chordata; class Mammalia; order Primates; family Hominidae; genus Homo; species Homo sapiens. The sequence goes on from NC_000004.12 coordinate 74,841,661, forward strand.
GGCTTCCAGGTCTAATCTGTCACATGATCTGTCATCACTGAAAAGATGGATATTAGAATAATTTTTATTTCTCAGGAACTAGTAGTTGTACGCTAAGTATCAGACCTAATATACCCCAAAGCCTACTTTGTTAGGATCCCCTACTTGGATATGTTAAAAATCCACTCTCCTTCCAGTACATATGTTCAGATTGTGCACTGTTCAGGTGTTATGTTCAGGTATGCCACAACCACGGGAGCACCATTCACATCATGGACACATGATAACATTTGAGGGTATGTGGGCCAATGTAGAGATTTAACCTAATTGCCAAATCCTGGATCGGCAGGTGTATTAGTCAGGGTTCTCTAGAGGGACAGAACTAATAAGATAGATAGATATATTAAGGGGAGTTTATTAAGGAGTATTAAACTCACATGATCACAAGTTCCCACAATAGGCTGTCTGCAAGCTGAGGATCAAGGAAGCAAGCCCAAGCCCCAAAGCTGAAGAACTTGAAGTCTGATGTTTGAGGGCAGGAAGCATCCAGCATGGGAGAAAGATGTAGGCTGGGAGACTAAGCCAGTCTAGGCTTTTCACGTTCTTCGGCCTGCTTTTACCCTAGCCATGCTGACAGCTGATTAGATTGTGCCCACCCAGATTAAGGGTGGTCTGCCTTTCCCAGCCCACTGATTCAAACATTAATCTCCTTTGGCAATTCCCTCACAGACACACCCAGGATCAATACTTTGCATCCTTCAATCTAATCAGGTTGACACTCAGTATTAACCATCACAGAAGGCAAGACATCCTTTTACATAAACCCACACTTACGCATGTGGTCATGCACATATCTGGGGGAACATGCATGCACACACTCTGTAGCACACACATATGTGTATGACTGTGCCTTATTATGAGCTCACTCTGGGTGTTCCCTGAAGTTACATTTCTTGCTCACTACTCTTAGAGTCCTCATTCCTACCCAACACCATGCCAACCTGCCCTGGTCATCTCACAGGTGGTGCAGAAAAAGTGTATATGTTCCTGGTGTCCAGGATGTGGCACTGAGTGTCCCGAATTCTATGAATCTCTCAGAGAGTGGGTGCATGTGCAGACAACAGTCAAAGATGTTTACAGAAGCCAGATATTTGAAATGGTAACATTAGAAAATAAACTCTAAGAAATGAAGTTCTAAGCATTTGATTGCAAAGAATCCATATGAAGAAAGGGAAGGCTTAGTAGGAAACTCCTGTTGCTTTAACAGTATGTCAGTGAGCCTGGGTTTAAAGAAAGGAGAGATGTGAGGGGTGCTCAGGATTGAGGGTGAATATGGGACAATAAGGAAAATTGTACCAACAGTATAAGGAAGGCAAATAGAAGCTTGAAAAAAAAATCAGGAACGTGAACAAGAAATCTATGACCCACTGAGGCATATGGAGCGAGGGTAAAGCTACTTGTCTAAGGTTACATAGACACAGGGCATAAATGGCAGAGCCAGAGTTTGGACCCAGGTCCCTGCCAGACTGTTATAATACTGCTCCTCATGTTTAATACATTGGTGAGTCCTGTTGGTGTTACTTCTGGCCTTGTTTAGGCTGTCATCTAGATAATTACAATTTCCCCAGATCAATCTCAGCTGAAATCCATTCCCCAGGATCTGCATAGACTAATCTTCCACCTGACCATGTCGTTCTTTTTCCGAAAACCCTTCTAGGGCTTTCCATTTTTCCCCTAAATATGATAGCTGGCTCTCCTTGATTTGACCCCCATATCCTCTGGAGTTCCAACTCCTGCCCCTCCCCTTCCAATACTCAGCAGTGAGACTGCACATCTAATGGGTCTCTAAACTTCTTCATGTTTCCCTGCCTTTACTCACGTTGCCCCCTCCACTAGGAATACCTTCTTCTCAACCTCCCATCACAACATCATTCAAAGCTTAGTACAAGCCCTACCTCCAACCTCAGGTTACATTTTCTGAACTGCCAGACTCAGAGAGGCACCTTATGTGAATCCCTACCATGGTACCTTGGCCCTCTTACAGTGCTTACATGGCACTGAATTTTCCTCAGCTACTTGTGGATCTTTCTACCTCACTAGAGTTTGAACTTATTAGGACATTAAACATGCCTGATTCATTCCCCCCTCAACGTCTACACAAGCACTTTGGCTGCTCAAAGAAAATGTTCGTTCAACTCTACATTACATTGAGCATCAATTCCTCTGTGGCCCATAGAGCAGGGTTCCCCAACCCCGGGGCCAGTACCGGTCTATGGCCTATTAAGAACCAGGCCAGCACAGCAGGAATTGAGTGGCAGGCAAGCGAGCAAAGCTTCATTTGTATTTATAGCCACTCTCCATTGCTCTTATTACTGCCTGAGCTCCGCCTCCTGTCAGATCAGCAGTGGCATCAGATTCTCATCGTAAGGCAAACCCTATTGTGAACAGCGCGTGGGAAGGGTCTAGGTTGTGCACTCATTATGAGAATCTAATGCCTGATGATCTGTCACTGTCCCCCATCACCCCCAGATGGGACCATCTACTTGCAGGAAAACAAGCTCATGATTCCCACTGATTCTTATGGTGAGTTGTATAATTATCTCATTGTATATTACAAGGTAACAATAAAAGAAATAACGTGCACAATAAACGTAATGTGCTTGAAACATCCTGAAACCGTCCTCACCCTTCACCCCCACCCCCACTCCTGGTCCGTGGGAAAATTGTCTTCCATGAAACCAGTCCCTGGTGCCAAAAAGGTTGGGGACTGCTGCCATAGAGCCTTTTATTTACTTTTATTTCATTTTATTTTACTTTATTTTATTTTACTTTTTGAGACAGTCCTGCTCTCTTGCCCAGGCTGGGGTGCAGTAATGCGATCTCAACTCACTGCAACTTCCACGTCCTGGGCTCAAGTGATCCTTCCACCTCAGCCTCCTGAGTAGCTGGGACTGCAGGGGCACACCACTACATCCAGCTAATTTTTGTATTTTTTTTATTTTGTAGAGACAGGATTTCACCATGTTGCCCAAGCTGATCTTGAACTCCTGGACTCAAGCAACCCACTCTCTCAGCCTCCCAAAGTGCTGGGATTACATGCATGAGCCACCACGCCCAGCCCCCATAGAGCCTTTTATTATTTGGCCATCCAAACCAATCCAAAGTTTCCCCCCTCCCTTTTCTATGGAATGCACCTTACAGCTCTAGGCTCTCTGGTCTCCTCATAGTCCTAACTGCACACCCTTTCATTCCTATGGCTTCCTCTCCCTGAAACACCCTCTTATTGACTATGGAGATGCCAATAAGATGCCATCTATCCACCCTCATCCAGACTAAGGATAAACTTCTTCATAAATCCATTCACGACAGCACTGGTCTACTTCATTCATTTCCATACAGCAATGACACTCAATAACAGCCAAGCAGAAGCTCTCTATGCTCAGGCAGGGCTTAATGACTAACTCAGCTAACTCCAGGATAATCAGACAATGGGCGAGCTTGTTGGTCAAGGGTTCTCAAATGTCAGCAGTATCTGCAGGTCTTCTTAGGCATGGAAGTTTCTTTCAGACACTAACCTTTCACACTTCTGGCTGGGGGAGTACATCTGGCTGCACCTTTTTGAAAGCAGAATTGGGAAAAGAGGATTGTGGAACTCACCACTCAGTGGGTAGACATTTATTTAATTTCCAGTTTTCACACCTACTTTCTGACATGACCAATGTCCTCAGGTTTAATTTCTCTAGAAAACAAACTCATGCTTTCCTTTCAGGGTAAAGGAAGGAATCGAAGGATCCACTTGCTCCATATAGAGTGTTTCAATCAATTCCCCTACTTCCAATCCCATCCCTTGCCATAACTTCTGAAATAACAGCTACTCCAACTCCTAAGCCCTTCTAGGGCTCTCTGGAGTGAGTAGGTTTCCTGGTCTTTATCCTCCCCTGAAAGATGCTAACTTGCAAAATCTGTATTAAGTTTCAGGATCTGATCTGTATTTATTTTTTAAAAAATTATTTTCCACCTTCCTTCAAAATATAAGTCAGTGGAAACTAGCAGAAATTCTGGTTTGTTCACTAAGAAGAGTGGCTGGTAGTACTTTGTATGTGCTTTGCATTAAAGCCATGGGACTCATGATGTTTCAGTCAACAATGGGCTATATATACAACAGTGGTCCCATAAGATTATAATGGAGATGAAAAATTTTTATTTCATCCATTCCTGTATGCTTTTTGTGTTCAGATATATTTAGAAATACACTTACTATTGTATTACCAACTGCCTACAGTGTTCAGTACAGTAACATGCTGTACAGGTTTGTAGCATACGAACAATAGGCTATATCATATAGACTAGGTGAGTAGTAGGTTATGCCATCTAGGTTTGTGTAAGTACATTCTAGGGTGTTTCCACAATGAAGAAATTGCCTAATGACATGTTTCAGAATGTATACCTGTTAGTCATAAGACTATGTATATGTATATATGTGTGTGTCTATCTAATCTAACTATGCATCTTGACTGCTGAAGTAGTTTCTCTCTCCCCACCTCTTTCTCTCCTTATGGGTTTATAATAGTTTTATTTACATACTATTATTTTAGTGGAATTTCAGGGGACACACAAGATAAATGCATATATTCAGTCCACTGGGGTTAATGAGAAGTCTGTTCTTTTTTTTTTTCCTACATCCTCTTGCAGTCTATTTTCCACCAGAAGCCATGTAATTCTGTGGAAACTTAGGTCTGATTGTATCTTTCTGTGCTCAACACCCTTCAGTAGCTTCCCAATTCACTCTGAGTAGAAGCCAAATCCTTACCACGCTTACACAGTCCCACAATTTGGCTCCCTACTACCTCTCCACTGCCTCTTCACTCACAGCTCATGCTACTCCTCCCCTTCACCCTGCTCCAGCAACCTGGCCTCCTTGCTCTTCTCAGAATACATAAAGCACATTCACACCTCAGAGATTTGTTTTTAATCTCTGTTCCCTCTTCCTGGAATGTTTTCCCCTAAATAGTTACATTACTGACTCTCTCAACCTCTTCAAGCATTTCAATGAATAGCCCTTTCTCAATGAGTCTTGCATTGACTACCCTATTTAAAATAGCAACTATTGCTTCCCCCATCTCCTCCCCAATACTTGCTTTATTTTTCTCCATAGAACTTATGACAACGTAATATTCTATGTGTTCGATTTTTTATTAGTTCATTTTCCACTTTTGTTCAAAATAAGTTGATGAAGACAGAATCTCTTTTGTAATCTGCTAAGAATAGTGCCTAGCACATAATAAGTGCAAAATTGATATTTGTTGCATGAGTGAATTAACAACTTCTACTGTTTGAGATTTCTAGTTAGGAAAAGTTGTCAGATAGGACAAGGTGGCCCTAACCAAAGTCTACTGCTAGAACATAACCCAAACGAGAGGTGAGAACTCCTCAAAAGGAAAGGGTGAGCCCATGATGAACATAAGACCCTAAGGTTTTATGAGAGAAGCTGATTCCAGCACAGCATATGCCTGAGACTGAAAATATCTCCAAAGCAACTACCTAGACTTCCTTATGTGGCATCATAACAAAAAGAACGCTAGCCAACCATGTGAATATGAACTGTGAAATAAGCATGGGGAAAGACCACAGGCTGAACATACACATACTTCAGCAAGAGTGTGGCTGCAGAGCAAGTGCCTACACATGGGACCACTCAGAACCAACAGTCAACAACGTAGACACCATAGGGTTGAAAGCAAAACAACAATGGTGCTTGTGGACTGACAAGGCTCTGAAGTTTCTCTTTCTGCTTGGCCTATGAGAGCTGAACTGGCCTTCTTAAAACCAGATAAGCCCTCAGAATTCTGGAACAATCAAAAAGGAACTTCTTTATACCTGGGTGCTACAGTGATTAAGCTGGAAAGGAAAGAGATTAGGCCAGTTATTTATATAAAGCTGGTGAAGCAAGCCATGCTGGCTAGAGTATTATATATTTAACAGAATGATAAAGATTATTAACTGTCTTTTAGACTTACTCTGATAACACAGGCATATATCTTTTTCTTGCACTTCACTTTATTCTGCTTCACAAATAATGTGGGTTTCTTAAACAAATTAAAAGTTTGTGACACCATTGTGTCTAGCAAGTCCATTGGCACAATTTTCCAACAGCATGTGCTCACTTTGTGTCTCTGTGTCACATTTTGGTAATTCTTACAATATTTCTAATTTTTTATGTCTCCTATATCTGCTATGGTGATCTATATAATCAGCAATCTTCGATGTTACAATTATAATTGTTTTGGGGCGCCATGAATCATGCCTATATAAGACAGCAAACTTAGTCACTAAATGTATATGTTCTGACTGCTCCACCAACCAGCTCTCTCTCCATCTTCTCAGAAGCCCCTATTGTTTGACACACAATAACACTGAAATTAGGTCAATTAATAACTTTAGAGTGTCTTTTAAGTGTTCAAGTGAAAGGAGGAGTCACATGTTTTGCTATAAATCAGTGACTAGAAATGATTAAGCTTAGTGAGAAAGACACATCAAAAGTCAAAGTAAGCTGAAAACTATGCCTCTTGCAACAAACAGGCAAGTTATTAATGCAAAGGAAAAGTTTTTTAGAAAATTAAAGTGCTACTTCAGTGAAGACATGAATGATAAGAAAGCAAAAATGCCTTATGGCTGATAAGGAGAAAGTTTTAGTGGTCTGAATAGAAGATCAAACCAACCACAACATCTCCTTAGGCAAAAACCTAATCCACAGAAAGGATAACTCTGCTCAATTCTGTGAAGACTGAGACAGGGGAGGAAGATGGAGAAGAAAAGCGGTAAGCTGGCAGAGATTCATTCATGAGGTTTAAGCAAAGAAGCCATCTCCATGACACAATAGTGCAAGGTAAAGCAGAAAGTGCTCATGTAGAAGCTGCTGCAAGTTATCCAGAAAATCTAGCTAAAATAGCAGATGAAGATGACTATACTATATAACAAATTTTCCTTTTTTTCTTTTTTTTTTTTTTAACTCTCTGTTTAGGTTCAAGGGTACATATGCAGGTTTGTTATATATGGAAACTCCTGTCATAGGGGCTTGTTGTACAGATTATTTTGTCACTGAAGCACTAAGCCTAGTACCCAGTTGTTATTTTTTCTGATTTTTTTCCTCCTTCCACTCTCTACCCTCAAGTAGGCCCCAGTGTTTGTTGTTCCCCTCTTTGTGTCCCTGTGTTCTCATTATTTAGCTCCCAGTTATAAGTGAGAGCATATGGTATTTGGTTTTCTGTTCCTGTGTTAGTTTGCTAAGGATAATGGCCCCCAGTTCCATCCATGTTCCCTTAAAGGACGCGATCTTGTTCTTTTTTACGGCTGCATAGTATTCCATGTTGTATATGTACCACATCTTCTTTATCCAATCTGGCACTGATGGACATTTAGGGTGATTACATGTCTTTGCAATTGTGAATAGCGCTTCAGTGAACATATGTGTGCATGTATATGGTAGAATGATTTATATTCCTTGGGGTATACACCCAGTAATGGGATTGCTGGGTCAAATGGTAGTTGTGTTTTTAGCTCTTTGAGGGATTGCCACACTGCTTTCCTCAATTTTGAACTAATTTACACTCCCACCAACAGTGTATAAGCATTCCATTTCTCCACAATCTTGCCAGCATCTGTTATTTTTTGACTTTTTAATAATATCCATTCTGACTGGTGTGAGATGTTATCTCATTATGGTTTTGATTTGCATTTCTCTAATGGTCAGTGATACTGAGCTTTTTTTCATATACTTTTTTGACATATGTATGTCTTTTGAAAAGTATCTGTTCATCTCCTTTGTCCACTTTTTAATGGAGTTGTTTGGGTTTTTCTTGTACATTTGTTTAAGTTCCTTGTAGACTCTGGATATTAGACCTTTGTTAGATGGATAGATTGCAAAAATTTTCTCCCATTCTGTAGATTGTCTGCTCACTCTGATGATAGTTTCTTTTGCTGTGCAGAAGCTCTTTAGTTTAATTAGATCCCATTTGTCAATGTTTGCTTTTGTTCCAGTTGCTTTCGGTGTTTTCATCAAGAAATCTTTGCCCATGCCTATGTCCTGAATGGTATTGCCTATACTACCTTTGCCAGATGCATAGTTTGCAAATATCTTCTTCCATTCCGTAGGTTGTCTGTTTACTCTGTTCGTAGTTTATTTTGCTGTGCAGAAGCTCAAGTTTAATTAGATCTCATTTGCCAATTCTTTTTCTTGTTGGAATTGCTTTTGGCGTCTTTGACATGAAATCTTTGCCAGCTCCTATGTCCAGAATGGTATTGCCTAGGTTGTTGTCCACGGTTTTTGTTTCGTTTTGTTTTGTTTTGTTTTTGTTTTGAGATGGAGTCTCGATCTGTCATCCATGCTGGAGTGCAGTGGCGCAATCTCGGCTCACTGCAAGCTCCGCCTCCCAGGTTCATGCCATTCTCCTGCCTCAGCCTCCCGAGTAGCTGGGACTATAGGAACCTGCCACCATGCCTGGCTAATTTTTTGTATTTTTAGTAGAGATGGGGTTTCACCGTGTTAGCCAGGATGGTCTCGATCTCCTGACCTCGTGATCCACCCGCCTCAGCCTCCAGGGTTTTTATAGTTTTGGGTTTTACACTTAAGTCTTTAATCTACCTTGAGTTGATTTTTGTATATGGTGTAAGGAAGGGGTCCAGTTTTAATCTTTTGCATATGGCTAGCCATTTATCCCAGCATCATTTATTGAATAGGGAGTTCTTTCTCTATTGTTTGTTTTTGTCAGCTTTGTCAAAGATCAGATGGTTATAGGTGTGCAGCTTTACTTCTGGGCTCTCTATTCTGTTCCTTTGGTCTATGTGTCTGTTTTTGTACCTGTACCATGCCAAACAACAGATTTTCAGTGTAGACAAAACAACCTTCTATTGGAAGAAGATATCATCTAGGACTTTACAGTTAAAGAGGACAAGTCAATGTCTGGCTCTGAAGCTTCAAAGTACAAGCTGACTCTCTTAGAGGTTAATGCAATTAGTGACTTTAAAGTTAAAGCCAATGCTCATTTAACATTCTGAAAATCCTAGGACCCTTAAGAATTATGCTAAATCTACTGTGTCTGTGCTTGATAAATGGAACAACAAAGGCTGGATGACAGCTACTCTGTTTACAACATAGTTTACTGAATATTTTAAGCCTACTGTTGAGACCTACTACTCAGAAAAAGAGTCATTTAAAAACATTACTGCTCATTGGCAATGCACCTGGTCACCCAAAAGCTCTGATGGAGATATACAAGAAGATTCATGTTGTTTTTTGCCTGCAAACATGGCATTCATTCTGCACCCCATGCATCCAGGAGTAATTTTGACTTTCAAGCCTTGTTATTTAAGAAACACATTTTGTAAGGCTACAGCTGCCACAGATAGTGATTCCTCTGATGGATATTGGTGAAGTAAATTGGAAACCTTCTGGAAAGGATTCACCACTCAGGACCCATTCAGAACATCTGTGATTCCTCAAAAGAAGTCAAAATATCAATATTAACAGAAGTTTGTAAGAAGTTGATTTCGGCCCTCATGGATGACTTGGAGGGGTTCAAGACTTCAGTGGAGGAAGTAATTATAGATGTGGTGGAAATAGCAAGAGAACTAGAATTAGAAGTGAAGCCTAAAGATGGGAGTGAATTGCTGCAATGCCATGATCATGCTCGAGTGGATGAGGAATTGCTTCTTATGGATGAACAAAGAAAGAGATTTCTTGATATGAAATTTGCTCCTAGTAAAGACACTGTGAACATTGTTGAAATAACACCAAATGACTTAGAATATTACCTAAGCTTAGTTGATAAAGCAGTGGCAGAGTTTGAAAAGACTGACTCCAGTTTTGAAAGAAGGTCTAGTATAGATAAAATGCTTGGAAACAGCATCTCATGCTAAGAAAAAAAATCTCTCATTTAAAAAATTGATTCATCAATTTTTTGCATCAATTTATTGCATCAATTGATGCAGTAAACTTTAGTGTTGTGCTATTTTAAGAAATTGCCACAGCCAGCCCAGCCTTCAACAACTACCACCCTGATCAGTCAGCAGCCATGAACATTGGGCTAAAACACTCTACCAGCAAAAACATTACAATTTGCTGAAGGCTCATACAATCATTAGCATTTTTTAGCAATAAAGTATATTTAAATTAAGGTATGTACATTGTTTTCTTAGGCACAATGCTATTGCACACTTAATAGACTACACTATAGTGTAAATATAAATTTAATTTGCATTGGGAAACCAAAAAATTTGTGTGACTTGCTTTATTACCATATTTGCTTTATTGTGATTGTCAGGAACCTAACTCTCAATGTCTCCCAAGAAAACCTGTAATCACAAAGTACATAGCAGTGTCCAGCACACAGAAGTGTTCAAAAAGTAGGCGATAGTATTAAAGCACCTGAAAAATATTAGTTGCATTTAAATAACCATAGTGTTAAACACTATGACAATACAATTTTCTCAGTTACTCTTCATTGACAAATTCAAAAGTTGGACATCTTCCACCAAGGCACTCAAGTTGTGTCACTAGTATTACATAGGGGGAAAGGTTACATCAGTTTCAAGGAAATTAGTATTCATCACTTAATTGCATTCCCTAACAAAATAATACAGGCCTTTATTCAAGTGACCTTTTAATTGTATTACTCTCATTTTGAATTCAATTCCCTCCTCTGTAAAAAGGAGGGAATTACTACCTCACAAGCATTTTATGAGGATCAAATGAGATAATGTTTATTGGCAACATACAAATATAAGATTTACTGTTGTGATTGCTGATTCACTTCAGACTGCACACTCACTGTACGCTTTGAAAAGGTACTCTTTGCACAATCCATGAAGTGATGTGTTCGGAAGCCTCTGAAAGATAGATTAAGCCAGACTTCTGGGCTCCCCTTCTGACTTTCTGGCATCTGTAAAATGGGGACAATTTATGTGAATGCTCCATTTATAAAGTTCTGGAATGGTTTAATACAAAAGACACTGTATGGTGGCATAAGGACATCTTTACTTTCATCCTATGGACAACTTGGAATTGGAGACATTACTAAATCTGAATTGGTTGTGTAGTGCCAAAAAAACCATGCTGACAATGCTATCCCCGACATTTCTTCCTGTGTGTTACTCAGGTGTACATGAATAAAAGTTTGCTACATATATATTTCAATATAAATATTAAACCCATTACAAATAATTCAGAAATCAAATAATCTTGGATTCTTTGGGATTGGAGTTTTATAATACATTTGTGTATTTTTTTATTTTTTATTTTGTTTTTGAAAGAATTTTGAAGCACTTCCTGCTTTTGCCTTCAAGGTAGAGTTGCCAGATTTCACAAATGAAAATACAGCCAATAACATTTGAGTTTTGGATAAACGACAAATAATTATTTGCCTTTTACAGCGAGTTGATCACTGATTTTTGTTTTTTAATCAAAAGGAAATAGTTGTCTATAGTTGTATTTGGGAAATAAAAATGACTCATATTTTAAGGCAACAACAAACTTACACTTTCTACATAGATTTTTTTCTTAGTATAGCCTGCAACTGGAAGAAACTGAATGTTTTAAATATGAGAGTCATATAATCAGAACTTCACTTTAGGACAAGCCTCCTGGCACACAGTGTGTACAACAGATAAGGATAAGCAAATCCATTTAAGATTTCCTTGTAAGGGAGACAGTAGTCTGAAACGCAAGCGATAGAAACAGAAATAGAAAAGAAAGGAAACGGTGTATGAGAGATGTTGTGGGTGATGAGTCTACATGGCCAAGCATTAATTAAGTGAGGAAGACAAGAGAAAATTAAATGTCAAATGTAACTCTAGAGTTCTAAGAAGAATATGTCCCACTTGAGAAAAATAGGGAAAATCAGAAGAAAAGGCTGAATTTGATGAAAAGAATTCTAATATATCTTTAGATCTTGCAAAGTTTAAGATGTCTTACTAATTAAGCATATCTAAAGCAAAAAGCATCTAAGTCTAGATGTGAATTTAGAATGCATGAAAGTGACCTTCCAATAAAAGTAGAAAACATACGTACTTGAGCACATGTGCATGTATACACACACAGAGCTTTAAACATAAAAAATTTATGTACTCTTCCTGGCATGACAAGTTCTGATTGCAATTTCATCAATTCAATTAATCTTTCCAAGAAAAGCAATCATAGTATTGCTTCATTTGCTTAATCCAACCAATATTTATTAAAAGCATTGACTTGGGTCCTGCAATGTCCCACATGCTGAAAATACAGAGGTGGACACAGACAGGCTTCTGCCCCCTCAAAGTCACACCAAAGACAAGAGTGATACCTAAATACACCATACCCTTTCAAGGGGAGATAAGCATCAGGAAGGAAAATAAAGCAGGATATATACTAGAGAATTACTGGGTTTCTGGGAATCTATCTCAGAGAGAGGTCAAGGAAGGCTTTCTGATAAGATAATATTTGAACAAGAATCTAGATAAAACAAAAGAGAGAGAGAGAAATCTGGGAGAAAGAGGACCAGGAAGAGTAAATAGCAGCAGCAAAGTCCCTGAGGCCAATGGGGTAGAGAGTATTACTTATTCACAACTCTCCCCTCTGCTCCTGTTCATGGCTCACTCTGGGCAGAGTTACATCACACCAACTTTAGGCTTGGGTGTGTGTTTTGCTTTGAGCCCAGTGGTATGGGAGTGAATATAATAAAATCACATATGTCTAGAAGACTTGAATATTCTTGTGTGGTTTAGCCTTGCCTCCAGTGCTCCTGCCACCTGCCATAAGAAGGGCATGCCCTGAGAGGTTGCTGCTCCCAGAAACACATGGACCCATCTGACTCTGAAATAAATCAGAGATACCCCAACCAACACACAAAGCCATGAGCAAGAAAAACGTTTTTCTTTTAAGCCACTGAGAATTGGGATAGTGAGGTGGTGTTGCATAGAATTACTATAGCAGAAACATGACAGGTACAACAGAAATGAGCTCAAATATCTGTGGAATGAGAAAAGGCCAGCATGGCTAGAGCAGAGAACATAGCACGAAGAATGCATGGAGACAAAGTTGGCAAAAAAAAAAAAATAACAATGGACTTTGGATGCCACTAGAAGGGGTTCAAGTTTGAAATGTTCTCTAAGTGTGATAGAGGAGAGTATAAGGCTTATGCTTTAAAAAGAACTTCTGGATGCTGTGTGAAGAATAGAGTCAGAAGGAACAAGAAAGGGAAGAGCTACCATTAGGAGGTGTTGCAAATTGTCTAGGCAAGAGATGATGATGATTAGACCCAGAATGCAGCAGTGGAGAAGAGAAGAAGTGATTCTATTAGATACATATTTGAAGATTGAGATGGCAGGACTGGCAAGGTTTTGGAGGTGGAATTGCAGGTCAGGAGGCATCATGAGGTCCCGAAGTCCCTATAGTTTGGGCCCGAGTAACTTCCTGGTATTTTTCCAACACTACTACATGCTCTGTGGGAGACAAGAGAAATATAAGACATGGTTCCCATGTACTGTAACCTTATAAAATAACCCATGAATTTTAAATTAAAAGTCTTTGGGTTGGACAAAATAAAACTCAAATCCTATATTAAATGCTGAAGATGTCAAAGAACATGCTATATAAGAAATTGCATTGTTTACATGTATATGTAGATTTTTACACTTATATTCACACACACACAAATTGTAACTGCGATTTATATCTACCTTAAGGATTACATACACTGAGTTCTGTGTGATCTGCCGGCAACTCTAATTTGAATTACAATGTTAATATCAGACACTAATGAGAAGAGACAAGTGAGGAAGACATTACGTGGAATTCTTACATAAGAGAAAAAAAGTACATCTTTTAGGTTTTAAGTATGAATGTCTTGGAGAGACATCAGTTCAAAAGTAGCAGAGCTGGGCTAATGGAGCCAGCCAATCTGATTCTAGAGCAGTTCTATACAAGCCAGGGGTTGGGGGAGTGTGTACAGAGCTTTATGAAGTCAATGTATCCTTGGCTTCTCCTTTAGTCACGCTTAGACTGGTTTTCATTGGGACTGCTGCAGGTTATCTGCTTCTGGATTGTCTTTCCTTTCCATCCTGGTTTTAAACTCCTGGAGAAATTCCATATTCTGATTAATCTTTCTGAATGCTTAGCAAAATGTTAGACATGATTCGTTCATTCACGCATGCATCCATGAAACAAATATTTACTGGGCTCCAATGATGGAGCAGGCCCTGTGCTAGGAGAAGGAGAAGACACAAAGGATAACCTAAGGTCTTCACTTGTGAAAGGACAGGCTGTAGTAGAAAAGCCAGAGATATAAGTTCACCATTACAGTGTGCTGGGATGACAGATGTATACAAGTGAAGTGCTGTGACTCACAGCAGGTGCTCAGAAAAGTAAGACATGCTTTTGTTCCCTTTGACCAGATACTAGAAGAGTGTATGGACATCCAAGGACTGACATCATAAAATTACTACGCACTGGGTAGCTTAAAACAACAGAAGTGCTGTGACTCACAGCAGGTGCTCAGAAAAGTAAGACATGCTTTTGTTGGCTTTGACCAGATGTATGGACATCCGAGGACTCAGATCATAAAATTACCATGCACTAGGTAGCTTAAAACAACAAAAATGTATCCTGTTCACAGTTCATAAGCCATAAGTATAAAATCAAGGTCTTAACCAGGCCACTTGCTTTCCGAATGCTCTAAAGGAGAATCCTTCCTTGCTTCTTCCAGCTTCTGGTGGCTCCTGGTGTTCTTTGGCTTATGGAAGCATGACACCTATCTCTGCCTCTGTCTTCACAAGGCCCTCTTCTCTGTGTGTGTCTCTCTGTCCTCTTCTTTTCTTATAAGGACATCAGTTGCTGGATGAGTAGGCCCACCCTAAGTCTAGGATGATTTCTTCTTGAAATCCTCAACTAATTATATCTGCAAATACTCTATTTCTAAATAAGATCACATTCCAGGTTCTGAAGTTCTTATTCTGAGAAAAATGAATGGTCTTCTTAGTCAGGAACAACTTTGGTAGCAAGTGAGAAAAATTCAACACAAGCTAACCAAGACCAAAGGGAAATTTGGAACTCACATAAGCAAAAAGGGCTGTTTCATAAAGCAGGGGCTCAATACTGCCAAATTGTTTCTCCTAATTTGTTGCCTATTCATCCTGGCTTATCTCTATGTCAGCTTCGTTCTCTCTCCCCATAGACAGCCTCTCCATAAGGCTGGAGACAGGGCCGCTAATATGGTTTGGCTGTGTCCCCACCCAAATCTCACTTTGAATTGTAATAATCCCCATGTGTCAAGTGTAGGGCCAGGTAGAGATAATTGAGTCATGGGAATGGTTTCCCCCATACTGTTCTTGTGTTAGTGAATAAGTCTCATGAGAGCTGATGGTTTTATAAATAGGGGCTCCCCTGCACAAGTTCTCTTGCCTGCTGCCGTGTAAGATGTGACTTTGCACCTCATTCACCTTCCACCATGATGGTCACTGTGAGGCCTCCCCAGACATGTAGAACTGTGAGTCAATTAAACCTCTCTCCCTCATAAATTACCCCGTCTTGAGTGTGTCTTTACTAGCAGCATGAGAACAGTCTAATACACCACTGACAGCATCAGCACTCATGCCCTTCATCTACATGCTCAGAAGAGAAAGGGGCAGGTTGCCCAGCTCCAGCACAAAAAATCTCAGGGAAGAACTGGCTATGTTGGCTTTTCCCCCTGATAAATAGCTGTGCCACATAAATCTTTATAAAGAAAAAAAAATGTTCTCCTCAGATGGTCAAAAAGGAATAGAAAGGGTTGCACCTATTGCCAGTCTAAAGAGTCAAACAGAAACGTGATTACTTAAAACTTTTGATAACTATTTGTAAGTTTGTAACTGTCATTATTCTAATAAAATAACAACTTAAGAATGTTTAAAGCATTGGGAAGAAAATAAAAGGAACAATTAATTTAACTGATGGGACAATATGACAGTCATCCATCCATCTTGGAGAGAAAGGTAGAAAAGAACCTCTCTTTGGTAACTAAAGGTCACCATGAGATTTTTATTTTGAACTCTCTATGTAGGATGTGAATAGTATGGGAGTAAACACATTTTTCCATGGAAAGTCAGATGTAAATAGATTAGGATTTGCAGCCTAAAAGAATCAAAATTGGAGGTAGTATGGAGGTATTTATATAACTATCTTTAATATAGTTATTTAAAACTATAAAGAGAAAAAAATCCTTAGCTTACAGATCATACAAAAGCAGGTGCCAGGCTGGTTTCCTCTACAAGGCCATGGCTTGCCAACCCCTGGTGTAGGCCATCAGGCAGCAAACCTTCAAAGTCTCCCATTGAGGCATAATCTTGGTTTTCTTTAAATTTATATCCAAATAACACTAGAGATGATTAAGACTCTACCAGCCATCTTTTCTTTTCGTTTCCTTTTTTTTTTTTTTTTTTTTTGGAGATAGAGTCTCTTTCTGACACCCATGCTGGAGTGCAGTGTCATGATCTCTGCTCATTGCAACCTCTGCCTCCTAGGTTCAAGCGATTCTCCTGCCTCAGCCTCCTGAGTAGCTGAGATTACAGGCACCTGCCACCACATCTGGCTAATTTTTGTATTTTTAGTAGCGATGGGGTTTCACCATGTTGGCCAGGCTGGTCTCAAACTCCTGACCTCAACTGATCCACCCATCTCGGCCTCCCCAAGTGCTCGGATTACAGGTGTGAGCCACCATGCCCAGCCTCCACCAGCCATCTTAGTTTGATTTTTTCATTTCACCCATAAGAAAATTAAGACCCAGGGATGTGAAGCAACCTGCCTGTGGTCCTTGGGCTCATCTAAAGCAGAACCCATACAAGAACTCAGGTTCTAACCCCGGGTTCCAAGACATTTTACTGTATACCAAGATGCCACTTACAGGTTCATTCATCTCAAATAACCCAAACCAGTGTACTCAACCTTAAATACTCAAGTGTCCCTGCCTAGGCTAAGCTTGATCACATAATTGGTCTCAACTCAAAGATTAATGCAAATGACATGGCAAAAGAGCCAAAAAACATGACAGTTGTGGGAAGGGAGATGTCCCATTTGTGAAGTGCACTTTATCAAGTCTGCAAGCATCTAGTGCTGCAGCTCAGGCCACCAACCTCCCTACACCTTCACACACTGCAATGACAATACCATCAACAATGACGAATAACATTTTTGAACACTTACTCTGTGCCGAGCACTTTTGTTTCATTTTACATACATTGATTTATTGTTTTAAGATTCCAAAAGAAAAAATTCATCTTAGATTTTCTTTTACATACTTTCAGGAGACATATACAGCCTGAGCATATTAATAATGCACATAGCATGACTCAATTTATTTGTCATTATTGAGGCTGGTTTTTAAGGCTTGTAATTTATGGCTTTGACATTACACTATAAATTAAAACAGGGTGGATGTCTAATATAACTCACAGGAATGACGTTCCACCCATGAAGCACAAATGCTCAAAGACGGAAAGCAGCCAGCATGACATGTAAAACCTTATGTGTGATAACTTCTTGTGTTCCTTGGCTTGCAGCAGATTTACTTCACAATAGACATCTCTACCACCCTCTTCAGTAGGTGATTTGCTCTCATCTGCTTTGGATTTTCAAGGCATTTCATCAAATCCCACACGTAGCACCAGAGATACTTACACTGAGACCACCATGGAAACAGAAAATATTGCGAAATGAATTTTGAAAATTTGACCTTGTTTACTTGCAGAAAAGACAAGGATGAATAAAAAGTTTATTTTGCACAATAAATAGAGAAAAGTTCAGTTTAAAGTGTCTACATAAACAAAATTATTCTAATAATAATAAAATAAGCATTCACGTTTCTAACATCAGATGCCTAACTGCGTCTTCAGCCTGCCCTTCAGTCAATCCAGACTACTTGGGGGAATCTGGCAAGATGGCCGAATAGGAACAGCTCCGGTCCACAGCAACCAGTGAGACCAGTGCAGAAGGCGGGTGATTTCTGCATTTCCAACTGAGGTACCCTGTTCATCTCAGTGGGACTAGTTAGGCAATGGGTGCAGCCCACAGAGGGCAAGCAGAAGCAGGGCACGGCATCAACTCACCTGGGAAGTGCAAGGAGCAAGGGGCCTCCCTTTCCCAGCCAAGGGAAGCCACGAGCGACTGTGCTATCCAACCCAGATACTGTGCTTTTCCCACGGTTTTTGCA
Source organism: Homo sapiens (assembly GCF_000001405.40). Lineage (NCBI taxonomy): Eukaryota > Metazoa > Chordata > Mammalia > Primates > Hominidae > Homo > Homo sapiens. The sequence continues at coordinate 74,859,852 of NC_000004.12, forward strand.
ATCCGCAGACCAGGAGATTCCCTTGTGTCTCTACACCACCTGGGCCCTGGGTTTCAAGCACAAAACTGGGCAGCTGTTTGGGCAGACATCAAGCTAGCTGCAGAAGGGTTTTTTAAATTATTATTTGTACCCTAGAGATGCTTGGAACTACAGAGAGGCAGAACCATTCATTCCCCTGGAAAGGCGGCTGAAGCAAGGGAGCCCAGAAAGCTAAGAACCACTGGCTTGAAATTCTCACTGCCAGCAGAACAGTCTGAAGTCAATCTGGAACAATAGAGCTTGGTGGAGGAAGGGACGTCCGCCATTACTGAGGCTTGAGTAGGCAGCTTTCCTCTGACAGTGCTAAGGACTGGGTGGAACTCGACACATCGCAGCAAAGTGGATGTGGCCAGACTGCCTCTCTAGATTCCTCTTCACTGGGCAGGGCATCTCTGAAAGAAAGGCAGCAGCCCCAGTCAGGGGCTTATAGATAAAGCCCCTGGGACAGAGCACCTGGTGGAAGGGGTGGCTGTGGGCACAACTTCAGTGAACTTAAATATTCCTGCCTGCTGGCTCTGAAGGGAGCAGTGGATCCTGACAAAGAGGGTTCTCCCAGCACTGTGTTCGAGCTCTGCTAAGGGGCAGATTGCCTCTTCAAGTGGGTCCCTGACCCCTGTGCCTCTTGACTGGAAGGAACCTCCAACAGGAGTTGACAGACACCTCATACAGAAGAGCTCTGGCTGGCATCAGGCCGGCACCCCTCTGGGATGAAGCTTCCAGAGGAAGGACCAGGCAGCAATATTTGCTGTTCTGCAGGTTCCACTGGACAAAAAAGCAGATAGGGTCTGGAATGGACCTCCAGCAAACTTCAGCAGACCTACAGAAGAGGGGCCTGACTGTTAGAAGAAAAATTAACAAACAGAAAGGAATAACATCAACATCAACAAAAAGGAACCCCATACAAAATCCTCATCCAAAGATCATCAGCCTCAAAGATCAAAGGTAGAGAAATCCAAGAAGATGGGGGGAAAAAAAACAGCCCAAAAATGGCTAAAAATTCCAAAAACCAGAATGCCTCTTCTCCTCCAAATGATTGCAACTCCTCTCCAGCAAGGGCACAAAACTGGACAGAGAATCAGTGTGATGAACTAACAGAAGTAGGCCTCAGAAGGTGGGTAATAACAAACTCCTCTGAGCTAAAGGAGCATGTTCTAACCCAATGCAAGGAAGCTAAGAACCATGACAAAAGGTTACAGGAAGTGCTAACTAGAATAACCAGTTTAGAGAACAATATAAATGACCTGATGGAGTTGAAAAACAAAGCACGAGAACTTTGTGAAGCATACACAGGTATCAATAGCTGAATCGATCATCAAAAAAAGGATATCACAGATTGAAAATCAACTTAATGAAATGATTAAGACAAGATTAGGGAAAAAAGGATGAAAAGGAATGAACAAAGCCTCCAAGAAAGATGGGACTATGTGAAAAGACCAAACCTATGATTGATTGGGGTCCCTAAAAGTGACAGAGAGAATGGAATCAAGTCGGAAAACACACCTCAGGATATTATCCAGGAGAACTTCTCCAACCTAGCAAGACAGGCCAACATTCAAATTCAGGAAATACAGAGAACACCACTGAGATACTCCTCGAGAAGAGTAACCCCAAGACACATAATCTTCAGATTCTCCAAGGTTGAAACGAAGGAAAAAAATGTTAAGGGCAGCCAGAGAGAAAGGTCAGGTTATCTACAAAGGGAAGCCCATCAGACTAACAGCGAATCTCTCTGCAGAAGTCCTACAAGCCAAAAGAGAGTGGGGGTCAATATTCAACATTCTTAAATAAAAGAATTTTCAACCCAGAATTTCATATCCAGCCAAACTAAGTTTCATAAGTGAAGGAGAAATAAAATCCTTCACAGACAAGCAAATGTTGAGGGATTTTGTCACCACCAGGCCTGCCTTACAAGAGTGCCTGAAGAAAGCACTAAATATGGAAAGGAAAAACCAGTAACAGCCACTGGAAAAACACACTAAAATGTAAAGACCAACGATACTATGAAGAAACCACATGAATGAATGTGCAAAATAAATAGCTAGTATCATGATGGCAGTATCAGAATCACAAATAACAGTATTAACCTTAAATATAAATGGGCTAAATGCCCTAATTAAAGGACACAGACTGGCAAATTGTATAAAGAGTCAAAACTAATCGGTGTGCTGTATTCAGGAGACCCATCTCACGTGCAAAGACACACATAGGCTCAAAATAAAGGGATGAAGGAATATTTACCAAGCAAATGGAAAGCGAAAAAAAAAAAAAGCAGGAGTTGCAACCCTGGTTTTAGATAAAACAGACTTTAAACCAACAAAGATCAAAAAAGACAAAAAGAGTGTTACATAATGGTAAAGGGATCAATGCAACAAGAAGAGCTAACTATCCTAAATATATATGCATCAATACAGGATGATCCAGATTCATAAAACAAGTTCTTAGAGACCTACGAAAAGACTTAGTCTCCCACACAAAAATAGTGGCAGACTTCAACATCCCACTGTCAGTGTTAGACAGATCAATGAGACAGAAAGTTAAAAAGGATATTCAGGACTCGAACTAAGCTCTGAACCAAGCGAACCTAGCAGATATCTACAGAACTCTCCACCCCAAATCAACAGAATATACATTCTGCTTAGCACCACATAGCACTTATTCTAAAATCAACCACATAATTGGAAGTAAAACACTCCTCAGCAAATGCAAAAGAACGGAAATTATAACAAACAGCCTCTCAGATCACAGTACAATCAAATTAGAACTAAGGATTAAGAAACTCACTCGAAAGAGCACAACTGCATGGAAACTGGACAATCTGCTCCTGAATGACTACTGGGTAAATAAGGAAATTAAGGCAGAAATAGCAAAGTTATTTGAAACTAATGAGAACAGAGGCATAATGTACCAGAATCTCTGGGACACAGCTAATGCAATGTTTAGAGGGAAATTTATAGCACTAAATGCCCATATCAGAAAGTGGGAAAGATGTAAAATCGACACCCTAACATCACAATTAAAAGAACTAGAGAAGCAAGAGCAAACACATTGAAAAGCTAGCAGAAGACAAGAAATAACTAAGATCACAGCAGAGCTGAATGAGATAGAGACACGACAAATAATTTAAAAAAAAATCAATGAATCCAGGAGCTGGTTTTTTGAAAAAATTAACATATACATTGACTGCTAGCCAGACTAATAAAGAAAAGAGAAAAGAATCAAATAGACACAATAAAAAAAATGATAAAGGGGATATCACCACTGATCCCACAGAAATACAAACTACCATCAGAGAATATTATAAACTATGCAAATAAACTAGAAAATCTAGAAGAAATGGATAAATTCCTGGACACATACACCCTGCCAAGACTAAACCAGGAAGGAGTCAAATCCCTCAGTAGACCAATAACAAGTTCTAAAATTGAGGCAGTAATTAACAGCCTACCAACCAAAAAAAGACCAGGACAAGACGGATTCACAGCCGAATTCTATTACAGGTATGAAGAGGAGCTGGTACCATTCCATCTGAAATTATTCAAAACAATAGAAAAGGAGGGACTCCACTCTAACTCATTTTATGAGGTCAGCATCATCCTGATTCCAAAACCTGGCAGAAACACAACAAAAAAAGAAAATTTCAGGCCAATATCCCTGAGGAACATCGATGTGAAAATCCTCAATAAAATACTGTCAAACTGAATCCAGCAGCATATCAAAAAGCTTGTCCACCACGATCAAGTCAGCTTCATCCCTGGGATGCAAGGATGGTTGAACATATTCAAATCAATAAACGTAATACATCACATAAACAGAACCAATGACAAAAACCACATGATTACCTCAATAGATGCAGAAAAGGCCTTTGACAAAATTCAACACCCCTTTATGCTAAAAACTCTCAATAAACTAGGTATTGATGGAACATATCGGAAAATAAAAACAGCTATTTATGACAAACACATAGCCAATATCATACTGAATGGGCAAGAGCTGGAAGCATTCCCTTTGAAAACCGGCACAAGATAAGGATGCCCTCTCTCACCACTCCTATTCAACATAGTATTGGAAGTTCTGGCCAGAACAATCAGACAAGAGAAAGAAATAAAGGCATTCAAATAGGAAGAGAGGAGGTCAAATGTCTCTGTTTGCAAATGACATGACTGTATATTTAGAAAATGCCATTATCTCACCCCAAAAACTCCTTAAGCTATAAACAACTTCAGCAAAGTCTCAGGATACGAAATCAATATGTAAAAATCACAAGCATTCCTATATACCAATAACTGACAAACAGAGAGCCAAATCATGAGTGAACTCCCATTCACAATTGCTACAAAGAAAATAAAACACCTAGGAATACAACTTACAAGGGATATGAAGGACCTCTTCAAGGAGAACTACAAACCACTGCTCGAGGAAATAAGAGAGGACACAAACAAATTGAAAAACATTCCATGCTCATGGATAGGAAGAATCAATATCATGAAAATGGCCATAGTGCCCAAAGTAATTTATAGATTCAATGCTATTCTCATCCACCATTGACTTTCTTCACAGAACTACTTTAAGTTTCATTTAAAAAAGGCCGTATATTGTGATAAAAGATAATCCTAAGCAAAAAGAATAAAGCTGGAGGCATCACACTGCCTGACTTCAAACTATTATTACAAGGCTACAGTAAGCAAAACAGCATGATACTTGTACCAAAATAGATATATAGACCAATGGAACAGAACAGAGACCTCAGAAATAACACCACACATCTACAACCATCTGATCTTTGACAAACCTGACAGAAACAAGCAATGGGGAAATATTCCCTATTTAATAAATGGTGCTGAGAACACTGGCTAGCCATACACAGAAAACTGAAACTGGACCCCTTCCTTGCACTTTATACAAAAATTAACTCAAGATAAATTAAAGACTTAAATGTAAAACCTAAAGCCATAGAAACCCTAGAAGAAAACCTAGGCAATACCATTCAGGACATAGACATGGACAAAGAATTCATGACTAAAACACCAAAAGCAATGGCAACAAAAGCCAATATTGACAAATGGCATCTAATTAAACTAAAGAGCTTCTGCTCAGCAAAAGAAACTATCATCAGAGTAAACAGGCAACCTACAGAATGGGAGAAAATTTTTGCAATCTATCCATCTGACAAAGGTCTAATATCCAGAATCTACAAGGAACTTAAACAAATTTACAAGAAAAAAAAAACAGCCCCATCAAAAAGTAGGCAAAGGATATAACAGACACTTCTCAAGACATTTATGTGGCCAAGAAACATATGAAAAAAAAACCTGATCATCACTGGTCATTAGAGAAATGCAAATCAAAACCACAATGAGATACTATCTTACACCAGTTAGAATGGCGATTATCAAAAAGTCAGGAAACAACAGATGCTAGCAAAAATGCAGAGAAATAGGAATGCTTGTACACTGTTAGTGGGAGCATAAATTAGTTCAACCATTGTGGAAGACAGTGTGGCAATTCCTCAAGGATCTATAACCAGAAATATCATTTGACCCAGCAATCCCATTACTGGGTATACACCCAAAGAATTATAAATCATTCTCTTATAAAGACACATGCATATGTATGTTTATTGGAGCACTATTTACAATATCAAAACTTGGAACCAACCCAAATGCCCATCAATGATAGACTGGATAAAGAAAATGTGGCATATATGCACCATGGAATAATATGCAGTCATAAAAAAAGATGAGTTCATGTCCTTTGCAGGGACATGGATGAAGCTGGAAACCATCATCCTCAGCAAGCTAACACAGGAACAGAAAATCAAACACCACATGTTCTCACCCATAAGTGGGAGTTGAACAATGAGAACACATGGACACAGGGAGGGGAACATCACACACCCAGGCCTGTTGTGGGGTGGGTTGCTAGGGGAGGGAGAGCATTAGGACAAATACCTAATGCATGTGGGACTTAAAACCTAAATGATGAGTTGATAGGTGCAGCAAACCCCATGGCTCATGTATACCTACGTACCAAACCTGCATGTTCAGCACATGTATCCCAGAACTTAAAGTAAAATTAAAAAATAAAAATAAATCCAGGCTACTTTCTCCTCTCCTTATGTCTCCATATTTTCTAGCCTTTATCTCTTCCCTCAAGGGCTTCAATACTCATCTCAGATGATGCTGGCTCACATTAGTAGTGTGAGTGATGGAGGCATGTCTCCAAAGGATCATATGTCATTAGAAAAATTTCCCCAGACTCGGGGAACGGTCAGGAAAGCTCCCAACTTAGAATCATTAGTCCACATCATTGCTTCTCAACTCTGCCTGCACAAGAGGATAACCTGAAGAGTTGAAAAAAATAAATTAGCACCCAGTCCCAAACCCAGATCCATTGACTAAGAATCTTAAAGGTGATACAAGGGCACTGCTGGATTTTAAGAGCTTGGCAGGTGATTCAATCAGGTTTGAGAACCGCTGACGTAAATTCTAAATGCTACCTTATCCCCTAAGACCTCAGCTCTCTTAAACCCCCATTAATAAATACTGCTCTACAGTATCTCCTCTGAAGTTCTGGGATCAGATGTGTTTCAGAATTCAGATTTTTTTTTTGATTGTGTGTGTGTGTGTGTGTGTGTGTGTGTGTGTGTGAAAATATGTAATACCCTTAGAAGAGTCTAGGGCAGCACCCCATAATCAAACATTAACCTTCTGCAGTGAAACAAACATCCATACTAAATGGAATCGATTAAGACTATAAATAGCCTTATCTTAGTTGAGGTCGGTTTTTATTTCCAAATGAGGTAAGAAACATTTTTCCTCTTCATAGATTTGGAATTTTGGAATTGTAGGTAATAGATTGCAGATCTGGGCTAACAAAGTAGCTCCCTTACCCAAAATACATTTATTTATCACAAAGATGATCTCTTTCTCGACAAGCTTACAATCTAATTGGGGGAATGGGGTAACAGGTATGTAAGCAGTCAATTATAATCAGGCCAACTTTTCTAAAAGCATGCTTAGTGTAATGCTTCTCCATCCTTGCTGCATGTAAAAATCAACCTGGAACTTGTAAAAATATTAATGCCACAGCCACACCCCAGAGATAATTAAATCAAATTTGGGAGCGTAGGCACATTTAAGCTTGAATAGTAAAATTAAAAATAGTTATGAGGCCAGGAGCAGTGGCTCACGCCTGTAATCCCAGCACTTTGGGTGGCCAAGGTGGACAGATCATGAGGTCAGGAGTTCAAGACGAGCCTGGCCAATATGATGAAAGCCTGTCTTTACTAAAAAATACAAAAATTAGCCAAGCGTGGTGGTGCATGCCTGTAGTCCCAGCTACTCAGGAGGCTGAGGCACAAGAATCGCCTGAGCTGGGAGGCGCCTGAACTGGGGAGGCAGATGTTGCAGTGAGCCGAGATGGCACCACTGCACTCCAGCCTGGGTGACAGAGTGAGACTCCATCTCAAAAAATAAAAAATAAAATAAAATAAAATAAATTATGAAAAACCTATCATTAGAAGAAAGCAAGTAGATTGATGCTCTATTGCTGAATATAAGTGAATGTGGTTTTGAAACTTGAAGTCTTTGGAGTTTGGACAGTTGGAAAGAAACTCAAGATAAAGGAGAAAGCTATTGAGAGATATGAAACAAAGATGAGACATACTAGAAAAGGAGATATTTGGTTTTGCTGAAAAAAAATTAATGTGCTTTTCTTTTAACCAGTGCTTTTCAGTCAGTTGGGGGATAGAAGATGGCAATGAAGAGCTTGAAGAAGTTTCTTGGCTTATTCTCCTATATCACCCTCTATTCTTATACCCATATTCCCAACACCAATTGAAAACAACATCTCTTAATCTTCTGCTGTAATGTGGCAATTCATCGTATGTCATTGTGTAACATCTCATTAATTTTTGTAGCTGTAATTTAGGTTTTTTGCTATGAATTAGATTGTTGCATATTTATGCCTTATTTTTCCTAACTAGATTATAAACTAGAGAACAGAGATTTTTAAATTAATTTCCTATATTTCCCCGCAGTACTTACTCCTATGTCTTACATAATTCAGATTTTCAATAATATGATTTTATTTTATACCCAAACCATGGACCTCCACTGAGGCTGAAAAGGCTGGAAACAAGATAAATCAAAGAAAGTAAGACACACATGAATGGCTATTTTTCCATATCTCAAATTTTGAATGCTCACCCTTGACCTAAACAATGGAGTGAAAAATATAAAACCCAAACGTGAACAGAAGTAGTATATATAAACCACTTAGCAAAAACAGAAAGCTAATTAATAGGCAGATGCATCTTTTCAATGATCATTCTGAATCCAGATGACCTATCTATTCAGTGGTTTCAAAGGTAACTGAATAAACAATCCCTAAGAAATGGGGAAGAAACTTTAACTAAGAGAACATCTTAATTAGACTAACTGCAAGCAAAAAGAGGAAATATCAGCTCAGCACACAAAACTGAGAAACATAAGTACAGATAAGTACAGATTGATAACAATGAAATGACACTTCAAAAAGATAATATAAACAATATTAGCCTTTATCCTCTTTTTTAAATCACATGAAAGCACTCAGCACAGTGAGAAACGTGTTGGGCAATGTTTAGGGGTATGCACAGAAAGAAAAATCTATATGGCTGCACCACACTAGTAGCTGTAAGTCTCTCTGGAGAAAAGGCTAGAATTGGTGAAGGAGGACTGTCTCAAGATTTAGTCAGACAAGTAGACCACTAGAGAAAGAATAAAGTATATATAGAAAATTTCTACATATATATACATACACAAACACATATATGAATTTTATTTTTACAAGAATATTACCTGGCAGTTGCGAATGAAAGATGGCTGAAAGATGGGGAACAGCAAAAACATTCTGGAATCTACAGATACAGCCAGAAGCAGAAACATAAAGGAGAGCAAATTCTGGGAAATGTAATCTAGCCTAATCGCATTACAAATGTGACACATTACAAAGCCTCCACAGGGGCTTTAATTTATATTATTAAATAAATTTTTGGAGGGAAAAGTTATTTTAAAAACTCAAAATGACTTTTTTAGAGTTTTTAAAAATAAATCAAATCTAAACCATTATACTATGTCATATAAACAAAAAATCAATTATTTTTAAGGCTATTATGACACTGGTAACATTCACGCTAATGATTTATGTAAACAATCAAAAGCAAAATATATACAAGCTGGATGCTTTGAGAATATCTGAAGAATCGAGTGAGTTTTCTCAGCCGAGGGATGGTGTAATAGTGGCATGCCCTTTACAATGTCCAGTATTCTTACATAGTCAAGGATGAGGTTCTATGCGTCTTGCACAGATGCAAAAGTTCTGAAGTGTAACATTAAACATAACATCTTTTTCCCCTTAATTAACCAGAGAGAATTCTCAACATTCAGCAAACTGCTCATCGCATTTTTGCTAGATTCCTTTTCTACTAATTCTATTCTTTTAAGTCATAAACTTCTTAAAGTAAATGAAAGTAAAAAAATAGCAATTGTCAAAAAGGGAGAGACCCTATGTTTCCTCCAGCCATTTTCTATAAAATATCAGCTTTTTGTGGAACTTGAAATAAAATATTGGCATATCTGAAAACCTTACTTAATTGTGACCTTGATAATATGGTGTTTCATGCAACCCAAATAAATGTTCAGACTGCATTAAGGTGGGGCAGTAGGAAAAACAACTCCAATAATGAGATGTTACTGTAGCTCTAGGAATCATAAGTCTCTTGTACATTTGTATAGCACTGACATACCAGCCTGAAGAACTTTGAAAATGAGGTTTTCCAAGCCGTGGATCAGCACACATTGGCTTTTGCCAAGTTGTAAAGTGTTGATCTAATTCTTTACATTTAAGCCTGTCCACCTTATGGCTGACAGCCAATGAAATCAGGCCACGGGCCTTCCATTCATGGAGCTTTAGCCCTGTAACAGGCAGTGAAGTGCTAAGCATTTTATATACATTATTTAACTTCACCTTCACAGCTAACCAGTGAGGTAATTATTATCTCTGTTTTGCTAAAGAAAAGAAGAGTTGAGTAACTTTTCCAAGTTATGTCTGATTCCAAGCACATGTGTGACTATTACATTATCCTAGATTCATCTGGTTCTGTTCATGATGACAGCCCAGAATCTTCCTTGCCTTAGTAATAGCAGCCAATATTTATGGAGCACCAACCTGTAACAGATGCTGGGCTAAATGATTTATGCCATTTTAATCATTTAATCTTCACAGTCTGCCTATGAGATGGAGACTACTATTACCAGCAAAAGGAAAGTGCGTCTCAACAAGGTTTCTATAGTGAGAAATGGAAGAAGAATTTGAATCCTATAATGAGAAGAGGAGGAAGGGTTTGAATTATCAGATTGGTTCGAATCTCAATACTGCCAACTGCTACATCTTTATTTCAATTAAAATAAAACACCCCCAGCTCATGCATTTACCTACGAGCTTCAATCTACTTTGTTTCTAGGCTTGCTCTCATTACGATAAATTGCCACTTTCAGCTCTCTCCAATTTTTGAGACTGCTCTGACCTTTGATGTTATCAAATTTGGTTTCTCTTGCTTGACTCTTTATGTACTCTAAGAACTTTGGCTGACATTCAACCTCCAAACTGAAAAGCCCTCCTGATGACCATGTGCAAGATATTCCACTTAAGCATCCAATGACTCCAACCCCGGATCTGGTTCTTGCCCCCTCATGAGAAGGATTAGGACTTGAGCCAGGCCAAACCTTCCTCAGTGCCCTTAGCATCCCAGACCCCCACCAGGAAATGTCAAAGACAATATATGTCAAGTCAAAGCATCAATACTTTTATATTTTTGTTATTTTTTAAATGAAAATACTATTTTATGTCATATATATATATATATACACTGCTTGGTATTAGAAGTGCTGTTGTCATGTCAGAGCATTTGTCGGATCTAGTCTTATGCCTATCCTGTATTTTGTTTCCAGTACAACATTCTATGGAAACCTTATTTTGCACAGGTATATTATAGCAAAGATAACATAAAACAAAAGTTTCTCAATATTTAGGTGGTTCTACATTTTGCCATTGATAAGGTTTATTTCATATTGAAAAGCACAATTCTCACCTTTTAAGACAGCAAAGGCTACAATTGTTCACTTTCTAAAGATTTGATTTATTTACATAAACTATGAGGCTTACACCTCATAAGGAATACATTTGTATAATATGAGTGTTTAACTCATTACATTGTGATAATATCACAAATTTGTTGCAAGTTTACCACTCCAGACAACATAGACAAGGAATCTTAATTGGATTGCCTACATTAACCTAAAGAGGTATTTCTAAGTCCTCACTCTGCATCAGTGCATAAATCAAACCTCAGGGGTTTCTACATGTAGCTTCCTAAAACTTTTGGCACACTTTGTTTTAAGCAGATAATCTAAAAATAACAAGAACAGCCAAGAAAATGTATGTAATTTGTTTTTAACATATACATTGTAAATACATTTTAGAAAAAACATTTTTGGAACTTCTCTCTTCCTAAAAGAGCAATTCACTATATCTTAAGGAGCACTAAAACTCCTTTTCTTCTTATTAAATTGATACAGAGTCTCTGTCTCTCAGGCTAGAGTGCAATGGCACGATCATAGCTTACTGTAACCTTGAACTCCTGGGCTCAAGTGATCCTCCCACCTCAGCCTCTCAAGTAGCTGGGACTACAGGCGTGTGCCACCATGCCTGAAAGAGCACTAGAATTCTTAAGTACTATGAACAATCTGGGAAATTATATGTTAAACTATTATTCCTTGACAGTAATATGTGTACATTCAAACTTCTGGGAGAATGCCTTAACTCAATGGCTTGAAAGATTCCTGCCCAGAATGCTAGCAACAAAAGTGGATCAGGGAACTTCTAGTCAGCTTTGGGTATTAATCCCACTAAAACAGTTTCCATTCTTGGGGCTTGGTTATCAGGAGTCTGAAGTGCAGTCGTGGGTGTAGTTATGGCCAACTAGTAGAATGGAAGGATTTGGAGCTTGAGTCAAACAGTCCTGTGTTTGAATCCCTGTCATCTTTTAAAAGTTGTTCCCTCTTTGTTCCTCATCATCTGTAACATAGACATAATAATAACACACATGTGCATTTTAAATAAATAACATGAGTATCTATTACACACCAAGCTCTGTCCTAGATTATAATAATATAGCTGTGAAAAAGACAGACCAGGTCCTTCTGGGAGTTTACAGCCTAGCAAGGAGAAGACAGATAATTAGGAAACAAGGAAACTAAAAAGATAATCATAGTTTGTGCCTAGTACTCTGAAGATAATAAAGCCAGCTAATGCATTAAAGCTGTGCTATCAGATATAGTAGCCATTAGCTACATGTGGCTATTTAAGTTGAAATTGATTAAAATTAAATAAAACTAAAAATTCAGTTTCTCAGTTGCAGTAGTCACATTTTAAGACCTCAATGGCCATATGTAGCTAGAAGTAAAATTTTTCTGTCATCACAGAAAGTTCTATTGGATAGCACTGTTAACTAGATAAGGAGAGTTTGGGGCAAGGGAATACTTTAAATGATATTTATGTATATAAATAGCTGGTTCAATGCAGAAAACAATCTGTAGTGGGATCCAATATATTGGAACTATTATTATGTTAACATATCTTATGAGTCTATATACTTTTGCCCACTTTATTCATCAATTTATAAAGCCTTGGAATAAATCCATTTAAATGTAGCTAATTTGTTATTTCCAATTTATGTACTACTAATATCTAAAGTTCTAGGTTAATAACTTAAGCTCAAGACACTTACGAAAAGTATTTTTTTCTGCATAGGCTTCTTGATTCAAATAAAAAAGGAAATTATTTTCTTAAAATTTTGATGAATGATAAGCCTCAGAAAGTAGCCAAGTGCATTAGGCAGAAAGGACAATGGAAGCAATTTCTTAAAGGTTGAAATCATATTTGAAGTCAAAATAGATAAGGCTTAACAAGGTTCTAAATTCAAAAAGCAAATTCTTCTGTCCCTGATTTTCTGTAACTCTGACACTGATAACTCCACCTACCACATCTTAAAGATCTTTATGACAATCACAGAACTGGTATTATAGTCCCCAAAAGCTATGTGTAAAGCAGTATTTGTGCATCGAATCATACTTCCCAGTGCATGTTATTTTGAGAATATGTTTTACTTAGATAAAAGAAAGTAGCACCAATACAGAAAAACAACCTTTGAGGACTTACTGAATTCCTGGAACATGCCCAATGAAACATGCCAAAGAGAAACAACTACTTTAGAACTAAAAGTTTGTAATACTCACTTTAATACAGTGTGCTATGTAAATTTATTTTTTAATATGTTAAGATAATAGTCTGATTAATGTTTGAGTCCATTTATATTTGTAAATTTATTTAAGAAGCACACACGGGTTAATGTATACCAGCCAGATTTCATTTCTTTTCTTTAAAAATGACTAAGCAGAAACATTAACTGTGTTTGACCCAAGAATTTAGTAGAATTAATTCAGTGAAAAATCTCTATGGAGATATGTTTTCAGCTTAAGCTGGAGGATTAGTCGAATCTCTGTTTCCCAATCTAATAGTAATGGTGTTAATGCCTGTAAGTGTGGAAATTATAAACTACTCTATAACAGCCATTAAAGTTTTGTTGACCAAATGGCTAAATGAAAAAAACAGGTTAACCATCTCATTAGGAGAAGTGAAAAGTGTTGATTGAGCCAGCAGGGAACTCCGAAAATGATTTCCTCTTCTTGGAGCTACCACCTGGTGCCCTTAGGGTAGACAGAAGTGACATGTTAACCATGTATATGGAAATTGTGTCCAAATGTATTAAGTGAACAAATGTGAAACAGAAAGCTCTGTAGGAGGAACACCTTCTAGCTGGGTTTGGCTAGCCACACAGCTGCTCCTAGGACCCAAGGGCAGCTGCTCTTAGCTCCATTTAAAGAAACCCGTGAGAGCACCTTCAATCTTCTCTTTGTGGGCTAATTACCCAGTGAAGCAAGCAAAGCAGTCTCTGTGTACCTTTTCATTGTACAAAGAAAAATCTCAAAGCTATGTCTTGAAAAAGCTTTAAGAAATGGACTGTGTCCAATTATAAAATAGAGCTCTGGTTACTGCACATACTGCACAGTGATTTGAATTGCATCATCTTCCACATCCCCACCAACAACTCTTGGGAGCAAAATATAAGCCTTAGAACAAATTAATAACTCTTTAGGGTCATGCAACAAATAACATGCTTTTTATCTTAGCCACAAGACTCATTAGCAAACCTGAAGTGGCAGCTGCATGCTCTGGCTTCCTGGATTATTCCTGATCCCAAGAACACTAAAGCAATTGTTCACGATCCTTTGCACTGATATTCTGTAGAAGTATGTTTTTAATAAAGTTCTAGGATAGATATCTTAAAAGACGTGTTACTTTAAAAAAAAAGTTGATACTGATACTCTACCATGCAGGTAACCATATTTATAAAATATTTATGGTGGCATTTCTTTCTGGTTCCCAAAGTATTATATGTTCATGCCTTTGAAAGGAGGAAATACACAGAAAGCCAAAATGGAGATTGTGAAGTTTTACTTGCTTTTTAACTGTGTTTGTTCACTTCATAATATATTATAAACATTTTCCCATGTCATTAAATGTTCTTCTAAAGCGTGAGTGAATAGTGGTACAGAACACTCCAATTTTAACAATTCCTATTTTTGAACATTTGTGGTAGTTCCAATTTTGCTATTATAAATAACACTTTGAGAAACATGCTCATACATAAATCTGTCTGCTTATGTTTCTTTGAGATTATAAAAGTGGAAGCACTGGGTCAAAATATTTTAAATATTTTTAAAGATTTTGATAAGGGTGGTTAAGTTCAAACAGCCACTCTGATTTATGAATAAGAGAAAAGGAAAAATAAATAATCATGCCATGGAGTATTTACTGGAAGGAGCTGAACACAAAATGGCCAAGCCTTCGCTTTCATAGAGTTCTTCATTGCAAGGGCAGTGATTGATCCTTCTTGACCACCAGATGGCAGTAGAGAACACAGCAAACTGAACAAGACCTAGAGGAGAAGAGGAATCCACTCTTATTTAGCCTTATATACTTAGCCATTGGTTTTTCCTTGGGCAACTAGGAAGATTGGGCCTATCATATAAACAAAAAATAAATAAATATTATCAATCAGATCAGGCACAAAGACATTGGAGGAACACTTGCCTTTCATTGGACCTGGTGTTGAGAGCCACTAATCTGTTTTGCTTTATGTTTTCCTAAAGTTCTCTTCACACATTGGTCTCACTGCTGATCTTTTTCTGAAGTAGGTTTTGGTTTCTCTGGAAGCAGCCAAACATTTTATGTGAACCCCTGTACTTGCTCACCAGCTCACAATGAGGCAAAGTCTGGGTAAAATGAAATACTTTCACTAATGTCTTTGGGTTTTCCTATTTACTAGCTAAACAGGAAGTCACCAAGCAAAGAAGAGTGGCTGCTGTGAGATACCCCTCCACATTGACCTTAGACAGTCATTATTATTTATTCTGACTTTAGCGGAAAGAATACTTCCTTGCCTCCTTTTCCTGTCTCTGAGGAAAGGATATTCCAGACTCTAATGCATTTGGAGTTTCCAAAGATATGGTAGAGCTGTTCTCAAGATGCCTGAGACATGCAGAAAGCTTCATGATAGCTAGCACAGTGATGCCACAGCTGCACCAGCCAAATGCAATTGGAGTTTCTATTCAGTTTACTAGTGCAGCTACCTGAGCAAAGTACAGATAAAAAGGAAGTAACAACACAAGGGTGCCTCGTACTCCTGTTACCATTATGAAATTGAACTGAGACTTTAGTCTAGAATTTGCAGAGGCCAATTAGAAGGATTTGTTAAAAATATTAGTGCTCTTATCATAAAAACATCTATATGAACAACAAAAATATAAACAAAGAATAAGTAGTCTACTATTTGAGAGTAAGGATACTAACATCTGTTGAGTAATAATCCCTTCTTAAAACACCTAATAAGGGAGTATTAAAAAAAATGGAGATCAGGAAAAAGTCCTGAACCTACAATCAAAAATTAAATTGTACAGTATATGAGGTTCATTAAGCCACGTTCTTTACATGACTTCAAGTTTCCCTTTAAACAATTGGGCAATTCAGCTGGCAGAATAGAAAAAGTGAATGTTCTTTCGGCCTACACTCGTAGAAATACAGTGAGTGTAGTTACAGGAAACTTCTACCTCGCAATCAGAACACATTTGGAATATTTTGCTCAATTCAGAGGAGCAATGACAAACTGGACTCCATCTAGAACAAAGCAGTAGAGTATCAAAATCATGTCCTTTCTACAAGGAATGAAGGTTCCCCTGAAGAGAAGACTTAGGTAACAATATGATAGTTCTCTTTGAATACTGAATGACTCTTTCATAAAAAAAATGGAATTTATCCTTCCCTCTGTAGTTCACAGAACTAGATTCAATGAGTGAAAGTCATAACTTGCCAGGATTTTCATATACCCCCAGGGAGCACCTGTTTCCAATTCCCACAAAGGTACACTGTGGGCTAGTCAAGGCCATGTTCAAAAATTACCATGAGATCCAATCAACAATGGAAGGGTTGCCTGGAATGCAATGAGCTCATGAAAGGTTTTGAGCAGCCTGAGTAATTATTTTGGCATGAATATTCTAAAAGGGGCTCTTAAACTTCGGGGTTTAAGACTTTCATGGAGAAAGATGATCCATGAAAGTTCTTCCAACTCTAAGATTCTGTAATTCCTTAAAAACCAGAAATAAATCAGGAATTGCAAAAATAAGCTAACATATTCAAGGGAAGTTTTTTTTTTCAACTTTTATTTTAGGTTCAGGGGATATATGTGCAGGTTTTTCACCTGGGTATATTGCATGATGCTGAGGTTTGGAGTACAAATGATCCCACCACACAGATACTGAGCATAGTATCCAATAGTTAGCTTTTTAACCCTTGTCCCTCTTCCTACCTCCCCCCTCTAGTAGTCCTTAGTTTCTGTTGTTTGCCATCTTTGTGTCTGTAAGTATCAATGTTTAGTTCCCACCTGTAAGTGAGAACATGTGGTATTTGATTTTCTGTTGCATTAATTCTCTTAGGATAATGGCCTCCAGCTGCATCCATGTTGCTACAAAGAACATGGTTTCATTCTTTTTTATGGCTGCCTAGCATTCCATGGTTTATATGTACCACATTTTCTTTATCCAATCCATGGTCGATGGGCACCTAGGTTGATCTATGTCTTAGTGCTGCAATAAACATGCAAGTAAATGTACCTTTTTGGTAGGAAAATTTGTTTTCTTTTGGATATATACCCAGTGATGTGATTGCTGGGTCAAATGGTAGTTCTGCTTTAGGTTTCTCTGAGAAATTTCCAAACTACTTTCCACAGCAGCTGAACTAATTTACATTCCCATTGACAGTGTATAAGCATTTCCTTTTCTCCACAGCCCCACCAGCGTCTGTTGCTTTTTTACTTTGTAATAATAGCCATTCTGACTGATGTGAGATGATATCTCATTGTGGTTTTATTTGCATTTCTCTAATGATTAGTAATGTGAAACACTTCTTCATATGTTTCTTGGCCACTTGTATGTCAGTAGGGAGAACATTATTATTACATTGGCTTAGGTTAAGATACCAGATTCTTGAATTCCTAATGCAAGACCAAATCTTAAGCCAATAGAGTTTCAGGAGTAAAGATGAGGATAGGGACCTTGTGCAGCTTGAAGAAAACAGTATTGGTTGACTTTCTTAGAGGCAGAAAGGGTCATGCTGAAGTTAAGTAGAATCAAGTTTTTTTGGGTGGTTTTGTTTTGTTTTGAGACAAAGTTTCACTCTTGTTGCCCAGGCTGGAGGGTAATGGCATGATCTTGGCTCACTGCAACTTCCACCTCCCAGGTTCAAGTGACTCTCCTGCCTCAGCCTCCCAAGCAGCTGGCACTACAAGAGCACAGCCGGCTAATTTTTGTATTTTTAGTAGAGATGGGGTTTCATTATGTTGGACAACCTGGTCTCAAACTCCTGACCTCAGGTGATTTGCCCACCTTAGCCTCCCAAAGTGCTGGTATTACAGGCATGAGCCATCACACCCAGCCAGAATCAGGTTTTAAGAGCCAAGAATGAAGAAGGATACCAAGCCATCTCCACAATGTGACATGGGAACACTAGGAAAAGCCATATACATTTTAAAAACTTCTTTACATCACTGTTGATAACTGAATGTCAATAATTGAAGCTTTTAAAAAGAGCTGCACCCTCCCTATTTTGAAACTTTCTTTGTCCATTTTCTTTTCATGATTGTGCACTCACCCAGATCTCTTACAATTGTGCTCTATCTCTTTCCTAGGCTCCTATTTCACTGGTCATTCCCTAAATGCTCGTATCCCACTAAGTTCCATCTTCTGCCTGTGGCTCTTTCTTCTCACAAGCAACCTCTGGGTGAAAAACAAAAAACAAAACAACAACAACAACAAAAAAAAAAAACTGCTCTTAGGTGTTACTAACCTTTGAATGGTGGTAATTTTCCAACTCTAAATCCTCAGGCCAGACTGATATAAACAAGCACCTGTTGGACAGCTCCACTACGGTGTCCCATGGGCCCTGCAAAAGTCAACATGTCCCTAAACAAAGGCAGAATATCCTTCCTCGCACTTCACTATAGCACCTGCTCTTCTTTCTATAGTGACCATTTCCATTAAGGACATCAGAATGAAACTAACCACTCAAGCCAACAATCTAAATATCCTAATTTTCCTCCATCTTTCTCATCTCCCATATTCAAGCACCAAGTTCCACAAATTCTAGTTTCTCTAAATTTTTCAGATTCATTTCATCTGAATTTTTTCTGCTGTGTCCTCACATGGTCTTTTCTCTGTGTGCCCGCATCCTTAGTGTCTGTTTTTGTGTGCAAATTTCCACTTCTTATAAGGACACTTGTCAGAGTGAATTTGAGCCCACCCTAACAGCCTCATTTTAACTTAGCCACCTCTTTAAATATCTTTTCTCCAAATATAGTCACATTCCAAGGTACCGGGGGTTCAGCCTGCAACAAATGAATTTTGGGACAACACAGTTCAGCCCTTAACAACAAACTGCACACTTACTATCTCCTCTGCTCAATAAAGGCTTTGCTAAAGAGGACAGAGAGTAAGGATACTGAGGGCTTGGTCAGAGGAAGAGGTTGTGGTAGGGCAGAGTAGTAGAAGAAACATCAACACAAAAAGAAATGAAAATTACCAGGCCTCAGAAAATACTACCTATCCCACAAGCTCACTGAAAAGAATATTCAAGAATACTTTCTGCTTTCAATTGTCAAAAGGATATGAAGGAGAATATCACAATCTCATGAGCAAATGAAAGAGTAGAACACAAAACAGGCAGGAAAGCAGCTTCTCCAACTAGGCTGGGATTATGGCACATAGGCCAGAATGTTAACAGGGTGGCCTTTAGTTTGATACATGAACAAAACACCATATAAAATATGTAAAGATATGCACTCATGGCCAGTATCAATGTTACCTCAAGTTGGCTTTGATAAAGTATGTCTGTTCAAATGAGTTGAGACTCAAAAAACAATTTTTGCACACTTCCAAAAAGAGAACCTAAATGTAATTTAGCATTTCAAGGGTATTCTCAATGCTTTTAATCTATTGTTATTCTAGACAGAAAACTAACGAAATATGCCAGCCTGCTCAGGCATTAACAAAAAGCGAGACCTTTTTATATATTAATCTTGAGTTATGAACACTACTCAGCTAATGGATAAATGCATGTCATTATTCCCAGTAATAGCAAATGCACATTGTTGCCTGAAAGTCACTCATCTGTGCTCTTATTTTCATCAATGTTTGCTAATATCTAAGCATTGACCACGGTAATAATACCAGCCAACATTTGAATAAATTTTAACAGCTTACAGTGTGCTTTCCAATAAATGTGAGCCTGAGGCTCACCATAGAGGGGTGGGATAGGGAGACTCTCTGGTTAAATGCACAGGTTAGCACATGATAAGAGTTTTAAAATACCCACATAAAATTAAAAATCAGAAACGTCAAATGACTTACCCAAAGTCACACAGCTGATAAATGATGGAGTCAACACCTAAGCTTCATCTTTTAAATTTAAATTCAGTGTTTTTGCACTCCGCTAACCAAGAGTTCACATATACATCCCTACAACTGCACACCAAGCTTTGTAGATGCTGTGAACTCACAGATGCATGAGGTTCAGTCCCTACCTTCAATCCTTCAATTGCATTACAGTCTAAAAGGGAGAGACAGACATATAAATAAGAAAGTGTAATAAAGTGTGGAGAAGCTTTGACATAAGTATATGGAGGAACACAAAAGAGGATAGACATTTTTCTCCAAAGAATGGTGAAGGGGTGAGGAATGTCTCTATAAAAGTAGCACTTCAGATAAGGAGGTAATCATCAAATGATAGCAGAGGATATTTCTGGCCAAGGGGGCTATATTACCAAAGCATATATATATATATATATATATGTGTGTGTATGAAAAAGACTGGATATATAGAAAACACTGCAAATATTTTGATATAGCAAAAGCATAGGGTTATTGGAGATGGGAGAGGCAACAAGAGTTAAGGCCTGAGAGATAGGGGCTTGACTACGCGGGGCCTTCATGGCAAACCAAAGATTGGAAGGTGTGTCCTGTTAATAAGAGTTTTTTGAAGCATCGTTGTCTATGAATTGATGGGCATTGTGACATTAAAAATGTGAAAGATTGGAAAATGGATTGGATGGGTGTAAGACAGGAGATAGGGACATCAGTTTGGCCTGTTCCTCTAAACCAGGCAAAAAATCATATGAACCACAAGGAGCAATGGAAATGAAGGAAATTCAGCTTTAGAAACTTCAAAACATGGTGATCACTCAGTGGCGGGAATAAAAAGAACAGCATCTGAGATGATGTAGGATTCATTTTTACTAGTGTAAGGAAAAACGAAAGAAAGAGAAAGGAAGGAAGGAAGGAGAGAGAGAAGGAAGGAAGGAAAGAAAGAAAGAGAAAGAAAGAAAGAAAGAAAAAGAAAGAAAGAAGAAAGAAAGAAAGAGAAGAAAGGAAGAAAGAAAGGGAGAAAGAAAGATGGTGGAGGCAGGAAAGAAAGCAGATAATAAATTTTGCTCTGAGTAAGTTGAGTTTAAGATACCTGTGGAATACCAGGAACCAGCATTCTGTGAGTAGTTTTGACACAATAATCAGAACTCAGGGGAGAGTTGGGTAGAGAATTGAGTCATGGTGAAAACAGGGAAGTAGATGCCCAGAGAGAGAATGGAGAACAAACAGAGAAGGAAGCCAAGAACAACCTCCAAGGAAAACACAACATTCAAGGTACACGTAAAAGAATAGAAGCCAGTAAAGTAGAGAAAGAAGGACAAATCAGAGAGGAGAAGAGCCATGAGATACCTCTCAGAAGCCATGGTATTAAACATCTCCAGTGCCCCAGTTAAGTCAAATAAGGTGGGAAGTGGAAACTGACGAAGTTTATTGGACTTGGCGCTTTCGAAGTCACTGGAAATTACCACCACAGCAATTTCAGTAGATTAGCAAGGTGTTGACTAGAGTACCATTAAGAGTGATTGAAAGGTAAAGAGATGAAGACAACAAACAAAGGCTATTCTTCTAAGAAATTTATCATGAAGATAAGAAGAAAAGGTAAGAATGGTAGCCAGAGAAGAATGTATATATGTGTTGATAAAAGGATTTACATATTTGTTTATGTTTTGGTGGAAGAAATTTGAATATACTTAAGGCTGAAGGAGATAGTAGAGAAGGAACGGATGAAAACAGGATAATGGACCCTCCATGCAGCAGAATCCCAGGAGAGGCAGAGGAAACAAGATGAAGTGCTTATATTAGGGAATCACATTTGACCAAATGAAAGGGGATAGAAGGAAGGTGAAAACCAGTAGAGTAAGGGAAAGGGTAGTTGAAACTGTTCACAATTAATTACCACAAGTTTTATAGTGAGAGAGTATAGGTAGCAGGAAGCAAGTGAAGAAGACTGTAAAGGTTTGGAGTTGCCATGGTGGCCAGATGAGGGAGCTGATCAGAGGTATGTAAAACTGTTTCAAAATAATGCTAAAGACCCCTTCAGGTGGAGACCATGACTTAGCAGTGGTTCCAGTTTGGAAGATGGTTTTTTTCCAGGGGCTCTCACCAGTGCTGGGTGCTATAATAGGAAAGGCAGACATAAGCCAAGTTTGGGGGCAACAAAAGTTTGTCTTCCCCTCCTACTGAAGTTGGAAATACTTATTTCCCAGTTTTTATTTCAACTGAAGATGACCTCATGACAGGTTTTGCTTTCCTGATGAAAAGGAGAAGATGTGGATGATATATGGCCCATTTTTGCTTCCTCCTGCTCCTAGTCTGGAGTATGGAGCAATCCTAGAGGTGTAGCAGCTACCTGTTAAGCCTGGGGCAAAAACCATGAGAATCAAAGCCAACAGGGTGAGGATGGTGAGAAGAAAGGTAGAAAGTGCCTGGGGCCATGTTGACATTACGGAATATGTTATGGGCTGAGTTGTGTCCCCCTAAAATTTAAATGTTGAAGCCCTAACCCTCAGTGCCTCATGAAGTGACCTTATTTGCAAATAGGGATTTTACATAGGTAAGCAAGTTAAAATGTCATTGAGGTGAGTCTTCATCAAATCTGACTGTTGTTCTTATAAAAAGGGGAAATTTAGAGACAGACACACATGCAGGGGAATGCCATGTGAGGATGCAGAGACCAGGGTGATGCTTCTATAAGCCAGAGAATGACAAAGTTGCCTGAAAACCACCAGAAGCTAATGGAAAGACATAGAACAGTTTCTTCCCCACCAAGCTCAGAAAGGACAAACCTATCTACACCTTGATTTCTTTTTTTTTTTTTTTTTGCCCTAAAGCAATGAAATGCAGATCGACATCTTCATTTTGGACATCTAGTCTCTAGAACTCTGGAACAATAAATTCCTGTTGATTATATCACTCAGACTGTGGTACTTTGTTACAGCCCTAGCAAAACACTCCAGAGCATCAAAAACCCTTAAAGTAAACTCCTACCTCTAAATGTTCTATTACATGAGAAAAATAAGCAACTATTTATTTAAACTAAACTACTGGTTGAATCTTCTTTTTCTTATAGTGGATGGAATCTCAGCTAGATATAAATAGGCAAAAGAGATCTAAATAGGAGGAAAATTTGAGTAATTAAGGAGGTAAAAGCTAGGAAGAAATGACTGGATCAAGAATTTCCATGAGGTCAAAGGCAAATATAAATTAGGTTTAGAGGTTAGACTAAAATGGAATTTAGAATTCCAGAAGTGGAACAGTTGTATGTAACAATAAGATAATAGGTGTGCCCATGGATATAGATTGCTGTCATCGGATGATAATTAGTGAAGTTAAGGATGTCAGGGAACTCTAAAGCCAGGTTGGTACATTATTAAAAGCCATGGGCCCTGACATCACACATGATGATTATAATGTGAAGAGACGAGACTGAGACTATAAAGAAAGACCAGGAGTGAGCTAACTTGAATGATACCAAGGAAGATGATATAATATGAAGGTAGGAGCCTCATGAGAGAGAAGAATTTTGCTTGAAAGATGAAAAGTAATAGTTTAGAAGGAATCACAATGTTTGATGATTGATAGTATTCCAACACCATTGCCAGACTCCATGGTAGATGAAATATGGGAAATAAAGTTCATTCATCTCAAGAAAGCTACCAGTAAAAAAGTGGCCTTGAACTTGGATAATACATACACCTTATCACCTGAATTATTCAAAGAATTGATGCCAAAGAAAATTTAAGAGTGTAAATTATATAAGTGAATTTCAAATTTGGAAGGGATGTTGTGAGTATTCAGTTCAATCTCATACCACTGCAAGGGTACTCGTCCTCAAATTTTCATCTCAAGTTGCAGGTACATCCCTGGCCACAAAGTTTCTCTTGATTATATAACTATATGTTAGAGAATAGAATGAGAGAAAGAATGGTTGATGACACATTGTTCCAAGTATGTTGGTTCAGCAGATTATTTTTAAATACACCCAATTTACACTCCCATTTTTTCCTTCAGATTCCAGTACAAAGGGACCTCTTTCTAAAGAAAGAGCTCTTGTAACTATAAATATCAGCTGACAAATTGCATACCGAATGCTTCAGCAAATAGGTCAGAATATCAGAGCTACCATTCCACAATTTGCAAAAGATAGTAATAAATGTATTTTTACTACACATCATTTTACTCCTTACACTTTTGAAATATTATCATCGTCCTTCAGGAGATAAAGAAAGAAAAAATTGTACCTTTAAAATGAGGCATGATGCCTTGATGTGTTCAATGTGCTCCCTGACCTTTCAGAAATCTAACCAGACCTGGAGCTATAAAGGGAATAACATCTCTTTGCATTGGGGAAAACTATTGACTTAGAACTAAGTGACTGAACAAAGTGCATTACTATCGTTACTCCCTCCCCCTTCTCTCTCTTCCATTAGAAACAAGGGGAAAAATGCTTAAAAGCAAAATGATCTGAAAAGTGCTCACTGCTGGGAGGAGAAGCTGCCCTGGATTTGGCAATTTGTCACCCTGACATTTACTGCCTGATGAACAGCCACTCGCTAAATTTTGCAGAGAGCTAGGCTGAGTGAGACAGACCTCTCTGGCTATTAGATGGAGAGCTCATAAACACTGATATTCATAGGGATTGGATTTTTTTAATAATAAAAATAAGATCCTGATTAAGTACATGCAAATTATGTGGTAGAGAGGTATACCTGAGGCTATAAACACTTTTTTAGAATTACTAAGTGAGAAAGGTTCACAGTAAAAAAAACTTCCAGAAATAACAAAATTTGAGCAGCTCTCTTGACTATCCTTAAAGCACAGAGGGTTAATGTGATAAGGGAAATATCTCTGTTAATACACATTAATCACTTTCTGCAAAAGGTACGTTTTATTTTTCTGGAGTTAAAAAAATTAAATTACCCTAGAGGCAATATTTTTAAGAAATATATGGTTCTTAAATGAAGTAAAGTAGCTGAGATACACAAAGCCATACAACTTTACTTTTCTAAACCTGGACTTACCAGCCCCAACTTTTACTGCAAACAGAAATACTTAATTGTACCGTTTCAAGATAACTTAGTTCTTGTGGTTTACTTCTCTGGCTCTTTTGGTTAATTTCTCTTCGGTTCAGGGTTTTGTTTCTCCCCTACTTTCAGGCAGCATCTGGATTTAACAGAAGCTTACATAGCATCCCAGCCCCAGTTGGTGGGTAAAGAGGGTGCGTGGGGTCTGTGTGCCCTCCTCTGTCCTGCTAAAGAAAAAAAATTATTCTCACACTTGTTAGAATAGTGAGGAAGACTTTATTCAAGACTATTGCAATAGAGATTTGCAATAAAGGAGAAAGATTGGGCTCAACTCTGAATATAGCAAGGACAAGTACTTACAGCCAATGGGCAGAGTGAAGGAGTCATTAGACAGAAAATTACTAAGAGGAGAGATCAAGAGTAGGGGGCTTCTTGCTAAGCTAACATAACAGAATTCTTACTCTGAAGTCAGTCCAAAGACTTATACATCAAAGGTGGGGGATAAAGAATTTGATCAGATATCAAGGGTGGGGAGATGACTTAGCAGGATCCCTCACTAAGACTGATCTAGGCAGACCAAAGACAGGATAGTGCTATGGTCAAGGCCTAGTCAAAAAGAGGGTTCAGAGGAGCCTAACTTTGGTCAAGGAGAGAGTCTTTGCCAGTCCTTGCCAGTCTCCACTGAAGCACAGTTAATCCTGACTGGCCTTGGGCCTCAGTCATTTTCCTCTTAGCACATGATACTGAGGCCCTCATCCCACCTTGTCCTCCACATCTCAGTCCACTCATTAAAATTCTCTGTCTTTCTAATTCCACTGCTGAGGTCTTTCTTGACCAGCCACTTCTGCACCCTCCTTAGGGACTCAAGAATTCTAATCTGCATTTCCATACGATATTGGGATGCCTTGAACATATTCCACCTAGACATTTCTCATAGCTTCTGTTACTCTACCATGGGAAAGTCTTTGGGTTTATCTTCAAGACTAACATTCTTTCTGACTAATTTTGGAAGGCTAAACGTTGTCCATTTTATTCAAAAATCCCCATAATTTACCAGGAGCTTCCATTCATCTAGACTAATAATAAAGAAGACATCAATCCCAATCTGCCAAGCTTTACCTCAGATTTGAAGAAACTACTGGGAAAACCCATAGTGTAATTGAAGTAGAAAAAAAAAAAAGAAAGGGGAAAAAAGAGTGAATCTTCTCTTCTGTAATTTTTTTTCAATTGACAACATTACCATCTAGAACTGGCAGACATTCCACATATATAGGATTGTCCTGAATTAAACTCTGCTGCCTCTTTTTAACACACGGGATATATAATGTTACTTGATTCTGCAACCAGAAAGCAGTTTTCTGAATATGATACTTTCTATATATAATTTCAGTATATCCTCATCTGGTAAAGACAGACAGAACTCTGAAGTGGAAAGAGCACTTGTCAAGATATCAGGAGATGACGGCTTTGTGAGTTCTGTCACTAACCAGTGTATGTTCTTGACCAAATAATTTTACCTCTCTCAACCTTGGTTGCTCCATCCACCAAACGATAGCGATCTGAATTCGTCAGCTTCTTTTCTATTATGACACTTGATTACTTCATCACCAGAAGCTGAGCTCCCAGCTTGAGTATGCAACATGTCTGGACATGTTTGGCTAATTACTGTGGCAGCCAGCCTGCTGGCCATTGCAGAATGACCCAGATGCTTCCTGAGAGAACTCAGGTTTAAGGAAGAGAAAACCAAACTCCAGGAGTCTGACAGCAACAAAGCCTTAGTTGACAGAAAGGTAGTTATTTTGGATGCATAAGTGTTTATTATTCTTATTTGCCTCCTAACTCCATGTCTAAGTTCAAGAAAAAGCAAATTAATTAATAAAAACCAAAAGACTGGGTTTGCTAAACAACTTTTAAAAATATAGGGTCAAAACTGTTTTGTACATAATGAAAGAAATTATAGATGACACAAACAGAAAAACATTTCATGCTTATGAATCAGAATTAACAGTGTAAAAATGGCCATTGTGCCCAAAGCAATCTAAATATTCAGTGCATTATCATTATCAAAATGCCAATGTTGTTTTTCACAGAATTAGAAAAAAACATCCTAAAATTTATATGGAACCAAAGAAGAGCCCAAATACAAAAAGAACAAAGCTGGAAGCATCACATTACCTGAATTGAAATTATATTATAAGACTGTAGTAACCAAAACAGCATGGTACTGTTATAAAAATAGACACATAAATCAATAGAACAGAATAGAGAACCCAAAAATAAAGGCACATATTTATAGCCAACTGATCTTTGATAAAGTCAACAAGAAGACACATTAGGGAAAGGACACTCTTTTCAATAAATGGTGCTGGGAAAATTGGATAGCCACATGCAAAAGAATTAAACTGGACTCCTATCTCTTACAATATACAAAAATCAACTCAAGATGAATTAACAACTAAAACATAAAACCCCAAACTATAAAAATACTAGAAGAAAACCTAGTGAAAACTCTCCTGGACATTGATCTAGTCAAAGAACTTGTAACCAAGACCTCAAAAACACACACAACAGCAGCAAAAATAGACAAATGAGACAAATTAAAATGTTTCTGTGTGACAAAAAATAATAATAACGATCAATAGACTGAACTGATAACCTTCAGAATAAGAGAAAATATTTACAAACTATTCATCTGATGAAGGATTAATATACAGAATATATAAGGAACTCAAACAACTCCAAAAAATCACCCCACAAATAATCCTATTAAAAAGTGGGCAAAGAGGCCAAGCATAATGGTTCATGCCCGCAATCCCAGCACTTCAGAAGGCTGAGGTGGGAGGACTGCTTAAGCCCAGGAGTGTGAGACCATCCTGGGCAACACAGCAAGACCACCCACCTTCCCCCCATCTCTGCAAAAAATAAAAAACTAAGCGGGCATGGTGGTGCACACTATAGTCCCAGCTATTCAGGAGGCTGAGGTTGGAGGATCATTTGAGCCTGGGAAGTTGAGGCTGCAGTGAGCCATGATTGTGTCACTGTACTCCTGTACTCCAGCCTGGGCAACAGAGTGAGACCCTGTCTCAAAAACAAACAAACAAACAAAAAAGGTGAGCAAAGAATGTGAATAGAAATTTTTTAAAAGAAGACATACAAATGGCCAACAGGTATACGAAAAAACGCTCAACATCACTAATCATCACAGAAATGCAAATTAAGTCAGAATGGCTATTAATAAAAAGTCAAGAAATAAGAATCACTGATGAGGATGCAGAGAAAAGGGAATTCCTATACACTGTTGTTAGGAATGTAAATTAGTGCAACCTGTATGGGAAACAGTATGGAGACTTCTCAAAGAGCTAAAAATAGAACTACCATTTGATCTACCAATCTCACTACTGGGTATCTACCCAAAAGAAAAGAAATCAGTATAACAAAAAGATTCTTGTACTCACATTTATCACAGCACTATTCACAACAGCAGTCATGGAATCAACATAAGTATCCATCAACATATAATTGGATAAAGAAAATATGGTGTGTATACATAATGGAATACTATTTGGCCATATAAAGAATAAAATTGTGTTTTTTGTAGCAACATGGATGGAACTGAAAGTCATTATTTTAAGGGAAACAAGTTATACAGAGAAAGTCAAATATCACATGTTCTCATAAGTGGGAGATAAAAAAATGTATACACATAGACAGAGAGAGTAGAAAGATAGACAACAGAGACTTGAAAAGATGAGGGAATACCAGGAGGATGGATGAGGAGAAATTACCTAATGAGTACAATGTACATTATTTAGGTGAAAGATACCTGAAAAGCCCTGACTTGACCATTGTACAATCTATGCATGTAACACAATTTAATTTGTACCCATAAATCTAGATTTTTTTTAAAAAAAAAACAGTATTTTGTGATCCTTCTAACAAACTCTGATGCAAAAGGAGAGAGGGCATTTCTTCACTTTGCCTCAGTCATAGCAGAATCCTGGCATCAAAAGGCCTCCTATGTTTTTGCATTGGTCATTGATGGAGGCCCAAAATTACACACAAAGAAGTTGGGATGCCCACAGAGCAATAGTTGTACCAAGTAAGACAAGGCAATATCCAGTAAACGGCCACCAGAATTTGGCAGTATGTGGTCTCAGCACAGTAGTTTTGATGAGATATCTCTGATAGAGAAGTGAGGGTGTGGTAGGTCTAATGGGATTGTCCTGTGTTCCCAAGGTTTTAGGGTGAAAAAGCATGGGTGTTTCCTGAGGATTATGCATGAGAAAGCTGGTGTGAAGCTTCTAAGATGCTGTCTAAGAAAACACCTGAAGGTCCGAGGGGACCTCAGCAGAAGGAACCTAGAAAGGTTCCACTGGTTGCTTGGGGATAAAGGAAGGAGTCATAACAATCAGATGGAATCAGTGCCTTCCCTTGTGCCAAATGGACTTCAGGCAAAAAATCCTAGTAAGAGGATCATTTAATTCTTCTCTCTCCTCACTTGGTTTGGACATATTAAGTCTTGAATTGAAACTGCATTTTGGAACCATGCAGGGTAACCAAAAAGAGCTACCCCTACATACAGACGTCAAAGTGGGCTTGGTGAGGTGCACAGGAGGTAAAGTTGTTTTCTCATCACACTCCATGAGTCCTTCTTGGCCAACATAATCATTATATTTTCATGAAGTCTTTATATTCTCTTGATCATTTAATGAAGGTGTTCCCTGTGGGTTAAATGTTTCTGAAGTCAGGACACACACCTTGCAATTAATACATACATTTAACGTTATGGAAATAGTGTGGCTTTTTTCTTTCTAAAAATGAGTTATTAAGTTGATAGTGAGCCTTGGAATAAAAGAAATATGATAATACAGAGAAGACACTACAGTCCATTAGCACTTCATCCCCATCACCAACTCAGAAACTGCATGGGTCATATTTGTATAATAAAACATGACAGCCTGATCAGGAAGCAGTAGCCTTGCAGCCCCTATGTAGGCTACCCCCACTTTTCTAAAATCCTAACTGCTGCCTTAGCAGGTACACAGTCATGAGATGAAGTGACAAACTTGTGATTGGCCAAACTGTCCAGCAGAATAGGCTTGAGGGCCTGGCAGATTCCCTAATCTGCATCACTGATTTTGGCAGCATCGCTGTCAGGGAACCCAAATGTCAGCACCAGCCTCATGTCCCCAGGCTCAGGGAACAGGGCAGGACAGAGTAGCAGAGAATGTCTGGGGCATGGAGATTTCTTCAAAACAGAGGTATAGATTGTCAGTGACAGATGGCCAGAAAGCTAACTGAACAGATCAGCTTTATTAAATTTTGAGAGCAACAAACGATTAAAATTTATTTCACAGCTATTTAAATTCCTAAAGAAATTCTTTTTCTGGATGAGGTAAACGGTGATGGCAAAGCATGCTGTTTTATGTCCCTTCCCCTGCATGTGTGCCTCTCTCCAGTCGAGCCAAGTATCTCTTTCCTCTTGGATTGAGTCTCTCTGAGAAATTGATGAGCCAGAGGCCAAGGTTTCTTTCTCTCCATCTGCTCCACCCGGCCTGAGTGCCTTTCTCTGACACTAGGCCTCTGTCAGAGACATCCCTTCTACTTTGACAAATATGATGTCTCTAACTTTGAATTCAGGCTGAAAGGATTGGTTCTCAGTCCTTTCTCTGCAGGAATTTCACCAGGACGCTTTGCAAATTTGCCAATACCCTGCCCAGAAAACTTCTATATATCAATGAATTTTGTGACAACAGGGATAATACTTTAAATGAGTTAAATTCATTTGGACTTTGCTCCACCCAGAAAGCATGTTTCTGGTAACCATTCTACCATTATACTTTTGGGGAAGGGTGGGGGCATTGCATTCCACTATGAAAATGAATCCAATAATGTGAAGGAAATCCCTCTATGAATAGGAATAAGGATGAGAAGGGATGTAAGAGAAAATCTGCTCAGTCCCAGCCCAGGAATATCTGTGAATGAGAATGAACAGAGAGGAACAGAAGCAGGAGTCAGCCCAGCATGTCTTGTGGAGACCCTGCACTGTCGCAGGCAGAAAATCTCTCTGTTACAGCATATAAGTTAAAAGAGGTGAAGGTTAAAGAATTTTTGTGCCATGTACTGTTTGAAATTCTGAAGGAGACCAAAGTGCAGTTTAGCCCCATGGTAACAGTAACATGATACCAAAAAAGCACACTGAAAATGATAGCACAGCATTTTTAAAGAGATAAACTGTCTAAGCCAGCATGCCCAAGTGTTTGGTTCTCATGTAGAAGAGAGGACTAAGACAAAACTCAGCAGTCCTGCTGCACAAAACAACCTGAGGGCCATAGTTGAATGGAGGTGCAACTCTCCTGGCCACAACCTCTCCATCCAAGAAACCAGTGACAATAGCTTTCTAACCTGAGT
Organism: Homo sapiens; assembly: GCF_000001405.40. Classification (NCBI taxonomy): domain Eukaryota; kingdom Metazoa; phylum Chordata; class Mammalia; order Primates; family Hominidae; genus Homo; species Homo sapiens. Next base: position 74,891,458 of record NC_000004.12, read on the forward strand.
TCCCTGCATTGCCTAAATTATTCATCCACCAAAGGTGCCATTTACAATGGAAGACTAATAAGCCACACAAGACTAATTTCTTTTTTGTTTTGTTTTGTTTGTTTTTGTTTGTTTGTTTTTGAGACAGAGTCTGGCTCTGTCACCCAGGCTGGAGTGCAGTGGCGCAATCTCGGCTCACTGCAAACTCCACCTCCCAGGTTCACGCCATTCTCCTGCCTCAGCCTCCTGAGTAGCTGGGACTACAGGCGCCTGCCACCGCACCCGGCTAATTTTTTTGTATTTTTAGTAGAGACGGGGTTTCACCCTGTTAGCCAGGATGGTGTCGATCGCCTGACCTCGTGATCTGCCCTCCTCGGCCTCCCAAAGTGTTGGGATTACAGGCGTGAGCCACCGCGCCTGGCCAATTTCTTACTTAATCTTTCCAACAGGAGACAGGGTAGCTAGTCCTCCTGGGCAGAGTTATCACAATATTAGTCTTTTGTGACTCTTTCTGCTCCCCATCAATGGGAAGAATGAGGAAGGGAATGGGCAGAAAGAAGACTTACAGACATCTGCAGTTTGGGGGTTTTGGGGAAAAGAAGCAAGTCAGTTTTTAAAGATCATGATGGATTTAGGCACATACACCTAAGTGTTAGCTCTCATTCCTTCTGATCCAACATAGAAAATAAAGAAGTTCTATTTTTATTTTACACATCTGAATGGTAGAGCAAAAATGCTTTATGATTTCATTTTACAACTGCTGAGAAAAACAAAATGAGCTCTGCATAACCAAAACTCCTACCACAACTAGATTAGTTATTATTATTATTATTATTATTCATTTATTACTGGTTTTCCGTGTCAAGGAATGGTCATTCTTGTCAAGGAATGGTCATTAGCATGTTTATTAACTGAGATGAAAAATTTAAGAGAAAGATCAGATCTGGGACAAGAAAGAAAGATCATGAGAAAGATCAAAGTATTGAGTCCAGGGTTCATTCTTGTCATGATTTTATGCCTGCAATTCATATGAAATTAGAACTGGTAACATTAATTAGTAAAATTATCTGCATAAGGACCATCGTTGAAACTGTGGAACTGAATGAGATTGGCCTCAAGAAAAGGTAAAAAGAAAAGATAATCTTGTGGGACACATTAATTTCAAGGGCAAATGGCTGAAGATGAATAAGAAAGAGAAAAGTCAGTGAGGTGACCACCCCAGGAGCTATAGACACCAATAGAGAGCATAAGAATAGCTCTACATTGAAACTTTTTATAGCTCATTTCCTATCTTTTTAGGATACAGAAGAGAGAATGAAGTTAGAGCATTTGCTGAAATGGAGGGATATAATGTTGCTTTTGAAAACTGGATGAGAAAAGTTTTACAAATACTATTATTTAATAGATGAGAATGAAAGAATTGAGCTGTGGGAAGGATGAAGCTGAAATTATAGCTGGAGCTATAGGAGATCAAATGAGAATGATTCTTGTGGACTCCCCTAAAAGACAACAGGAAAATGTAGCAAGCAAAACTAAGTTTATTAGACTTTCTTCAGTGACAGAGAAGAGCCCCTTGATAGAGTCTTAGTAGCATCCTGGAAGAAGGAAATCAGAAGGGGATATGTATAGGCTTTAAGATCTGACTTTGTGGTTTTTAGGCAGGTCTTGCAAGGCAGGTCACTGGTTGGGATTATGGAGCATTATGACCCAGCAGCTTTAGAATAATGTGCACAGTAAGGCAAGGGTCTCAAAGCAAATCTTGATGATCAAGCTGTTAGTTTAATTGATTCAGAGTCTTATTTTGAGGAGTAAATATTTGCTGTGACAAGAAGCTAAGTTATTCTTGTTCTCGGCATTATTTAACATGAAACAGGAAAGCCTACGGTTATTATTTAGCGTAGGGACAGGAGATTGTTTTACTTTCAGTTCTCATTTTATAATTTTCTCTGGGGATAGTAAGAAAGGAGCCAGAGGAAAAGGGAAATGTGGGGATTATCTAGCATTAATAATTGACAAGCTGTATAAGATAATGGTGAAAGAGGGAACAGTCAAGCCAGATCCAGAGGACATAGTTGAAATAGTGGATCGCAGGGTAGTAAAGCAGGAGGGGAGGCTGATAACATGTAGCTTCAGTGAAAGAAAGGATTTGAAAATATTAAATAATAGAAGATTAGGCTGAGAAAGGACAACAATATTTTAATATATAAAGTGAAAAATGATTTATTATACTTTTTGCTAATTACAAATAATAGATTCACTTAATTATATGAATATTTATACAGTAAGCTAAAATAAAACATTCAGCCTTTCCCCCAATTTTTTGACAGGTAAATTCGTCCTCATATTTTAAAACCAGTTCAGATCTCATCTCTGGGAAGCTTTCCTGACTTTCTGAAGTACCTTCTCTGACTCCCACAGCACATAGCATGGTCTAAGATCTCTACAGTGATTCCCAGCACCATATATAGTTCACATATGTAAGGGAGGGGAAAACTACATCACTATTTAAAACCAACACTGACTGCAGCCACTTCAGCCCCTAAGGAAGTGTAAAATTTTTTGCATAGAGTAGAAAGCCTTCTACTTAACAAAATTGGTTCCTAGTCCATTGTGGCTGTAAAAGGAGAGACCTCCAGAGTATGATTTGGAATGGTTCAGTGAAACAAAGAATAAAATTGCCTTGCATTCAAAATGAGAAAGAATTAAGGGAATTGGAAGCAAATTCCAAATACAAGGACACTGTAGAGGGAGCAAAGGATCAGACAACACCCACATATGGGAGGTCATTAGCGCAAAATCGGCCAGCTCCTGATAGTAGAATTGACCTAAGAAATTCTAAAAAGAGAGTAACACTCAAGTTTAATTATTTTCCATGTGTCCTTTGTCATCACATCACCTGAAACCTTTAATAATGCACACTACATGCATTAATGCCTTATGTTTCATAGGAAATCAAGAAAAGGGGACTGAATTCCACATACGGTCTGTGCATGGCATAGAAAATAGGATAGCCACGGAAGGCGAAAAACAAGTAAAATCAATTGTAGAATGAGGTGACCATGAGACTATAAGACCATAGAGTGTGAAACAACAACAAAACCTTGCCAAGGGCCATGGGCTTCCTCTGGGATAAGCAATAAGTATCTGAACAATGTTTCTTAAATGTCCAAGGAAAGGAGTTGTCAGGTACCATCTGGTGTCCACCAGCTGACCTTGTGTTCCCCATTACAAGAGTGAGTCCTTCAGGGTAGGGAAATGTATCTTAAACATCATTGCACCCTCAGTGCCTAGCAGAGTGTATGACATATAGTAAGTAGTCAATAAGTACTTGTTAAATAAATGGATAAATATATAAAGAAATCAATTCATTTTTATTAGGGCAAGATGAGATAGTGTCTTGGTGGTATAAGAAAAGTATCAAAATGAAAAAATGAATGTGGAAACAGGAGAGCAGTAAATTCATATTCAAAGACCTATAATAGGAAAAGGACTCGTATATTTACATGTCATGTTCTGCTCTTAGAAAGTATGAGTAATAAAACTGGAAGTGTAACACTGCAGTTATTAAAAAGAGAAGGTAAAATATAGGGGAACATGAAGTCCTCATGAAAGACTATAGAGATGTGCAAAGACTATAGAAAAAAATAACGATCAGGTTGACAAGCTTAGCCTCAACATTACAGTGTTACTTTGGTGATAATTTCTTATATCATTTCTGTGAGAAGACAGCAGCAACACTTATACAAACCAGAAATCAGAGGCCAAAAAAAAAAAAAAGAATTGAATTAAGTCTATGACATTCTCAAAGCCCAATTTCCTATTCCACACTGGCAGTGAGGAAACCAAGACCTCAAAGGAAAGACCACCCCCCAGAATAAGGAGATTCTCTGCCAACCTCCCTGGAATTATAAAGCCCTGTGGAAATCTTATTTCGCTACCCATCTCTCTGCTGAAAGAACCACACCTTTCCTACACTTGCTATTATTTCGAATAATAACCTTTTGGAATTTTTAGATAATCCTGGAGGCATTTGAGAAAGTTGAGAATCACTATCTTTGTGGTAAATTGTGATTTAAAAATAATGTATTGCAACTTGAATTTCACATGCCTAAGTCATTTTTTCCAAAATGGTGGAAAAAGTACCATTCTGATAGATCTAAAGCAATAAACTTGGCTTCGAATAATTAGATTTACAGGTCATATTTATAATATTAAGGCATTCTTCCATACTAAAGCTGAAAAATGAAGGGTATGGCACTTTTTTTTTTTTTATAAAATCAAGGCAAGGGGACTAAATTCAATATGATAGAAAGTGTTGCCAACAGGATTGAGGGGGTGGTGTGAGGATTACTTCAAGCCGTAAAATTACTCCATATAAATATGTAACTTTGGTACTAGCTTTCTTTACATTGTAGGAGAAAACAGACTAAATTTAAAATTCAGCAACTATTTATTGGGATTTTGTTTTTATTGCTAGGAGTTGATATAGCATACACAATATATAAAAGCCTGTCATACAGACTAGCTTATGATCAGGCCAGAATAATTATCATAATATTTAATGGGAAAATACAAATCTTTATTCTATTCTCCTAGAAAAACCAACAGTGCTCCCACTTCTCATTTTTGAAAAAGAATTTATAATATTTGACACCAAATGATTCTTGCAAAGTGCTTTTAGAACCTAGGTAAGAAGATTGCTCTCAGATACAAAGCACTGAACCTTTTTTTCTTTCTTTACTTGTAAAAAATAAAGACTCCATCTAGCCCATCAAGTCATTTTACAAAGCCAAACAAATCACTTTTTTTTCTCTCCTTTATATTTTTCAGAAGATTTCTAGGCAATTTTCCAAAACCATTTTTCCTTTATTTTAAACAAAAGAACCTTTCCTCACTATCCCCTCACAGTTACCTTTCATGTCTGAAACTCATTTTATATTTTACTACCTTTATAGGCATTGTTATAGATATTCTAAAACAAAGCTAAGTCACAATGATTAGAAACTGTAGAGATAAATGACTGCTGAAATAAGAACAGAGGCAATTTATTTAGAATTTGCTGTAGCAAGGAAGTCAGCCACCATCACTTCCATTTAGCAGAAATTCAAAACCAGACAAAGAAGTGGGAAAGTGAACAAATAAGAAGGCTTTTTAATAGTGAATAAAAAAGAAGGCTTCAAGTATGATCTGATTGTAGACTCTTGCACTGGGAAGCTGGAAGACGGATAACTAAAATAAGGATATTATATGTATGATATGCATCATATGGCTTAGAGAATATACAGTGTTTGGCTTTCTCTGGTTGCTCCTGAGTTGGAAGCAAAGGCAAACATAGGGAAGCTAGCAATGATTAACCACGTCCTAATCATTGCAGGACAGTTGCTGCACAGCTGTGGCTTAGTTTCCCCGGCTGTTTGCTGCAGAGATTGTGGGTCAGAGTTCTATTGTGATATGATGATCTGGCCACCACCTAACTTTATAGTCAGTTTCTCAGTCTTCATTTTTGGTCAGTATCTCACTTGTAAAAGGTTGATTACTTCACAAAAGGCTAGATATTAAACCTTCATTTTCAGGGATTGTTCACCCACTTCCACAATCAACTGCATAGCAAGACTGTCTTGCCCTTTTTGTTATATCATCATGGCAATCATGTAAGAAGATAGCAGTTTTTCTGGGCAGAATGTAATGGACTAATATAATGACCACTATGGGAGAATCAAGAATAATTAATAGTCCCTGTAACATGCACAGAAGAAGAAACCATCCAATTACCCAACCAAGGCCAAGAACAAATTTCATAGACCTGAGAACCAGCCTTAGAGAAACAAGTAGCTTTTTCATTATGGTGATGTATGGCCTGTACTACCTTGTCTGTTTCACTGATAGAAGTAGAGTAAGAATTAACAATGGCACAGATGCTACCACTACTAGGCAATAAGAAATCTAGAGCAATGTGATTGTCCATCACTACTCATGCCAATGAGTTGAGACTGGTCTGTATTTCATCTAAAGCAAAGGTGATATCATTAATAACTTCTGCCAATGTTGATGATCAGTTTCTTACAGGGTTTCATGTCTGTACGATTCCCATGGGTGGGAACACTACTCTGATTGTTTGCATAAACAATGAGTCAATAATTTCCCCAGCTAGAAAATCTGAATAATCAAAGGTGGCATTGTTTTGGAGCTTGTGTGTGAATCAGAATTTACAGTCTTGGTGATTTATAGAATCAGTCTCTATGTTCGGAGACAAACAAGTCTCCAGCTACTGTTCCTAAAGTGTATGAGGTGATAGTCTTAAGCAAACAGGATCAGGCATCCTTAGCACAAAGGAAGTGGTATTCAGTTAGGGGCATATGAAAAACCAGGAAAAAGGAGTCATTTTGACATGAGGTCAGAACCAGGCCTTATGTTAATTGTATTACATATCTGGGTCCCTTTTAGTCTCATAAAGTGGCAAGCATTTGGCCCACTGCCTTGTGGCCCACACCCTATGAAGGTTGTTATATTAAAGTTTAGAATAACCTAGATTTTATCAGTAGATTATAATAATTAGTCATTTTTTCTTGGAGAAAGGGACTCAGCAAAGTCATAGGTTGATTTGTTTAAAGTTATCTGTCCATGGCAGTGCAGGTGGAAACACCATCAGCTAAAATTCCCTCTGATTTCATTTGATGAAGCCAGAAATTATCCCAGAGGTTTTATTGTGGGGATTCAGTGATGAATGGAATGTCCAACAATCAACAAGAATGAGGGCAATGACTATTCTTTGGGATAAACCTAATAAAGGAATTAAAACGATTATATTCTGATCTGACAATTATCATAAAAAAGAAGGAAAAGTGAAAAAGAGGCTGTTATGAGTGGATGACAATCAGAGGTCTATAGAAAATGAGAAGAATGACCGTAAGCAAGCAGTGACAAAAAAAAAACAAGTTATTCAGGGGTTCTGGTTCAAGGTCTTGTTTGGAATCTGTCCACTATTGAGGTCATCGGCTTCTTCTGAAAGTCTTATGTCAGCAGTCAGCTTCTGAAGATGAGCAGCTTCTAGAGGGTCTCTGAAAACCCTCATTATTGAGATCCCCTGTTGGAGCAGACTTCTAATTGTGTGGAATTCTGGTTGCTTATTTAGTTATGAAATATAAACCTAAAGATTGGCTCCCTGTCATTTCACTGCTGTGGTTGTTGCTAACAATACCTGATAATGTTCAATTCAATAAGTTTTGAGAGCAGTTTTTCTCTCATGTCTCTTCCAATGGAAAAACACCTACTGACTGAAGATCACAAAGAGACTGTTTAGGAAGATGTGGGAAGGTGACCTTAACCTATTAACGACAGGATTGAATAAAGCACAGGCACTCCTTTCAATATTTTGTCGTCTCTATGTGAAGCAGGGTGGATCTAGTACTGGAGGTGAAATTCCTCAATGTATGGGCCTTCTACTTACCAGTTCACAGAGGGATAACCAATGTGTCCCTAGAAGAGTCAGTCATATGCCAGTAGGGTCATTGAAAGTATTTTGGTCGTGGGAGCAACAGGACTTTTTCTGAAAGGTTTGGTAATTTTAATTTACAGATGGCACTGGTTTTTTGAACCTTTCTACAATATCATGGGTAGTAAAAGCAGTATAGTTTCTGAGTAAGGGGTAAAACCTTACTGAGTTATTTTATAATAGTTCTCATAAAATGTGTAGGTTGGTCATTTGATATAAACTTGGTATCTCCAAGTTGAAAGCATTAGCAGCTTTTTAACAACTGTAAGTGCTATAACTTTTTGGCAAGGAAATGCTGTTTCACCCTATACTGAAAATAAACTTATAACAATAATAAAGTATTTGAATCCTAAAAAGGAGGAGAGCTGGATAAAATCCATCTGCTGGAGTTCAAAGGGCCATTAAAGTTCTATTCCTGACCATGTCTCACCTTTAGAGCTTCCCCAGGGTTATGTTACTGACAGATGACAAATGACCTTCAACTATCTTCTTAAAGTTTCCCAATTAATGTTGATTTAAGATGATAGTAACCAACTTGTTCATGTCAGGATGAGTAGTTTCATGGAGAAATTTAACAGTATATATTTGAAATCATCTAATGCTACCAAACAGCTAACTCAAGAGCATCAGAGACAGTCTAGTGAAAGGTCTAACCATGCATTTTCCACTCTTCCTTTTCCAAATCAGGAACCAAACATTGATATTTTATAATGATCTCTGATTTCCTCCAGAATTTTCCTTTGAGGATTTAGTTAATATCATAACCTTGGTTAAGATTACCTGTTTGGCATAATAATCTTCTTGAGCATTTCCTTTCACTTCTCTGTTATCGCTTTTGGCATGGGTCTCAACCTTTATAATAGCCACCTCTCTAGGAAGTAGGAGTGCATTTACAGTTCCTTAACTTGGTGTTCATTTTTGATAGAGGTTCTAGCAGTGGTGAGAAATCCTTTCTGTTTCCAAAGCATCCCAAAGTCATATACCACTTCAAAGATATACCTGTTCTCTGTACATATATTTAAATATATGTTTACCCTCTAGTTTTTGACTAATTGACAGGTTCTAAAAAGTACAATAAATTCTGCCATCCGGCCCGGTTTTACTTCAGGAGACTATATTCTAAAGGATAACTTAAATTAATGATAACATATCCTGTTCAATAACCTCCAGTTTTAGTTTTAATTTTGAGGTAGAATCCATCAACAAATAATATTAGATTGGAGTTCTCAATGAGAGTCTCTAATAAATCTTAGTGAGGAACAGAAAGTTTCCTAACAAAGGTTAGGAAAAGGAAAAGAACTGTGAAATTCCCCTTCTTCTGGTAGAGATAGTAGAGTGGCAGGATGCAGGGTGATATAACAGTGAACTGTAATATAAGAGAGTGACAGTAACAAAATCTCAGTCAGTAGGAATGTCTATAATGTCTGAGGAACCAAGTAGAGAACAGAGGACTAGTTCACCAGAAGCATCAACAAATTTGGCAGTTTGCAGCTATCATCCTGAGACAAGACGGCCTTTGCAGCAAGGTCGGGATTGAGGCTGTAAGTAATGGTTTTCGTGGATTACATGAAGTTTAGTTGAAGCCACAAGGGCTTATCTATTTTGTTTATGTGCAAATAGACAAAGGAGTTTTGTTTGTTTGTTTGTTTGTTTTTAAGACAGGGTCTCACTCTGTCATCCAGGCTGGAATGCAGTGGCATAATCAAAACTCACTGCAGCCTCAGACTCCCAGGCTCAGGTGATCCTCCCACCTCAGCCTCCCAAGTACCTGAGACTGCAGGTGTGCTACCACCACATCTGGCTAATTTTTTGTATTTTTACTAGAGACAGGGTTTTGCCGTGTTGCCCAGGCTGGTCTCAAACTTCCAGGCTCAAGCAATCTGCCTGCCTCAGCCTCACAAAGTGCTAGTATTACAGATGTGAGCAACCACGCCCAGCAGACAAAACAGTTTTCTGTATTTAGGAATGCTGATACGGGTTAAATTGCTCCCACAATCACCAAAAGATATGTTGAAACCTTAACCTCTGTACCTCAGAACATGACCTAACTTTGAAATACAGTGGTTGCAGATGTAATTAGTTAAATTAAAATGAGGTCATACTGGGATACAGTGGGCCTTTAATCCAACCTGACTAAACCCCTTATAAGATAAGAAGATGCCACAGGGAGAATATGGCCATATGACATCAGAGGCAGAGATTGGAGTGATGCATCTACAAGCCTACGAATGTCAAGGATTGCTAGAAAATACTGGAAGTTAGGAATAGCAAAGGAGTCTCTCCTACAGGTTTCAGAGAGCACATAGTCTTGATGCCTTGATTTCACACTTCTAGCCTGCAGACAATAGGCTGAAACAATAAATTTCTGTTGTTTTAAGCCATCCAAAGTATTTTATGGTACTTTTGTTATGGAATATTTAGAAAACTAATAAAGATGCCTAGGAAAGGACACTGTTGAAGAGAGTTCTCACGTTACAGAAGACCTGTTCCTATTTGGGCTCCCAGAGGACAGAGTCTCTTACTAAGGACTCAGTTACTTCACAAAGAAGTGTCAAAATTTCAGAAAACCTTTGCATCCATTGTCTGCAATATCCAGTTAAACCTAGTAGTCCTCCAATTGTCATTTTGTGAGCAATCTAGGATAAATTTGGATAGTCTTTATCAGGAGAGGATGTTTTTCCATCCTTAGAGAGATCATGTCCTATATGTTGTTACATAATAATAAAAAATACTGCACATTGTGCCTGAATAATCTTGTTTCCTTTCTTTTCTAAGTTACGCCTTAAATAAACAATTCTGTTCAGATCAAATATTCCCCCGAGTGGTCACTGAAGGTTCAAAGGACCCCTGATGAAGTTATACAATTTAGAGATATGGTAGCATAAATAATGAGAGTACATGTAAGACATAGAAATTTTTCCTGTAAGAGCAAAATATTTAAATCTAGACAACTCAATGACAGATAGCCAACAGTCAGGCAAAAATGATGCTTATACGCTTTGTGTCTCAGTTCTCCAACCTGATGTTGTCCCACCTGTATTTTTAAGGTTCTTCAGAGAAACAGAATAAATAGGATATACTATATATAAATATGTATGTGGAGATTTAGTGTAGAAATTGGTTCACACAATTATGGAGGCTGAGAAGTCCTGTGATCTGCTGTCTTTAAGCTGGAGAACAGGAACGGCAGTGGTGTTATTCAAACTGAGGCCAAAGGCCTAAGAACTGATGGGTGGAGGAAAGTAGCTGCTGGTGTAAGCTGTGGAGTACAAAGGCCTGAGAACCATAAACTCCAGTGGCTAGTAGCAAGAAAAGATGGATGGCCCAACTCAGGAAAGGAAAATGAATTCATCCTTCCTCCAGCTTTTTGTTGCATTCAGTTCCCCAATGGGTGGGACAGTACCCAGCCACATTGGTGAGGGAAATCTTTACTCAGTCTACCATTCGAATGCTAATTTATTCTAGCAACACCTTCACAGACACACTCAGAAATATTTTACCAGCTATCTGGACATCCCTTAGTCCAATCAATTTGACACATAAAAAGAACATCATACCACCTTTAAATGCAGATCCAGCAACTTACTTTCCCCTTCCTCTCACTGGCAGGTGGAAAGCTAGTGAGAATGCTTTCTCTGAATCAAAGCCAAGTTCTCCAAACAGAAATCAAGGCAAAAGAAAAACTTTATCCAGTTTTATTGGAGACTCATAGCATAGTGTGTCCAAACAGGTGCCAGTCCAATGAAAATTTCAAGCTCACCAATCTGTGAGGCCACCTGGAACAATAGGCCTGGAGCTCCTATGCCTGTATTCTACTGTTTGATTCTCCTTATGACAGACAACACTATTAGATCGCACAATACAAACAGGAAGCACAAAAAGAGCAAAAAGAGATGAAAAGAAATGACTTGATTCTACCAAAGATGTCAAACAGAAAACAATAAGACAACTTGGCATCAAACTGTGAATAAATATGCAAGGAACACAACGCACAGGAAACAGAGTTCAGGTCTGTGCAGACTTACAGTGTCAGAATGGATTTGACAAGCCATGAGTAGCAAAGCACAGAGGCCTCTGTGGGCACTGTACGTGGTCAGAGCCTTGGGGCCACAGCATTAAGCAGTGTATACTGAATCTTAGTGGGATTTCAAAGAAACACAAATAAACAGAGACTGCCCAGATGTGAACAAGCAGAGAGTATATATTCAAAGCTTGCTATGGCAAAGGACTCAGCATCATCATGTGTTTGGGACACACTCAAAGACAGAGGGGGGAATAAGGAAGTTTTGTAGCAAAAAAAATAAAGAGATGGCTTCAGGTATGATTTGTTTGGAGGCTGTTTGGATGGGGAAACTGGAGAAAGGATAACTGGACGTGAGGCATTTTATGTGATTGTTTTCGGGGGTATATTGGCTTTCCTTGGTTGGTCCAGACTTGGAAGCAGGGACACAAAATAGAGAAGCTGGCAGTGACTGACCAGGTCCTGACTGTTCTGGACTCGTTGCTGCAGAGGTTATGGGTCAGTGTTCTGAGGTCATATATGATTTGGTCATTGTTCCTTCAAACATTCAGTGTCTCAAAGCTAAAGTATCTATTTTCTTGTATCATTCCCTGTCCTTTCATAAAAAGTGTGGTATTGTACCACAGATATCAAAATTCAAGCAGTGAAGATGTCTTGTTAGAATAGTTAAAAAGGGAGTAAGATGGGATTAAAAAAAAAAAACTTCATCTTTGAGAGGTTCATTTCTAGTTGTTCCAGTTAAAACTAGGTTGGTTGGCCTTTCAGGCTATAAGATATCATGTTCATGTAACATGATATTTATTAAATCAAGCTCTTGATAGTTAAATTTCTTGTTGTGCTTGCCAAAATTCAGAGTAGCCACAGCACAAAGAAATTTAAGAATATATAATAAAACTTTATTAACTGACTTATTAAATTCAGAATATGTGATAATTTGAATAAGAAAAATACTGAAGTTTTTTAATCCACAAAGAAATGTGTTTCTAAGTAATTCGTAATTTATACCCGTAAGTCAAAGTAAGTTCAAAAAAATTTTTTATTTCTTTTTAAATAAGCCATTAACTAGAATTTTCACTAATGCTGATCAGCTCCCAACCTCACTAGTCTAAATAAAAAGGACTTATAAATATGACATATTGTGCTTTAAGTAAAATAACATGCGAATGTGAAAAACCATGTGACTTTACTTTAATAATGGTGTAAGTAAAGAAGTAGTTTCTATTGAGGTAGCTGAATCTTACCGCATTTAGTGTAAATGTAAGTCTCACAATATGGTATGACATTTTCCCTATAAAACTCTACACTATTCAACAATACAGACATTTTGTTACTATAATTACTAACTGAAAACAGAGAAGTAAGGGTCGTAGTTAGATTTCCATAAAGAATAGTTCCCAGTATAATAAAATAAGAGATGAACTTGGTTACCTCAAAGATCCCTTTTAGACCCTGGGGTTTGATTGATAGTTCACCTTTGGGTAAAGTTTATTATGTGCCAAGCTCAGTGTTAATCACCTTAAAAGTGTGAACTCTTTTAATGTGATTCCAACAATAATAGTTATTTATTGAGTGCCTGCTATATGCTGAATCCATGTAAAATCATTGTCTATTTAATCCTCAAAATAATCTAGTAAACTGGGTATTATTATTTTATTTTATAAATAAGAAGTGGAATTCTGGAAAGATTAAATACTTTGACTACCAGTTCATTCTCTTTCTATTTCACCAGTCTGTTCTTGCTCCCTCCTCTGGCAAGTCCAGGGAAGTAAGGAAGGGGGCCTTGGGGTCTAGGATGATGGACAGAAGGCAGTGACCTGGGGCTGGGAGTCTTGTCTCCGTGTTCTGGGATGAGAGAAGCCCTCCCAAGCCACAAATGGGGAATCCAAAATCAAATCCAGAGCAATTACACCATGAGTTAGAGAGCCAAGAAGCTCAGGCGGAAGCTACGTTGCCAAATCCCAGCAAAAGAAACCTAAAGTAGCCAAGTTGAAAAGGTTATTTGACTTAAAAGCCCAGATTGTAAGGTCATGGAGTGCAGCAAAGGGGCCAGAGAAGACAGAAATAACTCCAGAACTGGCAGCTGCCCTGGTTCACCCCAGTTCCTGCAGTTCCAGATGAGGAGGAATTAAATCAGATTGCATATGTATGGAGCACATAACAGAGGGACAGTGGTACCAGGAGACCTTGATAAATGGTGGCTCTTGAAAATGGCAGCTGCAAGAAGCAGAACTGCTGAAGAAAAGAGCAAGGACTTAGGAACTATATTATTCTGTTCTCACATTACTGTAAAGAATGACCTGATACTGGGTAATTATAAAGAAAAGAGTTTTGATTGGCTCACAGTTCTGCAGGCTGTACAGGATGCATGGCTGGGGAGACCTCAGGAAATTTACAATCATGGGAGAAGGCGAAGGCCAAGCAGGCACGTCCTATATGGCTGGATCAGAAGGAAGAGGAGGAATGGGGAGGTTCTACACACATTTAAACAACCAGATCTCATGCAAACTCACTCACTATCACAAGAACAGCAAGGGGGAACTCCGCCCCATGATCCAATCACCTCCCACCAGGCCCCTCCTCCAACACTGGGGATTACAATTCAACACGAGATTTGGGTGGGGATGCAGAGCCAAACTATATCAGGAACTTTCTGGGCTGTTGCTCACCAGGTGAGGGACTTTGGGGAAAGCCATTTAACTTTTCAGAGTCTTAGTTTCTTCATCTATAAAATGGAAATAATAAAAACAAAAAAGCATTTTTTATGCAATCAAAAATAGTAACATTGACTGAAAGTAGCTAGAGCAGAAGATGTCATCCTGTTACTGAGCTTCAGCCTATTCCTGACCCAAGGTGCATCAAAACAGTGCTGTCTAAACAACCTGCTTTGTTGGAGAAATTCAATGCAATGGGATCTGGAACGTAATAGGAATGTAATCACTGGTAGCTGTTACAACTATTGCTTTTGTTTTTATACACAAAGCTAGAAGGAAACAGAAGAGACCTCTCTGGTAAGTAGTTCTCACTTAGGCTGGTAGGAGGTATTCAACTGGTTTCTCTTCATTACCAAAACCTAATCCAGATCTAATAAAATTTCATCTTGACTATCTTCTTAGAGACAAATCTTTCAGCTACTTTGTGCTTCTATAGGCTGCAAAACTAAATACTATAATACAGTATTCAGCATGGATGTTTGCCAAATGGACTTACTTCTACTTTGAGTTCTATGCCTGTTTTTTACATGAGGAAACCAATGCCCAAAAAGATAATGTGTCAGTGAAGAGAAAGGGAAGTCTCAAGAAGAAGTATTTTTTATTACTATATCTAATACAAAGTCATACAAGGCTCCTAGATACTGGGTGAAATAAGGACTTCTGTGGTTCATTGTTTACTATGTTTTTGTTCATCATGAGTTTCTATTGATGTACAATACAGTATTACAATATGTTTTTGGCCTATAGTAATTTTTTCTCAAAGAAATCTTTCCAGAAGAAGGAGGAAGAGAAAGGAGAGAAGGAAGGGGAGAAAAGGATGAGAAAGGGGAAGAAGAAAGTAAAATCAACATGACCAATTTGGCTTCTGATTTGGAGGTGCATTTATATGAAAAAATAATAGGACAAAATACTTAAAACAGATACTTCTGGGGAATCAGAGATGCAACATTGCCACACCAATAAAAGACAGCTGCTAAAAGTCTGTTCATAATTAGCTGGCTTGTTCCTAGCCTGACACAGCAACAGGATGGCTTACAGAAGAAAGATGCAGCTAATCAGTCCATATCAACTTCTCTCATTAGTTTCACATTTTGGATAGCACTGAAACCACCATCTGACTGGAAAGAGCCATTATGCCAAACAACTTAGAAACTGTTGGTGCTTTAATTTGCTTGTTTACTAAAGAATACTGTAAATGATTTTTAGCCACTATATTCTTTTGGTTGCTGACTCATACATTTTTCCTTAGTTGGAGGGCTTTTACACATGCTGCTCACTCTGCTTAGAATTCTCTGGCTCCCACCCCCTCAATTCTCAGCTCGCTCCTGTCTGGCTCTTTCCTACTCAAACGCCTAATTCACAGAAAGGCCTTTCTGACTCCCTGGGTTGAATGAGGTTCCTGTAATTCTCTTTTTACTCATCATATTTACAAAGGATGTTTTGGGGTATCTGTCTTCTCATGCCCCTTCCTCCCATTCATTCCAATTAATCCATCCCCTACTCTATAAACAAAAGGGGATCCTGCTCAACTTTCATTGCTGATGCCTAGCATAGTGCCTGGAACATAAAAAAAAACCTCAAAAGAAATATTTGTTGAATGAATAGATGGATAGACAAATAGATGGACATAGAGACAGATTGAAAGATCACACACATATCTTGCTATATTATCATGCTATATTAATCAGAGTAACACTAGGTTTGATAGCAAACCCCAAAATTTCAGTGGCTTAATGCAACAGATGTTGGTTGCTTGGTCATATGATAATTTACTACAGGTTTTCTTAGTTGGGGAGAGACACTGTCTTCTCCATGGAAAAGAGAGCCCAGACTCCTCCTATCTTGGGGAGAGAGGGAGAGTACAAAGTAGAGAAGTCTCTTCTGCTTCTTACAAGTCTCAGCCTGGAAGGGGCACAGATAGACAACTTCTGGTCACATTCCCTTCAAAAGCACTAATTATTATCTGGAGGCAAAAAGGAGGTGCTGAAAACTGGAGTCTTTTTCTGGACACCCTCCTTCCAGTGACAATACCATATGTGAAAAGGAGAGTTCAAATTTTTACTAGACACCTTACATAAAACTGGCCACAAATATATATAATGAGCCAATCCAGACAACTCAAGCTAAAGTACACTCCAGTCCCCTGATCTGTACATCACTTGTTAATTATGCAGACTTCTACTTCATTTTGCCTATGAAATTATGGCCCTAATAAGACCTTTCTTGCACTGATTTGAATTATCAAAAGTAAAGTCCACAAACTCCTTCTTAAATTTCTTGAAGTTTTTATAGCTTTCTTACATTATTATATAGCTTTATTAAATAGTATGTCAAAATTTTACATATAACAAAATGATCTGAGTATTTTTAATGTTGCCTTGACTGCCAAAATTCTCTTCTAATCACCAAGCCTACTCTTATTTAATTATAAGTATTGTAATCTAAGGTAGCATGACTGCATACTCAGAAATAGCTTTGAAATAGTATTTTTAAATATAAATAATTTAAAATAGAACAGTGCTGGGCTTTAAACTATAGCTCAGTGGGGTTTTTTTTAATTAGCATCAAAAGGAAGAAATAATACAAGGATCTTTAATTGATTTTAAGGAATTCTTGCTACATCTAAAGACAAGGATTACTAGTTAATCTCTTTGGATGTTTTATAAGCACAGAATATTACCTAAATAATTGCAAGCATATACTCAAATGACAGATGGAATAAACGGAAAAAAATTTTGCATGTAACAGTCAAAACAAATTCACTGAAGACCATAATCTTTACTTGGAAGTACTATAGGGAAATGGCAGTAGAATTATATTTCCACAAGATAATATTCTTGTGAGGGCACACTGATTTAATAAGTTGAACTTGTAGTGGGGATGCTGATTCTGCGATGGTGACTACTATGTTGACTATTTCTGCTCTCCTGAATAATCAATGTGTTCTGCTCCCATCTAATGGCTGTTGATGCAATGAAGAAACATCTATTCGTTTCACCACCAGTGACCTCTTGCACCCTGATTGCTTCAGGGGGCAGATTTATTGTGCTCATCAGCACAGGTGGGTTGACCCGATAATTTATGTGGCCTTATTTTCCTTCCAGACAAGTGACTTGTTACTAATTTAAGGATTAAGTGATGTGGGAGTCAATTTTAGTAGAAAAGTTACACTGCTGTTAAGTTTGCTTTCTACCATAAGATCTGTCTAGGATGAAAAAACATCAAAATTGGTTACATATTGAGATTGGGTTTACAACACTACTGGCATCCAGTGATTACCCAGAAGGGTATATCTTCATTAGCTTGAAGGCAACAGAGATATGCAAACAATTTCTATCCCAGGAAGGCTCTTTAGCCTCATCCATTTCTTATTCGTCTAGTATTGGCATCTGTTTTCCTTTGGGGAGCTTCTTGGGCAAGGGGTGGCACTTAACACAAGTTAGGCTAATCAGACTCATTTGCTCAAGATTTTTAATCTTTTATGGATAATTTAGCAACTAAAATGGATGAAGATAATTCTTGAATATTCTGACAGGACTCATTAAAAAAAACAGTCCTTTCATTCCTGCTCTCCTTTTTCTGGAGGGTTGCTAGTTCCTGAGGCTTGATGTTTCACTTTTCTTTCCATTTTGAGCTATCTGTCAAATGAACACATTTTTTTGCTTAAATTAACTGGAATCAGTTTCTGTGGCTTGAAACTCAGGAATCTGGTGATAGAAAGACTTTAACATTTGTGATTAAATAGTCATTCAAAGACAAGATTTTCAGGATTCAACTGGATGGCATTTTTTACAGTTGAACAATTTTACCGCATAGACAAATATGAAAGAAGGCCTCTCAAGTGTAAAGGATTTACAGCCATTTTAACTGGCAAAGAAGAGCCAAATTCAGGAGCCCTCTTCAGTGGGTATAGAGACATCCATGAGCAAAGCAGGGAAGTGAACTGCATGGACTAGGAGACTAAGTCTTTACATTATGAAATCCTTCAGATAATTGGAGTTTCATCAGTATTGCAGACAAGAATCCAGTCATTACCTCAGCTAATATGTTTTAGTTATTACATATTTGAGGAAATATCACCAAAATGTCTTGAGATTTGGTAAATATTTTTGTGGTGGGTAAACATATTTTAAAACCAGGAAGATTTAAAATTGAGTATAAAAATACTTCAGAGAACCAAAACTATAAAAAAATCCATAATAAAAATATTTTTATGATTTGGTAATCTCTTCATATTTTGTGATTTATGTACTTCTAGCACTTCAGAAAATGTGACCTATTAGTAAAATAATTCTTATAATTCTATTTTAAAACACAGAGATTTGTAATTTACATTGGTGATTTTAAATAGAAAGATTTTAGTTTATATATTATATATTAAAAAAAAACAAAAATTTCTCTGAGTTCTTGAAAAACTCAAATTTAATTTATTATAGTTAAAGGAATTATTCAAGAATTCAGGGAGGTTTTTTGTTTTCAGTAAGCCTGAAAACAGAAATACCTAAAAGAAAAAGAAAAATATTAAGCTTATAATATTACAGTTTTTTAAATATATATTTTAAGTTCTGGGATACATGTGCAGAACGTGCAGGTTTGTTACATAGATATACACGTGCCATGGTGGTTTGCTGTACATATCAACCCGTCATCTACATTAGGTATTTCTCCTAACGCCATCCCTCCTCTAGTGCCCCAACTGCTGACAGGCCCCAGTATGTGATGTTCCCCTCCCTGTGTCCATGTGTTCTCATTGTTCAACTCCCACTTATGAGTGAGAACATGCAGTGTTTGGTTTTCTGTTCGTGTGTTAGTTTGCTGAGAATGATGGTTTCCAGCTTCATCCATGTACCTGCAAAGGGCATGAACTCATCTTTTTTATGGCTGCATAATATTCCATGGTGTAAATGTGCCACATTTTCTTTATCCAGTCTATCATTGATGGGCATTTGGGTTGATTACAAATCTTTGCTATTGTGAACAGTGCTGCAATAAACATACGTGTGCATGTGTCTTTATAGTAGAATGATTTATAATCCCTTGGGTACATACCCAGTAATGGGATTTCTGGGTCAAATGGTATTTCTGGTTCTAGATCCTTGAGGAATCACCACACTATCTTCTACAATGGTTGAACTAATTTACACTCCCAACAGTGTAAAAGCGTTCCTATTTCTTCACGTCCTCTCCAGCATCTGTTGTCTGCTGACTTTTTAATGATTGCCATTTTAACTGGTGTGAGATGGTATCATACTGTGGTTTTGATTTCCATTTCTCTAATGATCAGTGATGATGAGCTTTTTTTTATATGTTCGTTGGCCACATAAATGTCTTCTTTCAAGAAATGTCTGTTCATATCCTTCACCCACTTTTTGATTGAGTTGTTTGTATTTTCTTGTAAATTTGTTTAAATTCTTTGTAGATTCTGGATATTAGCCCTTTGTCAGATGAATATATTGCAAAAATTTTCTCCCATTCTGTAAGTTGCGGGTTCACACTGATGATAGTTTCTTTCGCTGTGGAAAAGCTCTTTAGTTTAATTAGATCCCATTTGTCAATTTTGGCTTTTGTTGCCATTGCTTTTGGTGTTTTAGTCATGAGGTCTTTGCCCATGCCTATGTCCTGAATGGTATTGCCTAGGTTTTCTTCTAGAGTTTTTATGGTTTTAGGTCTTATGTTTAAGTCTTTAATCCATCTTGAGTGAATTTTTGTATAAGGTGTAAGGAAGGGATCCAGTTTCAGTTTTCTGCATATGGCTAGCCAGTTTTCCTAACAACATTTATTAAATAGGGAATCCTTTCCCCATTGTTTTTTTTGTCAGGTTTGTCAAAGATCAGTTGGCTGCAGATGTGTGGCATTATTTCTGAGGCCTCTGTTCTGTTCCATTGGTCTATATATCTGTTTTGGTACCAGTGTCTTGCTGTTTTGGTTACTGTAGCCTTGTATTATAGTTTGAAGTGAGGTAGCTTGATGTCTCCAGCTTTGTTCTTTTTGCTTAGGATTGTCTTGGCTATATGGGCTTTTTGGTTTCGTATGAAATTTAAAGTAGTTTTTTTCTAATTCTTTGAAGAAAGTCAATGGTAGATTGATGGGGATAGCATTAATGTATAAATTACTTTGGGCACTATGGCAATCTTCACGATATTGATTCTTCCTATCCATGAGCATTCTTCACAATATCGATTCTTCCTATCCATGAGCATGGAAGTTTTTTCCATTTTTTGTGTCCTCTCTTATTTCGTTGAACAGTGGTTTGTAGTTCTCCTTGAAGAGGTCCTTCACATCCCTTGTAAGTTGGATTCCTAGGTATTTTATTCTCTTTGTAGCAATTGTGAAGGGGAGTTGACTCATGATTTGGCTCTCTGTTTATTATCGGTGTATAGGAATGTTCGTGGGTTTTGCACATTGATTTTGTATCCTGAGATTTTGCTGAAGTTGCTTATCAGCTTAAGGATATTTTGGGCTGAGATGATGGGGTTTTCTAAATATAAAATCATGTCATCTGCAAACAGAGACAATTTGACTTCCTCTCTTTCTATTTGAATACCCTTTATTTCTTATTCTTGCCTGATTGCCCTGGCCAGAACCTCCAGTACTATGTTGAATAGGAGTGGTGAGAGAGGGCATCCTTGTCTTGTGCCAGTTTTGAAAGGGAATGCTTCCAGTTTTTGCCCATTCAGTATGATATTGGCTGTGGGTTTGTCATAAATATCTCTTACTATTTTGAGATATGTTCCATCAATACCTAGTTTATTGAGAGTTTTTAGCATGAAGGGGTGTTGAATGTTGTCGATGGCCTTTTCTGCATCTATTGAGAGAATCGTGGTTTTTGTCATTGGTTTTATGTGATGGATTACATTTATTGATTTGTGTATGTAGAATGAGATTTGCATCCCAGGTATGAAGCCGACTTGGACGTGGTGGATAAGCTTTTTGATGTGCTGCTGGATTTGGTTTGCCAGTATTTTATTGAAGATTTTTGCATCAAAGTTCATCAGGGATATTGGCCTGAAATTTTCTTTCTTTGTGGTGGCTCTGCCAGGTTTTGGTAACAGGATGATGCTGATCTCATAAAATGAGTTACAGAGGAGTCCTTCTTTCTCTGTTGTTTGGAATAGTTTTGGAAGGAATGGTACCAGCTCCTCTTTGTATATCTGGTAGAATTCAGCTGTGAATCCATCTGGTCGTGGACTTTTTTTGGTTGGTAGGCTATTAATTACTGACTCAATTCCAGAACTTGTTATTGGTCTCTTCAGGGATTCGACTTCTTCCCTGATTTAGTTGTGGGAAGGTGTATGTGTTGAGGAATTTATCCATTTCTTCTAGATTTTCCAGTTTATTTGCATAGAGCTGTTTACAGTACTCTGTGATGGTAGTTTGTATTTCCGTGGGATCATTGGCGATATCCCCTTTATCATTTTTTATTGTATCTATTTGATTCTTCTCTCTTTTCTTCTTTATTAGTCTAGCTGGAGTTCTATCTATTTTGATAATCTTTCTGGATTCAATGATTTTTTGAAGGGTTTTCTGTGTCTCTATCTCCTTCAATTCTGCTCTGATCTTAGTTATTTCTTGTATTCTAGATTTTGAATTTGTTTGCTCTTGCTTCTCTAGTTCTTTTAATTGTGATGTTAGGGTGTCAAATTTAGATCTTTCCCACTTTCTCCTGTGGATATTTAGTGCTATAAATTTCCCTCTAAACACTGCTTTAGCTGTGTCCCAGAGATTCTAGTACATTGTATCTTTTTTCTCATTGGTTTCAAAGAACTTATTTATTTCTGCATTCATTTTATTATTTACCTAGTAGTCTTTCAGGAGCAGGTTGTTCAGTTGCCATGTAGTTTTGTGGTTTTGAGTGAGTTTCTTAATCCTGAGTTCTAATTTGATTGCACTGTGGCCTGAGAGACTGTTTGTTATGATTTCCGTTCTTTTACATTTTCTGAGGAGTGTTTTACCTCCAGTTATGTGGGCAATTGTAGAATAAGTGTGATGTGTTGCTGAGAAGAATGTATATTCTGTTGATTTGGGGTGGAGAGTTCTGCAGATGTCTATTAGGTCTGCTTGGTCCAGAGCTAAGTTCAAGTCCTGAATATCCTTGTTAATTTTCTGTCTCATAGATCTGTCTGATATTGACAGTGGGATGTTAACGTCTCCCACTATTATTGTGTGGGAGTCTAAGTCTCTTTGTAGGTCTCTAAGAACTTGCTTTATAAATCTGAGTGCTCCTGTATTGGGTGCATATATATTTAGGATAGTTAGCTCTTCTTGTTCCATTGGTCCCTTTACCATTATGTAATGCCCTTCTTTGTCTCTTTTGATCTTTGTTGGTTTAAAGTCACTTTTATCAGAGGCTATGATTGTAACCTCTGCTTTTTATTGCTTTCCATTTGCTTGTTAAATATTCCCCCATCCCTTTATTTTGAGCTTATGTATGTCTTTGCATGTGAGATGGGTCTCCCAAATACAGCACATTGATGGGTCTTGACTGTTTATCCAATTTGCCAGTCTGTGTCTTTTAATTGGGGCATTTAACCCATTTATATATAAGGTTAATATTGTTATGTGTTAATTTGATCCTGTCATTATGATGCTAGCTGGTTATTTTGCCCGTTAGTTGATGCAGTTTCTTCATAGTGCCTATGGTCTTTACAATTTGATATGTTTTTGCAGTGGCTGGTACCGGTTTTTCCTTTCCATATTTAGTGTTTCCTTCAGGACCTCTTGTAAGGCAGGCCTGGTGGTAATAAAATCCCTCAGCATTTGCTTGTCTGAAAAGGATTTAATTTCCCCTTCACTTATGAAGCTTAGTTTGGCTGGATATGAAATTCTGGGTTGAATATTCTTTTTTTTTTTAAGAATATTGAATATTGGCCCCTACTCTCTTCTGGCTTGTAGGGTTTCTTCAGGGAGATCCACTGTTAGTCTGATGGGCTTCCTTTGTGGGTAACTCAACCTTTCTCTCTGGCTGCCCTTAACATTTTTTCCTTCATTTCAACCTTGGCAAAATTGAGGATTATGTGTCTTGGGGTTGTTCTTCTCGAGGAGTATCTTTGTGGTGTTCTCGTATTTCCTAAATTTGAATGTCTTGCTAGGTTGTGGAAGTTCTCCTGTATAACACCCTGAAGAGTGTTTTCCAACTTGCTTCCATTCTCCCTGTCACTCTCAGGTACACCAATCAAACGTAGGTTTGGTCTTTTCATATAGTCCCATATTTCTTGGAGGCTTTGTTTGTTCCTTTTCATTCTTTTTTCTCTAATCTTGTCTTCATGCTTTACTTAAGTTGATCCGCTTGATCGATTCAGCTATTGATTCTTGTGTATGCTTCACAAAGTTCTTGTGCTGTGTTTTTCAGCTCCATCAGGTCATTTATGTTCTTCTCTAAACTGGTTATTTTAGTTAACAATTCCTCTAACTTTTTTTCAAGGTTCTTAGCTTTCTTGCATTGTGTTAGAACATGCTCCTTTAGCTCAGAGGAGCTTGTTATTACTCACCCTCTGAAGCCTACTTCTGCCAATTCATCAAACTCATTCTCTATCCAGTTTTGTTCCTTTGCTGGTAAGGAGTTGTATCCTTTGGAGGAGAAGAGGCATTTTCGTTTTGGGAATTTTCAGCCATTTTGCTCTGTTTTTTCCTCATCTTCGTGGGTTTATCTACCTTTGGTCTTTGATGTTGGTGACCTTCGGATGTGGTCTTTGTGTAGATGTCCTTTTTGTTCATGTTGATGCTATTCCTGTCTCTTTGTTAGTTTTCCTTCTAACAGTCAGGCCTCTCTGCTGCAGGTCTGCTGGAGTTTGCTGGATGTCCACTCCACACCCCATTTGCCTGGGTATCACCAGTGGAGGCTGCAGAACAGCAAAGATTGCTGTCTGTTCCTTCCTCTGGAAGCATCTTCCCAAATAGGCACCTGCCATATGCCAGCCATGGTTCTGTCTTGCTGGTGTTCCAGGCTCCTGTGTGAGGTGTCTGTTGACCTCTGCTGGGAGGTGTCTCCCAGTCAGGAAACATGGGGGTCAGGGATCCACTTGAGAAGGCAGACTGTCTCTTAGCAAAACTCAAGCACTGTGCTAGGGAGATCCACTGCTCTCTTCAGAGCTGGCAGGCAGGAATAGTTAAGTCTGCTGAAACTGTGCCCATAGGCACCCCTTCCCTCAGGTGCTCTGTCCCAGGGAGATGGGAGTTTTATCTATAAGCCTCTGACTGGGGCTGCTGCCTTTCTTTCAGAGATGCCCTGTCCAGAGAGGAGGAATCTAGAGAGGCAGCCTGGCTACTGCAGATTTGCCTAGCTGCAGTAGGCTCCACCAAGTTCACTCTTTCCAGCAGCTTTGTTTACATTGTGAGGGGAAAACCACCTACTCAAGCCCCAGTAATGGTGGACCCTCCTGCCCCCACCAAGCTTGAGCACCACAGGTCGACTTCAGAATGCTGTGCTGGCAGTGAGAATTTCAAGCCAGTGGATTTTAGCTTGCTGGGCTCCATGAAGGTGGGATCTGCTGAGCTAGACCACTTGGCTTCCTGGCTTCAGCCCTTTCCAGTGGAGTGAACGGTTCTGTCTCGCTGGTGTTCCAAGCGCCACTGGGGTATGGAAAAAAAAGCTCCTGCAGCTAGCTCAGTGTCTGCCCAAACAGCTGCCAGTTTTGTGCTTGAAACCCAGGGTCCTGGTCATGTTGGCACCCGAGGGAATCTCCTGGTCTGCAGGTTGCAAAGACAGTGGGAAAAGTATAGTATCTGGGCCAGAATGCACTGTTCCTCATGCCACAGTCCCTCATGGCTTCCCTTGGCTAGGGGAGGGAGTTCCCCAACCCCTTGCACTTCCTAGGTGAGGTGACACCACACCCTGCTTCAATTCACCCTCCATGGGCTGCACCCACTGTCTAACCAATCCCAATGAGATGAGCCAGGTACCTCAGTTGGAAATGCAGAAAACACCCACTTTCTGCATTGATCTCGCTGGGAGCTGCAGACTGGAGCTGTTCCTATTCAGCCATCTTCTCTTTTCCAATATTACAGTTTTAAATGTCCTAATATGTTTAACTTGCTCTGTATATGGGTCTAAATATTATCCAAAAACTTTAAAAATTACTGAAATTTGACTGACAAGTAGAATAAAATTTGTAAATTAACTGTAAAAATGTCAGCATTTATAACTCTAATAGATTTTTTTTTGCTCAAAAACAACCAAGAAAAAGGTCATATTGACAGAATTTAGAGTCTCTAAACCTGTTGTGTTAGCCCTGTTAACAGTAAGTGTTTTCCTACAATGAAAATGTATTATTCGATCTGCTGGTTTGGTTTTGTTTTTCTCAGCCTCAAAGTTAAACTTTTCCTGTGCTTTTCAAATACATAATTTGTTCTGAAGACACACACATAAAGTTATTAGAGCTTAAATTTGTTTTTCTGAAGCAACTGGTCTACTACTTTTTTTTTTTTTTTTTTTGACATGGGGTCTCACTCTGTCACCCAGGCTGGAGTGCAGTGGCACAATCTCGGCTCACTGCAACCTCCACCTCCCGGGTTCAAGCGATTCCCCTGCCTCAGCCTCCCAAGTAGCTGGGACTAGAGGTGTGTGCCACCACGCCTGGCTAATTTTTGTATTTTTAGTAGAGACAGGGTTTCACCATGTTGGCCAGGCTAGTCTCAAACTCCTGACCTCAGGTGATCCACCTGCCTCAGCCTCCCAATGTGATGGGATTACAGGTGTGAGCCACCATGCCTGGCTTACTACTTCTTTATGTATTACCTAAACTCACAAAGGCAAGGAGAAGAAATTACATTAAATTAAAGAGTGTACTGAAAAGAGTACTGAACTAGTCATTGTTTGAGCTAAGTATGAATTTTAATCTGAACATAGTTAACTATAATTTTGGACATATCACTTAACCACTCTGTGAAATGAGAAATTAAACAATAAAATCTTCACAATTTTTGCCCACCCTAATATAAAATTCTATTGTTCTAAATGGAATTTAGACAGAAGATATTCATATCTTAAACTATGATTAATCTGTCAAAAACAGTTTTTAGAGAAAAAAAATCATGATTCAAAAATTGAATTCACTTCAGAGGGCAGGGCTGGCTGGCCTTTTTACCTGTCCCAAGAACCTGACTTCAGATCTTTTCTTGCAGCTGCAGTAGGAATGTAGAGTACGAGCTTTGATGCAGGAGTCTTGGCAGAACAAACATTTGAAAGTTTATTTCTCTCTTTGACCGAGTATTTGTTGAAAGAACTGCAGCTGAAACTGTAGCCAAAGGAGGCATGATGCTTCCAGAACAAATGTCAAAGAAAAGTATTACATGCATCAGTAGTAGCTGTTAGATTGGTCTCTAAAAGAAAGGGTGGAGAGATTCAACCAGTTAGCATCCAAGTTGGAGATAAAGTTATTTTCCCAGAATATGGAAGCACCAAAGTGCTTTAGACAAGGATTATTTCTTATTTAGAGATGGTTTAGAGATGGTGACTTTCTTGGAAAGTATGCAGACTGAAATAAATCACCATTGAAATGGCATAATAGTGAAGCTGCCCATTCCACTAAAGTTCTGAAATCTTTCATTATGTACATAAGTTCTACGTCTCTCTTTTGTAATAAACTAATAATAGCTAAACTAAAAGAAAAATGAATACAGTCCAGGAGGATCACTTGAGCTGGAGTTCAAACCCAGCCTGAGCAACATGGTGAGACCTCATCTTTACAAAACTGTTAGTAAAAATTAGCCAGTGTGGTACCCCACATCTGTGGTCCCTGCCACTTGAGAGGCTGAGAAAGGAGAATCTCTTGAGCCTGGAAGGTCACAGCTGCAGTGAGCCATAATCGCACCACCGCACTCCAGCCTGAGCAACAAAGTGAGACCCTGTCTCAAAAAAATAACAATAATACATGTCAAGGGTTTTATTTAACTCCTTGGTTAAATGAGGCAACCAGTGAGATATTACAAGTGCTTCAAAGAACATGAAATATACATTTGTAGGCAGAGAAGAAATGCTGAAATAAGCTTACAAATGGATGCAAAATTGGTAAAATCTAGTCATTATCCACAGGGTGATAATTAATTGTACTCCACTGCACAAAATTTGCATATCTTAGACTAAAATAATTTATATTACTATGAATTTTCTACAGGTTTACAACTCTACAAAGTTGTAAAATAGTTTAGTAAAAGCAAAAGTGCACACTGGCATGCCTTCAGTTAAAGGGTATTTAATAATTTCTTTCATCCATTTCAAAATCTTCCAGAGTTGAAATATAAACTGAGTGCTCAATGGAATTTTGTAGAGGATCAATGATGGTAGAAGGTAGGAATAAGCGTTAGTTATTTACATCTTTAACTGTTATTCGCTCTATTTATTGAATCATTTAGAATATGATTCTAATTCAAGTAGGAAAATGGATATAAAGGGGTTCTCGAAATACTTTATTTCCACAGAATTCCACAGCTCAATAAATAAAGCTCCAGAATTGGTCCAGCATGATCTGGAAGTCATACTTGATTCTTGCCTCTCCCTCAACTGCACATCGTGCCATTAGTTAATAGTCCTGTTGCTTTTAACCTTAAAATGTATCTCAAATCTGTTTTTTTCTCTCTATCTTGACTGCCACTGACCTATTTCAAGCACCCTCAGCTTTTGTCAGAATGATTATCATTACCTTTCAAACGTGTAGCAGAAAACTATTTTAAGCTAAAATACTTTTTAAAACATTGATGTACTTTTTTCTTATCCTGTCTCCATCCAAACAAATTGATTCAGTTCTCACTGCCAGCTTGGAGGAGAGGGGCAGGGAGGAAAGAGTTGTGGAATAGCAAAATATCAGAAATTGCTTGGAAATCTTCCAGGCCTTTGTTTCTAAACAGCTAATTCTTAAAGCTGGGAGAAAATTAGGTTATAGACAGCATATTTAAGCCAGAATCATGATAGGAATATGATTTCCCCAAAACAAGAAATCCCCGATGTTATAAGGATAGGTTGAATAGTGAGAACAGAGAGTTCTCAGGGTGTAAATGCAAAGGAGATCTGTGACCTACTTTGTAAGCATAGCCCCTATAGCAGTTGGAATACTTCAGCAATAAAATGACTGGTGGGAATCTAGGCAACTTTGCAAAGAATTCTATACTCGAACCCTAGCAGACAGCCCTTGGATCTGAAGAGCCGTATTACAGAGAATAACTTATTCTCAGAAGTAAACAGCGTTTCAGAATGAACAGATGACTCGATAACCAAATGCTGTCACTTAAACTCCAGATTTTAGCATTGCGTAAGATTCTGCCGCTACGGTTAATAAAAAATCCAGAAAGATAGGAGTAACTTATAATAACTAAGGTTAGTTTTCAACCAGTGTAATGAGATGGGAAGCTTAAATTAGAAATTGAGTTAGAGAAAGTAAATGAAAAACAAAAAAAGAAAAAGAAAAAACAGAACTAAGAAAATACAAGGGACTTTCACTTCTATAAATATAGAGGCTTAGTTATTCTGAAAAACCATACCTACTCCTACAAAAGATCTTTAAAGTGCTGGATAAACTATTAGTTTTTATAAATAAACAGAAACACTTGAAAACAATCAAGGGAAATTTTTAGGGCAACCAAAAAGCAGGGAATGGAGCTGTAATTAGAGTATCCAGCAGTTGCTGAAGCAGTAGATGCCCTAGGTTTAATGGCCACATGAGACACAAAAGATAAGGACTTACTTGGCTTCAATAAGTTGGAATATTGGAACTGAACTTGCATAAAGTCAGGGCCTTTGAAAAGTAGCTAGAGCTTAAATGAAAAGCTATGTTAGGAAAAAAATATGCCTGATGGTAAAAGGAGACATAGAAGGTAATTTGTAAAAACCTCAGCTCAGCTCCATAGTGAAAAAGGAAACAAAACAAATACGGAAAATAGTCTATCTCATAAATCAGAATCATAGCCCTAATATCACATGGATTTGGAGTTTGAATATACACTAACTAGCTCAAGAAACCCCAAGCTAATAATTTGAAGTTGTTACAGGATTGAACTAATCCAGAACATGTAGCAAAATCAAATGGAAATCTCTAGAGCATGGGTAGATAAACTATGGCCAGCAGGCCAAATCTGTTTTTGTATAACCTGTGACCTCAGAATGGTTGGAAAAACGCAAAAGAATATTTAAAGACACCTGAAAATGATTTGAAATTCAAATTTCAGATTCTGTAACAAAAATTGTATTGAAACAGAGCTACAGTCATTTCTTTATTGCTTGTGGCAAATTTCATACAACAGCAGTGTTAGCGTTGAGTAGTTGTGACAGAGACTGTGGCACTTTCATGGCTTCACACTGCTTCTTGGTGCACTACAAATCACAGTGAAAAATGCATAGGTTGGAAGCATTTTGAGTGTCACACGTATTGCCTGTCTTTGTTTTGTGCTACTATAACAAAATACCAGACACTGCATAAATTATAATGAGCATGAATTTATTAGCACATGTTTCTGGAGACTTAGGCCAAGATCAAGGGGCTGGCATTGTGTGAAGGCCTTCTTGTTGTGTCATCTCACGGCTAAGGGCAAAGGTGGGCACAACAGAGAGAAAGGGGTTGATCTTTTATATCAAACCTACTCTCATGATAATAATATTACTTCATTCACTTCACCCCCCTGGCCTAATCATCTCTCATTAAGCCCCATCTCCCAACACAATGCATTAAGAATTGAAATTTCAATACATGCTCTTTAGAGGACACATTCAGCACATACCACTGCGTTTTATCTTATTTTTTTATTGTTATTGCATACGCATCTTGCCAAAATAAAACAAACAAGAAAATGAAGAGAAAAACAGATTTTGAATATCACATTTTAAAAATAGAATGGAAAGTAGATTATTTTGTTATCTAAATCAATTGTAAGCATTGTGTTTTATACATGTTATTATGTCATTGCTACTTTAGAAGAATACAACATAGGTCTACAGTACCAGACTAAATAATTGCCACACTATCTTTGATGTACAATACTCCCTGAGTCAGAAAAATTTGAAACTTCAAAACAAAATATCTCAGTAGATTTTTCCCACAAAAGTCTGAAATGAATCTTCAACCAAAGTAAGTTTCCAAGTAGTTTGGTTTTTAGTCAAGCAAGAAAAGCCATTTACCAGGTGCAAGTTAATTATATTTTATTCAATTGTAGCAACAATAACAGCAAAAAAAAGATGTACAAAGAAAGTAAACTTGTTTAGATTATTAATCTTTCTGTGAGAACAGTTGCTTAATAAGTTGAGGATGTTGGGAGTCAATTTTGGATAAATTAAGAAAGAAGGAAAATAATTTCTAGTGTTTTTCTTTGGCTCTTGATGAGTTGACAGTTGTTACCAAACACTATTCAGTTGTTGATGTTTATTTGATAATTTAATACTGACTTTGAAGTGAATAACATGAATTCATAGCCTCTATGAATGGTCTGAGTAAAACTGCAGTCAAGAATATTTTCAAAGTCGAGAAAACTCAAATTCAGCGTAATCTGAAGTGGAATCTACTAAACTGTGTAACAACTGATGCTAGCAAAAGTGTTCAGAAAAAAAGACAGTTGGACAAACTCATAAAGTTTGTGAAAATATAAAGTGTTTAGAGGCAAGGGAAATTTATCAAAATGCTTACAGAGTAGCAGGAAGGGCAAGAATGTGGTCGAGCCTCAAGGACAAGTGGAACCAGGGACTGGAATGCTACCAAGCCTTCTCCCATTTCTGGTTCTCTCTGAGAGTTGGGTTTATCTATCCTATTTTAGACTAGCTTTTTCTACATGCTTGGGTGGTTCACCAAAATGCCAGAACTTCATAACTTTGTTCCCAGAGAGCAACTATTAGTGACATTTTCTGGTTCCAAGTTTAAGAATTCTGAGAAAGTATACTGAATATAAAGAGGCTGGTGTCTACCCTATACCAGTCACCCATAGGGTAGGAGGCAGCCTCCATAGGAAAATAGCCACCGCCATTGAAACTAGTTGCTTAAAGCAGAGGAAAGAACACTTACCTGAAGAAAGGGATACTCTAGGCAGTTGAAACAGTTAATGTCCTTCACAATTTTCTAAGATATTTCTCTAGGCCAGCAGTTCTCAAAGTGTGGTTCACAAACTCCTAGGAGTCTGATCCTTTTACATCTGTGGAGTCAAAGCTATTTTCATAATATTACTAAGATGTTATTTATCTCTTTTTTTGCATTTTGATTTTTCCATTGATGCTACAAAAGCAATTGTGGATAAAACTTCTGGTGCTTTAACACAAATGTAGGCAGTGGCACCAAACTATACTAGTAGTCATTGTATTACCACCATTCATGTCCTTATGAATGTCCTTAATGAAGCAGCAAAAATTCTTAATTTTTATAAAATCTTGATCTTGAACACACATCTTTTTCATATAAATGAATGAAAAGTATGCATAAAGCATTTTTGCTGAATACCAAAGTAAGTGGTTGTTCCAAGGAAATGTATGTATGTGATGAATTGAAAGCTAACCTAGCCACTTTTTTATGAAACACTATTTTCATTTGAAAACATTATTAACAGACAAACTATGGTTATTTAGGCTTCAGTATTTGTGAGACATTTTCTCTATGAAGTTAGCATGTCATGTCAAACAAAACAAATTTGGCCAGGTGCAGTGACTCACACCTGTAATCCCAGCACTTTGGGAGGCTGAGTCTGAAGGATTGCTCGAGCCCAGGAATTCAAGACCAGCCTGGGCAGCACACAGAGACCCCATCCCTATAAAACATTAAAAAAAAAAATTAGCTAGGCATGATGATACACACCTGTAGTTCCAGCTACTCAGGAGGCTGAAGCAGGAAGTTCGAGGCTACAGTGAGCCATGATCATGCCACTGCACTCCATCCTGGATCCTGGGAGACAGAGCAAGACCCTGTCTCAAAAAAAATAAAAAGAAAAATAAAAACAAACAAAAGAAAGGAAGAAGAGAAGGAAAGAAGGAAGGAAGGAGGGAAGGAAGGAAGGAAGGAAGGAAGGAAGAAAGGAAGGAAAGACGGTAGGAAGGAAGGAAGGAAATAAAATAATTGACATTATTTGGTACCAATAAGATTCAAGCTTTCAAGGGAATATCAGAATTCTGGGAAACTTGTATTTTTTACTATTAGTTTGATGGTTTCCAACGATTAAAGATTTTTCTGATGATATAGGTGAAGATGTTAACAAATGTGACTTTTTGATATTGTATAACGAAATACGTTAAAATTTGAATGAACTTGGTGAACCAATATTTTCTATGTGACCAATGCATTATGATATAAAATCATGCAGGGATAAAAGATATATTCAAGATATAAGATAGATCAATGGATTTTAATTTGACAGAATATGAAAATTACACTGAAATGCTTTTGGATTCTGTATTGCACCAAACTTTTAAGAAACTACTGCTTGTTGAGTATTCATGTAGTATAAAAGAGGACAGATCACAATTATCTGAAGGGGATCTTAAAATGTTCCTTCAACCTAAATAAACAGTTTGGCCAGGAGTGGGAGGGCAGGTTCTTAATAAGTGTTAGGGGTATAAAGGGATCCTAAGACCAAAAAGGTTGAGAAACGCTACTCTAAACTATGCATATGTAAATTTTCTAAGGATAAGGGACATTGTCAGTGTCTTTGAGTAGTAAGGAATCTAATTCTTCCAAATATTACAGAAATATTTGGCATGATTTTACTATTTTTTTTTATTTACTAATTTTTATTTTTATTTAATTAATTAATTTATTTATTTATTTATTTATTTTTGAGACGGAGTCTCGCTCTGTCACCCAGACTGGAGTGCACTGGTGCGATCTTGACTCACTGCAAGCTCCCCTTCCTGGGTTCACCCCATTCTCCTGCCTCAGCCTCCCGAGTAGCTGGGACTACAGGCGCCTGCCACCATGCCCGGCTACTTTTTTTTTTTTTTGTATTTTTAGTAGAGATGGAGCTTCACTGTGTTAGCCAGGATGGTCTGGATCTCCTGACCTCGTGATCCACCCACCTCAG
This sequence comes from Homo sapiens, assembly GCF_000001405.40. Lineage (NCBI taxonomy): Eukaryota > Metazoa > Chordata > Mammalia > Primates > Hominidae > Homo > Homo sapiens. Next base: position 74,924,636 of record NC_000004.12, read on the forward strand.
ACAGGTACTCACTCTGTTGTCAAGGCTGGAGTGCAGTAGCACTATCACAGGTCACTGCAGCCTCAGCCTCCTGGACTCAAGTGTTTCTCTCATCTCAGCCTTCTGAGTAACTAGAACCACAGCACATATCACCACACCTGACTAATTTTTTTGTGTTTTGTAGAGTCAGGGTCTCCCTCTGTTGCCCAGGCTGGTCTTGAACTCCTGGGCTCAAGTAGTCCTCCCACCTTGGCCTCCCAAAGGGCTGGGATTACAGACATGAGCCACCATGTCCAGTCTGATTTTACTGTTAATAACAATTTTTCAACATCATAATCATTTCTACCAAAAATAACAGCAAATATTTGTTAAGAGTCTACTCTGTCTAGGTTCAACTCCAAATAATTTCCATGCATTTAATACTTAAAACAACGCTTTGAAGTAATGGATTATTATTATCATCTCCATTTCACAAATTGGGAAACTGAGGGTTAGAGGGGTTAAGTAAGTTGCCTCAGTCCATGCAATCAGCAAGTTTCAAGCTTTCAACCACTACACAGTACTGTCAGTTGAGAAAGCCTCAGTAGCACTGTTTCTTACTTTTATAGAACATATTCAGAGGCATGGCAAAAGACTAGGTCCAGGTTCTAAAACTGCACTGTCCATTATGATTGCTACTAGCCACGTTTGGCTTTTGAACATTCGAAATTGAGATGAATTCATGTCAGAACTGTGATTTCCTACAAGTATAAAATATACACTAGAATTTGAAGATTTTGAATTTTTTTAATGTAAAATATCTCAATTTTTTATATTTATTACCTGTCAAAATAATATTTTAGATACATTAAAGCATATTATTAAAATTAATATAACTTAGTTTTACTTTTTTAAAATGTGTCTACTAGAAATTTTTAAATTTCTATATGGCTTGTAATTTATTTCTATTGGATAGTACTGGATCAACTCAATTAAGTTTTACACTAGTTTAAATAGAAGATTTCATTATGTGCGTCACATCCAAGAAGGAGTTTCTTCCTTCCCGAAATATTGTCAGGGCTGTAAACCAAAAGGTATTTGAGACAAGTCTTCATCAGTTTAGAAGTTTATTTTGCCAAGGTTAGGGACATGTCCATGACACAGCCTCAGGAGATCCTGAGAGCATGTGCCCAAAGTAGTTCAGGACACGACTTGGTTTCATATGTTTTAGGGAGACAGAAGACATCAGTCAATACATGTAAGACGTACATTGTTTTGGTCCGGAAAAGCAGGACAACTCAAACTAGGAGCTTCCAGGTCATAGGTGAATTCAAAGATTTTCCAACTGGCAATTGGTTGAAAGAGTTGATCCAAAGACCTGGAATCAATAGAAGGGAGTGTCTGGGTTAAGATAAGGGGTTGTGGAGACCAAGGTTCTTATTATGCAGATGAAGCCTCCATGTAGCAGGCTTCAGAGAAAATAGATTGTAAATGTTTTTATCAGACTTAATGAGTCTGTTTTGTCAGTCTTAAGGTCTCCATTTTAAAGTTAATGATGATCGTCTATGCCTGAATTCCAAAGGGAGGAGGATTAATGAGGCATATCTGACCTCCATTTCCCATCATGGCCTGAACTAGTTTTTCCAGTTAACTTTGGAATCCCCTTGGCCAAGAGGAAGGGTCAATTGGGTTGGTTGGGGAGCTTAGAATTTTATTTTTGGTTTAGAGGGCTTTATTCTTAATTAAAATAAAAATTACTGACACATGGTTTATTGTCCTCAAGTACCTCATGCAGCCTCAAACAATGTTATTTAAATCAGAGAAATTATCATGTTTCATCATACTCTTTTAAAATTGCCCCATTCAAGCAGATTTTCTTAACTGAGTTCCAAATTTACCCTTTTGCACATATTGCACTACTTCCTTTAATCTTTTTTGCCATTAAAATTAAAAATTGGAGTTAAGAAGAGAAAAGCAAAGTAATGGGGAGAAATGTGGCAGACTCAAAGAAAATATTTTGCAATGCCTCTTGGAGAGAGAGAAATAAAGCCAAGACAAAATATATCAGGGTCTTGAGGCTGCTGCATTTTTGCCTTTGGGAAGGAGGGTGAGGTAGGGAAGGGGCTGACAGAGATAGGTTAGAGCTTTCCACTGCAGCTCAGTTGTAGCAGGAGAGTGATTACTAAAGATAGAGCCCAAGACACATAGTTCTGTGTGTCAAGAAATACCCACAGCAGGTACTAATGTTTTCTTCTTGTATTTTATTTATTTTTTATTTTTTCTAAGACAAGAGTTTCGCTCTTATCGCCCAGGCTGGAGTGCAATGATGCGATCTCAGCTCACTACAACCTCTATCTCCTGGGTTCAAGCGAGTCTCCCACCTCAGTCTCCCAAGTACCTGAGATTACAGGCATGTGCCACCATGCCCAGCTAATTTTTGTATTTTTAGTAGAGATGGGGTTTCACCATGTTGGCCAGGCTGGTCTTGAACTCCCGACCTAAGGGGATCTGCCCACCTCAGCCTCCCAAAGTGCTGGAATTACAGGCATAAGCCACCATACCCAGCCATTTTCTCCTTGTATTTTAGAACACTTAATTTTTTAATGTACTCCAAAGCTTCTCCTCTAATAATGGCTGACATCTATTGGTACTTAGAACACACCTTGGCCAGGCGTGGTGGCTCACGCCTGTAATCCCAGCACTTTGGGAGGCCAAGGCAGGAGGATCTCGAGGTCAGGAGATCGAGACCATCCTGGCTAACGCGGTGAAACCCTGTCTCTACTAAAAATACAAAAAAATTAGCCGGGCGTGGTGGCGGGTGCCTGTAGTCCCAGCTACTCCGGAGGCTGAGGAAGGAGAATGGCATGAACCCGGGAGGCGGAGCTTGCAGTGAGCCGAGATCACGCCACTGCACTCCAGCCTGGGCAGCAGAGCAAGACTCCATCGGAAAAAAAAAAAAATAAGAACACACCAAGCCTCTCATATATATAATCCATTCAATCTTCCCTATAATGCCAGGAGGAAACTGTCCTATGCTTGTACCACTATTATATTTTGGAAGCACAAAACTTGTCTGATTTCACAGGTTCATAGCTAGAGAGGAATTTTGCCTCACAATGACCTCAAGTCTCACCCATATCTGATTTTTATCATATTTCAATGAGACTTTGGATTTTAGATGCTGGAATGGGTTAAGGCTTTGGAGGCTGTTGGGGTGGATGGAGTGAATGTATTTTGCATGTGACAGGACATGAATTTTGAGGGAGCCAAAGGGTGAAATGTTATGAACTGAATGTGTCCCCCAAAATTTACATGCTGAAGCCCTAACCCCCAATAGACTATAGTTGAAGATAGGGCTTTAAGTAAGTAATTAAGGTTAAATGAGGTTATATAGATGGGACTCTAATCCAACAGGACAGGTATCCTTATAAGAAGAGGAAGAGATACCAGGAGTGTGCACATACAGAGAAAAGGTCATATGAGAATATAGTGAGAAGACAGCCGCCTGCAAGACAAGGAGAGAGGTCTTACCAGAAACCAATACTGCCAGCACCTTTGAGACAGGAATAATACAGGGTGGTCACAGGAGAATAGAAAATTCCAGACAGCAGTTTTGCATGACTAGCAAAAGGAAACTGTTGAAATAGCTGCAGAAGCTAGGAACTGATAAGACCCTCAAAACCCAAGGTATGGACCCAGCTGGCTAAGACCAACTGGATCCAACATGGCACTGGATTTCACCTAGATTTCTCCTAGGACCTCGTTATATTATTGTTAACATTATCAATTACATACCCACCAGTGCCATGACAGTCCTGAGAACACCCATATTTGGTGTGAAAAAATAGGTGGCACCACAGTTCTGAGAAATCTCTAAATTTTTCCAGGAATTTTAATGAATATTCCACCCCTTGGTTAAAGAAGCCCATAAAGACAGAAACTCCAAACTCCATCAAACAACTCTGTCTTAAGTACCCCCACAATCCCCTTTCTTGAGTATATGCTTTTCACTTTGCAATAAATCTCCTACTGTCACTATTTTCTGACTCATTCTTGAATTCCTGCTTGCAATGGTGTCAAGAGCCTGAACACTGTTATCACCTTGGCCTTAGACATCCAGCTTCCATAACATGGAAAAAATACATTTATGTTGTTTAAACCACCTAGTTGGTGATGTTCTGTTATGGCAGCCCTAGCAGACTGATACAGAAACAAAGGAATAGAGGTGCCAAGTAATTAATTAGAATCACTCAGTTAGTAGATGGCAGAGGGGATTAGGACCCAACCTCTAACCACTGCAGCTCTCTCAGCCAAGTTATTCTCTCACTTAAGCCAAGAGTCCAGATGAAACCATCTCATGATATAAAGAATCCAGAAACAATACTTCTATATTACCTAAAATGTATTATCTAAAATTATAAAATATAATATATTCAGGATGTAAAAATCTATGTCAGCCAAGAGCAATTTTTTTGGTAAAATGTTAAAAGTCCACAACACTAAAAATTCATTTTAACAATGATCAAAAAAGAGTCAAAGTCAGTAAAAGGTAGATTTATGTGAGATTTTATCCCAGTGGAGTATTATAAAAGAACTAAGAATTCTACTAAAAAAAAAATGGCTTTTGCTGTAAGTCATAACTAAGGGTTACATGCAAATTCCATCCTTGACCCCACTGAGGAGTACTAGTTCCCCTGCTATTATATCTCATTGAATCCCTTAGTTTCCTTCAAAGTTTTATTCTGTATAAGTATTTCTCAGTTTCTTACTTTGTAACATTTGGATAATAATAGTATTTGGGGGGAGAAAAGATAATTTTTCTCTCTACCCCTTATGAGTTCTAAGCTGGGATCCCCTATAACAAAAGACAGATTAACAACAACAAAAACCCCACGAGGTTATTAACATGTATATTTCATATATATGTACAGGAGATAGTCAGGGAATTAGTAATTTTCAAAGAGGTGACTTTGAATTCAAACTTAAATATCATCTTCAGCTGAAACAAAGAAAGAGGAGTATGGGGGTAGGGGTGCAGTTATGAGGAAGTGACCAGGTAAAGCATGGCAAACAAAGGTAAAGTTTGTTATGCGTATTTAAGTCAGAGCCCTCTCCATTGATAAGAGTTTCCAGTAATTTAGTGCCATCCTTTTCTTCCTAGAATTCAGAGGAAGACATTTTTACAAATGAAAATTTCCTTTATAGATTTAAATTCACCCTACAAAAAGGTAATTCCACTCTGTTCTCAGAGTTGCTCCTATAGCTGCTGTTTCTCAAACAAATGCTTATACTGAAAAGGCATATTCTGAAGTGGCACATTCTGGTCTTCTACAGTATCTATCTCACAAAGTTAGAGTGTAGAAATGTAAACACATGACTGTACATAAAATGCTTGAAACAATTAATAAATTTTCATCATTATTATTATTGTAGCATTTAATATAATGTTATTGCATATGTCTTTGTGATTATTCATTCAATGTTTAACTCCCCACTACTAGAAAATAAGTTTCCTGGTGCAGGGACAATTAGCCCCTGTGGCACATATCACAATGTTCCCTGCTATAGAGTTCTCGTCTCTATCTGAGCACGCAAAAATAACATGCTTTCTTGCTTTCTTGAAGTTGGGCATGGCCATTGACTTGCCTTAGCCCATAAAATATGAACAGAATTGTCACTTTTAGGTGGAAGATTTAAATACTTAATTCTCCACTTCTCTCTTTCCCTAACTCAGTGGATGTGAAACTGTTAGAGGTGGATGTGAAACTGTTAGAGGTGGAAGTTATTTGAGTCACCGGCAGAGACTGCAGCAACCTCAATTCTTGCCTCGGAAGGAAGAATATAATTGAGGGGCATAAGGCAGAATAAGAGACTGAGGCAAGTTTCAGAGCAAGAGTGGAAGTTAATTAAAAAGCTTTAGAGCAGCAAGAAAGGAAAGCACAGTTGGAAGAGGCCTAAGAGGGCATCTTGGACGTCAAGTGCCCCATTTGACCTTGCACTTAGGGTTTTACATGCTGGTCTACTTCTGGCGTCTTGCATTGCTTTAATGCCCCCAGAAGGTCATATACCAGTTAAACTCCACCATTTTGCATCTTAATGCACATGCTTGAGTTCAGTCACCCACCTCCTGAGATCTTATTGGAAGCTGCTGATTACCAGTTTCATGTGTTCCCTATTTATGGGGAGATGGTCAGTCCCTCGTGCCAGCTGTAACCAATTATTATTTTAGAGAGACAGTTAATAACTGCCTGGCCATCACATGATGGTTACCTGACTTTCCTGGTGGGGTGTGGGGGGAGCCCTCTGCTGCCCCACTCATGCCTATCTAGCTACCTACTGTAACAAAAGCAGGTTTCGATATGGCGGTACAACACTGATCCTGAGGACAGCTACTCTGAGGAGTAACCTGGATCCATAGCAGACTTTGATGAGCAAAAAATAAACCATTATCGCTTAAGCTTGGGAGACTTTGGGCTGGTTTGTTACAGCAGCATAACCTACACTACCCTGGCTATTACAACCATTGTATTTCCATTGCCTAGCATAAGGGCTGGCGTAAAATAAGTGATTAAATATGCTCTGACTAAATTAATTAATAAATTAAAATTTTTAATCAGCAATTAAAATGAACTATTTTAATCAAAGAAATTATTTCAACTCTATCCTGCGTACAATAGAAAAGTTTTGGAAATTTTCACTGATTAGTGTGTAGGGGTCATGATTCTTTGAGTACCAAACCATTATCTTAGATATCAAGGTTAGAGTTGCACATGCTTCGCACTCCAGAAAGACTCCTTCAAGTTTTGCTGAATTTCAATTGAATAAATTTTTTCTGTGAAGTGGTCTTCAAAAACCTATATTTCTGCCATAGAGTCACTTACTTAACCTGCCCTATTTAAAGGGGCTAATGCCTGATAGAATGTCGCTGCATAACTCCATCTGTGTGTGGTCCCTGCATCCATGACAACCAAAACCCAGATGCAGAAATTGTTCCTAATCACATAGATTACCCTAGAAACCGGAAGGGCCTTGAAGTCAAAAGCATTCAGAGAACATGCTGAACAAATTGAATTTGCAGTTTATCTGGCCAGGGAGGATGGAGAGGGGATGGGCACTTGGTCTGAGTATTTTTTGTTTCTCATTCCAACAGAAATTACTAGATTTACCAAAACAAAGAGAAAAAAATATGATCCAAATTTAATCTGGTTGTGGAAGTGTGAGCAAAATCTACAAGTGGTAGTGTGATAGAGTCAGGCAGAGGAATTGACCATAGATAAGGTGCTCAGGACTCCTAGAGTCAGCTTCTGGTATGTGAGAAAGAAGTGAGAACAGAGCCCATGGCATATGAAGAAGATATTACAGAAAAAAGAAAGCTGCCTTCCACGCAAATCATTTCTTTACAAAGGCTTGTTAACTCCTGCAGTGCCCCAGCTCTAGTGACTAGGGGACCAATAGGTTCATTAATAACAGAATTGGGAGAGAACCTGGCATCTGCTTTGATCGAAGTGTGAGAATTAAGCAAGCCTAAAGTGTAGCAAGAGCAGGGAGGGAACTGAATGAAAGGTCAGTTCTAATCTGTAGGCTTTGGAGAAGCTTTGGGCTCTTGAGAGGGAGTAGAGTACAGAGGCTGAGCGGGGTGCCTGGGCAGGCATCTTATCATTACTTGCGAGTTGTGTGAACTCGGGCAAGTTAAACTTCTCTGTGCTTCTACTTTCTCCCCTGAAAACGAGGATATAATCTCCAAGGATTGTTGTGAGAACTAAATGACTTGGTTGATTCCTGAACAGCACGTTGTCCAGTGCCTAGCACATAGCAATCACTCAGGAAACGTCAGCCTTTATTATGGGCCTAGTGCACAAACTATTCTTACCAGTTATGCGACCTTGAGAACATTGTCTTCTCTGTGCCTTCATTTTCTCACCTGTAAAATGGAATAATAATAATTCTTAGAAGGATTCATGAAACAACGCCTAGTAGGGTGTCTGGCTTAGTTATCCCCCCGACAGTATTTTCTTCTAGTAAGAAGCTGAATGCAGCGGCAGACATCCTGGTTCGGGCCCCAGGAAGCTCAGCCGGGTTTAATGTGGATGAGGGTTTAATGATGTACACGCAGAAGTGTTTTGACAAATGAAGAAGGTCCTCATTCTTGGAACATGTGCCGGTTCTCCGAGGGAACTCCTAAAATGGCATAAGGTCACCTTTTTAAAGGCTGTAAGCTCATGTAGGAAAAGCTGAGCTAGATTCCTAAGGGCAGAGATGTGCTCACATTTCTTTGCATCCCTAGTTCCCAGCACAGTGCAAGGCGCTGCAAACATTTGCTGAACCCAGGGTCTCGTGTCTTGACTGTCCAGCAGAGGCCGCTCTGGGCCGGGGCTCTCGGGACCTGAGGGCTGAGAGAAGGAAGGCCAGGGGGTGGCCCAGTCATCGCCGCGGGGCCCGGGTGGGAGGGGTTTGGCAGCGGCAGGCGCGGCGGCGGCGGCGGAGGCGGAGGCGGCCCCGGGCTCGGGCGGCTGGGATGGAGCAGAAGAGCGCGGAGCACCGGAGGGCACGCAGCTGACGGAGCTGCGCTGCGTTCGCCTCGTTTGCCTCGCGCCCTCCACTGGAGCTGTTCGCGCCTCCCGGCTCCCACCGCAGCCCACCCGGCAGAGGAGTCGCTACCAGCGCCCAGTGCGCTCTGTCAGTCCGCAAACTCCTTGCCGCCCGCCCCGGGCTGGGCACCAAATACCAGGCTACCATGGTCTACAAGACTCTCTTCGCTCTTTGCATCTTAACTGCAGGTAATTGGCGCCATCCTCCCGGAAGGGCAGGTCGCGGGGTGGGCCCCAGTAGCTAGCGCGTGGTCGGGGCTGAAGCTAGGAGATCCGGCAGTGAGTCGCCGCGCGCCTCCGGGTGAGTGCGCAGGTGTGTGCGCACTTAGATTTGGGGTGACGTGCACCTTTGGCGGTCCCGAACCGTACTGAGGGAGGGGACGATGGGGTCCTTCCTGCCGCAGCCCGCGCCCGCACAAACTCCAGCTTTGTAGAACAGGTGGCTGTCTTAGCTGCGTGTTCGAACCCAGAGTGGGCAACACGGACTGCGCCTCAAGGCTTCTCTTTCTTCACCAGGGTTTCGGAGCGCACTCTGCCAAAGTACGGGACCAGACTTCTTGTTGCCGTTGGGCCCTGGAAGGGATGAAAAAGCCGGGGAAGTGGGGGTGGGAGGTTCGCATCTGGGAAGGCTTCAGCAGCGGCTGCGCGCCTGGCGGGGCTGGTTTGCTTTCTCGAGTCTTGGCGGTCTCTGATCTCCGGCGTCCCTTCCTAGTTATGCTTAGGATGATGTGGCACTAACAGCAGCGGCCCGGCCTTGGTCAGGCTCGCAATCGTCACTGGGGGTAGCAAGGCTACCTTCTGCCCCAGAACTCCCCAAAAACGTATCCCATAGAAGAAACTATTAACTTGGCTAAACTAGCATCCTCTCCCCTCCCCCTGCACCACCTCTGAAAGGCTTCGTAGGAGCCACTCTCGGGTTTCGGGACCACAGACGGCGACGACCTCTGGCAGCGGGGATGGGGAAGAGGGGAGCCAGATGACTGAGCTCGGCTTGGCGGGGACCGGGGAGAGATTCAGAAAGACGCTTTGAATCTAGAGTTCAGGTACCTATTTTTTCCAGAAAACGTCTCCCGAAAAGGGACAACTGGCTGTGGATATGGTGCTGCTGGGAAAAGTAGCCCGACTGCGCGGCCACTGGCATTTTCAGTTTAAATGTGACCCAAAGTCACATAGCGCAAACCGATTCTACTCGTGCTTTAGTCTGTATATCCTCCCTCTGAGTTCGTCGGGTTCCTACAGTTGTGGACACGAGTCGTCGCAATCCCTTGAAAAGAAGCTAGCGGTTTTCAGGCAGCTCACAGTGGGTAATGCAGTTATAAGGAAAAGTTTCCCAACTTGAAACTATAGCGTATTTTCTCTACTTAGTGAACGTCCGTCTGAGAAAACCTCTTTCTCGCTGGTATCTCGGCACGGTTTGGAGACGCGTCCGCGGACAGTTCCCGAATACTCGCAGGCGGCTTTGGCTGCCCAGCCTCGGGCTGAGATGAGAGAGCCTAGGTCCGGCAGGTGCAATAGGCAGCGGAGCTCCCGGCTGGCTGCGGGTGGTAATTCCTGTAATCCTCAAAGCAGGAGATGCTTACGTAATGACACGGAAGGTACCTTTACTTCTCCTCACTCAAAAATCTTTTCTTGAGGTTCAGAAACCCTTGAGTGAGTCAGTAGAGAGGTTCGTTTGCAAATTTGATTTAGTGGCTTGTCTTGTTTATTTAATCATTTCCTTTTTTAAACAGCTCTGGCAGTTGTCAAAACCGGGATTAACCCTAACAAACAGTGTATTGTAGCTTCCCCACCCCCACCCCAAGAAGCTCTTTTTTCTTTTTTTTTTTTTTCTTTTTTCTTTTATTCAGCGTTACAGTTTAGCTCCGCTATTCCGGGAGGAATATCACCCTTGACCCACCGCTAGAGCGAGGAGACTGGTGGGCCAGGGACCGGCTGAGCACCACTCCTACCCCCACGCACTAATTAGGATCAGAGCCCAGATGGTCACAGCCTTCCAGCTGTGAGGCTCGAGACTCAGGAAGACATACTGCCTCATTTCCCTAGTTATGCTTCGATATGCATATCCCAAGCTGAAAATGATGAAGCTAATGGACACTGCATTCCCCCTGAAGTTTGTGCCTTTGAAGGAATCTCTTTAAGACGTCAGTTTGTTGTTAGAGCTACTTTGCAATAAATCGTCCGAAAAAATAATATAAAAATTGGCATAAATACCTCATGAGATTCTTTGCACCTTAATTTTAAGGTGTTTTCAGAATGTAAAATATCATTTTTAAAGAAAAAAATAGACGTGTTGGTAAAGAAGAAAGGGATGAGGGCTCTTGAAGTGAAAGTGCACACACATGTGTTTTGGGGGCTTATCCCAGAACTCCCCTAGCAAATCTCTAGTTAGTTTCACCAGGCCTTGTGTCTTTTCTGTTTCCTTCTCATTTTCCTCCTCTAGCCATAGGCTTCAACAATATTTCTGTAAAATTCTTAAGGTGATACTTTCTTGAGCCAGGAACAGCATTAGGCAGGGGCCTGTTTTTTGGCTCAACAAATCCTCTCAAAGTATACATAGTATTTCCTCCAGCACATACAATGGACACTTGCAAATATGTGTGCGTTGTCAACAAGCCAACAAGGGTAGATCTCTACATGTATTCACTCGGGTATATATAAATATATTTATATATTTTTAGACAAAGGGTCTAGCTCTGTCACCTAGACTGGAGTGCAATGGCGCGATTCCAGTTCCACTGCAACCTCGGCCTCCCCATCCTCTCATCTCAACCTCCTGAGTAGCTGGGACTACAGGTTCACACCACCATAGGCAGCTAAATTTTTTTATTTTTTGTAGATATGGGGGGTATTCCTATGCTGCCCAGGTTGGTCTTGAACTCCTGAACGTAAGTGATCCTCCCACCTTGGTCATCCAAAGTACTGGGATGACAGATGTGAGCCACTGTGCCCAGCCTCACTTCTATTTCTAAAAGGAGAGAGAAATCTTAGATGGTCTTCAGTTCTCTCAAGGTTGATTATGGTAGAAAACTAGATGTCTATTCTATAAACCATTTTCAAACACTTCTTATGCCAGGATAAGGCATATTGGAGTACTGATTCCAGATTAAAATACAAACCAGAGCCTCCAACCTTTATCCCCAAAACCAAGAAGGGAACGAGAATGGCAGGCCCCTGGTAGCTTCCACATTTATCCCTCTCCTGCTCCCCTCGGGATTCTCTTCCTTTGTTCTTGCCACCATGGTTGTTACATTCAAGTGTTTTTTTTTTGTTTGTTTTTTTGTTTTTTTTTTGAGATGGAGTCTCTCTCTGTCTCCCAGGCTGGAGTGCAGTGGCGCGATCTCAGCTCACTGCAAGCTCCGCCTCCCGGGTTCACGCCATTCTCCTGCCTCAGCCTCCCGAGTAACTGGGACTACAGGCGCCCGCCACCACACCCGTCTAATTTTTTTTGTATTTTTAGTAGAGACGGGGTTTCACCGTGTTAGCTAGGATGGTCTCGATCTCCTGACCTCGTGATCCACCAGCCTCGGACTCCCAAAGTGCTAGGATTACAGGTGTGAGCCACCGCGCCCGGGCACGTTCAAGTTTTTTATGGCCCTATTTATTTAAAAACTCCCTCAGTGAAGTATGAGATATGTTAGAACTTTCAAAGGCATTTTCTGAATACTCAAGAAGGACAAAAAGGAAGGACACTAGGTAAGAGAGGCACAAACCTCATGGTCCTATTTCTACCGCCCTGGGTCTGCTCTGTTTGCCCCTGTCTCCTCTCAGGACCTTCCACCCATTACCCAGGCACCCTGCGCAGACGTATTGGTCCCTTGGTGATTAAGATGTAGATCACCAGAGAGCTAGATTCCCAGTCTGCCACTCAGCTAGGGATCCTATTTGTGTTCTGGATCTGGTAGATACCTCTTCTCCAGGTAACTAACATCTAAAATGTCCTTATCCTTGAAGGAAGACTTACTTCACCCTGCACATTTATGACTCTGTACTTGATATATGTCAGCTTAGTAGCCTTATCACACATATATTAAAATACACAAAATTGTGCACACACGTAAAGGAACAGGAAGGCTGATCATGATTTGTTGGGGGTGGTTGTGAAGAGTCACTTGCATTCCTTAGCCTGAGAAACTCCTATTCCCCTGAAATCTGTGGTCACAGTCAAAGATGTGACATTTCCTTCACATGAAAACTGACCTGAGAAGGTGGATGAACACTCTCTGTTGTTATCTGATGCATTTACAGAGGCAGTGTTTCAAGATGTTAAGTGCGTAGATTCTGCAGCTAGATTGCCTAGGTAAAAATCTAAGTTTTACTACTTACTAATTATGTGATTGAGGACAAGTACATTAACCACTCTGCATTTTTTTATCTACAAAATTTGGAGAATAAAAAATTGGAGTTATTGAAAGTGTTCAATACCTGAATATACCTATAGGTATACAGTGCTGGAGACATAGCAAATGCTCAATAAGTGTTAGCTGTTGTTGTTGCTATTATTTTTATTAATGAAGTGTACTATATGCTGCACTAATTAGGTCATCCTCTCCAAAAGCAGAGTTTATGTGTTTGTACTTGAACTATGTAAATCAAAGATCTCAACTAATATTCCAGTGCAGTGCCAGCTGTTCCAGCAAACCAATGTGCAAATGAAGAAAATATTCTGAGCCTACTAAATGCCTAATTTGAAAAGGTTAATAATGTGCCAACTCAGATTTAGTGCAAGAGTCCAAAAAATGCTCAGTAACAAATAGATGTAAAGTCTCACCAAGGACTTTATTTCTTCCATAGAAACTTTTGCAAACTGGTGTGTTTCAAAAACTCAACTCAGCTAAACCTTAAAGGTCAGGTCCCCAGAGCTACAAACTTGAGATAATTCAGATTAATAACTTAGGAAAAAACAGGTCATTTTGTCTGAATGCTCCAAAACAATAGCAATAATCAATAATTGCCGTATCTCTAATTTAACTTCAGCATTTGACCCCAGTCAAATTGTGCTTGTGTTTTCATGAGAAAAATATTGGTCAAATATTATACTGTTTAAGCAGACTTTCTTAAGCAATAATTTACCCTAAGGGGATTATAACACCCCACCGGAAGCAATGGACAGCAACATTTTTTAAGTGTTTTCAAAATGAATTTGACTGTCTTAAATCTAAATGAAGGAATCCTGCAATAACAGTTACAACAGTTTGCTTCCATTTGGAAGTATCTATCACTAAAATTGGGCACATTAGTTTATAAATCAAACTTATTTGTCTTGTTCATAAGATATCAAATGAAGCAGTTTCTTGGAAAAATTGATGTTTTATGTACAAGACAGTGGTAATTCTGAGAAGAGGTGGGTAGATAGTGAATGTCTGCTTTATCCAATGTTTGCTTTTTGCCTAGAAATACAGAGCTAATAGGTTGTCATCTAGTTAATCTGCAAGCCGGGCAACTATTCAGTAAGATTGATTTGTGTATATAGTTCATGACATTTCTTTTTTTAGTTACAGCTTAAATTATTTAAATGATAGGGTTGATGTAACATTGTATTTTCTGATGTGTGAATCTTTAAATGTTCATCATAATCCTTTACACCAGCATGGCCAATTTCTTTCACTTGTTTTAACATGGCTTATAGATGTTGGGAACTTTGCCATTGTGTAAGTAATAGAAGTCTTTAAAATGAAATAGACAATTATAGAATTTGTCTCATCTGTGCTTTTCATTGGTGCAGGATGGTATAATGTCAATTGAAAATAGTCTTAATTTTCCTTTGGCTAGTATTGCCAAATTTAGCAAATAAAAACAAAGGTTGTCCAGTCAAATTTGAATGTAAAATAAACAGTGAATTCTAAGTACATTCTATGCAATATTTGGGACTTACTTAGACCAAATCTTTCTTTGTTGTTTATCTTAAATTCAGATTCAACTGGTTGTCTTGTTTTTTAACTGCCAACCATACTTTTGGCCTTTCATCTGCAGTTCATTTATACAGTGACTTTGATACAGGATTAGCTTTATTTTGAAGCCTGCCTCATGGGGCTTTAGTTACCCTGCACCATTTCATTAGAAATAATCTGTTCATGGGAAAACATGGAGATTTAAGAGCAGCTCTCTGGGTTAGCAACTATAGGGATTAGGATTTAGAGGCAGCATTCATGCCAATGAGATATTTTGATTCTGATTATATATCCATTAACTGTGTATTCCTGAACATTGATGGGATTTCTATAGCCTCCCTAAATGACTTTAACCCCCTTTGACTCTTCCTTTATATAAAAAAGTATATTTTTAATGGTAGCAATGATCTTGCTATAGGGGCTGGGACTCGAAGCCTTCTGTACTCTTTTTTTTTAAAAGAAAGTTATGATTAAAACTGAAAGCTTTGAATTTCAGTGCTGTCTTTTGTGCCGGGATCTTGAGAAATCTCACAAATATTAATTATATAAGGTTTGCATAATCCCTGCTGGATAAGTCTATTGGTATTACTTGGAAGCTGTGGCTATATAGAGCCTTAAGCAACATATTATATAGAATTTTAAGACAGATGTTTAAAAAAATCCTTTGATCAATTGAACTGTGGTGGATATTTGTACCTTTTATACCTAAGGCAAAAAATCTGTGAATACCTTATTGTTAAGTGGAAAAAATATTAAGATAAATTACCAGGTGTGATATTTAGAAAACATGTCTATTCAATACAAAATAAGGTGAGTGGTGGAATACACCTTTGATGATAACATCTTCCACTTACATTCCAAATTCCAACATTTGATTTTCTTTTCAATGAACAAGGAAATAAGGACCTGGGAACTTTAGTGCAGGTGTTAAACATGAAAGGAATTAGATGAGAGAGGGTTTTGTTTATCTGTGTGTTTTTTTTGTTTTGTTTTGTTTTGGCCATGGTTTTAAACTTGGAGCTACCATTCAGACTTCCTAGAGGTTAGAACACCTTATATTTCCTAATACGAAGTTAACAAAATACATGTTACCTTTTATGTTGTGATATTTTTACCAGGGGTAGTACACAAGCGTAACTTCATTACTTACAGAGTTTATTCACCCACTATTGTATCCATAATGGATAGTTATTGGTCCTCTATCCTTTATGACATGGTTTTAGTTTTGTAGGAAAAGCTTTTGTGATCTGTCTTAGTTCATCCAGGCTGCTATAACAAAACACCATAAACAGGGTGGCTTATAAACAATATTTATTTCTTACAGTTCTAGAGATTGGGAAGTCCAAGATCAGGGCATCTGCAGGTTCTGCGTCTGGAGGGGGCTGTCTTTCTGGTTCACTAGCTGTGTCTTCCTCATGTGGTGGAAGGGGTAAGGCAGCCCTCTGGGGCCTCTTTTATAAGACACTATCCTCATGATCTAACCACTTCCTAAAGACCCCACCTCCTAATACCATCTTTACCTTGGAGATTAGGATTTCAACATATGAATTTTTTTCAGAATGCAAATATTGAAACCATAGCACAATCCCACAGATAGACAGGAGATAGATACCTCAACTAACTGGTGTTGACCATTATTTGATTGGTCCATACTGTAGGACCACTCCATACTATAGGACTCTTGCTTTGTACTGTAATTGGACTCTTCAGGAAGAACAGTAACAATTATTTTAAAGATTAAAGGGTGTCTGTTTATTTAGTATGTTAGTTACAATGCACTGTCTGTATGTATTTAGGGCGATGTTTAAGATCCCAGTCATTCTATTGAGTTAATGTAATGTGTCTTATTAGGAGAGGATTTCAGTATATCTCAGAATTACAACATGAGGTGACCTCACTGCCACTTGTTCACCAGAGGGTCCTAAAGAAAATCTGGTGGATTGAAGATGTCTTTCTTGGCCTTGAAAAGAGGCAAGTTATTGGTAGATCACACACTCTACTTATCATGGGAATTCTTGCTATTAATGAACATTGCCGACTGAAAGGCAACATCAAGACATATACTTTTACCACATTCAACTAGTGGGGAACCCTGGATGTTTTATCTTAAAAATTACAATGTTGATGGAAATGACATTCAGGAGGAGAGCCCAGATAGTCTCCTTTTTGGAGACCTATTCAGATAGGTCAGAGCACAAGAAAAAATATTCATCATTTACATGCTAGGAAATGTTGCTGGGGGCAGGAAGTGTGATATCAAATTACGTGCAGAAATGTGGTAAGAAATGCACAGTAGGCAGGGACAGTGGCTGTTTCAGAATTTCTGCAAAAATTACGGAGGAGAAGCTGGGGGCATAAAGTTTCATGAGTCCAAGAAAACATCAAATGGCTGAATCAGGGGAGCAGGAGGAGGATTAAAATTATTTTGGAGTACTAAGGCTCAAACCAACGCTAGATGCTACTGCTAGATATGAAAAATTCATTTGATTTCATTTTTAGAGCAATAAGGGATACCTCTTCAAATTTATATGAATATAGTATTTGTTTTAGTGTGCCTCCTTAGTTCTGTGGAAAGTTACAAAGTGAGCCTTTCAGATGAAATGATGTGTTAGACTTTATGGTGGGTAATTAAGGTAACCTCGGCATCATGAAAGGGGGTGAAGAATAAGAAAATGCCCTGTGATGTAAAGATGAAAGCAGCTACATGGTTTGGCTCAGTTAAGGAGGGCAAAGTGGTCTGGGGTTGCTTACTTCCAGGCAGCCTTCCTAGAACTGCTCTTCAAAAACAATCTGATTATGAGAAGACTCTCCTTTAGAGGTTCATACGAAGAGAACCATAGCCCTGATATTTGTCAGATGATGAAGGGATTTGTGTTATTTTACATGAGAAGCAATATGGTGTGCTAACAGAGGCTTTAGAGTAAGATAGACCAGCAAGGAATACCAACTCTGTGCTCTCAGTTTCCTTCCTTGTAGGGTTATGACAATATACCTAGAGTGCCATGGGACTAAACGTTCAACCAGTCTCTATCAAGTATGTATACCAACAGGCAAAGGATTTATTTTATTTTACTTCATTTGCTTTCTCTGTCTCCCACTACGAGATTGTAAGGTGCGTGAGAAAAGAAATGTTGGTGGTATTTTTTTCCACTGTTGTATCCCCAGCACGTAGAACAGAGCAAGAAACATAGTGTGTGCTTTATAAATTTTCATTCAGTTAATTTTTAATTGAGAATCTACATGTGCTAAACACTGTCCAAGGCTCTGGATATACATTAATGAGCAATGACAAAACTCTACCCTCAGGGAATTTACATTCTTTGAGGATGATAAATTTTGACTTAGTCAAAGGGAAGTCAGTAGTTGAATATCTAATAGTTATCTCGAACTCAACATATCCAAAACTGAGCTCCTAGACTTTCTTCCCCTAGGGGGCTTATCTAAAGCCTTCTCCATATCAATGAATGGAAATGCCACCTTTCTATTTGCTCAGACTGCAAATCATGAGTCATTCTTGAGTCCTGTTTTTCTCTTAACACTCCTCATCCCAACCTTCAAGAAAGTCTGTCTGCTCTAGTTTTAAAATATGTACAGAATCCAACCACGTTTTGCCACCTCAGTTTCTCCCACTCTGGTTCAAGCCACTACTGTCTTTCTCTAAGAGCACTGCTGTGGCCTCCTCTCAGATCTACTTGCTTTCACCCCTCCCCTCTTAGGTCTGTTTTCTACATAGCATAGCAACAGCGAATTCATTGGAACTATATCAGTCACTGCTCTGTTCAGAGCCCTGTAATGGCTCCTCTTTGTTCTTAGAGTAAAAGCCAAAATCTTAGAGTGACCATCAAGACCTCCGTGAGCTGGGGCCTCGTTGGTTCTTGAATCTGATCTTCTACACTCTTCTTTGCTCACTCTGCACCAGCCACAGGACTACCAGAAGCACATAGTAGCTAAGTCCTCTGTCTGGAGTATGCTTTCTCCAGATACCCATATGACTAATTCCCTCACTTCCTTAAAACTTTTGTCAAATGTCACCTTCTCAATGAGACTTACCCTGACCGACCTCTTAAAATTGTAGTCTGTTCCACTTGCCAACACCATATTCCCAGTGCCTCTTATCTGACTCTTGCCTCTACTTTTTCTTTAAAGCATATCTTCCTCCATCCCTCCTTACCCCTCACTAAAACATAGCTCTAGGAGGACAGAGATTTTGTTCCTCTTGTTTGCTGTGGTATCCCACTGTGTTAGAATTCTTTGTGGGCACATGAGGGTACTAAAAATCTATTTGTTAAATTGGATGATTAAAATACATTTCTGAGGGCTGGCAAAATGAATACTTAATTCAGATTTTGCCTTAAATGACCCAAAAGTGAGACATTGGCAAACTTGCTTACTATCAGGTGCTTATGTCTAGTGCTTCCAAAAAGCTGTAAAAAAAAAAAAATGAGTCAGGCCTTTAGTCTTCATTGAGGATTACACAAGCTAAACTTGGAAAATCAGCTATTTTTGAGCTATACACATACAAAATTTTTCTTCTTAAAATGTAAGCTTTATTTGGTGCCATAGACATCATTTAAAAATAGCTAAAACTTTATAAACTCCCTGGACAATTAAGAAAATGTCACCTTTGAGCTCAGCTAGGGAAGATAAAGATACCTTCACCATTCGAGCATTTTTGAGAATTCCAAATAACTAAAAATAACCTGGTGATGAAAAGTGATTTGAGTCTAAGGGAAGCACTATTGAAAGTTACCCAGTTAAGTCTGAGAAATTTAAGTAAATTAAGATGATGAATGGTAAAGTTATAAGTTAGTCACTAATAAGCTCAAGAACAGAATGGGCATTTCCTTGACCTTAGAGACCCTGTGCTACCTTCTTCGGTTGTTCTGAAATATGAATTGTGTTTTATACTAAGCAATGGATAGAAGGGATGCAGAAGTCTTGCCTCAAATAAAACCTGCACCTTAGCTGAGGTGGGGGAAGGAAGCACTTGTCATCTACCCAGCAGGGCTGACACCTCTTGATGTGGCTGGTGTTAAAATCCCCAAGGTTGGCATATCCCCCAGCTACATCATGAAACAAATACTCATGGTGCACACTGGCTTATTCAAAATAATAATGTTTAATTATTTTTAGGCTGGGAAAAATAATATGAGCTTAAAAAATAACATGCTTGCCTTGCAGCCTTAGCAATCGTGGTAAAATGTAAGATTATATCAACTTGAAGAGCAACCTATAAACAAACCAAAGAAGAGGATGACACTTTGTGTTTATTTAAAATATTTGCCTTGCTTGTTCCATGATGTCCATTTGTCCATTCTTGAGAAGGGCAGGCTCTCAGCCATCTTGACGTCAGCAGCCTTGACTGTAAACAGAGGTGTGGCCCCAGAGAGTAGCTCTGACCTGTGCTGGAGGCCCAGCAGAGAGCTGCGTCTGGTCTTGTGCTTGTGGTGCTGGAGGACAGGTGACCATGGCCCCACCTCTTCTCCCATGGGAGTCACCATGTTCTCCGAGTGAAATGAAAAGCAGGGCCTGATCTCTCACCGGAAGGAAAAGAATTGCACATCAGCAAGAGTAGGCAGGCTTTCAATGCCTCCCATCTCAAAGACAAGCGTGGCTGCTCAGCAAGTGAAAACGGTTCCATCACTGAGAATAGAGTTTCAGATTGGAGGGGTAACAGAAAAGAAGAAAGTGTGGTTTTTGAGATTCAGAAATTTACAGCCAAGATTTTGGTTAAAAAAAAATTAATGTCATAAGAAACAGCTGTCTCTTGTTTCAATGACGGTTTTTTAAAGCCACATTACACAGAAATAGATAAGAATGTATCTGTCACCTACCCATACCTGATTCAAAGTCCTGTTTGTTTGCTTGTTTGGCTTAAGGACTGTTTTTAATAAAAATAAGTTAGAAACAATGTAAATGTCTAACAATAATGAGCTGGTCAGATAAACCAACATAAATTCAACATTCATACTGGGCAATATTAGGCAACTGCTTAAAATAATGAAATGGTCCATGATGTACTGACATACAAAAATGAATATATTGACATAATATATTGTAACTTTATATTTCACAGTATGTTGGAAAGGCAAGCTACAAAATTAAATGTATGTTGTGTGCGCCTGTGGAGAAAGGGTTTAGAAGGATACAATGGTATCTGATGAGTGAACGTTGGGTCACTTTTACTTTCTCTCCCTCTCTCTTTCATTGCCTGAACTTTTAATAAACAGCTTGTATTCCCTTTACAATTTTAAAAGTTGAGATATTATGAATATTGTTAATCACTTTTTAGCAACAGATAATGTGGCTATAGTGACTGCTAGATGGCTATTTTGATCTTAAAAATCTTGATTCGAAATTCATTCTGCTACAGCCCTCGAAAATAAGATTTTAGAGAAGCAAATAACCTCAACAATGTTTACCGGGCATCACTGATGTAATGGTTAGAGAAGGTTCTGGGAAGGAATTGACTTAAACAAATATTCCATTTTCTAAAACCAGATGCTGCATAAATCATTGATCAGGATAACCACCTTGCATAGTATTTTAAGGCACTCTGTCCTAACTGATCAGTATTTAATATACTTTGTTAGTTTTTTAGATCTCCTCTCTTTGTCACATATGGGAGCAATTTCTTAAAACATTATTCTAAGCTCTTCTAAAATGAAAGTGGCCAACACAGATATCAAAAAAGAAAAACAGCCCTCAGAAGAATATACAATTTATTTTTCTTTTGGCAACATTAAATTTCTTATATAATCTTTTCAACAAAATAATCAATAAAATGTGGTGTAGGTAAATGCTGGAGGATATGTTATTAATACTCTATGACATTATCAGAAAGCAGCACAGGTGTGACTGGGGAGAGGGCTGGAGCAGAACTGACTGAAAGTTTTAGGGGTGATCTAGGCCAACCTCTCACATTATAGATAAAACTAGATACTTGGGAGTGTCGCATTTTTAAATTTTTAGTTTTACTAGGTATCACACATTGTGCTACATTCATTTCATCTGCCACTTCATCTAATCCTCTCACACTCTAGAAAGTACGCAGTACTATTCCCATTTTGCCGTTCAGGTCACTGAGGTTCAGAAGTCAAGTAATGAGCCACAAATCACACAGTAGATAAGTAACAGAACTGGACTAGACGTTGAACCCAGGTTTCTAATTTTTTACCCACCTCTGCCCCCATTCCCTTGAACTACCAAATCAGTTGCTAAATTCTCTTGCATAAATGTAGTCTCTAGAATTTTTCCCAACTTTGATTCTCTTCCCCATCCCCACAGCCTTGGTTGAGAGCCTTATCATCTCTTATCAGTAACTCCTAAATGGTCACCCGTTTTCTTCCCACAGTCTCTTGCCAGTCTTGGGACTTATTTAGGCCATGCCAAATTGCCTGCTCTCTTCCAAAGGAAGAGGATAATCTTATAGGTGCTGAGACTATGGTTTGTAAATTTTACTTCTGCTAAAAAGAATGAAGGCTCCTGGGAGTAGTGGCTAATTCCGGGTCTGGGTTAGGAAATACATAAGATGAATCTGGAATATCTTGTTAGACCAGGTAGTAAACATATTCTCAAAGAATACTAGGATCCCATCAAAAGGACTCAAAACCACTTAATGAGGCACCAACTGGCCAAAGCTGGGACAATTTGAGCATTGATGATGATTATAATTGTAATAGTTTGAAACACATTAAATACGTTTAAACTCGTAAATTCACAATAATGCCAAAAACAAAACAATAATAATACAAAATTCGTTGACCTTCATTGGAGAATGCTAATAAGCAACACATTATTTTGAAAACATAATAGATGAGTAGAAGAAAAATCAAGTTTTTTAATTGATTTATTTATCTAAGCCTGCGTTTATTTTGTGAAGTGTACCATTGAGTGACCAAATATTAGATGATGGGATAATTTTCTCTAGGGTTATTCCAGCTAATAAATGAAGAAGGCATGGAAAAAATAGAATATCACCATATTGCATTACCTACTGAGTTAGTGGGCTTGGATGCTAATCATCAGTGGCTGCCAACACCGTGGAGTGTGATGCACTCAGGTACTACATCTCCTAATGGAAGAATGCACCATATCCTATGAAGCAGTCTTGCCAAATTGAAAGAAACCTACATCTGATCAAGTTTCTAATTCCAACAATCAAGTCACAGGAAATACAGAGGACTGGGGAAGATGTTAAATAACACTGTGGGGATGATATCAGCAAACTCCAGACTATGGAAAACTCTATGGGAAAAATAACCAGGTTTCTTCAATAAATGAATTACAAGGAAAAAAAAAGAGATTGAGAGAAAGATTGACAGAGGTAGGAGGAATTTATAAACTAGAAAGAGACTTAAGAGACATAGCAGCCAATCACAATTATGAACTTTATTTGGATCCTGAATCAAACCAAAACTGCAATAATAAATGATGACATTTGTAAGACGATGGTGAATTTTAACACTGACTAGATATATGATGACATTAAGGTATTGTTAATATTTTCAATATGATAATAATATAACCCTTATGTTTTCAACAACCCTTATATTTTAGAGATACATACTATTTTATTTATAGAAGAAATGCTATGATGCTTAGTATTTACTTCAAAATAATATGGGAGTGGGAATATTATAGGAAAAATGACTGTGAGTTAATAATTGCTGAAACTGGCTGAAAGGAACATGGGGATGCATTATACTCTTCTCTCCTCCTTTGCAGATGATTATGTTTTTCCATTATAAGAAGTTTTAAAATGAGTCCTCTAGACCTCCTAGTTGCTTGCAAAACAAGTCCGCAGTGTTTAGCAAGTGGCTTGGGATCTGAACTAGAGTTAGAACAAAAAAAGGAGGTGCCTCTTATCATGGTGTGAAAGGCCAGAGAAGCAGAGAGGTCACTCTTGTTTGGAAAGTCTTCCCCAGGAAGACTGCTGGACGCTTTCAGGCCTCTCTGCCTTTGCTCATGCCATTTCCTCATTCTAGAATGCCACACTCCTCCATTCTCTGCCAACCAAAAGTCTCTTCATTTTGCAGGCTCAGATTTTTCCCTGTGTTCTTCACATGTCAGCCCTACTAGTCTTTCAGCTTTTAGAGAACAGAGGTCATGTCTTAGCTTCATATCCCTTCCTCCCAGGTATGAGCACATACATGGCAAGTGCTCCATGCTTGTCAAATTGAACTGCAGAAACTGAGGCTCAAAATGTGGACTCCAAGGTCTCACAGCTAGTTAGTGAAAGAACTTAACTAAAAATCTCATGTAAACGTTAGTCCCCTGACTTCAGGAACTCCAAAGCCTCTTCAAGCTTGTTCACCAGCATTCCTTTCCTTGAGAGTTAAGATTTAAAGGCTTTATGATCTCTGAGAGAAGTAACACATTAACTTAGAGTAGCTGAAAGTTATTATCCATTACCATGTACTGGCATGTAGAAAAGCACAGGCACCAGGTGAGTGGCCTATAAGACAAATACATCTTATAGGGAAGAGGGAAGTGGGCTGGAAGCTGCAACACCACTTGGATCAGGAATCGCACAGTGAGAGTCATGGTGAATGCACTGGACACCAAAAAGACACAGAGGAAACACAGGAGAGATGACAGGGTCCAGGAGATCCAGTTGGCCGGTTTCCTGTGATTACACATCAGCAAATGAAATTTGAAAAGGCATTATAGGCCAGGTGCCTTGGCTCATGCCTGTAATCCCAGCATTTTGGGAGGCCGAGGCGGGTGGATCACGAGGTCAGAAGTTCGAGACCAGCCTGGCCAACATAGTGAAACCCTGTTTCTACTAAAAATACAAAAAATTAGCCAGGCATGGTGGCAGGTGCCTGTAATCCCAGCTACTTGGGAGGCTGAGGCAGAAGAATCGCTTGAACCCAGGAGGCGGAGGTTGCAGTGACCCAAGATCATGCCACTGCACTCCAGCCTCGGCGACAGAGCGAGACTCTGTCTCAAAAAAAAACAAAAAACAAAAACAAACAAAAGGGCATTGTAATCACTTTACAGACAAGCTTGTTATATTTGGGCAATCATCATTACCTGAACATCCTTATGAAATAAAATTTCACTCCAGACAAGTGAATGCAATAGGGATTGTCTTTTAAAAGATCCACAGTTAGTTATCCAGTACTAGCCACAGGGGAGCTTTCCATAGGAAGGAGAAAACCCACGTTTCCTCTGAGAAAAAATGCATCTATTTGTTTGGTTTTGTACTTAGTAAGAAATGGGCATGAGTTATATCTCTGTATAGGTCAGTTTTCTTTTTTTTGAGATGGAGTCTTGCTCTGTCACCCAGACTGGAGTGCAGTGGCACGATCTCGGCTCACTGCAAGCTCCGCCTCCCAGTTTCACGCCATCCTCCTGCCTCCCAAGTAGCTGGTACTACAGGTGCCCGCCACCACGCCTGGCTAATTTTTTGTATTTTTAGTAGAGATGGGGTTTCACCATGTTAGCCAGGATGGTCTCGATCTCCTGACCTTGTGATCCACCTGTCTCAGCCTCCCAAAGTGCTGGGATTACAGGCGTGAGCCACTGCGCCCAGCCTATAGGTCAGTTTTCTTATTTTAATATTGCAGTTCACTGTTTAACCTTTGAAATGTGTTGTTAGAACATCACCTAGGCAAGGCCAATAAACATGAGTTGTCATGTTTGAAATGTGTTATAGAAGAGAGCCTAGACAAGACAGTAAACATGAGATGGCAAACATGTCCTGTGGAAATGAAGGTGGCATCAAATAGAGGCACTTCCCTATGGCTGGCCTCTTACTCTTTTTTTTTTTTTTTTCAACATAATCTGCTTCTGCAACAGAAAAAGAGTGACAAAGAAAGGAGTTTTGTTTTGCTCTTTTGGTTTTTATGTCACCAAAAAGATACTTTTTTTCCTTTCATCTTGGAACTCTGGAAATCTTCCCTGGTGATATCAACCAAAACTAGAGGAATTTAGAAGGAAGTGTGCCCTCCTGGGTAGAAAGGGAAATATGTCTTCTCAGTTGCCCAGAAGCAAAGGTTATCAGTAAATAAGTGTCCTATCCCCAAACTGCTGTGAGCTATCTACCCCCTTGAACTATGCCAACTTGCCAAGCTTTGGATAAATATAGATTAGCTATTGTCTGGGTTTCCTGAGGCTGCCATAACAAATTACCATAAACTCGGAAAGCTTAAAACAACAGAAACATATTCTCCGACACTTCTGGAAACTGGAAGCCTGAAATCAAGGTTTCAGCAAAGCCATGCCTCCTCTGAAGCTCCAGGGGAGGATTCCTCCTTGCTTCTTCTAGCTTCCAGTGGCCCCAGGCATTCCTTGGCTTGGGGCTGCATCACTTCAATCTCCACCTCTGTCTCACATGGCCCCCTTTCCTCTGAGTCACTCTGTGTCCAAACTTCCCTCTTACAAGGACACCAGTCATCCAGTCATATTGGATTAGGGCCCATTTTCATCTTAACCTGATTATATCTGCAAAGAGCTTATTTCCAAACAAGGTGACATTCACACGTACTAGAGGTTGTGGTTCAGCTTATCTTTTTGGGGAACATGGTTCAACTTATAGCAGTTATATTAATTTCACATCTCAATCATGTTCATGAAAGACTCCTCCCCACAGATAAAATAAGTTATGAACTTAATTGATTATAAATTACTTTTATTCAAGATAGCATTCACTATCACATCAAGTTTTTTTTATTTGTTTCCTTATTTATCTACGTATTTATTGCTCTTGATGAGACTGTTTAAATCAGGTGTTTCTCAATCTGTATTTTAGGCATTTGGAGGGGGATTTTTTTTTTTTTTACATGGAGATGGCATTTCTGGTTCCTGACCACTAAATACCGATAGCACCCTGCAGGCACTGTGACAAGCAGGAACAAAGAAAATCAGGAAAAAGAAAAGGAACGGAGGAAAGGATGGAGGGAGGAAATGCCATCACACATTTCCAAACCATCTGACTCTTTGAAACCAACAGTCTAAATTGATGGGACTTTAATGTTGCTCCTTGGAGACCAACAGAGAATGGGCTGTGTGGAGCAATAGCAGCCGTTCTGGTAACTCAGCCAGCCTGCGGCTGTCAGAGGTCTCTGGGTAATTCCAGAGCATTCTGACTTGGACAAGGATAGTAGCAGGTATACTATGTTAGAGACAAATTTCAAAGGCACCATTTCACTTCTCCTCTGCCAGGTTCAATACTCTGTTGTTTACAACACCGTATCATTTACATCACCACGCCTGCAGTAAAGTCAGGAAGAGTATAGAGAGATAGCAAAAAGTTGCAGGAGATGAAAATAGCCTCCTGCACTTTTTTTAGCATTGCTCATTGCAATGTAGAAATGATACTTTTCCTTTGTTTGCATGCAAGGGAGGACATGACCCACTTTCTATTTTTCTTTTTATTATACTTTTAAGTTCTGGGGTACGTATGCAGAACATGCAGGTTTGTTACATAGGTATACATGTGCCATGGTGGTTTGCTGCACCCATCAACCCGTCATCTTCATTAGGTATTTCTCCTAATGCTGTCCCTCCCCTAGCCCCCAACCCCGCGACAGGCCCCAAATGATGTTCCCCTCTCTGTGTCCATGTGTTCTTATTGTTCAACTCCCACTTACGAGTGAGAATACGCGGTGTTTGGTTTTCTGTTCCTGTGTTAGTTTGCTGAGGATGATGACTTCCAGCTTCCTCCAGGTGCCTGCAAAAGGACATGAACTCATCCTGTTTTAAGGCTGCATAGTATTCCATGGTGTGTATGTGCTACATTTTCTTTATCCAGTCTATCATGGATGAGTATTTGGCTTGGTTCCAAGTCTTCGCTATTCTGAATAGTGCTGCAATAAACATACATGTGCATGTGTCATTATAGTAGAATGATTTATAATCCTTTTGATATATACCCAGTAATGGGATTGCTGGGTCAAATGGTATTTCTGGATCTAGATCCTTAAGGAATTGCCATACTGTCTTCCACAATAGTTGAACTAATTTATACTCCCACCAACAGTGTAAAAGCGTTCCTATTTTTCCACATCCTCTCCAGCATCTGTTGTTTACTGATTTTTTAATGATTGCCATTCTAACTGGCATGAGATGGTATCTCACTGTGGTTTTGATTTGCATTTCTCTAATGACCAGTAATGATGAGCTTTTTTTCATATATTTGTTGGCCTCATAAATGTCTTCTTTTGAGCAGTGTCTGTTCATATACTTTGCCCGCTTTTTAATGGGGTTGTTTATTTTTTTCTTGTAAATTTGATTAAGTTCCTTGTAGATTCTGGATATTAGCCCTTTGTCAGATGGATAGATTACAAACATTTTCTCCCATTCTGTAGGTTGCCTGTTCACTCTGATGATAGTTTCTTTTGCTGTGCAGAAGCTCTTTAGTTTATTTATATCCCATTGGTCAATTTTGGCTTTTGTTGCCATTGCTTTTGGTGTTTTAGCCATGAAGTCTTTGCCCATGCCTATGTCCTGAATGGTATTGCCTAGGTTTTTATAGTTTTAGGTCTTACGTTTAAGTCTTTAATCCATCTTGAGCTAATTTTTGTATAAGGTGTAAGGAAGGGGTCCAGTTTCAGTTTTCTGCATATGGCTAGCCAGTTTTCCTAACAACATTAAAAGTATCTTCTTCTCAGTTCTGTGTAAGTATTACTGGATATGAGAACATAAGAAGTCAGATGAATCTTTCACTGAAAAACATAGAAAATGTGACCTTGTAGGACAGTGGTTTTCTGTTAGCCAATGTGAAAAGTGTGTGTTTATGTGTGTGCATATGTAAAATGTGAATATACATATATTTGTGAGTGATATATATGTTTTCCTCTTTCTTTACCTGCTTCCTTCCTTACTAAAGTAATTAGAAGTCTTTAAAAGAAGGAGACCAAATAACATTGAAATAATTTCTTAAGAGAAAATTAACATTCAATAGATTAATACATTTTCTGGAGCATCTAAAATTCACTTTCCCTCCCCACAAAAGGTAAGATAGTCTATATATTGAAGAGCCATAATCATATACATCCATTTCTTCTGATTAGTAACTACAATATTTATTAAGTAAGCATGGACGTTTATTTGGCTCTGTAGCTACCTATTTCATGTTCTTTTGGAATCACAGCTTTCTTTATATGTCATAATGAAAATCAATATTTGAAACTTCTTCCTCTGGAAAAACATATAATTTCCTTTATAGGAGATTTAACTACTTAAATAGTTCTGCTTATGCAGGTAAGAGAAATATTCTAAGAAAAAATGAGAGATCTGCTGTATAAAGCCTTTATTGATATGAGTTATTATTTAAGGAATAAAAAAAATTAAAGCTCTGATGCTGCAAACAAAGCTCCTTGATGAGAACTGAGTTCATGCTGAGATAAAAAGTTACAAAGCAAGAGAACAGCCTCATTATATTTTTTAAAATTCCAGAGAAAGTCATTGTTCTGCCAAAGCAATGTGGCAAGACAGCCTGGGACCCAACATCGGTGCCCAGGAGGCTAGGAGTAAAGAGCTTTAGAAGCTTTGAATCTTTTTCTAAAACAATTAAGATTAAAGAACTTAATCAGGAAATCTGAGGTTATATAAGGGGTGAGCAGGTCAACCAGCTCATATATCTGGTTTGGGGCACATGCTTTGGATGACCAGACTTTTCCATGGAAGATTGTACTTTATGATAATTCTTCCAGAATGAAAGAACTGACAAGAAACATTAAAGTTTGAAAAGCGATCCCCACCACCACCGACATCTGAGAACATCCTGGCCTCTCCAGAGACATCTGACTGAGGGAAGCAGGTGAGCCAGCTTGGGCTGCAACCCCAGGAAGAGAAAGGGAAGTGGGTCACGCCTGGTGAAGTGGCCTATCTCTCTCTTGGCAAGTCAAGCTGACTGATTTGGAGGCTACAGACTCTACCTTGGCTGGCCTGGCCACCTCACAACCTCCTCTCCAAAGGTGACATGTACTACAGCTTAAGACATTACACGGCACCTGAAGCAAAAACTAAAAGTAGATATGGAATAAATCTTCTGAAGCTCTAAGGCTCAATATCCACAGTAAATTATTATTAAGTTACTGAGAAGAGAACATTCACTATTTCAGCAAGAGCTACCCAGGAAGAACCAAAAGCCTTCTGAGATGGTATATGAAGGGACAGGAATTTAGGGAATAGACCCAATTTTTCTTTTACTTAATCAGCGTTGAGTTTTTGGGTTTCTAGGAGGGCATAGAAAACTTGAACTGGAGAAGCAAGGTTCATTGGCATGTGCCAGTTGATACTTCACTAAGTCTTTACTAGTAAAAATGATGACATTTATCTTCTTTCTTAAGCCATGTCTATTCTGTTCCAACTTTACCAAGAATGACAGCTAGGATTTGAAAGTGTGCCTATGTTCTTTGCTGAGGACTTACTGCAAAGTTTCTAACAACGTAAACTTGACCTGTGTTTGACTCATAATGCCCAACAAAAAAACACTGCTGTTTTGAAATTATGGACATAGCAAAGTATAGATTGAATCTTGCTGTACACTCAGTGATTCTACCTGCTCATTTTCTTTTCACTTATGATGCTGATGGCCCATTCTAGCATCGTGCGCATCATGTTCAGAAAACACCAATCAATCCTGCACCTGTGGGAGAGCAATTTCTGCTGGTTTCAATGATAGTGGAAAAGTAACAGGTCTCAAATCCCATCAGCAATGAGAATGTTGGTCCTCTTCACCAAGGCTCCTAAATGTAGAAATTATATTGTTTATGCATTTTCTTGATCTTATTTTTATAAAAATGCATTTTTCTTAGCATCAGACTTCAGCAACACTTGATTTTTCTTTTTGATGAGGAATTTGACAGAACCTAGGCAATTAGCTGGGAGCTGTGTAAATTCAGGAAACCTGATTAACAGATCATAATTCACCTAAGAATTTAGGCTTAAGCCATGGTGGATAAAGTTTCCTTCTAAAAGTGTTTGGCAATTTGGCTTTAAAAGGAGCACTAGATTAATTCAGTCTATGCTTTCTTGCCATATGACATCATTTCAAAATATAAATTCCATTTATATTATTGAAAATGTATAAGATATGCATAAGTTTATTTTGATTTAACAGGGAGGATAAATGAAATGTTCTGCTAATAAACATATTCCAAATAACTAAGCTTACTCTATATAATGTAGACTGCAGATTTTGAAAAATGAAAAAAAAAAAACTCATTAAAGCTATATTTAGCAGTTGTGGTAAGGTCACTGATAAGCTTCATACCTCCAGTTGTCATCTGTTAAATAAGAGGATGAAATGAGATGATCATTAGTGTCTGCTCTTCTTTATGATCTGAAATGGATTCTTAACCTGAGGCCTATCTAAACATAAATGAACCACAAATGAGCATCAGGAAGCCCACAAAACACCTGAAATTGTATCAAACATTATGTATATGTACTTATTTGCATTTTTTTCTTGGATGATCCAAAGATTTTGTCCAAGACCTGAACTTTGTGCCCCTAGTAAGGTTAAGAATATCTAACATTCATTCTGTGATTAATTTAACTGTTAAGTGATGTAGCCTTTCTTTCAAAATTCATAAGCCTCCTCAGGATATCTAGTACTGGCTTTAGTTTTTTGTGGCCGTAGCTTCCAACACGTCGATCACTCTTGCATGAATTCATCTCACCCTCAGATCACCCTTGAAGGCAGACATTGTCCTCTCAAGTTACAGATGAAGAAATGGAGGAGCAGAATGCTCAGGTATGTCAGTAAACATAGAAGTCAGTTATAGATGTTTTGGCTTCCTGGTCTGGTGCTTTTTCCATTACAGTCCATTATGTAGAGTATCATAAAACTTACATTTTAATGCACAAAGCTCAGTATTTTGGAAGCTACTTATGTTTGCAAAGGTCTCCAAAGTTTAGACCTCCAAAAAAAACTAATTCAAAAGAAATCAGACTAGTAGCAAGTATGAATTTTAATTTAAAAATGGAAAATACCAGCTGAACATACAGTTCTTCAGTTTCTGCTCTCTAAATTCTAATTTTAAAAATTTATATAACACAATGTGCTTTCTTTTACAGAGCTTTCAGGTGGAACACCTGGTAGTCAGCTAATGTCCCCATTATAGAGATGACAAAAGTCAAAACTCATAGAATTGAGGTGACATGTACAAAGTCAGAGAGAAAAGTGCAGAGTTAGAACTCGATGCTGATCTCATTACTCCAAGTTTGCACTTTTTCATTGTACCCACAGCTGTCTCTGCAGTGTCCTTAGGGCATCAGGGATAGGGGAGGGGTGCATGGGCTGGGAAATATGTTGCCAGGTGAGACCATTTGTATAGACTCATGTGTTGGAGAGGGAACTGTCTGCAAAATAAATGCCATAGTAAGATAAACTATATTCTTTGGAGTCTAGACTTGGAAGTTTTTTCTGAAAGTTCAGAATCTTTCTCCATAGCAAGCAAAGGACAAATATATCTATGACCAGCAAGAAAACAACTGAGACTGAAATCTTCCCCAGTTGTAAATGCAGCTTACAACTTTTCACAAGAACATTTTTTGTGAACTTGCATTTCTTTTCTTCCCAGGGGAAGACATGGCCTGATTCAAAACAGGGGGACTGTGAGAGAGATTTAGCACAAGAAAGGCTATTGGTGTTCCCTATGTCTTATTGGCTTTTCGCAAATTCCCTAGAACCTGAAGCCCAGTATTTACTCTATAATCTTTTGCCAATGTTAAACCTTTTTTCTGAGTAGGTCTATGACTGATATTTTTATGATCAGGCTGTACTGCAGGCACATTAGAATGCACTGGGAGATGCATGATTTATATATTTTGATTTTGACTTGTACAAGATTTACATCTGGGCTAAATACATAAAATAATAGAGAGTGGTTTGCCAGTATAAAGGAAAGAATCATTCAAGTTCAGCCAATCTGATTGTATCACCACAGTGGTGGAGGAGCAGCTCAGACAAGTTCTCATTACAGATGTGCCAAGAACTTGGGTTTGGAGGCCCACCTCCCTGCTTTTGAATTACATCTCTGCCATATAGTGGGCAAGGGAAGAGGGAACTCACATTTATTAAATCTAATAAGATGCCAGCCATTGTGTTAGGCACTTCACAGACATTTTAATTTCGGCTCTATATCAGCCCTGGAAAGTTGGTACTACTGGTCTCAATCTCCAGATGAGAAAACAGAGATTTAATGAGGTTTAATAATTTGTCCAAAGCCGCAGAGTTACTGACACCCACATTTGAACTCAGGTCTTTCTGCCAATAAATTCATGTTCTTTCTATTATTCAGCACGTCTTATCTGGGCTTTAATGTCTCCATCTGTAAAATAAGATCAGTAAGCATACCTTTTAGGACTGCTGGATTACAAGAGATTAATTTACCCAGAACAATCCTAATTACAGGAGGTCTTGGATGAATAGTATTTCTCTCCCTACACTTTGTTCTGGTAATAGCTCTGATTTTGTTGTTTGATTTATTTGTTTGCTAACTTGATTGATTAGAGGTTTTTGTTCTTTTTAAAGATTTGGGCCTACCTCAGCTTTTTCTAAGATGCAGAAGCAAACAGATGATTCAATATAGAGGTGCCTATATGACATTAGAAGTCAAGGAGAACCAGAATAACATTTTCTTCTTCTGTCATTTGTCTAGAGTAGAGAGCTGCAGGCAGGGAATTGGGGTGGTGCTGTTCTGTACCCTGGGAGAGTGTGTGGGGTTGCCAGGTGTCTTCTTAACTGTGCACCAAGACCTTTGTGAACAATTTTAATATTCCTTCCTTAAGCAGCTTCAGGGAGGGATTGAAGCTAGACAACAGCCAAGCTGCACCTTAATAGGCCTGCAGTATTCCAAATGGCCTCTCATTGCAGGCAGGTAGCCCAGAGTGCTGCCCATGCCTGGTGCATGGTAGGGAATGTGGACAGAACTTCATGAGAATTGGTAGGGAATGGCAATATTTTCTTGCCTGTAAATGGCAGACTACTCATAGAGAGGCTTGGGAATAACTACTTATCTCAGAAATAATGATTATTTATTTATTTATACCTTGCTCCCTGCCTGAAGGTGGTGGAGCTCTCTGCTTACAGGTAATAAATAGCATCTAAAACTGCGTGTTCCAAGAATAATGGAAAGCATCTATATAAGCCAGAGTGGTTGAAAGGGTGATGACTCTTAATCCTAGGAAGATATTTTGATATTTTTATTCAGCTAACCTTGACTCAGCACGTTCCTTGAACTAGGGATATACAAAAATAATTAAGGCACAGCCTTCATCTTTAATGTACTAACAGTCTGGTGGGGGGCCATACATGTGTACTGAGACTATAAGGCAGCCTAGTAGGCTGTGTGCTGGAGGTATGAATGGAGTATAGCAGAAACCCAAAGCAGACCGGGTAACTATTTTACTTGATGAAGAAGTAATATTTGAGTTACTTTCTAAAGGATAAATAGGAACTTGCCAAGCAAAGAAAATGAAAAGCTGGGGGTAGAGGAGTACTCTGACAAAGCATATACAAAGGTCCAGTGTCCACAAGAAAGACCGTGAGGAATTTATGAGGCTCGACCATAAGACAGTAAGACCAGAGGCCAAGCTTGGGGCCAAAGTGAAATATCTGGTACTCTGAGAAATGATAGTTAATGGGATTAAGCCCTAGCACTGCCATTTCTAGAATGTGGCTCTGAAGAACTTACTAAGTCACCCTGAATCTTGTTTTTCTCATTTGTAAAATGGGCCTAATAACAGTTCCTATCTCTGAGAGTTATGAGGATTAAGTCAAAATACCCCTTTGGACAATTCTAGCACATGGCCATGCTCAATAAATGCCAATTCTTTGTAGTATTTTTAGTAGCAATAGTCAATTTTATGATAAAATCAATAGCACTACATAAGAACATAAATAATGTTCACATTAGGCTTCTCAAGAGTCTTTTTAAAGAAAAAGATCTAGAATAGGGCTATCCAACACAAAACTCTCTGTAATGATGAAAATGTTTTCTGTCAGTGTTGTCCAACTTATTAGTCATTATCTGACTGCTATATCAGACTACTGAGCATTCGAAATATGGCTAGTGCAATTGAGGAACTGAAATTTTCATTTTATTTAATTTAAATAGCCATGCATCTTAGTGGCTATCGTATTAGACACTAGAGATCTAGATTTATAAAATCATAAAATGTTTTATCTGTGAAAGATGTTAGAAATTGATATAAAGCTCTTATCCTCCCCCCCATCACTATTTTACAAATATCTCTCAGAGGGAAATTGATTTGCACAGGGTCACATAACTAATGACAGACCTGGTGCTAGAACCTAGCAGCTCTTCTGGCATCCTAAGCAAAGTTCTTATTATCCTGAAGTCTGGTTAGATTATTATTTCCACCTTAGAGAGTGTCTATTGCAAATACATCGTGGGTTCTGATGTTCCACTCAGCCACCTTTCCTCCCCTCACCATGCTTATTTCTACTTCTTGTTTTAAATAATATAATATGCATGCTGCATCAAGTAAATCCCAAGTAATCCATAACTCACTGATAGATATTTTAGTTCCTGCTCATGGGAACGTTTTGTATCAGCAGCAACTCATTTAGTACAAAATTCTCAGCACCATTATTTTCATAACTAGTATTTTGTTGTTTTTGTTGTTATACTATTATTAATTTTTGTTACTTTGCCTAAGTATTAAACTTGTATCAACAAGAATATTGATCTTTTTATAGCACTTACAAAACATAAATTCAGATTTTTCATCATTAAGAAAATAGGATGATCAAACCATTTAGCAGAGTCATCAGTTAAGAAGGATTGATCAGAGCACTATGGGAATATGGCAGAATAGGAAGTACCAGTTTCCCCATCTAAACAACAATTGCAGTTGCAGAATCTGTCTGGTCTATTTTGGAATTCTGGAATCCATTAGAATGATTGTAACTTACAGGGGAAGGATTGGTAATAGTAAATTTTGGTTAATTTCAGCTTGCAACATGGCAGCAGCTACCCATTTTCCAGCCCCATGGCAGACAGTTGTGCACGTTTCATATGTAACTTGCAGGCAGTTTGTAGGAGCCAGGGTGAGCGAAAAGAATCCTACAAAAACTGGAGATATATATTCTGATTGCTGATTGCTGTGTCTAATCTTTGAGGTGCACACATATAGGAGGAAGCCATTGTTGCACCCCTTTCTTCACGTTGCAAGCCCTTCTCCCTTTGGGTAAAGCAAGTTCCAAAAGATCTAAAGGACCAGTGCACTTTCATTTAATTTTTTCTTCTCCTCCTCCTACTTTATTTTTCTCTTCTTCCCCTTTTGGGAGACAGACATTTAAAGTCTAAGACTTCTAAAAACAACCACATATATGGGGGCATTTGGAAAGTCACGACATATGATCAGGGAAAGGCAGTCTTAAAAACTAACCGAGAAGACCTTAAGTTTACATGTTGGGCTGATCACCAGCACTGACACAGCCTACAGCAATTAAAAAACAAAAGCAACAATTAGCATACCCTGGGGAAGGGGAAGAATCTGATTTCCAAAATCACTATATTATTATATTCAAAAGTCCAGTATTCAACAACAACAAAAATCACAAGACACAAAAACATAGGAAAGTATGTGTGGCCCATTCAAAGGGAAAAATAACCCAATAGAAACATACCTAAAAAATACCCAGTGGAAGATCTACTGTACAAAAACTTTAAAACAATTGTCTTAAAGGTGCTCAAAGACACAGCACTTTGGGAGGCCGAGGCGGGTGGATCACAAGGTCAGGAGATTGAGACCATCCTGGCTAACATGGTAAAACCCCCTCTCTACTAAAAATACAAAAAAAAAAAAATTAGCGGGGTGTGGTGGCAGGCCCCTGTAGCTGGCAGGCTGAGGCAGGAGAATGGCGTGAACCCGGGAGGCGGAGCTTGCAGTGAGCCAAGATTGCGCCACTGCACTCCAGCCTGGGTGACTGAGCAAGACTCCGTCTCAAAAAAAAAAAAAAGATGCTCAAAGAACTGAAAAGTGATGTGGAGAAAGTCAAGGAAACAATGTATGAACAAAACAGAAAGATTAATAAAGAGAGAAAAAGCCTAAAGCAAAACCAAAAGGCAATTCTGGAGCTGTGAAGTATAATAACTGAAATAAAAAGTTTGCCAGTAAGATTCAAAGACAGCTTTGAGCAGACTGAAGAAGGAATCTGTGAACTTGAAGACAGGACAATGGAAATTGTCAATTCTGGAGAAAACAGAAAAAAATATCAAAGAAAAGTGAGCAGAGTGTAAAGAATCTGTGGGATATCATCAAGCAGACAAATATACACGTAATGAAAGTCTCGGAAGGAGAAGAAGGAAAGAGAAAAGGGAAGCTAGATTATTCAAAGAAAAAATGACTGAAAACTTTCCAAATTTAATGAAAGACATGAATATAAACATTCAAGAAGCTCAACAAACTGTAACTAAAATGGACTCAAAGAGACCCACACCAAAGCACATTATAATCAGACTGTTGAAAGCCAAAGACAAAGAGAGAATCTTGAAAGCAGCAAGGGAGAAGCAACTTGTCACATATAAGGGATTCTCAATAAGATTATCAGCATATTTTTCATTCTAAACTTTAGAGGCCAGAAAGCAGAGGGCTGATATATACAAAGTGCTGAAAGAAAACACACAAACAAAGCTGTCAACCAAGAATCCTATATCTGTCAAAACTGTCTTTCAAAAGAGGAGAAATTAAGACATTTCCTGAAAAACAAAATCTGAGAAAGTATGTTACCACTAGACCTGCCCTAAAGAAATGCTAAAAGAAGTCCTTTTGGTTGAAATGAAAGAACACTAAGCAGTAATTTGAAGACATATGAATAAATAATAAAGATCTCAATAAAGGTAAATACATGAACAGTTATAAAATCTGGTAACTTTTACACTTTGGTTTGTAACTCCACTTTATGTATTTTATATGATTTAAGAGACTAATGCTTATTTTTAAAACTATTATCAGTTTTAAAATCAGTCTTATTTTAACTTTGGTTTTTAATTCTACATTTTGTTTTCTACATTATTTAAGAAATTAATGCATAAAAATTTGTTTATACCTTTGGACCCACAATGTGTAAAGATACAGTTCTGTAATATCAATAACTAAAAAGAGGTGGGAGTGGAGCTGTATTGGAGCAGAGTTTTTGTATGTTATTGAAGTTAAGATGTATAAATTCAAATTAGAATGTGATAACATTAGGATGTTAAATGTAATACCATAAGAACCACAAAGAAAATAGTTAAAGAACATACAGATACACAGAAAAAGGAGAAAATAATTAATGCATTTAACTGCAAAAAAAATCAACTAAACAGGAAGACAGCAATGTAGGAAATGAGGAACAAAAAAAGCTATAAGGAATATAGAATAGAAATAAAATGACAGAAGTAAGTCTCTTCTTATCTGAAATTATTTTAAATGTAAATGGTTTAAACTGCCCAGTCAAAAAACAGAATGAGATAATGGATTTTATAACAATGTGATCCACCTATATACTATCTACCAGAGACACTTCAGATCTAAAGACACAAATAGGTTAAAAGTGAAAACATGGAAAAAAGTATGCCATGCAAACAAGAGAGCAGGGGTGAATAGGTAGGCCAGTTAGCAAAAGAAAAATACTGTTTTATTCCATTTATTTGAGGCACCTAAAGTAGTCAAATTCATAGAAACAGAAAGTAGAATGGTGGCTGCTAAGGGTTGGGAAGAGAAAGAATGAAGAGTTATTCTTTAATGGGTGTAGAGTTTCAGTTTTGCAAAATGAAGAGTTCTGGAAATGGATGGTGGTGATGGTTGCTCAGAAATGTAAATATACTTAATGCCACAGATCTGTACACTTAAAAACAGTTAACACATCTTAAATTGTAATCCCCACATGTCAAGGCTGGGACAGGTGAAGGTAATCAGATCATGGGGGCAGTTTCCCCCACACTCTTCTCATATAAATGAGTGAGTCTCACAAGATCTGATGGTTTTATAAGCGTCTGGCATTTTCTCTGCTAGCACTCACTCCATCCTGTCACGCTGTGAAGAAGGTGCCTGTTTCTCCTTTGCCTTCTGCTATGACTGTAAGTTTTCTGAGGCTTCCCCAGCAATGCGGATCTGTGAGTCAATCAAACCTCTTTCCTTTATAAATTACCCAGTCTCAGATATTTCTTCATAGCAGTGTGAAAATGGACTAATACAAATGGTAAATTTTATCTTACATGGATTTTACTTCAATTTTTAAAAATGTGTTATTTCTTAAAAATGTATATTAAACCCAAAAGAATTCAACATACGATTCAAACAGATACTTTTAGGTAATGTTCTTAACGGCATTATTCTCAATAGCCAAAATATAGAAATAACCCATGTACATCAGCAGATAAATAGATAACCAAATATGGTATATACATGCAGTGAAATATTATTTAATCATGAAAGGGAATATAGTTCTGATCCATGCTGTAATATGGATGAACTTTAAAAACATTTTGCTGAGTGAATGAAATCAGACATAAAAGGTCGCATATTATAGGATTTCATTTATATGAAATATCTAGAATAGGCAAGTCAAAGAAACAGAAAGTAGATTAGTGGTTGCCAGGGGCTAGGGAGAGGAAAGAAATAGGAGTGATTGCTTAATGGTACAGAGTTTCTGTTTGGGATGATTGAAAAGTTTTGGAAATAGATAGTGGCAATGGTTGAACGACATTGTGAATGTAATTAATGCCACCCAATTAAGCTCTTAAAAATGGTTAAAATGGCAAATTTTGTAATATGTTTACATATTATAAAATTTACAAATCTTTCTACGTGCCAAAAAATAAAAATAAAAATGGGATAATCAGGTGTAGACAAAGACAAGATCTTTGCAGCAATCATTGTAGTTAGTTATCCTTGAACTAAGGCAAATGTGCTAATGGGACTGTTGTACCTGATCTACACAAATGTATCTCTTCCCTTCTGCAGAGAGAAATATCAGTCTTTAACTGCAAATGACCCTCGCTAGGGAATGGTGCGTGGTGTCAGGGAGTTTGAGTGGACACTGAAAGTTTGCTGCCTCATTCTCCTTAAGACATGGGCATGGTTGTGTAGGAGCAGGGATGGATAGCTAAGGAAGAGAGGGACAAGTCAATTAGCATTATATTCACAGTTCAAATAATACTCTTCTTTTATGGGAAGGAGCTATTAATACTTAGCTCTTGCCCTCCTGAGCGCTTACCAGTGAGCTCTACCTGGAGAACAGCATTCACAATCTTAAACTTGGTTTTAGCCTGGCCTGCATGATTGATGAGGTCACATTAGTCCCCCCACTTCAGACACACTGTCACGTTAAGTTCCTAGAACATTCCTGCAGGCCCTGCTTTCAGCATTGGTCTGTACTTTTCCTCTTTTTAGCCAGTTTAGCTAATGCTTACTCAAGTCTTCAGATCATTTGCAAATATTGCTCCCTCAGATAAGCCTTCGCTGACCTCTACTCTTAAAAAGTAAATCAACTCCTTCCACACCTGGCAAAGCACACACACACACACACACACACACATTGCATCCTTCCTTGATCTTTTGTTTATGATTCTCTTCACAGCTTTTAATACACTTCATTTTTATTATTATGTGTTTAATATCTATCTCCTCCTTAGACTATAGGTTCTATGAGAGTAGAAACCCTATCCCTAGGGTCTAATCTGTTCCTAGACATTTAGTAGGAGCTTAGTAAATATCTGTTGAATTAAAACATAAGTAAATAAAAGAAAAACTCTATTAATAGGTAGTGACTAGCAACTAAACACAATGAATAATTTTTTGTTAAGTGAGTAAATGGAAAAATTACCTGTCCTTATAAGAAATCTAGGTTAGTTTCTATTTCTCTTGAAAGTTTAGGAATAGACTTGCCTAAAGACCAAGAGCTAGAAAGAGACTGAGACTCAAACAACTAAAGTAAAATAAAATTAGTAAATTTGTGATACTTTGTTAATATGACTGTTAAGAAAAGTCCAATGTTTAACACTTGAGCAAAGTAAGCTCCTCTTCACTCATTCCACCCCCTAGATTCCAGGAACAAGACAGTTTGCTTCAACCTTCCAGTTCATCATGGATGAGGGGCATTGTTCTGAAGTCAGTTCTCACTGATAAATTGTGGAGTAAAAATGTTTTTAATAACCTTTTTTTGTATAAAGGAAGAAAGTTATTTGAGACTGAAAAACTGTTTCTTAGTTATTAATACTATCTTCAGGTGACTTCTGCGCAGATAGTCTTCAGAAGGTCTTTTGCTGAACTAGATGATGGCATGCAGATGCATAGCAAGAAAAAGTGGGGATCTGGGGTACAGATGGGCTAGAGCAGGTGGATTCCGGAAACTTCCTGGGCAAGTGGAGGATACAGGTGCTGTCATTCCTTTGTAAAAGGGCAAAAACGGATATTAGAGGGGATTTTCATTAACTTGTGCTCTGTTATATGTGATGTAACTTTCTCCTCTTTTCCTTTCCCCACCTTCCCGTATGAAATCTTTAGTAAAGTTCTTCAGTAAAGCCTTGAGAGGTGGGTTTCACTTTTGAGGTATGAAGAATCCTGCTGTGAGGTTAATGAGCAAAAGTTGCCACATCAAAAAGTCATCTCAAAAACATGACTGTGTGATAAGAAGAATACTTCGCTTCTATGGTATTCTTTTCAAAAAATCATGGCCCATCTAATCATGGGAAAAGCATCGGACTAACCCAGACTGGGGGACATTCTCCCCAGTACCTCACCAGTGATTCTCAAAAGTGTCAAGGTGATGAAAACAAGGAAAGGCTAAGACATCATTATATACCAGAGTAGACTCAGAAAACATGCCAACTGAATGCAATGGAGTACCTAGATGAAATCCTGGAACAGAATGAGGGCATTAATTTTAAAAACTGGTGAAATTCAAATAAAGTCTAGATTTTAGTTAATAGCCATCTACCAATGTTGGTTTCTTAGTTTTGATGAGTAAGATGTTAACAATGGGAATAAGTGGGTGAGGGAGCACATAGCAACTTTTCTATAAATCTAAATTCATTCCAAAATAAATAGTTTATTTAAAGGTAAAGCCTCAAAACTAAAATGGTCAATTTTGGCTCCTTGCTGAACTTAAGCTCCTTGCTAAGCGGACAGTGGTTGTCGCCAAAGTGCCTTGACCTTTGGCTCCTATTAAACATAGCTATCATGTCAAAAAAAATGTTTTAATACGTCTTAAAATGGCAAGGAAGACTTTATTCAGGACTATTGCAATATGTGTCAAGACTATTTTAAGAGGGGAGAGCGATCAGGCTCAACTCTAAATACAATAAAGACAAATAAGGATTTATAACCAATGAGTAGAGTGAGGGGGTGAATGGATGGCAAATCACTGGGAGGAGACATCCAGGGTAAGGGGAAGTTGCTAAACCAACTGAAGAGGATTCTTGAAGGCAAGCCAAGAACTTATACATCAAAAGTGTGTGGTCAGGAACTTGATCAGATATCAAGGGTGGGGGAATTCTCAATAAAATTACTTGGCAGAATTCTTGCTGAGACTGGACTAGGCAAGCAACAGACAGGACAGGGGCCAAGGTTGAGGCCTGGTCAAGAAGAGGGCACAGGGGAACCCAGCTGAAATTCAGTCAAGGAGAGGGTCTTTGTCATTATCAGTCACACTGATACCATCTGGTTCGAATTTGAGTGGTGACTATACTACCCACATTCACCTCATAGCTTGACTTGCATCCAGATGATTTGGTTGTATTGTCTTGGCCTGGGAGCAGATTCCACTTAAGATTTCACATTCACCATCTAGAGTTTGGCCATTGGCATTACGGGTGTTGATGTTATTTGAGCCAATTTCCTCCCAAATTGATTGGTTTGTGGTCCTGGAGACAGTAAGCTTTTGGGATTTGGCATGTGATTTTACAGATGATTTGGTACCTGGAATCCACCAAGCCGTTCTTTCTCAGAGCCAAAGCCCTTGAAATATATTGACCTTTCCAGTCAAAAGATCCTTATCCAGGTGTAAGAACTGTAAAAACTTTACATGTAATGCAAACATGAATTCCATAGATCTGCCAATTTAGGTATAGAAGATAAACTACAGAAGGACTTTATTTTCCTCTGGGCCAGTCCAGCACATTAATTCACATTAACATATTCAGGTAAGGAAGGCTTTGAAAAAATTAATAAGCTCAGTCTCCACTTTGCGTTATTTATTCTTGGTGCAGAATGTACGGTTTTATTTGTTTGTTTGTTTATTTTGTCATTTGGGTAATTCCTGGAGCAGTATCTCTCCATGTAAAGTCAAGTGACAAAATGAGGGCAGCCAGGCAATTTCAAACAGAACCAGTTTTGTTTTTTTGGCCTGTATTCTGACCTAAAATAATCCACACAATAACCCCATTTCTTCACCTGACTTTGGCTCTGGAGACACCTTAGAGTTGTGTCTGCAGAGAGACAGATTGCGTCATGGAGAGCACCAAAGCAGAGGCCTTGCTGGGGTAAGGCCCTTGAAGGCTTATAGTGGCACATCGGCTGGGCTAGTGAAAACAAGTTCAAAGTTGGTTGGGCTTTTTTGTTTTGTTTTGTTTCAGTTCCAAAAAAAATTTTCATAGGCAAACGCATTCTGACTCTTCCAACTCCATAAATACATTCTGAAAAGACATGAAAGAAGGTCACAAAATCCAACCAAATACATGCCTACCTGTAAAGTCTTGTTCTGCTGTCATTTAACTTGTGGTTTTTCCTTGGGGAATCTTTTAATATAGGGAGAAAGTGAAACCATGGTTAAAATATTTGGCAAAATGTAACCATTATTAATAAGCAACACATAGACGGATTGTTAGCCAATACCTCAATGCTTTGAGGTTACTTAAGTATCCCACCAGCACAGTGGTAAAGTGGCAAACACAGAATTCTGTTGCCTTAGAAGAAGCTGACCAGAAAATATAAGTGTTTCATTATTTCTGAAGTGTTTGCAGGTTCCTCCCCTTTTCATTTTCCTTCTTGCAAAACTTTTTAATTCTAGCACCATCTCTTAGCCAGCTTTTAAAATAAAATTAATATATGTTTATGACTTCATTTCTTTTCAACAGTTTATGATATTTAAGGACAAGCCAACCACAGTTTATTTATAGAACTTGATCCTATTTCTGTTTCTTATTTTGTCTCCTGGAAAGCAGAGGAAAGAGCTCTAAATTTGTCAGAGAAATTAGACATTGAACTTTACTTTCCCCAACTTCTACAAATAAACTTGAGCATTTGTTTCAAGATAAGATTAAAAAATTATATCATTTGAAAATAAGATTACTAAAACATTAGGTCTAGATAATTAAATCTGTACAGGTCAGGAAATATAAAAGTTGATTATTCTGATTTTAAGCATTATTGTTTATAAGGATGCTGTAGTCTCTAATAAGACTTCAGCACTTCCTGAATTCTATACCATTTCAACTTCAAATGAGATTTAAAATTTTTACATGTCACACCCTGGTTATTTGTCAGTGTGCATGGAAGAAGAAAGAGGAAGGGAAAATAATTCTGGAACTTAATTAATTGTGAAACCAGCCTCAGCCCCTGGATGTGGTCTTGTTGACTGCAGAGATAAGGCAGTTTGGGGTCAGTTGTCTATTGTGCTTTCTTTTGCCAATGATCGTTCTATTCATTCACTCATTCATTGCATTTTTTATTCATTCATTCAGAACAAATGAAAGAACTTTTCCTTTTGGCCATTTACTTCTGTTCCCTTTTACTCAAAGGTAGCAAAATACATGATGAAACTTCCTTGAACAGAATTAAAACAAGCCTGAGTTTTGGAAGATGTCAAAATTAAATTCTAGAAATACAGGTAAATCTGTAGG
The DNA here is from genome assembly GCF_000001405.40 of Homo sapiens. Classification (NCBI taxonomy): domain Eukaryota; kingdom Metazoa; phylum Chordata; class Mammalia; order Primates; family Hominidae; genus Homo; species Homo sapiens. The sequence continues at coordinate 74,968,883 of NC_000004.12, forward strand.
ATTTTTGGGTTCCAGTCATTCTGAGAATAGTGGTGATTTCCCATATTTAAGAAATGTTTTGAAAGACAGGCTTTGAAAGTAGGCTATGGGCTGGTTTGCCAGGGTGGTTTATGTTCAAAAATGGAAATAACCTTCTGACAGAGAACCAGAATGGACTAAATACAAGCACATGGTAAACCAAGTTTTGGCTGCTTCTCTCTCCTTGCAGGTGGATACTGTGAAGGTAGGTGATGGTGTGTATACAGGGCTTCTCCTGGCAATGAGGGAGAGGGTGCGGAAGGGCAGCCGACATCCCCTACTCTTTCTCACTTACAGAAGTACCCAGAGAGAGCCAAGCTCATGGGTCCCTTGTCGTTGTGTTGAGGGGGCGGCTGTCTAAGGCCCTTTTGTGGCTGTGTTAAGCAGTTTAAAGAGGGTTTGTAGGCACTTAGAGGGAAAGCATGAACCCAAATTTCTATTTTAACATGTAAGAAGGGACTTAAATGCCAGAAAATATAGTACAGCACTCAGAATGTTGTATCACCCAAGTTGCAGACAAGCAAATCTGAATGTAGTTACCACTCCATTGTATCCAGTGCTAGGACATGTGTCTTGCCTTCCAAACTCACCCAGTGGTCCTCTGTAGTCAGAGGAAGGCAGAGAGGGCACACAGCCTCACATTTCATGAGGAGAGCTAAAGGGCCCATCTTGCTGTGAAAACAGTCAGTGTTGCAAGAGGAATGATGCGTCTGGAGGCATAGCTCTGAGGCTGTCTCCTTTCTTCATCAGGCAGGGGAGGCAGAGAAAATAAAAGTTAAAAGACTGAGTAGTGTTGCAATGAAACTAAATACCTCGTGAGAAGGCAGGTGTCTTTGTTCCTCTCCCACCATGGACAGCTGGGCTGTTCCTTCTCTTCTGGGTGCTCTCAACACCTTACTATCAGCTATCACCCAGCAGATAAGAATAAAGTAGCCAAGGAGCAATAGGGGTTTTGTTTTTCACTGTTTTTGAGATTGTAGAAATTGATAGCGCACTGCACTCTCATCTTGAGATCTGTGGGCTGAGCTCCCAGGGTTCTTAACATGGGCCAAGTTAGTCTGGATGCAACCTTTTGTTATTGTCTAAGTCACTGGCAGATTTAAAAATCACAGCGGTTCACAGCCAGATGACCAGCCTAGGGATGAAGGCGGGGCAGGGGGCGGTCAGTATCTCCACTCACATGTCATCTAGTCACGATGCAGAGGTTGAAACACTGAGTTAAAGGAAGCTTATCTTCATATGAAGAATTAGAGGCCACACCTCCCTAAGCTAAATTTAGAAGTGTTAGTATGTGAACAGGAGGTATACAGTATCTCAGGTTTCCTGGGGCACCAGCCAGATAAGACATTCCAGATAATTCTCTTCCATGCCTAACTTGTACCTCACCAGTCAGGCCAGAGGAGGCACTGCAGAAGGAGCTGTCCTCTTGTGTGGCTCTGTCCTTCTTTTCAAGTTTGAGGGGGTTGTGGACCATGTGAGGCTGGACGGCTCACATGTCAGCCGCCAGGCTCTTAGTTACAGACATGGCAAACTTCCATCATTTAAGCAGTGGCACAGATGTTGTGGAGAAATCCCAGTGCTCTAGCTGTGTGGCAGAGGGAAGGGCCAGGTCTGTGAGAAAATAAAATTATTCTCAGCCTCTCTCCCATATTCCAGTAAGTCTAGATTGAGTAAAACATCTAATCTAACTGTGATAAATAGCTATTCAATTGCCTGGCACATGGATTGCCTGCTTTATAGATTTTACCGAGCATGTTTCAAATCCAGAGACCCTCTCTTACCCTGGTAAATGTCTACCCAGGCTGCTTCCAGCCTGCCTGCATGTGTTCAGGGCAGCAATTTAATTTTTATGTTATCATAAGCTAAACCTAATCAGGAGGCAAATGTTCTCTGACTAATTTAGCTCTGTTTTCCAGAGCAAGAGATAAATACCTTAGAGTGAGAGGCAATATAGAGTTGTGGGAGCCAGCACAAAGGAATCAGGGGCCTAGTATGAGTCCTGGCTCTGCTCCTTCTTCACTCAGTGACTTTGAGATAGTTTCCTCACTCCTGGATTTTAGGTTTCTCATTGGAAATGAAGCTGCATGAGCATAGTGGGGAACAACAGGAGACCTAAGGACTGAGAAGTGAGCATTTGGAGGCAAGTTGCTTACTATGTTTCATCAAGATACCCCTTCTAAGACACTGTATTAGTCTGTTCTCACAGGGCAAATAAAGACATATCCAAGACTGGGTATTTATAAAGAAAAAGAGGTTTAATGGACTCACAGTTCCACATGGCTAGGGAGGCCTCACAATCATGGCAGAAGGCGAAGGAGCAAAGGCATGTCCTACATGATGGTAAGCAAGAGAGTGTGTACAGGGGAGCTGCCCTTTATTAAACCATGAGATCTTGTGAGATTTATTCACTCTCATGAGAACAGCACGGGAAAAACCTGACCCTGTGATTCAATTACCTCTCACCTGGTCCCTCTCACGACACATGGGGATTATGGGAGTTATAATTCAAGATGAGTTTTGAGTGGGGATACAGCCAAATCATATCAGATTTTTTTTTAAGCTTTTGTTTTTGCTTTTACCACTTTAAAAATGAGATGTGTTTCACAATCAATGGCATATCCTATTTTATTAACAGCATTTTGTGTCACTCTTAAGACTACATAAAATAACAAGTGTCTGATAGTTGACACTTTTTAGATTTGATGAAATACAGTCATGTTTTTGTTTCTGAGCTGACTTTGTTTATCTGAAAATAAAGCATGAGGGTGAGGCAAGTCCTCAGATCTCCTTCCTCTCTGAGATTCTGAGTCTTGCTTTGCTGAATTGCACACTCCATCACCTACTTGCACTAGTGGGGTTAATGAGGAGCTGGCTTAACCTTTTAATACCTTACCTCTGATCCCAATCTTTTCCCAGCCTAGTCTAGACTCTTCTTTCTAGAAGAAAGTTTTCAAGGTTTCTGAGAAGTTCAAGGTATTGGGACACATTCTTCCTGCAGCACTGATTAGCTGGATGGTGTCTGCTCCTACCAAAACCAGAGGACATCTTTCACAGCCACAAGCATAATAATTTTCTGTGACACATATTTTATTATTCATATGTAGCTCCTTGAAGTTACTGGTAGTTAGGGTGTGGCTGTAAGTCTGCAAAGATGAGCAAGGATATTGACAACATGCACGCCCTGTCTCTGAGCAGGGAAGGGGTAAAAACACTGAAATTCCTGAGAATGCTCAGTGGAGCAGTGCTGCCCACATCACCTTCCCATGAAACTACAGGGACAGAAGGAGCATGAGCTGAAAACAGGGCCACATGGCTCTGGGATTGCCTGAGCATCTGCAAGATTGTGGTCTACTGTTGGGGAGCCCTGATTTTTGCCCTAAACATTGGATTTGTTTTGTTTTTGCAATGCAAAAAGAAAATACCTGTGATAATACTTACCTTTCACTCATATTCATTCACTTAGTTTTGAAACCGCTTTCTGTTTCTTTCAGAATCCCTTTATTTGGCACTGAGTTATGTATTTGTATGCTTTGTAACAATAAAATAACTTCAGAAAGAAGCACAAATCTAAGTCAACACGTTTCTGAAATCTTTACCTTTTTAAACATCTGCAGATGGATCTGAATGTTCTCAAAATTGTGTCTTTTAGTGCAGTTCTTCGGTAGTAGTATATGAGTTTTGACATTCTGCTGTAAATAGCTTCTTGGAACCAAGAGTTATATTTGGGAGACTTGTTTCTTACTTAGCATGCTTATGAAAATTCTTCCGGTAAATACACAAAGTAGTACTTCATGATTTCTTTTTCCGATCAGCAGAAAGTAACATAAGCTCAATCTGAGCCTAGTAACAGATAAGCCTCTACGTTATTTGGGTTATTTTATTTTAAATGTTAAGTCCTTTGGTGTCATCTTGCTGATGCCTCAATGTGTCCAGGCAGTAAGGGGAAATGAAGACTTACACTGTGGGGACAGGAGGCTTGAGGACATCTGCAAGCTGATACAGTGTAGTGGAGAAGGCAAGGCTTTGCTTTTGAGTAGATGACAGTAAAACATTGGCTCTGCCCCTTATCTACCATGTGATGTTTAGATCTCTGAGCCTCATTGTCCTCACTTACACATAATGAGTCAATCACACCTCACAGTGTTATTCTGAAGATTAAAAAAAATAACAAGAATGGATTTTCTAAAACCCCATCACATGGGAGGTATTTAAATTTACTCCTCTTTCCCATGTCCACACTGCCTTTAGGACCCTTCTTTAACATTTTTTGGTTTGAATTTTGATTTTTGATTTTGTTCTTCAGTCAATGAAGTATAAAATCTGAATATTTTCACAGTGGTACACATTATGTGTAATATAAACTTAAAATAGAAAAATTAGTGAAACCTGTCATCTAAAGATACTGTACAGTACACATGAATATATAAAAAAATTTCCAACAAATATGAACAGACTTTTAAGGTGTTTAAAAGAATAAATGATCTCAGCATATAAAATGCTTTTATTTCCCCCATAAAGATCTCAGCAACTTGAAAACAAGAAACTCTCCCTCCCAACCCCCCGCCCCCCTCACCGCCTCCCCAGTTATATATCACAGTCCAGGGATAGAGCTAGAGACATTCGTCTTCTGGAGGCCACTGGAGAGTCAGGTCTCCTCATCTGCATCTGAGTCCTGGAAGGCAGTACAAATTGAATACAAAGTCCTGTCCTGAGGTATCCTTCCCAGGACCCTCTTGCAGCGGCACAAGCCTAAAGATGGCCATAAAGTTAAATAGACCATTTTTTTTAGGTAGATAAAACCCATAATATTCACACTCTGCAGATTCTGGCTGTCTCCTCTCTCTTGACCCAAGTTCCTGCAGAGGAACCCAGGCCACCACCCTCAGATTTTAGGACACTGGGATCCTGTATTGGTCATGATTAGAGAATCAAATAATAAAATATGTTACATGTATGTGTGTGTGTGTGTGTCTGTGTGTGGGTGTAGAGAGAGAGAGAGAAAGAAAGAGAGAGAGATTTATTGTAAAGAATTGGCTCGGATGATTACAGTGGCTGGGAAGTACCACCATCTTCTGTCTGCAAGCTGGAGACTAAAGAAAGCCAGTGGTGTAATTTAGTTCAAATCTGAGGGCCTGAGAGCCAGGGTTGTTGACGGTGTGATTTAGTTTAAGGACCAGAGAAGATGAGGTGAGATGTCCCACATTATGCCATGAGGCAGAAAAAGAAGAGGCAAATCCCTCCTTCCTCTGTGTGTGCTCTGTTCAGGCTCGCCACGGATTGGATGATGCCCACATACTTTGAGGAGGGCAAACTACTTTACTGAGTCCATGGATTCAAATGCTAGTTTTATCCAGAAACACCCTCACAGAGCTTACCCAGAAATAATGTTTAATCTGGGCACCTTTTGTCCCAGTCAAGTTGACACAAAGAATTAACCATCATGGGTCCCCAGGTCTCCACTGTCATAGCAGTGACACCCTAGGAGGATGGGCCACTGGGAGTTGTTAAATAGCTTTCAAGAGAAGACTTGTCCAGTTTTTCAGACTCCTGTATCTATGTCAATATAATTCGGCTCATTCAAGCTCAGGAGGCCTGGAGACATATAAGGCTTTTATTCCCAGCACTAGCCTGTCAGAAGTTTTCTATTCTCTATTATGGTTTGTTACCATAGAATGTGGAGGTGATTGCAGTCATAGTAGAGAAAGGTAAATATGTGAATGCACATGTTATTGTGACCTCCCAAACTTTGGCCTGAGGGGGTGACTTTCAAGGGCAGTGCTATGAACTGAATTGTATTCCCTTAAAATTCAGATATTGAAGCCCTTAAGCTTCAATGTGATGGTATTTGGAGATAAGGCTTTCAGAAGTAATTAGGTTTAGATGAGGTCAGAAGGATGGGGCTCTTGTGATGGGAGTAGTGCCCTTCTAAGAAGAAACACCAGAGAGCCTGCTCTCTGTCTCTCTCCATCTCATGGGAGAACACAGGCAAAAGGTGGTCATTAGCAACCCAGGAAAGGGCATCTCCCCAGAACCTGACCTTTTGAGACCCTGATCTCAGACTTCTAGCCTCCAGAAATGTGGGCAAAAAATTTTTTGTTGTTTAAGCCACACAGTCTGTGGCATTTTGTTATGGCAGCCAAAGCAAGTAATATGGGCAGCATCAGACACTGCATCAGACATTTGCACATTCCCCCTTTCACCTAACCTTTGAATGTCAGTGCAGTCTCTGCAAAGCTAGAACAGGTGGACTTTGGCATCCAGTTTTCGAAAGATTGCATCCCCTGTTAGATGTATTACACATTCTAATGTATCACTCTTTAAAAAACCAAGCATCTTTAGCCTGGCTTTAGAGTTAAATGAACTCTAGTTAGTCATAACAAGACACTGCAGTTAATGAGAGTTTTGCTTTTCCCAATCATGTTAGAGTGCGGTATTATGTTTCTGTAAAACAAAACAAATAATAGGATGTGAAGCTCCACCTAGAAGTAGTTCAGTTATTTCAGTTTCTTTAATTGACTTTGTGTGAGTTTTTGAGTAGTTGAAAGACATAACTATGGCTGTGAATACAAGGGAAGGCATATTCTTTACTAGGTTTTGGCATTTGCCAGAAATTTTACCAAAACATGCACACCAGAGAAGTTTATAAAATGCATGTATTTCATGAACATGAAGTCAAAGGTATATTTTATAAACATGTAGTCACGTTTGACTACATTTGTTATATTAATTATATTCACGGGGCTAGGAGAGACAAGTAAATTGGTAGTTCAACAACTTCTGTGTAATTATATAATCAACCTCACAATGGCTTGAGTTTAATTTTTTAATTGAGTCTTGCATTATTATAGTTGCAATATATAGATATTGTAGAAAATTAGAACATTGAAGCAATAGGGAGGAGGGGGCAAGATGGCTGACTAGAAGCAGCTGCTGTCAGTGGCTCTCATGGAGAAGAATGAAAATGGCAAGTAAATCCTACACCTTCAGCACAGGTATTCAGGTTTTTCTCATTGGGACCAACTAGACAGTTGGTACAACACCCAGAGAGTGAGAAAAAGCAAGGTGGAGCCACAGCCCACCTGAGAGCCACATAGGTTAAGGGGAATTCCTACCCCCAACCAAGGGAGGTGGTGAGTGATTGTGCTACCTCACCAGGGAAACCATGCTTTTTCTGTGGATCAGGAGATCCCCCTGTGAGCCTATGCCATCAGGGCCTTGGATCCTGAGCACAGAATCATGTAAACTCTTGGTGGCTGCTTGAGTTGTAGCCAGCGGCAGCAGTCTGGAGACTCCCTAAGATGACCAGGTTCCTGGGGAGAGGGGTGATGACCATCACTGTGGCTCCAGTCTGTCATTCTCCCCTGCTGGTGCCAGGGAAGCTGGGCAGTTTGGACTGGGAGGAATTCCCACAGTGCAGTACAGCAGCTGTGGCAGATAATGGCCAGACTGCTTCTTTAGGTGGGACCTGAATCCATTCCTCCTCACAGGGTGGGGCCTCCCTGGGAATTTCAGCAATTCTAGCCAGGGGTTTACAGACAGAACTCTGAACTCTCTGGGATGGAGACCCTGGGAGGAGGGGTGGCCACAGTTTCCACAGTTTAGTGGACTTTGTCTTTCCTGCCTGCTTGCTCTGAAGAGGCTGGGCAGTCCACATGAGGAGGACTTCCCCCAGTGCAGGGCACCTGCTCTGCCAAGGGGCAGCCAGAGTACATTAAGTGGGTCACTGATCTGGTGCCTCCTGACTGGGTGAGACATGCCAACAGGGGTTGCCAGACACCTTATACAGGAGTGTTCCTGCTGGCATCAGATGGCTGCCCTTCTGTGACAGGGTTCCAAGAGGAAGGAGCAACCAGCCATGTTTGCTGTTCTGCAGTCTCCACTGCTGACACCTCCAGGTGCGGGAGGGACCCAGGTGAATAGGGTCTGGAGTGGACCCCCAGAAAACCACAGCAGCCTTACAGAAGAGGGGCCAGACTGTTAAAAGAAAAACAAACAAATATAAAGCAACAACAACAATATTGACAAGAAGACCCTACAAAAACCCTATCCAAAGGTCATCAGCCTCAAAGATCGAAGGTAGATAAACCCACAAAAATGGGAAAAAATGAATGCAAGAATACCGAAAACTCAAAAACCCTGAGTGCCTCTTCTCCTCCAAATTATTGCAATACCACTCCAGTAAGGGAACAGAACTGGGCTGAGGCTGACATGGATGAATTGACAGAAGTAGGCTTCAGAAGGTGGGTAATAACAAACTTTACTGAGCTACCAGAGCATGTTCTAACCCAATGCAAACAAGCTAAGAATCATGATAAAACATTATGGGAGCTATTAACCAGAATAACCAGTTTAGAGAGGAACATAAATGACCTGATGGAGCTGAAAAACACTACACAAAAACTTCACAATGCAACCACAAGTATCAATAGCCAAATAGACCAAGTGTAAGAAAGAATCTCAGTGCTTGAAGACTATCTTCTGAAACAAGACAGGCAGACAAGATTAGAGAAAAAAAGAATAAAAAGGAATGAACAAAACCTCTGATAACTATGGGATGGGATTATGTAAAAAGGCTGAACCTACAACTAATGGGGGTATATGAAAGAGACAAGGAGAATGGACCCAAGTTGGAAAACATTCATCAGGATATCATTCAGAAAAACTTCCCTAACCTAGCAAGACAGGCCAACATTCAAATCCTGGAAATTCAGAGAACCCCAGTAAAATACTCTATGAGAAAAATCAACTCCAAGACACATAATCATCAGATTCTTCAAAGTTGAAATGAAGGAAAAAATGTTAGGGGCAGCCAGAGAGAAAGGCCAGGTCACCTACAAAGGGAAACCCATCAGACTGACAGCAAACCTCTCAGTGGAAACCCTACAAGCAAAAAGAGATTGGGGGCCAACATCAACATTCTTAAAGGAAAGAATTTCCAACCCAGAATTTCATATCAGGCCAAACTAAGCTTCATAAGTGAAGGAGAAATAAAATCCTCTTCAGACAAACAAATGTTGAGGGAATTAGTCACCACCAGGCTTGCCTTGCAAGAGCTCCTGAAGGAAGCACTAAATATGGAAAGGAAAAACCATTACCAGCTACTATAAAAACACACTGAGGTATGCAGACCAATGACAATATGAAGCAACTACATTGACAAGTCTGCAAAATAACTGGCTAGAATCATGATGACAGGATCAAATTCACACATAACATTATTATCCTTAAATGTAAATGGGCTAAATGCCCCCAATTAAAAGACACAGAATGGCAAGCTGGATAAAGAGTCAAGACTCATCAGTGTGCTGTATTCAAGAGACCCATCTCATGTGCAAAGACCCACATAGGCTCAAAATAAAGCGATGGAGGAAAATTTACCAAGCACATGGAAGCTGAAAAAATCAAGGGCTACAAGTGTAGTTTCAGACAAAACAGACTTTAAACCAACAAAGATAAAAAAATACAAAGAAGGTCATAATGGTAAAGGGTTCAATTCAACATGAAGAGCTAACTATCCTAAATATATTTGCACCCAATACAGGAGCACCCGGATTTATAAAACAAGTGCTTAGAGACTTACAAAGAGATTTATACTCCCACACATAATAGTGGGAGAGTTTAACACCCTACTGTCATTATGAGATAGATCATCAAGATAGAAAATTAACAAAGATATTCAGGACTTGAACTCAGCTCTGGATCAAATGGAGCTAATAGATATATACAAAACTTTCCACCCCAAAAATAATGGAATATACATTCTTCTCAGAATTGCCTGACACTTTACTCTAAAATTGATCACATCATTGATAGTAAAACACTTCTCAGCAAATGCAAAAGAACTGACATCATAACAGTCTCTCAGACCACAGCACAATCAAATTAGAACTCAAGATTAAGAAACTTACTCAAAACCACACAATTTCATCAAAATTGAACAACCTGCTCCTGAATGACTCCTGGGTAAATAATAAAATTAAGGCAGAAATCAAGAAGTTCTTTGAAGCTAATGAGAATGAAGAGACAATGTACCAGAATCTTTGGGATGCAGCTAAAGCAGTGTTAGGAGGGAAATTTATAGCACTAAATGCTCATATCAAAAATATAGAAACATCTCAAATAGACACCCTAACATCACAATGAAAAGAACTAGAGAACCAAGAGCAAACAACCCCAAAACTAACAGAAATAAGAAACAACCAAGATCAGAGAGGAACAGAAGGAGATAGAGACGCACACACACACACAAAAAAAAACCTTCGAAAAAATCAATGAATCCAGGAGCTGTTCTTTTTTAAAAAAAATATTAAAATAGACCACTAGCTAGACTAATAAAGAAGAACAAGAATCAAATAAACACAATAAAAAATGATAAAGGGGATATCGCCACTGACCCAACAGAAATACAACCATCAGAGAATACTATAAACACCTCTATGCAAACAAACTAGAAAATCTAGAAGAAAAGGATAAATTCCTGGACACATACACCCTCCCCAGACTGAGCCAGAAAGAAGTTGAATCCCTGAATAGACCAATAACCAGCTGTGAAATTGAGGCAGAAATAAATAGCCTACCAACCAAAAAAAGCTCATGATCAGACAGATTCATGGCTAAATTGTACCAGAGGTACAAAGAAGGGCTAGTACCATTTCTACTGAAACTATACCAAAAAATTGAAAAGGAGGGACTTCTCCCTAACTCATTTTATGAGGCCAGCACCATCTTGATACCAAAACCAGGCAGAGACACAACAACAACACAAAGGAAAACTTCAGGCCAACATCCCTGATGAACATCAATGCAAAAATCCTCAATAAAATACTGGCAAACCAAACCCATCTGCACATCAAAAAGTTTATCTGCTATGATCAAGTCAGCTTCATCCCCAGGATCCAAGGCTGGTTCAACATACACAAATCGATAAACGTTAAGTCATCGCATAAAGAGAACTAAAGACAAAAACCACATGATTATCTCACTAGATGGAGAAAAAGCCTTTGATAAAATTCAACATCCCTTCATGTTAAAAACTCTCAGTAAACTAGCTATTGTAAGAACATACCTCAAAATAATAAGAGCCATTTATGACAAACCCACAACCAATATCATACTAAATGGGTAAAAGCTGGAAGCATTCCCCTTGAAAATTGGCACAAGACAAAATGCCTTCTCTCACCACTTCTATTCAACATAGTGTTGGATTTTCTGGCCAGGGCAATCAGGCGAGAGAAAGAAATAAAGTGTTTCAAATTGGAAGAGAAAAAGTCAAACTGTCTCTGTTTGCAGAGGGCATGATCCTATATCTAGAAAACCTCATCATCTCCGCCCCAAAGCTTCTTAAGCTGATAAGCAACTTCAGCAAAGTCTCAGGGTACAAAATCAGTTTGCAAAAATCACAAGCATTCCTATACACCAATAACACACAAGCAGAAAGCCAAATCATGAACGAACTTCTATTCACAATTGCTTCAAAGAGAATAAAATACCTCGGAATACAGTTAATAAGGGAAGTGAAGGACCACTTCAAGCAGAACTACAAACCACTTCTCAAGGAAATTAGGACACAAACAAATGGAAAAACATTATATGCTCCTGGATAGGAAGAATCAGTGTCATGAAAATGACCATACTGCCCAAAGTAATTTATAGATTCAATGCTATTCCCATTAAACTACCATTGACATTTTTCACAGAATTATAAAAAACTATTTTAAAATTCATATGGAATCAAAAAATAGCCCGTATAGCCAAGACAATCCTAAGCAAAAAGAACAAAGCTGGAGGTATCACACTACCTGACTTCAAACTGGTACAAGGTGAAAGTAACCAAAATGGCTGGTACCAAAACAGTACTGGTACAAAAGCAGACACATAGACCAATGGAACAAAATAGAGAACTCAGAAATAAGACCACACATCTACAACCATCTGATCTTCAACAAACCTGACAAAAACAAGCAATGGGGGAAAAGATTCCCTATTTAATAAATGGTGCTGGGAAAACTAGCTAGCCATATGCAGAAAATTGAAACTTCCTTATATCTTATATAAAAATTAACTCAAGATGGATTAGATTTAAATGTAAAACCCCAAACTATAAACACCTTAGAAGAAAGTCTAGGCAATACCATTCAGAACATAGGCACAGGCAAAGATTTCCTTATGAAAATGTCAAAAGCAATTGCAACAAAAGCAAACATTGAAAAATGAGATCTAATTAAACTAAAGAGCTTCTGCACAGCAAAAGAAACTATCATCAGAATGAACAGACAACTTACAGGATGGGAGAACATTTTTGCAATCTATCCATCTGACAAAGGTCTAATATCCAGAATCTACAAGGAACTTAAACAAATTTACAAGAAGAAAACAAACAACCTCACTAAAAAGTGGGCAAAGGACATGAGCATATACTTCTTTAAGACATTTATGTGGCCAAGAAACATATGTGGCCAAGAAACATATGAAAAAAAAAGCTCAACATCACTGATCATTAGAGAAATGCAAATCAAAACCGCAATGAGATACAATCTCACGCCATTCAGAATGGCACTTATTAAAAGGTCAAGAAACGACAGATGCTGGTGAGACTGGGAAGAAATAGGAATGCTTTTACACTGTTGGTGGGAATGTAAATTAGTTCAACCATTATGGAAGACAATGTAGCTATTCCTCAAACACCTAGAACCAGGGCCAGGCGTGGTGGCTCATGCCTGTAATCCCAGCACTTTGGGAGACCGAGGCGAGTGGATCATGAGGTCAGGAGTTCAAGACCAGCCTGGCCAAGATGGTGAAACCCCGTCTCTACTAAAACTACAAAAATTAGCTGGGCACAGTGGAAGGCGCCTGTAATCCCAGCTACTCAGGAGGCTGAGGCAGAAGAATCGCTTGAACCTGGGCAGCAGAGGTTGCAGTGAGCCGAAATCGCGCCACTGCACAAATAACAGTCTGAGTGATAAAGTGAGACTCAATCTCCAAAAAAAAAAAAAAAAAAAGACCTAGAACCAGAGATATCATTTGACCCAGCAATTCCATCACTGGATATACATTCAAAGGAATATAAATCATTCTGTTATAAGATACCCGCACTCATATGTTCATTGCAGCACTACTCACAATAGCAAAGGCATGGCATCAACCCAAATGCCTGTCAATGATAGACTAGATAATGAAAATATGGTACATATACATGATGGAATACTATGCACCCATAAAAAGGAATGAGATCATGTCCTTTGCCGGGACATAGATGGAGCTGGAAGCCATTATTTTCTGCAAACTAATGCAGGAACAGAAAACCAAACACTGCATATTCTCACTTATAACTGGGAGCCGAACAATGTGAACACATAGACACAGGGAGGGGAACAACACACACTGGGGCCTGTCAGGGTCGGGGGTGAAAGAGGAGGGAGAGCATCAGGAAAAATAGCTAATACATGCTGGGCTTAATACCTAGGTGATGGCTTGGTATGTGCAGCAAATCACCATGGCACATGTTTACTTATGTAACAAACCTGTACATCCTGCACATGTACCCCAGAACTTAAAATAAATAAAATTAAAATTAAGAAAATAAAAAATAATAAACACATTCACATAACTTTTTTTAAAAAGAAAATTCAAGCAACAAACTTTTTTAGTAGCAACTTCCTCTTCTCACCACCCAAAGATCACCACTGTTCTTGAGTATATCTTTAAAATGAAGTCAGTGAATCCTAAGATTAGGGTTTGAGACTGTGCCACCATTGTTGAATGTGAATTTACTCCAGGGGCAGTGCTCTTTATTTCCAGGGTAACTTTCAGAAACAGTTCCCTCTGGGAACATATTCAGAGAAGTTCTTTAAAAGAAAACATTCTAAAGCAATCTCCCTAGTGATATGCTTGAATTAAGTTGTCACCATTCCATGACACGTACAGTTTAGTCCTAATTCTTTTTATATGCAAAATCATTATCACTCCTTCAGTCAATCAGCTCACTATTCAGAGGACAGCTCTCTGGCCCCATGAAGTACACTTCCTAGTTTCATGCATCTTTTCCTACTTTTCTGTTAACACTGCAACAGGAAAAAAAAGTTGAATCTCTACTGCCTTACCTCACCACTGACATCATTTTAAAAATTGTTCCAGGGACCAGATATTGTCTTGTATCTATAGTGACAACTCAGAGTCTTATACTAAGTTAGAGGGAAAATTAGAGGAACTGATTACAATTCATGACCAGGACAGGTCTTACAAGAAGACTCTAGAGCATTCATCTGACCCACCCCTCATGTACTATGAGAGTCATTGTATATCTCAGTAGGTAGTAGATTGTTGTGGCTTTGGTCACTGAATATGGTCTGGGAATAGGTTTTTCAGAAAACTAAAATATCTATCCTTTTCTGGAGAGAATGTCTGAAATCTTAACTCATAACTATTTTGAGGGGGAGATCTTTTAAATGTATGCTTTTCTGACTCAGGAGACAAAACAGACTGCATCATTCTTGCATCTGTGGATGACTCAAGGTCATTGTCACAGAACTTCAGTGATGGAGTGATGTCATAGGATGCTGGTACAGTGGATAGCACTACCAGCTATGAAACTTCAGTAGGAGTTTCTCCTCCTATCTGGAAAGCTGGCTATTCTGGTCACCATGACTGGACCTGATTTATATCATCCCTGTCAATGCTTCTCTCTACTGTAGCTTCTGCAGCCCATGGCTCTATTCCTTCAACATCCCCTCCTGCTCCCATGTACTTTTATCCATTACTTTTCCTCTCTTCTTAGATTTGGCCCTGGAGAATTTACCTTCTTAACCAGAACAAGTGCTTGGACAGTTTTGGACACTCAATTATTATTTTAATTCCTTCTGGCTTCCCTTTCCACCCCACCCCTTCACCTTCCAGTTTAGCAATCCTTCAAAACTTCTTGTTGTCTTTATTCTTTGTATCATTGATGTCTTCTTGGCTGTTTTTTAAGGTTTATTTTTAGAGATGGTGGTCTCGCTACGTTGCCAGGCTGGACTTGAACTCCTGGGCTCCAGTGATCGATTGCTTGAAATATTTCTGGAGTTCAAGTCTAACCTGGCAACATAGCAAGACCCCATCTGTAAAAATTGCCTCAGCCATCCAAGTAGCTGGAACTACAGGTGTGTGCCACCACATTTGGCTTTCTTGGCTATTTCTTATCATCTTTTTCCTCAGAGGGTGTCTGGACCATTCAGAGTTAACCAATTAGTGTGACTTATCTCCTGTCCTGTGAGGAGAAACCATTCTACAGTCACCTGGAATCAGTAAAGGAAACTGCATGCTCCTCTGAATTCCACACCAACCACACTCTAGTTGAAAACAGTGGTCTAAAAATTGAAAAGTGTTCTATTATACACCAAACCTGTACTTCACTAAATGGTAACTTAATGACCTGAAGCAGGGTTTAACAACCTTTTTCATGCCTTGACCCACATAGAAAATGATAAATATTTGCACAGTGCTCTGGAATAAACAGATGAAGGTGACCATCTGCCCTGAAGGTGGAGGAGTTCAATATCTACACACATACCTGTAACCTATTCTTGGTACCATGTCGGGAAGCCTGACATAAGGAGTTGTCCTGTTTCCAAAGGCACAGAATTTACTTAAAGGAGTGAGAATAGCTAGTCACTGTGCACTATATGTTTTCCAAAAGGTTCTTTATCATTTTCGAACGTTATTTGGAGTACCAGGAGGGTTTCCTTAGGCTTAGAGATTAACAAAATAAAAAAGCATTAAGTGTAAGAATAGCTAATTTTTTTTGAAATGTCATTAACATAGCGTAGACTGTTTTAAGTGTTTTACATGGATATCAGAGAAGATGCCAGCCTCCTAGGAGCTGAGGTCAAATCCAGCCTTCAGCCTATTTTTGTTCAACCTGTGAATTAAACATTTTTTTATTTTTAAAAGATTGTTAAAGAAAAGCACACTAAGAAGAATATGCAGTAGAGACTATATGTGGTCCCAAAGCTTAAAACATTTACCTTCTGGCCCTTTAGAGAAAAAGTTTGCCAACCCTCATCACAGAGGATGGCAGGGAGTGACAAAGCTCCAAAAAAGATCCAAAGGACATGAGTAAGCAATCAGGAAGGCTGGCTTTCCACAGCCCCATAGATTCCAAAAGTAGACAATGAGATTCAATAGATCTGAGCAAGACCATTTTTATTTACAGCACGGAAAGCAGCAGAAGCATCACATGATACTGCCAGTTCCTCTGCCATTACATCCCACATAACACAAAGGGCCCAGGTGGCAGCTATGCGGGCAGTTGTGCTGCAGCTGAGGAATCTAGGACCAAGCCCTCCATACCTTTTACAGCAAGTAATGAACAAGCCAGAATCCTTCCCCTGAGGAGTTAGTAGTCATATGGTTGTCTGTCTGTGTCACCATGACCTACTTAATTGGCTATGTGATTAGCTACAGAAATGGCTCAGCATCATAGGACAGCTAGGCCTTGCATTTTGGCATACTCAGCAAGGATGGGTGCAGATGCTGGGGCCCATGGAAGACTGCCTTTCCCAACAGTGGGTGGTCCATTTCATCCTTATCACAATCCTGAGAAGAAGATGCTACTATTATCCCATTTCACAAGTGAAGAAATTGAGGTTCGGTGAAAGGGAAGTAACAAAGCAACTTGCTTAAGGTCATAAGCAACTTGCCCAAGGTCAAAAGTAACTTGCCCAATGTTGCAAAGCTAGTAGACAGTGAGCAGTGATTTAACCCTACTCTGTCTGAATGCAGGGCCCAAACAACATACAACTGCCTCATTCCATTTGGCAGGAAATTGAGAACCACAAGGAACAGATTTAAATTATGTATCTGAGAGAATAATTCATTGTGGTTTTTTGTTTGTTTGTTTTTGTTTTGTTTTTGAGATGGAGTCACACTCTGTCACCCAGGCTGGAGTGCAATGGCATGGTCTCGGCTCACTGCAACCTCCACCTCCCAGGTTCAAGTGATTCTCCAGCCTCAGCCTCCTGAGTAGCTGGGACTACAGGTGTGTGCCACCACGCCCGGCTAATTTTTATATTTTTAGTAGAGACGAGGTTTCACTATGTTGGCCAGACTGGTCTCAAACTCCTGACCTCGTGATCCACCTGCCTTGGCCTCCTGAAGTGCTGGGATTACAGGCATGAGCCACTGCACCCGGCCTTAGAATAATTCATTGTTTTGTTTTCCTCTTTTAATGATAATGCTGAGAGATGGCATTTTGACAATGCATAGAGTCTTTGGTGCATAATAATTTTAAGATTTATATATGTTCAGATACTAGTAAAAGCTTGCTAAAATCTTTCCTGATTAAAAAAAAATGGATTTGGCTAGATTTTACCTTTGCCAGTTGTTTTAAAAAGTTTCCTTTGCAGTACGAAAGGCAAAACACACATTTAATTATCTTTCTCTAGCTAATGTTTGAACTGCCTAATTATACTCAAAGTGCTAATTACAGATATTACAAATTGCAACTCACAATAAAATATTTCTTCATGACTTAACCAGTCCCATCAATTAAATGAAGTCCCAGACATATTCCTCCACACCCTTTGTGTTACTCTCTCTACATTTCCACAAACCAGTAACTGATTTGTATGGATAGTATAGAAACAGGTGCAGAGAGGCATTGTGCATATGTGTCTATGTGTGAAAAACTAACGCAAACAGCAGAAGAGGTTGCTGAAAACAGCAATGAGAGCACATACACATGAAGCTTAATGGCAATGCTAAGTCCAACACAAGGGGGTGGAAATGAAGGGGTCGGGGCTGTTGCAGGGGACTTTGGGGTTGCAGGTAACTGAAACATCTGAAATTGTTTAAGCAAAGGAAAAAAATTTCAATGGAAAAAAATGACCTTCCTCATAATATCCATGGCAGAAAGTTCAGACAAGTCTTAGACAAGATCAGGAAACCTCTTGCTAAGGAAGCCCACCAGCTCTCTGTGATCACATGGTCCCTCACACCTGCTCTACTACTCCAGGGTAGTAGAATGTCAGTCAAAAATTGGGCTCTGGAGTCAGGTCAGACAACTAGATTCACACCCCGGCTGTGCACTTTCATTAATCTCTCTTTGTGTCAGTTTCTTTGACTGTAAGCACTTGAGTTTAATTGAGTTCTATGAACATTAATTGAAATAGGACCTAATACATACTAAATGTTCAATATTATTAGTGCTTTTCTTTCATATTTGCTTTATCCTTTTCCATCATCAAATTGGCTTCCCCTTCTTTTTATGCATGTGATAAGATGTCTTCCCAATTTAATCATTAATTCTAACGGACTACCTAGTGCCTCAGTCACAAATACAGTTTCCTAGAGGAAAGAATCTGGTCCGGCACTGGTAAGGTTCTATTCCTGGTCCAATCAGCTGTGGTTGGAGGACAGGATCACAGGGTTCAGGTGTGACCACAGAGACCCATTTCTTTGTTAGCTGGGGGCATGAGAAGAGACAGAGAACTTCCATAGTACTTTTGAATTCAATATAGACATTAATAGTTGTTGATATTGAATGTTCTACTGTTTATAAATGGTAGAACATCTTAATATATAAGGAAAGATGCATGTAAATCAAAACCTATTCTAAATGGTATCTAAGAAGATCATGAAGTAAAATTATTTGTAAAAACTTCTTTTAAATTTGAAATAACATACTGAATATTTATTTTGTATATTAAAAATTAAAATATTCAAGGTGTTTGTTAAGACAGGTTATGTCAACGTCAAGAGATGAAATTTTGAAGTTTTAAAGTTTGCCATGCAATTTGCTTGATCTCCTTTTAAAGAAACTAAACTCAACAGATCCTGTGTTGTTTGTTGTATTTTCTTATGGTTGATCAAGAAGGACAGAATTCTGTTCTTTTTTTGAAAGAGATTAAAATCAGATGTAAAGAAGCAAGTTGGCACCTACTTCCTCTGGGGATACTACATGATCTTTGTTCTCATTTCAGTTATTCAAGACACAAGCAGATAGATCATCAGTGTCCTTCTGATTCTTGATTGTGTTATTTCATTTATTCAGAAAAATTAATTTATGTTCAATTTCACATTTACTGTGTGTCATGTGAGGCCCTGGGCTAGTAGCCTTGTGAATGAGTTCAGGAGGAATGAAATGGACTCTTTTCCCTTGAGGACTTCATTATGGGAGAGATGGCTGTGTATGTAGGAGATACATTTACACAGCTATGGTAGGCATGGCTGTTTATACAATGGGCACCTTTATGCAACTGTTGGAGAGATGGCTGTGTGTATAGTGGACACATTTACACAACTGTAGGAGAGGTGGCCATGTACACAGTGGATAATTTGCACAACTGTGGGAGATGGCCATGTGCACAGTATACATATTTACCCAGTGGTGGAAGAGATGGTTGTGTATACAGTAGACATTTTCACAACTATAGGAGAAACAGTTGTTTATACAATGGACACATTTATGCAACTGTAAGAGAGATGGCCATGCATAGAGTAGACACATTTACATAATGGTGGGAGAGATGGCGCGTATCAGTATACATATTTATGCTGCTGTGTAAATATGGGAGAGAAGATGATTAGTGGGAGAGATAAGAGAGACATGGGAAGATGACCATAACTCAGTAAACTCTGTAGCGTGGAACTTTCCACATCATTGGTGCTCAGTTCTTGTTGAATGAATAAACTAACTGGTGCATCAGGCAGGATGATAAAAGTGTTATTGGACAAGCACAAAATGTTATAAAAGTGTAAAAGAGAGTCATTCACTCATTAAATAAACACTTGTATGCCTACTATGTATCAGGGGCTGTTTTAAGCATAACTGTATGGCTATTACTTCTGGTTAGAAACTTTTAGAAAATGACATAAAGGAGTTGGCATGCTAGAGTTGATATGCTAGACCTTAAAGTCCCAATTCATAGATTTAAACAGGCAAAATGGGCCTGAGAGAATTCTAAGATCAAAGTTAAGTTTGGCTGGAGATGGCAGATGTAAGGTGAAGCACAATGATTAAGATTACAAAGGTAGTATAAGCCAAAACCACTGAGGAAAGGGCATTTTGTGCTGAAGGGCTAGTTTGGACTTAGTTTTGTGCACAGTAAAGAGTTGCTGAAACTTTAGAAGTCCTATAAGCAGTTTGTCTTTGAGGGCGTCCAAGGATAGAGAGGAAAAAACCAAAGTATTTTTTTCGTATTCTCTTTTACGTCTTAATACAACACAGCACCTCCAGTCACCAAAATGTGTGGGGATTTCTCCCCATTAGCAACCAACCCTCCAGCAGATACCAGCTGGGTCTCCTCTAATTCAATTTAATTCTTATACTATCTACCTGAAGATAGTGTCAGATCCCACAGCTTAAGGGCTCAGTCCCACAAGACTGCCCCTACTTCAGACAGCAATCCCAGGAACTAAGTTGCTATTTATACTTCTGACCCACTGGCTATAAATCAAGATTCCCATATCCCCTCCTTGTGTTCAATTAATTTGCTAGAGCTGCCCACAGAATCCAGGAAAACACTTACATTTACCAGCTTATGTTCAAGGATATTACAAAGGATACAGATGAACAGCCAAATAAAGAGACGAATAGGGCAAGGTATGTAGGAAGGGATGTGGAGTTTCCATGCCCTCTCTGGCAGCCACCCTCCAGGGACCTCCCTGTGTTCAGCTATCAGGAAGGTCCTCAAACCTGTTCCTTTTGAGTTTTTATGGATACTTCATTAGGTAGGCATAATTGATTAAATCATTGGCCACTGATGATCAACTCCACCTCCAGCCCTTCTACCCTCTGTAGAAGTTTTAGAGTAGGGCTGAAAATCCCAACCCTCTAATCCTGCCTTGGTCTTTTGGTAACCAGTCCCCATCCTGACTGCTATCTAGAGTTGCCAGCCACCAGTCATCTCGTGAGCACACAAAAGACACTATTATCACTCTAGAGATTCAAAGTGTTTTAGGAGATGTATGTCAGAAAATGGGATAAAGACCAAGTATATATATCACAATATCACAGAGGAATTCACCTAGCAATGCTGTGTGGATTGTATTGGTGGCCTCATCAGGAATGAGGCCTTGTAGCAAGGGAGTGATCATGGAAATGTAGAAAAAATATGAATATGAGAAACACTGGAAGGTTAGAAACTGTAACATACAAGAGACATTTCCATGTAAAACTTATGGAACTAGAGGACATATCAAGTAATAGTAAGAGACTAAGGCATCATAGATGATTCCTGAGCTTCACAGTTACCTGTTTAGGAGATGAAAGGCACCATTAATGAAAATAAGGATCACAGGGGAAGGATCAGATTGGCAGGGAAGATGCATTTTGGATATACTAGGCTTGAAATGAGAGCAGAGTATGCACATGGAAATCTGTAGTACATCCATTGCACAGGGTTATTAATTCAAGCAAGCAAGGCCTGGGAGCAACTGCAGTAGGTCCTTGAAGGACTGACTTTCACCTATTAGATAGTAATCTCATGGATATCTTCATCTACAATATCAATGTTTCCAGCTGGAAGGAGGAAAAGTTTTGCAGCTGCAATGTAAATAGGGATTAGTGAGCTCCTCCAAAATACTGTTGGCTTCAGCACAACACAGAGCTGGCCAGAGATGAAACTTAGATATGCAGGCACAGTACCAGAAACAGCAAATGGACTTCAGGCTCTGTCTGTGATCCAAGAGACGAGAACTTAGGACCATCCAGGGAAAGTCTTGGAAAGTCATAATTGCTACTGGCTGAGTTGGGAAGACACCAAAAATCCCAGCAGAGAGTGGGATGTGAGGATCAGAAAATAGGGAGTTGGCAAAAATAATGGGTGTCAACCAAGCATAGTAAATTAGGATAATCAGACTAATTTTGCCAGATGGCAAAATTTTTCACTTGAGTTCACCTTTAAAACACTGTATTTGGCGCATAAATGCCAGTTGGAGGCCCTCCAGTGTTATAAAGTTGCCAGTCAGTATTTGACAAAGATAATAGCTGAAGCCATCAGATTGGATGACATTTCAAAGGTGTACTGTCATATTTATGGAATGGTAAGAGGAGCTAGATGTGAAGAAGACAGAGATAAGAGAAAGACCAAAAGGATGCAGTATTTTTGAAGCAAAGGAAACAGACTTCACAGCCAACTTTTCCAAGAGACCAAGTAAAGAGTAATATATATTTTCAACATGTGCATAGCACTGTATTAGGTGTAAAAGAAGTCAGATAACATGGGTTCCGCCCTGCAGAAGCACTTTTTCTTGAGCATAAAGGATATATAAAAAGTTTGGGGGCTAAATTGTGTCACAGGTTATTAAAGCAAATGGGAAATATTTCCACCTCTGAACATGATGGAGTAATGGAAACCAGATTCAACTTTCTACCTTAAACAACTAAACAAAAAATAAATCACAAAATATATGAATCAATGGTTTTCCAATATTGGTCAATAGGCAGTAATTTCTAACAAGAAGAACAAAGTGAGTCCTACAATTGCCTCAGCTTGACACCTAGACAGAGTTTCCAGGCTAGCGTTGAGGGAAAAGGAACCTAGGCAGAGCCAGGCAAACTTCCTGAGTTGAGAGGCACAGTTGAGAATGTTAAGGTAGGCTAAAGCACCTAAGATTCCTGAGGCAGAGTACCAGAGATGCAGAGAGAGAGAGAGCTCCAGAACCTGAAGAGGATTCCTTTCAAGTCCAAAGCTGAGTACTGATGAGCGCATACTTATGTAGAAACATCACCAGAAAGAAATTAACAGAACAATTCCTCACAGTAATTCAAGACTGGAAATAATTCACGTTTCCAGCAGCCAGAGGAAAGAACCCTTGTAATACATGGGGCATTAGGTTGAGTGCTCAAAAGGGTATTGCATAAGTAGAGGGGCCAAATTAATGAAAGCTGCTGTGGTCCCCACATAACAAAACTTAACTGCAAGCTGAGAGAATCAAAATGTTTCTAAGTAACTTACACATGTCCCAGAACAAAGTTCAAGAACAGTAAAAGTAATGCAAAAACAAAAAAACAATCCCAGGAACTAAGTTGCTATTTATACTTCTGACCCACTGGCTATAAATCAAGATTCCCAGACCTGCTCCTTGTGTTCAATTAATTTGCTAGAGCTGCCCACAGAATCCAGGAAAACACTTGCATTTACCAGCTTATATTCAAGGATATTACAAAGGATACAGATGAACAGCCAAATAAAGAGATGAATAGGGCAAGGTGTGTAGGAAGGGATGTGGAGTTTCCATTCCCTCTCTGGCAGCCACCCTCCAGGGACCTCCCCGTGTTCAGCTATCAGGAAGGTCCTCAAACCTGTTCCTTTTGGGTTTTTATGGATACTTCATTAGGTGGGCATAACATCCAGCAGCATCGTCACAATGTCTCTCACCTAATAAAAAATGAGTAAATTTGAAGGCAAAGTAATAGAACGTTTTCAAAATAAAACGAAGAAAATAAAACAAAAAATAAACAAAATAACAGAGCAGCAATGAGTTGTTGGACAACTTCTAGAGGCTTAGTACACATGTCCTCAAAGAAAGGGGCAGTGCAGAAAAAATATTTGAAGACCTAACGGCTTACATTTTTTCAAATTTGATGAAAACTATAAATTTAGAAATCCAAGAAACTCAACAAATTCAAATAAAAGAAACATGAAGAAAACTGCATCAAGGCACATCTTAATGAAATTTTTTAAGGCCAATGGGGCAGGAGAAGTCTTTACATCAGCCAGAGGGAAAATAAAACCACAATTAGTATAGAGCAACAAAGATAAAAATAACAGCAGAGTTCTCAATGGAAACAGTGCAAGTGAGAAGAAAGTGAAGAAGCAGCTTTAAAGTACTGAAAGAAAACAAACATTCAATTTAGAATTCTATACCCAGCAAGAATATATTTTTAAAAACAAAGGCAAAGTCTCTTTCAGACATACACAATCTGAAAGAATGCAGTTATCAGATAAGCAATGCAAGAAATTCTTCAGGTAGAAGGAAAGTGACGCCAGATGAAAATCTGGATCTAAACAAAGGAGTGAAGTGCTCCAGAAAGTATCTTTTTAAAATAAAAATAATAATAGTGTGTTATGAGCATTATAACATATATACAAATAAAACAAAGTAGCAGACAGCTTCTAAATAGCTTCTAATTATCCCCACCTCCTGATGTAATCCTCTTCCCTTGTATGTAAAATAGACTAGAGACTTATTTCTTATGAATAGAATATGCCAAGAGTGTTAAGATATCAGTTCTGAGATTAGGTTATAAAAGACTGTGACTTTCATTTTGCTTAAACTCTTTCCCTGTTTCTTCCTGCTTGCTTGCTTGGATGAAGCAATCTACCATTTTGTGTACTGCCCTGTATGGAAGCCCATGTGGCAAAGAACTGAGGGTAGCCTCTGGCCAGTAGCCATGAAGAAACTGAGGTCTTCCATTCAAAGATCACCAGGGCCTGAATTCTGCCAACCACTGTATGAATGAGCTTAGTAGCAGTTTCTTCCCCAATTGAGCCTAAAGATGACTGAAGCCCTGGCTACACCTTGTTTGCAGCTTTGTGCAAGGCCCCAAGAGAGGATCCAGCTGAACTGCTCCCAGTTCAAATTCCTGACCCACAAAATCTGTGAAATAATAAATGTTGTTTTAAGCTACTAAGATTTGGGATAATTTGTTATGCAGCCATGTATAACTGATACATCAGGAGAAGTGAAATGAAAGTATATATGAGGATCAAAATAAAATATTTTCCCTTATTTTTTACATGTCTTTAAAAGATAATTGAGTGTTTCAGGTAAAAAGAATAACAATGGATTATGATTTTATAACAAATGAAGAAGTGAAATGTATGACCATTTTTAATTTTTGATGACAGAAAGCAGATAACTGGTTGTCTGAGACAGGGCTAGGCATGAAGAGTGGATTTGCAAAGGGGTATGAGAAAACCTTTGTAGGTGATGGGTCTGTTCATTATTGATTGTGGTGATGTTTTCATAGGTAGGTACATATGTCAAATCTCATCCATTTTGTACACTTTAAATAGGTACTTTATTATACATCAATTATACCTCAAAAAATATAAATAAAAGTCTAAGGAACAGACAATAGAAGTTTACAAAAGAGAAAGGTTGATGTAGGTGTAATTATTACAAAAGACTTCACAGAGGACCCAGCAACAGAATCAGGCTGTGATAAAATGGCAGAAGAAATATAGGGAAGGAATTAAAGTGGAGTACAGTAGACTACCAAGGCCAAGAAGTAGGAATTCGTGTGATGTGTAGAAGGAAAGAACATTGAGCAAAGAATGCCTTTTGAAGAAAACCAGCTTGCAAGGGTAATTTTTTCCTGAAAACTCCCAAGAGACAAATTCCTAAAAATCAAAAACATAATTACTATTAGTTTCAAGAGATGTTGATGCATCCTGAGCCCCCAAATTAAGCCACTTATACTAAAACAACACCAAATTGCCTTAAAATGGACACTGTTGCTTCAGCAGATGACATTCATCGTCATGGCATGGCCTTCCCAGGCAATTTCCCTTCATTAATTATTCTGTAATAAGGCTGAATGTCTTTGCTCAGCTCATTTACGGCTACTGCATACCATAAACTTAAACCTTTGCTGTCCTTTTTTAGGCCACAAAAGGCTAAATAAATCAATTAAAAAACAATGCTGGCCAGGCATGGTGACTCACACTTGTAATCCCAGCACTTTGGAAGGCCGAGGCAGGTGGATAACTTGAGGTCAGTATTTCAAGACCAGCTTGGGCAACATAGTGAAACCCTGTCTCTACTAAAAATACAAACATTAGCCAAGTGTGGTGGCATATGCCTACAGTCCTGAGGCAGGAGAATTGCTTGAACCCAGGAAGCAAAGGTTGCAATGAGCTGAGATCACACCAGTGCACTCCAGCCTGGGTGACAGAGCAAGACTCTGTCTCAAAAAATATAAATAAATAAATAAATAAATAAATAAATAAATAAATGGCAATGTAAATGATGCATAAGATTGTCACTACAATAAGCTTAAAAACCAAAAATTCTGGGAACACTTCAAAACTGGGAAGATGACCTCATAAGGGCTGTTGTTTCCTGGCGCTCAGCTACTTGGAGGTACAAACAATCCAAAACAGCTCTCATAAATGTAAGTGCATGCATCATAGGCCAAAGCAGATATTATATAAAACTCCTCGCAAATTTAAATTTTTGTCAACTAAAGGCCATACCCTGGGATATAACTGTAAAGTGAAATACACTTAGAGAAGATTAAATATGACCAGGCTGGGGAAGTGTTTGCATTGTTGGATTAAGGATTTGGGGCTTAATTGGGAGCCTTATAAGATTTGAAAAAAGAGAGTGACATTATGAAAGATGTCTTTAAGATCCATCTAGAAGTCATGTGCAGAGTAGAATTAGGCAGAGTACAAATAGGCAGAAAGGCGATTTAAGAGGCCATCATGGGGTAGATTGAGTGAGATGTGATGAGATTGTGGACAAAGGAAATGACGGTACAATCCTGAACACATTTACTACTAATTAACATTTATTGAGTATTTTCATGTGCCTGGCACTGTTCTAAGTGTTTACATGTATTAACTGTCCCTTTACTGAGTATTTACTATGGAATGTATATCATTATTGTCCCTACTTTACTTTTGAGAAAACTGAGACACAAGAGAGAGCTAGTGAGGAGCCCAGTCAGGGTTTGAACGGGGTAGTCTGGCTCCAGAGTTTCACACATGCTCTGTGCCCTCTTAAGCATTCATTCACTCTGTATGGGTCCTATGAGAAGTACTCAGAGTGCCATTAAAGAAGAAGCCAAGGCCAAGAGAGATCCTGAGTGCATTCACTTTTCTCCATGGCTACTACCTTAGGCCAGAACAGTGTCCTCTCCGCGGCAGCCCCTAGCAGCTTTTCCTGCCTCCAGATGTGTCCTCTTCCATCAATCAGTTGTCTGCCCTCACCAGAGCGATCTTCCAAAAGCATCAGCTGATCACATCACCCCTTGGTTCAAAATCACTGGGATAAAGTTCAGAGCTCACACGTGTCTTACAAGGCCCTACATGATTTGGTCCTGGATGATTTTTTTAGCCTTGTCTCTCATCCCTCTCCATTTTGCATCCTAAGTCCCAGACATAAGGCTCTCATGTCTGGGATTTTTGACATAATGCTTTTAAAGTTGGAAATATTATTCCCCCTTCCATCCACACCACTATTCTTCCTGGACTGACTCTTACTCATCTTTCCCATCCAATCTGAGAGGTCACTTCCCTTTGAAAGTCTACTCTGACACCGTGACACACATCTGTTGTAGGCCTGCCCCCCAATGTCCTTGTACAGGCCCCTGTGTTGTCACTAATTATACCACATTCTAACTTCATGCTCTGTAGCAGCTCACTCCACTGAATATTGGTGCTGTGAGGGCAGTGACTCTGTGCATTATTTTATTCCCAACAATTAGCATGGTACCTGGTACCTAGTGGGCTCTAAATAATTTTTTAAATTGAAGAATAAATGAGGATTGAGTTTGACAGGACATAGAAAAGAAAAGCGAGGAACAAATCAAACTTTCTTCAAATACATTAAACCTGACCGGTGCTATTGGCAGAATCAGGGAGCATTTAGGAAAATTATTTTGGAAGTGGGCAGTGGGGAGTTGCTTAGTGTAGATTGACCTATTGAATTTGGTGATAAAATGTCATCCAAGAAGAAATGAATGCCCTGTGTGCAGCTGGAATGATGGGAGCTGGGGCTCATTTGAGAATGAGCCTGGAGATTCAGACTTGCTAATTCCTGGAGATTTTACCACTCTTCTCTTAGGGAATTTTGCTGTTCTCCCTTTGCTCTGTAGTTTTTATGTAGATTGATTGTTTTATTACAGTGAAACAGAAATCAAAATTATTACCAGACCCACTCCTTTCCAGATTGTGTGTACAGTCACACATAGAAAGGAGAATTAATTTTCTCTACATTTTTCAGAAAGTTTGCTTGTAGTTTTTATATGGTGCTCATACTTGCTTAGCTAGTGAACAAAAGGGTGGATTCCAGAGAGAAGAGCCAAAGCTGAAACGCTTTTGATTCAATTACATAGCAAATAGAAATGCTATTTCTGATTTTTCAAAAAATAATTTTGGCTTTTCTATATATGACTATTTGATAAGGACTTAATAAAAGGTAGATTTTCTGGATGAAGACTAGTGAATGCAATTACAGCCCCCTAGCTACACCAGGCTGACATGCTTGTGCTTCCTCCTGCAGAGACCTGACTCACAGCTGATAAGTGCCTTTAGGGTGAGATGGGAACCTGTCGTGTTAAAAGCAGCCTCTGAGCTAGAGAGAAGGTGTATCCATAGTCTGGCTGGCAGGTAGTTTCTACCAAGGGACATGTTGGCATCTATCCTATGGTCTGAAGAATGACACACCCATTTCCTTCTGAGTAGCTATATGAAGAATGTGCACATTTGGCTGGACAGAAAAAGTTCTCTCTCTCTGATGGATCATTTAGAAGGGTATATGTGTGGATAATATTTCAGCCCACTGAAAATGAAGTGCTTTCCTTAATGGGCATCATGTTTATAGGAGTAGGATCCTCCTTCAAAAAGACCTGAGGGATTACTGGAATCTTCAGACATATCTGAGCCCAAATCCCAGCTCTGCCTCTTGTGAGCTGCTTGACATTGAATTAGAACTTGGATAAGGTGTAGGATAATGACAGAAATAAGGGAGCTGGTGTAATGAGGGAAAGATAATCCAGATATGTTAGACTTACTGACTTTGAATGTAAAGCCCAAAAGACAGAGGACTGGAATGCAGGAGAGAACATAAAGCTGGATATTCAGATTTGAGACTCACCTTTAAAATAAAGCCATGCAGCAGAGGTGACTCTGCCTCCGATGAAGCATGTGTATATTTGGGGTGTCACTGCATAATCCCAGCACTGCCAGAGGGAACATAGGAATATATTAAAAAGTGGTTTATAAGGTTTAAAATGGGCAGAGTTATTTTTTGAATATTTTTTCTAAGCAGCGACGCATATAGATTTATTCTAAATAAGTGCACCAAACGTAAAATTATTCTTTGAGTTGAGCTTAACAGAGCCAATTTTTATACAGCTTCCGCAATTCACCCAAGTTAGCTCATGTCGCCAGATTCTGTCCTTCCAGATTGATGTGTTTAATAGCATCTGTCAGCAATGGTTGCAGAGTAGCATTTTAATAGTTCCCACAGATTTTCATCAGAATATGCTGTACTCCAATCACAGTGCCAATGACAACTCCCCAGTTGGCATTGCAAACACTGTCTTTAGCAGAGGTGGCCATGCTGCAGGCATTTGAGAGATACTGACAGTTGCAGCAGTTGGAGGTTGGTTAACAAATGAAGCACCGAAGATGGTGTTTATGTGGCTGTGTGTACCCAAGTAGTGATTTATGTTATTTTCAGCAGAGATGCAAACTCTGTAGTTAAAGCAAGCTGCCTCTTTCTGGAATAGTGAATGTGTTAGGTAACAAAAGCATAGGAGAGTCTGGACTTTTAGGCAAATTAAAAGTCTAAAAGCTTCTTGCACAAGAGACAAATTGGAAGGTAATTAATTATACAAAATGAGGATTCACCATGGAGTTTCTTCAAACATCCAGTTTCCCTTGTTACTTAAAGTATTTAATTAAAATTCATTACCCACAACATCTCTTACATAAAGCATGGCTCCCCACATTGATTTCAACTGATTTAGTTCATTATGAGGAACACTTTTTGCAGAGGGTATTCATTCCTACAAAATTAATAGGTTACCTTAATAACATCTGAACTGGAAATAAGATTTATCCCAGCTTAGCTTTATGCTATTCATATTTTGGTGTGAGCTACAAGCATGCATGTGTTACACTAATCTCCCAATAATTGACTTCCCTTCTCTAGCCCCCTTTCTTTATTCAGGGAAAGAATGAATACACAGTTCCTACTCCCCTCGGATTGCCTGCCTATCTTTGACAATATATCAGGACTTAGGAAACATTCCATAAGAAAATAAAACCCGAAGGCTCTCCTGGAGTCTCTGGTGATAAGTTAGGTCCTGTCTACATTGTGGTTCCATCAACAGCCTCCTTCCTCCACCCAATCCTAGTTTTAAAAATGACCACACAACATAGAGTGTCCCTGACGGGAAAGAGCGTTAATTGTCAGAGGTACTGGGTCTCATAGACGAGAGGCAGCTTACCTAAAGACCCACAAAGCCAGATGGAGACTTCAGAGATCCAAACTCTGCCTCAGTACATCCAGCCTGGTACACTCAAGGGAGCAACCAACTTCATTCTCATTTAGATGTCTGTAAAGGACAATGATCCTCAGATTCTAAGAACTTCATCCCAACACTGTAAGTTTTAAAAGCTGCTATTTAGAAGACAGTTTAGGAGGCAGAAAAGGAGCTGAAAGGCAGATATCATAATTAATTAAAACCTTACATTGGTGCATTACTTAATTACTTACCAGTCCTTTCCTTTCAGCATGCTTGACAAAACAGACCATCTGTGGGGAGAATAGGTGGTAGAAGAGAAAACATGACTATTCCGCTATCAGAGACCTTTATTCAGAGAGGTCAGGTGCAGGAGACATTAAGCATTAAAATCCATGAGGTGTAAATAGGACCAAATTGCAACAGTCAATGGAAAGGTTGTATGAAATATATTAATAAAACAAATGTATATGTTTTTCCAGTATGCCTTCCTCCATATAATTTAGATACCTGGGTTCCTTGCACACAGCAGGCACTCTATACATAGTTGTTGAATTGAACTTAAACAAATAAAAATCTAAAAGATATTTAAGAAGTAAACTAAGCAACGCATAAAATAAATGGTATGATAGAATGCCATTCTAATGAATATGTGCTAGCTTATACCTCAAAGCACTGATAAAGGCAGGCCAGGTTTTCTAAAAACAAAGTGTGGGTCCCTGATTGTTGTTGAGTGCTGCTTCCTCTGCTTCTTCAGCCTCCGGGAGCCATTCAGCCTGATGCGTGTCGTATCATGACTCATTTTGAAAACTGCCCCAGAAGTTTCTGGACTTTTTTTTAATAAGGTGGAAAAACACAATCATATTTATCTGGGTTTTTGTCTTTTTTTTTCCTGGATGCATCTGTGGGTGTGTGCAGCAGCTTGGCTTTCCTGGGCATCAGCTTGGAGAGTACCTCTGGGACACTGACAGGTCCAGCTGCCTCTTGCTTTGTTGAAGGATGTGGGAAGCACTCCATTCCTGACGCTCAGAGCTGATGCCATGAGGAGTAATCATCTTTCTCTGATAGCGGCTGCAAAGCACTTTTAGAAAATCATTAGCAGTTACAAGAGTTGAGAGCCTTTGGGCCCAGGTTCCAATTAGACAGAGGTTAACATAGTAGCCTCATATTGATTGAGCTCTTTGTGTTAGGCATTGTGATTAGCTCTTTACGTGGCCTATCATTTATTTATATTGCAAGTTATGGGAAACCTGATGAACCATGCCTTAGCTCACAAGGTATATAGTGTTTATTTAACAGGAAGTCTGGAGATAGGCATCCTAGGCCTGGCCTGGTGGATCAACAATATCATCAAGGAGAAAGTCTCCTTCTGCCTTTCACTCTCATCATTCTTAGTGGGTTTACTGGCATCCTTGGCTTCACAGGATGGCTGCCACTGTGCTAGACACAGTTGCGTTAAGGACAGGAAGGAGGAGGAAAGAATAGTCACCAAGAGAGTTCCCTTTCTTATATATTGCTTTTATAAAGAGGCAAACACTTTTTCAGATGTCTCATAGCGTATGTTCCATCAATCTCATTTCACAGAACTGCGGCACATAGATGCCCTTAGTTGCAAAGAAGGCTACAAAAGAGCCTTTAGCTTGGAAATGGATTGGAAGTGGCTGTTGGATTAGCCAAGCAATCGTATCTGCCTTAGATGGATTATTTATTTAATTCTTAAAATATCCCTTTGAATGGAGATATTGCTGTTATTTCATGTTAGTAGATGAGGAAGCAGAATGATTAATGAACTTGTCCAAGATCACAAAGCTAATAAGTGGTTTGACCTATAGTTTTAACCATTGCGGGTAGCTGTATGGCTTGGTGTTTAAGAGGGCAAGAGATAATTCAAGGTATACTACTACTTAGTCCAAGGTGTCCTACTTTCTAACTGTGTATCTTGGGATGTTATTTAACCTCTTTGTGCCTCAATTTGCTCTTGTAAGATGGAGATATAATATTTCCCATAGGTTTATTGTAAAGATTAGGTGACTTATTACACATAAAATACCCAGAATATGGCATGTAATAAGCATTAGAAAAGAGTTACTAAGAAGCCATGAAGCAAGCAGCTTTGTTTGTAATAACCCTGAACCAAAAACAGCCTAAATGCTCATCATTTGTAGAATGGGAAAAAATTGAGATATATTCATACAACCAAGTACAATTTATAATGATAAATGATGAGTTAGTAATACACATAGCAACAGAGGTGAGTCTCACAGTGAGTGAAAGAATTGAGGCAAAAGAGAATATATTGCATAATTCCATTTATATGAAGTTCAGATACAGAAAAACCTAATCTGTTGTGTAAAGTCATAATGTTCCATCACAATAAGCATTATCTTTGGAGAGTTAAGTGTTGAGAGGACATGAGGGGGTGTTCCGGGGTGCTGAAAAGGTTCTGTATCTTGATCTTGCTGGCGGTAGCACAGGTATACACATGTAAAAATTCATTGTTTTGTACAATTAAGACGTGTGCATTTTACTGCATGCAAGTTGTATTTCATTTTTAATAGTAAATAGAAATAAATAAAAGAAACCATGAAGTATACCCATTCATGCTGACTGGCATCTTCGGTGAAAACCCTTAGAAGAAAATGGTGGCAGAGAGAAGAGAAAGAGGCACATCAATATTACAGATTATTTGCCTTCTCAGAAAGCCCCTGGTTTCCTCTCCCCCATCAGAGGAAACACCCTCTAAGTTTGAGCTGTTTTCCCAGTTGTGGAGATGTGTTTGCACTGGAACCATCTCTGTCCCCTTCCCCGTTCCCTGGATGGTCAGCAATGAACTCTGGCAGTGAAGCCAACATGAATACAAAGCCTGGTTGCATTTCATGAACATTATCCTATAATCAGTCAAATTGCCTACTGATTCACCGAAAAGAAGGCCAGGATGCATTAGCCTGGGATGCCACTGAGAACTGTCCTTTCAAAGGCAAAGTGCCATGGAGCTGACCACTTAAAGGGCTCCAGCTCTCTGGGGAACAAGGAGTCATGGATGGTGCAATTAGCTGAGGTAGAGACATCAGGAAAAGAAGTGGACAAGTGGCTACAAGAGCATTAGGCTACAAGAGCAGCCTCAGTCATTTGGGCAATTCTAAGCCTAGAAAAGATCCTCTGAAGGAAGAGGTTCCAAATCAAAACAAGGCAATATTTGGGCTTTGTAAAATTCTGATTTTTGCCAGGGGCTGCAGGGTTTGAGAAATGACTTGATAGCAGTTTGTGCTTATAGGAGGTGGGTAGAAGGGTATGCCACCCCTCGACTAGGCAACAGATGTCTGAATTTTACAAACACCCAAACTCAAAGACTTTTTATCTTTTTAGTCCCATGAGAATTTTTTTTTTTTTTAATTTCAGTGAATGATTGAGCAAACAAGAGAAGGATACAGG
This sequence comes from Homo sapiens, assembly GCF_000001405.40. Taxonomy (NCBI): domain Eukaryota; kingdom Metazoa; phylum Chordata; class Mammalia; order Primates; family Hominidae; genus Homo; species Homo sapiens. The sequence continues at coordinate 75,002,511 of NC_000004.12, forward strand.
GAGTAAACTGGTCTCCCAGGCCAGTGTGTGTGACCTGCAGGCACAGGAGTGAGGATAGGAAGGAATGAATCACCACCTTGGCTCTACAGAATCAGAGTGTCTGTCTTTGTTTAAAGCTGGTCACTGGCAGAACATTCAAAGTGATGCCTGAGTTCTCTCCCTCCCTTCCGCTTGGAAATGCCTGAAAATTCTGCCAGAAAAGTGAGGCATAGAGAAGGGAGACTGCCACCAAAGCTGCCCAGGAAGCATGTCCAGGTCAGTCTCCATCTTGGCCTCTGGTGGACCCAGCCGCAGCTTTGGCCTACACTGCCCCAGCAGATCCCTTGTCCCATTAGTCTTGGGTCTGCAGAGGGTTACCCTGGGAGTGGGCTGCAGGGCCCAGGATGGAGCGCAGGCTAAGCCATGGGCACATCTTAATTTGTAAGTTACATATTTAGACATGCTTTGTGTGGGCCTTTGTGTGTACTCTTGCCCTGGATCCCACAAATGTTGGGACTGGGTCTGTGAAAGGAAAGAACCAGAGAACCTGATGTTGTCCTTCGGAAAATCTCCTTCCCACTCCCCACCACCCATGCCCATATCCACCTTCAACCACAAAGTGATGGAAGAGAAGCTGCTTGCCCTCCTGCATTGTCTCTCTTTCTCTCCATGGCCCCACCCTGAGAAACCCCAATACAGGGCATTTGGGATTTCAGACATTCGTTGGCGTCCTTGCTCAGCTCGGCTTCCTTCTGGTGTGACCACTATAGTCCCTCCCATCCTAGAAGCAGTAAGTTTAAGGGACTGACAAAGACAGATGTTGCATCTAAGGAAAAAAAAAAAAAAGAAAAATGGCATATTTTTCTCCCAGGAAGTACAGCATTCTTCACAAATGTTATTCTTTCATTAGAATTCACAGCACCGTGGGGAGCCTGCTGATATGATTAGAACTGATTTTATGGATGGAGAAATTGAGTCATTCACCAGGTCTGCAGGTTGTGATTCAGTGGCTAGAAAACAGAAGCTCTTTCCTCTTTTTGGATTGAATTATGTCTCATTTCCATAAGCAAAATACTCAGGAGAATATGGCTTTCCTACTTCAAGCAAGTATCTTCTTAGACACAGTTTGATGGTTTTGGGGCATACACATTCTGTTTTGACATATGATAGCTTTCAAATACCATATGGTTGGACCACACTCTAATTAGGAATGGTTTTGTAGATGTTAGATGAGCCTTCTGGAGCATTGGGTGCCCTCAGCAGAGCCCACCAAAGACAACTTGGGAAACTGTGTAGGTGCGAAACTTTTGTAGGTCCCTAACAGTGGCTCAACCTAAAACACACTGAAACCTAGCTTTGAAATGTAAATAAATAATTATCATTTTAACATTCTCTCTCTCTCTCTCTCTTAAATACCTGCTGAAATTCAATTCATTCAATGTAAAGATGTTAAAACTAGCCTGTGTTTGCCCCAGCTGATAGGTGGTCACCAAAAGCTGGTGACCTTGGTCTAGATCATGCATAAAGAAAGGAAATCCCTGCAGTCTCCAAAGTAAAAACAAGCAAACAAATATAACAAAAGTCTGTCTGGAGGCCCATCCACAATTTTGTGTTAACAGGTCATTTTCATGGAGCTTGCAGACAAATCACAGGGAGGACACATTTCTGCTATCATGACTCAGCATATAAGCTAGAGAACATTTCTGTTTTCAAAGGGTAGAAAATCCATGTTTCTACTCAATGAATATTTATTGAGCACTTTCTCTGTGCCAGGCACTAAGACACAAAGAACAAGTTTAGTTTTTATTATCAGGGCTCCTAGCCTGAAGGGGTACAAGCCTGGAGAAAGACTATGGCTCAACATGATGTGTGCTGTCATTAGAGTCTGTGTGAAGTGAGGTGGCTGCACACAGGAGGAAGTGTCTATCAAGTTGCAGAATATTTCATAGAGAAGGTAAGGCTCTGGATTTCTCAGAACTGGGATGGCAAGAGGGTAGACATGGAGAGCAGAGTCAGGGTAGAAAGAGCAGCAGTGCAAAGGCAGGGAGGCAGATGGCCATGGGATACTCCAGGAGCTTACAGGGATTCAGACTGACAAGACCGCACTGCTCATGAGGGGTAAACTGGAGAGACTGTGAAAGGTGGCATGTCTTGTGCCAAGGAGCTCAGGTTTTATCCCAAAGACAGTAGGAATCCTGTGATCAGATTAAAGGGAAGGGGAAGGGTTCATACAGTCTAATAACTTTTAAAAAGTCACTTAGTTGCCCACACTAGGGAATGTACTAGAAAAGATAGAAGCAAACTGGTTACCAACTGCCTCCAAGGAGACATGGAGCCCAAACTTCAAAAACACCTTTGCATTTCCCAATTCAATACTATAGAATCATTAAAAAGCTGGTGGTTAAAAGTTAAACAGTGTTGCATTCAAGCTTCAGCTGTACCGTGTGCTAGCAGTGTGACCTTAGGGAAATTACTGAACTTTTCTGAGCTTCTGTCTTATCATCTGTGAAACCGAGATAACAATGGTGCCTACCTCACAGAGGTTATATTTCAATTAAATAAGATGATGTATGTAAAGCGCTCAGTACACTTGTTAATATATGTGTTAAACAGTCCCACTGGCCTTTTCAGCAGTTCACGATGGTGGCCGTAACAGGTGGAGAAACTGGTAGCAATTACTCAGCACACAGACCTTCAGCAGCTGTGTGGCCTCTGCCAGGCGACCACAAGCAATGCTCCCGGCTGACTTGGCAGCAGCAGGAAAGGGCTTGACTGCATTTTGATCAAGTTTCACCAAGTTTGCCAAAGCTTTGCCACATGTTTTCTCACGTGCTTGACAAGCTGAGAGCAGGGAAAGACATGGCCAGGGACAGAAAAAAAGAATAGGTGAGCAACACAGAAAATCAGGCTGTCTGCAACTCTGCCACTGGCCCAGGTTGTTGCTCATGGAATCCAGGAAAAGGTGACAGAGTTCAGGGCACTCACTGCCCATATTCCTGACACCCAGTCAGGTCAGGAGGCACAGAAGGCAGACTCTCTACGCTACAATGCCTCTACCTCCTCTCAGCACCATAAGAACTCACCTGCATGTCCCAACAATCAGCCCCCCACATCCCTCCTAGCAGGTCTAGAAACTGAGGACCAAGCCAAACACTAGCTCTTTTAAATATCAAATGGATGTAAACTATAATAGTGGTCTCCCCATAGAGGACAATACACGTGGAAACATATAGTTTTCTATCCAACCAAGAATCTGGTTTTCTTCAGAGAAACAATCCGTCAGCTATTCTTGCAGCAAAAAAGCTTGAACCTGACCAGACTTCAGGAACCACTGCTATCTGTAAACTTACAAGGAGGAATTCCAGATTGAACTGGTTATCAGGCTTTTAGGCTGCACACATGGGCTAAGTCTAAGAGATGCCCTTCCCTGAATCTGTCCCTTTCATGTCTGTGGGCCTGTCACTGCCCCAGCAGGACACACCATCTCTGGCAATGTCACTGTGTTTTGAAACAATGCTCATTCACCTCTAACTGAGAAAGTAATGGGTTCAGTTTCTTCATCATATCTTCTCAAGGAAATACTAATACTAATTATTTTCTTCAAAGAAAAGTGGCTGTGTTTTGGGTGGGAAGGTGTATGGAGGCATGACTTTTTAATTTTTTTTTATTATACTTTAAGTTGTAGGGTACATGTGCACAACTTGCAGGTTTGTTACATATGTATACATGTGCCATGTTGGTGTGCTGCACCCATTAACTTGTCATTTACATTAGGTATATCTCCTAATGCTATCCGTCCCCCCTCCCCCCACCCTACGGCAGGCCCCGGTGTGTGATGTTCCCCATCCCTTGTCCAAGTGTTCTGATTGTTCAATTCCCACCTATGAGTGAGAACATGTGGAGTTTGGTTTTCTTTCTTCGTGATAGTTTGCTGAGAATGATGGTTTCCAGCTTCATCCATGTCCCTACAAAGGACATGAACTCATCTTTTTTTATGGCTGCATAGTATTCCATGGTGTATCTGTGCCACATTTTCTTAATCCAGTCTATCATTGATGGACATTTGGGTTGGTTCCAAGTCTTTGCTATTGTGAATAGTGCCACAATAAATATACATGTGCATGTGTCTTTATAGCAGCATGATTTATAATCCTTTGGGTACATACCCAGTAATGGGATGGCTGGGTCAAATAGTATTTCCAGTTCTAGATCCTTGAGGAATCGCCACACTGTCTTCCACAATGGTTGAACTTAAATGTTAGACCTAAAACCATAAAAACCCTAGAAGAAAACCTAGGCAATACCATTCAGGACATAGGCAGGGGCAAGAACTTCATGACTAAAACACCAAAAGCAATGGCAACAAAAGCCAAAATTGACAAATGGGATCTAATTAAACTAAAGAGCTTCTGCACAACAAAAGAAACTACCATCAGAGTGAACAGGCAACCTACATAATGGGAGAAAATTTTTGCGATCTACCCATCTGACAAAGGGCTAATATCCAGAATCTACAAAGAACTTAAATAAATTTACAAGAAAAAATCAAGCAACCCCATCAAAAAGTGGGCGAAGGATATGAACAGACACTTCTCAAAAGAAGACATTTATGCAGCCAACAGACACAGGAAAAAATGCTCATCATCACTGGCCATGAGAGAAATGCAAAACAAAACCACAATGAGATACCATCTCACACCAGTTAGAATGGTGATCATTAAAAAGTCAGGAAACAACAGGTGCTGGAGAGGATGTGGAGAAATAGGAACACTTTTACACTGTTAGTGGGACTGTAGACATTTTTTTAACTTCTTCAGCTGCCCAGTCTCACATGCGCTCCTCATTGCATTCTCTGTAGTAGTGGTTGCTAAAGTAAGTTCCACCAGCCTTTTTGAGGCTGGGACACAGGGTATCAGTGGGGGTCACAGGGCAGGAGTTCTAGTTCTGACTCTGTTGCTGCACAGTTCTTTCCAGGTAGACACTGTCCAATTCTTCCTCTTAGTGTAAGGTCAGTTACACCACTTCCTCTCTCTGTGTCTGCTCCCTCATTTATCAAATTAAGGGTTAAACTCACTCATTATTTAGGCCCTCCCTAGCTCTAAAATTTCCTTGAAATCCTGAGAAAGGCTACATTCTTACTGGTTTGACTTATGCAGTTTCGTATTCCTGCAGAGACACGAGTTCTACACTGATTCTGAATGTTGAAGCTTTAGCCCCCAGTGTGATGGTATTTGAGGATGGGGCCTCTAGGTGGTAATTAAAGTTAGATGAGATCATGTGGGTGGGGCCCTTATGATGGAATTAGTGCCCTTATAAGAAGGGACATTAAAGAACTTACTCTCTGTCTTCACTCGCATGCCATGTGAGGAAAGGTCACGTGAGGACACAGATAGAAGGCGATCATCTTCAAGCCAGGGGGTGGGCCCTCACCAGAAACTGAATCAGACAGCACTTTGATCTTGAGCTTCCTAGCCTTTACAACTGCGAAAATTAAATTTCTGTTGTTTAAGCCACCCAATCTGTGGTATTTAGTTACAGCAGTCCTAGCCGACTAAGACAGCAAGCATTCTCTACGATCATCATGGTGCCTTAGCCCTGGCTATCTTTGTATTGGAAATAGACCTACCCCAGGAGTCAGTGCATTATGGAATGTACCATCAAATAAGGCAAAGCAGAGGCTTCTAAAGCCTCATTCAAATGAAGATAACCAACATTGTCATACAATTTCATGCATTGTTAGTTTGATAGGAACAGAAATTGCCTGAACTTGGCTGTAAAGTTCTTTAAATAAGTACTCAGTAGATAGCTATGGGAAATGAATGACCACTTCCAGTCCTCTTTGGAAGCAGGCAGGGTAGGAATTGTAAAAGTGTATTAGTAAGATTAAACAAGAAAATGGATATTTCCAGCAACAAAACCAATTCTCAGAGCTTGTCATTTTCAGCACTGTAATGATTTCTATGGTACAGCTTTTAGCTCCACTGGAAACGACAATGCAAGTGTCATTCTGAACATCAGATATCTTAAGTGGTATCTTGTGCATTCTTATTCTTTCAGGACGAATTCAAATGTCATCTCTTCTGTGACTTTTCTAAATGTCATTCGAAAATGGCATTTGTATATTTTTACATTCCATGGTATCAGTACAGAATTTATTAATCTTTCCTCAGAGTTTCCATTACAACTTGGTTTTACTTTTATATAGCACTTATCATCTCATATTACAGGAAGCTGAGTATGAGCTCTCTGAGGGAAAAGCTCAATAAATTCTTGAATGAATGAATGAATGAATGAATTGGTTCTCCTTTGTAGATGACTGATTTCTCATTTATCTCAGGCTTGACAAGACTCTTTGACTCGACTAACAGACTGAGGCTCTCTCTACCTCCATCTGCCTATCTATTACATGATGCTATGAATGGTAAATGGTGTCATTTTTTTTTTTTTGCCCTTGGAATCTTCAATCAGCCATGACAGCTGCCAGAATGCAAAGCCAGTAAGCTCCAAAGGTCATAGATAGGATCCCATGTTTTAATAATATTTGTCCCAACTGTTGTTTTGTCCATATTTCAAAGATTTCTTGATCTGTATTCATTCTAAAACTGTTGACAGTTCACAGCTGCCAAAAGACCACCGTAACAGCATGGAATAGCATGTGGCCTAAGTTGGGAGGTCTGTCCTCCTCTTTACCAGGAAATTAACTCTCCTGAAGCTTATGGCCTTGATGAACTCCTTTTAAATAAAATAAAGCCAATTATTTTGATGACAATCCAAATGTTAAATTCAGAATAAACTCTATAGCACGGCCTTCCATCAGCTCCTGAGTCAGCCAAGTGGCAAATGATGATGTAAGCAGATTTTAGCCTAGTACCTGAATGTTTCCCTTTTGGTCTTTTCTCCCTTCCTCTGACTGGCATCTAGGCCATGTTCTATTCCTTTTGAATATTGATTATGGTTGGCCTTTACCTATTTGACACCTTCAAGGAAATATCCTCAGGGTACATAGAGTTAAATAGTTGAAGACCTAACTAGACATCAGTCATAGGCATATGTTATGTTGGAATTAAAATGAGTGAAGCTGATCTTTAAGCAAGAATCTTGCCCTCAAATAATACCAGGTAGGCAGCCCTCCCTGAGGAAGCCATGATGGATGTGGCCATAACTAAAGTGACATGTGGAAAAGAGTGGAAAGATGTTGGAGTATTCATGAATAAGGTTCTTGGGTTAATTCATTTTTCTACTCTTTCTTCCTTTCTCCCGCAAGTCCTTATTAAGCACTTACCTAATGCTGTCCTAGGCTCAGGGGAAACAGCAATGAGTAAGACCAGGTCACTGTGCCCTCATTGAGCTTTTATTCCAGTAGAAGAGACAATAAATAAGTGAATAAATAAATATGTAATTTCAGGAAAACACTTCTCTTATTGTGAAAGACGAAAATGAGCAAAGGGTATGGCATTTCCTCAAAAAAATTAAGCAAAAAATTACCATATGATTCATTAATTCCACTTCTGGGAATATGCCCAAAAGAACTGACAGCAAGGACTCAAACAGATATTTGTTCACCCACGTTCATGGCAACAATATTCACAGTAGCCCAAAGATGGAAACAGCCCAAGTATCTATCAGTGTATGAACGGATAAACAAAATGTGATACATACATACAGTGGAATATTATTCAGCCTTAAAAAGGAAGTAAATTCTGCCACATGCTATCACATGGATGAAACTTGAAGTCATTTTGCTAAGTGAAATAAGCCAGTCATAAAAGGACAAATATTGTATGATTCTACTTATGTGAGGTACTTAGAGCAATCCAATTCATAGAGACAGTAGAGTGTAGAATGGTTGGTTGTTTTTATGCCATTCCCATGGGGAAAAGGGAGTTGTTTAATAGGCACAGAGTTTGAGTTTGGGAAAATGAAAAAGTTCTGCAGATGAATAATGATGGTTGCACAATATGTATATATAGTTACTGCCATTGAACTGTACACTTAAAATTGGTTGTAATAGTAAAGTGTTAGCATACTTTACCACAATAAAAAATTAAAAAAAATTTTTTTAAATAGACAACAGGCTAGAGTAGAAAAGAATTAGTTAAGGCTTGTCTGGGAAGACTCCTTTGAGGAAGAGGTGACACAATCAAAGTGATGACGAGAACATGAGATTACATAGGGAAGCAATTCTGGATTTTGTTCTAAGTACAACAGAACACCTTTGGAGGGTTTTGATCAGTGAAAGGACATGAGCTGATTTACTGCTATAAAAGATCATGCTGGCTGCTAAGTGGAAAGCACATTAAAAGGGAGGAAACCAGGGGGCTAGAAGACCAATTAAGAGACTATTACAGTTGTGTTTGCATTGCTATAAAGGAATACCTGAGGCCGGGTAATTTATAAAGAAAAGAGGTTTGATTGGCTCATGGTTCTGCAGGCTGTACAAGCACAGCACCAGCATCTACTCAGCTTCTGGTGATGCCCTCATGGAGCTTTACTTATGGTGGAAGGGGAAGTGGGAGCAGGCACATCTCATGGTGAGAATGGGAGCAAGAGAGTGTAGGTGGGAGGTGCCACATGTTTTAAACAGCCAGATCCTGAGAGAACTCACTCACTACCATGAGGACAGCATCAAACCATGAGGGATCAGTCCCTATGACCAAAACAACCCCCACCAGGCCCCACTTCCAACACTGGCATTTACATCTCAACCTGAGATTTGGAGGGCACATCCAAACTAATCAGCAGTCATCGAGGCTAGTGACTATAATGGCTCAGGGGATGTTGAAATAATAGGGGAGATAGTGACAAGTGGTTGAATCAGGATTATATTTGCAAGGTAGACTCATCCTGACTCACTAATGGATTTGATGTGGGATGTGAGGGAAAGAAATACATGAAGGGTGACATCTTGGTTTTTAACTGCGCAACCGGGTGAATGGGGGTCCCATCTACTGAGATGCAAATGACTGGGGGAAATACTAGTCAGGGAATGACAAGGGGGTATGGGGAGGCAATCAAGATATGTGTTACCTAAAAGTGAAACCAGGAACCCCATGTCCAGGAGAGTACTGGCACATAAAAGCCCTTTATTAAATAATCATTGAATGAGTCAATGAATGAAACCAAATGAGTAAGTGCAGGGAAGGAGAAAGGAAGAATGGAAACTAGCTGTAAATTTTACAACATATGAAGGAGTGCATTTGGCAAGTGATATGATGGTAAGGACCTCAGGCTGGAATTTCAGACGACAGGGTTCCAGTCTCAGAAAATATTTCCAAACCTCAGATTTCTCTTTCTAGCTTTTATTCTGGGACCTCTCCCTTTTTCTTTCTCTGCAGGAAATGTGTTCACATATTTATTCATCCCAGCCAGGAGGTCCATATCCCTTATATCCCTGTGCATAAGTGCAGAATGGATAGCCCTCAAGACATGGAACAGCCAGTCAGTGAGCTCCTCAGCTGTGGGATGGAACGAGACTGAAGCCCCCTCCTGCCAGTGACCACACTCATCACCAACCACTCCTTCCCCACTCCCAATGTCCACACTCCCATCGTTCCTACAGGAGCTGTGGAGTTGGCTGCTCGGCAGTCCAGACAAGTTCCCATAAATCAATTCTCCAGGGGGTCTTACTCTCTAAGGACATGATTTTAAGCAAGTTGGGGACAAGATTAGTTCATACCATGCATTGGCTAGTCTTGAGTTGACAGTCCTACTAATTGTTCTTACTGAGTTTCGGGCGAGTTCCTACTGAGATTTGTAGAGAAATTGGTGGGAAGAAAGTCCATTAAAAGTTGCCTTCACAACTGGGGAGGGCACAATGCAAAATGAGAAATACCTGTGAAAATGCTGTAAAACAGCTGTGGGTAAAAGCCTTGCCTCTATTTCACATATTACCGTGTTTTCACATATTAACCACTTTTGTACTGGCTTTTCCACAGGATGGAGGGTACAGAGTCTGCCTACATCAGCTCCTTTGTCTGTTTCTCTTCCGACAAACATTGTACCACCGACCACCATCTGGACTAGCTCTCCACAAAACACTGATGCAGACACTGCCTCCCCATCCAACGGCACTCACAACAACTCGGTGCTCCCAGTTACAGCATCAGCCCCAACATCTCTGCTTCCTAAGAACATTTCCATAGAGTCCAGAGAAGAGGAGATCACCAGCCCAGGTTCGAATTGGGAAGGCACAAACACAGACCCCTCACCTTCTGGGTTCTCGTCAACAAGCGGTGGAGTCCACTTAACAACCACGTTGGAGGAACACAGCTCGGGCACTCCTGAAGCAGGCGTGGCAGCTACACTGTCGCAGTCCGCTGCTGAGCCTCCCACACTCATCTCCCCTCAAGCTCCAGCCTCATCACCCTCATCCCTATCAACCTCACCACCTGAGGTCTTTTCTGCCTCCGTTACTACCAACCATAGCTCCACTGTGACCAGCACCCAACCCACTGGAGCTCCAACTGCACCAGAGTCCCCGACAGAGGAGTCCAGCTCTGACCACACACCCACTTCACATGCCACAGCTGAGCCAGTACCCCAGGAGAAAACACCCCCAACAACTGTGTCAGGCAAAGTGATGTGTGAGCTCATAGACATGGAGACCACCACCACCTTTCCCAGGGTGATCATGCAGGAAGTAGAACATGCATTAAGTTCAGGTGAGTCTCTATCCAGTCCACTAGTTTTCTTTACTACACCCTCACATTAAGAATGCAGTTCAGTGAACCAAACACAATGGAAAATTTGAATTTTGGAGTGTAACACCTAAGTTGAATTATAATTCACAAGAATTTCCACGAGTGCAAACTTTATTTTTAGTCACTTAACAATTTTCATGATTCACTGTGGCCAATTGCACCTTTATGACCTGTTTTCACAAGTCATAATGATGCTACAGGGAATGTAAGCACATGAGACCAGATAGCAAAGGGATTAACAGCATGGCTTTGGCCAAGCTTCCTAGGTTTCAACTCTGGCTCCTGACCTTAGACAAGTTACTTCACCTCTTTGTGCCTGTATTTTTCCACATCTGTAAAATGGGATAAAACAGTTGCTACTGCACACAGTTCTTGTGGAGATTAACTGAAATGACATAAAGCACTTAGAACAGTTCCTGGCAGGGAGTAAATGCTCAGGAAATGTCATTTGTTATTATTATTCTGCTCAGTGTTTTAAAGTAGTGTCTCCCTTTTGGAAACCAGTCAAAGTAGAGTAGGAGTGGAGAAAACTTACTTATTCTTTATAGTCACTGATATATTTCAAGGGAAAGACAATAAATTTTACAAGATGTCACATCTGTTTTTATTTTCCCAATAATTATATGAAGTTAGTATTATTTTTATCTTTGTTTTGTAATCTTGGAAATTATGGTGGAGAGAAATCAAGGGCCCTTTCTGAGGTCACCTGCATCTGACATTGATGTGAAGACTGTACAATTTAGGGTACTGGGCAGGAAGAGTCTTTCATCGGAGCATTTCACCACTTAGCTGAGAAAGAGTGAGATGAGCTCATTTTAGATGAGCCAGAAGTTAGAGGGGGAAATGGAGCTGCAGCCCCTCCCCTGGGTGGTCCTGTGAGAGGTGAAGACTGAGAAGGTCATTTCCAGACAGAACCCTGCATGGTCAGTTGGGGTCAAAGGAATGGCCATCACTGAGGAGAGAATCACAACTTTTAACAAACAATTGATATACATCCATCACGAATGGAAACTGCTTGACAGTGGAGGTAGGAAGAGATAGAACTAAGATTAATGAAGACGTGATTCCTCATGGAAGAGCTCACAATTTAGTAAGGGAAGAAGTCCCAGAGAATTGCACATTTTTATTTCAAAGGCCCAGTATATCATTGAGGATATCAACAAGAAAAAGATAGACACTGAGACTGGGATAAAGGAACTAATGACAAAGGTCTGGCTGGGGAATGGGAGAACCACAGGGGGTCACAATAACAGGGCTGTTACAGGCCAGACCTAGGAGGAAAGGAGGGAGTAGTAACCAGAACCCAGAAGGAGAGGCCCAGTAGAGTTGACCATGCCATCAGGAGCAGTGACTCTTGGCTGAGGGACACAACAATCTCAAGGTTAACCTCCCTGGAGTGAAGGGAATGACTACTCTGCCCTCCCTCTCCCTGCTCCTCTGATATGCAGCAAGAAGCCAAGAACAAGGGGACCCACTGGTGTGGTCCATGCAGGTTGGCCTCCTAGAGGGCTGGTCAGAGAACCACACAGAGAAGGGTGGAGAGTGGATCTGCAGAGGTGAAGGGAGGAAATCTATTGACTCCTCTGTGCAGCCCATCACCCCATTAGCACCTTTTTTATACCTCCAGGCCAGCACTTAAAACATTGAGCTTGAATGTGTATCTTCAGTCTGTCTCTATCCAAACCCCTGCACCCCAGGTTCCCAGCATGAAGGTAACATCTCTGACATTGGTTCCTGGAGCAGAGTTGGTGTTGACTTTGATGCGATATCTTAAGAACCATCTTAAACAAAGGGATCATCAAAATACAGTGACCACATTTTTTTTCTTTCCTATTTCAGGCCCTCACCACCACTTGTCTGTACAACTTTTTCAGTTTTTAACCAGCCACTCTCTCTTCACTTTCTGTCCCCTTCAGGATACTTTAGACCTAGCAGATTGATATTCCTGACCACAAAATCTAAGCTTAGCATACATGAATCTCTAAACTGACACATCTACTCCTTCCTACAAGTACCTTAGTTTTATGGGCTGGGTTATTCAAGACAGTTCTGTTCTAATATCTTGGCTTGATTTTAGGCTCTATGTCTTGATTTCCTCAACTCTAGGCCAGCAGGGTCAAGAGGCCCCAAATTGGTGGCAGTTGGCTCATAAACCTTGAAGTTCATGGGAATATTGCATATAGCAGAAACTCAGAATAAATGACAGAATGCTTAAATGACTGGGGAAGAGAGGTGTGGCCGGTTAGAGGGACATCACTGACCAGTACACATTTCATAGACCAAAGAGTATGTATCCTTATGACCTACTAAATCAAAAAATATTTAGATTGCATTTACCAAGACCCTCTTCTTCATGAAAACAAGTATGAGACCTATCCTTTGAGATTTTATAGTTTAAGTAGAGAGAAAGGACACAGGACAAGTAACTCTTAATATCAGTACTTAGTTTCTAATATGAGAATGAACCTGGTAGGCAGAAGGATCTTTGGGATGATGTGATAGAACCTGTTCACTTCAAAGGTGAAGAAACTGTGTCCCAGAAGTTTGAAGTGCCTCACCCAAGATCACATGGCCCAGTGGCAGCATTGGGCCCTGTGCCCAGGGCCCAGAGCTCTAAGCCAAGTCAAGTCCTCTCTCACCACTCTGAATTGCTGCACTCCTCCTTTATTAGCTAGCAGACCAAGCAACATTCTGTTGGTTTGCGCTTCAGGTTACTATTTTGGGATGCTCTTATTTAGAGATTCTTTATGCTGCCTTTAGTAGTGGCAGTAATAACACCACATTTTGCATAGCATTTTGTCTCATTCTGTGTGGGTTCACGTAGTATGTTTCTATTAATCCAAGGATTCACTCACTCAACAAATATCTAAACACAGTCACCAATGAATAATTCTGAAACAAGGTGAATATTATGGGAGTTAAATTTGACTATAGACCTTAAGAAAGGGCTCCATGATGGAGAGAGCAGGGAGCTGAGTTGCAGAAAATAAAGGAAATTTGAGCCTAAAGAGAGATGAAGGGGATTTGGGCAAAGGGAGTTTCAGGTGCTCATTTACAAAGGCAAGGAACCAAGAGCACGATCATTAAGGGTGGACACACTTGCATTCAGAATCCACGCAGAAGTTGTAAGCACTTAAACTGCTCTTGTTGAATAATCCAGTGCCCTCTACATTGCCAGATCTAAGGGTAAATTCTTAGATCTTTTTTTTGTTTGTTTATCATTTCAACTTTTATTTTAGATCAGTGGGTACATGCACAGGTTTGTTACGTGGGTATATTGCGTGATGCTGAGGTTTGGGGTACAACTGATCCCATCACCCAGGTAGTGATCACAGTACCCAATAGGTAGTTTTTCAGCCCTTCCCCCATTCTGCCTCCCTGCTCTTGTATTCTCTGGTGCTTAGACCTGGTTTGACCTGACCTGCCAGCAGTGTCTGACTCAGATGATCACTGCCCTCATCGTTAAAGCACTGGCTCTGCTCGACGTTCAGAGTGTGCATTTTCACTACCTTCTCTCTCTGCTGTCTCACTTCACTTCCTCATTTTCCTTCATTATCCAGGTCGAGCACCTCAGGCCTCCTTTCTCCCTGATCTCTCCACCGTCACTCCTGCGTGGATGACTCTTGACTTTCATTGTCATCTATGTGCTGATAACACTGAGATGTAAAATTCTCCCCATTTTGCTTCACTGAACTATAGACATGTATAGCCAGCTGTCAGCCAATTCATCATCTCCACTGGGTGGCTCATAGGCATCTCACACTTAATATGTCTAAGGCAAATTATTGATTTCCTCAATTCTCAGCCTGTGCCCCTTGATCATTTCCTGTCTTCTTTCAATTCTTCAGGCCAAAACCCTCAAAGTAATCCTAGACTCCTTTCTTTCTCACATACTGTATATCCTGTCCATGAGATCTGGGCTGATCGCCTCCCGTCCCTCTGTCATCTTTCAAACGTGTCACTTTAATATTCCTGCAACTGATCTCACTATTCACTGCACCCTTGTCGGGCAGATCTTTTCAAAACTCAGAACAGACTCCACTATCCATCCGCTCTCACATTTCAATCACTCCCCGCTCTGAATCAGAGAAAAAGCCAAAGTCTCTACCATGCCTACAAAGCTCAGCAGGTCATAGGACCTCTACCCTCACCTCGTCCACTCTCACCCTCAGACACACTGGCAGTCTTACTGCTTCTTGAACACACTGGAGATACTCCTGTCTCAGGGATTTTGCAGTTACCATCCCCCCTATCTAGAACATTCTCCCTCCAGATCTTCAATGGCTCCCTCCTTTTCATCAGTCAGGATTCTGTTTACCTCTCACCTCCTCAGCAAGCCTTTACTCACTCCCCCATCTGAAATAGTAACCCCCATCACTACTGATCCCTTTCCCTACTTAATTTTTCTTTTTATCGCTTAACCATTTTCTGACATCATCTGATTTATTTGATAAGTTAGTGTCTGTTTTCTGCCACTAGACAGAGTCAGTGTCTGTTTTCATGCCACCATGAAAGCAAGGACCTTGTTTGCAAATAGGAAGATATGGGCTACACCCTGAACCCCTAGAACAGAGCCCAACACATGGTAGACCTTCAATAACATTTGTTGAATACATGAATAAAAGAGCCAATCAACCAATATTAGGGAAGTTATTAGATCTCCCTGAGCCTTGATCCTATCATCAGTAAAATAGGATAGGGATAGTATTCACATAATGCGGTTATTAGAAGGTTCAGGTAAGATAATAAATTTATAGCATATGGCTGTTGAGCAATAGCTCAATCAATGGCTATGGTTGCTACTTTACTATTGTTTACTGTTATTACTATTCTGCTGGTGTGATTATCATTGTTATTATTTTATTTATCATATTGAAGAATGCCCACCATCTTCAACAAATATTTATTGAGCTTCTACTATGAGCCAGGCATCTGGTTAAATACTAGGGTTATAGCCATGAGTAATACAGTCACTTCACTCATGGACATTACAATGTAGTGTGCACATGGCATATGGCATAGTGAGTAACCTAGTTTGGGTCCCAAGCTACATGGAGGGAGACACTGTAGATGTAGGAAGGACGACTTCAGGGCAAGCATTAGAGAACACTAGGGAGCAGCCTAAGACAATTGGTTTACTTTCTAGGCCATTTATAGTCACCAAAGTCTTTTGATCAGGGGAAGAACATATTGAGAATCATATTTTAAAAGTATTCAACTGGTGGGAATATGTATGTCAAGTTGCAGGGAGTTCAGATTTGGAACCATGTATGCCAGTTTATAACTGTTTTCTGGTTTGTCATTGTCATGCACTGATAGTAGGCACGTCACTTAGCTACTCTAACTTAAAAGGCTCTTGGTTGTAAACTGAATACAAGAGAAGCAGTCTCTCAGGTCCTTTTGGCTTTTCATACTATGGTAATTATTTATTACAATTATCCTTTACAGAAGACATGAGGTTCATGGTCGTATGAGGCATACTGAGAATATGTATGTTCCAAGAATTGGGCTAGCGACTGACACAGGTAGCCCTCATCTGATCCTCAGAACGTTCCAGTGGTGTGAGCTCAGCAGTATCTGTTTTACAGGTGACAAAACAAGTCCAGAGAGACTAAGTGACTGACTCAAATTCTCACTTGAGTGACCAGACCAGGATTGAAATCCAGTTCCCCTGACAGACCCAAAGCCAAGTGTTCCTTTCACAATGCCCATCCTACCCGAATTAGTAGAGACACAGAGTTGGGGAAGAACTGATGGGCTTCAGCATTACTGTAGAAATGAGCTAGATGGGCTAGTTGCCAGATGTTGCCAGCTGGGTCCCAGGGGTAGAGCTGCCCAGTGGGAGGGGAAGCAGATGGTGGTAGCAGCCATGCAAAATTGGCTGTGCAGAAGAAGAGTTTTGATTGATTTTCATTTTTTAGCTTTTGTTTGGCTCTTAAAGGAAGAGAGAAAGACGTGATCTGTTAAATTTGGGTCATTTTGTTTTATTAAATCAGATCTCTTCAAGGATGAAAACTATGACTACAGTGTGTGTTTGACTCCCTGAACAACATTGAATGGTGCTATGAACAATTTGGTGCTCAGTACATGCCTGAGGGATTAACTGACATTGCAAAACAAGTAATATTCAAAACATCATCAGTTCTTGCATATGCAAACTTTAAAATTATAGTTACTGTGCTTGTTGCAAAGTAGATACTCTCTTTTGTCTGTAAAATCCACATGTCCACTGGTCTTTCACTATCCTATTATTTTCACCATAAAGAGAAGCACACACAACCGTGAAAATTGGTGAAGACCATTGAACATTAAATTGCTGATCTGAACCCTAGTATTTATCCAGTATGAGCGATGCCAATAAATACATTTAAATAAAGGGCACTAAGTAGGCACAGACATCTAGACATCTCTATGTCCATACCTGCAAGGGACTTTCAGCTCTACAAGACACCCATAAACCTTAGATTTGAAAAAAGAATCAACTTGTAGAAAAGATGAAACAATAATTTTAAAAGTATACCTAGAAAATTTCGCCCGGGCGCGGTGGCTCACGCCTGTAATCCCAGCACTTTGGGAGGCCGAGGCGGGTGGATCATGAGGTCAGGAGATCGAGACCATCCTGGCTAACAAGGTGAAACCCCGTCTCTACTAAAAATACAAAAAATTAGCCGGGCGCGGTGGCGGGCGCCTGTAGTCCCAGCTACTCGGGAGGCTGAGGCAGGAGAATGGCGTGAACCCAGGAAGCGGAGCTTGCAGTGAGCCGAGATTGCGCCACTGCAGTCCGCAGTCCGGCCTGGGCGACAGAACGAGACTCCGTCTCAAAAAAAAAAAAAAAAAAAAAAAAAAAAGAAAATTTCAGAAGCGAAAAATGTATATTGTAGTAAGTTAATGACCATCATGTTTAACTGACATATTAAAAATAGGTTAAAGGGGAAAACAATTATTTAATTAAAAACAAAAACATAGGTGTGAGAAGACCATGTTAAAGAATGGCAAACATTTACTGGTCAGATTCTTTTAAAATGGCCAGAATGTATCAGAAAGCAATAATCCTAACAAGTATGGTATCTTACGCTCAGCTTTACAAATATTAGATCATTGTATATGCCCAGACCTGGTCGTCTTACGGTGAGTGTCACCACCATCTTTTCAGTTCTCTCTCTCCCACTCCCTAACTCCCCTCTGTCACTGAGTACTGTTGATTTTGAACTCTTGGTAGCTCTCAAATTCATCTACTTCTCTTCATTTTTATCTCAGAGCTCCCATAATCCCACCGCAATAGCCTCTCAACTGCCCCTCATTTCCCCCCCCCCGCACCCATCTCCCTACTCCCTGTTGTCCACACAGCAGCCAGAGTGACAGTTAAACACAAATCTGATCAAGGCTCACATAACCTTACTACCACCACCATCTCAGCCCCTGGGGGCACTCCGCTGCTTTTAGGGTGAAGTCCACACACCTTCAGTTTATGTGGGCTCCACTTGTCACCCCAGTGTCATCCCACAACCCTCCCCTCGCTCTCTGCACCACCCACACTGGCTGTCTCTCAGTTCCATGAGCGCCTGTGTCTCCCTCTTGACTTAGGGCCTTGACTCACTTAGACGCTACCTGGGACTTTCTCACAACCCATCACTTCACCTGGTTAATTCCAGCTCATTCCTCAGGTCTCAGATCAAATAGCACCTGCTCAGAAGGTCTCTTATGGAGCCCCCTGTCCAGTGTTGGCCTCCCAGTTACAACTTGTCACAAGTCAATTGCATCTCTTCTTCGCAGCATGTGATTATACATTTTTCTTGTGTTTATTTGTTCATTGTCTTCACTGCTTTTAAAGTACCTGAGGGTGGGTCCTTGTCTATTTTGGCTCACAAATATATTCCCAGCACCTAACAGTGTCTGGCTCAGTGTAGGTTTTCAATAAATGTCCAATGAATCAATCAATCAATCAATGATTTTTGGTGACAATATCAATCTTTAGACAATAAATTCACGTATTGTGTTAGCCTCATTAATCCTGAGCTTTGAAATGAAAATGAAGAAAAATTGAACATCCTCACTGTGTCTGCAAAGACATCCCCTCGGATGCCTTTAAGCAGTGTAGCTGTCTAAAGGACTTTCTGCTGCCCACACCAAGCCCACCTCACCTCTCTTCTCACCATTCTGACTCCCTTCTTTGGTTTTCCCATAGACTCCAAGGCTGCCAATGCTATGGGTTGTTATAAACTCTCACTCATATTTTTTTCTTTTGTGCCCAGTTCTTTTTTTTTTTCCTTCCAACTTTTATTTCAGTTTTGGAGGGTACATGTGCAGGTCTGTTACATGGGTAAATTGTGTGTCATGCGAGTTTGTTGTACAGATTATTTTGTTACTGAGGTAATAAGCATAGTGCGCTATAGTTAGTTTTTTTTTATCCTCACCCTCCTCCCACCCTCCACCCTCAACTAGGTCCCTATGTCTGTTGTTCCCTTCTTTGTGTCTACGTATACTCGAGGTTTACCTTCCTCCTAAGTCAGAACATGCAGTGTTTGGTTTTCTGTTCCTGCATTAATTTGCTTAGGCTAATGGCCTCCAGCTCCATCCATGTTGCCGCAAAGGGCAGGATTTCATTCCTTTTATGGCTGAATAGTATTCCGTAGTGTATATATACCACATTTTCTTTATCTAATCCACCATTGGTGGGAATTTAGGTAGATTCTATGTCTTTGCTATTGTGAATAGTGCTGTGATGAACATACATGTGCAAGTGTCTTCATGGTGGAACTATTTATTTTCCTTTGGGTATATACTCAATAATGAGATTACTGGGTCAAATGGTAATTCTGTTTCAAGCTCTTTGAGAAATCTCCAAACTGCTTTCCACAGTGGCTGAACTCATTTGAATTTCCACCAGCAGTGTATAAGCATTCCCTTTTCTCTGCAACCTCACCAGTGTCTATCTTCAACTTTTTAATAATAGCCATTCTGACTGGTGTGAGATGGTATCTCATCATGGTTTTGATTTGCATTTCTCTAATGATTAGTGGTGTTGAGCACTTTTTCATATACTTGTTGTTTGCCTATTCTTTAAACTTAGTTTAAACCTCAAAGTTTCCTAAAACAAGATAAACTCTCATAAGGGGCTCCAGCTGTCAGATTTTATTTTAAGTAAAAATTATTCCGAATTATTGTCTCTTCTTCTTATATTTCTCCTTTGGCTCACTTTTACTACCTAAATCTTAATCTGCTTTTGAAATGTTTCCAAAATATCTTTTGAGATATACATGTCAAGGTAATAAAATCAGCTATTTACTATCTATTTAGTTTGTCATGTAGTAGCAATATAACTCTATCACATGTTTTAATTGTCCCAATGTCACCTTTTATTACATTTGGAAAGTTTTTGTCTTTATGGAGCAATTTTCTTTTTCTGTTTCAAATGCTTTCACCAGTTGCATATGATGAAAGTGGCTGTGGAAATGCTTCACTGAGAAAGTGGGATTTAACTTATAGATACAGCTGATACCATTAATATGCCAGGATATGGATATGCTTGATTCCATACCCTGACTGAACCCGTACTCTAATCTTCCAACTCAAAAAAGCATGCCTTTTTAGTTACAAAATAATTTGGCAGGGAAATGAGAATGGATCAACACCCTCCCATCATCTTTATCAGAAAGGTTCTAAAAAACTCATTTCAGAGAGTCAAGTCAGGAATATTGCATTAGGAGTGCATATAATAGATGCTAACTTAATATTGTCCTCAGCATGCTTTGTTCCCCCTCAGGTCCTAGGAGAGAAAAATATTGGCCAAAAGAGATGATATTTTATTTAACAGTATAATGCTTTTATTGTCAGACTCATGGCCTTCAAGGGGTAGACCAGAGGCTCAAAGATGAAGGCAAATTTATGTTAAAATTATAAAATCTCAGTAGGTCCATGGATGTGGGCCATCAAAAACACTTTGCCATATTTCCATGTGGAGAAATCACGGAGTCATTTCAAAGACAGGCTGTAGGAAGGCAAGAATGTTAGTAACAGCACAAGCTTTGGCCTCAGACTGCCTGGTTCAAATCTCACCAGTGCTATTTGCTAAATGGGAGAATTGAGCAAGTTTATTTATCACAGGTGTTCCATTTTCCTCATCTATATGATGAGGGTAATTATAGTACTGTACCTGTTTTACAGGATTCTTATTAGGGTTAAATGAGACAAGTATATAAAGTGCCTCTTACATAGTAAGCACTACATAAACGTTAGCTATTATTATTACAGTTGGGTCCTTAATTCTCAATGTGGATACCAACCAGCAAGAGTTTTGACTCTTCTAGACTCTGATTTTCTTAACTTGAAGAATTAGAATGTTTGTAAAAACACTTTAAGATTCCCAAAGTGATTATTACTGTGAATATTAGGTAATAAAAGTTCACTTAAGTACCTGCCTACAGCATAATACAGAAAAGCATAGTCCAAAAAGTATAAAGGAGAAAAATAGCTATGTTCACATCTGAAATAATAACAGTTTCAGAAAACTTGGAAAATCCAAAGAAAAGTGTTAAAGAGTCCAAACAACTGAAGATTTCTAGCTAAGAGAAAGGCAATCTTGGGGCGTTGGGGGAAAAAAGGCTGAGCTGCAGGATTTAGCCTGGGTCCCATCTGCCCCTGAGGTTGGACAGTTGAGACCTAGAAGTTGTACTCTTCCCTTAACTGGCATCAAAGTTGGAAATTATTTTTCTTTCCCACGTTTTTAACTCCAAAACTTTGAATTCCTGAGTCTGGGGGAAATTAACACTTGGTAAACACAGTATTCAAAAGCAAGTTCCTGGCCAGGTGCGGTGGCTCACGCCTGTAATCCCAGCACTTTGGGAGGCCGAGACGGGCAGATCACGAGGTCAGGAGATCAAGACCATCCTGGCTAACACGGTGAAACCCCGTCTCTACTAAAAAATACCAAAAATTAGCCTGGCGTGGTAGCGGGCGCCTGTAGTCCCAGCTACTCCGGAGGCTGAGGCAGGAGAATGGCGTGAACCCGGGAGGCGGAGCTTGCGCCACTGCACACTCCAGCCTGGGCGGCAGAGCGAGACTCTGTCAAAAAAAAAAAAAAATAGCAAGTTCCTGCATGGCCTTGCTGATTAATGACATGGAGTAAGGCTAAATTTAGCTAGTGGTTCCTAGGAGGTCCCTGAGTCCTTGGGACTGTAGTAATTATATTGATGTCACTGCCCTTGGTCAAGGTGTCAGGATAGGTAACCTGAAACTATGACTCTCTGTTCCCTGCCCATATTCTGTGATTAAAAAAGATAAACTTGCACACTGCTTGGCAACCAGAGTTAGGACTTTGTCCTGGGCTTTTAGAAGTTCTTCCTTCTTGCTTATGTCCTCTGAACCAAGAAAATACCAGTGTGGAAGCTCTCACTTGCCAAGGTTGGTGAACCCCACAAGGATCTGAGCCTTCACCTTAGCAGACTGGATGATTTTTCCAAAGGACATATGCAAACTTTTCTCGTTTATTTTTCCCTTTAGTTTTTTGTTTGTTTGTTTTCTTTGAGACTGAATTTTGCTCACTCTCGTCGCCCAGGCTGGACTGTGATGGCTTGATTTCGGCTCACTGCAAACTCCACCTCCTGGGTTCAAGCGATTCTCCTGCCTCAGCCTCCTGAATAGCTGGAATTACAGGTGTCCGCCACCACGCCCCGCTAATTATTGTATTTTTAGTACAAAGTTTCACCATGTTGGCCAGGTTGGTCTCAAACTCCTGACCTCAGGTGATCCACCCGCCTTGGTCTCCCAAAGTGCCGGGATTACAGGCGTAAGCCACTGTTCCCAGCCCCTTTAGTAGTATTTTATCCATAGTCATGTCTTGTTTTCATCATTGAAATACTAAAGAGATAGAGGAGAGGGTAACAACAACAGCAACAACAAAAAGCTCTTCTCTCTCATTGTTCATGGAGATGCTGGCACCTACTGAGCAAGACGGTGGCATGCTAACTGCAGTCCATATTCACCCCTCTAAGCTTCATTCACAGAGATGACCTAGGAGTTGAGATTCCCCAGCCTGGCCTCTGGTGTTCCTCATTTCTGGCACACTCCTTTTGATCTGGGGAGCACCATTAGCACAACTGAATGAGGGGATTGATCCCAGACACTTAGCTGGAGTTGCTATGTGTTAATCGGTTGTTCTAAGGTGGAAGACAGCTGCTTTGCCTTGAGAAAAGGCAATGAAGAATATCTCTCATTATTCTTAGAAAACCAGTATAGTTCACATTACAGGTGTCAAAAGACAGCTGAGATTGAACAATCTGAACACACAGTTAAAATAAATTCCAAGTGGAAAAGAGGCTTCATTCGTGTGGGAAAAGATTGTAATTCTAAGTGAAGTGAAGAAACTTTAAAACCATGGTAACCAAGAACTGTGCCGTCATGTGTGCCTGGTTTGCATTAATTGCAAATGTGCGCTCCCCAGGTCCTTAAAATACAGCTGACGTGCCCCCATGAGAGAGAAATGAAGGAAGAGGAAACAAGCACTGGGCTTGCGCAAGTGCAAGTATTTTATTATCTCAACCAAGATTAATATTTCTAGCATACATTTTTAACTACAAGCTTTAGGTAGGTAACATCCTTTTAGATAAAAGTGAAGCCAGTCTCTAAACCAGGTCTTCTGATGACATGAAGTGGAAACATATAGATGTTGGGATCCTACCTCACAGTTCGAATCCCAATTCTGCCCACTAACTAGCATGTAGATAAGAGTATAAACATGAGGTAAAACATTCCAGCCGTGATAATACTTGGCTAATTTTTATAAAGTTTACCTCTGCCACTCTGTGTAAACAAATGACTGGTAGCTTAATGATGTAAAGATTTTGAGAGAGGAGTAATGGGGAAAAGGACTAATTTACTAATTTACAGAGACAAGCTTAGGTTGTGTTAATTAAAAATACTTCTGTAGCATACTTTTATGCAAGCTGTTTTCCTTAGAAAGATGCTTTCTTTTTGCAACATAACTACTAATAAAGTTCAGGTTTTTAAAAAATAGCTGTGCTTCAGAAGAAATCAGAGTTATTTTGTGAATCACTTACTTTGGGCCTAGACAAATAATAAAGTATAATGTGGTATACCTGGCTTTAAGAGACTTTCAGTCTAGAGAGTAGGCAGAATGTATTCTCATAAAGCCACTGGTATTACAGTGTATTTCATATATCTATGTCTTATATGTATAATATGCATAACCACCCACAGCTACATATGGCAGTATCAGTTACATACTAAAACAAATTTACTAAATTGTCCCATACAAAATAAAACAGCAAATGTCTAGAAAAAGAGGACTCAAGATAGTGACTGTCATCGGGATGAGTTCCAAGAGAAGGTTGGACTTGAGAAGGATTTTGCATAAAAGGTGCATCCTTATTCCCAAAGCACTTCCATGGTCCCTGCTCCCCAAACTATCAAGCCCAAACACCATGATCCCTGGCTTTCAGAGTTTTTTTGATTTGGTCCTGAGTACTCAACCATTTACATGATCTCCTTAATTTCCATTACGCTTTCTTATATAGCCTGTGGTCCTCGTTTTGTCACTTAGTCAGTCCTGCAGCATTTCAGTCTCCGAATCCATAAAATGAAGACACTGGCCTTTACAAAGATCTCAACAGCCCCCTTTGTTCATGCTAATTTACAAAGCATTTGATCTTCCCAGTAGCCCTATGAGGTGGAGAGGACAGGGATTAGCCCATTTTTTAGTTAAGAACACCAGTCAAGGTGCTCTGTCTTCAAGCCCAGTGCAAACCCTTCAAGCCCATAAATATTGGGTGTCTGCCCTCCTCTGAGGTGGTTCCTGCCTCGATCCTCCTTTGCTGTCTGTCCAAGTCCTGCCCCATCCATCAGAGAACAGCTTCATTCCCAACTCTTTCCAAGACTGCTCCAGACTTTACAGGCCCACCCACCTTAGGCACCATTCCACCCACAGGCAGAAATACAGAGGCTGGCACTACTCACCTCTCTTACCTCCCTGCCTGCCTATCCCATCCAATCCTGCCCACCCCAGAATGGTTCCCGGGGCCTGACACTTGTCTCCGCCATGGAGTGGTGAAACCTCAGGGCCCCTGCCTATTGGGTCTCTACACACCACACTGTCCTGGCTTAAGGTGAGCCCATGGAGCTCATTCGGGAGAGGCTTGTAGGGTGGATTTGGGGTAAGAGGGAGGAGACGAGATGTGCTTCCCCTGGCATGGGGTGGAATGGAAAGAAGAATGGGCATGAAATCCAAGCAGACAAGGCCAGAAGACAAAGAGACTTCCAATAATGGTAAAATTAAGATCTACCTAGGTTGCAGTGTCTAAGAACTAAGGTTTTCTTTTCTCACTTTCTCTCCATCTCACAAACTACACCCCACTCCCACTACCACCCCACTAGAAGCAAATTGCAGTTACCATGTACCCTGGGTTATTTAACACACTGAAATGAACAGCATTTGGCAGGATTCTGAGCAGTTATTTTGCACCACAGCACACACTAGAAACCAATGACCTGAACGATCTAAGGTTGCTGTTCTAGAACTGTTGTCTGCTTCTAACTAGCCCTCTTCCCAATTAATTTGAATTATTGAGCTTCATTCTTCCTTCACCAGTATGTACAAGAGGACCCAAGCCATCACACAGCCTAAGGCAGGCCCTGATTCCTGGGCAGCTAACAGAAAGCAGACAGAGGATGTACCAGAGCTGTAGGTTTTATTTAAAAGCAGTTGAGGATTTAGTACTAGAGCCCAGGGTGGCAGGAGAGCCTAGTGGGCAACACATGGACTCTCGAACCTGTGCTTGTATCCCAGTTCTTCTACTTAGCAGTTCTGTGGCTTTGGGTCCTTAGCATCTCTGTGACTCAGTTTCCCCAACTGTAAAATGGAGATAACAAGAATACCTACTTTCTCATGAGGATTAAATGAACTGAAATAAGTGAAGCTCATAGAACAGTCCCTGGCACACAGTAAGTAACAGGAAAGTGTTAGTTGCTATTATTTTTGTTGTCGTTGATTTCTCCTGCTATTACTGTTGTTCTTTGGAGGAAGGAGACATGATCTGATGCTCTTGCTGTGAGAATGAAGAGCCTAGCATAATAAATAGAGATTCGGCACACACAGAGTTCTAACTGTCAAGCCCTCGCCAGTCGCCCACTTCCCTCCTCCAGCACATCCACAGATACATGCTTTTAAAGAGAAAGAATTCCTCTGAGACAAAATGTTCCTTTCCTCTTGGTGACCTTGACTGAAGGAGCTGCGGCACACCCTGAAGTGGCCACCTGCTCCTCTTCTCCAATTCTTACCTAATCTCTGGACCAGGAAGTGGAAAGAAAAGCGCAAGAATATTGAAAAACAGTCAAGAGGTTTGTTAAAGACTCTTCTCAAAATAGATCAGAGGCATGCACACATACTCAGGAACTTGGTCAAGTATTTACACGCACCTTCTAAATAAGCTGACTGGTGAATTTTCAAGGAGAATGTAGCTCAGGAGTCATCTATGGATAGCAGTGAGACACTCACCTCTTTTTCACCTCTGGAAACTTTCCACCATCACCTCCTCCACCCCCAGCTCTCTCAGAGTAACAACAACTTCTTTAAAGAGCCCAGCAAAGTTATTTCTTCAGAGGTTGTTTGGGTTCATCCCATCATGTCCTAATATTTACATTTTGGATACAATTGGTGAATATTAATATTTTTTCCAAAGAGCTCAAATAAAATGTTTATTTCATGTTTAAAGTGAAATAAAAAGAAAATCCCTCAATGAGAAGAGTCCCTAGAGGAACATTTGAGGTTTGAGAATATTGCTAAGCCCAGGAATATAGAAGGACCCTTTTGGTCAAGTGAGAGGCAGGAGGCTTGGACATGAACAGAACCCCTTCTGAGTGTGTGATCAAGAAAAGGGGCCCATCTGTGTGGCGTGCGGGCCCATGGGGATGTGTGAGTGTGGGGAGAGAGACTCTTAAATGATGCCACAGTTGATTCCTGGACTGCCTCAGGGTATAGAACAGAGCTAAAGCAGGGAAAGGAATACCCCCAAAGGCAGCCTCCTTCCTCAGGGTTGTAGAGCAGTGGAGTAGTGGCCGACAAGGCTGACCAGGAGTTTACTCTGGCTGCTTCCAGGATGTTATCTGACTCTATTTAGACAATTATTCCTTGGTATGGTTTGGCTGTGTGTCCCCACCCAAATCTTACCTTGAATTGTAATAATCCCCATGTGTCATGGGAGGGACCCAGTGGGAGGTAATGGAATCATGGGGGTGAGTTTTACCCATGCTGTTCTCGTGATAGTGAAGATCTGATGGTTTTATAAAAAGAAGTTACCCTGCCCATGCTCTCTTGCCTGCCACCATGTAAGACATGCCTTTCACCTTCCACCATGATTGTGAGGCCTCCCCAGCCATGTGGAACTGTGAGTCCATTAAACCTTTTTTTATATATAAATTACCATCTTGAGTATGCCTTTGTTAGCAGCATGAGAATGGACTAATTCATTCCTAAAAGAACTCTCCTCCAACTAACCACCTTGGTCACTGATGGGGACTTTCAAGTGCACAGTGAGAAGGGCAGGGGGCTGGGGAGGTGGGATCATAGATGTAATCATAGGAGTAGGTACTCAGGTAAGAACTGGAGCAGGTGATTCCAAGGTGAATAGGTGGTGAGTCAGCTGTGTGGAAACTTTTTTAGGACAATGATTAGGCTAAAAAAAAAAAAAATTCTGGTAATCTTTTTTAAGCTAAAAGTATATTTGTTTATTCAACATTAAATACATGAGTTAAGTACCCACTGTGGGCCAAAGATGGTGCCTTAAGCTAACAGTGCACAAAGAAATGGGAAGAGATGCAAGATGGCCATGAATAGAAATGACCTAGGGAAGCACATAAACATAATACAGAATGCTTGAAAGAAATTGATGCTGAGATCTGAGAACACAGAGCAACACTGTAATTTTACCCAGGGGTGTCAGGGAAAACGGCTCAGAAGAGTTGCTATTTAGCTAGATAGTGAAGAAGAATAGGAGCTGGCCAGGCTAAGAAAAGTTAATGATTAAAAATGCAAAACCAGGACTAAATAGTACTGGGTCCAAATGATAGTTCAATCATTTACCACATGTAAAACCTTAATCTCTCTGAGCCTTAACTTCCTCATCTATAAAATGGGAATAATTCTGCCCACCTTGTAAAGAGAATTAAATAAGATGATAGCTGTACAGTTTTGTGCATAGTCTCAGCCCAAAGTAATCATCTGCAAATGGTAGCTATGGTTATTCTTTAGCCCATTTATTCTGGTCCTGGGCCATTAAAAAAAAGTGGCAAAATGCAACCCTGAGGAATTCCAGACTTCAGGGAGGCCCAAAATTCAAAGAGGTTTTGGTTCACAGGCCTTCACCAGCCCTCTGGATAGGCAGAACATGTTGGTAGAGTGAAACGTGCTAGCACAGTGGAATATTCTTGTATCTGGGATTATAAAATATATAGATAAGTTTCCTTCAGTTCTTAATTTCTGCCCATTCCAGGGCTTTATAACATGAGTCACACCCAGTCTCTAACTCACAAATCCCAATGAGGAAGAAATGAAACGCCAGCCACCTTCCCCATGTCTCCACTCCCAGTGGACTGCCCGTCAGTGTCCCACACCTTCCTCATAAGCCAGAGGCTCCCCTGCCCCCCAGCCACACCTTCCTCATTTTTTCTGTCCCTTCCTCATATTGAAAAATGTAAGAGGAGGAGGAGGAGGGGAATTCCAGTTTAGTTTAAACAGAACTCAGGGGGAAATGGCATTTGTTTTCACAAGGAGGAAATAAAGCCTTTTCAGTCACCCTATAAAGTTGCGCTAACATGGGCTCAGCAACCCCTTCATGTTCTCAAACTGTGATGCCCTCAGGTGTGGAACTTCCCAGGGCTGATGGTTACCAGCTGCTTCTGAAAGCAGCCACTGCTGTGGAGGTAACAGCAAGCTCAGGATACAAGATCTCCTAGGCTTAGGGCCAGATAAAGGTTTTCTGCTTTTGGAGGACTCTTGTTCCCATGGCTGGCATCCACTGAGAAGAGCCAGTGGGTAACAGAATAGTTAATACAGTGGTTCAAATATTTAATTACTATCTGTTTTATCTTATACCATTTGGCCTTATATTGGGCTGTACAAACTCTTAGAAGTGCCCCTTTGCCCAGCTGCCCTCAAGGGCCCATCAGGAGGAAAATAACTGGCTAATTCCAGCTCTGGTCATATAGGCTATCTTCTGTGGACATGGAAGGGTGACATGGAAGAGCCCCATTTGAAGATTGGGGGTACACTTGGAGCTAGAGAGCCACCCATCATATGGAGGAGAAGTGGTCACTCTATCACTTACAATAAAAAAAAAAAAAGATCACACTTTAGTTGGAGAACCTGCCTGATTTATCTTTAGAAAGAGGTGGTATGTAAATAAATTCAGTAAATCACAAAGTTGGAGGGGACCCAACTGCTTAAAGTTAGAGAAGAATCTTTGAAAAAAGGCCAAACCTGTGATTTCCTATATTAAACTATCCCTGGAGCAAGAAAGAAGAGTCTTGCAAAAAAATCAGCTATATTCATTCTTTTCTTCCATTTTTTAAAAGGAGAAATTAAATTAAAAGGTCAGTTTTTTACACTGCTCTTAATTGCAATGACTGTATCTTTTTGAATCTTAAAATACTCCCATCACCTTACCCTATGGTTGTAACCCTCCTTTCATAAGCTTTTAAAAGAGCTATTACAAGGCTTCAGTGAACTTTGAATTGTTCTAATTTCAACACAGTTTAGAGGCCAACAAGCCAAGAGGAGCCTTTCAAAGTAGGAGTGGAGGTTTTCCATAAGGGGAACTGACCTCGGACTTTCTCTGCTTGACCCAGTCTGCACATTTGAGCATTCAGTGCCATAATTCTGTCTTTACAATAGTAAAAAGGGAAAGAGAATTATTCTGGTAATTATATTAATCTGTCTCAAAATGATTCCAGGAGCAAAGAAATGGATCTGTGAGTGTTCAGAAGCTTGTAAGCTCTGAAACGGTTGAATATGATCAGTCTTTGCAGACATGACAAGCTCTGGTCTTAGTCTTAATGTTAGCAATGATTTTTTTTGGTCTCTCTTTTAGAAATTATAACCAGCAGGATCATGGATGTTTGATGTAGCATTCTTTCATCCAGAGCTTTTTAGAAGTTACTAAAGAATTAACAAGTGGACTGATTTGCTTCTTAACTGTGCTACAATTCTTTTGGTGGGAAGGCTAATAAAACGAACAGTAACAGGAGCCGTTCATACCAGCAGACAAAAATAAATAAATAAAAGAAGAGATACTAAAATAATCTACAGTGATAAATCTCCAAAAATATGGGGGAGATTCATCACTTTTGAGACCTAGTACACAAGATATGAGAATTGGTCCAGGATCATATATTTGCATAGCTCTTTAGATTGGTACACCTGGCATCTCATTTAATCCCCTTAAAATCATGCAAGATGGATAGAACACTCTTATTCCTCTGTCTCAGCAGGTAAGTAGTATAAGAGTCGTCAGGGTTAAGTAAATAGTTCATGGTCACACAGCTACTAATGGTTGAACCACACTCGAATCCACATATTCAGACTCCACATCTCTGGTGCTCTTTGCAGTGTGTTTAAGAGTCCCATTCATTTGTTGAAGTACTAGTAAATAATTTCCCAGTTGCCTAAAAGAGTAAATGGAGTCCCTAACACCAGCTTTAGTGCCGAAAACTCACTTTAAGTATTAGGGGACAAGAGCCCAGTTGATTCTTGCCATTTTTAAGGTGAAATGAAACTAAAGTATATTCATTATTAATGCAAAGCTCACACAAAAAGCATGTTGTGCTTCAAAGTAGTATTTGGAGGAGGTGTGGTTATTCTTACAAGGGTACATGCTCAAAGAGTTTTTTTAAACTGCCCATTAATAGTTGCTTTTGGAACCAGATTTCAAACTACAGAATAAAATATTCGCGTGACTTTATATTGCACCAAGATATTTCTACAAACAAAAAATAGTGTTACCTATCAGACCAGACCTTATTCTATATATCAAACTTCACTTTAGTCTCTATAAAACCAAGTTTACTATTCAAGAATGAAAACTGAACATATTTCCCACAGAGGAATGTTTTAAAATGCTTTCACTTGATTGCCTCATTAAAATTAGTGCATTTCCTACCAAGACGACCCTTTTGAAGTGGATACTGCCAATATTTTTATGAAAAAACCGAAAAAAACATTACTTTGCACTGACCCTTGAATAAAACATCCAAAGTCTCTCAATATTTCACAAGTAATAGAAAGATGAGGCAGAGCCCATAAAAGAAGAAAATAGGACATCAAGAAATCTAAAACCCACTACCCCTGCAAACAACAGCAGCAGCAACAACAACAGATTGATGTCATTCTTAAAAAGATAATCAAAATATGACTAAGTACTCCTCTCTAAATTCCAGGCCAGCCAAAAAGTCTTGATAAATATTGACGATTTACCCAATTTCACCTGCATAAAAAGTGTTTTGGTAACAGAATTAAAATCCTGGGTTTTATTCTAGCTGTGAATGTCATGCAGAATGATCTGAAGTAGCTTTTCCCCCTTTCAGAGAAAAGATGGGATCAGGCAGAAGGTGGATACTACGCACGCCAAAGTCACATGATGCCCCGTATCCTCATGTATCTTCTTTTCTGTGCCCTTCCTCCTTCACAGGCAGCATCGCCGCCATTACCGTGACAGTCATTGCCGTGGTGCTGCTGGTGTTTGGAGTTGCAGCCTACCTAAAAATCAGGTGAGACGCAGCTTACTCTTAAAAAAAAGGGATTCTGTTTTGTTGGGCTCTGGGCTGAGCGCTGTTTTGCTGGATACTTGTTCCTTAATAGGTATCTTAGCCCTTAGAAATATTGGCAGAGAAGTGAAAAATGGCGGGTGTACTCCTACACCACACAACACAGGTATAGACGTACAGTATCTGAACCTTGGCAAAGTAGAAGAAGCAAGCTGAGATATACAGCATGATGATGCAATGGAACAAGAATTAACGTGGAGTCGGGAGACTGAAGCCTAGGCTCCCTGCCCCAAATGTACCTCATTACCCTGGGAAAGCCACATGCCTCCTAAAACTCACCTATTCTCATCTGTGAAAGGGGGTAGAAGGGTGGGATCGATGGTTCCTAAATTCTGATGTTCTGAATACTGAACTGTGGATTTGTACCCAATCTGTTAATGAGGTTTTCATTGATTCCAATGCAAAATGTAAAAAATATAAGGAAGGTGTGGCATTTCCTATAAAACCGTTTTTTCTCCTGAGATTATGTCTTTATATTTTTGGCTTTAAAATATCTTTTCTCCTATGAAATGAAGTGATAGTAGCTGAGATTTTACTTTCTTTAGCCTAATAGGAAGTTGCAATACTCTGTGAGTCCTCCATTTTTGTTTTCTATTGCTCCGTGAAATCAAGTCTCAACACCACATTACTCACAGTCTCTAAGTGTCCTTCCAGCTGTAAAATGCCAGATGGCAAGTGACAGTCTTATTTCCTAGTCTGTGCAGTGCCCATAACAAAGGACAGAAAGACACAAGCTGCATGGTGAGCACACTCACCCTTGACCTCCAATTCGTTCTCCTCCCAGGAGCCAGAACCATTTCTATGCAAGCTCCTCTGCCCTGTCATTCCCTTCCTGAAAAACCCCAGTGGCTCCCCTTGCACTGAGAATTAAATTGTAACTCCTCAGCGTGGCCCTCAGTCATCCTGGACCGTGCCTGCCTCCCCTTTTCCAATCATCACATCCCTCTCTCCCTCTGAAGTCCTGAACTTCAGAAACTCCAGCTCCCTCCAATTCTTAGGACACACCAGGTTCTCTGTCCTTCCTTCCCCAGACCCTGCAATCTTGCTACTTCCTCCATGAGATGCTTGTCTTCTAGCTCCTTCTCATGCTGTGTACATTGGCTTTCATCTCACTTCCTTTGAGAGATGTCCTTTCCAGTTTAGAGCCCCTGTTATTTACTCTCTTAGTGCCTTGTTAAGTCTATCCTGGATGTGACCACTGTCTATTATTTTATTTTATTGCTATCATTTTGTTTTTGTATATGTGTTGCTTGTTTATTGTCTCTTTTCCCCACAAAAAATGTAAGGTCCTTGAGGACCTGGATTTGTCTGTGAGGACACTGCTAGGGACCAAGACGGTGCTTGATACATTGAACAAATGAGCAGTGAACCATAAGGACACACAATCCCATGGGCACTGTGGCGCACACACACAGACACCCCTGACTTGTCCCCCAAGCAGCCATGTTTCTTCCTCAAGAGGCTGTGCCACCCTGTCCTTCCCTCCTGCTCTTGACCCCACGTGGAGCTCATGGATATGATTCCTCATCTCAGAGCACATATCCACTCTGCTGCTGCCTCCTCTCATCCCCACTCGCCACCCAGCCCCACCCAGTGCCCACTGGGAGCACTTCCCTCCTCCTTCCCTTTTATCTCCCTCCATCTTGTGTTCTAAATGTGCATCAAATCAATCTCGATAATGTCAAGTGTGAGAGTGCCTTGTAATATCACCTGCGTCTACGATACAAAGAACAGGAAAGCCAGGTTTTGAAGAGAAATTGGAATTAAAGGGCCCGCTTGACCTGTTTCTAATAAAACATTTTATAAAAGCATCCAGAAGTTTCCCCCAGATTTAAAAAAAATATTTCTCTTCATTAAGTCTGCATGTCCTTGAGCACTAAACTTAATTTTATAAATTATATCTTACTGAATGATACCTTTTTCCATCTGGTTTAATTATTAGTTTATTGCTGCAGATACACCGTATTTTAATTACGAGTTAAATTGGCTTTTATGAACTACTCTGGGAACCTCGTTTCCATTTTATAACAAAGTATCTGTTGAAAAACATGTTCTGCCCCTCCTTCCCAAAAAGGAACTTACACATAAATTTTAGAGTCATTTTAGAATCACCAATGATGAGTTCCTAAGAGGCTACATTATCAAAAATACGACCTTCACTGAAGTGTGGAGTGAAATAGAAACACTTCCTTCTTGCTACACACTTCCCCAAAATGGTGCTGAAATAACTGGAAGGACTCTTCCTCTTCACTTTGGCAAGAATTCAAGTTTACCACCTCTAAACCCACACTGGCTATAGGCAGGCAGTCTAAAATAGTGATTAACAATTCAGACTCCAGAAGCAGGGAGCCCTCAGTTCAAATCCTGGCTCTACTACTTCCAGCACTGTGACCTGGGCATGTCACAGAGCACCACTAACCCTCATTTCCCTCACCTGTAAAATAAGGGCAGTAGTTTCTACCTTGTAGTGTTGTTTGGAAGCAAGTATATAGCACTGCCAACATCATCATCATCATCAAAGTGGTAGACTGGAAGGAGCCCCAGGAAGACAGTCCTTGATAGATAGCTGTAGAGCGTCAGCCATGTGCCAGGCCACATTAGTGATGTGACACAGTTCTGCCATCACAGTACTTACCATGTTTGGAAAATTTTGTTAGCAGGCCATTACAATTTGCTCTGATGAGTGCTGATTAAAATTTTATTTTAAGCTATATTTTCCCCAGGCGTTCAGAGCACCAGATAAATTAAGTAAATGATTAAATTGAATAAATCATTATTCTTCTTCCCCATACAGCTTCTGTCTCCTAAATGTAGTAAGATATACAGTGGCATAAATATAAGGTTGCTATTTATCTATTATGCTACTTAAGTTTAAGCACTATAAACTTAAGAATGGATACAGTTATTAGACCCTTAAGGGGTTTCAGAAACCCCCTAAGGAAAGCCCCTTTCTGCTTCTCTATTAATTATTTTGGTAAAATGATAACATAAGGAGATTAATCGTTGTTATGAATCTTAAGGCTATGCTAAAACCCCTTCAGCTGTTATTTTGCCAGGTTGTCGGAAAGCCCCATTAATCGTTCATCAAAAATACTTTAATTGACGTGTGTGTGTGCATGTATGTTCCTAAGGATAGGCTTTGCTTTGGTTGGGAACTTACTCTTCTTTCTTCATCCCAGATTTCTAAAAACAATAACATAACAAAAGATCTGTTTTCTGTGGTCTTTTAGCTTGTTTGGCTGGAGCAGCGAGTGACTAAAATCACAACCCATAGGGAGCCATTAGCTTCTGACCTGCAACCATGGGATATGGCCCTGGCCCAGCCAAGTTCTCTGCAAATGCAAGGGGAGAATCTGCTTGAAAAGGCAGCCTCATGATCAGAAAAATAGAATGCTTGGCAAGCTCTGCTAACAATGGGTGGGGACTTTTCACCTTTCTTCCCAGATCCTCATTTCCTCTAAAGGCATTGTAAACTTAAGAGCCATCTGCTTTTCACACTCCCTTTCTCCAGGGACCCATTACCCCTAGTTTTGTCACAATGACCCCTGCCTGGAGAACCACATCTTTTTGTAACCTGAGCCACTTTTGGATGTGACTTATAAAATGAACTGCCCTGAACCCAGGGCCCTTCTTGGTTTATGATCCCACCTTTTAACCAGCAGCAGTGTGGTGTGGAGGGAAGAATGTGAGCTTTGCAGTCAAGTTTAATGCTGACTCTTCTACTTACTATTTAGGCGGCCTTGGGCAAATTATTAACTCCTTGATCCTCAATTTCTTCAATCTGCAAAAAATAGAGTTAATAATATGTATCTTTCAAGGTTGTTTTAAAGACGAAATGAAGTAATGAATGCAGAGTAACTGGAGAGACTAGCATGGTGACTAAGAACATGCACTCTGGGGCAAGTTTTCTTTTTTTGAGTCGAAGTCTCGCTCTGTCACCCAGGCTGGAGTGCAGTGGCGTGATCTCGGCTCACTGCAACCTCCACCTCCCGGGTTCAAGCAATTCTCCTGCCTCAGCCTCCTGAGTAGCTGGGACTACAGGCACACACCACCACACCTGGCTAATTTTTGTATTTTTAGTAGAGACGGGGTTTCACCATGTTGACCAGGGTGGTCTCGCTCTTCTGACCTGGTGATCCGCCCACCTTGGCCTTCCAAAGTGCTGGGATTACAGGCGTGGGCCACTGCGCCCAGCCTGGGGCAAGTTTCTTAATCACTTTGTGCTCAGTTTCTTCATGTAAAATGAGACTATAATAATAATAGTACCTAACTCAAGATTGTTACAAAGATTAAATTATGATACATATAAAGGTTCAGTGCCTGGTATGAGGTGAGGATGATGGAAGGTCAATTACTGTTACTGCTGTAGTTTTTAGAACAGTGCTTAGCAAATAGGGACTCAGTAAACTGGTAACCACCAACACATAGGCTGTGAGGTTGGGAGCACAGTCTCCATCCTACCATTTCCATTCAGTAGGCGTAGGGATTCAAAGGACAGGGGAGAGAAGGAGGGGGAAGATGGCACAGCAGCTCATTTCCTAATTGAATATTGATATGGCGGTCTTCCATGTTCCAGTTTGGCAGTTTCGTTAGTGCTATTCTGAAACGTCTGTGAAGTTGAATCCATGTTACACATTTATAAATGGAAACTATCTCTGAGCAGTCTTTATGCCAGGGCTTGTTTGCAACTTTAAAAGAAAGCAAAGGCCCTGTCTACCTTTTGCAGAACTATCTTTAATTAGTGATGATTGAAGAATGAGATAAGTCTGTTTTGATTTGTTTAAGTTGGCTCAAAACTGTTCAGCCAAGACATAATCTCCCTGCACAGGAGACCGTATCTGCTAAGACCAGTGATGTGGATGTTGCTGTAATTAGGTGTGCTGGTGACCCAGACAGACTACATGGGCTGTTTTCTTCACAAAAATAAATGCAGTCTTGATTTATAGACACAACAGGACCTGTCTTTTAAGACGTCTTGTTAGAAGTCACCTATTTTGCTTTATGTCTTCTAGTGATTGCAGGTTGTACAATTGGATTCCTTCTGGTTGTTAGAGTAGGCCCAGCCAGCCATAAAGGCCAAGATCTTCTAGAATTTGTTATACACAGTTGACTTTTTCAGGTCACCTTTTGGAGTTCTGTAGGTCTTGTTTACTCAATTTTCTCCCTCAGTGGTTCTTAAACTTTAATGTGCATAAGAATCAATGGAAGAGTTTATTAAAAACACAGTTTCCGGCCGGGTGTGGTGGCTCACGCCTGTAATCCCAGCAATTTGGGAGGCTGAGGCGGGCAGATCATGAGGTCAGGAGATCGAGGCCATCCTGGCTAACACAGTGAAACCCCATCTCTACTAAAAATACAAAAAAAAATTAGCTGGCCCTGGTGGCAGGCACCTATAGTCCCAGCTGCTCGGGAGGCTGAGGCAGGAGAATGGCATGAACCTGGGATGTGGAGCTTGCAGTGAGCCAAAATCGCACCACTGCACTTCAGCCTGCGTGACACAGCGAGAAAAAAAAATAAAATAAAATAAATAAACAGTTTCCTGGGTCTCATCCCCATAGATTCAGATTCAGTAGGTCCAGGTGGGGCCCTTGCATTTACATATCTAACTAGCTCAAAGGTGATGCCAGTGCTGCTGGTCCAAGGATCACACTTTGAGTAGCCCTGTTTTACCCGCTTCTAACACTCCAGTAGCCCTGTTTTACCCATTTCTAACACTCCAAACACACTCTCTGCTGTACAGTTTCCCAGATAGATTGCCCTGTTGTTTCATATATGTTTCAGATATGTTGCCCTGTTTCAGATATATTGCCTTTGTAATTTTGAACATGCTGATCCCTCTGTGAGAGGTGTTTGGTTCACCCCTTTCCCAATCTGGCTAATTTCAAGTCGTCCAGCTCAAGAGAGATCTCCTTTGGGAAGCCTTCATCCACCTTTCCATACTGAGTTCCTTGCTGTGCATGCTTCCCTCATACCATGTGCTTCCCTGTACTGCAATCAGTGCATTCTCTACCAGTTTTCTCCACTAGAACAATATCAAGTCCTTGGCAGTACCTGACGTATAGTAGTTGCTTAATGAACATTTATTGGATGAGTTCATGAGTCTGAATAGGAAAGTTTGGGGGTGCAGCAGTAACATTCGTTTACTCCTAATCAAGAAGAACCAGGGTTTGGGGAAGGGGAAGCCATGGGAATCTGTTAAACCACACAGATTTTTACTAGCTACGTCGTGACACTGAGCTAGTTTACAAATAAACAGATGTGCCAATGTGTAGACCTTTTCTGTGATGATTGTCTTCCAATAGTAATGCCATCTGGCAGATAATTTTTTAAATAAACAAATATGACCTGCCCCTTCAAAGCAAAGGTAATTATTTCAAGATATGCTTGAAAGTAACAGCTTTTTAAAAGAAACCCAGAGTCTGGAAAAAAAAAGGATTTTAAAAATAAATATTTGGAAATATTCCCATCAGTGAGATTTTTGTTTAAAAGATGGAACTGATAGGATTCCTTAGTTGTGATACTCACTCTGCCACTAACTTGCTGTCGTAACTTTGGGTGAATAAAATAAATTGTAATGATTTCAGTTTTCTTAGCCCCAAAATTGTGGTTCACAATATTAATTTCTTAGTTTTGACAAATGTACCACAATTATGTATCAACATTAGTGGAAGCTGGGTGAAGGGTATACGGGAAATCTTTGTACTATCTTTGCAGCTTTTCTCTAAATCTAAAATCATTCCAACATACAAAGTTTATTTTTTTTAAATTATGACTCAGTAGCTACCACAAAGATATATTGTTTGCTTTTGCCTCAGGGCCTCTGTACTTGCTGCTCCCTCTGTCTACACGGTATCCCTCGGTTATCCACATGGCTCATCCGTCATCTCCTCTATGTGTCTGCTCAAAGATGTCTTAGTGAGACCTTCCTGATCATCATATTCAGAATTACAGTCCCCACCTCCTACTGGGAACTCCTCACCACCCCACCCACTTCTTCTATTTGTTTTCTCCATGGACTTAGTAACATTCACCATGTTATTATTTGTATATTATTTACTGTGTCTCCCCACGTAGAATGTAAGCTCCCTAAGGACAGGGATTTTGATCTGTTCAGTTTATTAAGGTATCAACCAGGTGCTAGAATAGGGCCTGATAGATGGTAAGTTTTCAATGAATACTTAAAGAAGCCAGGCAGGAAATGATAATCAGAAAAAAAGAGGAAACGATGGAAACAATGAAAAGGAGACAGTGACAGCTGCATCAAACAGTTTTGTTAATGGACAACAAGAGTCTAAGGCTTAATTACTCATGGCTAATGAACTGAAAGTTCAGCTGCATTTTTCCAGCACTAAGCCATGTCTTAATCATCTTTGTATCCTTCCATATTTCTTCATATCCTTAGCACATGGTAAGCACTAATGATTGAATGGCAAGACTTGCTTGACTAAAGAGGAGAGGGCTTTGTGGGGCATAGTCATAAATAAAGGTGGAGACTTGTGGAGAACTGGGGCTGACCCTTGTAAAGGACAAGGTATTTCCTAAAATATGTTTTGTTTCAACGCAAGAAAAGGGACACTTCACTCATTTTCAAAGACAATAGAGTTTCATTAAGTATTGATGCTACAGTTATCTTTAAATAGGTACCATTTTGCAGTGTTGGAGAATACCTCAAGCCACAAATGTCACCACATCATTTACCATTTGTCACCAACAAGTGGTCACCAAGTAGGGGCAGGGAGTAGGGAGTGCTGCTTTCTATTAGGGAAGAGCCACTAGAGAAAGAGAGCAATGAGGGAAGAGTTTAAAAGAAATCATTCTTCATTTTTCCCCCTCGGGTTTTAATTTGCTTACTGCACCATATGATACAGTAGACTCACATTGACAATAAGCACAGTGCCATTGATTAACGGGCTGTGAGCACTGTGCTAAGGGCCTTAAAGCCACATCATTGCATGCTAGTCCAGCCATAATGCTCTTTTCCCTTCCTATGTTTAAAGTCAAAACAGTGACTTTGACCATCAATATTCCTTATGGGATGTTTTCATTTTTCCAATTATACTATACAATGAATTTCCATGGGCCATATTAATCCTAGCTGGTATTAGCCAAACCCCATAGACACTCCATATACACTATCTATGCTGCTGCATATAAGCAGTTATCATCAAATATTTATAAAATAACCATTATATCAACAGCAACATGTTAGGTGTTTCAGGTAGTTAGAAGAAAAGTAGGACATAGTCTGCCCTCAAGAAGTTTACCATCTAAGCGGAGCCAAGACACAGCAAAGAGAAAACATGGCTATATTGAATCAGTGCCAGTCTTTATTAAGACTTTTAGTAAATAAAATTGCTTTGACCTTACAATGACATCATTCATCCAGATTGCTGTTCAGGTTGAAATTAGATGAAGCAATGTTGCCTTATAAAGCAAGCAAAGAGACCTTGGTTTCATTAGCAGCACTACCATTAAATAACATTGACAAAGTCACCTAAATTCCTTGGGTCCCACTTTACTTATCTTGAGAATGGGAGTTGCTTTGTTTTTTGGTTTCTGATTGTCTTTTTTTTTTTAACCTCATACACTATGCAAATGCCAATCTGAAAACCTCCCCATTTCCATCCAAAATGTGCCATGATTTAAGAGGTTCTGACCTAGAGAGAAAGTTTTACATGCTCACTAATTATTGTCCTCTTATCACACGTACAAAAAATGTGTTTGTCTTACTCTTACTACAATAGTATCCAATTTGTCCAAACCTGGCTGGAATCCCAGTACACCCAATTTTTCCTGTTTAAGCTCGTTAATGTGGTAAATAAGCCCTATGGGTTCAGTACATTCCCAATTTTGGTTCATCCATATCTCTTGTATATCT
This sequence comes from Homo sapiens, assembly GCF_000001405.40. NCBI lineage: Eukaryota > Metazoa > Chordata > Mammalia > Primates > Hominidae > Homo > Homo sapiens. Next base: position 75,042,897 of record NC_000004.12, read on the forward strand.
TTCCTCACTTATCAGCATTTTACTCAACTCACTGTTTCCTTAATGGGAAGGAAAAAAAAAAAAACAAAGTAAAGGCCAATCTTTTTCCTTTATTTTACTAGTGTTTGTATAGGAGGTGTGTCTTACAGTATAGGAGATTCAGATATAGCATTAACCAAATAGTCTTGCCTAAAATAACCATAGCCAGTAAACCTGATAGCCAGAAGATTTTCAATCCTCTAACCCCCATTCCAACATACTAATAAACTTTAAAAATTCAAATACAATAACAATCATGTAAGAAACTGGTTTTATAACTATGCCTGGGGTATAGTTTCAAGAGTTCCCAGTGGGAGGAGGTTCACTTTTCATTCAATGACATTTTTTACTATTTGGCAGATTCACCATGTGCTTGTATAAGATTTATTATATTAAAAATTTAAAAACAATATTGGCCAACATTCATTGCACATTTGCTATGTGGCAGGCCTTTTATATTCATTACCTTATTTAATCCTCCTAACAACCATAAAGCAATTTTTTTTAAAGTTTCTCCATTTTATAGATGAAGAAACAGGGGGTTAAAAACTTATTCAAGGACATACATTTATTGACCAAACTCACATTTTATGGGAATAAAAATATATGATAGAGATAAAAATTCTGTGAGAAGTTCAATTACCATACAAGGTGAAGCAGGAGTACCCTATCAATAAAGGAGCATGTTTATTGAGTATATTTTGCCAGGCTTGTAGCAGTAAGTTATGCTGAAATTTAGGCAGAGCTCCAGGGCTTTAGTTACCGGATTTTAACTTGTTCATTCTACAGCTTCCATTTCTCAACCATCCTGTTAAAGGATTTGATTGGAACTGGAGGTTTCACATTTGGGGAGAGTGTTGGCCATAGACAGCCCATGACCTTTGTTTACCAAAGCTACCTCCCTTATTTCTATAGATCAAAGAAGCAGTGGTGTTTCTGGGTTTCTATTTATGGTCTCTTTCATTCCCATACCCACAGAAATAAATGTGAGCCTTTAGGGAAAGCAAACTGTGGAACATCTTCAGGTTTTCAGGTACATAGATTAGGTCAGCTGAATCAGCCTTCAGGACATAAATCAGAATTTTGAAGGCTAAGAGTTTGAAACGAGCACAGCAAAGGTCTAGTTCTTTGCAAAAAAAAAAAAAATTGTCTTTTTGCAAATACCTGGCAGATGTAAATAAGCTTCAAAATTGCAATAGCAATTATTTTAGCAACAGATATAAGTATACCAAATGCTTTTTGCACCTTTGAATTGTGTTTTCATTTTGTTTAATTTTCACATCTAGCTGAGATAAAAATTAGTGGGAGTGGTCATTTTTTGTACTGTATCTAGCATACATGATTTCCAGTAGCAAGGTATAATAATTCATATGCTAGCATGAGCCTTAGAGGTAACAAATGCTCATTTTGTGATGCTCTTCTAATCCTGCCATTAGTTTTAGTCTTAAAATGACCATATTCCTTTCCAGGGAGCTCCCGTCTTATGAACAGATCAGTTTTGGGGGGATCTCTGGATTTATTTTTTCCAATCACTGTTTCTTTCATAAACACGTATTGAGGACTTACTGTGTGTCAGATATTCTTCTGGGTGCTGGAGTTGGAGCTAAGAATAAACACAGCAGGCAAATAATCCATACCTGCATGGAGGTTACAGTCTAGTTCTGGAAGAGAAGCAATAACAAGTAAATTATATAGTATGTTAGAAGGTGAGGAGTACTATGAGAAATATTAAGCTGGGAGTCTGGGGTGGGGGTTGAAAACTTAAATTGAATTGTGTTTTAGTCCATTTTCACACTTCTGATAAACATACCCGAGACTGAGCAATTTACAAAAGAAAGAGGTTTAATTGGACTTAACAGTTCCATGTGGCTGGGGAAGCCTCAAAATCATGGCGGAAGGCAAGGAGGCACAAGTCACATCTTATGTGGATGGCAGCAGGCAATAAAAAAGAAAGCTTGTTCAGGGAAACTCCCCCTTACAGAACCATCAGATCTCATGAGACTCATTCACTATCATGAGAACAGCACAGGAAAGACCCGCCCCCATAATTTGATCACCTTCCACAGGGTTCCTCCCACAACATGTGGGAACTGTGGGAGTTGCAATTCAAGATGAGATTTGGGTGGGGACACAGCCAAACCATATCAAGTTGTTAAGGAAGGCCTCACTGAGAAGGTGACATTTGAGCGAAGACTTGAAGGAAATGAGAGAATGAGCTGTGTGGAGACCTGGAGGACAATTGTTCCAAGCCAAGGAAACAGTCAGTGCAAAGGCCCTGAGGCAAAGGTGTGTCAGGCATGAGAGTAAAGAGAAGGAGACCAGTATGGTTATAGCAGAGGGAGCAAGGGTCCTATAATAGGGGCTGGTATGCTTAGAAAAGTAGCTGGGGCCAGACCCCATAGGGCTTTGCAAGGCATTTTAATGATTTGGCTTTTACTCTGAGATGAGGATCCATTCAAAGGTTTTGAACAGAGGAGTGATAACAATCTGATTTCATTTCTTATAGATATATTATTAATTATGCAAGAGGGTCTCACAATTAATTATCCACCAAATTCTGCTTAACCCATATTGCCATTCAACTAAGGTGCTAATGAGACTCTGAGAACTTGTGCTCTAAGTGCTGGATTTAGATAATGGAGATGGGGATTTGGCTGACAGCTCAGTTGGATGACTTTGGGCACTTCAATTAACATCTCTGAGCCCCATTTTCCTTGTCAGAGAAACAAGTTTAAACTATACCTGCCCCATGGCCTTATTTTGAGGATCAAGTAAAAACTAAATATAGAAGCACTTTATAAATTATAAGACAATATAAATGTCAGGAGAGGTGGTGATAGCAACAGTGGTTGTGGTTGTGTCACCATTATTTCAGGGAAAATTAAGCCCAGAACCTAAGTCAGAATGTTAGGAATGCAAGCTTCCCTTTCCCATCTCTTCTTATTAAATTACTATGGAAATGGGGCCTCCTCTTCCTTCCCCAGCACTTGGGATCCAGAAGACAACAAGGACTCAGATGATGCCAACAGAACATGCCAGTCAGGATCCTAGCAGGAAGAGTTGTCATTGACAGGGTGTTTGGTAGACCGGGGCCTCCACGGTGGGTGGGTCTGCTGTCCTAGTGAGAGCGTCACAACTTTCCCTCTCCCTGGCCCCATAAGCATCCCCAGTTCAGTGCAGGGCATTACGCTGTCCTCAGATGGGCAACTTTTCCAAGTAATCACAACCCTCTTCTGTTTCTCCACCAGGCATTCCTCCTATGGAAGACTTTTGGACGACCATGACTACGGGTCCTGGGGAAACTACAACAACCCTCTGTACGATGACTCCTAACAATGGAATATGGCCTGGGATGAGGATTAACTGTTCTTTATTTATAAGTGCTTATCCAGTAGAATTAATAAGTACCTGATGCGCATTGAACGACAATCTTAAGCCCTGTTTTGTTGGTATGGTTGTTTTTGTTTTCCTCCCTCTCCTCTGGCTGCTACAACTTCCCCTTTCTGGTACAAGAAGAACCATTCTTTAAAGGTGAGTGGAGGCTGATTTGCAGCTGAAGTGGGCCAGCCTTGCACCAGCCAGGCCAGACCACCATGGTGAAGGCTTCTTTCCCCACTGCAGGACCCACTTTGAGAAGGACCGAGGAGGAGGATTTGGGTTGTTTTGTTAGGGGTTACTTTCAGGGGAACATTTCATTTGTGTTATTTCTTAAACTTCTATTTAGGAAATTACATTAAGTATTAATGAGGGGAAAGGAAATGAGCTCTACGAGGATTTCACCCTGCATGGGAGAGAGCAGGGTTTTCTCAGATTCCTTTTTAATCTCTATTTATCTGGTTGTTTCTGACAGGATGCTGCCTGCTTGGCTCTACAAGCTGGAAAGCAGCTTCTTAGCTGCCTAATTAATGAAAGATGAAAATAGGAAGTGCCCTGGAGGGGGCCAGCAGGTCACGGGGCAGAATCTCTCAGGTTGCTGTGGGATCTCAGTGTGCCCCTACCTGTTCTCCCCTCCAGGCCACCTGTCTCTGTAAAGGATGTCTGCTCTGTTCAAAAGGCAGCTGGGATCCCAGCCCACAAGTGATCAGCAGAGTTGCATTTCCAAAGAAAAAGGCTATGAGATGAGCTGAGTTATAGAGAGAAAGGGAGAGGCATGTACGGTGTGGGGAAGTGGAAGAGAAGCTGGCGGGGGAGAAGGAGGCTAACCTGCACTGAGTACTTCATTAGGACAAGTGAGAATCAGCTATTGATAATGGCCAGAGATATCCACAGCTTGGAGGAGCCCAGAGACCGTTTGCTTTATACCCACACAGCAACTGGTCCACTGCTTTACTGTCTGTTGGATAATGGCTGTAAAATGTTTAAAAACAAAACAAAACAAAAAAGAGGCACTAGTCTATCTGCAATTACTCAACGAGGCATTTTCATAGGAAACAGACTATGATTAATCCATTTATTCTTCCCACACACTTACCTTACTAAGTCTTTGCTTTAATAAATGAGCAACCCTGGGTATAGTCTTAAAATTCTGCACAATAAATTTTGAGAAAGAATTGTTCCTCTTTGTAGGTATCTGTGTATTGCAATCATTCTCAACCAGGAGGTGATTTTGCCCCCTGACTCCACCCCAGGGACATTCAAAAATGTCTGGTGACAGTTTTCATTGTCATGACTTGGGGGTGCTACTAGAAGCCAGGAATGCTGCCAAACATTCTACCATGCACAGCACAACCTACAACAGCAAAGAATCATCCACCCCAAAATATCAGTAGTGCCGAGATTGAGAAACCCTGATTTATCACAATGCCCACTGTGACAGAACAAGACACTCACAGATTAGTGATACGTTTTATTTTTAACAAAATGAAATGATGTGTTAAGTTTTTATTTCCAAAGTGTTTAGTTTATTGGCTGATGGGTTGTTCTTGGTATGCATGGTGACCTTTTTATTTCTGTGTGCTTCCTAGAGAGCTTTATTTCATGGCGACAACTCTGTCTTCTTGTAACAGCTGATATTAGCAAGCAGCATCTTATGTCCTGATTTCATATAGTAGAAAACAAACATTGGGTCCGACTTCAAAATGTGTTGTATTGTCCTACAGTGTCATAAAGAACCTGAAAATGAACTTTTGTTTCTAAAGTTGGACCTTGCTGCCATGACTGTTTAGTTTACAGAAACTTGACCCCGGCTCATCCTGTCTCTGGCTGTGGCCCGGCAAAGCACTGAAAACCCCTCTGGTCTCAGAGACAGTAGGGGCAGTGCCACTTTCTACAACCTGCCAACCCACACACTGGAGTAATTCTGAAAAAAATTATTCCTAAACTCTCTAAGTGTGGACGGAGAATGAGCAAGCCCCAGAAGTATTTTACAACCAGAGTGGGTAATGAGGAGGGGGCTTACTGGAATCGTCATATCTCTGAATATTGAAAACAACAACTAAAAAAGTGGACCTTCTCAGAAAAAAAGGGCAGCAAATGACCAAGGGCGCCCCTTCTGGCCGTGCTTGGCTTGAGTAACTGTCTCTCTTTCCCCACCCCCATCACAGGGCTTTCAGTTTGGCAAAGGAAAAGCAGATAAAAACAGAACATTCCATATGTTTCTTTCTCCATCGGCCAAAAACATTTTGACACAATGTTTGTGAAACACCTTTGGAGAGGTGCACTTCTGAATGCTGCCTCTGCCGTAAATCCTGGGGCAAGGGATCAGCCTCTTCCCAGGAACCATCGCCTTCTATAAACCGTGAACTCAAGCAGGCATTTTTTTTTTCTTACCGAAAGGCTGCTATTGTGCAAGGGCACATAATGGGTCTGTTGCTCTTATTGGCTTCCAAATGTGCATGGCAAAGAGAGAGATGTGGGCCTAGAGCAGATATATTCAGCAAGGTGACAGCTTCCCATAACAATTCTAACACTTCTTATCTTATGTGAGAATAAAATATTTAAGGGTTGAACCTTATTTTGCCAAATGTATCTTTTCTGCTTTTGAATTGGGCAGAAGATTTTAGCAACTATATTCTACAAATGTTACTTATAACACACACACACACATCTGAAATATATGCCGAAAATTGACGTCTTTGACCTCAGGGAGAGCACCTGTCCAGGTCTGCCTAAAGGAAATGGCTCCAGTGGGTCTAAACAACCACATCCTATCCATGGATAGGTCTAGTCATAACACTTTAGAGAGAATGTCAGAGCAGGAGGGAGGCAAGCCGCCTCTTCTCGGCCATCGACTGCAGATGATGAAAGAGCGGGATTCAACTTTGTTTTCTTTTCCTGTGGCCCCAGTGAAACCTCCTGCCCTCCCTGCACGTCTGTGTCTTCATTTCTAAAATGGGGGTGATGCTTTCATATTGACCTCACCCCATACTACCTCACAGATGTGTTGTGAGGATTAATAAAATTATGTCTATGGTATTTTCAGTTTCTGGAGAAAAATACTTATAGACAGTTTAACTATTACATAGATATATAAGTGATCTCAGTTTCTTGTTTGCTGTGATACTAATGTGTTGTTTTAACTTATTCCATAAAATGACAGTTGTGTCCTAGCCACATCAGACAGCTATCTAAGCTCTGGACTACCCCTTTGTGCAGCTGAATCACTGCAGGGTTGACCATGCCTGGTGCCACAGCCATGGTTTCCATTTCTAGATGAAAGGATGGCCTAGGACATAGGTCTCAAAGACTCTTGGATCAGAATCAGGAGATTAGGGAAAACAGGATGGATACCTGAGCACTAACAGCAGTAGACGTAGACCTCTGTCCTTTACCATCTGAGGTCTTCTGGATTCTTTGTGGGGTTAATTTTGATTTGATGTCATCTGTTTGCCCTTCATCTTGCTTGCAAGTGTGCATGGTTCAATCCCTCACATCCAGGAAATGAATTTTGCAATTGGGCCAGATGCTAATTTGCACGTTGATTCACCTTCTTTGCCTTTAAGCCTTTTTTTTCTTTTTTTTTTTTTTGGCAAATGAATGTACCATTTCAACTTTGATTTTAATAGTGCTAGTTGATATTGGTAATAATGCTAACCAAGAGATCAATGCCAGATTTTTCTCTTGGGGTAAGTTAGCTGAAGTCATTTAAAGATGGAAAGGTGGGAAAATTCTTTGATATTTGATGTCATTGTATCCACATTTGTTGTAAGACATATTGCATACCAATTATAATTATATCAATTAAAGTTGATAAAAGCTTCCATCTGTCTGTGGGTGATTCACATTTTGATATATTTTGTTATTCAAACCACTTGATTGATATGCTCAACACAACTCATATTAAGTAGTTTTGACTTGTTCTTAAAGAAAATGTATCCCACACCAGTAAATATTTTCTGCATAGCAGAAAGGTCTTTCTGACCTTGAAACGGAATTGAAGAATGTCAGAATTGAAGAAACTTGTCAAGAATTGAAGAATTGAAGAAACTTTTCAAGCAGTGATTTTACTCTCAAATATACTCTGGACCTTATAAAATAGATGTAAAAACAAACACTTTGATTCAATGAGTTGATAGCAATACATAATCAAGTCATATTAAAGTATATTGGCATTAGTAATACATTTGACATTTGCTTCACTCCCCTTTAAAAATTAAATTCAGCATACTCATCCTTATCTGACAGTTAAATAGCAGGCAATTTCAGTCATCCAAAATATAATTTCAAACCCCAAAAGCAAACTAAAGATGATTCTGATTCCAAAGAAAAGAGCAGCAGCAAAACCCATTCATTTTGTTCCATAGGAAAGGAATAGATCACCTGCAAGCTAGAACTTGTTGATTAGATGATGGATATAAACTTGAGGTCAGGTTTAATAGGTTTAGTTACTTGGTCAGATTTCATAAGTTTAGTTACTCGGCTCCCAGTGACATAGCATGGAGGATTGACTGGGAAGAGTCAAGATATGGAATGAGGATTGAGCATGAAACAGGCCCTATCCATTAATTATTTGGTCATTTCTCGAGGAGCATTTCGTGGGCACAAAAGCAACTAAAAACCCTATTATTTACTCCCCCAAAATTCAATAGCACTCTCCAATAGCTGACTATGTTTTGACTTCTGTCAGAAAGCACTGAATCATAAATGACCTTTAAAAGCACTGATCATGTTGGGAAAAACCTATAAGAGGCATGATGCCTTCCTTTAAAGGACCTAGTCTTTGGCAGATGTAGACTACATTTGCTGCACCAAAACACCATTAATCAGTTTGAGTCAACAAATATACTGAGTTTTTATCCTAAGCAAGATACACAATAATTACTACAAAAACAGAAGTATAATATTCTTTAGGAAACTTGGGTGTCTGTGAGCATTATCTAGTGTAATCCTTGCATCTGCTTTAGCGGTCATTACATTATCTCCATTTTACAGATGGGGAAACTGAAGTTCCAGAATATTAAATTTATTCATCCACATATTGAATCCTTCTATGTACTCTGTAATGAACAAGATAGTCCCTGTCCTCCAAGTATTTACAGTTTAGTAAGTGGAAGAGGTGGGGTTCAAACCATGTCCATCTGGCACCAGAGCCCTTCGTCTTTTACCACCCAAAGGACTGGTGTCCAATGTAAATCTAACCTGGGTCTTAAGACCCTCATACCTGCTGCTCATATGAGACCTTCTGCCCCTTGCAAAGTCCCTCTCAGCTATTTCAGGCAGTCTCAAGGGTGTCTAGCATGCAGTCCAGAGCAAGCCCAGTCAGCTCTTAAAGCACATATCCCCTGCCAGACACTGTCTCTGCTGACTCCCACATCTATGGCTGTGTTCTCTGCCAAAGGGGAGACTGCCTTCCCTCCTGTCCTGTCAGGACACCAGCACAGAGCCCCATTGTCTCACAGAATTTTGGTGAAAACCTCTCCTAATTTCAACTTGCAGCCTCCCTGCTCTTCCCAAGAATCAGATGTGAATTCATGGCAGCCTAGACTAGAGATGCTGCCCTCGGAGTCTCTCCCTGATCTTACCCTGAAATTCCATCACTGGGCCAACTTGTCTTTCCTCAGGGTAGTAATAATATTGACAGCTTATTCTCACATAGCACTTACTGTGAACTAGATACTGTTGTAAGAACTTTACATGGGTTAACATCCCTATGAGATAGATATTATTAACATCTCTATTGTACAGAAGAGAAAACTAAGGGCCAAAGAGGTAGAGAAAATTACCCAAGGTCACACAGCGGTGGGGCAGAATTGAAATAGGGACCATGGGTCTCCAGGGTCCATGCTCTGGACCACTCCCAAGCCAAATTTTCACTCCATGCCAGAGATTCTTGACATGTATGTGCTGCTGCCCATCAAACATGCCCAGCCAGGTGAGACAACCTGAAGCCAAAGTTGGGCATCCAATGCAGAAGCAGCTTTCTCCCTGAAGAAGGTTTCTAGAGTGGCCCAAAGGGCCTATTTTAAGGGCACCCACAACTGGGCAGCTCTGTGGTTGAGCCTTTACATATTCCTGTTCATCAGGATGGTGGCTTGGGATCTTTTGAAAGCAGTCGCACCCTCAGAACTGATGACCTGGCAGACTGTGAGTTGTCTCTGTCTACACCATGGCACTTCCAGTCAAAGTCACTCATCTGACAACCACCAACTTAACAGCAGGACACTCCAGGCTGACCCTTCCCTTGTCACCAGGTCCATACAGCAGCTGTAATGAGACAGTCTATACTACTGTCTTGTTCTCCCACTAGCCATTTCTCCCTCAGCATTTGGACAGAATTTGCTGCAACAAACACCACTGAGAAGAGTGTTGAAAAGTTCACATCAGTCATAAGCCAAGTGTTGTCAGGTAGTGTGAGACACAAATGCTCACTGCCAGCCACTGTGCCAAGACATTCAGAGGTTTGACATGAGAAACCAAAAAACTGCTCTGTGTATTTCTGGAATATATGTTAAAAGTTTTAATACAAAGTTGTGGATTTCATATAAAACTTAGTTTCTTATACGGACTTTGAGAGAGCAGGAGAAAAGATTAGGGAAACCACCAGTAGATAATCGCTAAAATGCCAGGGTTTCTGGAAAATGGCCACCATCTCAGGCTACAACGGTGAAGTGAATGGTTCTCAAGAGCTCACTGGAAAGTCACACCTGCCCACACACCTGATGCAACTGTTTCTGAAGAAGAATGGCTTTGCCTTTTTTCCATCTTCCATATCTTGCCTGAGAACCTCTCATAGACAAACTCTAGCCAGAGCCATAAGGGAAAGAGCATTCTGAGAAATGTAATTTCTGGCTTCTCCTCTGTATTACAAAGATCTTAGAAAAGGTGATAATGCTGAGCTAAAAATAAGCAAATAATCACAGGCCACCTCTGTTACCCCAAATGAGAACTTGGCAAAAAGTCAATAACAACAGTATGTTATCTGTAACATTATGCAACTGTTCCTTACACAACTGAGGATGCACACACCTTCTCCCTAAAAAGGAAGACACATCATTCCATATGTTGCTTTTATCTCTGGGAATGTTCATGCCTTTCCCAGTTCAGATGCAGTCTTCCTTTGATACCAAATTATAGGGTTAGTTACTTTAACTCACTTTATATTGGACAGAAGGGAATAAGGACAGAAAAAGAACTGATTTATACACACACACACATATACATATCAAAGCAAACAAGAGAATATGCATAGTTACTAAAGACTCCCTTTTACCCCTAGTCATATGACCATACTGGTATTTATAACTTTCTTCTTCCACTGATCATTGCATGTTCATCTTGTCCTCAGTCAACATTTCACTTCATCCTGGTTCTTTATGTGGCAGGGTGACTCAAAGCTGCCTTCAGAATACGGCTAACACTTGGGTACTAGAAAAGGAAAAGGGAGCTGCTAAACTGAATAATGTTTCTACCACTGAAAAGAAAGACCAGCTCACATTGCATGTAATGTTCCAAATACATTCCCCTTCCTATTTTCATTGTTTTTTTCCTCTCTCCTCCCCCATCCTTCCAGCCCTCCTCACCTACCCTTACCAAAAAGGTAAAGAAAAAGTGGAGGAGAAAATAGAGAAGGGATTCAGAACCATTCTCAGCCCTTGGCTTGATGCCTGAAGAGCCATGGACCATTCCATGCCCCGATCTGCCCACTAACTCCCCCCAGCTCTCCTATCTCTGCTTGAGCTCTTCTGAGAAGACCTATGCATCCTTCAGACAGCGAGGAGTTGATAAAAGACATGCCAGGAAGCGTGGGGGAGAGAAAGAACAAGGTTTTCTTAAATGTATTCACTTCCAACTTAGAAGTGCCATGAGCCATTTCATACACATTTCAGGCTGCAGATGCTTTTACTGAGCCACTGATAACAAGCTCTGGAGCTGATAAGCAATGAAATGAAATACACTTAACTTTTATAGGATGAGTAATCCTCAATGACAATTAATCTCACGTCCTTAGGCCCAGGGACTGTCTGACGGGTTGTCCCATCCTCCTTCTGAACATCCATTTCTGGAAAGGAGCCAAGTTCATCAAGCAGCTCTACTCAAGGGAACACAACCTGAGGCCTTTACCTGTCCCCTTCTAAGGGTTTCCAGTGTAACCTACCTGCTGGCTTCTCCTCCAAAGGGTGGAGAGGCTGGATTTCATGTCTGTCTCCTATAGGCCAGTTTCATTGCTTCATCTATGAGAGTTCAGGTAAATCCCTGAGCAAGAATTTGGGGCACTGACCATCTGAGCAATCCCAGGGGGCTGGCAGGTGGCTTTTCAGTAAAGAAAGGCACAAACATTCTTTCCTAGCCTCCTTGATCTCCTAGAAACTTAGGCAGCTGGTCCTTGAAAAGTAACAGACTCTCAATCTAACCATAGCCAAAACCATGAGCAAAGAAAAACTGGTAGACTGAAAATTCTGACAACTTTATATCCTTTTTCCTTTGGTTTCTCCTATAGAGAAGCATAGGCTTGAGACACTGGATGTAAGAAGACAGGTGGCAGTGGGAAATCCAGGCTGCTACCTGATTACAGGCCAATGGGAGTTGAAACCAACAAGGATGTGTTTGTTCACAGAGAGTCTCAATGTTTGCTCTCCTAAAAGCCCCATAGATTTCTCTAAGGAATGGCCTCTGATGGAAATTACAGTGTTGGAAGCAAAACATTCATTCACTCATCCCTTCAATCATTTAACAAACAGTATTCTTTTACACATTCCAGATACTTTCTTAGAAATTGCATATGATATTTAGGTGAAACAATAAAACAAGACATGACCTCTCAAAAACTCATCTTCAAAATGCTTTGAATCTGTTAATGAAACAGTCCAATCTAAGATTCTGTAGTGTATAATGGGCACCTTGGTAGAGCAATGTGCGGGGTACACCAGGAGCAAGAAGAGGATAAGGCCAAAGGATGTGAGAGCGTCCTGATAAGTGTTTCCTCTCTTCCTTATTTCCAGATGTCTCTCTGATTCTCGTGCCCCACCATCTGCCTGACTGACTTCCTGGGCCTGAACTTGTTCTCTGGGCTCTCCCTGTGAAGATCTATCCTTTGCCATCAGTCCCAGATTTCATCTGGGAATTTGATTTGTTCCTCCTAACTGACATGTTTGAACCAGGGGTATTGGCCTTTTCTAATCCTGGTCACACCCAGATCAACCCCTCTTCGAGTATCTGCCATGCCCAGCAATGCCACAACTGGAACTTGATATATAGTGTGTCTTTAACTGTGGAAAAAGAGAGAAAGTAGTCATCTTTCTTTATCTTGCCACACTGTCCTATGGTAATAATTCCCTAATGATATCCAAAGAGCTAAAGTGGTTTTCTTGACTATGTTCTCTGATGAAAGGTTGGAGAGGAGAAGAGAAATGACATTTGTTGAATACCTGTTACGTGCCTACACATGAGGAATTAAGATCTTTTCAGAGAGCAGAAAACTGAGGCTTAGAAAGGTTAAGTGACATTCCCATGGTTACACAGCTAGTAAGAGTCAGAGACTGAATTTTAACCCTGGACCTTCTTACTCCAAAATCCATGTTCTACCTAGGATGGAAATGCTTCTCAAACTCTAATGCGCATGCAAATTACTGGAGATCTTGTTAAAATGCAGATTCTAATTCATAGTTCTGAGGTGGAGTCTGAGACTTGCATTTGTAATAACCTCCCAGGTGGTGCTAATGCTGGGATACTGCCCCCAATTTTGAGAAGGGAGATAATACGTAAGACACACCTTCTACACATAAGCCTGGTAAATCCAAAAGGCCCCACAGGATGCAGTTCTCAATAGGGGTGATAACACCACATCTTCCCCCAGGGCAACAAAGTGTGGCAGCATCTCTTAGTTGTGTTTTTTAGTTGTTACTATGACTGGTGTAGTTACTGGCATTTAGTATCTGGGAGTCAAGGATGCTGCAAATGCTACAGAGAAAGAAATAGTCTAGGTTGATTTGTTCAGGACAGTCCTGCACAACCCGGAATTGTACCACCTACAATTTTTACAGCATCCCCATTAAGAAACCCAGAACAGTAACGTGGGGAGGTGCGCACCACTGTCAGCCACGAGCCCTTTGGCTGCCTTATTTCCATGACTTTTTCTCAGTCATTAGAAACTCAGGTCTGCCCTCCAGCTGTTCTGTTCCAAACTGTCATCATTGACAGCTGCTCTGCAGGATATCACTGCACACACATGAGTGCATGTTGATGTCTTGCTAACTGAAACTCCTAAGTGTCAACAGAAAAGATGATCCAAGGTGGGCCTAATCAGAGAGAGGTGTGTTCATATATTTCTGTGTGCCTTCCAAGAGTACAGGGATGCCACTATTACTTAAAAGTGGACATTTTAGTAAACCATGTAGGCCAGCTGAAAAATTTATATCATTTTGCATTCCATGAGAATTTCAAAGGGTATTTATTGAAAAGATAGGCAAAGTGCTCACATCTACTAAGCTTCTTCTCTATGTCAGGAACTGGGCAGGTTCTTTACAAATGTTATTGCTTTAGATACATAGCATAGTGTAGTCATCATAGACTTAGACTACGGTGGAGCTACTGTGTCGGGGTTTGAATCTCGGCTGAGCTAATTACCAGTTGTGTGACCCTGAAAAAAATTGTTTAACCTCTTGTTTCCTCAGTTTCTTCATCTGTAAAATGGGGATCAGAATGGCATCTGCCTTATTAGGCTGTTATGAAAGTTAAATGAATCAATGCCAACAGCATGCTTAGAATAGTACCTGGCACAGAGCAAATTTACAAATGTTGTTTCATTAGATCCACAGCATAATAAAATATTTCATTTAGAAATAATAAAGCATATTATTGCCAAATAAAATAGCCATGTAAGATAAATGATTTTCCTCATTTTACAGATGAGGAAACTGAGACATTCAAGTTGAACACAGCCACAGTGTAGTAGAATCTGATTAATCATAATGATAAAAGCTAATATTCACTGAGCACTTATTATGTGCCAGATACTATTCTAAGTGTTTTACCAAGATCAACTCAATCCTCACAATTACCCTAAAAGATAGGTATTTTATCCCCATTTTATTAATGACGGCACTGGCCTGTCTGGAGCAGCCCCTTGTGGGGATGCTAACTGCAGCCTGGGAGGCATGGCCGGGGCTGCGCTAGGAGGAGCTGGCAAGGCTGGGAACAGGCGGGGGCCCCACCCTTTATCCAGCTGGTGGGACAGGAGACCCGCATTCCCGGGCGCCGCCCAGCCATGGTTCTGGACCGAGGCATCACTGCGCTTTCCGGGGTCCAGGAAGTTCCCTCCCCCAACAGGCTTGAAAGTGCCTGCTCCCTCTCCTGGTGCCCATTCCGGGCTGGCGCAAAGTTGCGGCCAAGCCCAGGCAGGCACTGCTGCAACCTGGCTGGGTGTGCACGTGCTCAGGGCAGCACTGACACACTAGCCCCTGCCACCTCAGGCCCCTCTGGACTTTGGGCACCAACCAGCATGGGAGGGAGGATGAAGGAGTGCTGAGGGCTGCTTGGGGCGTGCCAGCACCCTTTGGCAGGAACAGCCTGGGCACCATGGATGGCCTATTGATGGCAGGAGGCAGACAGTTTCCTGGGCTGAAAAGGGTGGGTCCCTGGTGAAACCCCATCTTCAAGCCAGGGATGACCTGAGGCCTGGGGGCCGGACAGTTCCGGGTGAAGTCCCTGGCCAGGAGTGAGAATTTATGATACTTTTTCCAGGCCCACCCATGGTCGTCCATGAACCAATCAGCAAGCACTGCCTCCCTTCTGAGCGTATAAAAACCCTGGACTCAGCCAGCATCCAACAGATATCGGGACAACCTGCCTGCGGAAAGGAGCTACCCGCTCTACTGAGAGCTGGACACTCAATGGGACGACCTGCCTGTGGAAAGGAGTTACTCACTGTGGGTCTCCTGAGAGCTGTTCTGCCTCTCAATGAAGCTCCTCTCTGCTTTGTTCACCCTCCAGTTGTCTACATACCTCTTTCTTCCTGGACGCAGGACAAGAACTCAGGACCTGCCAAATGGCAGGACTGAAAGAGCCATAACACAAACAGAGCTGAAATACCCTTGCCACCTTACCACGCTGTGGGCAACAAGAAGGAGAGAAGAGCTGGGGCCCTTCAGGGAGCCCAGACCTAGGGGCTCCCTGAGTCAGGACTGTGACATCCTCTTTGAGGCCCTGCAGTTCCTGGCATCTCGAAGCTTCTAGGCACCAACACATTCCCCTCGTCCAGATGCAGGTGTCCACAGCAGAAGCTGCATGCTGTCCATCTGGTCCAGCCGCAGTCTTGCGCAGGGCTGACACCTGTGCTGGCGCCTGGAGCTGCCTGCCCTGCCGCAACAGCCAGCATGCCTGGCTGTGCACAGTGGCCAGACCACGCACTCACTCACCCGCACACTCTTTGCAGCTCCATGCCCAGCTCGCCCTTGGCAGGTGTGGGATCTGGGCCAGAAGAATAAGCCAAGCGCAGCCCACTAGGCTGAGTGGGTGGAACAAGCCCAGCAGGCCTGAGCAATGCTCAGGCAGAAGGTGCCACCAGCCACAGAGGTTTCCAGCTGGCAAAACAACACCCCAAGGATCCTGTGACATTACCATGTGAGGAAACTGAGGCACAACTAGGAAGTAAAAGTTACTCACCCAAGGTAACCTATTTGGTTAGTGGTGAATCAAGGATGATTTCAGCCCAAAGGTTTGACTCTGGAGCCTGAGTGCTATAGTTCCCAAGTCCATGCTTTATCCATCTCCTCACCTTCCAATTGCTCGTCTATTATGTACCCAGCCCTAAACTAGGCGTATTGTAGGATAAAACAAAGTAAAACTCACAATGTTTTTTGTTTGTTTGTTTTGAGACGGAGTCTCATTCTGTCCCCCAGGCTGGAGTGCAGTGGCTCCATCTCGGCTCACCGCAACCTCCGCCTCCCAGTTACAGCGATTCTCCTGCCTCAGCCGCACGAGTAGCTGGGATTACAGGCGCCCACCACCACGCCCGTCTAATTTTTTTGTATTTTTAGTAGAGACGGGGTTTCACCATGTTGGTCAGGTTGGTCGCAAATTCCTGACCTCCGGTAATCCACCCGCCTCGGCCTCCCAAATTGCTGGGATTACAGGCGTGAGCCACCGCGCCCAGCCTGGACTCACAATGTTTACTTTCAAGCTAATAACTTCATGCCACATCTTTATCTTCTTGTTGGATAGATTATTGGCAAATTGGCATGTGAACATAAACCTGCAATTAAGTCTCAGTTCTGCCAGTTACTGGCTTTAATGACTTTGGGCACATAATTCAGTCTCCCATAGCTTCTAATTCCTCACCTAAAAAACTACAGATGTTAAGTCTTATTTGGCAGTGTTGTTTATAAGGACTAAATAAGATCCTTTGTGTATAGTGCTCAACAAACATTAGCTGTCATTTTTCTTTTCCTTTCTCTGTGCCTCAGAAGGAATGAAAAACTGAAATTAGAAATGCAAATCTTGTTGACAAATTATTTACAATAAAGTTTCTGGATGACAGCTAAATTAGTTGAAGTTTTATAAATTTGAGTTTTGTTCCTAAAAACCCATTTCGCTTAATTAAAACGCCAAATAATCATGAAAAGAAAAACCCCCACACTTTGTGTACACACTTTGATAAAAATATATTTAGTATGTAAAACCAAACACATGATATAAATCTACATTTGAAAATGTCTGTGATGAGGGAGGATATAGGCTAATTGTTTAGCTCCTGAAAATGAAAGCCCAGTGGACTAAAGAGGCCTTCTTTTCCTGGTAGGTTTCTAAGTAGTCAGAATCAGCAATTCTCTTTGCTCCAGGGACCTAAAAATGTTCAATATTTGGATTGTCTGGGGCAAAATTTTCCACTGATAAGCCAGTGAAGATGAATGGTCATTTCTAAGGGAGGAGTTTTCCAGGTGACTTCTCTTACAGAGATCTCCTGTTTCCTTTTCAAAAATTAAGCACCCATCTTGAACAGTAGCTTTCATTTGCAAAGACTTCAGCTAACTTCTCTATATCAACCCTTTCAGCTTGCCCTAAAATCTGATAATTTGACAATCAGTTCTCTTTTGGAATGTTCAAAGCATCTTTCACTCCATTTACCATGTTTTTGTGATGTTTTCACAAGCTCTGTATGTAAGAGTTTTAAAAAGAGATAATTACTGCCCTTGCCGAAATTTATAGCTTAGTTGAAGGGCATGTTCTTTAGCCAATCATGAATCCATATCATCACAATTTTTCCACCTCTCAAATTAGCACATCACATTGTCTTATCACTAATTATTTGCATTGACTTTATTCTGAGAGCACATCAGTTTCAGCTGTTAGGTAATCATAAATAAAAATTTGTTCTTGATAAGCCTATAAAGATGAAAGTTCTCAAGTTAAGCCATCCTAAGTCAAGTGGTGCCTGTTTCCAAATATACCATTAATTACATATGATGTCTTTGCTCAAAATGAGTACTCTGGCCTGTTAACTAATCCTACTAACATCACTTCTCTTAGAGCTAGGAAAAAATTCTGGTCTCAATTGAGTTATTTGGTAATTCCATGTCCTAGAGATGAAGTTCTTTGCATAATCAAGTTTTTAAATGTCAGCAGTAGTTTGGAGTGATATAAAAGTGTTTCTGACTTTTGAAAAGACTTCCAAATATCCTTAAGTCTGTGTAATCTTTTCTAAGAAGTCAAAAGAAGACTGAAGTTTTTTGTCAGTCTGAAGAGGGTCCCAATACAGGGTCATGAATACTGAGTGTTATGTCTGCACATTTAGTCCTGAAATATGTAATCCTACATCCAGAGTAAATAGCCCAGCCTTGGAAAAGTTGAAGTCACAAGCTCAAAAAGCTTAAACAAGCAAAAGGAGTAATGAAGTATGTTTATTGCTCTTTAATAAAAAACCTATTTACATTTAGCATATTTTCAACCCAATATTCTACCCAATTTTATTAATAGGCCTTTCTAGGAATTTGGGAGATTGAAGAATAGAATAGTGTCTTAAACCCTGACAGTAAACAAGATCAGCATGCTTCAAAATCCTCTGCTGTGCACCACATAAAAGAAGTAGGAAAGGTGGAAAAGAAACAGTTATTGGTATGGATGACATTAAAAGGCCAGGTCCAGAAATATTCATGCCTGCAGACATTTTATGAGAGAAAAAGTATAACTAGTAAATGAATATGTAAGAATATTTTCAACCTTGGTAGTAATTTTTTAAATTCTAAATAAAACTGATATACCATTTTTGCATAGTAAAATTAGACAACAAAAAACACATTTCCAACTTTAAAAATCAAGGTATCCAATGCCAGACATGCTTTAATAAAATGATTATTTTTTCTAGTGGAATATAAGTTGGCAAAAACCTCTCACAGATCAGAAACCTGAGGATCATTCTCCAAAACGGAGATCTGTGTGCAGGAGGCTTATTGGAAAGTGAATTTGGGATCAGCACCTGAAAGGGAGAGAAAGAAGCAGGATTGGGCAGAGGGCAAGCTGGAACTGCAGTACAGTTGCAGCAAAGGTCTCAGCCAATCCTGTGAGGACCTCTGAGTCTGAGGTGCCCCTTCAGCTTTGTCTTAAGTTGATGAGTATTACAGGTTCACATGTCTCCTCACCCCACGGGGACATAAATTCAGGCAAGACAGCTCTCTCCACTCCATAGCAAGTCCCAGAAAGGAAGTTCAGCTGAGACTATCTGCCACCAACCCTCCTGCCAGCTGGGGGGATTAACAAACAGACCTGGAAGGGGATCTGGGTGGCACACCATGACCTCCACTGTAGACAACTTTGGCACCATTTAGTTCCACTTGTTTCATGTAATAAATTCTGGGAAAACTCCAGTATTCTGGGGGACTCTTACAAGAGAAAGGTTAATGCGAGAAACTACCATTCCTGTCACTGCAGCTATCTCAAGGAAGTAACAGACAGTCATCTTCCCTGTCCTCCACCGCCAATGCTGGAGTCTCTTTTCCCTCAACTAGCATCTCTGCTGGTATAGGCAGCTAGGCTGCTGATGTGATAGACTCCTAGGGTCGCCATTGTCAACTCACTGGTCACCATGACCTTCTTAGGGCATGATGGCTGTGTTTGTTCATTTACCATCAAAACTGGGCGAAGGGTTGCCAAGAGCAAACTAAGTGGATCACCTGAGTGCCAAATATATCATTCTCTGCTCCTATATTGCTCAGCAGCAGCTGATGGTCAGGGTCAATTATTCCTGCCAGTATGGCAATTACTTTCTTTGCCTACTGGTCTCTTGGGACAAGGTCTTTGAAGTAACTGAGCAGCAGTTCTTACCTTAAAAATATCTTTCTGTGTTCCTTGGTGAAACGATTTACCCTCTAAAAACCAAGGCCACTAAAATGTCAGAACCCAGAGTTGCAGAGAAGGGAAGCACACAATTTCCCTAAGGGGGCCACTAGGGCTGACTGTAACAGGGTCACTGCTACTTTCACCTCTTGCTTTCCAGATCTATATATTCTATGTTTTGAAAACACTATATGTGTAACATGATATGTGTATGGATTTAGGGTGTATACTACATCCTAGAGGATGGTGTCCCATCTGCACAAGACATCCTTTCCCAGATAGTATGTCAGCTGGGCCTTTGACAGACTGCTTTACTCAGTCCAGTAGCCTCTAGGTGGTGGGGTATTTGATAGGACCAGTGGATACCATGGCCATGTGCCCCTGCCGCACCTCCTTTGCTATATAATGGGCATCTTGGCCCATTGCAGTTTTATGTGGGATCCCATGCTATAGCTCAAACTCTCTCTCAGCCCTTGGTTAATGGCACTGGATGAAGCCCTGCAGACAGAAAAGGCAAACCCATATCTGGAATAGGTGTCAAATCCAGTGCAGAAGGGGTCTCACAGCCTATACTTACTGCGGATCCTTTTCTGTCCTGAGCCCCACACAAAGTTGGAAGTCTTATGTGTCACCCAGTATATGGGTTGAAGCAATATTCTTAGGTGCATAATATGCTGCCTCTATAAATCAAAGATGCCTGCCAGGCATTGTGTTCCTCCCTGGTAATGGGAAGCATAAGATTCAATAATATTCCCCTAACTTTGGAGAGAATATTCAGGGTGCCTCAGACTATTAGGCCAAAAATCTCATTAATCTTGTGAGCCCCTGAATTTTCTTAGTGTTTATCTCTCACCCTCTAGAACATCTTGTGTTAAATTTTCTGTTGTTACACAAAGAATTACCACAAACTTAGCAGCTTAAAACAACACGCATATCCTACTTCCCAGTTCTGTAGGTCAGAAGTCCAGGCAGGCTCAACTGGGTTCTCTGTTTAAGATCTCACAAGGCCAAAGTCAGGGTGTTGGCTGCATATCATCTAGTTCACCATCATTAAAATGTTCAGCAACTGCACCACCATCACACGCCTCAGGCTATCTGTGTTCTGCCTTCCATCAGTAGATTTCACTTGCTGCCCAACTTTTTGAATAATGCGTTGAACATAAAACACTAGGTAACCACTATGTATATTTACAACTTTCACTATTCCCTCTAAAATTAAGACCTATGGCCTGCTTGACCACCAACTATCCCATGTAAATAAAACAGTGAGTGATTTCACATTTCAGTGGAATCTCTTTGACCTGATATAAACATGTCTGGTTCTTCTTCAGTACTAATCTCCATGTATGTTTCCTATATACATCATGATTTACAAAGTTATTCCTAACTAAAAGAACACAAATCTCCTATATCATGGGTTTTCAGGAATAGATAACACAAAAAAAAATCAAGCAATTTTCCTTCATATATAACTTGACAAATGTCAGGGGCTAATTTAAAACTCTGAATCTCTGTGGTTTTATACAACTGCCAAGTAAAATATTTACCATTATTATGCTATCATGATAATAGTTGCTTCTTCACATTACATTTCATTGATGCTGAGCAATGCACAATGGAGCCAATTCATAAAGGAATTTTACCAATAGTCTTCAAACATATTTATCATTAACTTTGTGACCAATTTTATAAGATTCTTGTGATTTGTGTAATAAGTACTAATTTTTTGTCATAAGCAATACTACTTTATTCTTCCATTTTGGTCTCTTCACCTTTAGCAATATAATTTATTGGTATTGTACTAGAAATCATCATTTTGTGCTTTTCCTTGGGAAACAAATTAGTTTGCTGTGGAGGTCATTTGTGGAAGAAACTGTTAGTTGACTGTAAAATGCCCATATTCCCCTTCCTCCTTAGTATCAGAACCTCAAATTTAGGATGGACACTGTGATGCTCAGATGGAAGACTACCAGCCCACCTTCCTTACAGCTAGGATTGTTATGTGACTACATCCTGGTATGAGATATAAATAGATGTGTTTATGTTAGGACTTACAGGAAGCCTTCTTGAAGGAGAATGGGTGCACCCATTCTTACTTCTTCCTGCTGGCTACAGTAAGAGTGTGTTGCCTGGAACTCCAGCAGCCATCTTTGATGATGAATTAAAGGTAAGAAAGAAGCCATACACTAAGAAGGTGGAACAAAGAGTAAAGAGCCTGGGTTCTGATGACACCATGGTGCCACTATACCAACCCCAGACTGCCTAACCCCAGACTTCTTCGAGAAAGAGAAATGAATCTCAAGTCATTGTTATTTTGGAGTTATTTCTTATATGCAGCTGAAATTATCCCCAATGAGTGTATTATTAAACTTTGTTTGAAAAAGAGTACAATGACTCCATGCCATTTTTTCCAAAGGACAATACACTATAAGGGAAAATTAAATTGTCAGTCCAGTAACACTCAAATTCAGGTATTTATTGTTATGCTTTCTAATAATATATTTTTTCTTGTGTAAAATCATTATTCCCATGGAGTTACTTGTCCCAGTTCATGGAATTTCACAGTGCCTATTATTATAATTATGTTTATACATCAATAAACCCTTTTAAGGCTTTGAGTCACTTTGACAACATCAGGATATCATGCAACAACCAAAATAACAAATAACAAATATAAATAACAACACCAATGGTAAAACACAATGCTAGAGAGGAGCTGAGAAAAATTACTCAACTTGTCAGATTTTCTCTGCAAAATTGTGAAAACCTCATCTCCAGTTTAGGTGCAACTAGAGATGGTTTAGTTTCTCTGGATGAAGAGCTTGTGAATGTCACAACTGTAAAGCAAAGAGTAACTGATGTGAGGGTTCAAATGTGTCAAGCATGAAGTATGAATGACATTGATTAAGATGTTAGGCATAAATTGGGGCACTAAGATAACATCCATATATTTTTAAATCAGTAATATCAGGTAATACCCATTTCTTAAGTTTTGGCATGAATTGACTTTGGGGTTAAAGTTCAGAGAAAACAGTTGTGGACAGATAGAGGAAGGTAGAATGGCCATCTGGCTGAGGAAATGACAGTGAGGACTGGAGGGTTAGACTCCCACACCCCACAGACCCTACTTCCTTCTGACTTTCAAAACCATCCTCAAACAAAGTGGCTTTACAGGCAGCTTTCATGTAAGAGTTTGTGAGGAGCCTCGGCTACTTGTACATTCATTTGCCCTAAGCCCTGCAGAGCTGCTCAAATGTATTGTGTTATCTCTGTGGCTCTCCATGTTTCCCACCAAGATCTGAAGAAAATGTCACCTGCTCCAGCATTCCTTACATGGCAAATTGAGATTGGGAAAGGGGGAATGCCTAAATGTTTAAAGAAACCTTGATTTTTTCATCTATTCTGGTTCCTTATGGGGCCTGAGACAAAATCTGTGTGTGTCTGGTGAAGTAATTCCAAACTCTTTGAAATTCAAACCTAACATGAACATGGTAATGAAGATGAACCAGATGTCAGCAGAAATAGCTGACCCACATGGTGTTTTGACAGAAGCAACACTTTTAGAACATTTTTGTTTGTTAAGAATGTAACAGAATTTCTCCAAAGCCTATAATTAATCTTGTATTGCAAATATGTGAAATAAATATAGAGAAAATGGTCATTGCTGTTTCCTGTAAAATCATCACACTTTCTGATGACGTCTTGATAAACTGCTAGGACAACCAAAGGTCTCAGGAGTCCTTGCAGAGCTCCTGGGCCTCTGAAGCAGAAACGTCACAGTGAGTTTATAGCAGAAGAACCAGGAAGTTCTGAAAACACCATTTTGATGTGAAAGATTGATAAGAAGAGGCCCTGGTAATAGATGCTGGCAAAGCTGTGAAGAAAAGGGTATTCTTATGCACTGCTGGTGGGAATGTAAGTTGGTTCAGCCACTGTGGAAAGCATTTTGGAGATTTCTCAAAGAGCTTAAAAAAGAACTACCTTTTTATCTGACCCAGCAATCCCATTATTGGGCATATACCCAAAGGAATATAAATCATTCTACCAAAAAGATACAAGCACTCGAATGCTCATCGCAGCACTATTCACAACAGCAAGGACATTAAAACAACCTAGGTGACCATCAACTGAGGATTGGATAAAGAAAATGTGGTACATATACACCATGGAATACTACACAGCCATTAAAAGGATGAAATCATGTATATCAGCAACATGGATGTAGCTGGAGACTGTAATCCTAAGCAAATTAACACAGGAACAGAAAACCAAATACCGCATGTTCCTGCTTATAGGTGGGAGCAAAACATTGAATACACAGGGACATAAAGATGGGAACAATAGACATCAGGGACTACTGGAGGGGGAGGGATGGAGAGAAAGGAGTTGAAACTGCCTATTTGGTACTATGTTCACTATCTGGGTGACTGGATTCATATCCCAAACATCAGCATCACCCAATATACCAATGTAACAAACCTGCACATGTACCTCCTGTATCTAAAAGTTGAAAATATTTAAAAGAAAATATAGGCAGCAGCTGGTAACATTTATTGAGCACAAACCATATGCCAGGAACTGTTCTAAGCACTCCACATTAATTAATGTAGATAATATTCAGAATAAGCCTTTGAAGTGAAGACTATCATTATCCCCATTTAGTAGGTGAGGAGACAGAAGCAAAGAAGTAGAACTTCACACGGCGAGAGGCAGTGCTGAGATATACAGATGCTGTGACTGAGGGCCCAAAGCCTAACCCATTCTGCTCTATTGCTTTTTAAATGCATGTTCAAGGTAAGCACCAGCAGGTAGAAAAGAAGGGAAAGAAGGAAAGAAGAGAAGACTTCTGCAGTCCCCAGATCTTGCCTACACACCTTTTTCCTTCTGTACCCCTCAAATTTACATCCGCCAGAGCCTCAGAATGGAAATACAATCTACTTGGAAATAGGATCTTTGAAGATGTAATTAGTTAAGGTAAGGTCACACTGGATCAGTGTGAGCCCTTATAAGAAGGAAATTCGAACACAGATACACAGGGGAGAAGGCTGTGTGAGACGGGGCATCAAGAAGTCCAGGAAAGCCAAGGATTGCCAGCAAACTGCCAAGGCGGTAGGAAAGTGGCATGGAGCAGATTCTCCCTTGAGCTCACAGGAGCAACCAACTTTGCTGGCATCTTGGTTTGAGACTCTGGCCTCTGGATCTGTAAGAAAATTAATTTCTGTTGTTTTAAGTCACAAAAAAAAAAGAAAGAAAGAAAGAAAAAGAAGGGTACCTGACATCCAGTGCTTGGCACTCAAACAAACTATGTCTAAAACTAGAGTATCATATGCAAATTCATCTGAAGATCGCAGCAGCCTGTGTGCAAGTCCTAGGCAACATGAGCATAGTAACTGAGCTGTAAATGACAGCTGCCTAGGAGAGAGGACTACATATTTTTAAAAATAAAGCCTGTTGGCCAGGCACAATGGCTCATGCCTGTAATCCCAGCATTTTGGGAGGCTGAGGTGGGTGGAACATGAGGTCAGGAGATCGAGACCATCCTGGCCAATATGGTGAAACCCTGTCTCTACTAAAATTACAAAAATTAGCTGGGCGTGGTGGCACGCACCTGTAATCGCAGCTACTCGGGAGGCTGAGGCAGGAGAATTGCTTGAACCTGGGAGGTGAAGGTTGCAGTGAGCCAAGATCGAGCCAGTGCACTCCAGCCTGGCGACAGAGCGAGACTCCGTCTAAT
The DNA here is from genome assembly GCF_000001405.40 of Homo sapiens. NCBI lineage: Eukaryota > Metazoa > Chordata > Mammalia > Primates > Hominidae > Homo > Homo sapiens. The sequence continues at coordinate 75,068,353 of NC_000004.12, forward strand.
AAATAAATAAATAAAAATAAAGCTTGTTGTGCTTTGTGTACTTTTATGATCTCTGACCTCTGCTTTATTCCCAACTCCAAGGAGACTTACTCTGAATGTTCAGAAAAAAAAAATTCTGTGGAGCATAGCTTTATGACTGCCCCTGGGCTAAAGGAAGAAGGATGTGTTGTGGGGCCTTCAGTTATTCCATCTTGGAAAGTATAAGGGTCAGGACCGCCTCCACCCAACCCCTACCCCAACCCATTACCGGCTAGGAGGTTTAAGCCATCTTCTTGGGCATGGGCTGCAGAACCAGGGGGGTGAATTAAAGGCCACAAACAAAGCTGCTGCATCTGGTCACTCACAGACAGTACCCTGCACAGCTGCCAGATACTCTTCCCAGTGTCCACAGTGCAAACAGCACTCTCTGAGGTTGTGCAGTGTGGTGGCCCTGGCCCAAAAGTCCCCACCAGTCTACCCCAGTGCCCAATTTTCAATACTCTAGAGCCTTTTCAATAACAGTTGATGTTGAAACACTTAGCCAAGTATAAAGAACTCTGCAAATCTAAGATATTTGGGGGAGTATGGTACTATTTCCAGTAGTTAATGTATCAATGTGTTACCTAGGGGGACTAAATTATTAATATATTAATTCATTTTAATAAGTTGATCAAATGACATGATATACTTAAAAGCACTTAGCAAACTTTAAAGAAGCTCTACAAATGTAAGACACTCTAATGATGACAGTAATTGTCTGGGTAAAAATATAATTTAATAAACAAAGGAGCCCCAGAAGAATAAGATGAAAATAGGAAGTATAATCTAAATGTTTGTGTCTTTCCCAAATTCCTGTGTTGAAATTCTCACCTGCAAGGTGGTACTATTAGGAGGTGGGGTCTTTGGGAGGTTAGTAGGTTATGGGGGTGGAGCCCTCAGGAATGGGATTAGTGCTGTTTTAAAAAGAGACCTCAGAAAGATCCTTCATTTCTTCCACCATGTGAGGACACAAACAAGACTGACACCTATGAGGAGGTGAGCCCACACCAGACACCAAACTTGCCAGTGCCTTGACCTGAAACTTCTCAGCCTTCAGAACTATGAAAAATAAATTTCTGTTGATTATAAGCCATCTGGTCTATGGTATTTTGTGTAGTAGTCTGAACTGACTAAGACAGCAGGTAAGGTTCAATGGGAGAAAGAGTCCTGCTGAGCCATGGTGTAGCATGAAAGTGGGCGGAGCAACCACAGACAGCAAAAGGTCCCATGTGCCTGGGTGCAAAGGGGTGAGAGGGTCCCCAGGGGATCAATGGAGACGCTAAAAATAGACCTCACCACCTTAGCGATTTACCTGTTTGCTATCACAGACATTCCATTTTGGTTGCTATCTTCTCCTCTATCTATTCTTGTTAGGTTTCAGTTTGTTAAAATAAGAACTAAGCTTCTCAGTTCACTCAACCAGAACTGTTAAAAGATTAATTCAGCCCTCAGATCTCGAGTTTCCTCTATTGGGAATAAACATACACTGCCCACTTTCTCTGCTTAATGAACTCTTAGAAGGCTGACCACTGAGGGCATCCCCTCTAGTTTTCTTCTCATGATTTTTGTTCTCACCTCCCCAAGAACTGGCCACATTCTCCTCCAGAGACCAAAGTCATCTTACTATTGTACTCTCCCCTTTTCCGAAACCCGCTAGATTTTAAATTCTTTGAGAGCAATGTCAGCGTCTCCTTCCTCTTTCCTTCCCACATACTTAACAAGGCAGAAGATTAATGCTTTTAACCTACACTAAAATATTGAAGTAATCAGTGTCACAGTTGTGCTATTAGCCTCAAGTAAGGAAGCAAATTTTATTAAGAAAAATGTAAGGAACAAACCGTAAAAAACCAAGAACCATAACACTTAATTTCTCCTCAACAAGTAGAAGATGGTACTCGTTACTTCAGTTTTTTACCCATGGATGCTCTGGGTCCACCAGAGATACAGAGACACAGGTTCAAAGGAGTCCAGACCTCTCATGCCAGAGTCCCAAGGGGCTCCCAGAAAAGATGGCAAGAGAGACAATGTTTCTATTATCAGAAAACTTTAAATCTAATGGGAGAAGACAAATAATAAACCAATGAATAAACCATAAAGGACCTGACAAGTAATACTGTATATTTGAAATTTAAACCCAAATTATAATCAATAAAACTCCCTTTCTTATTTGTAAGGAAACTAATATATAATTACATTAAAATCCTTCCCTTATGTGAGATTGCATTTTAAGTGTGAAGTAGGGATCCTGAGCCTCTTTAGACCAATACTTCATATAACTCCATAAACTTAAGTCATAGTTAAAGGGTAATCTTCAGAATTCCTTAGTGGGGATGGGGAGTAGTTTAAATCAAAGCCGAAAGAAGTTAACTCTAAACTGGAAAATATTGGTATGGTGGTCTGTTCTGTGTCAACTTGGAAAAGCTGAAACTACGTTTCCTAGAATGCTTATACCTATGCTGTATATTATACAGAGTTATATTGGTCAACAGTGTAATTTGCATAGATTTGGATGATGGAAATGAAACAGTAGCCATTATTCTCTGAACATCATCCTTGGATGCGGTGTCAGACAGATGCATGTGCCAGAGGGGTCCACATTATTGTCACCCTCCTCCACTCAAGGTCGAGCTTTTCTTCCTGACCATTCCCTCTGGTGTTTAAGAGATCCCAGGTCCATTAACAAACATGGCTGTGGATCCAAACAGGCAATAGTTGCCCCCACAGACTTCTCCATCAGCTCTCCCTTGGTCTCACTTTGGTGGCTGGATGTGCCTGGCTTTCAGATTTATGTCTTCTTTGATCCCCCAGTCACCCTTCATTTCACTTCCCCCACCCTCCCACAATTGTATAGGATCTCATTCCTATAATAAATCTCATATCCATAGCTCAGAAAGATCAGCTTCCTGGCTAAACTCTTGATGTGGCAATTGGCTAAAAAGGATTATTTCATTCCATTAACATTTGTTGAACATTGATCTGGGCCGAATGTCTTCCACATACACTAATCTCATTTTATTCTTATGATCTCTATGTGAGGTTGACGTCATAACCTCCTCTTACAGATAGGAAAACAAAAGCTGAAAGAGATTAACTGGCTTGTCTAAGAGAACACAGCTAGAAGAGGATAAGTGCAGCAAAGCATTCTCCTTGGCCTGCTAGCCCCTGCCCACCTACTTTACATTATATATACACACCCAACAAAGAAAACACTGCGTTGGCACACTCGCAAGACCAAGGGAGAAATAAATGAATGACATCATGGCTAAGGAAATTCAAGTAATCAGGTTATTAGTAAAGCAGGTCTAGGGCTAAATCAGAAGAGTGAGGGAGAAGAAGAATTAAGCATGCTAAGCACAATCCACAAATTCTCACAGCCTCCAGATAGGCACTACTGCTATCCTTCTTTTACAGACAAAAACACAAAGTATGAAGCCTCCAAGTGACCCAATCAAGATAAAGCAAATCTTCAAACATCCTAATTCTTCAACAGCAGAATATATGGCCACAATTGTTTAAAAACCACATGAGTTTCCCACACAAATAAAAAAAGGGGTGGAGGGGAATCACAAGAGAGACAGAGAAAAAAAGAAAGAAGAGTGTTAGAAGAAAATGAGAAACAAAGGGAGAATTGAGAAGCAAAGAAGTGAGGATGTCAGATGATCCCCGTTTATTCCAAAAACATTTCTTGGTCACCTGCTCCAGGTCTGGAACCATGCAGAATCTGGGTATGTGATGTGAATAAATCTCCGCTCCATGGGGCTTGCATTTCAGCAAGTAAGTCAGACAATAACTTCCAAGTTTAACAACTGCTACGTTGTCTGCAAGTAACTTTAAATACTTCATAGACTGTGTTTATCAATAAGTGGGCATTTTAATTTATATCTTAGAGGTGGTTGATTAATATCTGAACTAGCCTAATCGAAAATCTCCAGGATGATTAGTTAGCATTTGAAACACTAATCAAAATCCACACTCAGGAGGCAGCTATCAGAAAGCTAGTTACCTTAATATCTGATCAACAGCAGGTTTGTTACTTAGTACAATGGATATTATAGATGATTTTTCTTTGGTCAAATGAAAGATCTGCCAGTTGTATGGAATGACCAGAAATATTCTATAGGCACTCCCAACCTTGCAATAAACACATATAAAAATCTAGCAAAACTGATAGCCTTATATCTTTTGAAATAATGCCCTAGACCTTGGTATTTCTTTGGATCCTACCATTTAGTCAGTATTTGACCCTGATTAGAAGTTTAGCTGATTCTTATTACTGATTATTTTCACATCTGCCTCAAATGAACTCTTTAATTAGGGGTTAGTTTGGGTGCTTAAAAAGACTAAAAAGACAGCTCCCAGCACTTTGGGAGGCTGAGGCGGGTGGATCATGAGGTCAGGAGATGGAGACCATCCTGGCTAACGCGGTGAAACCCCGTCTCTACTAAAAATACAAAAAATTAGCTAGGTATGGTGGCAGGTGCCTGTAGTCCCAGCTACTTGGGAGGCTGAGGTAGGAGAATGGCGTGAACCCTGAAGGGAGACCTTGCAGTGAGCCGAGATCATGCCACTGCACTCCAGCCTGGGCGACAGAGCGAGACATCTCAAAAAAATAAAAAAGAAAGAAAAAAGAAAAAAGAAAGCGAGGATTTCACTGTGCCAACAGAACAAGCTGTGTGACAGTTTTTATGCCTGCTTGGTATTTGTTGTGAAGAATCTGTTTTGAAACTTTCCTTCAGTGTAATATCCCCGCTGGTTATGCGTTCTGGAGAAAACATGATAATTGCAAACAACCAAGGTGGCTTAGGTCATTTTACAACAGCAATGAATTTAAATACAGATGTCCTGAGTCCTGAGAGAAAAACACAGGGTAACGTGGAAGCATAGGACATCTATTCCTGACCTGATCTAATAAAACAGAATTAGGGGTCACACGGTGGGGTGAAGATAGGGTGACAATGAGAGGTGACCTGAGTTAAGGTATAAAGGAGCCAACTCACACATGAAGTGCCTAGGTGAAGATTTTAACTAGATTGAATTAAAATAGACAAAATGAATAAATGAGTGAGACTTTCCAAAGGAGAGACAAAGGGAAACAATACTAGGTTCAACACACAAATTATTCCCATTTGGCAACAACCACAGACAAAACTAAAAAGATGTTTCTAGGAGAAGCTTCACCTTGGCCAACTTAGATAAGCCTTCAACCTTAGCAAGAAAATCCTGGCCCTATCTCAGTTCTCAGGGCATTTTATCTTCTTGGACATTTATCCTGTAGGCACTGATATACTTAATCTGAAATAGGAATTGGTGGGAATCTTTTTGGCAGCACTGTATTTGGCAATGGTATTTTTGTTCCAGTGCCCAATTAGCCCACAACTCCTCAGTGAACAACACACCTCATTCATTTGCATAATTGTTTCTTTTGCTGCTTCCTTTATAAAAAATAATGAGGCATTATGCACATAATTAAAGCAAGCTTAACAAATGAGGGCCAAGCTGACACGAATCACATGAGAAGGTCAAGAGAAATTAGTATTAAGGCCTGTCTGCTAAGCATAAGGCCAATCTAATACTTACTGTCTCCAGGGAGCAGAAGGACTCCTGTGGGGCCTCTGCCTTTGGATCTTCACTGAAGTCAGACCTCCTGGAGGAAACAAGATTTGATTTCATCCAGCCCTCTCCTACTTCTCTCCTTTTCCTCCTGTCCTTCTCAGTGAGAAGATTCTGGCATGATTGTTATTAGAGTACTATGAAATAAATCCTAAATAATTCCTCCTTCTTCTGATTCAACAGATATTTTTCCCAATGAACCTTACTAGAAAACTAATAGAAATAAGCCAAGTTCTTTTTATCATTATTCTTATTATTCTTATTATTATTATTATTAAACCTTAAGTTCTAGGGTACACATGCACAACGTGCAGGTTTGATACATAGGTACACATTTGCCATGTTGGTTTGCTGCACCCATCAACTCATCATTTACATTAAGTATTTCTCCAATGCTATCCCTCCCCCAACCCCCAACCCCAGAGTGTGATGTTCCCCGCCCTGTGTCTAAGTGATCTCATTGTTCAATTCCCACCAATGAGGGAGAACATGTGGTATTTGGTTTTCTGTCCTTGTGATGGTTTGCTGAGAATGATGGTTTCCAACTTCATCGATGTCCCTACAAAGGACATGAACTCATCCTTTTTTACGGCTGCATAGTATTCCATGGTGTATATGTGCCACATTTTCTTAATCCAGTCTATCATTGATGGACATTTGGGTTGGTTCCAAGTCTTTGCTATTGTGAATAGTGCTGCAATAAACATATGTCTGCATGTGCCTTTATAGCAGCATGATTTATAATCCTTTGGGTATATACCCAGTAATGGGATTGCTGGGTCAAATTGTAATTCTAGTTCTAGATCCCTGAGGAATTGCCACACTGTCTTCCACAATGGTTGAACTAATTTATACTCCCACCAACAGTGTAAAAGCATTCCTATTTCTCCACATCATCTCTGGCATCTGATGTTTCCTGACTTTTTAATGATTGCCATTCTAAATGGCATGAGATTGTATCTCATTGTGGTTTTGATGTGCATTTCTCTAATGAATGTGATGATGAGCATTTTTTCCTGTGTCTGTAGGCTGCATAGGTGTCTTCTTTTGAAAATTGTCTGTTCATATCCTTCGCTCACTTTGTGATGGGGTTTTTTCTTGTAAATTTGTTTGAGTTCTTTGTAGATTCTGGATATTAGCCCTTTGTCAGATGGGTAGATTGCAAAAATTTTCTCCCATTCTGTAGGTTGCCTGTTCACTCTGATGGTAGTTTGTTTGTTTGTTTGTTTGTTTTTGCCGTGCAGAAGTTGTTTAGTTTAATTAGATCCCATTTGTCAATTTTGGTTTTTGTTGCCATTGCTTTTGGTGTTTTAGTCATGAAGTCCTTGCCCATGCCTATGTCCTGAATGGTATTGCCTAGGTTTTCTTCTAGAGTTGTTATGGTTTTAGGTCTAACACGTAAGTCTTTAATCCATCTTGAATTAATTTTTGTCTAAGGTGCAAGGAAGGGATCCAATTTCAGCTTTCTACATATGGCTAGCCAGTTTTCCCAGCACCATTTATTAACTAGGAAATCCTTTCCTCATTGTTTATTTTTGTCAGGTTCATCAAAGATCAGATGGTTGTAGATGTGTGGCATTATTTCTGAGACCTATGTTCTGTCCCATTGGTCTATATATCTGTTTTGGTACCAGTACCATGTTGTTTTGGTTACTGTAGCATTATAGTATAGTTTGAAGTCAGGTAGCATTATGCCTCCAGTTTTGTTCTTTTTCCTTATGATTGTCTTGGTAATGTGGGTTCTTTTTTGGTTCCATATGAAATTTAAAGTAGTTTTTTCCAAATCTGTGAAGAAAGTCATTGGTAGCTTGATGGGGATGGCATTGAATCTATAAATTACCTTGGGCAGTATGGCCATTTTCACGATACTGATTCTTCCTATCCATGAGCATGGAATATTCTTCCATTTGTTTGTGTCCTTTTATTTCCTTGAGCAGTGGTTTGCAGATCTCCTTGAAGAGGTCCTTGACATCCCTTGTAAGTTGGATTCCTAGGTATTTTATTCTCTTTGTAGCAATTGTGAATAGGAGTTCACTCATGATTTGGCTCTCTGTTTGTCTGTTATTGGTGTATAGCAATGCTTGTGATTTTTGCACATGGATTTTGTATCCTGAGACTTTGCTGAAGTTGCTTATCAGCTTAAGGAGATTCGGGGCTGAGACAATGGGGTTTTCTAAATAAACAATCATGTCATCTGCAAACAGGGACAATTTGACTTCCTCATTTCCTAATTGAATATCCTTTATTTCTTTCTCTTGCCTGATTGCCCTGGCCAGAACTTCCAACACTATGCTGAATAGGAGTGGTGAGAGAAGGCATCTTTGTCTTGTGCCAGTTTTCAAAGGGAATGCTTCCAGATTTTGCCCAATCAGTATGAAATTGGCTGTGGGTTTGTCATGAATAGCTCTTATTATTTTGAGATATATTGTATGAATACCTAACTTATTGAGAGTTTTTAGCATGAAGGGCTGTTGAATTTTGTCAAAGGCCTTTTCTGCACCTATTGAGATAATCATGTGGTTTTTGTCTTTGGTCCTGTTTATGGATTACCTTTATTGATTTGTGTATGTCGAACCAGCCTTGCATCCTAGGGATGAACCTGATTTGATCATGGTGGATAAGCTTTTTGATGTGCTGCTGGATTCGGTTTGGTAGTATTTTACTGAGGAATCTCACATCAATGTTCATCAGGGATATTGGTCTAAAGTTCTCTTTTTTTATTGTGTCTCTACCAGCCTTTGGTATCAGGATGATGTTGGCCTCATAAAATGAGTTAGAAGGGTTTCCCTCTTTTGCTATTGATTGGAATAGTTTCAGAAGGAATCGTACCAGCTCCTCTTTGTACCTCTGGTAGAATTCGGCTGTGAATCTGTCTGGTCCTGGACTTTTTTCGGTGGCAGGCTATTAATTATTGCCTCAATTTCAGAGCCTGTTATTGGTCTATTCAGAGATTCACCCTCTTCCTGGTTTAGTCTTGGGAGGGTGTATGTGTCCAGGAATTTATCCATTTCTTCTAGATTTTCTAGTTTATTTGAGTAGAGGTGTTTATAGTACTCTCTCATGGTAGATTGTATTTCTGTGGGATCGGTGGTGATATCCCCTTTATCATTTATTATTGCGTTTATTTGATTCTTCTCTCTTTTCTTCTTTATTAGTCTTGCTAGCAGTCTATCAATTGTGTTGATCTTTTCAAAAAACCAGCTCCTGGATTCATTGATTTTTTGAAGGGTTTTTGGTGTCTCTATCTCTTTCAGTTCTGCTCTGATCTTAGTTATTTCTTGCCTTCTGTTAGCTTTTGAATTTGTTTGCTCTTTCTTCCAGTTATTTTAATTGTGATGTAAGGGTGTCAATTTTAGATCTTTCCTGCTTTCTCTTGTAGGCATTTAGTGCTATAAAACTCCCTCTACACACTGCTTTAAATGTGTCCAGAGATTCTGGTACTTTGTGTCTTTGTTGTCATTGGTTTCAAAGAATATCTTTACTTCTGCCTTCATTTTGTTATTTACCCAGTAGTCATTCAGGAGCAGGTTGTTCAGTTTCCATGTAGTTGTGTGGTTTTGAGTGGGTTTCTTAATCCTGAGTTCTAATTTGATTGCACTGTGGTCTGAGAGACAGTTTGTTGTTCTTTCTGTTCTTTTACACTTGCTGAGGAGTGCTTTACTTCCAACTATGTGGTCAATTTTAGAATAAGTGTGATGTGGTGTTGAGAAGAATGTATATTCTGTTGATTTGGGGTGGAGAGTTCTGTAGATGTCTATTAGGTCTGCTTGGTGCAGAGCTGAGTTCAATTCCTGGATATCCTTGTTAACCTTCTGTCTCTTTGATCTGTCTAATATTGACAGTGGAATATTAAAGTCTCTCATTATTATTATGTGTGTGTCTAAGAGCCTTTGTAGGTCTCTAAGGACTTGCTTTACTAATCTGGGTGCTCCTGTGTTGAGTGCATAGATATTTAGGATAGTTAGCTCTTCTTGTTGAACTGATCCCTTTATCATTATGTAATGTCCTTCTTTGTCTCTTTTGATATTTGTTGGTTTAAAGTCTGTTTTATCAGAGACTAGGATTGCAACCCCTGCTTTTCTTTGCTTTCCATTTGCTTGGTAGATCTTCCTCCATCCCTTTATTTTGAGCCTATGTGCGTCTTTGCACATGAGATGGGTCTCCTGAATGCATCGCACTGATGAGTCTTGACTTTTCATCCAATTTGTCAGTCTGTGTCTTTTAACTGGGGCATGTAGTCAATTTACATGTAAAGTTAATATTATTATGTGTGAATTTGAACCTGTCATTATGATGTTCACTTGTTATTTTGCCCATTAATTGATGCAGTTTCTTCATAGCATCAATAGTCTTTACAATTTGGCATGTTTTTGCATTGACTGGGACCTATTGTTTCTTTCCATGTTTAGTGCTTCCTTCAGAAGCTCTTGTAAGGCAGGCCTGGTGGTGACAAAATCTCTCAGCATTTGCTTGTCTGCAAAGGATTTTACTTTTCCTTTACTTATGATGCTTAGTTTGGCTGGATATGAGATTCTGGGTTGAAAATTCTTTTCTTTAAGAATGTTGAATATTGGCCTCCACTCTCTTATGGTTTGTAGGATTTCTGCCAAGAGATCTGCTGTTAGTCTGATGGGCTTCCCTTTGTGGGTAACTCGACCTTTCTCTCTGGCTGCCCTTAACACTTTTTCCTTCATTTCAACCTTAGTGAATCTGACAAGTATGTGTCTTGGGGTTGATCTTCTCAAGGAGTATCTTTGTGGTGTTCTCTGTATTTCCTGAATTTGAATGTTGGCCTGCCTTGCTATGTTGGGGAAGTTCTCCTGGATAATATTTTGAAGAGTGTTTTCCAACTTGGTTCCATTCTCTCCATCACTTTCAGGTACACCAATCAAACTAGATTTGGCCTTTTCATATAGTCCCATGTTTCTTGGAGGCTTTGTTTGTTTCTTTTTACTCCTTTTTCTCTAACCTTGTCTCCTCACTTTATTTCATTAATTTGATCCTCCATCATTGATACCCTTTCTTCCACTTAATCAAATCAGCTATTGAAGCTTGTGCATGCATCACAAAGTTCTCCTGCCATGGTTTGCAGCTCCATCAGGTCATTTAATGTCTTCTCTACACTGTTTATTCTAGTTAGCCATAAGTGTAATCATTTTTCAAGGTTTTTAGCTTCCTTGCCACGGGTTCAAACATCCTCCTTTAGCTCGAAGAAGTTTGTTATTACTGACCTGCTGATGCCTACTTCTGTCAACTTGTCAAAGTCATTCTCTATCCAGCTTTGTTCCGCTGCTGGTGAGGACCTGCGATCCTTTGGAGGAGAAGAGGTGCTCTGATTTTTAGAATTTTCAGGTTTTCTGCTCTGGTTTCTCCCCATCTTTGTGGTTTTATCTACCTTTGGTCTTTGATGTTGGTGACCTACAGATGGGGTTTTGGTGTAGATGACCTTTTGGTTGATTTTATGCTATTCCTTTCTGTTTGTTAGTTTTCCTTCTAACAGTCAGGTCCCTCAGCTGCCAGTCTGTTGGAGTTTCCTGGAGTTCTACTCCAGACCCTGTTTGCCTGGGTATCACCAGTGGAAGCTGCAGAACAGCAAACATTGCGGATCAGCAAATGTTGCTGCCTGATCCTTCCTCTGGATGCTTTGTCCCACAGGGGCAGCCACATATATAAGGTGTCTGTCGGCCCCTACTGGGAGGTGTCTCCCAGTTGGGCTGCACAGGGGTCAGGGACCCACATGAGGAGTCAGTCTGTCTGTTCTCAGAGCTCAAATGCCATGCTGGGAGAACCACTGCTCTCTTCGGAGCTGTCAGACAAGGACGTTTAAGTCTGCAGAAGTTGTCTGCTGCCTTTTGTTCAGCTATGCCCTGCACACAGAAGTGGAGTCTAGAGGCAGTAGGCCTTATTGAGCTGTGGTTGGCTACACCCAGTTCCAGCTTCTGGGCCGCTTTGTTTACCTACTTAAGCCTCAGCAATGGTGGACACCCCTCCCCCAGCCAGGCTGCCATCTCACAGATCGATCTCAGACTGCTGCACTAGCAGTGAGGAAGGCTCCATGGGTGTGGGAGCTGCCAAGCCAGGCATGGGCTGGGGAGACAATCACCTTGTCTGCCAGTTGCTAAGACCTTGGGAAAAGCATAGTATTTGGGTAGGAGTGTCCCGTTTTTCCACATAGTCTGTCATGGCTTCCCTTGGCTAGGAAAGGTAAATCCCCTGACCCCTGCACTTCCCTGGTAAGGCAAAGCCCCGCCCTGCTTTGGCTCACTCTCCGTGGGCTGCACCCAGTGTCCAACCAGTCCCAATGAGATGAACCAGGTACCTCAGTTGGAAATGAAGAAATTACCCGTTTTCTGCATCGATCACGCTGGGAGCTGCAGATGGGAGCTGTTCCTATTCGACCATCTTGGAATGACCTCTCAAGCCAAGTTCTTTATTGCTAAGAAGTCCAATGATAAGTTTTATGAGTACTAATACATCCTTCTTTAAAATGGTAATGCTCTTTGATCAGTGTCAGAGATTAATAAGTACCTTTTCCCCTACCTGCATATGACTTCTAAGCATTTTCTTTCTTCTAGTACTATTTCTGTCTTCATGTCTTTCACAGATCCTGATGAGTTTTTTATTTCTCAGGCTGAATGTCCCAGATCCTGGTGGGTGCTACCAGCCATTCTGTGAGCTACAGATTCTTAGAAGATTGGAAGGTCATTAACAAGTGACACAGTGAATTTTCCATTCTCCCTTGGCTAGAATCTGTCTCTTAGAGCCTTGTTAGTCAATATGCAGTCTGAAGAACAGCTGCATCACCTGGGAGCTTGTTAGACATACAGACTCTCAGGCCCCACTGCAGACCTACTGAGTCAGATGAACATTTTAACTAGATCCCCAGGTAACTGGTTTCCACATTAAAGTTGGGAAGCAATGATCTGGGAAATTCAGTGGGACTCATTCAGCACAATTTCTTCTCCTAGGGTGTTTGACAACCTTTTATTTCACCTTGTTGTTTAACGGATTCTCAGCTTAGACTTATGGGGATGAACAAACACACAACACCTGAAACTGAACCAATGTGATCACAGCTGTTTGTTAGTACATATACCCACACCACACGGTGGCATAATATACATAGCACAATTCACTGGGCCATGGAGAGATTGCACTCAGGAATAGAGTCAATAACTGAGGGCTATGGGAGGCAGACATTTTAGTTTCAAGAGGGTGAGCTGCCCCCTATTTCCTGTGGGAAAATATTAGTGACTTTTGAAACTAAATCTACAGGCTATCAGGGACTGAAATACCTATTCAAGGATAAGTAGGAACTGCCCCTGGTCCCTTTGATTAAGAGGGTTATCTGGTTGGAGACTTTATCCACAAGAGCAGAGTGGGGAGAACTTGTGATTGGGATATTCAAGACCCTCCAGGCCCCTGATTTCACCAGATATAAAGGCAGCGCAAAATGTTGGAACTTAATTTTAGGCCTTATACCTCATAGGGAAGTAATCTTATAAAAGTACTTACTAATTCCATTATATAAAACTATATGCATGTAACCACCAAGTATAGTGCCTAGACTGTGGAAAGTATTCAATGAATGTATAAAACTCCTCATCTCCTCTTTTAGTCTTGGCCATATAATAACCACAGCCTACAATGATTTAGATTCAACTTACAGTGCATGAAGACCTACCCCATGCCAGACACAATTAGATACTCCCACATACATAATCTTATTTAATCTAATATTCACCGCAATGCTATGAGTCAGTTGTTCTCACCTCTGCTTTATAGACCAGGAAATTGAAGACAGTTTCACCCAGTCACAATGGACCCTGTTTCATCATGTCTCAACATGGCCTTCATCAATGCACTCTGTGATCTCTTATAATTATATAGTGATAATACAGCAATGCAGTAGAACCTTCCCAGATATACAGATGCCAGTCATAATTTGTGAGAAACAAACAGTAGAAAAAAAATTGAATTTATTTGGCTAACTCAATAATATGAACAGCAGGAAAGATAGACACATATAAAATGTTTTGGACTTGGTTTGCTAAGTTGATACAGATAAAATACGACAGTAACTAGAAGATTACTTGAGAAACTGTTAATTGAATGAGACAGTCTGGATATAGTAACTATCAATTTTTCCAGGCTGTATAAGTTAGATTATCAGGAGCCACATACTTGAACTCTTATCTTTTTAGTCACCAGAAAAAAAAAAATGCCCTTGCTTCCTCATAGTTAGAGGCAGTGTAGCATAGTGGGTAGGAGTGCAGACTGTGGATCCAGACATCCTAAGTTGAAATCCTAGCTCTTCTGCTTTCTGCTGGTAGTATCTGAGGTCCATCACTGAACTTCTCTGTGCTTCATTTTCCACCTGCAAAACACAGATAACAACAGCTTCTATTCAGAGTGGTTGTGAAGATGGAGTGAGTTAATATATATAACACACTTAGAAAATTGCCTGGAACAAAGTAATGCTATGTAAGTAGAAGCTTTTATTATTATGAGCCAGTGTTATGTCTTTGACTTACAGGAAGGATCAATAAAATAAAGTGATCCCATGAGACTTACTCAAATAAATAGAACAAAATAAATAGCCCAGGAACAGACCTTAGTATATAAAAGAATTTAGTTTATGGTAAAGAAGACTATTTCAATCAGTAAAGAAACATTTAAAATGTTAAATATAAATTAATGAACTGGGTTATTCAATAAAGGATGCCGGGAGAATTAGACAGCTTTATCTCCTAATCCCTCATCCTCCACCTGCACTCCATTCTATACTACTACTGATGATAGTTTGAGTAATCATGATAACACCACATACCATGGATTACCAGTGTCCCAGACAAAAAAAAAACAAGATTATTTATCTTTGCATCAAATAAGTGAGACACTCGATCCCAAAATCCCATTTTAATAGCTTATTTCTGAGACCCCTCTTGGTACCAGTTATGTAATCATTAGGGTGCTTGCAGGACATTGATGACACATTCAGACACGGTAATGGACAAAAGTTTAGCTAAATGATTATTGACAAAAATGTGGTGGAAACTAACAATAATGGCAAAAAAACCCAGGGCTAGCAACAAGAGGTCAGATACCATATCTAGGTCTAAAGGGGCATTTATCAGAATGCAGTAAAACCTGGAGCTGTCAGGTGGTCCCCTGACAGGAGCCGTGGCTTTGGGTCGGGGAGCACAGCCACTGCCAATCTGAAGCCAGACATGTAGAAAGACAGGGGAACAAATACTTCACCCCTCTCTTCTCTGTCACCCTCTGAACCTCTGGAAGCCAGAAAACAAGAGAGCCTGGTTGATCTGCTTGTTACAGATCAGCTTCCTGGGGGTTCAGAGAAGAGTAGAGAGGGAAAGAGAGTGAATCTTAAGGAATAAAGAGCAAATAAGAGAATATCCAGCATACTCACTAGGAAGTAAATATGTCATCCCAAATAATTAAGAGGAGGGCATTGTCTTCTTAGTTTGCTGAAGTTTCCCAGTAACCAGAGGATATCAGTCGAGGATGGGGCTAGATCCTTGTCTGTTACGCTGATGGGAAGGGTCTATTTATAGCTGTATCAATGGCTCCAAAATTTAAAGGAGAAAGCCACGTAACTCACATACCCTAGATTTGCTCATATTATTGTTAATCTTCAAGTTACCTTAGAATCTGGAGCCTCCATCCAATTGACTTCAATCTTTGGATTTTAAGACATGTAAATGTGTTTCCATATAACTATAAAGCACTCTGAATTTGATGGATTTCTATCTTTTATTTTCATTTCATAGGACTAAAAAACTCTTACAAATATCAAAGTGACATCTGATTGAATTCTTGATATCTCTCAAGTCTTTGGTTTTGCAATCTAAAGTAATTCTACATCTAACGTTGCTCTATTGTTCATCCTCAATAGCAGATGACCTTGCACCTTTCCATTATATTTCTACACTCTTGGTGCTATTGAAAGCGAGCTACTTTATATTCTCTGTTTTATAGCTTCTGCTTTCTCATATCTTCTGCTTACTAATGGTTTTCTCTGTCTCGTGGGAATTTTGCATGCATTTTCTCGTCATATCCTTTTGCTACTAACCAGCTATATCTTTGTTTACAATCCCAAGACAAGTTATAAAAGAGACTTCTTTGTCCAGTCATTCCCATTTGGACAGAGCTATCATGCAAGGCCACCTCATAGCCTCCTAGCTGGTGACTTGTGAAATTGGTTCCCTGAAGATTGTTTCTCTTGGGATAGGTGCACACCTCTGGCTCATTCAGTGGCAGCCAGAGTAGATAAGTGGAGTCACATGACAGAGCATATGGAAATCTGCACAAGAAGCTAAATAGGACTCTTCGTTCAGAAGGTGTCAGTGGTAATGACGGATACCTGTATTGGTCTTTCCATACGAGAGTTGAATAAAACAGACAAAAAAAAATTTTAATTTTAGAACTATAAGAAAAAATAGGTGGATATTTATGTAATTTCATTGTAGGAAAAGTTTTTAAAGCATAAATACAAAGGGAAAAATCCTAAGGAAATTTATTAATATATACATTAAAAATGAATTAACTTTATATGTTAAAATATTATAAGGTTAAAAAGAAACTTACTAGGTGTAGTAGCATGTGCATATAGTCCTAGCTATTTGGGAGGCTGAGGCAAGAAGATTTCTTGAGCCAAGGAGTTCCAGTCCATGCAAGGCAACATAGTGAGATCCTGTCTCAACTGAAAAAATATATATATATATAATAGCAACTACTTGGATAAATGTATTTGCAACATATTGACAGGTATTTAAATTATTGCTATGTTAAGAAGAACTTGATTTTAAAAACAAGATGAACACCCCGATAAAATAATTGGCACAGATGTTGAATGGAGAATCTGCAAAAAGACGAAGAAGAAGGAAGGAAGGAAAGAAGGAAGGAAGGAAGGAAGGAAGGAAGGGAGGAAGGAAGGAAGGAAGGAAGGAAGGATCAACTTTGCCAATAATCAGAGAGATAAAAACCAATTTAACAATGTTTTGGCAGACATAGCTTATGCTTCTCAGGTTAGGGGTATTACTACGGTAGAAAATGCATTCTCCAGAGTTTTTGGAGGGTCATACAAGAATACATATGAAAGCCTTAAAACTATGCCCACAAAAATACTTTAACTTCTAGGAATTAATCCTAAATCTTAAGTAAACAATTAAGAATAGAGATGCACCATTTACATACATGGCTTTTCATAATAGTATTATGTATTATGGGTATATACCCAGTAATGGGATGGCTGGGTCAAATGGTATTTCTAGTTCTAGATCCTTGAGGAATTGCCACACTGTCTTCCACAATGGTTGAACTACTTTACAGTCCCACCAACAGTGTAAAAGTGTTCCTGTTTCTCCACATCCTCTCCAGCACCTGTTGTTTCCTGACTTTTTAATAATCGCCATTCTAACTGGTGTGAGATGGTATCTCATTGTGGTTTTGATTTGCATTTCTCTGATGGCCAGTGATGATGAGCATTTTTTCATGTGTCTGTTGGCTGCATAAATGTCTTCTTTTGAGAAGTGTCTGTTTATATCCTTCGCCTACTTTGTGATGGGATTTTTTTTTCTTACAAATTTGTTTGAGTTCTTTGTAGATTCAGGATATTAGCCCTTTGTCAGATGAGTAGATTGCAAAAATTTTCTCCCATTCTGTAGGTTGCCTGTTCATTCTGATGGTAGTTTCTTTTGCTGTACAGAAGCTCTTTAGTTTAATTAGATCCTATTTGTCAATTTTGGCTTTTGTTACCATTGCTTTTGGTGTTTTAGACATGAAGTCCTTGCCCATGCCTACATCCTGAATGGTATTGCCTAGGTTTTCTTCTAGGATTTTTATGGTTTTAGGTCTAACATTTAAGTCTTTAATCCATCTTGAATTAATTTTTGTCTAAGGTGTAAGGAAGGGATCCAGTTTCAGCTTTCTACATATGACTAGCCAGTTTTCCCAGCACCATTTATTAAATAGGGAATCGTTTCCCCATTTCTTGTTTTTGTCAGGTTTGTCAAAGATCAGATGGTTGTAGATGTGTGATATTATTTCTGAGGGCTCTGTTCTGTTCCATTGGTCTGTATCTCTGTTTTGGTACCAGCACCATGCTGTTTTGGTTACTGTAGACTTGTAGTATAGTTTGAAGTCAGGTAGTATGATGCCTCCAGTTTTGTTCTTTTGGCTTAAGATTGTCTTGGTGATGTGGGCCCTTTTTGGTTCCATATGAACTTCAAAGTAGTTTTTTCCAATTCTGTGAAGAAAGTCATTGGTAGCTTGATGGGGATGGCATTGAATCTATAAATTACCTTGGGCAGTATGGCCATCTTCATGATATTGATTCTTCCTATCCATGAGCATGGAATGTTCTTCCATTTGTTTGTGTCCTCTTTTATTTCGTTGAGCAGTGGTTCGTAGCTCCCCTTGAAGAGGTCCTTCACATCCTTGTAAGTTGGATCCCTAGGTATTTTATTCTCCTTGAAGCAATTGTGAATGGGAGTTCACTCATGATTTGGCTCTCTGTTTGTCTGTTATTGGTGTGTAAGAATGCTTATATTATGAAGAAAATAAGCAAACAAGAACATTTTTAAAGGAAACAAGGTTATGGTATACAATAGGGGATTAGTTAAATTGTGGATAGTGGAATACCATGCAGCCACTACAATTTATGTAATAAATAAAATTAATGGCATGAAAACATGTTCACAAAATATTGGTGAAAAAAGTAATTATAAAAAATAATATGAAAAATATGATCATCATTTTTATTAAAATGTATATGTTTATATGACATATGAACATAGTCATAAACAACTGCTATTGAGAGGTGACAGTAGAGTAACCTTAGACATAGAATGACCTTAGATTGTAAATCCAAAGCCACAGGAAATATCGAGAATTTAATCAGATATCACTTTAGTATCTTTAAGAATTGTCTGTCCCTACCATACAAGAATGATGTATATCAAAATGTTTACTATGACCTGGATGATGATAACAAGTGTGATTTTCATTTTCTAAGCTTTTAATGCTGTGTTTTTAGGTGTTTTAGAGTTTCTAAATGGAATTATAACTGAAGTTTTGACTGAGTCACCAAGATTAAGTAGAATTACATAAGGTGAGACATGAGGCAAAGATGCAAATTTTCAAAGGGAATATCTAGACATTCTAAGAGTCCATAACTCCTAAACCTCTCACCCACAAGAAGGCTAAAGAACAGTGGGGCTTAGTGATTGGGAAAGAATCTGAAAATGGATTTGTAAGGAAAATTTCTTTGCGGAAATTTTCTGTTCTGTTCTAGTGCTTGGCCCTCACATCAAGCCTATAAAGAGGGCGTTCAATTCAGTTTCCTATGTGCCACTTACAGTTCAGGGGGAGCAATGAACTTGTGTCTGATTCTCACCTGGAAGGCACTGGCAAGCCCCCTCAATAATGGGATCAAAGGTGAGTTTGTTGCACTAGGTGACCCAAAAGTCTGAAATTTGTTGGGACAAAGGATGTATGAGTATTTCTTTTAGACTAGATGTGTCACTTGAGAAAAGCCATGCTGAAGCCATTTTAAACCTAGTCCAACAGAGTATCCTGGAACAGAGTGATCTGTCCAACAGAGTAACCTGGAAGGGTGATGTGACTTACCAGAAATAGTCTGTGCGATAGTTAACTTTATGTGTCAATTTGGCTAGGCTATGGTATCCAGTTGTTTGATCAAACACTAGTCTAGATGTTTCTGTGAGGGTACTTCTTAGATGAGATTAACATTTTAATCACTAGACTTTAAGGAAAGCAGATTATACTCCATAATGGGGGTGGGCCTCATTTAATCAGTGGAAGGCCTTAAAAGCAAAGACTGAGGTTCCCAAAGAAGAAGCAATTCTGTCTCAAGACTGCAACACAGAAAACTGACCCGAGCTTCCAGTCTTCAGATTCAGACTCAAGTCTTATTCAGAGAAGGCTCAACTCCTCTCTGAATTTCCATCCTGCCAGCCTGGTCTACAGATTTTGGACTTGCCAGCCTCCAGTCATATGACTCAATTCCTTAAAATAACTTTCTCTCTCTCTCTCTCTTTCTCTCTCTCACTCTCGCTCTTGCTGTCATTCTTGTTTCTGTTTCTCTGAAGAACCCTGGCCAATACAGTCAGTGTCAAGTGAGCTTCTGGAACACAAAGCCTGAGAGAGGAGCTGCCAGGAGGAGGAAATTCATTGCCTGCCTCTCAGGACACACATTCAGGAGTTCTCAGAAAGACTTCTGAAGAGGAAGAGAGAGGAAGAGTCCATAGTAAACACCTGCCCAGGTCAAAGAATGCACAGCCATCTAACAAAAAGGCCCATACAGTTAGAGTTTTTCTATCCCTGTTGCTTCTCCTTCTTATATCACTACACCCCTCATCCCCACCACCACACCAATCCTGGTAAAGACAGAAAGCCACAATTAGCAAGATAAAAACAAGGGGATGGAAGCCTAACTTGAGAAAGGAAAGAGAAGGGTGATACCTCTCCTTCCTTGCCTTCCTGCCTGAAGAAAACCACCAGCCAAGGGAGTGGAAATACTTTAACCTTAAATCAAGGTCAGAGTTTGGATCATTCCTTGGGACTGGATGTCTCAATTTCTGAATTGAAACTGTGATTGTGACTATAACATTATTTTTTATTGTTATTATGTAAAAGTAAACCAGGGCGGGGAAACACTTTCTCCACTGAATATATTTTATACAGACAGTGGGAGATTAAAAAAATAAATAAATGTGCTTTTCTAATACATCCCAAGAGTCCTACCTGTTCAATGTGCCACTTATACAAATATTACTTTTTATGATTGAAAAAAAAGCCAGTATTATATTTTCAGTATTAATTTAATGAATATTTTCATATCACATAAATTCTAGTTTAATATATTATGTTACACTAATAATGTCTTTTATATGAGAATTTCTGTGATAAATTCTTCCAAAAATAAATTTAGTCTCCCCCAAAATTAGACTTTCCAGAAATATATATTTTTAAATTTACAATAAAAATCATAATACCTTTACTCCAACAAATATTTATTGCCAACAAACTACATGCTATCCATATGCTAATAATAACAAACTGGATATTGCTTCTGCCTTGTGAGGCTCACTTGCTGGTAAAGGAAACAGTCGTTACATAAATAAACACAGAATTACAAATTTTAGTAAGCACTTAAGGAAAAGTATTATGTGAGAATAAATACAGAATAATAATTTAGATCAATACATTTGGAAAGTGTCCCTCTGAGGAAGTGACATTTGAGCCTAGATCTGGATGATTTGTAGACGTTAATTAGGTAGAGAGAATCAGAACCTAGGAGAAAAGCTTCCAGATAGACAGAAGAGAGTGCCCCAAGGTCATGATGTGGAAATCCCTGGGTATACACAAGAAAGCATGCTGGATTGTAAACAGTGGAAGGGAGTGTTATGGTAAAGGAGGTTGGAGAATCAGTCAAATCATGCACGCCTTTGTAGGACGCATTGTAAGGTTGGATTTCATCATAAGTTCCCGGAGAAGCCATCAAAGGATTTTGAGAAAAGAAAAGACATCCAGGCATATGTTGTTTTATTGCACTTCACTTTACTGTGTTTCTCAAATATTGCATTTTTTTTTATAAATTGAAGGTTTATGGCAACCCTACATTGAGCAAGTCTATTGGTGCCATTTGTCCAACAACATATGATCAGTTTGTGCCTGTGTCACATTTTGGTAATTCTTGCAATATTTCCAGCTTTTTTCATGATTATTATATCTGCTATAGTGGTCTGTGATCAGTGATCTTTGATGTTACTATCACAATTGTTTTAGGATGTCATGAACCATACCCTTATAAGATAACAAACTTAATCAATAAATATTGTGTGTGTTTTGACTGCTCCACTATCAGCCTTTCCCACATTTTTCTCTCTATTCTCTGGTCTACTTAATCCCTGAGACATAACAATATTGAAATCAGGCCAACCAATAATCCTACAATGATCTCTTAGCATTCAAGTGAAAGAAGAGTCTCATATCTCTCATTTTAAGTCAAACTCTAGAAGTGATTAAGCTTAGTGAAGAAGGCATGTTCAAACCAGAGATAAGCCAAAAGCTAGGCCTCTTGCACCACTTAGCCAAGTTGTGAGTGCAAAGGAAAAGTTCTTGAGGAAATTAAAAGTGCTACTTCAATGGACGTGTAAATGATAAGAAAGCAAAACAGCCTTATTCTGGATATGGAGAAAGTTTTAGTGGTCTAGAGAGAAGATCAAACCAGACAAAACATTCCCTTAGAACTAAGCCTAATCCAGAGCAAGGCTCTAACTCTTTTCAATTCTGTGAAGGCTGAGAGAGGAGAGGAAGCTACAGAAGAAAAGTTGGAAGCTATCAGAAGTTGGTTCATGAGGTTAAAAGAAAGAAGTCATCTCCATAAGTGAAGTACAAGTAAAGCAGCAAGGTGCTGATGTAGAAGCTACAACAAAGGTGCTGATGTAGAACCTACAACAAAAGGTGCTGATGTAGAACCAACAACAGAAGGTGCTGATGTAGAAGCTACAATAAATTATCCACAAGATCTAGCTAAGATCATTGATGAATGTGGCTACACTAAACAACAGATCTTGCAATGTAAATAAAACAGACTGCTACTGGGAGAAGAGGCCATCTAGGGCTTTCATAAAGAGGACAAGTCAATATCTGCCTTCAAAGTTTCAAAGGACAGGCTGACTCTCTTATTAGGGATTAATTCAGCTTGTGTCTTTACATTGAAGCCAATGCTCACTTACCATTTTGAAAATTCTAAGGCCCTTAAGAATGATGCTCTTAATAAATCTACCCTGTCTGTGCTCTTCAAATGGAACAACAAAGCCTAGATGGCAGCACATCTGCCTATAGCATGGTTTATTGAACATTATGACCACTCTTGAGACCTACTGCTTAGAAAAAAAAAATTCTTTTTTGAAATATCACTGCTCATCGACAATTCACCTGATCACTCAAGAGCTCTGACAGAGATGTACAAGGAGGTTATTGTTGATTGTCTGCTTGCTAACACAACATCCATTCTGTAGCTTATGGATCAAGGGGTAATTTCTAATTTCAAGTCTTCTTGTTTACAAAATATACTTTATAATGCCATAGCTGCAATAGAGAGTGATTTGTCTGATGGACTCGGACAATGTAAATTGAAAACCTTCAGAAAAAAGTTCACCATCTAGATGTCATCCAGAACATTTGTGATTCATGGGAAAAGGTCAAAATATCAACGTTAATAAGGGCTTGAAAGAAATTAATTCCAACTCTCATCAATGAGTTGGAGAGGTTCAAGACTTCAGTAGATGAAGTAACTATAGATATGGGGGAAATAGTAAGAAAACCAGAATAAGAAGTGGAGCCTGAAGGTGGGATTGAATTGCTCCAATCTCATGATCAAACTTTAACAGATGAGGAATTGCTTCTGACAGATGAGCAAAGCAAGTGGTTTTTTGAGATGAAATATACCCCTGGTGAAGATATTGTAGACATTGTTGGAATGACAACAAAGGATTTAGAATATATTTATAACTTTATAAGTAATAAGATTTATAAGTTTATACTTCATTGATAAATCAGAAACAGACTGTAAGAAGATTGACCCCAATTTGAAAAAATTTCTACTGTAAGTAAAATACTGTTCAACAAAATACTAACAATATCACAAAGCTACAGAGAAAGCTTTCATGAAAGGAAGAGTCAATAAATGCAGCAAACTTCGTTGTTATCTTATTTTAAGAAATTGCTATACCCAGTCCAACTTTCATAAGTCACCACCATGATCAGTCAGCAGCCATCAACACTGAGGTAAGATCTTCCACCAGCAAAAAGGTTATGACTTGCTGAAGGCTCAAAAGATTGTTAGCAGTTTTTAGCAAAAAAAAGTTTTTGTTTGTTTGTTTGTTTGTTTTGTTTTGTTTTGATTTTGAGACGGAGTCTGCTCTGTTGCCCAGGCTGGAGTGCAGTGCAGTGGTGTGATCTCGGCTCACTACAAGCTCTGCCTCCCAGGTTCACGCCATTCTGCTGCCTCGGCCTCGCAAGTAGTAGCTGGGACTACAGGTGCCCACCATCACGCCCGGCTAATTTTTTTTTTTTTTTTTTTTTTTTTTTTTTTTTTTAGTAGAGACAGGGTTTCACCGTGTTAGCCAGGATGGTCTCGATCTCCTGACCTCGTGATCCTCCTGCCTCAGCCTCCCAAAATGCTGGGATTACAGGTGTGAGCCACCGCACCCAGCCAAAAAAAGGTTTTTAACTAAGGCATGTATGTACATTTTTTAAGACATTATTCTACTGCACACTTAATAGACTATAGGATTGTGCAAACATAATTTTTATATGCACTGGGAAACCAAAAATTCCTGTGAATCACTTTATTGCTTTATTGTAGTGGGCTGGAACTGAACTCATAATATCTCCAAAGTATACCTGTATTTTGATTTAGTCTCACTTTTTTAATTTTAATTTTTAATTTTTTGGGGTACATAGTAGATATATATATATATGGGGTACATGAGATACTTTAATACATGCATGTAATGTGAAATAAGCACATTATGAAGAATGAGGTATCCATCCCCTCAAGCATTTATCCAATGAGTTGCAAACAATCCAATTACACTCTATGTTATTTTAAAATGTACAGTTAATATAGTCACTCTGTTGTGCTATCAAATAGTATATCTTATTCATTCTTTCTATTTATTATGCATTAACCATCCTTACCTCCCTTCAAAACCCCCTACTACCCTTCTTAGCCTTTGGTAACCATCCTTCTACTCTCTATGTCCATGATTTCAATTATTTTGATTTTTAGATCCCACAAATAAGTGAGAACATATGATGTTTGTCTTTCTGTGCCTGACTTATTTCACTTAACATAATGATCTCCAGTTCCATCCATGTTGTTGCAAATGACAGGATCTCATTCCTTTTATAGCGGAATAACACTCCATTGTGTATATGCCACATTTTCTTTATCCATTCTTCTGTTGATGGGCACTTAGGTTGCTTTCAAATCTTAGCCATTGTGAACAGTGCTGCAACAAACATGGGAGTGCAGATATCTCTTCATTATACTTATTTCCTTTTTATGGGGTATATACCCAGCAGTTAGATTGCTGGATCATATGGTAACTGTATTATTAGTTTTTTGAGGAACCTCCAAACTGTTCTCCATAGTGGTTGCACTTATTTACATGCTCACAAACAGCGTACAAGGGTTCCCTTTTCTCCACATACCCTCCAGCATTTGTTATTGCCCATCTTTTGGTGAGAAGCCTTTTTAACTAGGGCGAGATGATATCTTACTGTAGTTTTGATTTGCATTTCTTGGATGATCAATAATTTTGAGCACCTTTTCATATGCCTGTTTGCCATTTGTATATCTTCTTTTGAGAATTGTCTACTCAAATCTTTAGCCCATTTTTTTTTATCAGATCATTGGATTTTTTTGCCTGTAGAGTTGTTTGAGCTCCTTATATATTCTAGTTATTAATCCCTTGTCAGCTGGATAGTTTGCAAACATATTCCCCCATCCTGTTAGTTGTCTCTTCACTTAATTTATTGTATCCTTTGCTGTGCAGAAGCTTTTTAACTTGATGTGATCCCATTGGTTACTTTTTGCATTCATTGCCTGTGTTTGTATGGTATTGCTCAAGAAATTTTTGCCCAGACCAATGTCCTGGAGATTTTCTCAAATGTTTTCTCACAGTAGCTTCATGATTTGAGATCTTATATGTAAGCCTTTAACCCATTTTGATTTGACTTTTGTATATGGCAAGAGATAGGGGTCTAGTTTCATTCTTCTGCATATGTATATTCAGTTTTCCCCACACCATTTATTAAAGAGACTGTCTTTTTCCCAGTGTATGTTCTTGGCAACTTTGTGGAAAATGAGTTCACTGTAGATGTGTGGATTTTTTTGAGTTTTCTGTTCTGTTCCATTGCTCTATGTGTCTGTTTTTATGCCAGTACCATGCTGTTTTGGTTACTACAACTCTGTGGTATAATTTGAAGTCAGGTAATGGTGATTTTTTCACTTTTGTTCTTTTTGCTTAGGATAGCTTTGGCTATTCTGGGTCTTTTGTGGTTTCATATAAATTTTAGAATTATTTTTTCTATTTCTGTGAAGAATGTTATTGGTATTTTGATAGAGATTGCATTGAGTCTATAGTTTGCTATGGGTAGTATGGATATTTTAACAATATGAACTCTTCCTACCCATGAAAATTGAATATTTTCCATTTTTTGGTGTCCTCTTTAATTATTTTCACCACTGTTTTATAGTTTTTATTATAGAGTTCTTTTATTTCTTTGGTTATTTTCCAGATATTTAATTTCATATGTGGCTATTATAAATGGGATTATTTTTTGGTTTCTTTTTCACATTGTTCACTGTTGGCATAAAAATGCTACTTATTTTTGTGTGTTGATTTTGTATCCTGCAACTATATTGAATTTATCAGGTCTAATAGTTTTCTTGTAGCATTTTGAGGGTTTTCCAAATGTAAAATCATATCATCTGGAAACAAGGATAATTTGACTTCTTCCTTTCCCATTTGGGATGTCCTTTGTATCTTTCCCTTGTCTGATTGCTCTAGCTAGGACTTTGAGTAATATGTTGAATAGCAGTGGTGACAGTGAGCATCCTTGTCATGTTCCAGATCTTAGAGGAAAGAGTTTTAGTTTTTCTCTGTTCAGTATGATATGAGCTGTGGATCTGTTGTATGTGGCTTTTAATATATTGAGCTACGTTCCTTCTAATCCCAGTTTGCTTGGGGAGGGGGTTAACATTAAGGGATGTTGATGTTTATCTAATGCTTTTCAGCATCAATTTAAATGATCATATGGTTTTTATCCTTTATTCTGTTAATATAATGTATCACAATGATTGATTTGCGTATGTCTAACCATCCTTGCATCTCAGGGATAAATCCACTTGGTCATGATGAATGATCTTTCTAATGTATTGTCAAATTAGGTTTGCTAGTATTTTTTCTGTTGAGGATTTTTTTTTATTATATTTTAAGTTCTAGGATACATGTGCAAAACATGCAGTTTCGTTACATAGGTATACATGTGCCATGGTGGTTTGCCGCACCCATCAACCTGTCACCCACATTAGGTATTTCTCCTAATTTTATCCCTCCCCTAGCCTGCCACCCCCCACCCGCCCCAGTGTGTGATGTTCCCCTCCCTATGTCCATGTGTTCTCATTATTCAACTCCCACCAATGAGTGAGAACATGTGGTGTTTGTTTTTCTCTTCTTGTGATAGTTTGCTGAGAATGATGGTTTACAGCTTCATCCATGTGGGACATGAACTAATCTTTTTTATGGCTGCATAGTATTCCATGGTGTATATGTACCACATTTTCTTTATCCAGTCTATCATTGATGGGCATTTGGGTTGCTTCCAAGTCTTTGCTATTGTGAATAGTGCCTCAATAAACATACATGTGCATGTGTCTTTATAGTAGAATGATTTATAATCCTTTGGGTATATACCCAATAATGGGATTGCTGGGTCAAATGGTAATTCTAGTTCTAGATCCCTGAGGAATTGCCACACTGTCTTCCACAATGGTTGAACTAATTTACACTCTCACCAACAGTATAAAAGCATTCCTATTTCATCACATCCTCTCCAGCATCTGTTGTTTCCTGACGTTTTAATGATCACCATTCTAACTGGCGTGAGATGGCATCTCATTGTGGTTTTGATTTGCATTTCTCTAATGACCAATGATGATGAGCATTTTTTCATATGTCTGTTGGCTGCATAAATGTCTTCTTTTGAGAAGTGTCTGTTCATACCCTTGCCCACTTTTTGATGGGGTTGTTTGTTTTTTTCTTGTAAATTTGTTTAAGTTCCTTGTAGATTCTGGATATTAGCCCTTTGTCAGATGGATAGATTGCAAAAATATTCTCCCATTCTCTAGGTTGCCTGTTTACTCTGATGACAGTTTCTTTTGTTGTGCAGAAGCTCTTTAGTTTAATTAGATCCCATTTGTCAATTCTGGCTTTTGTTGCCATTGCTTTTGGTGTTTTAGAGATGAAGTCTTTGCCCATGCCTATGTCCTGAATGTTATTGCCCAGGATTTCTTCTAGGATTTTTATGGTCTTAGGTCTTACATTTAAGTCTTTGATCCATCTTAAGTTGATTTTTTTATAAGGTGTAAGGAAGTTGTCCAGCTTCAGTTTTCTGCATATGGCTAGCCAGTTTTCCCAGCACCATTTATTAAATAGGGAACCATTTCCCCATTGCTTGTTTGTATCAGGTTTGTCAAAGATCAGATGGTTGTAGATGTGTGGTGTTATTGCTGAGGACTATGTTCTGTTCCTTTGGTCTATATATCAGTTTTGATACCAGTACCATGCTGTTTTAGTTACTGTAGCTTTGTAGTATCGTTTGAAGTCAGGTAGCATGATGCCTCCAGCTTTGTTCTTCTTTCCCAGGACTGTCTTTGCTATGTGGGCTCTTTTTTTGGTTCCATATGAACTTTAAAGTAGTTTTTTCCAATTTTGTGAAGAAAGTCAATGGTAGCTTGATGGTGATAGCATTGAATCTTTAAATTACTTTGGGAATTATGGCCATTTTCATGATATTGATTCTTCCTATCCATGAGCATGGAATGTTTTTCCATTTGTTTGTGTCCTCTCTTATTTCCTTGAGCAGTGGTTTGTAGTTCTCCTTGAAGAGGTCCTTCAAATCCCTTGTAAGTTGTATTCTTAGGTATTTTATTCTCTTAGTAGCTATTGTGAATGGGAGTTCACTCATGATTTGTCTCTCTGTTTGTCTGACTTTTGAGGATTTTGCATCAATATTCATCAGAGATATTGGCCTGTAGTTTTCTTTTCTTGATGTGTCTTTCTGGTTTTGGTATCAGGGTAACACTGGCCTCATAGAATGAGTTTGGAAGTATTCCCTTTTCCTCTGTTTTTAGAATAGTTTGAGTAGGATTGGTATTAGTTCTGGTTTGGTATCAGGGTAACACTGGCCTCATAGAATGAGTTTGGAAGCATTCCCTTTTCCTCTATTTTTAGAATAGTTTGAGTAGGATTGGTATTAGTTCTTGTTTAAATGTTTGGTAGAATTTAGCAGTGCAGCCATCAGGTCCCATGCTTTTCTTTGCTGGAAGACATTTTATTATGGCTTTAATTTTGTTACTTGTTATTGGTCTGTTCAGGTTTTGCATATTTTCATGGTTCAATCTTGGTAGTTTGTATGTTTCTAGGAATTTGTCCATTTCTTCTAGATTTTCCAATTTATAGTACATACTTGCTCATAGTAGCCACTAATGATCCTTTTAATTTCTGCAGTATCAGTTGTAATGTCTCCTTTTTTATTTCTGATTTTATTTGGATCTTCACTCTGTTTTTCTTAGTCAATTTGGCTGAAGGTTGGTCAATTTTGTTTAACTTTTCAATTAAAACAACTTTTTGTTTCATTGATCTTTTGTATTTTTTTCATTTCAGTTTCATTTATTTCTGCTCTGATCTTTATTATTTCTTGCTTCTACTAATTTTGAGTTGGTTTTCATTGCTTTTCCAGTTCTTTAATGAGTCTTTTTTTCTTTCCTCCATTAAGCCAGTCTACATCTTTTGATTGGAGAGTTTAGTCCATTTACATTCAATGTTATTGATAAGTAAGGACTTATTCCTGCTATTTTGTTATTTCTTTTCTGGCTGCTTTGTGGTCTTCCTTCATTCTTTAATTCTTGTCTTTCTCTAGCAAAGATGATTTTCTCTGGTGATATGATTTCGTTTCTTGCATTTTATTTTTTGTGTATCCATTGCATGTTTTTGGTTTGAGGTATACATGAGGCTTGCAAATATTATCTTATAACCCCCTATTCTCACCTGACAAAGACATTATTTCCATAAACAAACAAACAAGCAAAAATAAAACTAATAAAAACTCATCTTAACTTTGTCCTCCTGCTTCTTAACTTTTTGTTGTTTCTATTTATAACGTATTGTACTGACTATGTACTGAAAAGTTGTTGTACTTATTTTTGATTGGTTCATTGTTAGTCTTTCTACTTGAGTTGTTTATACACCAATATTAGTGTTCTAATATTCTGTGTTTTTCTGTGCGCTTACTATTACCAGCAAATTTTGTACTTTCAGATGTTTGCTTATTGCTTATTAATGTCCTTTTCTTTCTGATGAAAGTACTCCCTTTAGCATTTCTTGCAGGACAGGTCTGGTACTGGTGAAATCTCTTGGCTTTTCTTTGTTTGGGAAAGTCTTTATTTCTCCTTCATATTTGAAAGATATTTTCATCAGACATGGTGTTCTAGAGTAAAAGTTTTTATTTTTCCTTCAGCACTTTAAATATGTCATGCCACTCTCTCCTGGCCTATAAAGTTTCCACTGAAAAATCTACTGCCAGACGTATTACAGCTCCATTGTATGTTATTTGTTTATTTTCTCTTACTGCCTTTAGGATTCTTTCTTAATCCTTGACTTTGAAAGTTTGAATATTAAATGCCTTGAGGTAGTCTTCTTTGGATTAAATCTACTTGGTGTTCTATAACTTTCTTGTAGTTGGATAGTGATATCTTTCTCTAGGTTTGGGAAGTTCTCTGTTATTATCCCTTTGAATAAACTTTCTACCTCTGTCTCTTTCTTTCTCTCCTCTTTAAGGTCAATAACTCTTAGATTTGCCCTTTTAAGGCTATTCTCTAGATCCTATAGGCATGCTTCATTCTTTTTTATTATTTTTTCTTTTGTCTCCTTTGACTGTATTTTCCAGTAGCCTGTCATCAAGCTAATTCTTTATTCTGCTTTATCCATCCTGTTATTAAAACATTCTGATGCATTCTTCAGTATGCCAATTGCATTTTTCAGCTCCAGAATTTCTTCTTGATTCCTTTACATTATTTAAGTCTCTGTTAAATTTATCTGATAGAATGCTGAATTCCTTCTCTGTGTTATATTGAATTTCTTTGAGTTTCCTCACACAGCTATTTTAAATTATGTATCTGAAAGGTCACATAGCTCTGTTTTTCCAGGATTGGTCCTTGGTGCCTTATTTAGTTTATTTTGTGAGGTCATATTTTCCTGGATGGTGTTGATGCTGGTAGATGTTCTTTGGTGACTGGGCATTGAAGAGTTAGGTATTTATTATAGTCTTCATTGTCTGGCCTTATTTGTAGCCATCCTTCTTGAGAAGGCTTTCTAGCTATTTGAAAGGACTTGGGTGTTGTGATCTAAGCTGTTTGTACTTTAGAGGTTACCCCAAGCCCAGTAACACTGTGGTTCTTACAGACTAATAGAGGTGCTGTCTTGATGATCTTAGACCAGATCCAGGAGAATTCCTTGGATTACTAGGCAGAGATTCTTGTTCTCTCCTCTTACTTTTTCTCAAACATACAGAGTATCTCTCTCCTTTCTGAGCCACCTAAAGCTGGGGGTGGAGTGACACAGGAACCCCTGCGGCCACCACTACTATGACTGTATTAGGTCAGACCTGAAACCAACATAGTGCTGGGTCTCGCCCAAGGCCTGCTGTAACCACTTCCTGATTACCCCTTATGTTTGCTCAAGGCCCTGGGGCTCACAATCAGCAGGTGGCAAAGCCAGCCAGGTGTGTGCCCTTCCCTCAAGGCAGTGAGGTCCTCAGGTCCCGGGTAAGTCTAAAGGTGCCACCTAGGAGTCAGAGACTAGAGTCAAAAACCTTAGAAGTCTACCTGGTATTCTTTATATTGAAGATCACAAAACTCAGTCCTTCCCACTCTTCCCTCCACTTTACAAAGGCAGAGGAGCCTCATCCCAAGCTGCCACACGTTCTCTTAGTCAGCTTGTGGTGAATGCTGCCTGGCCTAGGACTCACACTTCAGGGCAATTGGTTCCCCTCTGCCCCAGGGCTGGTCTAGAAATACCATCCAAGAGTTAAGTCCTGGAATTGGGGTCCCTAAGAGCCCACTTGGTACTCCACCTCTGTGGCAGTGTTGGTACCTAAGGTGCAAGACAAAGTTCCCTTTACTTTTCCCACTGCTTTTCTCAAGCAGGAGTTTTGCCCCACAGCCACCACAGCTAACTTTAGCTGAGTGTCACCTAAAGCCAGCAAATCTCAGAGGCTCACCAAGGCCCTCAGTGTTGTACCTGGGTATTGTTGCTTGTTATTCAGGATGCAAGGGCTTTTTGATTAGCAGGGGATAAATGCTGGCAGGACTGTGTCTTTTTCTTTTATGTAGCAGTTCATTCTGGCCCAGGGTGTGTCTAGAAGTGTTATCTGGGAGTTAGGGCCTGGAATGGGAGCCTCATGACTTTGACTAGTGCCCTATCCTGCTGTGGCTGAGCTGGTATCCAAAATGCAAGACAAAGTCCTCCCCACTTCCCCCTCTCCTCTCCTCAAGTGGAAGGATAGGGTCTCCTTTGGAGCCATGAGCTGTGCAGCCTGGGGTTAGTGGAGGGGTAAGGCCAGCACTCACTTGACTGCCCCAGCTAGTGTCTCAGTATGCTGCTTGCCCCCTAGTCCATTGTCCCTGGGCCTAGTTCAGCCCTGGGATTCATCTAAGAGTTGCAGTCCTTACGGCCTAGACTGTCTTTCAAGTTTACTTAGAGACCCAGAGCCCTTTGGCCCTCAGTGGTGAGTTTTGCAGGCACTTAAGTTCTGACTGCTGGGATCAGTGTTTTCCCTCTGACTAGCACTGGTTTAAATGCTCCCTGTGTGGGTGGGCATCAGCTGAGTCTGATCTGGGTTTTTCTGTCTGCTCTAACAGAGCAGCACTGAGTTCAGTGCCTCACAATTGCTGTGTTCTTCCCCAAGTGCCCAGAAACACTCTCTGCCCCACTCTGCTGCTGCCAAAGGGGAGGGAAGGGGTTGTGTCACCGATTCAGGACTGTTTTGTCTATCTCCTTAGAGCCTCTTTCAGCGTTAAAAAGTTAAAACCAAGTATATAAGTGCTTACCTGATTTTTGGCTCTTATGAAGGTGTTTTTTCCGTGTAGATAGTTGTTAACTTGGTGTACTTACATGGAGGATGATCAGTGGAGCTCTCTATTCCACCACCTTGCTCCACCTTTCTCTCATTTATGCTCACTTTGGCTGTGGTATAGATAATGGGTTCAAGGTGGGAAAGACTGAAAGAGGGAAGAACCCCTAGATAGCTATTAACGATGGTCCAGGGAAAGATCATGGAGGTTAGTGGAGTAGACAGACCAGGTGTGTTTAAGTTTTCTTTTGTCAGGGTGAGTGATTGGTTGGATGTGGAGAGTGAGCTGAGGGAAGAAAATGTTTAAGATAACTCCCAGAGTATCCTTTCCTTCCCCTTTACTGCCCTCAGCTCTGACCCACCTCTCAACCTGCCATCCATTTAGCACCTGTGTTCAGCAAAGGTGATATGAGGCAAAAGGACACTCTTTCCACTACCCTGGAGTTTGGTCAGACATCAACACTGGGAAGGTGAAAAATCAGAGAAAAAGCATGGATCATGGCACTAAAACCACCGATAAGGAAATTAAACATTTGGCCTGTTACAGATTGGCAAACCACAATTATAGGCCCTAATGACAGCCCTTATCAAGGCAGTATATTCTTTTTGACACAATGTTGCATTATAACTGGAATTCATCATCCAAATATTGGCATAATATTAAATTTTAAATAATATTTAAATGTGAATGATTCTAATATATCACTCAAACATTAAATAATAATGGGAGCATTCATCTTAGAATCACAGTGGTCTCTTGCTTTTATTGTTTCTAAAGTTATTCTACTCATTTTGTCACTGCTATATAGCCCAAACTCAGATGATGTCCTAGTGCCAGAAATCGCATAGATCCATAAATCAGACAGATGAGCACAACAGAATATCTTAGCAATGGACTCCGAAGCATGCCAGAGAAGCATGCATTATAGCTAAAATAAACTTTAAATTACAGATTTAAAAGAGGAAATAAATAAAAAGAATGACTCCTGGGATCCTGGCACAAGCAACTAGGTGGATAGAGTTAGCATTTATTAACATAGCACAAATCAAAGGGAGCTGATTAAAGTTTCAAACATGTTGAGTTTGAGATGCTTGTGAGGTATCTGGGTGGGGCTATCAAGTCAGCAGTTGTATATATAGATCTGAAACTTAGAAGAGAAACTCAAGGTAGAGATAGAAAAAAAATGCTTAACTTATTGGCATATAAATGATATGTAAGAGTTTGTTAGAGGGCAAGATTTTCTAATAAAGTAAGTGTAATGTAAATTGGAAAAAAAAAAAAAGCCCAGGCCAAAGTCCTAAGAGCTCCTACATTTAGAGGCCAGATTAAGGGGAAGAATGCAAAGATAACAAGAAGTAGTGGCCTGAGAGGCAAATGAAAAACAGGACAGTGGTGTCATGACATCCGAGAAGAAAACAATTTCTTCTTTACTTGCTTTTAGGAAACTTACCTGGTTCTCAATTGTGGTAGCTAACTCACTTCCACATTTGGTATATTTTGAATACTAATATTTCTCCACTCTCTACTATCCTGTATATCTCCATGTTTTATAAACTTTGCCTGCCCATTTCTTGGTGTGTTACAGACAACATGAGTTATGTTGGGCAATTGCTTGGGAAAGCAAAGGAAAATTAGCTGAGAGGTTGCCAGTTGGTCTAAGAGAAAGCTCATATTCATAAAATCTGCCTTCATATAACTTCCCCATTCATACTCTCATACTCAACTTTTGTGACTTATTTAAATGAGCAGTTGGTGTGGGAGAGGAACTAAAAGAGACATATTGGAAAGCAAAGAACGAAAGATTTTAAAAGTGAGTAAGTTTCGAAGGATGTCTCTTCTACTAGATTCTCATCATTTAAATCTTCAGCCAGACCTTCAAACCTTTAGATGTCCAATTGCTATTTTGGAAAAGTATGATCTCAACTTGGAGCACAATCTAGGATCAAGCAAATAACTTAGAGGACCTCTGCTTGCTACAGGAAAATTTATAAAGCTAAAGGGAAAGTGTCAGCTCAGAATTCCCCAGACTGCTTTTAAAACAGTACTGGACCACTCAAATCATTTCCAAAAAAAGGCCTTAACATTTTTTCAAAAGTGAGCAAAATTATTGTGACTCAAATGTTCAACTGACATTCACTGGAGTTAGTGGGTTGATGACAGGTTAAATATATTGTGAAGTTGAATTATTATGTGAAATATGTACCTTTAATGACATGTTGGAGACTTATGTGTACAATATAAACATATTTCAGATAACACAAAATAAAATAATATTTTCAATTATTTTAGATGTCTTTGCTGCTGTATTTTTATGTTTTGGCAGCAAAGATTATATCCATGGCTATTTAATTCTAAATCTTAAATCAGGAATGCAGCTCCCAATTATAATACTGTTGCTTTTTAAAAAAAAAAAAAAAAAAAAGGTAGTTAGTAATAGAGGTAAAAATTAGATCTGCATTAAAAACTAGATTCTACAACTTAAAATTACATTATATGACCTTAAGCAAGATACTTAGCCTGTTTAAGCATTAAAGTATGTGTCAGTAAAATGGGGAAAATAAAAGTATGAACCTGAGGATTAAACAACGTAAGATATATGATGCACTTAGCTACTTAGCTTATGTTCCTTACTGCCTTTCTAGGATACCTTCCTAATGCAATCTTCCATGCAGTTGTAGATGCCTTTGTAGACTTCACAGTGGACCAAACGAAGATGTCACTGTCAATATTAAATAGCATTCTGATGTTAACTATTGGAGGTACAAAGGAAAAGCACTAGTTATTCCAGTAAAGTAAATCCTTCATATTTCTGGGTGAGGGCAAGAGCCAGAAAAAAATTAATATGGTGTTGATAGTCATTCCCAAGACCAAGAGAGAAATGCTCCCACCTACCCAGGTTTGCGTTATTGGACACTACATCACTGGAGCAGAATTCCACCTCATTCTCTTTTCCTTTTTTGTCAGGAACATATCTTTGAAAGGTGATAGAGGCAATCCGGAGCAGCACAAACGGTGTGCATGGGCATCATTGCAAGAATGTGATAACAGCAGAGCCATACATACAGAATAGGAAAAAGAAAAAGGATGACTTAAAGTCCCAGCCGTTTTACCAACACCATCTGAACATTTCATTATTCCAGTTTCAGAGATGAGTAAATGAAGATTCAGAAAGATTAAGCAACCTCTCCAACACATTTAATTAGAAACAATAGGGCTAAAATTTATATCAACATCTCTATCATCCTTGCACAGTGAGAGAGATGGCATTAATACCCCCCCCCCCACAAGTCTTTACCCTCCCTTGTATCTATAACCTTTGCATATAACTGTAGGTCTCTTCACTACACAGAGGAAACCCATTTCCCCACTTCTTCACTTTGGGTGTAGCCATGTGGCTTATTGTCACCAGTAGAATGAGGGGGGAAGTTATGGTTTGCTAAAGCCCTCAGAGGCCATGTATGTCTTCCTCTTGCCTTGATGGCCCTCTACCATGACCACGAAACATGTTTGTGAAGGCCAGCTCACTGGTCCCAAGGGGAGGATGAGAGACACGTGGAACAGAGCCATCCCAGACAAACCCCACCTAAAGCACCCAACCCAGAGTTGATCTGTAGCTATAGAGCTATAATAGTAAATTATTATTGTTGTTAACCACTGAATTTGGGGGTAGTTTGCTTTGTAGCAATGGCTAACCAGTGTACATGCTATCAACAGATTAAGCTTGACATTACTGTTAATTTCATTAAAATTTTTTTGTTTTTGCAATTATGAGGATAGTAACCCAGAAGATCAGCTCTAATTGACATTTTTGAGAAAGTTATTAAAGCTATTACTAAGAAGTTAAAAAGGGTCATTGGGGTATTTGATATCTTATGTTTAAGGGGGAGCTGCACCATGTAATCTACTTTTTTTTTCTTAAGAGACAAGGTCTGACTCTGTCACCCAGGCTGGAGTACAATGCCATGATCATAGCTCACTGCAGATTTGAACTCCTGGACTCAGGCAATCCTCTTGCCTCAGCCTCCTGAGTAGCTGGGATTACAGTTGCAAGCCACTGCACCTGGCTAATCTACTTATTTAATTTCTTTTCTACTGACATGGGCCCTACTAAACAACTCCAAAAAGAGATGTTAAGTAAAAGGAAATGATTTTCTTTTCTATTTCAAATCAGTAGCATCTGAGGGGGTAAATTCCACTCTGCTGATTTCTTAAACTCCTGCTTTAATTTCATGCAAATGCAATATCAACTTTTAATAAATTAGAAGATTATTTTGTTTCATTTTTTCAAAAAGTGAGTTTTATATTATTATTTGTACAAAGTCAAAAGGCACAAGTTTCTCTTCTATTTCTGATTTTCCCAGCCTGACTTTTTGCCTTAGTTTCCCAGACACAATCTAAACTTTGTGTTTGGCTTATTGTTTTCTATATTATGCTTCATCAGTGTTTCCCAAATTACAGTCCATCAAAAAATAGATTTCCTGAATGTCCCATCTTTTATTTTCTCTTACTCTTAGCCACTTACAGTCATATTCCAGTTTTCAATTTCAATTTCTGAAGCAGACCATGTCTTTGTTATTTATGGGAGCCTGATTTAATGAAGCAGTCTCTTGAATATAGATGTCATCTCCAAAATATTAAATAATTGTGACCTTCCATTGGTAGCAATCTGAGCTACATGCAGAGGCATTCATACAATGTAAAGGCTATCTCATTCATCAGTAAATTCCCAAGTGGCTATCTCCTTCTGTGTTCATTCATCTATATCATCCCTTGTGTAGTCTATTTTTTCAGGTTTTCAATAAAACTGCTTTAAAAAATTAGGATAATGATCTCCAGAGGCAGGGGGAGCACCGACTCCTCCATAAAAACATTATAACAAAATGGTATATAATTAATCTTCAAGTGTATGGTTATTTTTCTTTCTTAATTGAACTTGCTATGCAGTGTTTTCTTGTATGTGTGTAGATAAACGCATGTATTTGTTTTGCTATTTCTAACTGAATGTGGCTTTCTTAAGGATAAGAACTATGACTTTTCCTTTCCTATGGTCTTAGTGCCCATTAGCACCATGATCATAATAGATGCTCAATACACATTTGGTAAACAAATGAATAAATCCTCATTCTACATTGCTCAATATTCAATTCTCTGGGTAGATGTCTCTCATTTTAATTCTCTTCAGTTGTAATGACCATGGAAAGTAACCTGTAAAACCACCCAGCACAGTGCCTGCATGGGGGCTACTTTGTTCATTAAATATGTTTCTCATTCTTGAGGCACCACAGTACTCTCACAGAGGTAAGTGCCAACAGTTACTTTAAAATTACTAAACCTCAAGCAAAAGTAACAGAAAACATTCCTTCCCACATGCACAATCTAATTGCATAATCAGCAGCTCTCCAATAATGCAGAAACTCCTTCTTTTATTACCTTTTGTTCTCCTTCCTTTCCCCCCTCCCCACACAACCACGCACAGAAATCAGACTTTTTTGAGTAATATTTATATTATATAACTCTCACTCAACAATTTGGCTCCATTAGGTTGTCCTCAGAAAATAAATGAAGAAAATCCAAGTCAGTTTTATCTGATCCATTGTTATGTAAGTCCATGTTTCTAAGTCCATCCTGAAAGAATGACTCTCTATGGTCCTGTTCAGACAAACTTTGCTGGGACTACCTCATGGTCTCTATCTTTTACGGCATCTTCATTCCATTTTATTTATCATATTGCACCACAGTGATCTTCTTAAAATAAACTTTTCCTTCTATTTGAGAACCAAAGTAGCTCCCAGTGCCAAGAACAGTGGTCATTAACCTCTTTTGGAGGAATCTCCCCACTCCTAGCCCAAATATACAAAGGCATAAATCCTCTAAACATTATGTACAACCTTAGATGTTCCTTAGATCCCTGGGTTAAGACCTTGAAGCCCAGAGAGATGTTTCTACTCCTATGCCTAATATTTAAGGTCCTCCATAATCTTCTCAAGCTTTATTTATAAACAGTCTCATCTCCCCAAATTCCCCAAACTAAATTCCAGATAAATTTAATCACCCAGAAAGTTTTTCCCATCTACATTTCTATGATTTAGAAAACTGGACTGGAGTTCAGGAGTTCTGGCTTCCACCTAACCAAGGAACTTTATAAAGTTACTTGTACTCTCTGAAGCTCATTTTATGCATGTACAAATTGATGAAGCTGATTTAAACCAGTATTCTCCAAAGTATGATATGTGAACAACTGAGTTTAGATGGTACATAATCTGTTATTTTTTATTTTAAAGATTGTGTTTAATTTAATGTGATTTGTGAAAAATATATATTTATAAATTCTAGATTTTAATGTATAATATGAAATCAATATATTATATGTGACACATCTAAGCTATAATTTACAGATATTTTTGTGTAGATAAGGATAAGTGTTAAAAATGAGTCAATCTAGAATTTATTTAAGTATATATTAAGTAAAAAATAAGCAATATAAAGATACAGCAAAATCTGGCAAGATCATATGTAAATATGAAGATTGAGGAGAACTGGACCAATTGATCTCCAAAGCCTGTTCCAGTCCTAGGACACCATAGTTCCTCAACTTAGA
Source organism: Homo sapiens (assembly GCF_000001405.40). Lineage (NCBI taxonomy): Eukaryota > Metazoa > Chordata > Mammalia > Primates > Hominidae > Homo > Homo sapiens. The sequence goes on from NC_000004.12 coordinate 75,107,553, forward strand.
CTCTCTCTTCAAGGAGAACTTTCTTCCAAGAGCTCAACATAAGCAGCTCTCCCCAGAGACAATAAGGAAGGAGATCAAAGAGCTGCTGCTTCATTCTCAAAAAGGAAAAAAAGGTGAGTTTTTTAAAAAATTGTTTCCATTTTTAGATGAAGACAAATAGAAAAGATTTTATATAAGCTGCCCAAGATCCACCAGGAGCCTATTGCTGGGAGCAGATCCCAGACTAGCTCCTGTGGGATTGGCATTGACAGTTTTGTTGGGACCAACTGATGGCATAGTTATGACTCAAAACATAAAGCAGCACAAATTTTTTTCTTAATGACTAACACATACACATTCAGATTCAGATAGAAACTGCAGCTGCTCCCTCCAACTACAAGTTTGATGAACAGATGGCAGGCTTCATCTGGGAATAGAAAGATTTAGGGCTAGAATTGCATAAAGTTAGAAGACCAGAAGGAGAGGGTGTTGTAACTACAAATGCATTTAAGAATTGCCAGAAGAAAGGTCTGGGTCTTGTGTGCTGCACATCACTCATGGCTATGGTTGTTTTGTATTTTAAATATTGATGAGTCAGAGAAGAAATATCATTCAAGCTGTGTGTGTGTTTGTGTGAGATGACTATTGCATCCAAAGAGATGACTGCTTCTTCTAGATGAGTTTTCCCCCCTAATTTTAAGACATCCATCCTAGCATCCACTTCTTTACATAAAACTAGGCCCTAGGAATTGGGAGCTGATTCCTTCCCTGATTGCAGTCCAGAGAACTATCTTGTTATATGTTCTTATTCTTCCTAATGTAAAATCAAGCCCAAGGGGAAAAGAGGAAGTTGTTGTTTAGTGGGTACAGAGTCTCAATCTGCAAGATAAAATGTACTGGAGATCTGTTGTACAACAGTGTGAACACACTTAGAACTGCTGAACTGTACATTTAAAATTGGTTAAGATTGTTAAAAAAAATCAGACAAACTGGAAAGCATTCAATATTCAATCTGAAGAGCTTCCAATAATCTAGGATTGAAAGAAAATCTGAAAAAGCAAAAGAAGAAAGGGAAATAAAGCATATGGCATATATTCAAAGATGCATCCAGCTAATGCCCTCTGGAGAGAAACCCATTAAGAGGAACATAAGGCACCTCAGACTGAGCAGTGAGAGATAGAAATTGTCAGGGGAAACAAAGGGTCTCCTTATAAGGGAAGTAAAGACATCATGTTCCCGGAAAGTCACTTATTTCAGAGGATGGCTCTGACAGCAAAATTTAGACCAGGGAATAGTAGGCTTAACTGTGAGGTGATGATCAAGAAGGAGAGGTACACATGAAGTAATTTAACCATGGCTTGGATAATAGTATGTAGAGGGCTCATTGGGAAGGCCTTTCCGGACCTCACTATCCCCTTCTTCTTCACCCAATGCTTCATCATTTATGACTCATTTTTAAGAAAAAACTAAGACACAATTTTTAAACAGTAAATTGAGAGTTAGGAGGCTTACATTCTGGTCTTTGAAATGTGATTAACCAGCAGTTCCCCCTTGAAAACTCTTTCCTTCTATCTCCTCATTTCTAAAGCAAGAGCTGGACACCCTGGTATCTAATATCTCTTCATGTGTCAGTAGTCACTGATTGATATTAGGAAAGTTTGTGGTGATATTTGGTTCTCTGCCTCTTCTGCCCCACCTGTGCAACATGCTACCTGTCACTTCACAGGGAAGAGATCTTAAAATTGTACCTGAGCATCATTCAGCCTATCAGGTGATCTCATCATCTGTGTTGCCTGGTTCTTAGGCATTGAGGAAAAATAAAGTTTATGAAGTAATATGTCTTAGACCTTACAGATAATGTGATAAAGAGGGAGCAATATAAAAATATATATGTTTGAAAGTGGAAGAGGATAAGAGCCACAATATTGTTCTGAAATAAAAGGAATTAGTCCTTCAACAGAAATGCCAGAATAAGAAGGTGGAGGAAGATGGCAGAATAGAAGACTCCAATGCTCATCTGCCACCCTGCAAGAATGCAAATTTAACAACATTCTACAACAACAACAACAACAAAAAAAAAACACCTTCATAAGAAGCAAAATCTGGTGAGCCTTCATGGTACCTGGTTTTAACTTCATATTACTAAAAAAAAACACACACAGCGTGGTGGAAGATGCCTGTAGTCCAAGCTATTTGGGAGGCTGAGGCAGGAGAATGCTGTAAACCCAGGAGGTGGAGCTTGCAATGAGCCAAGATCATGCCACTGCTCTCCAGCCTGGGCTACAGAGCAAGACTCCATCTTAAAAAAAAAAGGGGGGGGGGGCATTCCAAGATGGCCCAATAGGAACAGCTCCGGTCTGCAGCTCCCAGCATGACTGACACAGAAGACAGGTGATTTCTGCATTTCCAACTGAGGTAGCTGGCTTATTTCACTGGGACTGGTTGGACAGTGGGTGCAGCCAACAGAGGGTGAGCCGAAGCAGGGCAGGGTGTCTCATCACCTGGGAAGCACAGGGGTCCAGGGATTTCCCTTTCCTAGCCAAGGGAAGCCGTGACAGACTACCTGGAAAAACAGGATACTCCTACCCAAATACTGTGCTTTCCCAAGGTCTTAGCAACCAGTAGACAAGGAGATTCTCTCCCGTGCCTGGCTCAGGGGGTCCCACGCTCATGGAGCCTTGCTCACTGCTAGTGCAGCAGTCTGAGATCAATCTGTGAGGTGGCAGCTTGGCTGGGGGAGTGGCATCTGCCATTGCTGAAGCTTGAGTAGGCAAACAAAGTGGCTAGGAAGCTCAAACTGAGCAGAGCCCACAGCAGCTCAACAAAGCCTACTGCCTCTAGACTCCACTTCTGTAGGCAAGACATAGCTGAACAAAAGGCAGGAGACAACCTCTGCAGACTTAAACATCCTGTCTGACAGCTCTGAAGAGAGCAGTTGTTCTCCCAACATGGCATTTGAGTGCTGAGTATGGACAGACTGCTTCCTCAAGTGGGTCCCTGACCCCCATGTAGCCTAACTGGGAGAAACCTCCCAGTAGGGGCCGACAAAAACCTCATATAGGCAGCTGCTCCTTTGGGATGAAGCTTCCAGAGGAAAGATCAGGCAGCAATATTTGCTGTTCTGCAATATTTGCTGTTCCACAGCCTCCACTGGTGATACCCAAGAAAACAGGGTCTGGAGTGAAACTCCAGCAAACTCCAACAGACCTGCAGCTGAGGGACCTGACTGTTAGAAGAAAAACTAACAAACGGAAAGGAATAGCATCAACATCAACAAACAGGTCATCTACACCAAAACCCCATTTGTAGGTCACCAACATCAAAGACCAAAGGTAGATAAAGCCACAAAGATGGGGAGAAATCAGAGGAGAAAAAGCTGACATTTCTAAAAATCAGAGCACCTCTTTTCCTCCAAAGGACCACAGCTCCCCACCAGCAATGGAACAAAGCTGGATGGAGAATGATTTTGACAAGTTGACAGAAGTAGGCTTCAGAAGGTCAGTAATAACAGACTTCTCCGAGCTAAAGCAGAATGTTCGAACCCATCACAAGGAAGCTAAAAATTTTGAAAAAAGATTACACAAATGGCTCACTAGAATAAACAGTGTGGAGAAGACCTTAAATGACCTGATGGAGCTGAAAACAATGGCAGAAAAACTTGGTGACACATGCACAAGCTTCAATAGCCAATTTGATCAAGTGGAAGAAACGGTATCAGTGATAGAAGATCAAATTAATGAAATAAAGTAAGAAGACAAGGTGAGAGAAAAAACAGTAAAAAGAAATGAACAAAGCTTCCAAGAAATATGGGACTATGTGAAAAGACCAAATCTACATTTGATTGGTGTACCTGAAAGTAATGGGGAGAATGAAACCAAGCTGGAAAACACTCTACAGGATATTATCCAGGAGAACTTCCCCAACTTAGCAAGGCAGGCAAACATTCAAATTCAGGAAATACAGAGAACACCACAAAGATATTCCTCGAGAAGAGCAATGCCAAGACACATAATTGTCAGATTCACCAAGGTCAAAATGAAGGAAAAAGTGTTAAGGGCAGCCAGAGAGAAAGCTCGAGTTACGCACAAAGGGAAGTCCACCAGACTAACAGCAGATCTCTCGGCAGCAACCCTACAAGCCAGAAGAGAGTGGAGGCCAATATTCAACATTCTTAAAGAAAAGAATTTTCAACCCAGAATTTCATTTCCAGCCAAACTAAGCTTCATAAGTGAAGGAGAAATAAAATCCTTTATAGACAAGCAAATGCTAAGAGATTTTGTCACCATGAGGCCTGCCTTACAAGAGCTTCTGAAGGAAGCAGTAAAAATGGAAAGGAACAACTGGTAGCAGTCATAGCAAAAACAGGCCAAATTGTAAAGATCATCGATGCTATGAAGACACTGCATCAATTAATGGGCAAAATTACCAGCAAACATCATAATGACAGGTTCAAACTCACACATAACAATATTAGCCTTAAATGTAAATGAGCCAAATGTCTCAATTGAAAGACACAGACTGGCAAATTGGACAAAGAGTCAAGACCCATCAGTGTGCTGTATTCAGGAGACCCATCTCACATGCAAAGACACACATAGGCTCAAAATAAAGGGATGGAGGAAGGTCTACCAAGCAAATGGAAAGCAAAAAAAAAGCAGGGTTTGCAGTCCTAGTCTCTGATAAAACAGATTTTAAACCAAGGAAGATCAAAAGAGACAAAGAAGGCCATTACATAATGGTAAAGGGATCAATTCATCAAGAAGAGCTAACTATCCTAAATATCTATGCACCCAATACAAGAGCACCCAGATTCATAAAGCAAGTCCTTAGAGACTTACAAAGAGACTTGGACTCCAACACAATAATAATAAATAAATAATAAATAAATAAATAATAAATTAAAAAATCTGTCAATATTAGACAGATCAATGAGACAGAAGTTTAACAAGGATATCCAGGACCTGAACTCAGCTCTGCAACAAGCAGACCTAATAGACATCTACAGAACTCTCCACCACAAATCAACAGAATATACATTCTTCTCAGCACCACATCTCACTTACTCCAAAAATCACTACATAATTGTAAATAAAGCACTCCTCAGCAAATGTAAAAGAACAGAAATCACAACAAACTGTCTCTCAGACCACAGTGCAATCAAATTAGAATTCAGGATTAAGAAACTCACTCAAAACTGCTCAACTACATGGAAACTGAACACTTTGCTCCTGAGTGACTACTGGGCAAATAATGAAATGAAGGCAGAAATAAAGATGTTCTTTGAAACCAATGAAAACAAAGACACAATGTACCAGAATCTCTGAGACACATTTAAAGCAGCATGTAGAGGAAAATTTATAGCACTAAATGCCCACAAGAGAAAGCAGGAAAGATCTAAAATCAACACACTAACATCACAATTAAAAGAACTAGAGAAGCGAGAGCAAACACATTCAAAAGCTAGCAGAAGGCAAGAAATAACTAAGATCAGAGCAGAACTGAAAGAGAGACAAAAAACCCTTCAAAAAATCAGTGAATCTAGGAACTGGTTTTTTGAAAAGACCAACAAAATTGATAGACTGCTAGCAAGACTAATAAAGAAGAAAAGAGAGAAGAATCAAATAGACACAATAAAAAATGATAAAGGAGATATCACCACCAATCCCACAGAAATACAAACTACCATCAGAGACTACTACAAACAGCTCTATGCAAATAAACTAGAAAATCTAGAAGAAATTGGTAAATTCCTTGACACATACACCGTCCCAAGACTAAACCAGGAAGAAGTTGAATCTCTGAATACAACAATAACAGGCTCTGAAATTGAGACAGTAATTAATAACCTACCAGCCAAAAAAAGTCCAGTACCAGATGGATTCACAGCTGAATTCTACCAGGGGTACAAAGAGGAGATGGTGCCATTCCTTCTGAAACTATTCCAATCAATAGAAAAAGAGGGAATCCTCCCTAACTCATTTTATGAGGCCAGCATCATCATGACATCAAAGCCTGGCAGAGACACAACCAAAAAAAAAAGAATTTTAGACCAATATCCCTGATGAACGTCAATGCAAAAATCCTCAATAAAATACTGGCAAACCAAATCCAGCAGCACATCAAAAAGCTTATCCACCATGATCAAGTGGGCTTCATCCCTGGGATGCAAAGATGATTCAACATGTACAAATCAATAAACGTAATCCATCACATAAACAGAACCAAAGACAAAAAGCACATTATTATCTCAATAGATGCAGAAAAGGCCTTCAACAAAATTCAACAACACTTCATGCTAAAAACTCTCAATAAATTAGGTATTGATGGAATGTATCTCAGAATAATAAGAGCTATTTATGACAAACTCACAGCCAATATCATACTGAATGGGCAAAAACTGGAAGCATTCCCTTTCAAAACCAGCACAAGACAAGGATGTTCTCTCTCACCACTCCTATTCAACGTAGTGTTGGAAGTTCTGGCCAGGGTAATCAGGCAAGAGAAAGAAATAAAGGGTATTCAAGTAGGAAATGAGGAAGTCAAGCTGTCCCTGCTTGCAGATGACATGATTGTATATTTGGAAAACCCCATTGTCTCAGCCCCAAATCTCCTTAAGCTGATAAGCAACTTCAGCAAAGTCTCAGGATACAAAATCAATGTGCAAAACTCACAGGCATTCCTATACACCATTAACAGACAAACAGAGAGCCAAATCATGAGTGAACTCCTATTCACAATTGCTACAAAGAGAATAAAATACCAGAAATCCAACTTACAAGGGATGTGAAGGACCTCTTCAAGGAGATCTACAAACAATTGCTCAAGGAAATAAAAGAGGATACAAACAAATGGAAGAACATTCCATGATCGTGGATGGGAAGAATCAATATTGTGAAAATGGCCATACTGCCCAAAGTAATTACTGATTCAGTGCCATCCCCATCAAGCTGCCAATTACTTTCTTCACAGAATTGGAAAAAAACTACTTTAAAGTTCATATAGAACCAAAAAAGAGCCTGCATTGCCAAGACAATCCTAAGCAAAAAGAACAAAGCTGGAGGCATCATACTACCTGACTTCAAACTATACTACAAGGCTACAGTAATCAAAACATCATGGTAATAGTACCAAAACAGATATATAGACCAATGGAACAGAACAGAGGCCTCAGAAGTAACACCACACTTCTACAACCATCTGATCTTTGACAAACCTGACAAAAACAAGAAATGGGAAAGGATTTCCTATTTAATAAATGGTGCTGGGAAAACTGGCTAGCCATATGTAGAAAGCTGAAAATGCATCGCTTCCTTACACCTTATACAAAAATTAATTCAAGATGGATTAAAGACTTAAATGTCAGATGTAAAACCATAAAAACCCTAGATGAAAACCTAGGCAATACCATTCAGGACATAGGCATTGGCAAGGACTTCATGACTAAAACACCAAAAGCAATGGCAACAAAAGCCAAAATAGACAAATGGAATCTAAGTAAACTAAAGAGCTTCTGCACAGCAAAAAAAAAAAAAAAAAAAAAAAAAAACTACCATCAGAGTGAAAAGGCAACCTACAGAATGGGAGAAAATTTTGCAATCTACCCATCTGACAAAGGGCTAATATCCAGAATCTACAAAGAACTTAAACAAATTTACAAGAAAAAAAACCCATCAAAAAGTGGGCAAAGATATTAACAGACACTTCTCAAAATGCTAGACTGGATTAAGAAAATGTGGCACATATACACTATGGAATACTATGCAGCCATAAAAAAGGATGAGTTCATGTCCTTTGTGGGGATATGGATGAAGCTGGAAACCATCATTCTCAGCAAACTATCACAAGGACAAAAAACCAAACACCGCATGTTCCCACTCATAGGTGGGAATTGAACAATGAGAACACTTGGACACAGGAAGGGGAACATCACACACTGGGACCCATTGTGGGGTGTGGGCAGAGGGGAGGGATAGCATTAGGAGATATACCTAATGTAAATGACGAGTTAATGGGTGCAGCACACCAACATGGCACATGTATACATATGTAACAAAACTGCACGTTGTGCACGTGTACCCTAGAACTTAAAGTATAATGAAAAAAAAAGAAAAAAGAAGGCATCTATGCTGCCAACAGACACATGAAGAAATGTTCATTGTCACTGGTCATCAGAGAAATACAAATCAAAACCACAATGAGATACTATCTCACACCAGTTAGAATGGCAATCATTTAAGTAAGGAAACAACAGATGTCAGAGAGGATGTGGAGAAATAGGAATGCTTTTACACTGTTGGTGGGAGTGTAGGCTAGTTCAACAATTGTGGCAGACAGTTTGGCGATTCCTCAAGGATCTAGAACCAGAAATACCATTTGACCCAGCAATCCCATTACTGGGTATATACCCAAAAGATTATAAATCATGCTGCTATAAAGGCATGTGCACGCGTATGTTTATTGTGGCACTATTCACAATAGCAAAGAGTTAGAAGCAACCCAAATGTCCATCAATGATAGACTAGATTAAGAAAATGTGGCACATATGCACCATGGAATACTATGCAGCCATAAAAAAGGATGAGTTCATGTCCTTTGCAGGGACATGGATGAAGCTGGAAACCATGATTCTCAGCAAACCATCACAAGGACAGAAAACCAAACACCGCATGTTCTCACTCATAGGTGGGAATTGAACAATGAGATCACTTGGACACAGTGCGGGGAACATCACACACTGGGGCCTGTTGGGGTGTGGGGGACTGGGGGAGGGATAGGGTTAGGATAAATACCTAATGTAAATTATGAGTTGATGGGTGCAGCAAACCAACATTGCACATGTATACCTATCTATCAAATCTGCACGTTGTGCACATGTACCCTAGAACTTAAAGTATTATAATAATAATAATAATAAAAAGAAATGTAGACCAAAAAAACACACAGAAGAGATAGGAAAAGCAGTTTTGAATCACCAATGCCACCCCTACCCAATCCCCTGGCAGTGACAGTGTGGTGCAGAGACAATGTGAGCACTTGGAAAAGGGAGAGCACAGCAGTTTTGAAGCATTGCATTGCATTCAGTGCCTCTTCATTATAGCAGAAAGCAAAACCAGAACAAACTCAGCTGACACCCACCCATGGAGAGTGCATTTAAATCAGCCCTAGTCAAAGAGGAATCACATATCCCAGTGGTAGAAACTTGAGTTCCTGCAAGCCTCTCCTCATGGTCTAAAATGCTCTGGGGCCCTAAATAAATGTGAAAGACAGTCTAAGTCACAAGGATTGCAAATCCCACATGAGTCCTATTGATGAGCTGGGCTCAGAGCCAGTGGACTTAGTGGGGCATATAACCTACTGAGAGAGCAGCCAGGGTGGCTAAGGGAGTGCTGGCTCTACCCCTCACCCAAGCCCAGGCTGCACAGACAGCAACTCCAAAAGACACCCCTTCCTTCCACTCATGGAGAGGAGAGGGAAGGGTGGGGAGGATTTTGTCTTGCTCCTTGGATACCAGCTCAGCTACAACAAGATAGGGCACCAGTCAGAGCCATGAGGCTCCCTTTCCAGGCCCTAGCTCCCAAATGAGATTTCTAGACACATTCTGGGCCAGAAGAGAACCCATTTCCTTGAAAGGAAGGACTCAGTCCTGGCAGGATTCATCCCCTGCTAACTGAAGAGCTCTTGGGCCCTGAATAATCAGCAGTGATACACAGGTAGTATACAACGGCCCTTGGATAAGACTCTTGACACTTGTTGGCTTCAGGTGAGACTCAGCACATTCCCAGCTTTGGTGGCTACAGGAAGAGACTCCTTCTACTTGAGAAAAGTAGAGGGAAAACTAAAGGAGACTTTATTTTAAACTTTAGGTACCAGCACCGTCACAGACATAGCATTAGAGCACCAAGTGGGCTCTTAGGGTCCCTGATTCTAAACCTTGACTCTTGGATGGCATTTCTGAACCTGCCCTGGGACAGAGGAAAGCCCACTACCCTGAAGGGTGAGTCCCAGGCTAGGAAGCATTCACCACAAACTGACTGAAGAGCCCCTGGGCCGTAAGGGAACATCAGTGGTAATCTAGCAGTACTACTCATGGGCCTGTGGTGGCAGTGGCCATGAGATGAGGCTCCTCTGCCTTTGAAAAGGGGAGGAAAGGACTGCATCTTGTGGTTTAAGTGCCAGCTCAGCCACACTACATTAGAACACCAGGTGGACTTCTAAGGTCTTTGATTCTAGTCCCTGGCTCCTGGACAGCACCTCTTGACCCATCTGGGGCCTGGGGACACTTGCCACCCTGGAAAGAATGACACAGGCCTGGCTGGCTTTGCCATCTGCTGATTGTAGAGCCCCAGGGCCATGAGCGAACCTAGACTATAACCAGGGAGTGGTTACAGTATTGGATGTAACCACTCACAGGCCTTGGCTGAGACCCAGTACTGTGCTGGCTTCAGCTCTGATCCAGCACAGTCGTAGTGGTGGTAGCCACAGGGGTACTTATATCACTCCACAGCTCCAGGCAGCTCAGTAGAGAGAGAGAGAAACTCCATTCGTTTGGGAGAAAGTAAGGGGAGAGAACAAGCGTTTCGGTCTGGTAATCCAGAGAATTCTTGTGGATCTTGTCCAAGACCACCAAAGTAGTATCTATGAGTCTGCAAGAACCATAGCACTACTGAGCTTGGGGTGCCCCCTAATGCCGATGAAGCTTAAATCACAACACTCAAGTGCTTTCAAATACTTAGAAAGCCTTCCCAAGAAGGACAAGTACAAACAAGTCCAGATTGGCCAGGGTGTGGTGGCTCACGCCTGTAATCCCAGCACTTTGGGAGGTCCAGGCGGGCAGATCACAAGGTCAGGAGATCGAGACCATCTTGGCTAACACACTGAAACCCTGTCTCTACTAAAAATACAAAAAATTAGCCTGGCGTGGTGGAGGGTACCTGTAGTCTCAGCTACTACTTGCGAGGCTGAGGCAGCAGAATGGCGTGAACCTGGGAGGCGGAGCTTGCAGTGAGCCAGGATCACGCCACTGCACTCCAGCCTGGGTGACAGAGCAAGACTCCGTCTCAAAAAAAGAAAAAACAAGTCCAGATTGCACTGACTGCAATGAATACATAACTCTTCAATGCCAAGACACAGATGCACATCCACAAGTATCAAGACCATCCAGGAAAACATGACCTCACCAAATGAACTAAATAAGGCACCAGGGACAAATCCTGGAGAAACAGAGATAAGTGACCTTTGAGACAGAGAATTCAAAATAGCGATGCCGAGGAAACTCAAAGAAATTCAAAATAACACAGAGAAGGAATTCAGAATTCATATTGGAAAAATTTAACGAAGAGATTGAAATAATTTAAAGGAATAAAGCAGAAATTCTGGAGCTGAAAAATGCATTGACACACTGAAGAATACATCAGAGTCCTTTAATGGCAGAATGGATGAAGCAGAGGAAAGAATTAGTGAGCTCAAAGACAGGCTATTGAAAAATACACAGTCAGAGAAGACAAAACCTTTCCAACAGGAAATGCTACAGGGAGTACTTCAATCAGAAAAAAAAAAAAGGATATTCATGAGCTATAACAAATCATCTGAAAGTACAAAACTCACGTTGTAATAGTAAGTACACAGAAAAACACAGAATATTATAATACTGTAACTGGTGTGTAAAATACTTTTATCTCTAATAAAAAGGCTACATGATGAACTTCAATAAAAAATAACAACTATGGTATGGAAAGTACCATGAAATACAAATAGAAATAACAATAAGTTAAAAAGTGAGGGGACAAAGTTAAAATGTACAGTTTTTATTAGTTTTGTTTTTGCTTGTTTGTTTATGGAAAGAGTGCTAATTTGTTATCAGCTTAAAATAATGAGTTATAAGACAGTATTTGCAAGCCTCAGGGCAACCTCAAGTCAAAAAACATGTAAGAGATTCAAACAATCAAAAGCCAAAAACTAAATCATACCACCAGAGAAAATAACCTTCACTAAAAGGAAGAAAGGAAGGAAGGAAAAAAGAGAAGACCACAAAATGATCAGAAAAAAAATAACAAAATGTCAGGATTTAAATGGACTAAACTCTCCAATCCAAAGACATAAAGTGGCAGAATGGGTTTTAAAAAAAATAAAATAAAAAAACCAATGACCTGTTCCCTATGAGAAACACTCTTCATCTAAAAAGACACACATAGACTGAAACTAAAGGAATAGTAAAAGATATTCCATGCCAATGGAAACAAACAAACAAAAAAGGAGTTACTATACTTATATGAGAAAAAACAGATTTCAAGACAAAAATCTATAAGAAGAAACAAAGAAGGTCACTATATAATGATAAAGGGGTTAATTTAGTAAGAGGATATAACAATTTGAAATATATATGGACCCAATCCTGGAGCACCCATGTATATAAAGCAAATATTATTAGAGCTAAAGAGAGAGATAGACTCCAATGCAATAACAGATGGAGACTTCAACACCCCACTTTCAGCATTTGATATATCTTCCAGAAAGAAAATCAACAAAGAAACATTGGACTTATTCTGCAATATGAACTTAATAGTTATTTACAGGCCATTCCATCCAACAGCTGCAGAATACATCTTTTGTTCCTCAGCAGTCCCGCTACTGAGTATTTATCCAAAGGAAAGAAAGTATATTGAAGACATATCTACAACCCCATGTTTATTGCAGCGCTATTCGCAATAGCCAAGATATGGAATCAACCTAAATGTCCATCAACAGATGAATAAATAAAGAAAATGTGACATGTGGCTGGGCACTGTGTCTTACGTCTGTAATCCCAGCACTTTGGGAAGCTGAGATGGGTGGATCATGAGGTCAGGAGATCGAGACCATCCTGACTAACATGGTGAAACCCCGTCTCTACTAAAAATACAAAAACAAAATTAGCTGGGCATGGTGGCGGGCACCTGTAGTCCCAGCTACTAGGGAGGCTGAGGTGGGAGAATGGCGTGAACCCGGGAGGTGGAGCTTGCAGTGAGCCGAGATCGTGCCACTGCACTTCAGCCTGGGCAACAGAGTGAGACTACATCTCAGAAAAAATAAAAAGAACAGAAAATGTGACATGTATAACAACGAAATACTGCAGCCATAAAAAGAATGAAATCCTGTCATTCATGGAAACATCGGTGAGCCTGGACGACATTATGTTAAGTGAAATAAGTCAGGCACAAAAAGATAAATACCACACGTTCTCAATTATATGTAGGAGCTAAAAATAAATTGAGCTCATAGAAGTAGAGAGTAGGATTGTGGTTATTAGAGGCCAGAAATGATTGGGAGAGGAGAAGACAGGGAGAGGTTGGTTAAAGGATATAAAATTACAGTTAGATAGGAAGAATTAGTTCTAGTGTATTGTAGGATAAATGTGATTAACATTTATTGTATTTTCAACATGCTAGAAAAGAGGATTTTGAATGTTCATACCACAAAGAAATAATACATGTTTGAGGTGATAGATATGTTAATTGCCCTGATTTGATCATTACACATGGTACACATGTATTGAGATATTTCTCCATACCACATAAATATATATAAGTATTATGTCAACTAAAAATAAAAGAAAAAAATTATAGCTAGATAGGAGAAATAAGTCCCAGTGTTCTATAGCACTGTAGGGTAAATACAGTTAACAATAATTTACTGTATATTTTCAATTATCTAGAAGAGATGATTTTGAATATTCTCAAAACAAAGAAACGATAAATGTTTGAGGTGGTGGATATGCTAATTACCCTGATTTGATCATTAGACATTGTACATATCGAACTATCTCCCTGTGCCCCATAAATGTGTACATTAAAAAAAAATTTTAATTTAGAAAAGGAAAATTGAGAGAATAATGCCAAATATATAACTGATATTCTGAATTACTGCATTATGTTGAAAATTAAAATACCCAGGGCATAATGCTACCTGGTCACTTCCTCTAGTTCCTAGTCTTATTCAAGGGAGCCACATTGCATTAGTCCATTCTCACATTGCTGTAAAGAACTATCTGAGACTGGGTAATTTGTAAAAGAAAAGAAAACTGTAATTGACTCAAAGTTCTGTAGGCTATACAGGAAGCATGGCTGGGAAGCCTCAGGAAACTTATAATCATGGCAGAAGATGAAAAGGAAGGAGGCATGTCTTACATGACCAGGGAAGAATGAAAAGAGAGTGAAGGGGGAGGTGCCACACACTTCTAAACAACTAGATCTTGTGAGAACTCACTCACTATCATGAGAACAGCAAGGGGGAAGTCTGCACATGATCCAATCCCCTCCTCAAACACTGGGGATACAATTCGACATGAGATTTGGGTGGGGACACAAATCCAAACCTTATCATACATCTTCCAAGATTCAATGCAGTGTCTCGCTTACCTCATGCATCTTGCATTTTTCTTTTCTAGGAGTTTCAGATTCTGAATAGATCCAGAAAGAACAAGGTGATTCTGGAGAGGCATCGTATACCAGCTCTTTCAAAAGCAAAATTCATAGAATAAAGAAATGAATAGTCAGTTATCTTTTTGAACAAACTCTAGAGCTTTTGTTCAGAGAGTAGACAGTGGGAGAGAGATAAAATATTTAACCCTCTTCTTTCAGGTAAGTGAGATAAGACTGTTTCAAAGATAAAGTATGAACAGGCCATCTATGCTTTTCTAAATATAGTTCCATTGATATCTATCTATCTATCTATCTCTCATTTACATATATTGGATCAAATTTCAACTGGGCATGGTTTTTACATTGCCACCAGAATCTAGTCAATGAGCACGCAAGTCTAGAGTGGAAAGATGGATTGATAGATAGATGGATAGAAGGAGAGAAACAGGGGAGGAAGGAAGGAAAGAAGGAAGGAATGAAAGAAGGAAGGAAGGAGAGGGGAGAGGGAGGGAGGGAGAGAGGGAAGGAGAGAGGGAAGGAAACAGGGGAGAGAGGGAGGGAAGGAAGGATGGGAGAGAGAGAAAGGAAGAGAAAGAAAAAGAAGAAAGTAAGAGAGAAAGAAAGAAGAAAGAAAGAGAGAAAGAAAGAAAGGAAGGAAGGGAAAGAGAGAAAGAGAGAGGGAGGGAGGAAGGAAGGAAGGAGACAGAAAAAGAGAAAGAAAGAAATAGAGAAAGAAAGAATAAGAAGAAGGAGGGAGAGGAGGAGGGAGGGAAGGAAGGAAGGAAGGAGAAGAGAGGAAAGAAAGAGACAAAGAGAAAGAAAGAAAGGAAAGAAAGAGAGAGAGAAAGAAAGAATAAGAAGAAGGAGGGAGAGGAAGAAGGAAGGAAGGAAGAGAAAGGAAAGGGAGAGACAAAGAAAGAGAAGGAGGAAGAGGAGGAGGAAGGAGGAAGGAATGAAGGGGAAGAGAGGAAAGAAAGAGAAAAAAGAAAGAAGGAGAGAGAGAAGGAGGAGGAGGAAGAAGAAAAGGAAGGAAGGAAGGAAAGAAAGAAGGGAAGGGAAGATGGGGGAAGGGAAGAAGGGAGGGGAATGGAAGAAGGGATGGGAGGGAAAGAGGAGGGGAGGGGAAGATGAGGGTAGGGGAGAGGAGGGAAGGGAACATAACACCCTTGGGGGAAACCCTCAATCAATAGGGACTGGATCAAAAGACTAAATATCCCAGTATCTCTGTCCTGGTGTGCTAGACATGGTTCCTCATAGGGTCCCCAGCAAGACTGAGATCTAGAGGCCCTCAACTTATTTATTAATACACTTCTTATTGACTTTTCCTTATTCTCTCACTTGTGCTTACTGCTTCTCAAATAAATTACTTGCACCCAAGTCCTTGTCTCAGTGTTGCTTTGGGGTGAATTCAAACAAGACACAGATGAAATAAAAATATTGTATAATCTTTGCTGTTCTTTGGGACTTAAAAAAATTTCAGCCTAGTACAATAGCAAGATGTTATCAGTCTTCAGATGGCATTGACATCTCATACAACAAACACTCATTATTTTTTATTGCCCCTTCATCCTTTGTTGGCCTCTGCTCTTTGAACGTGTGTTAATTAGAATATTTCCCTTACTCATGAACTTCTCTTGTTCTCTCATTTCTCCCTCAGCCCATCTGTAGAAAGGCGTCTCTTCCCTGAATGTCTTTTGATGCTCTCAGCAGATGGAGCCAGCCAATGAGAGACTCGATTGATCTGTCTGGAGGTCTGTGCTGTTTGCTTTCTTTCTCTCTCTCTCTCTCTCTCTCTCTCTCTCTCTCTCCATATCGATATTACCTCAGTACGACCCATCCACAAGGACTTAATTATGAGCCACTGAATCACCATAAAATTTAACTGATAGTTTCCTCTAATCCCCAAATCTCCATTAGGACCTTTAGAACAGCTACATGTAAGTGAGAAACACCCTAGGCAATGTTGCACATGGCTGAATGACGTCAATAGGAGCAGCACAAGCCTCTTGAGTGATTTTCATATTTGAATACTTTTAGGAGAAATCTACAGTTTTCAATAGATCTACTTTTCTGTTTCAGAGTCAGATAGATTCCTTATTCCATAAAGAATAGGAATAAGGCTACTGTTTATTTTTTTTAAAGGTGGGAGATATATTAGGAAAAGGCAAAGGAGGTCGTGGAGGGCTCAGACACATCCGAAGAAAGCTGCTCCAATCTGTCGACACTGCCCAGAGCCCAAGTCTTGCTATTGCTGCTATGTGGTCTATAATGAAGCAGATGGCACATAAGAAGACTTTTCCTATGGTTCATTTGCTTGCAACAAGAGCCCTAAAGCTCTGGCTTTGGATTTGTGTTCCCCTGACTAAGCCACCTAATTCATTTGCCTTTGAGATTCAGGTTCAAATGAGGGTCACTCCAAAGTCAAAGAAATGCTTCCCAGGATATCTATGAGGTGATTGGCCTCAGGGGTATTCGGCCTCAAAGGGACCCTGCCCATTGCCAAAGAAAACTTTACTCAGTTTTATCCAAAGTTGATGGGTCTCAATGAACATGAAGGTGGGACTTTAGTTGGCTTCTTCCAGAGATTAATTATGCTGAGTGACTAGGACAGTTTGTGGGTCAACTGTGCTGGGGTGAAATGGACTTGGTTTCCAATATTGTTGTGGCCATGCTATAACTAAATGACCCAGACACATTTCTTAGCCTGGCCAGCATTTCCTCTTTGTCTTTTGTTTCAAGGTTTGCTTCCAAAGGATACAACAGCCTCAGACCCAGGTGTTCTTCCTCATAGAGCCTTAGACACAGCGATATAGCAGCATCATTAAAATGGCATGGCTGTAGAGTAACATTCCCCAAATTTTCCTGGAATAAGTGGTTAGATGTCCCAAATTGGGTCAGTAGGCTTGGAATCCAGGAACTGATGATAATTAAGAGTTACTGAGCATTTGTTATGCACCAGATACTGTTATAAGTGCTTTATCTTCTGCAGCACATTGGCTACCACAACTTACCTTGTCCCATATGCTCTTCTTACAGAGTGCTATTGACACTCCTCCTGTTGAGTGGTAGGATCTATAATCTTTTCCCTTAAACCAGAAAGGATCTTTATAATGACTTTAACCAATAGCATATGGCAGAGATGGCCCCATGAGACTTCTCAGGCTAGTTCATAAAAAGTGATACACCTTCCATAGAGTTGCATTGCAACACTAGCACTTGGAACCCAGTCTCCATGCTAGGAGGAAGTCTAGGCCACCTGAAAAGGCCAAATGGAGATGTACCAACCACCAGCCCTAGCTGAGATCAAGATGATTCCAGCCCCAGCCACCATCATCTGACGGCCAGAGCATAAAAGAACTTAAACAGGAATTACCCTGCTGAGCCCAATCAGTTGATAGAACCAGGAGTGATAATAATAATAAAATGATTGCTGTTGTTCTAAGGCACTAACTCTGGAGTTGTTATGCAGTAATAGATGATTGAAACTTATTTAATCTTTATAAAAATTCAGTGAAATAGGTATGATTACCTTTATTTTACAGATGAGGAAAAACTAGGGCACTGAATGAGTACCTAATTTTTCCAAGGAAAGTGGCAAGGCTTGGTTTCAAATCCAAGCAATCTGGTTTATCAGTTTATGCTCTTAGCCTCTATTCTATGCTGCTTCTTATATGTGCCTTTTCCCTACAAGAAAAAAAACACTGAGATCAAGGAAAAGTAAAAAGTTGTTGTGAGAGGTAGGGGAAGAAGAAAATATACTAATCTTTTAAAAAATGTGTATGGGCACATAGGAGGTAAAATACCATTATTTCAAGCAGATCACACCTACCAATTCAAAACCAGCTTTAGTCATTAGATCCCACCCCTACATGGGAGACTGGACAAGTACAAGCTCTCTGGGAAACTCGCACCAATTCCTTCCAACATCTGCAATACAAGGAGCTGATGCTGGAGGCGGCCTTGGAGAAGCCATTCTTCTCACTCCGCTGTCATCTGCCTCATCTCCTTTACCTGGTTAGATTTTCCTACCCTATGTGACCACAGAATACACCTAGAGAGAGCACTGATTTCTCCAGCATGCTTTAACAAATTCATAAACTTTATTGGGAGGTTGAGGCAGGAGGATAACTTGAGGCCAGGCATTCACAACCAACCCAGGCAACATACCCAGGCCTGTCTCTACAGAAGCAAAATAAAATGGCAACAAGAAATAAACTTTGTTTTACAGCCTGAACCCTGAAGTCAGGAATTATGTGGATACTTAGCAGCAATTCCACAACAGACAACTGGGAGGCCCCAGAGTGGCCCTCTGGACTTAAGATGGGAAAAAGAGAGAGTGATTTGGATATGACCCCTAGGGAGGAGTCAGGTCACCTTGACACTAGGCTTGCAATGTGGAAAGTGCCAGGGAATTTGTGCTAATCTGACTTGAAACATTGTACCTGGCTTCCCCCAAACTACCAACAGTCCAAATATTTTGATCACTTCTTATGCTGTGACTTTGTACTTCAGAAATTCTGGCATTCCCTTTGTGACAACAGGCCACTTGGAGCGAGGAACCCCAGAGATGGGAACAAGTTACCTAAAAATCACCCCTAAGTGTTTATGGGCAAAATCCCAAGCCAGCTCACACTGCAGGGAGGGAACCTGAAATCAGAGATACAAGCAGCCTGGCCTGGCTTTCTGAAGAACAATAATTTATTTCTGACCTCAGAAGCTACAGAAATGACTCTCCAGGCTGTTCAGTTTTAATACTAATCTGATTACCCCTCAGCTTCACAATGGATTTCATAGCACTGGCAGGAAAATCTATTAGCGTTACTGAGTCTCAGACAGGCAACTTCACATTAAAAAGGCTGGTATGAAAATAAAAACCTAGAGGGACGAGCCAAGATGGCCGAATAGGAACAGCTCCAGTCTACAGCTCCCAGCGTGAGCAACGCAGAAGATGGGTGATTTCTGCATTTCCATCTGAGGTACCGGGCTCATCTCACTAGGGAGTGCCAGACAGTGGGCGCAGGTCAGTGGGTGCACGCACCGTGCGCGAGCCGAAGCAGGGCGAGGCATTGCCTCACTTGGGAAGTGCAAGGGATCAGGGAGTTCCCTTTCCGAGTCAAAGAAAGGGGTGACGGACTCACCTGGAAAATCAGGTCACTCCCACCCGAATATTGCGCTTTTCAGACCGGCTTAAAAAAATGGCTCACCATGAGATTACATCCCACACCTGGCTCGTAGGGTCCTACGCCCACGGAGTCTCGCTGATTGCTAGCACAGCAGTCTGAGATCAAACTGCAAGGCGGCAGCGAGGCTGGGGGAGGGGCGCCCGCCATTGCCCAGGCTTGCTTAGGTAAACAAAGCAGCCAGGAAGCTCCAACTGGGTGGAGCCCACCACAGCTCAAGGAGGCCTGCCTGCCTCTGTAGGCTCCATCTCTGGGGGCAGGGCACAGACAAACAAAAAGACAGCAGTAACCTCTGCAGACTTAAATGTCCCTGTCTGACAGCTTTGAAGAGAGCAGTGGTTCTCCCAGCACGCAGCTGGAGATCTGAGAACGGGCAGACTGCCTCCTCAAGTGGGTCCCTGACCCCTGACCCCTGAGCAGCCTAACTGGGAGGCACCCCCCAGCAGGGGCACACTGACACTTCACACTGCAGGGTATTCCAACAGACCTGCAGCTGAGGGTCCTGTCTGTTAGAAGGAAAACTAACAAACAGAAAGGACATCCACACCAAAAACCCATCTGTACATCACCATCATCAAAGACAAAAAGTAGATAAAACTACAAAGATGGGGAAAAAACAGAACAGAAAAACGGGAAACCCTAAAACGCAGAGCGCTTCTCCTCCTCCAAAGGAACGCAGTTCCTCACCAGCAACGGAACAAAGCTGGATGGAGAATGACTTTGACGAGCTGAGAGAAGAAGGCTTCAGACGATCAAATTACTCTGAGCTACGGGAGGACATTCAAACCAAAGGCAAAGAAGTTGAAAACTTTGAAAAAAATCTAGAAGAATGTATAACTAGAATAAGCAATACAGAGAAGTGCTTAAAGGAGCTGATGGAGCTGAAAACCAAGGCTCGAGAACTACGTGAAGAATGCAGAAGCCTCAGGAGCCGATGTGATCAACTGGAAGAAAGGGTATCAGCGATGGAAGATGAAATGAATGAAATGAAGCGAGAAGGGAAGTTTAGAGAAAAAAGAATAAAAAGAAATGAGCAAAGCCTCCAAGAAATATGGGACGATGTGAAAAGACCAAATCTACGTCTGATTGGTGTACCTGAAAGTGATGGGGAGAATGGAACCAAGTTGGAAAACACTCTGCAGGATATTATCCAGGAGAACTTCCCCAATCTAGCAAGGCAGGCCAACGTTCAGATTCAGGAAATACAGAGAACGCCACAAAGATACTCCTCGAGAAGAGCAACTCCAAGACACATAATTGTCAGATTCACCAAAGTTGAAATGAAGGAAAAAATGTTAAGGGCAGCCAGAGAGAAAGGTCGGGTTACCCTCAAAGGGAAGTCCATCAGACTAACAGCAGATCTCTCGGCAGAAACCCTACAAGCCAGAAGAGAGTGGGGGCCAATATTCAACATTCTTAAAGAAAAGAATTTTCAACCCAGAATTTCATATCCAGCCAAACTAAGCTTCATAAGTGAAGGAGAAATAAAATACTTTACAGACAAGCAAATGCTGAGAGATTTTGTCACCACCAGGCCTGCCCTAAAAGAGCTCCTGAAGGAAGCGCTAAACATGGAAAGGAACAACCGGTACCAGCCGCTGCAAAATCATGCCAAAATGTAAAGACCATCGAGACTAGGAAGAAACTGCATCAACTAACGAGCAAAATAACCAGCTAACATCATAATGACAGGATCAAATTCACACATAACCATATTAACTGTAAATGTAAATGGACTAAATGCTCCAATTAAAAGACACAGACTGGCAAATTGGATAAAGAGTCAAGACCCGTCAGTGTGCTGTATTCAGGAAACCCATCTCACATGCAGAGACACACATAGGCTCAAACTAAAAGGATGGAGGAAGATCTTCCAAGCAAATGGAAAACAAAAAAAGGCAGGGGTTGCAATCCTAGTCTCTGATAAAACAGACTTTAAACCAACAAAGATCAAAAGAGACAAAGAAGGCCATTACATAATGGTAAAGGGATCAATTCAACAAGAAGAGCTAACTATCCTAAATATATATGCACCCAATACAGGAGCACCCAGATTCATAAAGCAAGTCCTGAGTGACTTACAAAGAGACTTAGACTCCCACGCATTAATAATGGGAGACTTTAACACCCCACTGTCAACATTAGACAGATCAATGAGACAGAAAGTCAACAAGGATACCCAGGAATTGAACTCAGCTCTGCACCAAGCGGACCTAATAGACATCTACAGAACTCTCCACCCCAAATCAACAGAATATACATTTTTTTCAGCAACACACCACACCTATTCCAAAATTGACCACATACTCGGAAGTAAAGCTCTCCTCAGCAAATGTAAAAGAACAGAGATTATAACAAACTATCTCTCAGACCACAGTGCTATCAAACAAGAACTCAGAATTAAGAATCTCACTCAAAACCGCTCAACTACATGGAAACTGAACAACCTGCTCCTGAATGACTACTGGATACATAACGAAATGAAGGCAGAAATAAAGATGTTCTTTGAAACCAACGAGAACAAAGACACAACATACCAGAATCTCTGGGACGCATTCAAAGCAGTGTGTAGAGGGAAATTTATAGCACTAAGTGCCCACAAGAGAAAGCAGGAAAGATCCAAAATTGAGACCCTAACATCACAATTAAAAGAACTAGAAAAGCAAGAACAAACACATTCAAAAGCTAGCAGAAGGCAAGAAATAACTAAAATCAGAGCAAAACTGAAGAAAATAGAGACACAAAAAACCCTTCAAAAACTTAACAAATCCAGGAGCTGGTTTTTTGAAAGGATCAACAAAATTGATAGACTGCTAGCAAGACTAATGAAGAAAAAAAGAGAGAAGAATCAAATAGACACAATAAAAAATGATAAAGGGGATATCACCACCAATCCCACAGAAATATAAACTACCATCAGAGAATACTACAAACACCTCTATGCAAATAAACTAGAAAATCTAGAAGAAATGGATAAATTCCTCGACACATACACTCTCCCAAGACTAAACCAGGAAGAAGCTGAATCTCTGAATAGACCAATAACAGGAGCTGAAATTGTGGCAATAATCAATAGTTTACCAACCTGAAAGAGTCCAGGACCAGATGGATTCACAGCCAAATTCTACCAGAGGTACAAGGAGGAACTGGTACCATTCCTTCTGAAACTATTCCAATCAATAGAAAAGGAGGGAATTCTCCCTAACTCATTTTATGAGGCCAGCATCATTCTGATACCAAAGCCGGGCAGAGACACAACCAAAAAAGAGAATTTTAGACCAATATCCTTGATGAACATTGATGCAAAAATCCTCAATAAAATACTGGCAAAACGAATCCAGCAGCACATCAAAAAGCTTATCCACCATGATCAAGTGGGCTTCATCCCTGGGATGCAAGGCTGGTTCAATATACGCAAATCAATAAATATAATCCAGCATATAAACAGAGCCAAAGACAAAAACCACATGATTATCTCAATAGATGCAGAAAAGGCCTTTGACAGAATTCAACAACCCTTCATGCTAAAAACTCTCAATAAATTAGGTATTGATGGGATGTATTTCAAAATAATAAGAGTTATCTATGACAAACCCACAGCCAATATCATACTGAATGGGCAAAAACTGGAAGCATTCCCTTTGAAAACTGGCACAAGACAGGGATGCCCTCTCTCACCACTCCTATTCAACATAGTGTTGGAAGTTCTGGCCAGGGCAATTAGGCAGGAGAAGGAAATAAAGGGTATTCAATTAGGAAAAGAGGAAGTCAAATTGTCCCTGTTTGCAGACGACATGATTGTATATCTAGAAAACCCCATTGTCTCAGCCCAAAATCTCCTTAAGCTGATAAGCAACTTCAGGAAAGTCTCAGGATACAAAATCAATGTACAAAAATCACAAGCATTCTTATACACCAACAACAGACAAACAGAGAGCTAAAACATGAGTGAACTCCCATTCACAATTGCTTCAAAGAGAATAAAATACCTAGGAATCCAATTTACAAGGGATGTGAAGGACCTCTTCAAGGAGAACTACAAACCACTTCTCAAGGAAATAAAAGAGGATACAAACAAATGGAAGAACATTCCATGCTCATGGGTAGGAAGAATCAATATCGTGAAAATGGCCATACTGCCCAAGGTAATTTACAGATTCAATGCCATCCCCATCAAGCTATCAATGACTTTCTTCACAGAATTGGAAAAAACTACTTTAAAGTTCATATGGAACCAAAAAAGAGCCCACATCGCCAAGGCAATCCTAAGCCAAAAGAACAAAGCTGGAGGCATCACACTACCTGACTTCAAACTATACTACAAGGCTACAGTAACCAAAACAGCGTGGTACTGGTACCAAAACAGAGATATAGATCAATGGAACAGAACAGAGCCCTCAGAAATAATGCCGCATATCTACAACTATCTGATCTTTGACAAACCTGACAAAAACAAGCAATGGGGAAAGGATTCCCTATTTAATAAATGGTGCTGGCAAAACTGGCTAGCCATATGTAGAAAGCTGAAACTGGATCCCTTCCTTACACCTTATACAAAAATCAATTCAAGATGGATTAAAGACTTAAACGTTAGACCTAAAACCATAAAAACCCTAGAAGAAAACCTAGGCATTACCATTCAGGACATAGGCATGGGCAAGGACTTCATGTCCAAAACACCAAAAGCAATGGCAATAAAAGACAAAATTGACAAATGGGATCTAATTAAACTAAAGAGCTTCTGCACAGCAAAAGAAACTACCATCAGAGTGAACAGGCAACCTACAAAATGGGAGAAAATTTTCGCAACCTACTCATCTGACAAAGGGCTAATATCCAGAATCTACAATGAACTCAAACAAATTTACAAGAAAAAAACAAACAACCCCATCAAAAAGTGGGTGAAGGATATGAACAGACACTTCTCAAAAGAAGACATTTATGCAGCCAACAGACACATGAAAAAATGCTCATCATCACTGGCCATCAGAGAAATGCAAATCAAAACCACAATGAGATACCATCTCACACCAGTTAGAATGGCAATCATTAAAAAGTCAGGAAACAACAGGTGCTGGAGAGGATGTGGAGAAATAGGAACACTTTGACACTGTTGGTGGGACTGTAAACTAGTTCAACCATTGTGGAAGTCAGTGTGGCGATTCCTCAGGGATCTAGAACTAGAAATACCATTTGACCCAGCCATCCCATTACTGGGTATATACCCAAAGGACTATAAATCATGCTGCTATAAAGACACATGCACACGTATGTTTATTGCGGCATTAATCACAATAGCAAAGACTTGGAACCAACCCAAATGTCCAACAATGATAGACTGGATTAAGAAAATGTGGCACATATACACCATGGAATACTATGCAGCCATAAAAAATGATGAGTTCATGTCCTTTGTAGGGACATGGATGAAATTGGAAATCATCATTCTCAGTAAACTATCACAAGAACAAAAAACCAAACACTGCATATTCTCACTCATAGGTGGGAATTGAACAATGAAATCACATGGACACAGGAAGGGGAATATCACACTCTGGGGACTGTGGTGGGGTGAGGGGAGGGGGGAGGGATAGCATTGGGAGATATACCTAATGCTAGATGACGAGTTAGTGGGTGCAGCGCACCAGCATGGCACATGTATACATATGTAACTAACCTGCACAATGTGCACATGTACCCTAAAACTTAAAGTATAATTAAAAAAAAAAAAGAAAATTAACAAACAAAAAAAAATTACAAGGAATGAAAAGGAAAAATAATAATAATAATAAAATAAAAACCTAGATGAATCACTGTGTTCCTTCTAGCTCCTTCTAGTCCCTTCTAATGCCTGAGATTAACCTGACTTAGCCTCAAGAGTCCATCATGCTCCTGTACAAGCCCCTTTTCCATAACCCCACATTTTCATTTTCTCCCTCTCAAGAATTCTAGGGTTCATACTACATGCATACCTCGCCTTACATTAAGGGATATATGTATATATATATATATATATATATATATATATATATATACTTTAAGTTCTGGGGCACATGTGCAGAATGTGCAGGTTTGTTACATAGATACACATGTGGCATGGTGGTTCGCTGCACCCATCAACCCATCATCTACATTAGGTATTTCTCCTAATGCTGTCCCTCCCATCGCCCCTCACCTGCAACAGGCCCCGGTGTAGGTTGTTACCCTCCCTGTGTCCATGTGTTCTCATTGTTCAACTCCCACTTTCTTAAAGGTTGTTTACCAGATTTTGCAAACTATGTTATATTGCTACTTGTTTCATTTGTCCAAAGTCGTTGTCTTATTATCTAATAGTTATTCAAATGACTGCTCTCCACCCTCCCAATACTTCAATTCCAACCCCTAGGACACATCTTTCTCCTTTCATCATAGGTTCTTCAAGTCATCTTCAAATGATTAGAACACATAAATGCAGTGGGAGGTATGGCTTTGTGACTTCCCATCTCCTAACTGACTGTCCTGAAAATGTGGAAGTTTTCTTGACACTGAGTAGACCTGCAAGTGGCCACAGGGTAAGTGCCACGCAGCCCACTAGTTTTAGCAAACTAAAATTTAGTGTAAGAATTAAAATACTTTCTTCACCTTGGAGCATTTTGTCTTTCTAATGAGTCTATCTTTAGGGTTTAAGAGTGTCAAGCCTCAACTATTTTGGGTCATTAAAAACCCAGGGCACGGTTACAGGGTGGACAGGTGCTAATTCCTCTCTTCTGGCTGCACTCCACTTTCAGTAATGGCAACTGGCACCTGCAAATCCCCTTTGTGACACTAGAATGAGATCTGAAATCATTTTGCCCTGTATAATAGCTGAGACATTGGTTCCCCGGGAAGGCTGCCTCACATGAACACAGTATTTAGCAGAGACCTCTTCTAATCATATCCCTCAGAAAACATACTGGAGGCCCTCTCTAAAGTCCATCTCACTCTCACCACAAAACAAAGGAGGCTGTGGCATCACCAAAACACCCTTGATACTGCATAGATTTCTGCTATCTTTATAATCACCTCTTCCAAGTCTCTCCAGACACAAAATGAGAAATGTCAAAATTGAATTATTCCTTCATAATTATGCTCCTTAACTTGAAAGTTAAGAAATGGCCAAGTTAAGAAAGAAATGGCCAAGATTTCCCAAGATTAGAACAGAAATATGCCACAAAAAGAGCATTAGTGTGATATATCTATACTACCCAGTAACAAAAAGGAATAAACTGTTGATACACACAATAATCCAGTGACACATTTCCAAAGTAAAAGCCAGAAACAGTGGCTCATGCCTGTAATCCCAGCACTTTGGGAAGCCAAGGCAGGAGGACAGCTTGAAACCAGGAGTTTGAGACCAGCCTGGGCAACACAGTGAGACCCTCTCTATACAAAAAAAAAAATTTACAGACTACTCAGGCATCTTGACATGCACCTGTCATTCCACCTACTCAGGAGCCGGAGGTGGGAGGATCATTTAAGCCCAGGAGTTGGAAGATGCAGTGAGCTATGATCACACCACTGCACTCCAGCCTGAGCAACAAAGTGAGACCCTTTCCCAAAAAAGAACAAATCTCCAGAGATTATGCAGAGTTTAAAAAGCCAATCTAAAAGGTTACATACTGTATGATTCCATTTGTACAACATAAAATGACAAAATTATAGAAATGGAGAACAGATTAGAGTGGTTGCCAATGGTGAAAAAGTGAATTGGGTAGGTTGAAAGTGAGTATTGCTGTAAAAGAATGGCCTGAAGCATCCTAATGGTGGAAATGTTCTGTAACCTGACAATATCAATGTCAATATCTTGGTTGTACTATATTGTACTATAGTTTTTCAAGATGTTGCCACTTGGGGAAACTGAGTAAAAGATGCAAGGGGCCTCTGTATTATTTCTTACAACTGCATATGCAACAATCTCAAAATAAAAACTTTAATTAAAAAAAAAGCATTGGATTGAGACTGACAAGACCAGGTTCTAGTTCAGGCCCTTCCCATAACAAGCATGATCCAAGTCACTCAACCTCTTTCATCCTCAATTTCAACGTCTGTGAAATGGAGTTGAACAAGTTCATCCCCAGCATCCTGAGGAGTTCTACAGCTGAGCGATATCAGAGCTGCTCTTGATTCACAACAGCCCTTGAAACAGAGGGGCCCTCTGAATAGTCAAGCTACCATGGCTGAGTGGGTAATATACTTAAATAGTCTCTATAAATACCATTTTAAAAGACACAAACCTAGCTTACATTAAACATAACATGCAACGGCATAAACAAAGAAACAATTTGAAAGAAGAAAAGCTTGAAACAAATACTACCTCATCATTAAGGTTGTGACTACTAATAAACGAGTAATGTTCTATAAAATAGCGTAATGAAACAATGTATTTTGTTTACTGTAAATCAAGACAGCTAACCAGCATTTCTACCATTTTCTTGACATTATACACCCAAATTACCCCCTCATTCCCCAGACACTTTTCATTGTCAAACTATTCTTGTTCTTAATGCCCTACCCTCTGGGGAATGGCAGTGTGCAAAACAGGAAGTCCTTTAATATAACTTACAATTTTAGAAGGGAAAAACCCAAGCACCTTATTAAGAAATGAAAATTACAATCAGTCAAATTGTTGTTTATTTTTTATGTCACCAAATAAACCAGCCTGCTTTTATACACAAGATAAACTAAATTGAGTAATTTATTTAACATCAGAAGTATAATCGGTGTTAAAATATCAACAAACTGGGTAGTCTATTATATCAAATTAGCAACCTTTTTCCTGAAAAGGGTATTTTTCAAGGTGCTTCATTTTAAAAGGAGTGCATATTATTAAAGAAAGCCACATCAAACAAACAGTAACAAAACAATGTAAAGTCACTATCATCAGCAGTATTTGAGAAAAGGAGACAGGGTTGTGGGGGTAGGTTAATCAGTGAAGATGGAACTAGATCTCATGTATTGATTGCCATAGCCAAATAACTCAAATATATTATCATTACATCTACTGAAACTACATACAATATAATTAATTCTCTTTGGATAACTCAGTGGCCATATAAAATTTGCACTCTCTCAGATAAGAATAGGCATGACCTATTCGGTGCTGCACAGTGCTGAAATGCTTGATAGATTAGATGGAACCTACCAAATCTTGTGAAAAATAAGGTGTCGCTTTAAAATTTTAAAGAATCCCCACTACCAACTTATTAGTTCCACTTATTGCTTCAATACAAATTTCCAGGCAAAACAAGGACCCTCTCAGTATTCAGCAATTGTCATTTTTCATCTAGGAATGAACAGATGTTGCCTTAATGATTTTGTCTTCTGTGCTAAAATCGTTTCTTCGCTGCCCGTATTAATTTCTCAAGATTCGTAAGCTTCACACACTATTTTTGTAATCTCATTCCTATGTGCCTATTTAACTTTTCATTACATTTAATACTTCCCTCACTTGGTCTATAGCAATCAAAAAGTTTGTCAATAAGCAAACATTTATATTGTTCCCATTATGTGAAAGACACATTATTTTCACTGCACTTACTAAGTATTGAAGAATATACTTAAATATTTTAAGAATTGATGTTTATTTATAGCTATAAGATTTATTCCCAGAAACATTCCAGTGTTTTTTCATCATTAGAAATTTTGCAAAAATAATGTTAGGCAACGATTTTCTTCTAGAAAATCCTTAAAGTGTTGAAAAAATATTCTGTGCCTGGCTTATTTGTAAAAAAAAAAGAAATCTTTAATGTGCCATTCTTAACATAATTTTAGGTATAAACAATAATAATAGAACTCTAAGCACAGCATTTTAATGACACCCCTTATTTTCCAACAGATACATGTAGCTTCCTGAAACAACTTTAATATAGCTTTTTTTCTTTTTTAAAGTGTATGACTCAATTGTGTTTGCTTGTGAAATTACTTTGCAAAGATCTTGACTCACAGATGGAGGCTCTTTGCAGTGGTTCAGTGAGAAGCACTCACAGAAAATCTTATTGGTTGTGAGGCTTTAGGCATATCCTAAGGATCACAAAACTTTATTCCTTTTTATTAACCAGATCAAAAGATTTTTATAAAATTTCTTTTTAAAATTGATTGAATCTCAAGATTAGAAATGACTTTTTTTTTTTTTTTTGGAGGAAGATCTGGCTACTTATCCAGTGCTTGAAACACTCCCACAACCCACTGCCAAATGTTCATTCATTCTCCATTTAAACAGAGAAGAAGATATAAGTTAATAGAGCATGTCTCAAATCAGAGTCACTTAAGCTGCTCCTTATAATTCAGTCCTGACCTGATCCAACTTGGGTATGCACAATTTTCAAGGTTTTAAAAATAAATATCAAAAACAAAATAAATAAATAAATAAATAAATAGATAAATAAATAAATAAATAAATATCAGGCTCCTCCAACAGTTGTAGGTGAAGGTTATGGGTTTCCTTTCCACAACCCCCCTAAAACCAAATCTCAGACTGAATCTTGGTACACACCTTAGCATTTCTTAGCAAACATTCAACACTCATACCACCAGTTTGTCAAAACCCCTTGGAGTTATAGGTGTCCATTCCTCTAAGTGCTCTAATGGACTCTTCCATGAACATCTCATTGGATGGGAAGGAAGCCACACTCCAGCTGCAAGATTCTGCTATCTAGTTAGAGACAGGAGACCAAGAAGTCTCCAAATCATCAGATGAACATAGGCCCTTGAAGACTCAAAGCTCTGGGTGCCATTCCTAAGGATACAGATCACCGAGCCAGCTGGTCTGTATTCTGCAAAGACACCAAGACTCTCTCTAGTATTTCCAGAAAATCTACAAAAAATGAAAACCACTGATTTCGGCAAGAAATCCCTAGTTCTAACATTCACTAGTGAAATTACCAAAACTTTTTATGTCAACTGGAGATAAATATAATTGAATTTCTCTGGGTCATGGCTTTTTATTAAATGTTAGCTAACTTCTCTGGAGTGGATATTTCTGATTAAAGCAACTAACCACAGTAAAGGTGTAGATTAAAACAAACACACACAAACATGTTCAAATTACATAATCTATGCTGAAGTATTTTAAAGTAAATTACCCAAGACCTGCTGATTCATAATATCTAAGCCTGAAAATCCATGTTTCTATACATGATCCTCGTGTGCTACCTATGCACACTAGAATTTTGTGAACCCCTATCACAGATGTTAAGAACAGGGGCTCTGGGGAAAACAGACTTGTGTTAGAATCCTGGCTCTTCCACTCTATAGCTATGTACCTATAAAAATTATTTAAACTCTGATTCAGTGTCCCCACATGCAAAATTGTCATAATAATGCCTAACTTACAGCGTTAGTTTAAGAGTTAACTTAGGTAATATTAATAAAGTTCTTAATACAATGCTTAGCACATATCACGTAAATGTATATAGAATACCCTGAGTTTTCACCAGGGAACACAGATCCTGAATAATGCTCTCCTGTTTTTTTATTCCTTTACATTGGAATGTTAATTACTGAATGAATTATCCAGTTGTGATCGGAGCAGGGAAGTAGTCGGTTGGAGTACCTACCTACTGAGTAGGTTGGAACTACCACCTTCCTTGTTCTGGAAAGAACTTTTGCGAATGCTAAAATCACAGCAGTTTTGTTTTGGAGATTGCATCACATGGTTGATTTAATTTAACTCTTAATTAAAATACAGAAGTATTCTTTACCCATGCTGTTGCAAAGTCAGGTTTATATGTTTTATGCTTTTTAAAAATAAGTTGTATGACTATATATTCTGTTGAATTTTATCGTGTTGGATACAAGATATATCAAGATATTTTGGGATTCTCATTATGTCATGCAACCTATCTACTCTACTCCAGTTTCATGTCATCCTTAAATATAATGAATATACCCATAATCTTTTCAAGCCTATGATCTTACAAAGTGTTGAACACACTAGAATATTCCAACCAAGTTGAAGTCATCAACCTTTGTGAGGGATTGTTTATATCAGTGGCTGGTCTCTTCAATCATTTTTACACTCAACTGCGATTTTCCAGTTTTTTTTTTTTTTTTTTTTTACAAAGATGTCGTAAATGAGAATGTGTCAGAGTCCTTGATACAAGCCACATTATACCATGTCTATCACAGTACCTTGCTCTGTCAGTCTGCCAATTTTTAAAAAGAAAATAAATAAAGTTAGTATGGCATAATTTGTTTTTATTGAAATAATGTTGGGACCTAGGAAACTCCACTTATTTTTAAAGCATCTCATCTTTATTTGTTCTGTGATACCTGACATAGTTAAGATAGGAGATATAAACTGAAACTAAATAATTCTTAATTTGTTGTTTTAAATTAAAATACACCATTGTACTTGTGCTGTCAGGAAGTACTTTTTGTTACTGCTCCTGTAGCAACCTTCAGTTATGTATTTTCCTTGTATTTTTAAATTTTTTTTATTTGTATACATTTAGGGGGTACAAACGCAGTTTGGATACATAGATATATTGCATAATGATGAAATCTTGGCTGGGCTTTTAGTATTACCACCACTCGAATAGTGTGCATTGTACCCTGCGTTTTGTTTATAGATGAAGAATAGGTTTTAACTCATGGGTCAACAAAAATTAATTGTTAATGGCTACGCAGAGCACAGTTTTGACCATAACTCTAGGTCCTATCCAGGCATAGCCATCAAGAAGACCATTACCTGATTATTTAGCAGTGCCTGGATACACAAGATAAGGAAATGGTGGCACACTTATGACATATTTATATGTCATCCCTGACCTGGATTTTTAAAATCTAGACCTTAATTTACTAGACTCTAGAATCTTATCTGGCCTGCCATTTAGAGAGTCCATCACTTTCCTTTAGACATAACAATATATACCAATTTCCCCATATGCCAATGTGTCCCATTTTTATGTTTCTTCAACATTGTTGAAGCATCTCAGTGATATGATTTGTGAGTTTTCTTATTACCATGGAATGCAATTCATCCAGGTGAAGAGGTTTTAACACATTTACAGCAAGAAAAGTGTTCTATTATAATGTTTTCAACCATATTGGACTTTCAGTTTTCCTCTTTAATTTTTGAACAGTTTTCAATTAAATGATTTCTATGCAGATTATATTTTCCAAAGATAGTCACAATACTTCCATCCTATATGCTTTTCTTATAATGTGCCCTTGGCAGTCCAAGCACCTACACAGATCTTTGTAATTTCTCTGACAGAGTACAATAGAAATGACATTCTGTGACTTCCAAACTGGGTTGCAAAAATAACATATATTCCCATCTTGCTCTCCTAAGACCTCACTCTTGGAATCCAGGCACCACATTCAAGGAAGCCCAACTATCCCATGAGAAAAAAACACATGGGGAGATCATGTGCAGAAGTTACAGCCAACATCTCAATTTGAGGGCTTAGCCAGCAATCTTCCCAACTATCAGGCATGTGAATGAAGAAAGTTCCAAATGATTTCAGCCCAAAGCAGTAGAGTCACCTTCAGCCTTCAAGTCTTACTGGCCAAAGCCCCAGACATTGTGGAGCAAGAAAAAGTTTTCCCTGTTGTGCTGTGTTTAAATATCTAAACTACAGAATCCATGAGCATAACAAAATGTCTATTTTATGCCACTACGTATTGGAATAGTTTGTTGCACAGCAATAGTAACCGGAACAATCTCCTGGATAGAATAGACAAATGCAAAATAGAAACTCTTTCTTTAGATGTAGGTGTTTCTCAGTTACTACCTGCATTGGAAACACTAGTATACTTGTTAACATTTAGCTGTCTAGACACACACACGCTTGCATGGGCGGGCATGTGTGCATGCACACACACTGGTCCTGGAGTAAGTATACCTAACCCAAAGGAGTGGTGGAATTACAGGCCTTGGAAAAAGCCAGCAATGTTTGTTTGTTGAGTGTGTTGAGTGTCTTGTACATTAGGGAAACCTGAGCATGGATTAAGAAATCTCATTTTCTGACCACTCCTACTAATACTGATTCAAAAGTCCTACTTCCAAATTTCAAATGTTTTATTATTGAACAAGATTGCAAAAACAAATTAGGGTTAGATAAAACTAAAAAATATATAATTTCAATCTGAAATGAATGATGAATCAGAGCACAAAGTTATTATTCAAGGTCACAATAACATCAACTTTTAAAAATTATTATTAATCTGACCCCAAAATCCTGGCCACCTCTTGCCTATTTGGGAGGGAACTGTCCAGCACCACTGCTTTCTGAATAAAAGCCCTTAAGCCCAATGAAAGGAAATAGTGGCTCCACCTCCAGCAAGTGTTCTAGGGCTGAACTCCTCCCTTCAAAAGAAATCAAGACCCTCTACTTACCTAAACTCCATAGTGAGCCATAGCCTCACCCACCTCCCACACATGAATACCCACTAATGCCACAGTCAAAAAAATGATACACAATGGGGCTGGTCCACTCAACTTAACAACTAGAATTTCTATAATCCTTTAAACATAGAGGAATTTTAAGGTTTATCTTTTCAAAAAAGCTGAAATAATATTCTCAACATTTCTTATTGCCTATTCACTGCGTTCAAAAAGGAGAACCTAAACTGTAAAATATACTCAAATATGTAACTTTGTTATAAGGGTTAAGGTCTGCTCTGCAAAATAAAAATGCAAGATGAAAATTGCCAGGAATGCTTCAACATTAACAATTGCATGAGTATAAGTATAACTGCTTCTTTGCAATAGCTATTTGTTTTTTTAATTAATTTTTTTTCTTTTCCTGAAATTTAATCTCCAAAAAGTCATTTTGAGAGAATAGGGATCTTACTATTGGTGCCATAGACTCATCTTCTGAAAAGGTTGGGGCTGGATGAATGCTTATGTAATGGTAGCCATCCTTCAGATATTTTACGATTAGAATAGTTTAAGATCAGATTGATAGCTTTTAATAAAGCCTATTTTTATGCTGCTTAAGGTTATGTTTTAATAAAGAAGGTTAAGGAAGTAAGATCCAGCCCAGGCCAGTCACTGAGATAACAAAATATTGAGCTAGGTGCTATAGAAGATTTTAAAAGTGCAACAAGGTGCAGGTAAAATATGCTCCATATGGTGACTCCATGAAACATTTGGACTGCTGCATTCATTATCACATTTTTACTTTTGCTAAGCAGTTCTGCAACCTACATTCCTTAAATAATTAATTGTAAAGACCAACTCAAATTTTGAATTTTCTGGCAAAACATATCTCTGCTCTGTTTTGTTCTGCAGGCATTTTTGTTCTACAGTCCATACGTGATTCATGTTGTTCATATAAAAAACAATATATTTTATGTTTTGACCCCTGTCTTCTACAGAGGATTTTATTTCGATTTTCTTTTTTTTCCAAGTATGCTAGTTAGGATGATCAAATGGTAACCATGGTGACAGAAAGCAGAGTTCAAATCTTAGTAGGGTCATGTCATTCCTTCCCACAGTGCAGAACTTACATTCTGAGACTAATCCAGTATCTAAAAATATATCACAGGACAGCTCATGTTGCCATTTATGGGAAAATATGACTGAGTCAGTTAACTAATTTTCCTGTTGCATAAAAAGAATCTCTAGTTGGTAAACCAAGAGATTCCAGTTTTAGAAAAATGAAATGACAAAGAAAAAGGGAGAACTTTCTTGTTTACCAGAATAATTTTTGAAACTTAAGGCTACCCCGGAAACCAACTGGAATAAAAAACCAGATCTAGTGAAATGATATACCATAAAAGCAATTGTGATGATAATAAAATAACCATATTTGACTCTCCCTATGCTGTATCCACATACACAATAGAAGGGCAGTTACTAAAGCATTCCCCAAACTGGGATCACCTCCTGTTTAATATTTGGCTTTGTAACTGGCTGAGACCCAAGAATGCCTGTGACCCTGATGAGGCCATAGAGTAGCTGGTTCACAAGCTGGTTGTGGTTGTGGTTGTGGTTCTGTCTGCGCCAGGTCAGCCCTAGTCATGTGTGAGAGACAAGCTCAATACTTCCCCTCAGGCCAACTTTAAAGTTTATAATGAGAGACTTTGTTTTAATTTGATCCTCAGCCTTCAGATAAGGCAAGTTCTGCATGACAAAAATAAAAACAAGAGTGATGGAATAAAAACTTTAACTTACATGCAAAAAAAAAAAAAAACCCTACTATTGAGTATGCAGTTGTATTAGGCCATCTTAATTACTGTAACAGAATACCTGAGACTGGGTAATTTATAAAGAAAAGAAGTTTAATTGGCTCATGCTTCTGTAAGGTGTACAGGAAGTGTGATGATAGCATCTGCTTCTGGTGAGGCCTAAGGAAGCTTATAATCATGGTGGAAGGTGAAGGGAAAGAAGGAACATCACATCATGCAAGAAGGAGAAAGAGAGGTGGGATAGGAGGTGCCGCATAGTTTTAAACAACCAGATCTAGCACGAACTCAGAGTAAGAACTCACTCATCACCAAAGGGATGATGTTAAACCATTCATGAAGGATCCACTTCCATGATCCAAACGCTTCACACCAGGCCCCACTTCCAATACTAGAGATTAAATTTTAATATGAAATTTCGAGGGGACAAATATCTAAACCATATATTCTGCCTCTGGCTGCCAAATCTCACGTGTTTCTCACATTGCAAAACACAATCATCTCTTCCCAACAATCCTCCAAAGCCCTAACTCATTCCAGCTTCAAGTTCAAAGTCTTAAATCTCATCTGAGACTCATATTCCTCCACATCTGATCCTGTAAAATCAAAACAAGTTGTTTACTTCCAAGATACAATGATGGTTCAGGCATTGGATAAACATTCCCATTGCCAAAGGGAGAAATTAGCCAAAAGAAAGGAGTAATAGGCCCCATACAAGTCTGAAACCCAGCGGGGTAGGCGTTAAATCTTAAAGCTCCAAGATAATCCTTGCCTCCATGTCCTGCATCCTAGTATGAAGAGCGGGCTCCCAAGATATTGGGAAGCCCTGCCCCTGTGGCTTTGCAGGATGTAGCCCATGTATCTACTCTCACAAGTTTAAGTTGAGCGTTTCCAACTTTTCCAGGCAGAGGATGCAAGAAACTGGTGGATCTACCATGCTAGGGTCTGGAGGATGGTGACCCCCTTCCCACAGCTCCACTAGGCAGTGCCCTGGTAGGAACTCTGTGTAGGGACTCCAATCCCACATTTCCCCTTAGCACTGCCTTACTAAATTTTTTTTGTGGAGGCTCCCCATCATTGCAACAGCTTCTGCCTGGGCACCCCAAATTTTCTATACATCTTCTAAAATCTAGGTGGAAGTTGCCAAATTCCTTCACTTTTTTATTTTGCACACCTGCAGGCTTAACACCAAGTGGACGCCACCAAGGCTTATGGCTTGCACCCTCTAGAGCAGCAGCTCGAGCTATATGTACCTGGGCCACTTTGAGCTGAGGCTGGAGCTAGAAGAGCCAGGAGATGGGGAGCAGTGTCCCAAGATTGTGCAGGGCAGCAGGATCCTGGGCCTGGCCCCTAAAATCATTATTTTACTCTGGGACTATGATGGGAGGACTGCCCCAAAGATCCCTGAAATGCCTTCAAGACCTCTTCATGGTCTAGGATATTAGCATTTGGCTCCCTTTTAGTCATGCTAATCTCTCTAGCAAGTGTTTTCTCCAAAGCCTGCTTGTATTCTTCTTCTGAAAGTGCTTTTTCTTTCTCTGCCAAATGGCCAGAGAGAAAATTTTCCAAACTTTCATGATCTGCTTTCCTTTTAAATATAAGTTCCAGCTTTAAGTAATTTCTTTGTCCTGTATCTGATCATAGGCTTTTAGAAGCAGCCACACCATATTTTGAATGCTTTGCTGCTTAGAAATTTATTCCACCAGGTACCCTAAGTTATCACTCCTAAGTTCAAACTTCCACAGATCCCTGGGACATGAACACATTGCAGCCAAGTTCTTTGCTAGGGTATTACATGGATTACCTTTACTGTAGTTCTCAATAAGTTCCTGATTTCCATCTGAGACCTCATCAGCTCGGCTTTCCCTACCCATATTTCTGTCAGCATTTTAGTCACAACCACTTAAAAACTCTCTAAGAAGTTCCAAACTTTCTGTCATCTTCCCGTCTTTTTCTGAGACCTCCAAACTCTTCCAACCTCTTCCATTATCCAGTTCCAAAGTTGCTTTCACATTTTCAAGTATCCTTATAGCAACGCCCCACTCCTCAGTACCAATTTTTTTTATTAGGCCGTTTTTGTTACTCTAAAGGAATACCTGAGACTGGATAATTCATAAAGAAAAGAGGTTTAATTGACTCACAGTTCTGCAGGGTGTACAGGAAGTGTGGTGCCAGCATCTGTTTCTGGTAAGTGCCCCAGGAAGCTTACAATCATATTGGAAGACAAAGAGGGAGCAGGTGCATCACATGATGAGAGTGGGAGCAAGAGAGGAGGAGATGCCACACACTTTTAAACAACCAGATCTCATGTGAACTCAAAACGAGAACTTGCTTATCACCAAGGGAATGGCACTGCACCATTCATAAAGAATCTGCCCCTATGATTCACCTCCTACCATGTCCCAATTCCAACACTGGAGAGTACACTTCAATATCAGATTTGGATGGGACAAATATCAACATCCAAATCATATCAGCAGTCCTGTTAAACTAGCTTGATAGGCCTTTTAAATCAGGCCTTTACTAGTTTGTTATTTTGTCAATCTTAATTAGGCTTTTTATTTTTAGCTCAGGTCTTTGGATATTCCAAATTTCCATCACCAGTTCCTCCCATGCTCCTATTCTGGAAATGGATTAAAACTATTTCTCTTTCAACTTCACTGGACATAAGGAAGAATGTCTGTTTCAGTTCATGTGGTCTTACTTTCAAGCTTAAGCCATTCATTTCCAGATAATAATACTTAATATTTGTATAGTTTCCCACTTACAGGTAGGCCCTCTTTCCCAGATACATAGCTGTTTCAATTCTCCTGAAATTCTTACAGCATGTGTGCATGTGTGCGTGTGTGTGTGTGTGTGTGTGTATGAAAGAGAGAGAGAGAGATCAGATTCTGCAAAGGAAAGAGTTTGATGCAGTTAGAACACTTTTCTGAGAATAAATTTGACTTGATGGGCCAAGAATAAACAAGACAGAGGACTGGAGACTTCTTTGTATAATTCTATAAGAAGGGATTGATGGTAAAATAGAAAATAAAGTTATTATGGAATAGCTAAAGAAGACTATGTAAAGTGTGATGGCTAGAGAGAACAGCCTTAAGATAAAGATAGCAAGGCACTTTAAGCACAGGACCATGCACGTGTGACTTATCTTTCTGAAAATAGTTTGTGCCCTGAGATGTGTTCACAGTGCAGAAAGTAGTTTTGTGGTCTATCCAGCTTACCAAATGGAGAACATCACAAGAAACAGAGATAATGAGAAACTGTGCATTCAAAACCTCCATCTCCAGACAAGAAATTTTGAAAGGTGGCAACTATGGCAGAAAATCTACACATGGTGGGACTAGGGACATTTCTGTTTGAGAGATAGCAGGACACTTTTAGTCTGAGATCATGTTATATCTTTTCTTGGAAGAAAGCCAATGTTTAAAGTTGCTGCATTTGAACAAAAATAAGTGGCTCCAGCCCTAGGCAAAGCATGGAGGCACACTCCTTCTTCTTTTAGCCAGCACTTATGACCAAGTGTAGGATATATGAATGTAGGAGAAGCTGCAAAAGACAGGCCAAAAATGCATGCAGTCAGACCCTGAGATGGAATGTATGAGAACAGTAACTCTGTTTTCCATGATATTGTCTACAAAGACTGAGAATATACACTGGAAAATGTTCAGTGCCCTTTATGTACCCCCAAATTATAATAACTTCCTTTACCCTTGCTAATCCCTACTGTAAGACAGTGAATAAAAGACTTAGAACTGTAAGAGACAAATATTAGCCAGAGAGGTTTACAATATAATCCTTTTTATTCTTTATTCAAAGTAATATCAAATAATAATCAAATATCACCAGTTGTAGTTTTTCAGCCGTCTGCTGGTGAAATTTCCTTTCTTAAACTACTTCCAAAGGCTGAATAGTGAAAGCAACTCTATCATATCAAGAATGTTGGAAAAAGAAAGGCTTATCCTTTAGCAAATCCTATGGACATCCCTGGTTTCTTCTTCCCTGCAAGTTAGGTAATGACATGTCTCCCTTTTTTATACCTAACACAAATTACAATGACGATGCCCAATTATAACACTTCTTTTCTTATGTAGAGCCCAAGAGGTGGTACTTCCTGTATTCTTGAATATCTAAAAAAATTAAAGGCCAGTAAGTGACATGACATGGAACAAGATATAAAGATTTTGAAGAAGATTTTATGCCTTCTTTCCTCGCCTTTATTGTTAAATAACTTAGGAATTCAGCAGCTCAAGCCTTGGGGGACTATGCTATCCCATGAGAGTTTACCAAGTTCATACATTTTTCCATCAAAAGAGGGATTCTCACAAGTCAGCAAGAGACTTGGATTCCTGAGGCAGGATTGTCCAGGGTCCCCTGGTATTGTAGTTGTGGATACACTAATTTATGATTGAATTAATTTATTTGAAAGGATTATGCTTTATGCTTTCCAGGCAATACAACAGAGATGGTAGGTGTATTAGTCCATTTTCATGCTGCTGATAAAGACATACCCAACACTGGGAAGAAAAAGAGGTTTAATTGGACTTACAGTTCCATATGGCTGGGGAGGCCTCAGAGTCAGGGCGGGAGGTGAAAGGCACTTCTCACATTGTAGCAGCAAGCAAAAATGAGAAGAATGCAAAAGTGAAAACCCCTGATAAAATCATCAGATCTTGTGTGACTTATTCACTACCACAAGAATAGTATGGGGGAAACCACCCCCATGAGTCAAATTATCTCCCACTGGGTCCCTCCCACAACACATGGGAATTAGGGGAATACAATTCAAGATGAGATTTGGGTGGGACACAGAGCCAAACCATATCATTCTGCCCCTGACCCCTCCAAATCTTATGTTCTTACATTTTAAAACCAATCATGCCTTCCCAACAGTCCCCCAAAGTCTTAACTTATTTCAGCATTAACCCCAAAGCCCATAGTCCAAAATCTCATCTGAGACAAGGCAAGTCCCTTCTGCCTACAAGCCTGAAAAATCAAAAGCAAGCTAGTTACTTCCTAGACACAATGGGGGTACAGGTATTTGGTAAATACAGCCATTCCAAAGGAGAGAAATTGACCAAAACAGAGGGGCTACAGGGCCCATGCAAGTTCAAAATCCAGTTGGGCAGTCAAATTTTAAAGCTCCAAAATGATCTCCTTTGACTCCAGGTCTCACATCCAGGTAATGCTGATGCAAGAGGTGGGTTCCTATGGTCTTGGGCAGCTTCACCCCTGTGGCTTTGCAGGGTACAGCCTCCCTCCTGGCTGCTTTCATTGGCTGGCATTGAGTATCTGTGGCTTTTCCAGGCACATGGTGCAATCTGTCAGTGGATCTACCATTCTGGGGTCTGGAGGACAGTGGTCCTCTTGTCACAGCCCCACTAGGCAATGCCCCAGTAGGGACTCTGTGTGGGGGCTCCAACCCCACATTTCCCTTCCACACTAACAGAGGTTCTCCATGAGGGCCCCACCCCTGCAGCAAACATTTGCCTGGGCATCCAGGTGTTTCCATTCATCTTCTGAAATCTAAGTGGAAGTTCCCAAACCTCAATTCTTGACTTCTGTGTGCCCACAGTCTCAACCCCACATGGAAGCTGCCAAGGCTTGGGGCTTCCACCCTCTGAAGCAGCAGCCTGAGCTGTACCTTGGCCCCTTTTAGTCATGGCCAGAGTGGGTGGGTTGCAGGGCACCAAGTCACTAGACTGCACACAGCACGGGGACCCTGGGACCAGCCCACAGAACATTTTCTCCTAGGCCTCCAGGTCTGTGATGGGAGGGGCTGCCGTGAAGACCTCTGACATTCCCTGGAGACATTTTCCCCATTGTCTTGGGGATTAATATTCAGCTCCTCGTTACTTATGCAAATTTCTGCAGCTGGCTTGAATTTCTTCTCAGAAAAAGGATTGTTCTTTTCTATCACATTGTCAGGTTGCAAATTTTGTAAACTTTTATGCTCTTCTACCTTTTTAAAACTGAATGCTTTTAACAGCACCCAAGTCATCTCTTGAATGCTTTGCTGCTTAGAAATGTCTTCTGCCAGATACCCTAAATCATCTCTCTCAAGTTCAAAGTTCCACAAATCTCTAGGGCAGGGCAAAATGCTGCCAGTCTATTTGCTAAAACATAACAAGAGTCACCTTTATGCTAGTTTCCAACAAGTTCCTCATCTCCAGCTGAGACCACCTCAGCCTGGACCTTGTTGTCTATATCGCTGTCAGGCTTTTGGTCAAAGCCATTCAACAAGTCCCTAGGAAGTTCCAAACTTTCCCACATTTTCCTGTCTTCTTCTGAGCCCTCCAAACTGTTCCAACCTCAGATTGTTACCCAGTTCCAAAGTCGCTTTCACATTTTCAGGTATCTTTTCAGCAGCGCCCCACTCTACTGGCACCAATTTACTGTATTAGTCTATTTTCATGCTGCTGATAAAGAGAGACCTGAGACTGGGAAGAAAAAGAGATTTAATTGGACTTACAGTTCCACATGGCTAGGGAGGCC
This sequence comes from Homo sapiens, assembly GCF_000001405.40. Taxonomy (NCBI): domain Eukaryota; kingdom Metazoa; phylum Chordata; class Mammalia; order Primates; family Hominidae; genus Homo; species Homo sapiens. The sequence goes on from NC_000004.12 coordinate 75,149,752, forward strand.
TCAGAATCATGGTGAGAGGCTAAAGACACTTCTTACATGCTGGCAGCAAGAGAAAATGAGAAGGATGCAAAAGAAAAAAAAAAAAACCCTGATAAAACCATCAGATCTCATGAGAGTTATTCACTACCATGAGAACAGTATGAGGGACCCTGCCCCCATGATTCAAATTATTTCCCACTGGATCCCTCTCACAACACATGGAAATTATGGGAGTACAATTCAAGATGAGATTTGAATAGGGACACAGAGCCAAACCATATCAGTAGGGCTCTCAAATATTGCATGTGCTTGCCATCCCTATAGTTCTCAGGCTCCTTGTTGTTAGCTTAAGATCTTGTACCCGATTCTGGCTAGTGGCTATGAACATATGTGGACAGATGTGAAGTGTATCAGTTTCCATTTGAGGTACTTAAAAGCATATGAGCTTTCCACACCCTGTCTCTCTTGCATCAGTAACCCTGGACAGAGCTTGGGTTCCTGAGTCACTATAGGGTGGAATGGTACCCTGAAGGACCAGGCAATTTACATTGAACTGGCAAATTCAAAGGGAAATAAATTTTACAAGTTTACTAGTTGTTGTCTAAAGCAGTACTTTTGTATGTGTTTGTGTTTGACAAACTCGTTTACATTTCAAATTGAAGTATTCCCAGTGAAAATTTTCTTCTAGCATAGTGGCTAAAAATTGAGATTCTTAGTCTAAGTTACAATCTAGGTTCTGCCACTTACTAGCTGTGTGACTATGGGTAAGCTACTTAATTTCATGGACCTCAATTTTTTTATTTTATTGATATATCATAGTTGTACATATTTTGGGTGTACATGTGATATTTTGATAGATATATACAATATGTATTGGTCAAGTCAGGGTAATTGAGATATTCATCACTTCAAGAATTTATCTTTTCTTTCTGTTGGAGACATTACAATTCTTCTCTTCTAGCTATTTTGAAATACACAATGAATTATTGTTAAGTATAATTTCCCTACGGTACTACCAAATACTGGAACATATTCATTCTATTTAACTGTATTTTTGTACCCATTAACCAACAACTCTTTATGTCCCTCTCCTTCTTTCCTTCCCAGCCTCTGGTAACCACCATTCTTCTCTCTACCTCCATGAGATTTACTTTTTAGCTCCCACATATGAATGAGAACATGCAATATTTGTCTTTCTGTATAAGTCTTTGCCTGGTTTATTTTATTTAACATAATGACCTTGAGCACCACCTATGTTGCTCAAATGACAGGACTTCATTCTTTTTTATGGCTGAATAATGTTTCATTATGTATATATATAACATTTTCTTTTCCGTTTATCCGTTGATGGACACTTAGGTTGATTCCCTATCTTGGCTATTGTGAATAATTATGTGGTAAACATGGGAGTACAGATACCTCTTTGATATAGTGATTTTCATACTTTTAGATAAGTAAAGAATTGCTGGATCATATGGTAGTTCTATTTTTAGTTTTTTAGGAATCTCCATTCTGTTTTCCATAAAGACTGTACTCGTTTACATTCCCATCAAGAAAGTAAGAGTGCCCCTATATCCTCACCAGCATTTTTATTTTGTTTTGTTTTGTTTGGTGTTTTTAATAGTAGCCTTTCTAACTGGTGTGAGGTGATAGCTCATTGTGATTTTGATTTGTGTTTCCCTGATGATTAGTAATATTGGGCATTTTTCTCATATACTTGTTGGCCATTTTTATGTCTCCTTTTGATAAATGTCTATTCGAGTCTTTGGCCCATTTTCAAATCAGACTTCTTTTTTTGCTATTGAGTTGTCTGAGTTTCTTATGTATTCTGGTTATTAATTCCTTGTCAGACAGATGGTTTGCAAATGTTTTCTCCCATTCTGTAGGTTATCGCTTCATTTTGTTAACTGTTCTATTTGGTGTGCAGAAGCTTTTTAGCTTGATGTAATCCTATATGTCTATTTCTGTTTTTGCTGTCTGTGCTTTTGGAGACTTACCCAAAAATATATTTGCCACAATAAATGTCCTGTAGTGTTTGCCCAGTGTTTTCTTCTAGTGTTCTTATAGTTTCAGGTCTTATATTTAAGTATGTAATCCATTTTGAGTTTATTTTTTATATGGTGAAAGATAGGAATCTAGTTTCATTTTTCTGCGCACATATATTCGGTTTTCCCAGCACCGTTTATTCGAGATACTCTCCTTTCTCCAATTTGTGTTTTTGATAACTTGTGGAACATGAGTTGGCTGTAAGTGAGTACATTTATTTCTGGGTTGTCTGTTGTGTTCTACTGGTGTGTGTTATGCCAGTACCATGCTGTTTTTGGTACATTCATCTGAAATCAGGTAGTATTAAGTCTCTAGCTTTGTCCTTTTTGCTTAGTAATGCTTTAGCTACTCAGGGTCTTTTGTGGTTCGATATAAATTTTAAAAGTTTTTTCTATTTCTGACAAGAATGTCATTGATGTATTGAATTGAATCTGTAGATAACTTTGAAAAGTGTAGACATTTTGACAGTATTAATTCTTTCAGTTCATGAACATTGGCTATCCTTCCATTTTTTTGTGTCCCCTGCAATTTATTTCATAGTGTTTTTAGTTTTCCTTGTATAGATCTTTCACTTATTTAGATAGATTTATTGCTAGGTATCTTATTTTTGCAGTTATTATAAATGGGATTGCTTTCTTGATTATTTTTATTATTTTTTAGATTGATTGCTGTTAGTATATAGAAACACTACTGTTTTTTGTATGTTGATTTTGTATTCTACAACTTCACTAAATTTATCAGTTCTAACATGGTTTTTTTTTTTTTGGTGTTTAGTTATTTTCTAAATATAAGATCTTGTCATCTGCAAACATGGATATTTTTACTTCTTCCTTCCCAATTTGGATGTCTTTTGTTTCTTTCTCTTGCATAATTCTTCTGCTAGGACTTCCAGGGCCATGTTAAATAGAAGTGGTGAATGTGGGCATCTTTGCCTTGTTCTAGGTTTTAGAGAAAAGGCTTTCAATTTTTCCCTGTTCAGTGTGATATTAGCTATGGGCTTGTCATTTATGACCTTTATCATGTTGAGCTATGCTCCTTCTGTAACCAACTTTTTGAAGGTTTCTAATTATAAAGAAATACAAAATTTTATCAAATGCTTTTTTGCCATCTATTAAAATGATTATATTGTTTTTGTCCTTGATTCTACTTATATGGTATAGTATGCTTGTTGATTTTCATATGCTAAATCATCCTTATACCCCTACAATAAATCCCACTTGATCATGGTGAGTAATCTTTTTAATGTATTATTGAATTTGCTTTGCTAGTATTTTTTGAGGACTTTTGCATCTATATTCTTCAGGAATATTGGCCTATAGTCTTCTTTTTTTGTTGTGTCTTTGGTTTTGGTATCAGGGTCATTCTAGCCTTGTATAATGAGTTTGGAAGTATTCTGTACCCATCAACTTTCTGAAATAGTTTGAGTAGAATTGGTATTAGCTCTTCTTTAAATGTCTGGTAGAATTCAACAGTGAAACCATCAGGTCCTAGGCTTTTCTTTGATGAGAGACTTTTTCTTGTTGCTTCAATCTCATTACTCATTATTGGTCTGTTTAGGTTTTCTCTTTATTCATGGTTCAATCTTGGTAGGTTGTACATGTTCAAGAATTTATTCATTTCTTCTAGGTTTTCCAATTTGTTGGCATATAGTTATTCATAATAGTCTGTAGTGGTCCTTTGCATTTCTGTGGTTCTAATTAGTTCTAATGTTTTCTTTTTCATATCTTATTTTATTTCTGTCTAATCTGTTTTCTCTTAGTCTATCTGTGAGTTTGTTCATTTTATCGCTTTAAAAAAACAGTTTTCACTTTGTTGCCCTTCTGTGTTTTTTGAGGCTCAATTTCATTTATTTCTACTCTGATCTTTATTATTTATTTTCTTCTACAATTTAGGGTTTGGTTTGTTCCTGCCTTTCTAGTTTCTTGAGGTGCATGATTAGAACATTTATGTGGAGTCTATTTTTTGATGTAGGCCATTATGGCTACAAAATTTCCTATTAGTGCCACTGTTGCTGTGTTCCATTTGTGTTTCCATTTTCATTTCTTTCAATAAATGTTTTAATTTCTTTTTAATTTTTTCATTGACTCATTGGTCATTCAGGAGCATGTTGTTTAATTTCCATATATTTGTACCGTTTCTAAAGTATCTACTGGTATTGATTTGTAGTTTTATTCCATTGTGGTCAGAAAGATGCTTGATACAATTTTGACTCTTTTGAATTTGTTGAAACTTGTTTTGTGTCTCAAAATATGTTCTATCCTGGAGAGTGTTCCATGTGCTCATAAGAAAAATATGTATTTTACAGTACTTGCATAAAATGTTCTGTAAATGTCTGTCAGGTCTATTTAGTCTATAGCTTAATTCCAATGTTTATTTCTTATTTACTCCCTGTATGATCTGTGCTTTACAAAAGTGAGGTGTTGATGTCTCCTACTATTATTGTATTGCATCTCTTTCCCTTTAGATCTCTTCATATGAGCTTTACATATTTGGGTGCTCTGGTGTTGGGTGTTTATATATTTACTATTGTTATATCCTTTTGCTGAATTGACACCTTTCTCATTTGTCTCTTTTTAAAGTTTTCAGTTAAGTCTACTTTTTGTGATATAAATATAGCTACTCCTGCTCTTTTTTGGTTTCCATTTTCATGGAATATCTTTTTCCCATTTCTTTCAGTTAATGTGTGTCTTTATAGGTGAAATGAGTTTCATGTAGTTAGCATATAATTGGGTCCTGCTTTTTATCCATTTAGCCATTCTATGTCTTTTAATTGGTGAATTGAGTACATTTACATTCAATGTTATGATTGATAAATAAGGTCTTACTACTGCCATTTTGTTACTTATTTACTTGTTGTTTTACAACTACTGTCTTTCTTTCTTAATGTTTTTCTCCGTGTGAAGTGATTTTATCTGATAATATTTTTTAATTCATTGCTTTTTATTTTTAGTATATCTGTTATAGGTTTTTGCTTTGTGCTACCATGAGGCTTACCAGAATATTCTTTAATTATAATAAACACTCAAAACTGATACCAGCTTAACTTCTGTCACACACAAAAAAGAAAAGAGCCAAAATAAAACCTGTAGAGATTAACTCCCCCTCCCCCACATTTTGAATTTTTGATGTCACAATTTAATTTTTATACTGCCAATCTCTTGACAGAGTAGTTATCATTTTTAATAGTTTTGTCATCTTCTTACTAAATATATAAGATGTTTCAACACTACAATTATAAAATTAGTATAACAATTATGTTAGCATTCTTTTCTTTCAGTTTGAAGAATTTCCTTTAGCATTTCTTATAGGACATATCTGGTAGCAATAAATTCCTTCTGCTTTTGTTTGTCTGGGAAAGTCTATTTCTCCTTTATTTTGAAAGATAAGTTTGCTGGGTACAGCATTCTTGGTTGGCAATGTTTTTACTTCAGCACTTTGAATATATTGTCCCACTCACTCTGGGCCTTTAAAGTTTCTGTTCAGAAATCTGCTATCTATAAGATATATTGGATCTCCCTTATAAGTTACTGGCTTCTTTTATCTCACTGCTTTCAGATTCCTTTTTTGTATTTAACTTTTGCAAGTTTAATTATAATATGTCTTGGAGTATTCTCATTTAGGTTGAATCTGATTGGAGACATTTACCTTCCTATACCTAAATATTTACATTTTTTCCAGGTTTGGAACATTTTCTGTTTTTATTTCTCTGAGTAATCTTTCTACCCTTTTGTCTTCTCAATTCTCTATTTCACTCCAATAACCTGAATACTTTCTCTTTTCTTGTTGCCACATAGATCCCATAAAATTTGTCATTTCTTTTCATTCTTTTTTCCCCCACTGTCTGTGTAATTTCAAATATTCTGTCTTTGAATTCACTAATCTTTGAATTCACTGATTCTTTCTCCTGCCTGCTGAATTCTGCTGTTGGTGCCTTCTGTGGCATTTTTCATTTCATTCATTGTATATTTTGGGTCCAGGATTTCTGTTTGATTTTCTTTAAAATTATTTTAATCTCTCTGTTAAATTTCCCTGAAAGATTTATGAATTGATTCTCTGTGTTTTAATGAAGTTCATTGAGTTTCTTTAAAGCAGCTCTTTTGAATTCTTTGAGAGATCATACATCTCCACCTTTTTATAGTCAGTCTCTGGTGTCTTATCTTATCCATTTGGTGAGGTCATATTTTCCTGAATATTCTTGATGCTTGTAGAAGTGTGATAATGCCTGCATATTGAGGGATTAAGTACATACTTTAGTCTTCACAGTCTGGCTTTGTTTGAGCCTGTCCTTCAGAAGGCCTTCCAAGGATTCTAAGCCAATTGGCTATTAAGTTCCCAGAGCCTGTGACCACTGCAATCATCTCAGCACTAGAGGATGTTCTACGTCCAGGCTTTCTGCAAGGGCTCTGAGGCTAACATGGCTTTCCAGCCCAGATAGACCTGGAGGAGGCCCAAGGAGTATACCGGGGTTGTGTGGGAATGCTGACAAGGGAACTGAGTCCAGAAAAGTGTCCCAGTAGCCCAGATGGGCATGCCCCTCAGTAGATCTTTGTATAGGTGGAATGAGTCCCCAACTACATTGACAGGAGATTGAGTTGAGACTGGGTGCCTTTGGAATTTTCTGTGAGAAGAAAGCTGATGGGCCTATCTCATTAGCTCAGATGGGTGTGCATGACCCATCAAATTCTTGCACAAGTAGGGTAGTTCTTCAACTGCAAGAGGAGGGGCTGGAGCTAAGACTAGGCCCTCTCAGGATCTACTCTGGAACAGAAGCTGGAGAGCCAGTCTTGTTGACTCAGAGGACATGCTTCCCCCAGGAGGACCTTACACATCTGAAATAGTTCCCTGACTGCAGCAAGAGGATCTGGAGCTGAGACTGGGTGCTCTCAGGATCTCCTGTGTGATGAAGTCTTGATATGCTGGTTCTGTTGGCTCAGAGGTGTGTCTGTCACCCAGGAAGATACTGTATACATGGGATAATGAGTGCAGCAGAAGGGGCTAGAGCTGAACTTCTCACTTTCAGAATCTGCTGTGGGACAGAGGCTGAAGAGCCCATCTCATTGGCCCAGACAGGTATGTATCTCCAGCAGTTCTCAGTACAGATGGGATAGATCCCCAACTGCAGTGAGAGGGACCATAGCTGAGACTGGACTTCCTCAGGATTGCTGTGGGATGGAGTTTTGCAAGCCCATGAGGGAGGCTCAGGCTGCCAGACTGTGAGATTTGTGCACATCTCTCTCTGGGTCTTTGTGCAAACAGTTATGAGCTGGGACATTAACTGAGGAATGCTGGAGCAGCACAGTAGGGGAACTTTCAGGTACACTTCAAGACCAATGTTAGCAGGCAGACAAGCCTTTCCACCAATGCACTGGGAGGAGTAGCCAAGCCCCTTGGGAGACTTGGCCATTTCCAGGCTTGAACCCAGAAGCAAGTTTGGAGGGTAGATCAGCCACCTGAGTGTCTGTTTGCACTCTCAAAATAACCCTTTTAGGTTTTGGCTCCACTGGGGTTTCGCAGACCTGAACCCTAAGGCTCCCACAGAGAGACTTTTCAGTGTGGATGGGTGCAGCATTCTTGTTGTGGGGGAATATGAGCAGGTTACCTTCTATTCTGACATCTTAGTGATATCACTTCCCCTCAATTTTTATATATGTAAAATATAGTTAATAGTATTACTTAGTTCATAAAATAGTTGTAATGATTAAATGAGTTAATATATACACAAAACAGTATGATACATCACAATCATTTAATATATGTTATTATTTTAAATAGTTTCATTATAAAATTTTAGTCATAATATTCCAAAAAATACTTAAAGTGATGTTAGGATTGTAAGGTGATGAGTGGTTGGTAATTATATTATGTCAAAGGTGACAGCAGACAAATTGAAATGGTAGAAGTTGTGGTATTGGCAGAGATGGCTATTATTGTGACAGTGGTGGACTGTGGGTCTATGGAATTTTTCTGTGAAAAAAATCAGAGTTTGAGAGCATAAGATTGCTTGGAAACAGCCTCATAATGTGAGACCAGTTACACTTAATTCCAATTCCTACCTTCATTTCAGTGACAGGTGCTCTTTGGAAGACTACAGTAAACATCACCTACCATGTTGAGCAAATTCCTTCCTTTAATTCTTCAAGAAAACATTAAATATGCTGGCTTCAGAGCTATGAGTAGCATCAGTCAATGGAAGGAAATGTACCCATTTTCTGGCATGGAGCAGTAGCGATAGTTGTCTCTCCCTCAACCCAATTTATACAAAAAGGGATGGATCAAGGGATGCAGTGGAGTCATAATTGAATAAAATCTGAGAAAAATTGTACTGGATTTATCATTGGCACTGACCTAACATTGACTAATGAAATTAACCCCTGTTGATCTTTTGAAGCAGATTTCTACCAAGAAAGTGGCAGCACTTGGGTTACAGAAATAAAGCATCCTTCACAAGTGTCAGTTACTAGTGAAAGCACAAATCAAAACCATCAGCTATTATATTTGAAATGTAAAAGAAAACAATTTACAGGCCAAGTATATAAGAAACATATTGAATGTGGGAGGAAAGGAAGTAAAGATTACTTATGGAAAGAAGCATCATACCTTACAGAAGGCAACCATCTGGAAATTGCATTTTGAGTATCTGAAACAGAACTATGGAGCTGAAAAAAAAAAAGAGTAATCAGGTGTGTGATAAAGACATTAAGTAATGTTTCTCTGACAACAGAACATCAGAACAAGTCAATTTCCTCTTTCCCCTCAAGAAATATTTCAGGAAACAGAATTTCTACTCTTCTGTCTTTCTCGGCTTCTGAATATAATTAGCAAAGAGTGCAAGAATAGAAACCACATTCTTCTAATGCAGATGACTGGAAAGGCCTGCAGGTCAAGTGGAAGAACAACTCAGAGCTTCCCTGGCAACCACATATTAATAACTTCCTTTTGTTTAAACAATATTGGACATTTCTCATGAAGAGGATTTCAAAAGTATGTCTCTTGTTCTTTTTTTTTTTTTTTTTGAGATTGAGTCTTGCTCTGTCGCCCAGGCTGGAGTGCAGTGCTGCGATCTCAGCTCACTGCAAGCTCTGCCTCCTGGGTTCATGCCATTCTCCTGCCTCAGCCTCCTGAGTAGCTGTGACTACAGGCACCCGCCACCACACCCGGCTAATTTTTTATATTTTTAGTAGAGACGGGGTTTCACCATGTTAGCCAGGATGGTCTCAATCTCCTGACCTCGTGATCTGCCCACCTTGGCCTCCCAAAGTGCTGGGATTATGGACATGAGCCAGTCTCTTGTTCTTTAGAGAAGATCATGAAGTCCTTGATCCTTTGAGGGAAAACAGTACAGTACAGGTTGTTGACACAACATTTAATAAATGAGGAAAATAAGCTCCCTGAAGCATAGGCAATCATTGACTTTTAGTGGCAGAACCAGGACTAAAACACCGCTTTCCTGATTTCTATCTAATGTATAATTTTTTTCTTAAGGCATATCTGAAAGCAAGCAGTTCCTCTAGGTCCTTCATATCTGATTATAAACTCAGATCTGCAGTCTCGGATTTCCAAACTCAAATGTAACCATCTCAATCTTTGCTAGTAAATGCAATTGTAACATTATAGCATCCAAAAGATAGGTGTACTTGAAAGACACAGTTATGTAAATGTAAGTGTCTGAGCACTTAGTTGCAAGGATCCATTCCCCATGTGATTAATTTATTCAGCAGTTATTTGTTGAGAGCCTTCTATATTATAGATACCATTGTGCTGGATACTTGAAATGATCTCATCAAAAATATATTAAGAAAACATTTCAAGTTTTACTCCTATGAGTAAGATATCCACCCTCCTGTAAGAGAAACTGATCCTAAAAGAAGATGAATGGATTGAGAGAGAGAGAGAGAAGAGGAGAGTGGGGGTGTGGAAAGAAAAGTCTACCTCAGGTGAGAACTGTTCTTTGCACAATTTCAAACTTGAGAACTCTGACCAATAAGCACACTAAAAATGGTGGAATGCCTACATGACACTGTAATGAACCCAAGACAAACCAAAATGCCATATTGAAAATAAACATTCATCATTTAGATTGCCTCTGGAAGACTGATGGGACTGACTGGCATTGCCTTACCCAAAGAGTAATAACAAAATCTTATATATTTCACTCCCTTATCAGGGTTCATAAAAGGAATACAAAGTAAGTAAATGCAAATTTTACAATCACCCAAAGATCTAATATTCATAAGAGAACTAACGAAGCACAGCTCCAAGGTAGTTTTTTTTTTCTTCCTCAATTGCACTCCTCTGCACTATGAAAGGGCAACCCAGCAACTTGTCCTCCCTAAACCTCTCGCAGTCAAATCTCTGCTATCACAAAAGAGATGGACTTGAAATTCAGTGGAAAAATACCTGCCTTGGATAAGTTTCTAATTAGATTTTCTAGATGCTGCCAGGAACCAGTGATGTAATGTGCATGATGATATTCTGGAAGACAAAAGTGCTGGCTCCCTGTCTGAGGGTTCTCTAGACTGTCAGGCTACAGCCCACAGGGCTGAGGACACCTAGAGTCCCCCCACCATGCACTGGCCCCATTAATTCTGGTGCTGATTTCTGCCTGAGGCAGGAGGCAGGATGGAATACATAAAAAGGAAAAGAGTTAATAACATCACTTGAATCAAAGTGATATGGAAAATAAGCTGTGGAGGTTGCAGTCAGGTATGATAAAAAAAGAATCTATCAAATCATTTGATATTTTTGCTATACTTTAGAAATAAAATTCCACTTTTATTCAAAATCCCAATGGAATCAATTCCCAGAAAATTCCACCGGGATTTTCTTCATTCCACAGCATTTATTTGATCAACAAATCTGCCTTAATCAACTACTGTGTCCCTGGTGCTATATTAAGAGTGAATGTTGTAGAGGTGGGATTGGAATAATCCTCAAGGAGACAAAAAACATAAGAAAAAAAGTAACAAGGAACTGAGTATAATACTAATGAGAGTATCAAAGACCAGAATCTTGGTGCAAATAGCTTATTTAGATGATTCCAGAATGTGCTAAGATGAAGTGGAATAGCAAGATGGGAAAGGGAGGAAAGCCAATAGGTGTGTTATTGAGCAAGTCTCTAAAATGAGTAATGAGCTCAATCTACTGGAGACCCTCTGAGAGGAAGTGGAACACACCTGAAGATTATCCCATTGCATGATAAACGAGTTCACTATTTATCAACTCCTATGCCCCATATGTTGCAGGTAGCTCCTGGGACATTAATCCCCATACACTTCCAACCCAACCCTGTGTATGGACCAGAGAGGCACCCAGCTGGGAGGACAGCCTCAGACAAAAATTTGCAGGAAGTGCAACGGAAGTGAATCCCGAGCTATGTCGAGAGACATGGGCAGAGCAGTGACATTGTCTACTCCAGAGTGATGCAGAGGATTCGTGGTATCAGTGCTTAGGGGAGGGAGATATTGTCATAGGCAAAGGAAATCAGGGCAAGCTTTCATCTGGTCCTTTAAGGATACAAAAGTTTTTTATTATTATTATTATTAGAAAGAGTCTTGCTCTATTGCCCAGGCTGGAGAGCAGTGGCATGATCATAACTCACTGCAGCCTCAAATTTTGGGGCTCAAACGATCCTATCATTCCAGCCTCCCAAGTAGCTGAACTACAGGCATTTACCACACCTAGCTAATTTTTGTATTTTTTGTAGAGACAGGGTCTTGCTATGTTGCCACAGCATACATCCTGCCTCAACCTCCCAAAGCACTGGGATTACAGGAGCAAACACCGAGCCTGACCCAGATATAAAGGTTTTGGATATTAGAAGTGGTGAACCTCTTTTTTGTTCATGATGCCCTTTCTAATATTGGAGTTTTTCACCAACAAACTTGAAGGGCTTAAAAAGTAAACACTATTTGTTATTTAAAGCAAGTTTCAGAAAAGGAAAACATAAACCTTGTACAGTTATCACCTAATTCCTCACTCACACCTCAGTGTGATACTGCTGCCAGAGGAGACTTGTTACTGTCTTGACCAGGTTCTCATAAGGTTCTTGAACATTCTGCCAAATCTGTCCCCTTTTGTTGATGTTGACTTAAGTGATGTACTGTGTGTTAGCAGAAACTTTCATTATGGTCAAAATCACATGTATACTTACTGGAAATAAAAATGATGGTTGTACATTGATGGAAAGTTGGTGCTAGAATGCCGTGGCACACTGCTCACAGATCTATAGACGTAGGAAATGCAGAGATGCATTTCAGATAGATGGGATGCCATTTTAGGGGCAGGAATGACAAGACCTGCTTAGAAAATGCTGAATAAGCCAGTCTGACAGGAGCGGAGGGCCCACAGTGAAGAGGAGTGGGAGTTAAGGCTGCAAAAGGAAGTCACAGAGCCAGACTCTGGAAGTTCCTGAACATCAGGGGAGCACTGACACTTCATTCTGCCAGTGTTAGGGAGACACTGATGGCATTGCATGATGGCAAAGCTCTTTGAAGATGGAGGTTAATGAAGCATGTATGAGACATTGGGATGCCAAAAAGCTGAAGGCAGGGAGACCAATTATGAGGTCATTTACTACTTCAGGCATAAATTTTAAGAGCTTATAAATATTTCACAATTAATAATCAAGTGCATACAGTTCAATAGGTTTTACAAAAAGGAGCCCAGTTGAGAAAGGAAGTGGAGAAAAGAGCAACTTTATCTAATTTGTCCACCCAGAAGGGGCACCTTTTTCTAATTATAGCAAAGGAAAGCATGGGCTAGCATGTTTGTATTAAAATACATACACACACACACACACACATACACACACAGAGAGAGAGAGAAATATACAGGCACAAAGATGTGTTTGGACAAGGTAGGTAGCAGTGAAAGGGGGAAAAGTCAGATGGAAGAAACATTTAAATTGGCATTGATGATACCTGCCCCACAGCAATATGGTAAAGACATCAAAGTTAGATGACATTCTATCATTCATGGTTTAATAAACCCTATTTAATTTTTTAAAAAGTGGTAGGACAGAGTCATCAAGGTTTTAAAATATTCTTGTTAATAATGTTACTGAACCTATAAAACTTGTATAATCTCTAACTTGCAGAGCCTTGACCATAAGAAAACATGACTGACCATAAAATAAAGCAGAGAGAGATTTATTCCTTCTTTGGTAATTCAGAAAGCCTCAAAACCTTGCAGAGCTTCAGGTGATTGATGGGAATATCAACAATTACTGTATAGCTCTATGAAAAAAGAGCTCAGCATTTTATTATTTCTGGTTGTTTTAATGCCCTCATGCTTAAATTTACTTTTTTTCAAATGTGAAAATGCACACAAACACACACAGAGAGCCAAACCTGTATATATTCCTCTTGGTGCTCTTTATGACTGTTTTCATTTGTGACCTTTGCAAACAGCTTACTCAACCAAAATTAGATCAGAATGAAATCTGAAGGATGCCTTATCCTTTATTCTTTTAAATTAGCTAGGAACTAACTCTTCAATATTTACGACCACTCACTGAAAATACATCATTGTTCCACTGGTAAAATAAGGTTGCCTTGAGCAGAGTTGTAAGAAATCTGATCTGAAAATCCAAGTTAATAATCTTCACAATTCTAACAGGGCAATGTTGTAAATGAAACCAAAGTTAATAGGTACAGCAAAAAAGAATGATGACCTCTGTGGATTCCAATTAGAATAAGATATCAAAGAGGAGAGATGAAGGCTCTGGCTACAGTTATGGGTTGTAGTTATGGCTCATGCCATGAATAATAAACAAAGTTGAAAAGTTAAATAGAAACAAAATATTCCCCTCTTACTTATTCTTTAAGATCTTTATTATCTGAAGTATTATGTTAATAGTGGCAGAGCATGAGTGTTAAAGATCTATAGACTCAAATATCAGCTCTGTCACTTACTAACCAATGATTTGGTCAAGTTACTTAATGTCTGTGAGCTTCTAACTCTCTTGTCTGAAAAATAGATCTGATGCAATCTAATTTATAGGATGTGTAAAAATGCCCAACATGGACTTGCTTACATAGTAGGTATTCAAGTGCTCAATTGCTCCATTTCTTCTTCCTCTCCTTTTTTCTTAGATATAAGATAACCTTGAAGAGTGCCAGTGTATTCTGAAATGTGAACAAACCAAACAATCCTCCAAGAGTGGCTGTAAACTTCATCAATATAAGTTCTGTCTTTTAAGTAGCTGTTTCCTTGGTAAGAACTGAAATGTGAAGTGAAGAGCTCCACGGGGCAGTGTGATCTAATATATGAGACTGCGGACCCTAAGGTTGAGCTGCCTGAGTTCAAGTCCTGGCTCTATCTCTTTCCTTGTTCTTGAAAATGTTACAACCCTGAAAACTGTTTCTTGGTCCTTTACTGCTTCAGTTTTTTATCTGCAAAATGGAGAATAATTTAAAAAAATTTCTCTTTGAGTTGTGAAAATTAAATAATCTAATCTATGAAAGGAATTGAAAACAGTGCTTTATACATGGCAACCACTCAATTGAGTAAAGGCCAGTATCTTAAAATTTCAACCCTAAAAAACAGAGATTCAGGGTGATTTTTCACAATAGAGGAGTACAATTTCATTACTAAGGGATTTTTCACCAGGAATCCTTCAGAAAGTGACTCTATCTCCAGCTTGTTAACTGGAAAGATAGCTATGGTGGCAGCAGTGTGCTCAGTAGAGATCCAAGCCATCTGTGAACATTTATTAATTTTTTTTTTTTTTTTGAGAGACAAGGCCTTGATCTGTTGCCCAGGCTAGAGTGCACTGGCACAAGAATGGCTCACTGTAGCCTGGACCTCCTGGGTTCAAGCCATTCTTCTGCCTCAGCCTCCCATGTAGCTGGGACCACAGGCATGCACCATCACACCTGGTTAATTTGTTAATTTTTGTAGAGATGGGGTTTTGCCATGTTGTCCAGGCTGGTCTCAAACTTTTATGCTCAAGCAATCCTCCTGCCTCAGCTTTCCAAAGTACTGGAATTACAGGTGTGAGCTACCACGACTAAACCCCATTAATTTTTGTACTCACCATGCACAAGGCCCTGTGATAAAAATCGCAGCTCCCAAATCACTAACTGCAAAATTCCCACCAAAAATCTCGAGTAGCATGTTGGATTTCACATATATATTTACATAGATTTTACATATATATTCACAGTAGATGCTTTCTTTACACTTCATTTCCTTTTTTTATTATTATTCTACTTTAAGTTCTGGGGTGCATGTGCAGAACGTGCAGGTTAGTTACATAAATATACACGTGTCATGGTGGTTTGCACCACCCATCAACCCGTCATCTACATTAGGTATTTCTCCTAATACTGTCCCTCTCCCAGCCCCCAACCCCCCAACAGGCCCCGGTGTGTGATGTCCCCCAACAATGTCCATGTGTTCTCATTGTTCAACTCCCACTTACAAGTGAGAACATGCGGTGTTTGGTTTTCTGTTCTTCTGTCAGTTTGCTAAGAATGATGGTTTCCAGTTTCATCCATGTCCCTGCAAAGAACATGAACTCATCCATTTTCATGGCTGCATAGTATTCCATGATGTATATGTGCCACATTTTCTTTATCCAGTCTATCATTGATGGGCATTTGGGTTGGTTCCAAGTCTTTGCTATTGTGAACAGTGCCACAATAAACATATGTGTGCATGTGTCTTTATAGTAGAATGATTTATAATCCTTTGGGTATATACCCAGTAATGGGATTGCTGAGTCAAATAGTATTTCTAGTTCTAGATCCTTAAGGAATTACCACACTGTCTTCCACAATGGTTGAACTAATTTACATTCCCACCAACTGTGTAAAGGCATTCCTATTTCTCCACATCCTCTCCAATACCTGTTGTTTCCGGACTTTTAATGATCACCATTCTAACTGGCTGAGATGATATCTCACTGTGGTTTTGATTTGCATTTCTCTAATGACCTGTGATGATGAGCTTTTTTTCATATGTTTGTTGGCTGCATAAATGTCTTCTTTTGAGAAGTGTCTGTTCCTTTGCCCACTTTTTCATGGGCTTTTTTTCTTGTAAATTTGTTTAAGTTCCTTGTAGATTCTGGATATTAGCCCTTTGTCAGATGGATAGATTGCAAAAATTTTCTCCCATTCTGAAGGTTGCCTGTTCACTCTGATGGTAGTTTCTTTTGCTGTGCAGAAGCTCTTTAGTTTAATTAGATCCCATTTGTCAATTTTGGCTTTTTTTGCCATTGCTTTTGGTGTTTTAGTCATGAAGTCTTTGCCCATGCCTATGTCCTGAATGGCATTGCCTAGGTTTTCTTCTAGGGTTTTTATGGTTTTAGGTCTTATGTTTAAGTCTTTAATCCATCTTGAGTTAATTTTTGTATAAGGTGAAAGGAAAGGGTCCAGTTTCAGCTTTCTACGTATGGCTAGCCAGTTTTCCTAACACCATTTATTAAATAGGGAATCCTTTCCCCATTGTTTATTTTTGTCAGGTTTGTCAAAGATCAGATGGTTGTAGATGTGTGGTGTTTTTTTTGAGGCCTCTGTTCTGTTCCATTGGTCTATATATCCATTGGTACCAGTGCCATGCTGTTTTGGTTACTGTAGCCTTGTAGTATAGTTTGAAGTCAGGTAGCGTGATGCCTCCAGTTTTGTTCTTTTTGCTTAGGATTGTCTTGGCTATGCAGGCTCTTTTTTGGTTCTAGATGACATTTAAAGTAGCTTTTTCTAATTCTGTGTAGAAAGTCAATGTTAGCTTGATGGGGATAGCATTGAATCTATAAATTACTTTGGGCAGTATGGCCATTTTCACAGTATTGATTCTTCCTGTCTATAAGCATGGGATTTTTTTTCCATTTGTTTGTGTTCTCTTTTATTTCGTTGAGCAGTGGTTTGTAGTTCTCCTTGAAAAGGTCCTTCACATTCCTTGTAAGTTGGATTCTTAGGTATTGTATTCTTTTTGTAGCACTTGTGAATGGGAGTTCACTCAGGATCTGGCTCTCTGTTTGCCTGTTATTGGTGTATGGGAATGTTTCTGATTTTTGCACACTGATTTTGTATCCTGAGACTTTGCTGAAGTTGCTTATCAGCTTAAGAGATTTTGGGCTGAGACGATGGGGTTTTCTAAATATACAATTATGTCATTTGCAAACAGAGACCTTTTGACTTCCTGTTTTCCTAATTGAATACCCTTTATTTCTTTCTCTTGACTGATTGCCCTGGCCAGAACTTTCAATACTATGTTGAATAGGAGTGGTGAGAGAGGGCATTCTTGTCTTGTGCTGGTTTTCAAAGAGAATGTTTCCAGTTTTTGCCCATTCAGTAAGATATTGGCTGTGGGTTTGTCATAAATAGCTCTTATTATTTTGAGATGTATTCCATCAATACCTAGTTTATTGAGAGTTTTTAGAATGAAGCGCTGTTGAATTTTGTCGAAGTCCTTTTCTGCATCTATTGAGATAATCATGTGATTTTTGTCATTGGTTCTTTTTATGTGGTGGATTACATATATTGATTTGCATATGTTGAACAAGCCTTGCATCCCAGGGATGAAGCTGTAGATTCATTTTCATGTAAAATGAGTTCTTTCTTCTAATAAAGGTGCCCGGGATCTAGATAAAGTAGATAAATCATCATGAATGAATAATCACACTTCTGTTTGAGTGTTTCCCTGGTGGAGTCAATTCTGAGTAGTTATTAATAGGACTCCTCGATAGCTAAATTTCAGATAATACTAAAGTTTGATTTCATCACCCAGAGCTCAAAGCTCCCTCTGATGACTGGTGTGGCCAGGATGGTCTCTCAGCAAAAGACCATGTAAGTACAATTCCCACCTTTTTGCCTTTCAGTTCTGGCAAATGCTGAAGAGCCTGTCTGCTTTCTATTTGTGTTTCAGGTTTGTTTCTACTACCTTTACCATCCTCCTCACTCTCTCATGAGAGAGGAAGGCCGTAACTGTGTGTGCTAGTTATTAAGCTAACTCTGAATTCCAAATTCACTTTGCTCTGCTCTACTCTATGATACTGTAGCCAGGACTCTGAAAACGATTTCTTCATTTGCCAGCTGTTCCCTAAGAGGTCCACCAACCAGAGGCTCTGGAGAAAGGCCGGAAGGAGAGCAGAAGGTCTTGTTCCTCCAGGTTTGCTTGCTGTTGTGGTCAGCATTCCTCAGCCACAGCTTTTCACCCTGGCAGAGGTTGTTGGTTCCAGGATCCAGTTCCTTTTTTTGGTACCCTCAGGACAAGTCTGACCTTGATCCCTCAGAGATACCGGCACCAGCAGTACCATGAGTGCCTCACTTCAGAGGTCTAAGTACAGTTTCATGGAACCTCTCCTCTAAACTTATAGGTTCAAAACCCTAACCCCTTACCTTCATTCACCTACTGCTAGGGGTGTGACTGCTTATGGCGAGCCACTATGTAGGCTCTAAAAGACTGGGAAAATGGAGACAATAATATGAAGTAAGTGAAATTCATTCTCTAGCCTTCTCTACTTCCCTATCTGTACCATCCTTTTTCCTATGTAAACATGCATGTTACCCAGCAAAAGTGTTCATTTTTAATTAAGTTCTCTGCTGATAATGGCTTAAAAATAAACCCTCAAGTTTTTGACATTTTTCAGAAACTTCCAATAATTATGTTTTAAATTGTATAAAAATGTTTAGTACATTTCTGGATGTTTGGCATGGAGTTAGACACTATCAAGAGAGAAAGTGGTTATAAGGATGATATGAAATAACGTCCATGCCCTCAAGAATCTGTGGATGGGGGAGGAAAAGTCAATGTACACAAATTAGTAAGAGAAATACATGAAACATAATACAATTATAAACTGAGTTGAATGGTGCAGACCATAAATGCATTAGGAGGTGAGAAATAGAAGAGATCATTGGGGATCACAGTAATTGGGGAGAACTTCACAGTAAAATTGATGTGGATTCAGAAAATATTTACATATGTAAAGAATGATCCAGACTTCCATTTAAGGAAGCAGCTTGAACAAAGACATGCATATGGAATGTTAGACTTTGATATGCACATTCATTAGTACCAATTAATGTGAGTTTGCCATTGTATAGATTCTCCTAGGTTTGTCACTAAGTGGAACTCAGACTCTAATGAACTTATAAATAGTGGAACCAACTGGAATTCCATCTGCCACTTAAAAACAGCCTCTGTGAATATCAAAGTCAAGTGTCAATCAGCTGTGGTAATTTGGAACCATAGTTCATACATTTTTACTAACAGCTGAGGATTTGATATTTGGAATCAATATCCTGGTAATCCCTTTGATTGACTTGAAGGTTTGTCCAAGATGTTTCCATCCTTCAGGAATGATTCAGATGCAAATACCAAACTCCAACTGCTTGTTGGAGAAATCCTTAGGAGCCAATCAGATTAGAATCAAATCTCTAGAATCTAATCTATATAAAACAAAACATAAGTTGGTCGTTAAGCACCAAAACTGACCACTAAGCAGTTTTCGATTGTCAATACCTGGTTATAGTCAGGTTTTAAAATGGAATTTTAAATGCCTGTTTTAAAGTTACACAAGGAATCAAGTAGATCATGCAACCACTTTCACAAAGAACTTTCATAAATCAGTAAATCCAAGTGGGAGCAGAATTCTCTAAATTATAAGCAAGAAGACAATCATAGAACTAAATCCTGACCTTTCCCATAGAAGCAAACAGCCTCTTCCCTGCCCCTACCCTTCTCTAATTTACAGTAATGTAATCCACATGGAAAAAGTCAGTGTGTGTTTGGGAACCAAGTCCTACACTTTCTTTTCCATCACAAAACCCAGTTGTTCTTCAAAACCATCCATCAGGATCACGTTACACTCTCAAGTATTAAAAAGGGGGCCTGAGCTCAGACCTCCTGCTGAAAAGTTCAGTTGTCAGTTGTTAGGCAGAAAATCAATCATAAATGCATTTGGAACAATGGCATGCTGCCTAGAATTACACCACGCTGGGAAAAAAAATCTACCCTGCAGCAGAAGAATACTAATGATTGGCGATACCCACGCCACTTTAGACAAGGTGGATCAATTTATTTAGACACATTTACGGAACGGAAATATGCTGTGCCAAATCTGATTTACATACAATTATAGCAGAACATTTGCAAAATTTTCTCAGAAGGATCAAGATACTTTAGTCCTCAATATGAGCCAGCAACTTCAAAATTGTTATGAATGGTTTTAACTAATTCTCATTTCTATCCCTAGGTCTTGCATTAGGTACAGAGATTTTGCCAAAGTTTGGATAATTTATCATACTTTTGCAAAAGCTCATGGAAGACACATAGCTATCTGGTATTACCACAAACCCACTGTAGCCAATAGCTGAGTGGGTAATAGATGGCAAAAATCTACTCTTCACATGCAGAACAGCCTTATTTCCAAACTGATAATGTAGCTGGTTAGAATCTAGTGCCAATGAAATCAACCCTTGGTTCCTATAATATTAAAACTAATAGCTATCATTTTTAGCACACTTTTGTGCCCAACACTATGCTAAAGACTTTGAATGCTCCTGTAACCCATCCAATAATCTTAAGAGGTAAGGGCTCTTTACCTGTATTTTATTCGCAAGGAAACTGAAGTTTAGAGAGGATGCATTTTTTACTCAAGGTCATATGGCTGATAGGAGGAAACGGAAATCAAAGTCAAGCGAAAAGATCCCAGAGCTCTTGGCAATGCTACCTCCCACGCATAACTGTACACACTCCACCCTCCATATCTTTGGGTTTTGCCTTCATTAGATTCAACCAGATCTAAAATATTGGAGGAAAAAAAGGATGGCTGGGTTGGGCACAGTGGCTCATGCCTGTAATCCCAGCACTTTGGGAGGCCAAGTCGGGTGGTTCAGCTGAGGTCGGGAGTTCGAGACCAGCCTGACCAACATGGAGAAACCCCATCTCTACTAAAAATACAAAATTAGCCATGCGTGGTGGCACATGCCTGTAATCCCAGCTACTCAGGGGGCTGAGGCAGGAGAATCACTTGAACCTGGGAGGTGGAGGTTGCAGTGAGCCGAGATCGTGCAATTGCACTCCAGCCTGGGCAACAAGAGCAAAACTTGATCTCAAAAACAAAAAAAAAAAAAAAAAAAAAAAGGATGTCTGCATGTGAACATGTACAGACTTTTCTTTTTTCTTGTTATTCGCTAAACAATACAGTTTAACTGTTTACATAGCATTTACACTGGGTTAGGCATAAGTAATCTAGAGATGATTTAAAGTATATGGGAGGATGTGTGTAGGTTACATACAAATACACCACTTTATAAAGAACTTGATCATCTGAGGATCTGGTATCCAAGGGGGATCCAAAACCAATCCCCAATGGCTACTGAGGATGACTGTATCTATACACAGAGGAAAACTACCCTAAATCATGGACTACTGCCTCAACCCCAAGCCAGTCACCTCCTATAGTCTCAAGAAAACCAGAGAGTTGACCCTAACACACTCAGAGCCCTATGGGGCAGGAATCACAGTGGCTTCATGTTTGTTATCTAAGTATGAAAATCGGCAAGTTTTATCAACAACCTTAATTAGGGCTTAGAAAGTTTGAAGCCAGGTTGTGCTTGCTTTCTGGGCTCATTAAACAATCATTAAACAACTGGCAGT